>NC_000005.10:16277123-17530548 GCF_000001405.40 Homo sapiens | reverse complement strand
GAATTCACAGCTCGTGAGGACATTCTTTAGTTCGGCTGAAGCCAAAAAACCTGGAACCATCGAAATGGGAAGAAGTGGAGTCTGCCAAATTCTGCCTCTTAAACTTTCAGCTACCACGCCATGTTCAACTATTGTACTTGATAAGGATTGGAAACTTAAGGTACTGATAATTTCAACAGAGTTTCACCAGAGTAGTATTTCTTGTGAGAAAGCCATGATCTCATCAGTAACGCCTTTCTAAAAGATCCAACAGAAAATATGAACTAGCAACTCATCCTGACAAGGAAGTAAAACTCAGGAAAAATCCTAAGGCAGAGCAGCGTCAGGCTTCAGTGTGAAACTATCATAGTCTGGGCGCGGTGGCTCACGCCTATAGTCCCTTCGCTTTGGGAAGCCAAGGTGGGGCAGATCACCTGAAGTCAGCAGTTCAAGACCAGCCTGGGCAAAATGGCGAGACCTCGTCTCTACTTGAGCAAATACAAAAATTTGCCCGGCGTGGTAGCGCGCACATTTAGTCCCAGCCACTCTGGAGGCTGAGGCAGGAGAATCCGTTGCGCCTAGGATGCCCATATGGTCGTTACAAACGGCGGCTTGAGGAAAGGTGGTTTTGGAATCGGTTTCTCTCTGGTCTTACATGATGCATCTATACTATACTGCATTATAATACAGGAAAGGGTCACTTGCTGACATAAAGCACAGCAGGCAGGAATAGAAGAGTCAACTTAGGGGAAAAAAAGAAAGTGCTTTGTGATTTCAATTTGGTGTCTGCAGTTTGGAAAACGGTTGATCAGTTTAACTGTTTTCGTGGTGACTCACAAAAATACATATGAGCGTTGAAATTCTACAGAAGAACAACAATCGGGGAAACATTTCTGCAAGCTCCAATTACTGGAACCCAGACATAAGCCTACAAGCTAAGACAGAGCTACACCAGGCTTCAGCAGGAAACCATACAGATCTCCTGGGAAGGGCTTCCCTCTCTGAATGCAGCTGCCTGTCCACAGGATGCTCTAGGCCCAGGCACCTTGATTCCTCCAGCTGGAAAGACATAGAGAAACCCCTCCACATCCCATTAAAATGCCCTAAGATTTAGCCAAGGCTCCTATGAAGCGATCTGCTGTCTTCATCCAGGTAAGGGCAACTTCGCATTTTAAGACACGAAGATCGTGGGTAAATCCAGGTGGGACTGAGATGCGGGAGCTCCGGCGCACACACTCCTGTCATTGGAAGATGAACGCGGTACTTATTCCTGCACAAACAGACCCTGCCCTCTGGCCGTGGGCCTAGAACATGATTCTTTTGCAGTTGCTGTTGGGGAAGAGGCCCTTGGGCTTTAACCTGCGAACGGCCTCCCTTAAATGCTTGGGCTGCAGCGGGGGCGTCTCTCCCCACATCTCACACACGTCCAGGGCCTCTTCCACCACCTCTCCAACAAAGAGCTTGGCTATTCCAGCCATGGCAATGGCCGCGTTCTCCGACACCGAACTGCCAGTGATAGCCCGCATCAGACCCGCAACGCGTGCTCTCGGGAACGCTGACCGGCGACACACTTCGTAGCGGGACAGCTGCTCCTCAGACATGGCAGACAGCAGGGTTGTCATCCTCTGAGCCTCCTCCGCATCCACGGTGGGCTTGCTCTCCTTCTTGCCTTTCGTATGTGTTTTCCGTCTTTTGGCTGCAGGAGGAGCTGAGGCTGAAGCCTCACTGTCACCTTCTGTGAGGTCCATGACATCCTCACTCCTGAGCTCACCTTCCTGATCCCTGGGTGCTTCCAAGTTCCCGTCTAGGTCCTCAGGGATTCCATCCTTCTTGCTGCCCTTCAGACCTCGGGGCATGGCGAGCATCTCAGCAGACACACCTGTTTGCCTGCCGGTCTCCATGGGTGAGATTCAAGTCTGCTCCGTGACAGCAGCTGTACAGGCAGAAGTTCCGGCTGGGGTGGTTTGATTGTGGATCTGCGATGAGAACCTTTCAAAGATTTTAGCTGCTGTGTTTCTGCTGAGCCAGTTTCGCCGTAACCGGACACGGCTCCCGGCCGCCCCTTCCCACACACAAACACACACACTGAATTTTCTCGCTTCCACAGTGTGAAGAAACTTGTGGAAGGAGAGTATGTTAGTTTTAGGTCAATGCAGAACGAATTCTCACCAATTTTGGGTATTTAAAACAAACACCAGCTCACAGGTCAGAAGTTCTGCTAGGCCAAGTGACTGCCTCCTGCTCAGAGTCCCACGAGGGACCTCCAGGATGGGTCTGGCTGTGCGGTCGTTGCCTCCACCTGAGAAGGGTCTGGCTTCGATCCGATTCGAGTTGGTGGCAGAATTCAACAATGCCTCAGGGTTGTGAGCCCCAGGCCCACTTGTTTGTTCTGCCTGCTGCCGTGAGGATGCTCTCAGCTCCTACCCGTGCTGCCCAGGTCTGGGCCGTGAGGCTCCCTGGGTGTGCACAGCCAGTGCTGGGGAATCTCCCACAGGGGAGCGTAATCACAGGGGGGTTCAGTCCTCCCTTATAAAGGGCTCAGATGACTGCATTAGACCCAGCCCTTAGCAGCCGTTGGTTCAGGATACCCCCCAATCTAATGAGGAAGTCGGGCGGGCACATCAATTCGTGCTTCCGCCCACACCCAAGGGAGGGGCAGACACAGGGCGACTCTCTGAGGGGCGGGAAATGCAGGGGGCATTTCAGAATTCAGTCCTCTTCACAGAATCGCAAAGTTCACATCTCACAACAGTAAAGAAACTATTTACAGTAAAAATGAGACATTTTACGAAGTTGAGCATTAGAAAACTTCGATGTCTGAGAAAAAAAACTCTCTAACGCACAGGGAAGAAAGCGGTTTATCAAATACTCTGAAAATAAAATGGGCTGGGTGAGGGAAACGTGAAAATATTATTTCAATTTTATTTTACGTCACTTTATTTTAGTTTATTTTATTTTATTTGTTTATTTCTGAGACAGTGCCTCGCTCTGTCCCCCAGGCTGGATTACAGCGGCCTCATCTCAGCCCACTGCAGCCTCGGCATCCTAGGCTCAACGGATTCTCCTGCCTCAGCCTCCAGAGTGGCTGGGACTAAATGTGCGCGCTACCACGCCGGGCAAATTTTTGTATTTGCTCAAGTAGAGACGAGGTCTCGCCATTTTGCCCAGGCTGGTCTTGAACTGCTGACTTCAGGTGATCTGCCCCACCTTGGCTTCCCAAAGTGAAGGGACTATAGGCGTGAGCCACCGCGCCCAGACTATGATAGTTTCACACTGAAGCCTGAAGCTGCTCTGCCATAGGATTTTTCCTGAGTTTTACTTCCTTGTCAGGATGAGTTGCTAGTTCATATTTTCTGTTGGATCTTTTAGAAAGGCGTTACTGATGAGATTATGGCTTTCTCACAAGAAATACTACTCTGGTGAAACTCTATTGAAATTATCAGCACCTTAAGTTTCCAATCCTTATCAAGTACAATAGTTGAACATGGCGTGGTAGCTGAAAGTGTAAGAGGCAGAATTTGGCAGACTCCACTTCTTCCCATTTCGATGGTTCCAGGTTTTTTGGCTTCAGCCGAACTAAAGAATGTCCTCACGAGCTGTGAACTCACAGGTCACTACAGACAATTTTTGAAACTGAATCACACTGTAATTTTTGGCGTATGCTCTGTGAGCTGTGCTGGGAAGGTTCACGCTGATTCCGTAATAAATCTCGGGTTTTTACTCTATAGCGAAAAATTACTCTTTGCCATCCTGAAGGCAAAGCAGAGTATGTACAAGCAGAGTGTGGAATAACTTTGTCACTCGTGACGAACCGACTTGGTCCAACACTTTAACGACTTCTCCAATGTCTCCGTACTCAGGTTTGATTTTCTGAGTGGATCATCGGTAGAATGAATAAAATCAAGAATCCTCTAAGGCAATGTTTGGAACTAAATTTCAGTGTCTCCGGAAGCACTGGAAAAATCACCACGTGTAGCGAAAGTGAAGTGTCAATAGGCTCTCTCTGTGTCCTTCAAACCGCCCATATGGTCGTTACAAACGGCGGCTTGAGGAAAGGTGGTTTTGGAATCGGTTTCTCTCTGGTCTTACATGATGCATCTATACTATACTGCATTATAATACAGGAAAGGGTCACTTGCTGACATAAAGCACAGCAGGCAGGAATAGAAGAGTCAACTTAGGGGAAAAAAAGAAAGTGCTTTGTGATTTCATTTTGGTGTCTGCAGTTTGGAAAACGGTTGATCAGTTTAACTGTTTTCGTGGTGACTCACAAAAATACATATGAGCGTTGAAATTCTACAGAAGAACAACAATCGGGGAAACATTTCTGCAAGCTCCAATTACTGGAACCCAGACATAAGCCTACAAGCTAAGACAGAGCTACACCAGGCTTCAGCAGGAAACCATACAGATCTCCTGGGAAGGGCTTCCCTCTCTGAATGCAGCTGCCTGTCCACAGGATGCTCTAGGCCCAGGCACCTTGATTCCTCCAGCTGGAAAGACATAGAGAAACGCCTCCACATCCCATTAAAATGCCCAAAGATTTAGCCAAGGCTCCTATGAAGCGATCTGCTGTCTTCATCCAGGTAAGGGCAACTTCGCATTTTAAGACACGAAGATCGTGGGTAAATCCAGGTGGGACTGAGATGCGGGAGCTCCGGCGCACACACTCCTGTCATTGGAAGATGAACGCGGTACTTATTCCTGCACAAACAGACCCTGCCCTCTGGCCGTGGGCCTAGAACATGATTCTTTTGCAGTTGCTGTTGGGGAAGAGGCCCTTGGGCTTTAACCTGCGAACGGCCTCCCTTAAATGCTTGGGCTGCAGCGGGGGCGTCTCTCCCCACATCTCACACACGTCCAGGGCCTCTTCCACCACCTCTCCAACAAAGAGCTTGGCTATTCCAGCCATGGCAATGGCCGCGTTCTCCGACACCGAACTGCCAGTGATAGCCCGCATCAGACCCGCAACGCGTGCTCTCGGGAACGCTGACCGGCGACACACTTCGTAGCGGGACAGCTGCTCCTCAGACATGGCAGACAGCAGGGTTGTCATCCTCTGAGCCTCCTCCGCATCCACGGTGGGCTTGCTCTCCTTCTTGCCTTTCGTATGTGTTTTCCGTCTTTTGGCTGCAGGAGGAGCTGAGGCTGAGGCCTCACTGTCACCTTCTGTGAGGTCCATGACATCCTCACTCCTGAGCTCACCTTCCTGATCCCTGGGTGCTTCCAAGTTCCCGTCTAGGTCCTCAGGGATTCCATCCTTCTTGCTGCCCTTCAGACCTCGGGGCATGGCGAGCATCTCAGCAGACACACCTGTTTGCCTGCCGGTCTCCATGGGTGAGATTCAAGTCTGCTCCGTGACAGCAGCTGTACAGGCAGAAGTTCCGGCTGGGGTGGTTTGATTGTGGATCTGCGATGAGAACCTTTCAAAGATTTTAGCTGCTGTGTTTCTGCTGAGCCAGTTTCGCCGTAACCGGACACGGCTCCCGGCCGCCCCTTCCCACACACAAACACACACACTGAATTTTCTCGCTTCCACAGTGTGAAGAAACTTGTGGAAGGAGAGTATGTTAGTTTTAGGTCAATGCAGAACGAATTCTCACCAATTTTGGGTATTTAAAACAAACACCAGCTCACAGGTCAGAAGTTCTGCTAGGCCAAGTGACTGCCTCCTGCTCAGAGTCCCACGAGGGACCTCCAGGATGGGTCTGGCTGTGCGGTCGTTGCCTCCACCTGAGAAGGGTCTGGCTTCGATCCGATTCGAGTTGGTGGCAGAATTCAACAATGCCTCAGGGTTGTGAGCCCCAGGCCCACTTGTTTGTTCTGCCTGCTGCCGTGAGGATGCTCTCAGCTCCTACCCGTGCTGCCCAGGTCTGGGCCGTGAGGCTCCCTGGGTGTGCACAGCCAGTGCTGGGGAATCTCCCACAGGGGAGCGTAATCACAGGGGGGTTCAGTCCTCCCTTATAAAGGGCTCAGATGACTGCATTAGACCCAGCCCTTAGCAGCCGTTGGTTCAGGATACCCCCCAATCTAATGAGGAAGTCGGGCGGGCACATCAATTCGTGCTTCCGCCCACACCCAAGGGAGGGGCAGACACAGGGCGACTCTCCGAGGGGCGGGAAATGCAGGGGGCATTTCAGAATTCCGTCCTCTTCACAGAATCGCAAAGTTCACATCTCACAACAGTAAAGAAACTATTTACAGTAAAAATGAGACATTTTACGAAGTTGAGCATTAGAAAACTTCGATGTCTGAGAAAAAAAACTCTCTAACGCACAGGGAAGAAAGCGGTTTATCAAATACTCTGAAAATAAAATGGGCTGGGTGAGGGAAACGTGAAAATATTATTTCAATTTTATTTTACGTCACTTTATTTTATTTTATTTTATTTTATTTGTTTATTTCTGAGACAGTGCCTCGCTCTGTCCCCCAGGCTGGATTACAGCGGCCTCATCTCAGCCCACTGCAGCCTCGGCATCCTAGGCTCAACGGATTCTCCTGCCTCAGCCTCCAGAGTGGCTGGGACTAAATGTGCGCGCTACCACGCCGGGCAAATTTTTGTATTTGCTCAAGTAGAGACGAGGTCTCGCCATTTTGCCCAGGCTGGTCTTGAACTGCTGACTTCAGGTGATCTGCCCCACCTTGGCTTCCCAAAGTGAAGGGACTATAGGCGTGAGCCACCGCGCCCAGACTATGATAGTTTCACACTGAAGCCTGACGCTGCTCTGCCTTAGGATTTTTCCTGAGTTTTACTTCCTTGTCAGGATGAGTTGCTAGTTCATATTTTCTGTTGGATCTTTTAGAAAGGCGTTACTGATGAGATTATGGCTTTCTCACAAGAAATACTACTCTGGTGAAACTCTGTTGAAATTATCAGTACCTTAAGTTTCCAATCCTTATCAAGTACAATAGTTGAACATGGCGTGGTAGCTGAAAGTGTAAGAGGCAGAATTTGGCAGACTCCACTTCTTCCCATTTCGATGGTTCCAGGTTTTTTGGCTTCAGCCGAACTAAAGAATGTCCTCACGAGCTGTGAATTCACAGGTCACTACAGACAATTTTTGAAACTGAATCACACTGTAATTTTTGGCGTATGCTCTGTGAGCTGTGCTGGGAAGGTTCACGCTGATTCCGTAATAAATCTCGGGTTTTTACTCTATAGCGAAAAATTACTCTTTGCCATCATGAAGGCAAAGCAGAGTATGTACAAGTAGAGTGTGGAATAACTTTGTCACTCGTGACGAACCGACTTGGTCCAATACTTTAACGACTTCTCCAATGTCTCCGTACTCAGGTTTGATTTTCTGAGTGGATCATCGGTAGAATGAATAAAATGAAGAATCCTCTAAGGCAATGTTTGGAACTAAATTTCAGTGTCTCCGGAAGCACTGGAAAAATCACCACGTGTAGCGAAAGTGAAGTGTCAATAGGCTCTCTCTGTGTCCTTCAAACCGCCCATATGGTCGTTACAAACGGCGGCTTGAGGAAAGGTGGTTTTGGAATCGGTTTCTCTCTGGTCTTACATGATGCATCTATACTATACTGCATTATAATACAGGAAAGGGTCACTTGCTGACATAAAGCACAGCAGGCAGGAATAGAAGAGTCAACTTAGGGGAAAAAAAGAAAGTGCTTTGTGATTTCAATTTGGTGTCTGCAGTTTGGAAAACGGTTGATCAGTTTAACTGTTTTCGTGGTGACTCACAAAAATACATATGAGCGTTGAAATTCTACAGAAGAACAACAATCGGGGAAACATTTCTGCAAGCTCCAATTACTGGAACCCAGACATAAGCCTGCAAGCTAAGACAGAGCTACACCAGGCTTCAGCAGGAAACCATACAGATCTCCTGGGAAGGGCTTCCCTCTCTGAATGCAGCTGCCTGTCCACAGGATGCTCTAGGCCCAGGCACCTTGATTCCTCCAGCTGGAAAGACATAGAGAAACGCCTCCACATCCCATTAAAATGCCCAAAGATTTAGCCAAGGCTCCTATGAAGCGATCTGCTGTCTTCATCCAGGTAAGGGCAACTTCGCATTTTAAGACACGAAGATCGTGGGTAAATCCAGGTGGGACTGAGATGCGGGAGCTCCGGCGCACACACTCCTGTCATTGGAAGATGAACGCGTTACTTATTCCTGCACAAACAGACCCTGCCCTCTGGCCGTGGGCCTAGAACATGATTCTTTTGCAGTTGCTGTTGGGGAAGAGGCCCTTGGGCTTTAACCTGCGAACGGCCTCCCTTAAATGCTTGGGCTGCAGCGGGGGCGTCTCTCCCCACATCTCACACACGTCCAGGGCCTCTTCCACCACCTCTCCAACAAAGAGCTTGGCTATTCCAGCCATGGCAATGGCCGCGTTCTCCGACACCGAACTGCCAGTGATAGCCCGCATCAGACCCGCAACGCGTGCTCTCGGGAACGCTGACCGGCGACACACTTCGTAGCGGGACAGCTGCTCCTCAGACATGGAAGACAGCAGGGTTGTCATCCTCTGAGCCTCCTCCGCATCCACGGTGGGCTTGCTCTCCTTCTTGCCTTTCGTATGTGTTTTCCGTCTTTTGGCTGCAGGAGGAGCTGAGGCTGAGGCCTCACTGTCACCTTCTGTGAGGTCCATGACATCCTCACTCCTGAGCTCACCTTCCTGATCCCTGGGTGCTTCCAAGTTCCCGTCTAGGTCCTCAGGGATTCCATCCTTCTTGCTGCCCTTCAGACCTCGGGGCATGGCGAGCATCTCAGCAGACACACCTGTTTGCCTGCCGGTCTCCATGGGTGAGATTCAAGTCTGCTCCGTGACAGCAGCTGTACAGGCAGAAGTTCCGGCTGGGGTGGTTTGATTGTGGATCTGCGATGAGAACCTTTCAAAGATTTTAGCTGCTGTGTTTCTGCTGAGCCAGTTTCGCCGTAACCGGACACGGCTCCCGGCCGCCCCTTCCCACACACAAACACACACACTGAATTTTCTCGCTTCCACAGTGTGAAGAAACTTGTGGAAGGAGAGTATGTTAGTTTTAGGTCAATGCAGAACGAATTCTCACCAATTTGGGGTATTTAAAACAAACACCAGCTCACAGGTCAGAAGTTCTGCTAGGCCAAGTGACTGCCTCCTGCTCAGAGTCCCACGAGGGACCTCCAGGATGGGTCTGGCTGTGCGGTCGTTGCCTCCACCTGAGAAGGGTCTGGCTTCGATCCGATTCGAGTTGGTGGCAGAATTCAACAATGCCTCAGGGTTGCGAGCCCCAGGCCCACTTGTTTGTTCTGCCTGCTGCCGTGA
Organism: Homo sapiens; assembly: GCF_000001405.40. Lineage (NCBI taxonomy): Eukaryota > Metazoa > Chordata > Mammalia > Primates > Hominidae > Homo > Homo sapiens. Next base: position 17,521,296 of record NC_000005.10, on the reverse strand, counting down.
GGATGCTCTCAGCTCCTACCCGTGCTGCCCAGGTCTGGGCCGTGAGGCTCCCTGGGTGTGCACAGCCAGTGCTGGGGAATCTCCCACAGGGGAGCATAATCACAGGGGGGTTCAGTCCTCCCTTATAAAGGGCTCAGATGACTGGATTAGACCCAGCCCTTAGCAGCCGTTGGTTCAGGATACCCCCCAATCTAATGAGGAAGTCGGGCGGGCACATCAATTCGTGCTTCCGCCCACACCCAAGGGAGGGGCAGACACAGGGCGACTCTCTGAGGGGCGGGAAATGCAGGGGGCATTTCAGAATTCAGTCCTCTTCACAGAATCGCAAAGTTCACATCTCACAACAGTAAAGAAACTATTTACAGTAAAAATGAGACATTTTACGAAGTTGAGCATTAGAAAACTTCGATGTCTGAGAAAAAAAACTCTCTAACGCACAGGGAAGAAAGCGGTTTATCAAATACTCTGAAAATAAAATGGGCTGGGTGAGGGAAACGTGAAAATATTATTTCAATTTTATTTTACGTCACTTTATTTTAGTTTATTTTATTTTATTTGTTTATTTCTGAGACAGTGCCTCTCTCTGTCTCCCAGGCTGGATTACAGCGGCCTCATCTCAGCCCACTGCAGCCTCGGCATCCTAGGCTCAACGGATTCTCCTGCCTCAGCCTCCAGAGTGGCTGGGACTAAATGTGCGCGCTACCACGCCGGGCAAATTTTTGTATTTGCTCAAGTAGAGACGAGGTCTCGCCATTTTGCCCAGGCTGGTCTTGAACTGCTGACTTCAGGTGATCTGCCCCACCTTGGCTTCCCAAAGTGAAGGGACTATAGGCGTGAGCCACCGCGCCCAGACTATGATAGTTTCACACTGAAGCCTGACGCTGCTCTGCCTTAGGATTTTTCCTGAGTTTTACTTCCTTGTCAGGATGAGTTGCTAGTTCATATTTTCTGTTGGATCTTTTAGAAAGGCGTTACTGATGAGATTATGGCTTTCTCACAAGAAATACTACTCTGGTGAAACTCTGCTGAAATTATCAGTACCTTAAGTTTCCAATCCTTATCAAGTACAATAGTTGAACATGGCGTGGTAGCTGAAAGTGTAAGAGGCAGAATTTGGCAGACTCCACTTCTTCCCATTTCGATGGTTCCAGGTTTTTTGGCTTCAGCCGAACTAAAGAATGTCCTCACGAGCTGTGAATTCACAGGTCACTACAGACAATTTTTGAAACTGAATCACACTGTAATTTTTGGCGTATGCTCTGTGAGCTGTGCTGGGAAGGTTCACGCTGATTCCGTAATAAATCTCGGGTTTTTACTCTATAGCGAAAAATTACTCTTTGCCATCATGAAGGCAAAGCAGAGTATGTACAAGTAGAGTGTGGAATAACTTTGTCACTCGTGACGAACCGACTTGGTCCAATACTTTAACGACTTCTCCAATGTCTCCGTACTCAGGTTTGATTTTCTGAGTGGATCATCGGTAGAATGAATAAAATGAAGAATCCTCTAAGGCAATGTTTGGAACTAAATTTCAGTGTCTCCGGAAGCACTGGAAAAATCACCACGTGTAGCGAAAGTGAAGTGTCAGTAGGCTCTCTCTGTGTCCTTCAAACCGCCCATATGGTCGTTACAAACGGCGGCTTGAGGAAAGGTGGTTTTGGAATCGGTTTCTCTCTGGTCTTACATGATGCATCTATACTATACTGCATTATAATACAGGAAAGGGTCACTTGCTGACATAAAGCACAGCAGGCAGGAATAGAAGAGTCAACTTAGGGGAAAAAAAGAAAGTGCTTTGTGATTTCAATTTGGTGTCTGCAGTTTGGAAAACGGTTGATCAGTTTAACTGTTTTCGTGGTGACTCACAAAAATACATATGAGCGTTGAAATTCTGCAGAAGAACAACAATCGGGGAAACATTTCTGCAAGCTCCAATTACTGGAACCCAGACATAAGCCTACAAGCTAAGACAGAGCTACACCAGGCTTCAGCAGGAAACCATACAGATCTCCTGGGAAGGGCTTCCCTCTCTGAATGCAGCTGCCTGTCCACAGGATGCTCTAGGCCCAGGCACCTTGATTCCTCCAGCTGGAAAGACATAGAGAAACGCCTCCACATCCCATTAAAATGCCCAAAGATTTAGCCAAGGCTCCTATGAAGCGATCTGCTGTCTTCATCCAGGTAAGGGCAACTTCGCATTTTAAGACACGAAGATCGTGGGTAAATCCAGGTGGGACTGAGATGCGGGAGCTCCGGCGCACACACTCCTGTCATTGGAAGATGAACGCGGTACTTATTCCTGCACAAACAGACCCTGCCCTCTGGCCCTGGGCCTAGAACATGATTCTTTTGCAGTTGCTGTTGGGGAAGAGGCCCTTGGGCTTTAACCTGCGAACGGCCTCCCTTAAATGCTTGGGCTGCAGCGGGAGCGTCTCTCCCCACATCTCACACACGTCCAGGGCCTCTTCCACCACCTCTCCAACAAAAAGCTTGGCTATTCCAGCCATGGCAATGGCCGCGTTCTCCGACACCGAACTGCCAGTGATAGCCCGCATCAGACCCGCAACGCGTGCTCTCGGGAACGCTGACCGGCGACACACTTCGTAGCGGGACAGCTGCTCCTCAGACATGGCAGACAGCAGGGTTGTCATCCTCTGAGCCTCCTCCGCATCCACGGTGGGCTTGCTCTCCTTCTTGCCTTTCGTATGTGTTTTCCGTCTTTTGGCTGCAGGAGGAGCTGAGGCTGAGGCCTCACTGTCACCTTCTGTGAGGTCCATGACATCCTCACTCCTGAGCTCACCTTCCTGATCCCTGGGTGCTTCCAAGTTCCCGTCTAGGTCCTCAGGGATTCCATCCTTCTTGCTGCCCTTCAGACCTCGGGGCATGGCGAGCATCTCAGCAGACACACCTGTTTGCCTGCCGGTCTCCATGGGTGAGATTCAAGTCTGCTCCGTGACAGCAGCTGTACAGGCAGAAGTTCCGGCTGGGGTGGTTTGATTGTGGATCTGCGATGAGAACCTTTCAAAGATTTTAGCTGCTGTGTTTCTGCTGAGCCAGTTTCGCCGTAACCGGACACGGCTCCCGGCCGCCCCTTCCCACACACAAACACACACACTGAATTTTCTCGCTTCCACAGTGTGAAGAAACTTGTGGAAGGAGAGTATGTTAGTTTTAGGTCAATGCAGAACGAATTCTCACCAATTTGGGGTATTTAAAACAAACACCAGCTCACAGGTCAGAAGTTCTGCTAGGCCAAGTGACTGCCTCCTGCTCAGAGTCCCACGAGGGACCTCCAGGATGGGTCTGGCTGTGCGGTCGTTGCCTCCACCTGAGAAGGGTCTGGCTTCGATCCGATTCGAGTTGGTGGCAGAATTCAACAATGCCTCAGGGTTGTGAGCCCCAGGCCCACTTGTTTGTTCTGCCTGCTGCCGTGAGGATGCTCTCAGCTCCTACCCGTGCTGCCCAGGTCTGGGCCGTGAGGCTCCCTGGGTGTGCACAGCCAGTGCTGGGGAATCTCCCACAGGGGAGCGTAATCACAGGGGGGTTCAGTCCTCCCTTATACAGGGCTCAGATGACTGCATTAGACCCAGCCCTTAGCAGCCGTTGGTTCAGGATACCCCCCAATCTAATGAGGAAGTCGGGCGGGCACATCAATTCGTGCTTCCGCCCACACCCAAGGGAGGGGCAGACACAGGGCGACTCTCTGAGGGGCGGGAAATGCAGGGGGCATTTCAGAATTCAGTCTTCTTCACAGAATCGAATGATTCCTCACAACAATAAAGAAACAATAAAGAAACTATTTACAGTAAAACTGAGACATTTTACGATGTTGCTCATTAGAAAATTTAAATATCTGAGAAAAAAATTTAAGTATCTGAGAAAAAAATCCCTAACTCATAGGGAAACAAGTGATTTATCAGGCACTCTGAAAATAAACTGGGCTGGGTGATTGGAATATGAAAATACGATTTCAATTTTATTTTATTTTATACATTTATTTATTTATTTTTGAGACAGAGTCTTGCTCTGTCCCCCAGGCTGGATTACAGTGGCCTGATCTCAGCTCACTGCAGCCTCTGCCTCCTGGCCTAAACAATTCTCCTGCCTCATCCTCCATAGTAGCTAGGACTAAATTTGCACACTACCAAGCCGAGCTAGTTTTTGTATTTTTTCAAGTAGATGTGAGGTTTCACCATTCCGGCCCGGCTGATCTTGAACTGCTGACTTCACACGATCTGCCCCACCTTGATTTCTCAAAGTGAAGGGATTACAGGCATGAGCCACTGCTCCCAGACTTCAATTTTATATATTACATGTGTATGTATACATAGGTCACAGAGAAGCACCAAAGAGACATAAAATTATGTCATGCACAAAGATATACATCACATTTAGGGAAAATTATGTTGATAAATGGCATAAAAACTACTTCAGAAGATAAAGCAGACACTTAAATATCTGACTTTTAAAGAGCCTTTGTTTATTCAAAAATAGTTGGTAGAAGATATGAAATTATTGGCCAGGCACGGTGGCTCATGCCTGTAATCTCAGCATTTTGGGAGGCGGAGTTGGGTGGATCTCCTGAGGTCAGGAGTTCATGACCAACCTGGACAACATGGTGAAACCCATCTTTACCAGGAAAACATATTTACATTGGAACCTTTGTAAGTCACATCGGGCCTTTCGTTTCCAATATTTACTGGTACTGAAGTCATGATCGGTAGGTTATAAGCAGAAACAAATGGCAACTCAAAGAGGGAGAACCATCCAAAACTTGAAAATTAACCCCTGAAATAAAACAGATACATAAACTTCTCATAAAAATTAATTACCATATACAGTTATCTCTCACGATACTCTAAAAAGACACTGAATTTATCTAAGCTTTATATACTCCTCATTTTTCTCTTAAACTCTAGTAGGTCTCTATCTAGAGAGATAAACACCCTAGAGAGAGATGTAAATTAATGACTTCTTAAATGAAAAGATTAGAAGGCCCCATGCCCCCAAACTATCCAAGATAATTGAGGCACAAAGAACAAAATTTAATGTTGATTTATGTTTATTTTTATCTAAGGAAAAGAATTAAATTAACTAATGTTTATATACAAAATGACTATAGCCCATAAATAAAGCTTATAAATAACCAGATATATATGTGGGCTATTCAAAAATGTTTTACTGGCCGGGCATGGTGGCTCATGCCTGTAATACCAGCACTTTGGGAGGTTGAGGCAGGCAGATCACTTGAGCCCAGGAGTTCGAGATCAGCCTGGACAATGGAGCAGAACCTCTTCTCTATAAAAAATACATAAATTAGCCAGGCACAATGTGCATGCCAGTGGTGCCAGCTACTTGGGAGGCTGAGGTGGGAGGATCCCTTGAGCCCAGGAGGCATAGGTTGCCGTGAGCAGAGATCTTGCTACTGCACTCCAGCCTAGGTGATAGAGCAAGAAGCTATCTCATTTTCTTTGAAAAAAAGCTCTTACTGATAAGATGCAAGTGGAAAAAAATAAGAAGAGCCTCCTAGATTAACTCTTCCAAAACATAAACCTCACAGATGATAGTAACTTCAGCCATCCACTCTCTTCTGATTGCATTAGATAGACTTCCACAGAAACCTATGGGCCAGATCCAGGTCACATTTTATAATGCTCCAGAGAAAATTTACAGACACTTTGTACCCTACAACACACTTAGCTGCTTTCTAAGCATCAATGTTAGGAACATATTTGAATTGCTTTTAAAAGGATAAAAGCATTTAAAGTTTTTCCCATGAAAATACTTATCATTCTTTATGCCATTACTATATTTCTTGCTCTGAAATCCCTTCTAATTTTCTTCAGCATTTCTTCCATTTCTGTCTATGCCCAATTAAAATTTTTTTAATGATGTCAGAACCACCATTATTATTTTGCAGAATGTATACAAAGGCATTCATAACAAGCAGAGCCTTCCCGGATGCACCCATAAAGGTGCAGGCAGAGGAAAGTGGTAAAACTGTTACACCCCAAAACCATTATGTGGCTCTAATTGTTAACTTAAAAATAAGAAACATACTAATTAGATGGCTGTTTTCTTGATCCCTGACATCCCCTTTGTAGACAACAGACTCAAAAAGCTATTTTTCAACAAATATTTATTGAACACTTTTGTACATGCTATGTATCCTGGAGGAAATGCTGTATTTGTGAAGTTGAACTCTCCTACTCTAGAAATTTAAAAATCTGATATTTTCAAGTATTACTCTGAATTTTTGTTTACATTAGCCAGGCTGGGAATTTCTTAATGGTTTTGGTCTGTCAGAAAACCAAGCAATGTGTTAGAGGCTCTAAGTCTATCCAGTATAGTTCCAGGATGGTTTCTTGTATTGTTACTTATTTAATTATTACACAAATACTGAATGTGGATACATAATTGACAGTGCCTTACATATTCAGATACCATGAGTTTTTCATTTTATTATCATCAAATTTCTTATTGAGTAGAAAACGCTTTTGGACAACAAAAGAAATAATCCTCTTAGTAAACAAACAACCTATGGCATGGGACAAACCATCTGCAAACTATGCATCTGACAAAGGACTAACAGATCCAGCATCTACAAGCAATTCTAACAAATAAACAAGAAAAAACAAATATAATCCCACTATAAAGTGGGCAAGTGATGTGCATAGAAATTTCTCGGAAGAAGATACAACAATTCCAAAAAAAAAAGAAAAAAAAAACAGAGGAAAAGATGCCCTGCATCACTAATCATCAGAGAAATGCAAAGTAAAACCACAGTGCGGTATCACCTTACCCACCAGAATGACCCTTATTCAATAGTCAAAAACGATAGATGCTGGGGTGGATGTGGTGAGAGGGAATGCTTAGGCACTGCTGTGGGAATGCAAATTAGTGTAATCTCTGTGGGAAACAGCATGAAGATATCTCAAAGTACATCCCCCATTTGATCCAGTAATCCAAGTAGTGGGTAGACACACAAAAGAAAAAAACTCACTCTACCTAACAGACCAGCACACATATGTTTATCCTAGCACAATTCACAATTGCAAAGATATAAAATAAACCTAAGTGCCCACCAGCTGATGAGTGAGTAGAGTTAAATGGAGTTCATATATGCCATGGACTACTACTCAGCCATAAGCAATGAAATCATGTCTTTTACAGCAACTTGGATGAAACTACAGGCCATTATTCTCAGTGGAGTCATTCAGGAATCTACAGCCAAATGGTGCACATTCTCACTTAGAAGTGGGAGCTAAGCTGTGGGTAGGAAAGGCATACAGAGTGGTAACACAGACATTAGAGACTCAGAAGTGGCAGGGTGATGGGGGGATGAAAAACTGCCTACTGGGTGCAGTGTAGGTGTAGTAGTCACGTGATGAGCGCACTAAAATTCTTGACTTCAACACCATACAATTCATGTATGGAACAAAAGCCACTTATGAGTGGTTTTTACAAGCTAATGAAACATAATTTTTTTTAAAAAACTACACAACTAGAAAATAATAATACTAAGCTCTAATTAAAAAAATGCTAACAGGAATGTGTTTTGGAATATTGATATCATGAAATTTATCATTCTGTGCATGAAATCTGCATTGAATTGAACAATAATTTATATTACAGGTATCACAAAAGTTCATTAAGAGTAAATTGAAATAGACTTCGCCACCGTACAATTCATCTATGGTGCCCAAAACAGTTTGGTACTGCTAAAGCTATTCAAATAATGAAATGTGTTCAATATTTACTTAGCTAAGCTGTGACCTCGGTTCAGCAATTCAGAGAGGTCGGGGCTGACTTCTCAGGACCTCATGGTGTTTTCATCCTGGGCAACAACAGGATAGCTCTGTTCAGGCATCAAATCCACATTCAAAGTGGAAAAGAAGCCAAAGGGGGCATCAGTGACAGTCACATGTCACTGTTTTCTCACAACAGCTTTGCCTTCCCCAGGAGGCTACCAGCAGATTTGCAGGAGCATCACCTTTGAAGAGAAAAATGCTCCAGGAGAATCCCTCATAGAGGAGTGGCCATTTCAGGTTTCCATATTCCCCTTCCCAGTTCACTTCATCCTCATGGGATCTGATGAAGACCTCATGATCTCAAGCCTTGGTGTTTTTCCACAGACATGTAGGTTGTCTAACGTGCAACTTGTTTTTGTTTTTCTTTTGAGATGGAGTCTCACTTTGTCACCCAGGCTGGAGTGCAGTGGCGTGATCTGGGCTCACTGCAACTTCTGCCCCCCAGGTTCAAGCAATTCTCCTGCCTCAACCTCGAGTAGCTGTGATTACAGGTGCATGCCACCACACCTGGTCAATTTTTGTATTTTTAGTAGAGACGGGGTTTCACCGAGTTAAGCCAGGATGGTCTCAATCTGTTGACCTCATGATCCATCCACCTCGGCCTCCCAAAGTGCTGGGATTGCAGGCGTGAGCCACCATGCCTGGCCTAACATGCAACTTTAAGTAACTATTTCCTTGATGTAAATAAAATGTAAACTTTCAGAATCCATTCGGCACCCAAAACGTTAAGTGACAGATCTCATTTACCATCCCTCCCACAATGCACAATCCAGAGGTCTGTACCTCTCTTGGGTGAGGAAGAATGCAGGGACTTAATGGGCTTTCACAGCCCTGATTAGGTTAAGCATCTGCTGCAGCACAGAACGCAGTGGAAGGTAGCTGGGTGGGTCTAATCCAATCATCCAAGCCTCCTATAAATGACTGAATTTGGCTGAGATCACAGAGATCTCCAGCTAGAGCAAGACTGCCTGGGAGAAAGATTCCCCACTGCTGTGTGTAGACCTAGGAATCCCAAGGCTACTCAAGGAGACTGAATACAGGGACCTCAGACCCACTGATCAGTAAGCTGGTAAGTATGGGGCTGGGTTGGAAGGGGCTAAGTGTATGGGAGCACCTTCTGCATAGATCCCAACACACAGACTCTGAATCCTGCCCACAGCCCCAACACCATTGCTGTCTGGTACCAGCACTGCTTCCAGTTCAGCAGGCTCAGCCCAGTGACAAGGGAAAGGCCACAGCCCTACACCATGGCTCGCATTAAGCAGACTGACCTCAAAGCCACCGCCTGGCAGGCCCCCAGGAAGCTGTTGGCCACCAAAGCTGCTGGCAAGAGGGTCCTGGCTACATGAGGGATCAAGAAGCCTCACCGCCACAGGCTTGGCACCCTGGCACTGCACAAAATCAGGAAGTACCATAAGTCCACGCAGCTGCTTCTGCACAAGCTGACCTTCCAATGCCTAATGCGTGAGATCACCCAGGCCATCAACCCAGACCTGCGCTTCCAATGTGCGGCCACTGGCGACTTCAGGAGAACAGCGAGGCCTACCTGGTCCCCCTATTTAAAGACAACAACCCATGGGTTATCCATCCCTGGCATGTCACAATCATGCCCAGAGACATGCAGCTGTCCCGCCACCTCCGCGGAGAGGGTGCTGAGGAGCCCACGCTCCTGGGAAACGCTGCGCTCTAGACGGCTTTGTTTCCGTTTGGTTGTGTTTTTCAATTTCTCTGTGTTAATCATAGTTCTGATATTAGCAGTTCTCTTCACTTTTGCTTTTATGTCCTTCACGGGGTCCAAAAGCAGCCCTGCACATGATTAGGAGTAACAACACAGGCAGATATAACGGGTATGCCTGTTTCTGTTTTCTTTTGTTTGTAAACTTTCCATCTACATTGAGAGTCTAATGCATTCATGTCAACCGGAAATTTCTCACTGAACGCCTTTCAACAGTTCAAATCAAGAACAATTGTGAAAAAATTTGTTCATTAATGTTATTGAAAACCAAATAAATTTCTTATTGGTGGCAAATAGATAATGTCTCCTCCATCAAACAGCAGATGCGATCCACACTTTGACTTTTCCTATATGCAGCTCCGTGTTCTCAATGTTCCCTGTCTCCTGGGCTGTTCCTGTGTGTGTATTTGCTATGAACATACATTACACCCTACTTTCTAAAATGTGAATAGAGTCTCTATACACAAGTCATTTCACATTATGGGAGGCAAAAACCAGTGTGGGTCTGTTTGTGGGTGGGAAAGGGAGAGAGGCACCTGTTAGAAGTCCGATGCAGTCCATCAGCAGCAGCTGAGCGTCCTAGAATGTGGTCATAGCCGTGGCTATGGCTGGAATGATACAGGTCTTGGTTAGCGAAGTGGTAGGAGAGGTCCTGCTTATGTTTGAGATGTGGGGAGACATGCCCCACTGCAGCCCAAGCATTGGAGGGAGACCTTTCTCAGGGGACAGCCCAGTGGCCACTTCCCAAACACCTACTACAAAGCAAAGTCATCTTCCTCTGGGCTGCAGCCTAGAAAGAAAGGCCTGATCTTAGAGGAAAAAGTACTGGTTCCAGTCTTTCTATGACAGAGCCCTCTGTACGCTGGAGCTTCAGTATCTCAGCCCCTCCTGGACTTATCCATGACTTAACATCTTTCTTACATCTTACATTAGTCTCACCCAGATGAAGGCAGCAGCCTGATTAATAATGTCATCCAATCATATTTGTATCTCAGATGGGGCACAATGGCTTATTTCTATGATCAGAGAGCATTTTGGGAGACCAGGGTTGGTGGATCACTTGAACTCAGGAGTTCCAGACCAGCCTGGGCAACATGACAAAACTTCCCCTCTACAATTAAAATGGAAAAAAAAAAAGCTAAATGTGGTGGTTGGTGCCTGCTGTTTCAGCTACTCCAGAGGCTGAGGTAGGAGGATCTCTTGAGCTCCAGAAGTGGAGATTATAGTGAGCTGAGATGGAACCACTGCCCTCCTACCTGGCTGACAGAGTGAGACCCTGGCTCAAGAAAATAACAATCATTATCATCATGTTTGGGTCTCTGAGGTCCATGTATGAGCAGGCATTGTTCTAGGGCTTCCTAGTTGGAAGAACAAAGGCACATGCGCCTTGAGCATCCTTTGGAAGGGGAGCTGCTTTCAGAGAGAAGAAAGAAACCCTTTTAAGGGACTATGGTGGATTCATACCGAATCCTGAAGTGGATATAACTTACGATTTTTGCTCATATGTGATTTTAAGCAGACACAACGAAGTCTTCCCTTACAATACTCTATCCTGAAGGTGCTGGGCTTTCTAAGAGTACTGGAGTAGCTGCCCTTGGAAACATTTAGTACTTTTCCATAACTTTTCCTGGGGAATCAAGCACCTCTTTTCCAGCTTGTAAAAATAAAAATGAAATTAAAAAAGTATTCTTCTCTAAAATGACTCTTTTTACTTTCCTACCAAGACTGTTTCATGTTGGGGAGTGATGTTTGATGATGTCAGAATGGTAACACACTCTGGGAGCCACATGGAAAACTAAGAGAAGGACAGACCCCAGATACCCCGTCTCATCTGGGCACTCCTTTCCACGCCTTCACCTCCAAGGAATTGCCCCAATGTAAACTAGGTTTATGGCTGAAATAACATGTTTATTTCTGTTTAGTGCTTCTCTAAAACAGAAATACATATGATGACAATACATATTCATGCTAGATAATGTTCAATTGTTACTTGATTTTCCAAATTATTCCATAAGAACACAAAAATTAGAAATAAAATTCCTTCTCAGTGTAGGATTTGACCATTAAATATTTTGTGTAATTGAACATTATTTGTAATTATACTGACATGTAATTGATCCAATACCCTGAATATAAGATAAACGGTAACAAATGTATAACCTACTAGAAGAAAACAGGGGATGTCCTCATTGACAATGGCTAACCCAATGATTTTTGGAATATGTCCCAAAAGCAGAGACAGCAAGAGGGAAAATACATAAATGGATTGCATCCAAATGAAAAAACAAAAAATCTGCAGAGCTGACAAAACAATCAACACCATGAAGAGACAGAATCATAAAGAAAGAAAATATTTGCAAACCCCACATCCAATAAGGAATTAACTATTTACTGTCCAAAATATACTAGGAACTCCAAGGACTCGAAACCAAGAAATAATACAATTTAAAAACTGGGCAAAGGAACTCAATAATAGACACTTCTGAAGAGAAGCCATGAAAGTGGCCACCGGCTATATATGCATATATACCTGCTGTTACTAGTATATATATATACTCAACATCACTAATCTCCAGAGAAATGCCAATAAAAACTGAAAGAAGATAACACCTTATGTTCATTAGAATGGCTATGATCAAAACATCAAAGGACAACACTTGTTGATGAGGATGTGGAGGAAAGGGAGCCCTTGCATTCTTCCTGGGAATGTAAATTAGGGCAGCCATTATAGAAAACAGTATGGACCTTCCTCCACAAACTAAATAAATACAGCTACCATATGATCCAGCAAGCCCACACTGGGAGGTGTACATCAAAAGGAAATCAGTCTATTGAAGAGATATCTGCACTCCCACATTGATTGCAGCACTACTTACAAGACCTAAGATAGGGAATCCACCTAAATGTCCAAAAGCAGATAACAGGAGGAAGAAAATCTGACATATATACACAAGGGAATACTATACCGCCTTAAAGAAGAAGGAAATCTTGTCATTTGTGACACATGGGTACACCTGGAGAACATCATGCTAAGTGAAATAAGTCAGGCATAGGTAGGAACACAAATACCACATAATCTCAATGCTATGTAGAACATCACAAAGGTAGTCTGATGGATGTCAAAGAGAAGAAAGGTGGTTGTTTGGGGCTGTGGTGGCAGGGGGTGGGGAATTTGAGAAGACATTGGTCAAAATACACAACATTTCAGTTACATAGGGGGAATAAGTTCAAGGATTATTGTATAACATGATGACTTAACAACAGATCGTATTTTTGAAAAATGCTATTAACATGGATGTGCAGTGTTCTCACCACAGTAATATATATGTGAGGTAATGAATGTCAATTACCTAGATTTAGACATTAGACAATGTGTACATACTTTAAAACAGCATTTTGCACATAAGAAATATATACAACGAGATGTGTCCACACTTTAAATATGAATACACAAGTCAATAGTTGAGTGGTTGCAAGGGACCGAGAGTGAAGCAGAAGTGCAGAGACTGGACAGAGTACGATTGCATGGAAGTGAAACTAGTCCATAGAATACAATAATGGTGGATACATGCAATTATGCCTTTGCTTGAATCCATGGAATATACAACACTCAAGTGAATCCTAAGGAGAGCGATGGAGTTGGAGTCACAGTGATGTGTCCATGTAGGTTGAAAGGTTGTAGACAATGTACCACTCTGGGGCAGAAAGTTCATAGTGAAGGGGGCTATGCATATGTGTGGTGAGAGGATATTGGGGACCTATGTTCCTTCTACCCAATTTTGGGATGAACCTAAAGGTTTTTTACAAAATGATCTCTATTTTTAAAAGAGAAATGTGAACTTATTTTGTGAGTATTGATTATCCTGGAAATTCCTGTTCTGTGTGTGGTATATGCATTGCAGGCATGGGCATTAAATTTATACTATAAGTTGTCAGAGAAGCCTGTGCACCGTGTATTGAAATAAGGGCCTTGGGTTGGTGTGTTGTTTATTTGTTTGTTTTCTTTACTCTGCTTTGCTTTTACTCATGAAGCCAATAGTATGAAGGTAGCTGCTGAGTCCTCGGTTCAGCAACTCAGTGAACTCAGGGCTGGCTTCACGGGGCTTCATGGCATTTCCAAAGCAGGCAATGGAAAGAAGGCTCACCCCCTCCATCAAGGTAAAAAACACACGGGGGGGCTTCAGTGACAGGCACATAAGACCATTAGTTCAAAAACCTCAGCTTCCCCCGAAGGCTACACGCAGATTTCCATGAATGTCACTTTGGGAGAGAAAAATGCTCCCAGAGCATCCCTGGTAGAGGAGTGACCATTTCGGTTTGCATCTTCTCCTGCTGGTAAGTCTGGGGTGGGTTGGAAGGGGCTCAGTGTGTGGGAGCATCTTGTACATGGATTTCAACTCACGGGCTGGCAGTTCCATGTTTGCAATGTTCCCTGTCACCTGGGCTGTTCCTCCTAGTTTGCTATGAACATACATTGATCTCTACTTTCTACAATATGAATAGACTCTGTATGAATAGACTCTGTATCCACAAGTCACTTCACATTAGGGTTGGCAGAATAACCAGTGTGGTTGTGTTTATGGTGGGAAAGGGATAGAGGCACCCTGTAGAAGTCTGATGCATTCCGTCAGGTGCAGGTCAGTGTCCTAGAACCAGGTTACTGCCATGGACATGGCTGTAATGACACAGATCTTTGTTGGGGAGGTGGTAGGAGAAGCTCTGGACATGTGTGAGATGTGGGAAAATGCCCCTGTTACACCCCGGGCATTAGAAAAAGGCCTTACATACAGGACAGCCCAGGTGCCGCTTCCCCAACATCCAGTACAAAAATAAAATAAAATAATCATCTTCCTCTCAGAAGATATTGGTCTCACCCAGATGAAGGCAGCAGCCGGTTTCATAATCCCTTTCAATCATATTTATATCTCAGACCAGCCACAATGGCTCATCTCTGTAAAACCAGCACTTTGGGTGGCCAAGGGCAGCAGATCAGTTGAGCTCAGGAGTTCCTGTCTAGGCCAGGAATCTTGGCAAAACCTCCCTTCAAAAAAAAAAATTAGTTGGTTGTGGTTGCTGGTGCCTGTGCTTTCACCTACTTGGAGGCTGAGGTAGAAGGACTGATTGAGCTGTGGAGGTGGAAGTTAAAGGGAGCCAAATTGACATCACTGCCCTTCCACCTGGCCAACAGAGTAAGACTCTGTCTCAAAAAACTAACAATCATTGTCATTATATTTGGTTCTCTGAGGTCCATGCATGAGTGGGTGCTTTTCTGGGTCTTCCTAGTTGGAGGAAGAAAGGTGCATGGGCCTTGGGCATCCTGTGGACGGGGAGCTGTTTTCAGATAGAGAAAAAAGACATCCTTTTAAGAGACTATGGTGGATTCACACTGAATCCTGAAGTTGCTATGACTTTGGATGTTTTTGCTCAAATGTGATTTTAAAGAGATAAAACAAACAGTAAGTCTTCCCTTACAATACTCTATCCAGAAGGTCCCGAGCTTTCTAAGAGCACTGGAAGAGTTACCTTGTAAACATTTAATACTTTTCCATAACTTTTCCTGGGAAATCAACCGTTTTTCAGCTTGCAAAAATAAAAATGAAATTAAAAATTAGTTTTTCCTCTAAAATGGGTTTTTTCACATTCAGACCAAGATTGTTTTATGTCACGGAGTGATCTTTCATGATGTTAGGATGGTAACACACTGTAGGAGCTGCATGAAAAACTACACAGAGAAACACAAACCCCAGAGACCCTGTCTAATCTCTTCATTCGTTTCCACACATTTGCCTCCAAAGAGCTGGTCCCAGTGTAACCTATATTAATGGCTGAAATAACATATTGATGTGTGTTTCATGCTTGTCTAAAACAGAAATGCATATAATAACTATATTATTATACTATGTGATGTTTTATTTTTAGTTTATTTTGCAGATTATTGTATTAAAATATAATGTCCTCTCATTGTAGGATTTGAGCATTAAATATTTTGTGTAATTGAAGCCTATTTGTAATTATACTGACATGCAATTGCCAAATACCATGTATATAAGATAAACAGTAATAAATATATATCAAAAATAAAATGGAGTTCCAGTTTTTGGGGTGACTCCTAAGGAAATTCCATGTCATCACTCTATCTTCACAATCATAAAAAAAAACTAAAAAAGCAAAGAATCAATATCTCCTTGGAAATCTCTCTGAGTGATGATGTCAGAGGCAAATACAAAGAGAAAATAAAAAGATTTCATGGTTTTCTGTCTTTGAAGTATGCTATCAATCTGTAGGAACCAAAATTTCATAACACTGGCATAAAAACAGAGACCTAAGCCACTGGATCAGAGCAGAGAGTCTAGAAATCAGTCCATCCATATACGGCCAAATGATAGTTTAAAAGGGTGCCAACAACCCACCACCACAAAACCACAGTTTCTTCCAACAATGGTGATAGGAAAACCTGGTAGCCACATGAAGAAAAATGAAATTGGACCCCTATATCTTACTGTACACAAGAATAAATCCAAATAAATTAAAAACTAGAAAGTATAAACCAACTAGAAGAAAACAGGGGACATTCTCATTGACTCTGGTTAAGCCAAAAACTTTTGGAATATGACCCAAAAGCACAGACAACAAAAGGGTGAATAGACAAATGGATTGCATCCAACTTAAAAAAAAAAAAATCTGCAAAGCCGACAAGACAATAAACATCATGAAGAGACAAAATCAAAATGAGAGAAAATATTTGCAAACCCTACATCATATAAGGGATTAATTACTGTCCAAAATACTCTAGGAACTCAAATGACTCAATAGCAAGAAACAACACAATTTAAAACCGGACAAAGGACCTAAATGACATACCTTTCTGAAAAGAAGACATACAGTGGCCAACAGGTATGTATATACATATATATGCTCAACATCACTAATCATCAGAGAAATGCAAATTAAAACTGAAAGAAGATACCACCTCACACTCATTAGGATGTCTATGATCAAAAAGTCAAAAGACAACACTTGTTAATGAGGATGCGGAGGAAAGGGAACCCTTGCACTATTCATGGGAACGTAAATTAGGACAGCCATTATAGAAAGCAGGATGGACATTCCTCCAAAAATGGAAAGAATAGAGCTACCATATGATCCAGCAATCCCACATTGCCAGGTATACACCAAAAGGAAATGAAATCAGTATTGAAGAGATATCTGCACTCTCATGTTAATTCACAATAGCTAAGATATGGAATTCACCTAAATGTCCAAAACTGGATGACAGGATGGGGTAAATCTGATATACATGCACAATGGAATACTATGCAGTCTTAAAGAAGGACATCTTGTCATTTGTGACACATGGGTGCACCTGGAGAACATCATGCTACGTGAAATAAGCCAGGTGTAGGAAGACAAATACCACGTCATCTCAATGATATGTGGAATCTCACAAAGTTAATCTAATAGATGTCAAAAAGAAGAATTCTGGTTGTCAGGGGCTGGGTGGCTGTGGGTGAAGGATTGAGAAGACGTTTGTCGAAATACACAACATTTCAGTTATATAGGGAGAATAAGCTCAAGGACTATATTACAACATGGTGACTATGGTTTAACAATAGATCATATTCTTGAGAAATGCTATTAGCGTGGATGTGAAATATTCTCACCACAATAGTACATATGTCAGGTAATGGCTGTCAGTTACCAAATTTAGATATTAGACAATGTGTTCATACTTTATAACAGCATTTTGTACATAAGAAATATATACAATGAGATGCGTCTGTTTTAAATACAAAGAAATAAATCAATAGTTGAGTGGTTGCAAGAGACCAAGGGTCAAGGGGGAGTGCAGAGATGGGACACAGTGCATTTGTACAGAAGTAAAACTACTCCACAGAATACAATAACGGTGGATACATGTAATTACACCTTTGCTCGAGTCCATAGAACGTACAACACCCAAGTGAGTCCCTAAGGAGAGCTATGGTCTTGGAGTCAGAGTGCTGTGTCCGTGCAGGTTGAATGACTGTAACCAACATACTACTCTGGAGCAGAAAGTTGATAGTGAAGGGGGCTATGCATATGTGGGGAAAGAGGATGTGGGAAATCTCTGCTCCTTCTGCCTGATTTTGCTGTGAACCTAAAGATTTTCTACAAAAGTAGCTCTCCTTTTAAAACAGGAATATGAACTTATTTTGTGAGTATTGATTGTCATGGGATTTCCTGTTCTGTGCATGGTCCGTGCATTGCATACAAGGGTATTAAATTTCTACTACAAGTATCAGAGAAGCCTGTTAATAGTGTACCAAAATAGGGGCCTTTTGTATGTGTATTGTTTGATTGTTTGTTTGTTTTTGTTTGCTTTATTTTTTCTCATGGAGCCAGAAATATGAAGGTATCAGCTGTGACCTGGGTTCAGTGGTTCAGTGAACTCAGGGCCTTCACTGGGCCTCATGCCATTTCCAAAATGGGCAATGGAAACAAGACTCAGCCCTGGCGTCAAAGTAAAAAAAGGAGCCAGGATGCCTCAGTGACAGGCATATATGACCATTTGATCAAAAGGTCTCAGCTTCCCCCAAAGGCTACCCCCAAATTTCCACGAATATCACTTTGGGGGAGAAAACATGTCCCCCGGAGCATCCCTAATAGAGGAGTGACCTTTTTGATTTTCCATCCATCCCTCCCGGTTTCAACTCATCCTCAGAGAACCTGAGAGACACCTCACGATGGCACCCTTGGTGTTTTGCGGCAGTCACGGAAGTCATCTAATGTGCAACTGTATTGAAATGTCTTTTTCATTGTAACTTCCATGATGATCATGAAATGTAAACTTTTGGGATCTCTTTGGCACCTAGATTCTAGCTAACTCTCACCTATCATCTCTCCCATGAGGCACAGTCCAGAGGTTCAGCCCTCCCAGGGCTGCATGGAGAACCCAGGACTTGATTGGGTTTTCACAACCCTGATGAGGTTGAGGGTCTGGCCAAGCACTGAGAGCAATGGAAGGTAGCTGCATAGGTCTAATGCAATCATTTGAGCCCCTTATAATAGGCTGGACTTGGCTGAGACTACACAGATGTCCAGCCAGAGCCAGGCTGCCTGGGGGGAGGGAGATTCCCCACAGCTGATGTGTAGACCAAGGAAGCCCAGGACCCCCGGGAGACCGAGCAGCAGGACCTCTGACCCACATACCTGCGAGCTGGTAAGTCTGGGGCTGGCTTGGAAGGGGTTAAGTGTCTGAAGAGTCTTCTGCATGGATCTCAACTCGCAGACTCTCTGATTTTTGTCCACAGCCCCACCACCATTGCAGTCTGAAACCAGCGCTGTCTCCAGTTAACCTGGCTCAGCCCAAGGACAGGAGAGAGACCACAGCCCCAGGCCACTGCATGCCCCAAGCCAACAGCCAGCAAAGCCACCGCCTGGCAGGCGCCACGAAGACCCTGGCCACTAAAGCCGCCAGCAAAAGGGCACTGCCTACAGGAGGGATCAAGAAGCCTCACCGCTACAGGCCTGGCAATGTGCGAAATCAGAAAGTACCAGAAGTCCACGCAGCTGTTACTCCTCAAGCTGCCCTTCCAGCGCCTGGTGCGCAAGATCTCCTAGGCCATCATCCTGGTCCTGCGCTTCCAGAGCGCTACCATTGGAGCCCTGCAGGAGCCCAGTGAGGCTTACCTGGTGCACCTCTTTGAAGTCACCTAGCTGTGTACCATCCATAAAAGCCCTGCTCTCTTCTCCCCTATGTATGTATATTAGGGCTCTGCTTGGTACCCTCTTCCATAGGAAACACAAATCCATCAATTGATCATTTAAGCCTTTGTAGTTTGGGTACAATTTTTTGTGTAGTTGTACTTGTAAGCTTTGTACTTCTAAAGACTAGACCCTAGATAATATGTGCTTGGGAATAGTGGAGCTAGCTTGCTTAAACTTTATTTAGGCATATGCTAATTACTTGTGGGGGCAAAGGCAAGCAGTGAGAATGTTAAGCTTATCCCAAAATAGAAAATGATAGAAAATAGTCAAGTACAGTCACTTTATTTGTTAGGTGTCTTGTCACAACTTTACCAGCACCAATCAGAGACCACATTTTTCTAGGCAGTCTCCAAATGTACATTATGAGATAGACTTTAAGAATAGTAATGAAGCTCCAGGAAAAACTTCATTGTCATTAACATGTAATACAATCAGCCATGAAAGCTGTCAAAGATTTCTCCTGGAAAGATACCATTTTCTACAGACTTCTTTCTTGAGAGCTGTGGCTATATGGTATTATATATTGAGAAGATTTCATATGTGATTATTAAAAAGTCAGGAAACAACAGATGCTGGCAAGGCCGTGGAGACATAGAAACACTTTTACAATGTCTGTGAGAGTGTCAATTAGTTCAACCATTGTGGAAGACAGTGTGGCGATTCCTCAAGGATATAGAACCAGAAATACCACTGGACCCAGCAATCTCATTACTGGGTATATACCCAAAGGATTATAAATCATTCTACTATAAAAACACATACATATATGTTTATTGCGGCACAGTTTACAATAGCAAAGACGTGGAACCAACCCAAATGCCCATCAGTGAAGGTCTGGATAAAGAACATGTGGCATATATACACCATGGAATACTATAGAGCCATAAAAAAGAATGAGCTCGTGTTCTTTGCGGTGACACAGGTCACACTGGAACCATCATTCTCAACAAACTAACACAGGAACAGAAAACCAAACACCACATGTTCTCACTCATAAGTGGGAGTTGATCAATGAGAACACATGGACACAGAGAGGGGAACATCACACAGCGTGGCCTGTCAGGGGGTGGGAGGCAAGGGAAGGGAGAGCATTAGGAAAAATATGCAATGCATGCGGGGCTTAAAGCCTCGATGATGGGTTGATAGGTGCAGCAAACCACTAGGGAACATGTAAAGCTTTGTTACAAACCTGCACATTCTGCACATGGATCCCAAAACTGAAAGTAAAAAAAACGATTTGTAAGGACACTGAACCTTCTCGGCTAATCCAATTTTCCTCTCTGAGAAAACAAAGCTGTGTTCCTGCTCCTGAGCTGACCTCTGAGACCTTGATGGGAACTTGTTTCTGTCTTCAGCAGTTCAGCTTTACTCAGACCCCACTCAGACTATTGAGTTCTATGAGGGGCCAGAAAAATGTTCTAATGTTCTAACCTTGTGTGTGGAATCACCATCAGCACTGCTCTCTACAGATGCTTGTCTCCACCTCAGCAGACCAACCTGCTTGGGCCAGGTTCTCTTTGCCTCTACTGTTCAGAAAGTGCTAGACCTGCAACATCTGACAGAATACAGCTTCCAAGACTGCTCAGTGCCATGGAAAAGGAATGAGCTGAGAGCAACCTAAAGACTGGGAGATATTAAGTCTCTTGGATCATACTTCTTTTGGTTGCTCGAGCACTTTAATTCCTGAGAGAGCCCTTCCATCTCCATCAGTTCTTCCAAGAACCTGTACCCTCCTTGTGTCTCTAAGACACACTGGTCTAACTTGTTAGATGCCTTTACAAGAAAGTTGGTAAAATGAAAGGAAAGCTAAACCATGTCAGAATATGGAGGTATGAAACAATTTCCCCATACTCGGTAAAGTTGAGAAATTTGTGTAATACTCAAAGGCAGATTCTGTGTAAAATAAGTCCTATTTTAAGAGCAAAAGCTGAGTGTATGAAGAAATAAAACTATATTTTACGGGAGTGTCTTTGGCTTCAGGAAGAAAGAGTACATGTTATTCTCCATTCAATATTACAGCTGAACTATGGGGTCTTTTCCATCCTTTTTGCTTATACTCTGTGACTCAGGGGGCACATGGCAGTAGTAAACAGACTGAAACAGCACCGTGGATATCTGTGAGCTGTATGTGCTGGGAAGGTTCACGGTGATTCCATAATAAATCTCAGGTCTTTATTCGATAACAAAAAATTACTCTTTTCCATCATAAAGGTAAAGCAGAGTATGTACAAGTAGAGTATGGAATAACTTTGTCACTCGTGATGAACCTACTTGGTCCGATACTTTAACAACTTCTCCAATGTCTCTGTACTCAGGTTTGATTTTCTGAGTGGATCATCGGTAGAATGAATAAAATCAAGAATCCTCTAAGGCAATGTTTGGAACTAAATTTCAGTGTCTCCGGAAGCACTGGTAAAATCACCATGTGTAGCGAACGTGAAGTATCAATAGGCTCTCTCTGTGTCTTTGAAACTGCACATATGATCATTACAAATGGCGGCTTGAGGAAAGGTGGTTTTGGAATTGGTTTCTCTCTAGTCTTCCATGATGCACCTATACTATATTACATTATAATAAAGTAAAGGGTCACTTGCTGACATAAAGCACAGTAAGCAGGAATAGAAGAGTCAACTTAGAGAAAAAAATTCTTTGTGATTTTATTTTTATTTCCGCAGTTTGGAAAAGAGTTTAACTGTTTTTGTGATGACTCACAAAAATACATATGAGCATTGAAAATCAGAGAAGGACAACAATTGGGAAACATTTCTGGAGGCTTCACTTACTGAAACCCAGACATAAGCATACAAGCTAAGACACAGCTACACCAGGCTTCAGCATGAATCCATACAAATCTCCTGGAAAGGGCTTCCCTCTCTGAATGCAGCTCCCTGTCCACAGGATGCTCAAGGCCCAGGCACCTTTATTCTTCCAACTAGAAAGGTATAGAAAAATGCCTGAATATGCCCTTGGAGGCCCAAACATTTAGCCAAGGCTCCTATGAAACAATCTGCTGTCTTCATCCAGGTAAGGGCAACTTCACATTTTAAGACACTAAGATGGTGGGTAAATCCAGGTGGGACTGAGATGCAGAAGCTCCAGCAAAGGCAGTCCTGTCATTGGAAGATGAATGCGGTACTTATTCCTGCACAAACAGACCCCTCCGTCTGGCCTTGGGCCTAGAACATGATTTTTTTGTAGTTGCTGTTGGGGAAGAGGCCCTTGGGCTTTAACCTGCGAACAGCCTCCCTTAAATGCTTGGGCTGCAGTGGGGGCATTTCTCCCCACATCTCACACACGTCCAGGGCCTCTTCCACCACCTCTCCAACAAAGACCTTGGCTATTCCAGCCATGGCAATCGCCACGTTCTCAGACACCGATCTGCCAGTGATAGACCGCATCAGACCCGCAATGCATGCTTTTGGGAAAGCTGACCGGCGACACACTTCGTAGCGGGACAGCTGCTCCTCAGACATGGCAGACAGCAGGGTTGTCATCCTCTGAGCCTCCTCTGCATCCACAGTGGGCTTCCTCTCCTTCTTTCCTTTGGTATCTGTTTTCCGTCTTTTGGCTGCAGGAGGAGCTGAGGCTGAGGCCTCATTGTCACCTTCTGTGAGGTCCATGACATCCTCACTCCTGAGCTCACCTTCCTGATCCCTGGGTTCTTCCAAGTTCCCATCTAGGTCCTCAGGGATTCCATCCTTCTTGCTGCCCTTCAGATCTCGGGGCATGGCGAACATCTCAGCAGACACACCTGTTTGCCTGCCTGTCTCCATGGGTGAGATTCAAGTCTGCTCCGTGACAGCAGCTGTACAGGCAGAAGTTCTGGCTGGGGTGGTTTGATTATGGATCTGCGATGAGAACCTTTCAAAGATTTTAGCTGCTGTGTTTCTGCTGAGCCATAGTTTAGCCACAACTGGACACAGCTCCCGGCCTCACCTTCCCACACACAAACACACACACCGAATTTTCTCACTTCCACAATGTGAAGAAACTTGTGCATGGAGCGTATATTAATTTTAGATCAATGCAGAACGAATTCTCACCAATTTTGGATATTTAAAACAAACACCAGCTCACAGGTCAGAAGTTCTACTAGGCCAAGTGACTGCCTCCTGCTCAGAGTCACAAGAGGGACTTCCAGGATGGGTTTGTTTGTGTGGTCATTGCCTTCACCTGAGAAGGGTCTGGCTTCGATCTGATTCAAGTTGGTGGCAGAATTCAATGCCTTAGGGTAGTGAGCCCCAGGCCCACTTGTTTGTTCTGCCTGCTGCCGTGAGGATGCTCTCAGCTCCTACACGTGTTGCCCAGGTCTGGGCTGTGAGGCTCCCTGGGTCTGCACAGCCAGTGATGAGGGATCTCCCACAGGGGAATGTAATCTCAGGGAGGTTCAGTCCCTTATAAAGAGCTCAGATGATTGAATTAGACCCAGCACTTAACAGCTAATGGTTCAGGGTATCCCTAACCTTATCAGGGATTTGGGCAGGCTCATCAATTCATGGTTCTGCCCACACTTAAGGTGGGGCAGATGCAGGGCGAGTCTCTGAGTGGTGGGAAATGCAGGGGGCCTTTCAGAATTCAGTTTTCCTCACAGAATCGCAAAGTTCACATTTCACAACAATAAAGAAACTATTTACAGTAAAAACGAGATGTTTTATGAAGTTGCACATTAGAAAACTTCAATGTCTGAGAAAAAAATCTCTAACTCACAGGGAAACAAGTGTTTTATCAAATACTCTGAAAATAAAATGAGCTGGGTGAGGGGAATATGAAAATACTATTTCAATTTTATTTTATCTTATTTTATTGATTTATTTTTGAGACAGAGTCTCACTCTGTCCCCCAGGCTGGATTGCAGTGCCCTGATCTCAGCTCACTGCAGCCTCTGCCTCCTGGACTCAAGCAACTCTCCTGCCTCAGCCTCCAGAGTAGCTGGGACTAAATGTGCACCCCACCAAGCTGCGATAATTTTTGTATTTTTTAAAGTAGAGAGGAGGTTTCACAATTTTGGCCAGGCTGGTCTTAAACTGCTGACTTCAAGTGATCAGCCCCTCTTGGTTTCTCAAAGTGAAGTGATTACAGGCATGAGCCACTGTGCCCAGACTTCAATTTATATATTACATGTATATGTATACATAGGTCACAGGGAAGCACCAAAGAGACATAAAATTATGTCATGCACAGAGACATAAATCACATTTAGGGAAAATTATGTTGAGAAATGGCATAAAAAGTACTTCAGAAGATAAAGCAGGCACTCAAATATCTGACTTTTAAAGAGTTTTTGTTTATTCAAAAATTGTTGGTAGAAGATATGAAATTACTGGTCTGGCATGGTGGCTCATGCCTGTAATCTCAGCATTTTGGGAGGCCGAGGTGGGTGGATCTCCTGAGGTCAGGAGTTCAAGACCAGCCTGGACAACATGGTGAAACCCCTCTTTTCCAGCAACACATTTACATCGGAACTTTTGTAAGATACCAAACTGTGTGTCATCCATGCCAGGAGCTTCCCAATTATGTCCAGAGACATGCAGCTGGCCCACAGCCTCCATGGAGAGGGTGCTTAAGAGCCCACATTCCTGGGAAATCTTGCATTGCAAATGGTTCCTTTGTGTTGTGTTGTGTTTTTCTCTGTTAATGGTTTCTTTTTTGTTGTGTTGTGTTTTCTCTCTGTTAATGATAGATATGATGTTAGAAGTTCTGTTCAGAGTTAGTATCGTTTCTCGCATAGGGTCAAAAAGTAGCTAAGCATATGATTGGGAATAAAAACAGAAGCAGAAATCACAGGTAGTGACTGTGTTTCAATTTGTTTTGTTTGTAAACTTTCAATCTACATTGAGGGTCTAATACATTTGTGGAAATGTCTCAGTGAACACGTTTCTGCATTTCACATCAAGAACAATTGTGGAGAAATGTGTTCCTTAATATTATTGAAAACCAAGTAAACGTATAGGTGCCAAATAGACAGTGTCTCCTGCAATTGATCAAACAGTAGATGGGATCCACACTTTAACTTTTTCTATATGCAGCTCCGTGTTTCACAGACTGCTCCTGCTGGTTTGCTATGAACAAACATTGATCTCTACTTTCTAAAATGTGAAAATACTCTTTATCCACAGTCGCTTCACATTACGGGAGGCAGAAAAACCAGTGTAGGTCTGTTTGTGGGTGGAAAAGGGAGAGAGGCAGCCTTTAGAAGTCCGATGCAGTCCATCACCAGCAGTTCAGTGTCCTAGAACGTGGTCATGGCCGTAGCCATGGCTGGAATGACCCAGGTCTTGGTCTGGGAGCTGGTAGGAGAGGCACTGGAGATGTGTGAGATGTGGGGAGACACGCACCTGCTGCAGCCCAAGCCTTTCACAGGGGACAGCCCAGGGCCCATTACCCCAACATCGAGAAAAAAAAAAAAAACCCCATCTTCCTCCAGATCCCAGCCCAGATAGAAAGGCCTGATTTTAGAGGAGAAAGTACTGCTTCTAGTCTTTCTATGAGAGCACACTTTCTATGCTGGAGCTTCAGTATCTCAGCCCATCCTGGACTTACCCGTGATTTAACATCTTTCTTACATCTTACATTGGTTACACCCAGATGAAGGCAGCAGCCTGTTTGATCATCCCTTTCAATCATATTTGTATCTCAGACCGTGCACAGTGGCTTATTCCTGTTATCCCAGCATTTTGGGTGGCCGACCTGGCAAATCACTTGAACTAGAGTTCCAGACTGCCTCTCTTTAAAAAAAAAAAAAAAAAAAAATTAGCTGGGCGTGGTCACTAGTTCCTGCTGTTTCACCTACTCATTCTGGAGTGTGTGGTAGGAGAATTGCTTGCGCTTCAGAGGTGGAGGTTGCAGTAAGCAGAGATGGCGCCACTGCCCTCACACCTGGCCAACAGAGTGAGACCCTGTCTCAAAATTAGTAACAATCATCACCATCATATTTGGAGCTCTGAGGTCCACGCATGCTCAGGCATTGTTCTGGTGCTTCCTGGTTGAGAGAAGAATGGTGCATTAGCCTCGAGAATCCTGTGAATGGGGAGCTGTTTTTACAAAGAGAAAAGAAACTCTTTTCAGAGACTGTGATGAAATCACACTGAATTCTGAAGTTGCTATGACTTAGGATGTTTTTGCTCCTATATGATTTGTAGGAGATACAACAGAGTCGTCCCTTATAATACTTTTTCCTGAAGGCCCTGGCTTTCTAAAAGCATTGGAATAGTTCCCCTTATAAACATTTATACTTTTCATAACTTTGCCCAGGGAATCAACAGTTTTGAACTTGCAAAAATAAAAATTAAATTAAATACCAGATTTTCCTCTACAATGATTTTTTTCACGTTCTGGCCCAAATTGCTTCATGTCAGAGAGCAATCTTTGAGGATGTTAGAATGGTAACACACTCTAGGAGCCATATGGAAATCTAGACAGAGAAACGCAGACCAAAGAAACCCTGTCTAACTTCTGCATTCATTTCCACACCTTCACCTCCAAAGAACTGGTCCCAAGGTAACCTTTGTTTATGACTGAAATAACATACTGATCTCTGTTTTGTCCTTCTCTAAAATGGAAATGCATATAATAATAATATATTTTATTTTAGATAATATTCCATTTTTACTTTATTTTTCAAATGATTAAGAAATACAGAAATTAAAAACAAAATTTGCTCTCTCTGTAGGATTTGAACATTAAATATTTTGTATAACTGAACCCTATTTGTCATTATATGAACAAGTAATTGATCATATATCTTGAATATAAGATAAACTGTAACAAATGTATAGCAACAATAAAATGGAGTTCCAGTTTTCAGGATGGCCCATAAAAAAAGATTCCATGTCATTACTCTGTCTTAACAATCAGTAAAAAGCTGAAAAAGCAAAAAAATCTATATCTCTTTGACATCTGTCTGAGTGGTGCTGTCATAGGGCAAACCATAGAGAAAATAAAAAAATCCATGCCTTCCTTGCTTCAAAGTATTCTATCAAGCTGTAGGAACAAAAATGGCATAAGAATGGCATCAAAACAGAAATCAAAGCCAATGGAACAGAGCAGAGAGCCCAGAAATCCCTCCAAATGTGTACAGCCAATTACATTTTTACAAACGTGCCAACAACACACAATGACAAAAGGACAGTCTCTTCCATCAGTGGTGATAGGAAACTGGGTATCTACAGGCAGGAAAATGAAATTGGGCCCTAATCTCTTGCCATACACAAGAATCAACCAAAATATAGTCAAAACTTTAAACTATGAGCCTACTAGAAGAAAACAGGGGACATCCTCATTGACATTGGTTAAGCCAATAATTTTTGAAATATGTCCCAAACACATGGGCAGCAAAAGGGAAAATAGACAAATGGATTGCATCCAAATGAAAAAAAAATTCTGCACAGTAAAAGAAATAATTAACACCATGAAGAGACAAAATCATCGTGAGAAAAAATACTTGCAAACACTATATCCAATAAGGCATTAATTAGTTACTGTTCAAAATATACCATGAACTCAAAGGACTCAACAGCAAGAAACAACACAATTTTAAAACTGGGCAAAGGACCTAAATAATAGACATCTCAGGAGAGAAGATATACAAGTGGCCAGCAGGCATGTATATATATATATATGCTCCATGTCACCAATCTTCAGAGAAATGCATATAAAAACTAAAAGAAGGCATCACCTCACACTCTTTAGAATGGCTGCAATCAAAACATCAAAGGACAACACTTGTTGAGGATGTGGAGGAAAGCGAACCCTTGTATTATTCCTGGGAATGTAAATTAGGGAGCCATTCTAGAAAACAGTATGGAACTTCCTCCAAAAACTACATAAATACAGCTACCATATGATCCAGCAATCCCACACTGGGAAGTGTATATGAAAAGGAAATGAAATCAGTCTATTGAAGAGATATCTATACTCCCCTGTTCATTGCAGTGCTATTTACAAGACCTAAGATAGGGAATCCACCTAAATGTCAAAAAGCAGATAACAGGATGAGGAAAATCCGATATACATACACAAGGGAATACTATGCAGCCTTAAAGAAGGAAATCTTGTCCTTTGTGTACACATGGGTGCACTTGGAGAACATCATGCTAAGTGAAATAAGCCAGGCATAAGAATACAAACACTACATGGTCTCCATGATACCTGGAATCTCACAAAGTTAATCTGATAGACGCAAAAATATAAGAAAGATGGTCGTCTGGGGCTGTGGTGGCTGGGGATGGGGAATTTGAGGAGATGTTGGTCAAAACACACAACACGTCAGTTACATGGGGGAACAAGCTCAAGAATTATTGTACAACGTGGTGACTATAGTTAACAATATACTGTTACTGGTACCAAGGTTAAAAAAAAAAAAAAAAGAGCCAGAGAGCCTCAGTGACAGGCACATAGGACCATTTGATCAAAAAGCCACAACTTTGCCTGAAGGCTACCGCAGATTCCCATGAATGTCACTTTGGGGGAGAAAAATGCCCCCAGGAGCATCCCTGTTAGAGGAGTGATCATTTAGGTTTTCCATATTTCCCTCCCCGTTTCACCTCATCCTCAGGGAACCTGAGAGACACCTCATGATCGCACCCTTGGTGTTTTGCAGCAGTCACCGATGTCGGGTAACATACAACTTTATTCAAATGTCTTTTTCATTGTAATGACTTCCATGATGGTCGTGAAATGTAAACTTTCAGAATCTCCTTGGCACCCAGAATTTTTTCTAACTCACACCTACCATCCCTCCCACGATGCACACGGCAGAGGTTCCTCCCTCTCTGGGGTGTGTGCAGAACCCAGGGACTCAAATTGGGTTTTCACAGCGCTGACGAGGTTGAGAGTCTAGTGAAGCAGTGAGTACAATGGAAGGGAGCTGGGTGAGTCTAATGCAATCATCTGAGCTCCTTATAAGAGGCAGGGCTTTACTGAGACCACAGAGATCTCCAGTCAGAAACAGACTGCCTGCGAGGGAGACTCCTGGCTGCTGCTGGGTAGACCAAGGAAACCCAAGACCTTCCGGGAAGACTAAGCAGCCCGGCCTCCGACCCACAGACCTGAGAGCTGGTAAGTGTGGGGTTGGGTTGGCAGGGGTTAAGTGTGTGGGAGAGTCCTGCGCATGGATCTCAACTCACAGGCTCTCTGAATCCTGTCCACAGCACCACTGCCCTTGTTTTCTGACGCCAGTACTGCCTGCAGCAGGCCAGGCTCAGCCTCAGAGAGGAGAGAGCACAAGGCCCCACAACATGGCGCGCACCAAGCAGACCGCCCGCAAAGCCACCGCCTGGCAGGCCCCCAGGAAGCCCCTGGCCACCAAAGCCGCCAGAAAAAGGGCGTCGCCTACAGGAGGGATCAAGAAGCCTCACCGCTACAAGCCTGGCACCCTGGCGCTGCGGGAAATCAGAAAGTACCAGAAGTCCACGCAGCTGCTCCTGCGCAAGCTGCCCTTCCAGCGTCTGGTGCGTGAGATCGCCCAGGCCATCAGCCCGGACCTGCGCTTCCAGAGCGCGGCCATTGGCGCCCTGCAGGAGGCCAGCGAGGCCTACCTGGTGCAACTCTTTGAAGACACCAACCTGTGTGCCATCCATGCCAGGCGCGTCACAATTATGCCCCGAGACATGCAGCTGGCCCGCCGCCTCCGTGGAGAGGGTGCCGGAGAGCCCACGCTCCTGGGAAACCTTGCACTCTAGAGGACTTCTTTTCTGTTTGCTTGTGTTTTCTTTTTTCTCTTCCCCCGTAACTGGTAGTTCTGATGTGAGAAGTTTTGTTCTGTTTTGGTTTCTTTTCCCTCCGGGGGTCCAAAGGTAGCTAAGCATAAGATTGCCAGTGGAAACGCAGGCAGAAATCAGGTGGCAGTTGTGTTTGTGTGTGCTTGTTAGTAAACGTCTCATCTACTTTGAGGCTCCCAAGGTACTAGTGTCAAGTGGAAATGTCTCTGTGAGCGAGTTTCAGTTCAACTCTATAAAATTATAAAGAAATCTTATTTTTTTTTCTTTACTATGTCTGCATACGGGTTCTGTAAACAAAATAAATTTCTTATTAATCTGAGCTAAAAGATGTTTATTGCATTTTATGAAACAATAGATTCCAGGTATACTTGGAGGTTTTATGTATGCAACTCTGTGTTTTCAATGTTCCCTGTCTCCTGTGATGTTTCCGCTAGTTTCCTATGAAAATACATTAAACTTCATTTTCTACAATTTAAATAGATTCTCTATTTACAAGTCAATGCACACTATGAAAGGCAGTGTGGGTAAAATCCAGTGTGGTATATCTGTGTGTTGAAGGGAGTCAGAGGCACCCATTGGGCGTCTGATGCAGTCCATCCCTGGTGGTCTAAATTCCGGAATGTGGTCAATGTCATGGCTGGAATGGTCAAGGCCTTGGACACAAAGGTTGTAGAAGAGGCTCTGGACATGTGTGAGATTTGAAAAAGAGATGCCCCTGAGAAAGCCTGCCTGCACATTCAAGTTTAAGAGCCACATTTTTATCAAGTACCAAAAAATTATGTGATTTCCAGCCCAAGACTAGAAAAGTAATCCTGTTCCTGAGGGAATAAGTACCGGCTCCATCTTCCCATGACAGAAGACTGTGTGCTGAAGCTTCCATAGCTCAGTCTACCCTGGACTCACCCTCAATTTTAACATCTTCCTCAAACTCTGACATGGTCTCACCTAAATCATGGAAGCAGCCTTTTTCATAATCACTTTGACTAAATATTTCTCTTTCCTTGAGTGAATTGAATCATTTTTCTACATCTTCCTAGTTAGAAGGAGAAAAGTGCATGGTCCCTGAGCACCTTTTGAACAGACAGCTTCTTTGAGAGAGAAACATCTCCCAAGAGACTGCGATGGTTTCACACTGAAGCCTGAAGTTGCTCTGCCTTAGGATTATTTCTGGGTTTTCTTTTCTTCTCATAATCAGTTACTTGTTCATATTTTCTGTCGGATTTTCTGTTGGATAATCAGTTACTAGTTCATATTTTCTGTTAGAAAGGGCTTACTGATGAGATTATGGCTTTCTCATAAAAAATACTACTTTGGTGAAAGTATATTAAAATGAACAATACTTGAATTTCCAGTACTTACAATAGTTGAATATGGCACGGTAGGTGAAAGTGAGAAGTAGAATTTGACCAACACCATTTTACCAAACATTAGTATGTTCCCTTGAATATGTGACTAAGAAAAACTAAGTAATTAGAAAAAAGAAACACCTTATCTATCTCATTAATAGATTTGTTTAAAAAAATATTTTTTACAAAATGCTAGCTATGTCTTGATATTCCTAGACATGACACTAGCTTAAAATTTCATGAATCGTCTCTCTAATATTCATGTTACTTAAGAAACTATTACAAAAGATTTGACTGCATTCATTTTCTAAGAGCCCTGCTATATATGTATGTTAGCACTCTGCGTTGTACTCTCTTCCGTAAAAAACACAAACCCATCAATTTATCATTTCAGCTTTTTCAGTCTGGGTACAACTTTTTGTGAGTTATACTTTTAAACTTTTTGCTTTGTACTTTTAAAGACTAGACCCTAGATATCATGTGCTTGAGAATAGTGGAGATAGATTGCTTAAACTTTATTTGGGCATATGCTAAGTACTTTTGTGGGGGCAAAGGCAGGCAGTGAGGATGTTAAGCTTATCCCAAAATATTGAATTTTTGAAAATAGTCAAGTACAGTCACTTTACTTGTTAGAAATTTCATCACCACCTTACCAGACACCACATCTTTCTAGGCAGTCTCCAAAGGCACATTATCAGATAGACTTTAAGAATAGTGATGAAGCTCCAGGAAAAACTTTATTGTCATTAACATGTAATACAACCAGCCATGAAAGCTAACAAAGATTTTGCCTAGAAAGATACCACCTTCTACAGATTCCTTTCTCGAGAGCTGTGGCTATATGATATTACATAGTGAGAAGATTTTGAATGTGTAGGGACACTGAACCTTCCCAGCTAATCCATTTTTTCTCTTTGAGAAACAGCGCTGTGTTGCTGCTCCTGAGCTGACCTCTGAGATCTTGATGGGAACTTGTTTCTGTTTTCAGCAGTTCAGCTTTACTCAGACCCCACTCAAAGCATTGAGTTCTATGGGGGGCCGGAAAAACGTTCTAAGCTTGTGTGTCCAATCACCACTGTCACTGCTCTCTGCAGTGGCTCATCCCCACTTCAGGCTACTTGGGCCAGGTTTTCTTTACTCTAGTGTTAAGAGACTGCTAGGCCTGCCACGTCTGCCAGAACACAGCTCCCAAGACTCCTCAACGCCATGGGAAAGGAATGAGCTGAGAGCAATCTAACGACTGGGAGACAATGAGTCTCTTGGATCTTACTTCTTTTGGTTGCTCAAGCACTTTAATTCCTGAGAGAGCCCTCCCATCTCCACCAGTTCTTCCAAGAACCTGTGCCCTGCTTGTGTCTCTCTAAGACACACTGGTCTAACTTGTTATATGCCTTTACATGGAAGTTGGTAAAATAAAATGAAAGCTAAACAATGTCAGAATATGGAGGTATGAAACAGAATTTCCCCATGCTTGGTAAAATGTAGAAATTTATGTAATGCTCAGCCAAAGATAGATTCTATGTACAATAAGTTCTATTTTAAGAGCAAAAGCTTGAGTGTATGAGGAAATAAAACAACATTTTGTGGAGGTATCTTTGGCTTCAAGAAGAAAGAATAGATGTTATTCTCCACTCAATGTGAGAGACTGAACTGTGGGGGCTTTTAGATCTTTTTGCTTATACTCTGTGATTCAGGGGGCACATGGCAAAGGTAAACAGACTGAAGTAGCACCGTGGATATCTGTGAGCTGTGCTGGGAAGGTTCACAGTGATTCCATAATAAATCTCAGGTCTTTAGTCTATGATGAAAAAGTACCCTTTTCCACAGAGAAGGTAACATAGAGTATGAACAAGTGGAGTGTGGAATAACTTTGTAACTCATGATGAACCTACTTTGTCTGGTATTTTAATAACTTCTTTTCCTCTGTTGCTGTACTCGGGTTTGATTTTCTGAATGGATCACTGGTAGAATGAATAAAATCAAGAATACTCTAGGCTGGGCGCAGTGGCTCACGCCTGTAATCCCAGCACTTTGGGAGGCTGAGGCAGGCAGATCACGAGGTCAGGAGATCGAGACCATGCTGGCTAACATGGTGAAACCCTGTCTCTACTGAAAATACAAAAAAATTAGCCAGGCATGGTGGTGGGCACCTGTAGTCCCAGCTACTCGGGAGGCTGAGGCAGGAGAATGGCGTGAACCTGGGAGGCAGAGCTTGCAGTGAGCCAAAATCGTGCCACTGCACTCCAGCCTGGACGATAGAGTGAGACTCCATCTCAAAAAAAAAGAATACTCTAAAGCAATGTTTTGAACTAAATTTGGGTACCTACAGAAGCACCACAGCAAACCTGAACTATCAATACACTCTTTCTATCTGTGTCTTTTAAACTGCTTAGATGATCATTACGAATGGGTCTTTGCAGAAAGGTGGTATTTGGATTCTGTTTCTGTCACTCTAGTCTTATAAGATGCTCCTGTATTATGTTACTTTATAATAATGTAAAGGATCACTGGCTGACATAAAGCACAGTAGGTAGGAATATGAGAACAGTCAAATGAGAGAAAAAAATGCTTTGTGATTTTATCTTTATTTCTGCAGGTTGGAAAACAGTTTAACTGTTTTTAAGATGAGTCACCAAAATCCATACCAGAATTTAAAATACATACAAGGACAACAATTCCAGTGCCCCTGCTCAGGCACAGATTTCAGGGCAGAATATCACTAGGGAAAAGTTTTCGGAGGCTTCACTTATTGAAACCCAGCACACAAGCTAAGACACAGCAACTCCAGGCTTCAGTATGAAACCATACAAGACTCTTAGAAGGGATTTCCCTCTCTGAAAGCAGCTATCTGTCTACAGGATGATCAAGACCCATGCATCTTTCTTCTTCCAACTAGGAAGACACATAAAAATGACTCAATATGTTCTAGGCGACCCAAATATTTAGTCAAGGTGATTATGAAACAATGTCACATTATGAAACAATGAGAAAGATTGTGGCTAAATCCAGGGTAGACAGATGCAGAAGCTCCAGCAAACATAGTCCTATCATAGCAGACTGGATGCAATACTTATTCCTGCACAAACAGACCTTTCCCTCTGGCCTTGGGCCTAGAACATGAATTTTTTGTAGTTGCTGTTGGGGAAGAGGCCCTTGGGCTTTAACCTGCGAACAGCCTCCCTTAAATGCTTGGGCTGCAGCGGGGGCATTTCTCCCCACATCTCACACACGTCCAGGGCCTCTTCCACCACCTCTCCAACCAAGACCTTGGCTATTCCAGCCATGGCAATGGCCACGTTCTCAGACACCGAACTGCCAGTGATAGACTGCATCAGAGCTGCAATGCGTGCTTTTGGGAAAGCTGACTGGCGACACACTTCGTAGCGGGCCAGCTGCTCCTCAGACATGGCAGACAGCAGGGTTGTCATCCTCTGAGCCTCCTCTGCATCCACAGTGGGCTTCCTCTCCTTCTTTCCTTTGGTATCTGTTTTCAGCCTTTTGGCTGCAGGAGGAGCTGAGGCTGAGGTTTCTTTGTCACCTTCTGTGAGGTCCATGACATCCTGACTCCTGAGCTCACCTTCCTGATCCCTGGGTTCTTCCAAGTTCCCATCTAGGTCCTCAGGGATCCCATCCTTGTTGCTGCCTTTCAGACCTCGGGGCATGGCGAACATCTCAGCAGACACACCTGCTTGCCTGCCTGTCTCCATGGGTGAGATTCAGGTCTGCTCCATGACAGCGCTGTAGAGGCAGAAATTGTTCTGGCTGGGGTGGTTTGATTATGGATCTGCAATGAGAACCTTTCAAAGATTTTGGCTGCTGTGTTTCTGCTGAGCCATAGTTTAGCCACAACTGGACACAGCTCCCTGCCTCCCACTCCCACACACAAACACACACACTGGTTTTTCTCACTTCCACAATGTGAAGAAACTTGTGGATGGAGAGTATATTAGTTTTAGATCAATGCATAATAAGTTCTCACCAATTTTGGATATTTAAATCAAACCCCAGCTCACAGGTCAGAAGTCCCACTAGGCCAAGTGACTGCCTCCTGCTCAAGGTCGAACAATGGACCTCTAGGGTGGGCCTGGCTGCGTGGACGTTGCCTTGACCTGGGAAAGGTCTGGCTGTGATCTGATTCCATGGTGGAATTCAATGCCTTAGGGTTGTGAGACCCAGGCCCACTTGTCTGTTCTGCCTGCTGCTGTGAGGATGCTCTCAGCTTCCAAAATTTCTCCCAGGTCTGGTCGTGGGGCTCCCTGGATCTGCAGAGCCGCCACAGGAGAATCTCCTGCATGGGGGAAGGGGGGCAAATCTCCCTCTGGCTGGAGAGCGCTGTTATTTCAGGGGTTGTAACCAGAAACAAATGGCAACTCAAAGAGGGGAAATCACCCAAAACTTGAAAATTAACCCCTGAAATAAAACAGAGATACATAATATTTTAATAAAAATCAACTACTGTATACACTTATCTCTCATTATGATAACTCAGATGATTGAATTATACCCAGTACTTAATGTCCATTGTTTCAGGGTATTCCTAACCTAATCAGGGATTTATAGGCACATTAATTTCATGGTTTCATCCACACTCAGGGGAGGGGCAGATGCGGGGCGTGCCACTGAGGGGCAGGAAATGCATGGGACATTTCAGAATTCTGTCTGCCTCAGATATTCTGAATGTTTGCATTTCACAATAATAAAGAACATATTTTCTCTGAAAATTTGACATTTTATGAAGTTGCGTGTTAGACAACTTAAATGTCGGAGCAAAAATCCCCCACTGATTCAGCAACAAGTCGTTTATCAGGTACTCTGAGGATAAACTGGGCTGGTAAGGGGAATATGGAAATATTTATTTCAATTTTTATATTATATACATATATGTATACACAGGTTGCAGAGAAGCATGTAAGGGATAAAATTATTTCAAGCACAAAAATATGTATCACATTTGGAGAAAATTAAGATGGGTAAAAAGCATAAAATTAGTTCAGAAGATAAAGTAGACACTAAAATACCTGACTTTTAAAGAGCTTTCATATATTTTAAAATATTTGGTAGCAGATATGAAATTACTATATTATTGCCATTATGGTGAACATATTTAAAATAATGATCTAGTTATTTTATCTTTAAATAACAGAATTTGCAATATGTCAAACATCTTTTGCAACTGTTTAAACTCGTAATGAAAACTTAGATGTCTACATAAAAATATATGAGGACTATAAAGATTTTAAAACTTTTAAAGATTAAAGACCAATGCCCCCCATACTTTATTTATGCCATTAATTACTAAACTGAGAATTACTCAACTTCTCAGTTCAACAAATTAATATAAATGTTAAACTTAGAATTACTCAAATTCTAAGCAATTTGCCTTCTCAACATTTCTTTCCTAATTCTGATTTTGCTGGTACAAAATCAAAGGTCCTAAAAGAATCTGAGAACTTGGCAGCACTTCACTGCATATGAAGATATTAGTCTGTACTTGAATCAAGTAGTTGAAGCATTCCTTTGATGGGTTTTCTTTATTTTTTGAGAAAATAAAAATAAATTTACATTTTATTATATTGGCCTCTAATTAACATCATACTAAGTATTAAAGAAAATAGATTTTAATACTTCAATGTAAAAATTGGTCCATGTTTGATATGGGCTTCTTTGACTTGCCTTCTGTTATTTAATTGAATGCAGAACATGATAGCAAGACCTAGAATTCATGTGACAATGATATTTAATGCAAGTTCATTTAATATTAACATTGTTGAAAATTTTTCCTTGCTGTAACATTAAGGATAATCTAATCACTTGGATTACTGGTGCCTCAGGAATAAGATTAACAATGAGAATAACATAGTGATAGTCTTCAATAAACAGAGCTTAAAATGGAATCTATGACAGTCAATGAAAAGAGTGACTCAAAGTTCTGAGACCTTATTATACCTTGATACTAAGTAACCAGTTTTACTTAACTCACCTGAGGGGGCATGAATGTGGTA
Organism: Homo sapiens; assembly: GCF_000001405.40. Lineage (NCBI taxonomy): Eukaryota > Metazoa > Chordata > Mammalia > Primates > Hominidae > Homo > Homo sapiens. Next base: position 17,483,937 of record NC_000005.10, on the reverse strand, counting down.
TAAGAACACATGTGAAAGTCATGCATAATCCAACACCTTCACTTCCCCGTCTCAGCAACACATATTTACATCAGAGCCTTCGCAAGCCACCTAAGGCTTTCCCTTTTCAATATTTACTTAGTACTAAAGGCATGATCAGTAGGTTATAAGCAGAAACAAATGGTAACTCAAAGAGGGAGAACCATCCAAAACTTGAAAATTAACCCCTGAAATAAAACAGAGATACATAATCTATTAATAAAAATCAACTACTGTGTACAGTTATCTCTCATTATACTCTAAGGAGAGACTGAATGTATCTAAGCTTTTTATATCCCCCATTTGTCTCTTAAAGACTATGTAGTTCTTTACCTACAGGCTAGAGAAAGGCCTACATTTATGATTTCTAAAATGAAGTGGGGATGAAAAGGCTATATACCCCAAGAAATATGCAAGATAGTTGAGGCATAAAGAAAAAAATTAATGTCCATTTATACTTATTTTTATCTAAAAAGCAAGAATTAAATTTCTAGTATTTAATATACAAAATATAGCACATAAATAACGTTTATAAATAACAAGATATATGCTGCATTATTCCAAAATATTTTACTGGCTCACACCTATAATCCCAGCACTTTGGGAGGCCAAGGCAGGCAGATCACTTGAGCCCAGGATCTGGAGACCAACCTAGGCAAGATAGTGAAAACCTGTATTTATTGCAAAAACCTCAATTGCTTTTGCATCAGGCTAATAAAAAAAATACTAAAATTATCTGGGCGTGGAAGCCTGTGCCTGTAGTCTCAGCTACTTGGGAGGCTGAGGTGGGAAGATAGCTTGAGCCTAGGAGGTAAAGGTTGCAGTGAGCAGAGATTGCACCCATGCACTCCAGCCTGCGTGACAGAGCAAGACTCAGCCTCAAAAAAAAAAAAAAAAAAAAGACATGATCTTCTGCACAGATTAGATAACCTTCCATGTAAACTATCACAGATGGGGGAGAACCAGCTCATATTTTATAGTGCCTCAGAGAAAAATTACAGACACTTTCTAAGCATCAGTGTCAGGATAATTTTTGAATTGCTTTTTAAAAGGATAAAAGCACTTAAAATTTTTTCCACTAAACAGTGTCATCATTCTTCATCCCATTATGCTTATTTCAGAGCATTATTCTTGCTCTGAAATCCCTTGTAATGTTTTTAAAGCATTTCTTCCATTTCTATTCTATGCCCAATTAAATTTAAAAAAAAAAATTATGTCAGAACTGCCGTTATTATTTTGCAGAATGTTTGCAAAAGCATTCATGACAATCAGAGCCTTTCTGGATACATCTATAAAGGTGCTGGCAGAGGAAAGTTGTAAAACTGTTACTCCCCCAAAATAATGATGTGGCTCTGGTTTTCAAATTAAAAATAAGAAAGAAACATACCAATTAGGTGGCTGTTTTTCAGATCCTTGACAGGCTCTTTTTAGATGTATCCTCTTTTTTGAATACATACTCAAAAAATATTTTCAACAAATATCTATTGAACATTTTTCTACATGCTATGTATCATGGAGGAAATGGCATGAATATGTACAAAATTTAAACTCTTCCTGCCTAGACATGAAAGATCTGATATTTTAAAGTTTTTTTTTTTTTTTAATTTTATCCCTGGCAGGGGAATTTCTTAACTGTCATGGTCTTTCAGAAAACCGGTCAATGCCTTAGATGCCCTAAATCTACCAAGCATAGTTCCAGGCACTTATTTCCTACTTGGTTTATCCTGTTGTAATTTCTTTAATTATTACACAGATACTGAATTTAAACACATAACTGAAACTGTTTATGATATTCAGAGACCATAAGTGTTTCATTTTATTGTCGCAAAATTTCTTGTTGGGTATCAAATAGGTATAAGCAGAAGTTAGCTCTCTGATGACTCTAAAATGAATCTGAAGTTTACAAAAACCAACACAGTGCTTACAAATTATTTTGATGCTTCCTTTTTTAGCTGAACAATATAAAAGGGAGCTGGGAAAGATGAGTTCCCTTCATGGTAGAACATAGAAGCTACATGGACTGGGAAGATTCATTCCAATTCTTCATTCTACCAGATCTGAATCGACTCTGCTCTCTAGTGGGCACCCCCATCCTTTAACTTCGGGGTATGGAAAGATCAAGACAGAAGAAAATAAAAGAAGAAGAAAATAAGGGGCAAGGGAGCAGAAAAGAAAGAGCGGTGTGCTCTATAGGAACTGGCATTTCCTTAGGAGTGGAAAAAGAAAATTCAAACCCAACTATGCCCCTCCATCCCCTAACCTTTCCCTATCGAAGCAAGCTGCCTCCTCTGAACCACTGTACTGAGATTTCTAACAATGCTGTGCCAGCTTTCCCCTGCCTTGTTCCTCTAACAGCTCTCCTCCCATCCTTGAATAATAAGAATCAGCTGACAAACTCTGGGTCTTAGAGATGTATATGCTTCACTTGTGTTTAGCATTGGGCGTGAAGATCCAAGGGGGTAGCAATCACAGAGCATGGTAAGAAACACGTATTTATTCCTAAAGGCTTTCAGGTTGACTGTAGGGTGCATTTACATTGGATGATTTGATTTCTGGAGTGTGTGTGTGTGCGTGTGAGCATGTGTGTGTTGTGTAAGGATTGTATTACCACTAAAACTCTCTGGAATATAGTAAGACCAATTTAGATTTAACACTTCAGTTAGTTGGTTGATTTTATTTTTTCTCCATAAAAATAAATAATTATTTTATTTTTTCTCCATAAAAATAAATGATTATTTTATTTTATAATTTCTGTTTAGGTACCATCACTGAGTGTTATTAAAAAGGGAAAAAAATGCAAGCTAAAAAGAAAAAAAAGGGAGAAAAAGGTAATTACCAACAAATTGTTAAGAATACATCTGTTTTTTTAACATTGCTTATTAGCATTTATTCCATAAGTATTTAGTGTTCACTGAGATTATAGCAATAGTCTCTGGCTTCTCAGCAGACCACATTGTCACCTCCCTCAAAAAATTATATATATATGTATAATATATAGTACTTGTATCTATTATATATTATACTTATATATAATTTTTATATATAGGTATGTATATCTATATGCCTATTAGATATATACACACCTATATATGTGTGTGTGTATGTGTATATATATATATATATATATATATATATAAAGCATATATATATCAGATGGAAACACATCGGTTCCTACCCTTAAACGTGTCTACATCTGTATCCAGATCAGATTTTTCAGATTTCTCCCTTCTCTTTCATCACAATGATGATTCCTCCCCCACCTATAAATTATTCTCTACCTGTGGTCTAAGTCCCACAGTAGCCTCTCTGAAAATATCCCTTATTTATTTATTTCTGTCTTTCCTCTCTACTACTTTTACCCCAGAAGCAGATAAATACTGTCAATGTCTCCTGCCTTGAAAATAATTAACTTCACTCTCCTCATCTACCCACTAGCTATTGGCTATTCTCCTCCCACCTAAGAACTGGGCTCCTTCTGAGAGTTGTCAGTCCGGCCTGTCTCCTCTTGGTCAACTTCTGTTGACTTCTCAAGTCTGGCTTCTGCCTTCATCACGCCACTGACACTCCTCTCATATGTCAAATGCAGGATTTGACAATGTTCACCACTCATTTCCTTTAAAAAAAAAAAAAAATCCTTTTCCTGTGGCTTCTGGATCAGGTTCCCAAGCTATTCTAGGTTGATTTCCCTGTGTTGACATACTTCTTTTTTTTTTTTTTTTTGAGACAGAGTCTTACCCTGTCGCCCAGGCTGGAGTGCAATGGCGCCATCTCGGCTCACTGCAACCTCCACCTCCTGGGTTCAAGTGATTCTCCTGCCTCAGCCTCCCGAGTAGCTGGGATTACAGGCGCATACCACGATGCCCAGCTAATTTTGTGTATCTTTAGTAGAGACGAGGTTTCATCATGGTGGTCTCGAACTCCTGAACTTGTGATCCGCCCGCCTCGGCCTCCCAAAGTGCTGGGATTACAGGAGTGAGCACCACGCTAGGCCAACATACTTCTAAGTCTCCTAGTGAACTCATCTTTTTCTAGCTGGCTGAATGGTCATCAATTATCAGGGTCACTCTCTCAGCCTCTTACTTTTCCCCTTTTCCTGGTTCTCCTGACAACCTCATCCATTCTTGCCTCTTACAACCATCTCTATGCTAATGAATACACCTCCCATTTTCTCCCTTCATTTTCAACTCATAGAATTTCCAAAATTAAAGAAACACAATGGAAAGAGGAATAAAAAATGTATTCCTCATACCATAGGTCTGGCACCAACTTTGAAGTTGTTTTATTTCCCCAAAACTCTGTAGCATTTATGCATCTAAAAGTTGCATCACAGGCTTTGGTTGTGAAGATCTTGAAAAAAGCAGAATTCTTTGCACAGTATATGTTTTTAAACTGGAGATTAAATTGTCAACAAACTGCTTATTATATGTTTAATAATATGACAAGAGGGGTTAGATGATGTTAACTTTGAATTGAATTATTAAATGTTAAATCTGGGTAATGAGTGCATAGGAACACATTATCTAGCATATGTTTAAATTTTCCATAATAAAAAGTTTCTTTTTAATTTCTACCCTCATAGTGCTTACGTGCTACTTTACAAAATACAGAATTCTCAATTCAAAGGAATTGAACCAAAAATCAACCTAATCCCATCACCCTTCAATGGGACTAGAGAAACTAAGTGACTTTTTCATGTTTCCTAGTTTCTTACACAAAAGTATTGATGAAAATGACAGCATATAGACTCATCTATTAAATATGAAATTTAACCAGAGCTGACTGTGTATTGAGCACTTTCCAAGGGTCAAGAGAATTGAGATGAATCATTTGTGCAAAATTTATACTACAGCCTTTGAACCAGTGAACAAGCTAGAATAATGTAGAACATTTAGGGCAGACATCTTTAAGGTTCACTATAAAAATCACAGAGAAAGGAATATACCACAAAAGCCTTCCACTCCTGACAACATGGAAAACATGGATCTCTGAATCAGCTTTGAGAAGGTGACAGCTTTGGGTTTTGTGCTTTAAGGAACACCTAGTTTAAAAATGAAGGTGCCTTGCATGTGCACTGAACACCTTCCCAAATGTTGTCATGTTGCCTGCTGGAATTTTTTTTTTTTTTTTTTTTTTTTTGAGACAGAGTCTCACTCTGTCACCCAGGCTGGAGTGTGATGGTGCAATCTCAGCTCATCACAACCTCCGCCTCTCAAGTTCAAGCAATTCTCCTGCCTCAGCCTCCTGAGTAGCTGGGATTACATGCGCGCACCACCACACCCAGCTAATTTTTGTATTTTTACTAGAGAAACATGGTTTCTCCATGTTGGTCAGGCTGGTCTCAAACTCCCGAACTCAGGTGATCTGCCTGCCTTGGCCTCCCAAAGTGCTGGGATTGCAGGTGTGAGCCACCGCACCTGGCCTCCTGCTTGAATATCTTAAACACTCCTATCAACATAGGTGCTTGTAGTGGGCTGAATGGTGGCACCCAAAAAGATGCGCATCCAGTATCATCTGTCTGGGCTCTAAGTGCAATCACATGTTCTGGGCTCTCAATGCAACCACCTGTATCGTTTTAGGAAAGGGTCTGAGTTTGGGGACAGACACACAGAGGAGAGATACACATAAGAGGAGTAGGTGACATGAAGATGGATCAAGGAGAGACACAGCCACAAGCCAAGGGACAGCTGCAGCCACCAGAAGCTGGAAAAGGAAAGGATCACATTCATCCCCAGAGCCTCTGGGGAGTAAAGCTCTGCTGATACCTTAATTTCAGACTTCTGGTCTCCAGAATTGTAAGGAAAGTAATTTCTGTTGTTTTAAGCTACCTCGTGTGTGCTGATGTGTTACGGCAGCCCTGGGAAACTAATGCAGTGCTACGTTTCCTTCCTTCTGTTAAAGCTACTCAGCTATGCAACATGCTACTGGCTGCTACCTTAGAGTTGAAGAGAATTTGTGTCTCTAATAACATGATGACAGACTTTAAGAGGATTCCTTCAAGAACTTATTTGCATGAAGTAAAGATTCAGTCTTAGAGTTTTCAATATTCATCACATAGGCTATGAGAAGGTCCCTTACTCTTCATTGCATGGGCCTCAGTGTGGGAGGGGGTGTGGAGTGAGTGCTTAACATCTGCAGATAGAGCGGAGTTCACTTAAACACTTACTGATCCGTATCATGAGCAAAGTGGTGTGCTGTCACTGCTACTGTAATGGGCACGGCTGAAGACTGGTCCTATGACTTTCCGCAGCTCAGAAGGATGCTTAATGGCATTTTGAAATAGGACTGCCTCTATAATTGGCAGGAACCTGTGAAAAATAAAAATGTAGGGCTTCTTGTTCAAAAATTATCCAGAATATCAAAACAGCAGAGAATTAAGTCAAGTAAGTACCAGGCTCTTCTGAGAATGGACCCTGTGCAACTGCACAGATCAAATGTCCGTGAAACCAACTGTGTTTAGACATATTCAGTTCAAGGAGAGTGTATTGTCAGGGAAAAACCTTCAGAGATGATTCTTCCAGCAAAGAAAAAAAAAAAAAGTGGGGAGTGGAACAAGCTTCCCCTATACCTCAGTGTGGCAGAGACCCAGGGACAGAAAACCCTGGCAGCTGGTGAAGACAGAACCTCTCAAAGCAGAATGAGAGGCAACGAGCCACAGTACATCTCCCAGATAATTAGAGACAGTGATTGGAAATAAACTGAAGCTCGGCCTGGTGATGGGTATCAGAGGAAAGCAAGAGCGCCTTAGCAACATAATTAACAAAGGCTCTAATCTAGTCTTGAGCAAGCATATTTATTAACAAGCTAAATATAGATAGATACTAGTACACAGTAATAACATCAAACATATTAATATGTATATGCTAACATATTGAAATTTATGTACATATACATGTATATCTATCTTTTAGCCATTTTCTCCTTATTGTCTTTATCCCATAGCATTTAAATACTGCCAAATATTATATATTACATGTATATACTACTATTTCATATATATTAGTATACAATACTATTTTATGTAATATATTTAATATTTTATAAAATTGTATATAAATTATCTTATACAATATATGATTGTGTATGTAGTACATGTGGCTTTTTTTTTGAGACAGAGTCTTGCTCTGTCATACAATATATGATTGTGTATGTTAATACATGTGGCTTTTTTTTTTTTTGAGACAGAGTCTCACTCTGTCATACAATATGTGATTGTGTATGTAATACATGTAGCTTTTTTTTTTTTTTTTTTGAGACAGGGTCTTGCTCTGTCACCCAGTCTGGAGTGCAAGGGCGCGATCTCAACTCACTGCAACCTCCACCTCCCAGGTTCAAGCAATTCTCCTGCCTCAACCTCCTGAGTAGCTGGGACTACAGGCACATGCTGCCATGCCTGGCTAATTTTTTGCATTTTAGTAGAGACAGAGTTTGTGTGCCCAGGCTGGTCGGGAACTCCTGAGCTCAGGCAATCTGCCTGCCTTGGCCTCCCAAAGTGCTGGGATTACAGGTGTGACCCACTGCGTCCGGCCAATACGTGTGTATTTTATACTATGGAGGGACCTCATGGGTGCACTGAAGGAAGCATTTAGACCAGTGAATTTTTTTTAACCTTTATCTTAGGTTTGGGGTACAAGTGAAGGTTTGTTAAACAGGTAAAAACGTGTCATGGGGGTTTGTGGTACATAGTATTTCATTACCTGGGTACTAAGCCCAGTACCCAATAGTTATCTTTTCTGCTCCTCTTCCTCCTCCCACCCTCCACCCACAGGTAGGCCCCAGTGTCTGTTGTTTCCTTCTCTGTTTCTTGGTTTCTCTTTTTTACAAGACACAGTTTTACTCTGTCACCCAGGCTAGAGTGCAGTGACACGATCTTGGCTCACTGCAACCACCTCCCAGGTTCAAGTGATTCTTGCACCTCAGTCTCCTGAATAGCTGGGATTACAGGCATGCACCACCAGCCTGGCTACTTGTTGTATTTTTAGTAGAGATGGGGTTTCACACCATGTCGGCCAAGCTGGTCTCAAACTCCTGACCTCAAGTGATTCACCCGTCTTGGCCTCCCAAAGTGCTGGGATTACAGGTGTGAACCACCATGCCAGGCCATTGTTTCCTTCTTTGTGTTCACAAGTTCTCATCATTTAGCTCCCACGTATAAGTGACAACATGCAGTAGTTGGTTTCCTGTTCTTATTTTAGTTTGCTAAGGATAATGGACTCCAGCTCCACCCATGTTCTCTCAAAAGACATGATCTCATTTTTTATGGCTGCATAGAATTCCATGGTGTATATATACCATATTTTCTTTATTTAATCTGTCATTGATGGGCATTTAGGTTATTTCCTGTCTTTGCTATTGTGAATAGTGCTGCAATGAACATTTGTGTGCATGTATCTTTATGGTAGAATTATTTTTATTTCTCTGGGTATATAAGCAGTAATAGGATTGCTGGGTCAAATGGTAGTTCTGCTTTCAGCTCTTTGAGGAATCACCATACTGCTTTCCACAATGGTTAAACTAATTTACACTCCCACCAACAGTGTACACATGTTCCTTTTTCTCCACAACCTTGCCAGCATCTGTTATTTTTTTACTTTTTCATAATAGCCATTCTGACTAGTGTGGGATAGTACCTCATTGTGGTTTTGATTTGCATTTCTTTGATGATCAGTGATATTGAACTTCTATTCATATTCTTGTTGGCTGCATGTAGGTCTTCTTTTGAGAAGTGTATGTTCATGTCCTTTGCCCACTTTTTCATGTGGTTGTTAGTTTTTCTCCTGTAAATTTGTTTAAGTTCCTTATAGATGCTGGATACTAGACCTTTGTCAGATGCATAGTTTGCAAGTATTTTCTCCCATTCTGTAGGTTGGCTATTTACTCTGTTTATAGCTTCCTTTTCTGTGCAGAAGTTCTTAAGTTTAATTAGATCTCACTTGTCAATTTTTGCTTTTAGTTGCAATGGCTTTTGGTGTCTTTGTCATGAAATCTTTGCCTGTTCTTATGCCCAGGATAGTATTGCCTAGGTTGTCTTCTAGGGTTTTGATAGTTTTGAGTTTTACATTTAAGTCTTTAATCCATCTTGAGTTGATTTTTGCATATGGTCTAAGGAAAAGGTCTAGCTTCAATCTTCTGCATATGGCTAGCCAGTTATCTCAGCACCTTTTATTTAACAGTGAGTCTTTTCCCCATTTCTTGTTTTTGTCAGCTTTGTCAAAGATCAGATGGTCATAGATGTGCAGCCTTATTTCTGGGCTCTCTATTCTGTTCCACTTGTCTATATGCCTGTTTTTATACCAGTACCGTGCTGTTTTGCTTACTGTAGCCTTTGTAGTATAGTTTGAAGCTGGGTAACATGATGCTTCCAGCTTTGTTCTTTTTTCTTATGACTGCCTTGGCTATTCAGGCTCCTTTTTGGTTCCATATAAATTTTAAAATAGTTTTTTCTAGTTCTGTGAAGAATGTCTTTGGTAGTTTGATACAGATAGCACTGAATCTGTAAATTGCTTTGGAGAGTATAGCCATTTTAATGATATTGATTCTTTTTATCCATGAGCATGGGATGTTTTTCCATTTGTTTGTGTCTTCTCTGATTTCTTTGAGCAGTGTTTTGTAATTCTCTTTATAATTTGTAATTGAACAATATTTTGCCAATTCTTTCACCTCCCTGGTTAGCTATACTCCTGTGTATTTTATTCTTTTTGTGGTAATTGTGAATGGGATTGTCTTTCTGATTTGGCTCGAGATTTGGCTGTTGTTGGTATATAGGAAAGCTCAGGATTTTTGTACATTGATTTTTGTATCCTGAGACTTTGCTGAACTTATTTATCAGCTGGAGGAGCTTTTGGGCCAGGACTATGAGGTTTTCTAGATATGGAATCATGTCATCTACAAACAGAGATATTTTGACATCCTCTCTTCCTTCTTGGATGCCCTTTATTTCTTTCTCTTTCCTGATTGCTCTGACTAGGACTTCCAAATTTACATTGAATAGGAGTGGTGAGAGAGGGCATCCTAGTCTTGTGCTGGTTTTCCAGGGGAATGCTTCCAGCTTTTGCCCATTCAGTATAATGTTGGCTGTTGGTCTGTCACAGATAACTCATTATTTTGAGGTATGTTCTTTCACTACCTAGTTTACTGAGAGTTTTTAACATGAAGGAGTGTTGAATTTTATCAAAATCCTTTTCTACATCTATTGACATAATCATGTGGTTTTTGTCTTTAGTTCTGTTTATGTGATGAATCACATGTATTAATTTGCATATGTTGAACCAGACTTGCATCCTGGAGATGAAGCCTACTTGATCGTGGTGGATAAGCTTTTTGATGTGCTGCTGGATTTGATTTGCCAGTATTTTATTGAGGATTTTTGCATCCGTGTTCATTAAGGATATTGGCCTGAAGTTTTCTTTTTTTGTTGTGTCTCTTCCAGTTTTTGGTATGAACATCATGCTGGCCTCATAGAATGAGTTGGGGAGGAGTCCCTCCTCCTCGATTTTTTAGAATGGTTTCTGTAGGAACGGTACCAGCTCTTCTTTGTACATTTGGTAGAATTCAGCTGTGAATCTGTCTGGTCCTGGTCTTTTTTTTTTTTTTTTTTTTTTTTTGGTTAGTAGGTTATTTATTACTGATTCAATTTCAGAGCCCGTTATTAGTCTGATCAGGGAATGAATTTCTTTCTGGCTCAGTCTTGAGAGAGTGAATGTGTTTAGGAATTTATCCATCTCTTTTAAGTTTTCCAGTTTTTGTATTTTATATGTAATTCTATATTATATGTATAGGATACTAAGGAGGGACCTGATAGAAACACTGAAGGAAGCATTCTAACCAACAGATTTCAAAAAAAAAATTTTTTTTAGACAGGGTCTCATTCTGTCCTCCAGGATGACTGCAGTGCTGCAATTATAGCTCACTGCAGCCTCAAACTCCCTGGTCAAGCAATATTCCCACCTCAGCCTCCCAAGTAGCTGGGACTATAGGCATGCACTACCATGCCTGGCTAATTTTTTTTTATTTTTTTGTAGAGGCCGGGATCTTGTTATGTTGCCCAGGCTGGTCTTGAACTCTTGAACTCAAGCAATCCTCCTACCTTAGCCTCCCAAAGTGCTGGGATTACAAGCATAAGCTATTGCACCTGGACTAAAAACAACTTTTTATTTTTAATTTTTATGGGTCCATAGTAGCTGTATATGTTTATAGGGTACATGACATATTTTGACACAGGCATACAATGCATAATGATCACATCAGAGTAAATGGGGTATCCATCACCTCAAGCATTTATCCTTCCTTTGTGTTACTAACAATCCTTATATTTAAATGTACAATAAATTATTGCTGGCTGTCACCCTGTTCTACCACCATTCTGTCTAATTCATTCTGTCTAATTATATTTTTGTACCTATTAACCATCCCCACTTCCCCCTAACCCCGTCCCCACTACTCTTCCCAGCCTCTGGTAACATACTTCTATTCTCTATCTCCACAAGTTCAATTGTTTCAAGTTTTAGCTCCCACAAATGAGTGAGAACATGCAAAGTTTGAGTATCTGGATTATTTCAGTTACATAATAACCTCCGGTTCCATCCATGTCCTTGCAAATGACAGGATCTCTTTCTTTTTTATGGCTGAATAGCACTTCATTGTGTATATTACCAGATTTCCTTATCCATTCATCTGTTGATGAACACTTAGGCTGCTTTCAAATCTTTGCTATTGCTTTCAAATCTTTGCTATTGTGCCTCAATGAACATGGGACTGTAGATCTCTGTCTAATATACTGATTTCCTTTCTTTTGGGTATATATCTAGCAGTGGTATTGCTGGATCATATGGTAGTTCTATTTTTAGTTTTTTGAGAAACCTCCAAACTGTTCTCCATAGTGGTTACTGATTTACATTCCCACCAACAGTGTACAAGGGTTCCCTTTTCTCCACATCCTTACCAACATTCATTATTGCCTGTCTTTTGAATACAAGCCATTTTAACTGTAGTGATATCTCATAGTACTTTTGATTTGCATTTCTCTGATGATCAATAATATTGAGCAGGTTTTCATATGCCTGTTTGCCATTTGTATGTCTTCTTTGGGAAATGTCTATTCAAATCTTTTGCCCATTTTCTAATTGGATTATTAGATTTTTTTTCTTATTGAATTGTTTGAGCTCCTTGGGTATTCTAATTATTAATCCCTGGTCAGATGGATAGTTTGCAATTATTTTCTTCCATTCTGTGGGTTGTCTCTTAACTTTGTTGTTTGTTTCCTTTGCTTTGCAGAAGGTTTTTAACTTGATATGACCTCATTTGTCCATTTTCACTTTGGTTGCCTGTGCTTGTGGGGTATTACTCAAGAAATCTTTGCTCAGACCAATGTCCTGAAGAGTTTCCCCAATGTTTTATTTTAGTAGTTTCATAGTTTGAGGCCTTAGATTTAAGTCTTTAATACATTTTGATTTGATTTTTGTATATGGCGAGACATACGGGTCTAGTTTTGTTTTTCAGCATACAGATACCCAATTTTCCCAGCACCACTTATTGAAGAAACAAGTCCTTTCCCCAGTGTGTGTTCTTGCCACATGTGTCAAAAATGAGTTCACTACAGATGTATGGATTTGTTTCTGGGTTTTCTAGTCTTAAGCCACTGGATTTTATCATGGCTGAAAAACAGAAACAATGAGAGAAATAAGTAGTAGAGAAATACGTTCTAAAGAACTTGTAGAACACAAGAAGTGGATTCTAGGATAAATCTGAATAGAAATTTTTCTATATCATATCCAAATGAGGGCTTTTCACTGATCTTTAATTAGAAGGCAAATGAGTTTATTATCATATGCAATCATGTTTTAAGGTTTTATAGCAATTTAAGCTTCCATTAACTTCCTGGTAAAATGAATGTACTTTATATTACATGGTGTAATTCAGTCATACTTAATCAAACTTTTAGTCATCTCAAAATGCCATGGGGTTTTAAAAAAAATGTGTAATCACAGTTACAGAGAGCAATGTAGATCACTGTGTAAATTCTGTCATCAAAGTCTAGCATTCCACAATAAGCAACTCCAGAAAACAAGAGCCGTTTACAAAATGTTATCACAACCGAAAATGTATTTCTATCTTGGCACTGTATTTCACCAAGCACAGGCGAGGATAGAACGAAGAGTCAGACAAAGACCTTGCCTTAGAGAGCTTACACTCCAGGAACCAAAACCAAAATAGATATCCCTATATCTATATATCAACCTGTATTTATATCTATAAGAAAAGTGGTAAATTCCAACGGAGCCTGAAATTTAGAAGTTGGAATAATCTCAATACTTCTTGAAACTCTCAAAATTGTCAATTTTCTCATTCCAATCCAAGTACTGTTAGTTGCCTGCATCCTTTTGTCTGTTCATATAGTGATACATCTTCATGATGAGCCATCACCTGGCTCACCAGGGCCCAGTTACATTTTCAATAATCGAAATCCTTTTGCCTCTCATTCTCTCAGAGGAAATCACCATCTTACTAATAGCTAACACTGATTGAGCACTCTCCTAATTCCTGGCATGAATCATCTCATTTAGTACTTATAAAAATGCACAAGGGAAGTACTTTAATGTTTGCATTTTACTATTGAATAAACTGAGGTCCAGGGAATATAGGAAATTTGCCCAGCATCATGGGTAATAGGTGGAGGAGTGAGCATTAGGGACTGTGCACAGCTTGAACTCTTATTCTGTCTCTTGTACTGCCTCTGGATTAGGGAAAGCAGCTGCACTCCCAGTAGGTGAAATATTGTAACACATGTGCCAGAGTAAGAATTACAGCTTAGAACTGGGCCCCAAGTACAGTAAATTATCAGAGCTTTTATTCTGGATACAGCTTCTTTCAGTGCTTTCTTATCCTCTCTTTTATGTGTCTTATGTAATTCCTGTCTCATACAACCTGGCCTCAATATTTAGATTGCCCCTTCACTGTGTTGCAGGGGTTTTTTTGATAGAAAATTTGTTACTGATTATGCACTTTCCCAAGGTTTATTCAAAGCATTGACTGTCTCCCAATGAAAGAATTGCTTCAGCTCATATGCTGTATTTTCCCGGGAGTGGACTGGGGAAAAGAGTTCTATTCACACAATCCTGCACTTTCCTTATTCTTGGTAGAGTGCTTTGTTCTGACTACCTGCCTTTGAGGCTGCATCCCCTCCATTCCCCATGCCTCCCCCCTTCCAGGTGCTATAAACCACCATTCTAAAAGTTTGAACCCTTGAACTCCTGTGGCAGGTAATCAAGCGAGGAACTGCTCATTTAGTCCAAGCTGAAAACAAATTCCCCTATTCTGTAGAACATAAACAGGGTTACACCTATATCACACCCTTAAATACTTCTGATCTGAAGAATCCTGGAATTCATACTGTCTACTCATGTTCCTCCCAACATCACCTATGCTACCTTTATCACATATATGTGTTCTTCTTGTTAAAATGAAGGTATATAAAAATGCTGCTTAAGTATAATCAACACACACACACAAACACACACGCACACTAAAGATTCTTTCCAGAATGCATGTATTTATGCCAAGTAAGAGTAACAAAAAGAGAGTAAAATGTGTAGAATTCTGATATGTTGGAGAGCTTCTTCAAAGAATGGAATATGGCCTCAAATTCCACCTGTGAACTGGCAACCTTGATTTACAAACAAGAGAACAGGGTAATATACTCACATAATTAACACTACCCAAAGACTGTAAAAAGTAAAGTAATATGTAAAGTACCTAGTAAATCTATGAGTCAACAATCCTTTGTCTTTTCATTGCATTTATGTTCTTAACCATTGGTGTTTGGGGGCTTAACCATTGGAGCTTTGGGGCCTCAATATTTCAAATATTCTGTCTAGAAAATCTTTTACATAAAAATATACTGTCATTCAGCTTTTTCACATCTTTGATATTTTTTTCTTAATTTTTTTATTTTGACCTTCATTTTGGTTCATTCCTTTAAGTATTTCAAACTCATCTTACTGAAGATACCCTCTCCCCTGATTTCACATCTCAAAGCAAATGAATACAGACACACACACACACACACACACACACACACGCCAAGACGGCAAAGGATGGTTCCAAATTCACAAGAGCAATCAATAGCAAAACAGACACATTTAAGTACAAATATTTTTACATTCTAGTTCAGTCAATGTTATGCCCACTGAACCATGCTACTGCAGTAGGACATCTAGTACATTGTTACTGATCAGCAATTGCCAAATGTTTAACTACGAGTAAAAACAGCTTTGTGTTCAACCTATGAATGATACCCAGGTCAAAGCCAAACCGCCTCCAACCACTGCATTATTATCCCATCTATTGTTCCCAATTCAATGCTGCAGCCAGCCAACGCAAATCAGCCCTTCCTGGTGGGTTTATTACCTTTCTATCAGAGCCATACCTCCCCCAGCAAGAATAGGAACCCTGACTAAAGCAAATCACAATGTTACCATTCTGGAAAGAGGGGCTTGAATGCAGGCAGCCACCAATACCAGCATCTCCTGCCAGGTGGAAGCACAGCTCTGTGTCACAGGACTTCTCAACAAAGACACATTTGGTTACCTCCTGACACAGAGGGTCAGATGGGCTTCATCAGCTATTCATTAAATTTTACCACAGTTCTTCATTTTCTCTGCCTACATCAAGCTTCCCCTATCTGGAATTTTCTCAGATGAACTGAGCTTTTAGCAGCATCCACTCTACTTCCAAATCATCAGTTTATTACAGGATTTATTCACCGAAATAGGTGCAGTTAAAAACATATTCAAATAGTATACTTTTACTTTTGACTGTTCTACTGTCTTCAGAGAAAGAGTATTTCAAGGAGGAAATAATTTGATAATTACAAAACGTTGGAGCCAGAAGGGCCTCAATTCCAACTGCTGTCTTGGAACTGTCTCTATACCTCGGTATAGAGAAGGTATAGAGAAGTTGAGGCAGTTTCAGGTCACACTAGAAAACCAGGCTAATATCTCAAACCGAAACTGAGGCCCCCAGACTCTCTGTAGAAACTTTTCATCACCCACAATCACCCACATCACCTTACTGCACTATCAACGTGAAGCAGCCGCTATCAGCAACCGGTCATTAGGCATCGGCAAGTGACTCGCATGCTAGGCTGGCTTTTATTCTCATTATTAGCTATTTATTTTCTTCATATTAAGTAAAAAAGATAAAAAAGTAATACAATAGCTCTTGTAAATTTTATTTCCTATTCTTATTCACAAAACAAGTGAACAAGTATAAAGCTCTTATTACACGATAAATAGAAACACTCATTACATTCATAAGCATTATCACTCATATATAGATAACGGCAACCAGAATCCTTACCAATGGATTGGCTTTTTAAAAAAACTAATTTGAGATATTCAAAAAGTCTTACTTTCATTGTTAATCATGATATCAGAATAGTAACTATATAAAACATCTTTTTATTCTGTAATTATTTAGAAAGAAAAAAATTAAATTAGCATCAACAGACCTGGTTACAGGATTTAGTTGGTATCATGGGAACCACGGCATAGCACCATGGTTCTCAGTCTCAGCTGCACATTTGAAACATCTGAGGAACTTTTAAAATCTCAATAGCCAAATCATAGTTACAACTGGTTATTTTTTTTTAAAAGTCTGTAGAGTTGGTATCAAACCATCAGTAGTTTTAAAACTCCCCAAGAAATTTCAATCTGCAGCCAAGTCTGATAATCACTGGCATAATTACAAGCTTTATATAAAATATATACAACATTGGGGGCGGTGGCGGTGGCTCAAGCCTGTAATTCCAGCACTTTGGGAGGCTGAGGCGGGCAGATCGCGAGGTCAGGAGATCAAGACAATCCTGGCTAACACGGTGAAACCCCGTCTCTACTAAAAATACAAAAAATTAGCCAGGCGTGGTGGCGGGCACCTGTAATGCCAGCTACTCCGGAAGCTGAGGCAAGAGAATGGCGTGAACCCAGGAGGCGGAGCTTGCAGTGAGCGGAGATCGTGCCACTGCACTCCAGCTGGGCAACAGAGCAAGACTACGTCTCAAGGCCGGGCGCGGTGGCTCACGCTTGTAATCCCAGCACTTTGGGAGGCCGAGGCGGGTGTATCACGAGGTCAGGAGTTCGAGACCAGTGCGGCCAACATAGTGAAACCCCGTCTCTACTAAAAGTACAAAAATTAGTCGGGTGTGGTGGCACACAGTCGCAGCTACTCTGGAGGCTGAGGTGGGAGAACTGCTTGAACCCAGGAGGCAGAGGTTGCAGTGAGCTGAGACCATGCCATTGCACTCCAGCCTGGGTGACAGAGTGAGACTCCGTCTCAAAAAAAAAAAAAAAAAAGACAATTTAAAAAAAAAAAAAAAAGTATATATATATACACAAAATTGAATCCTGCATCTGTCCCTTACTTTATAAACTTGGGAAAGTTTGTTATCACTCTCTGCCTCAGTTTCTTTTCAGTAATACGATGGTGATGATTGATGATGATGATGACAATGATGATACTTATCTTGTAGTGTTGTTATGTGGATCATTGTTAAGGTACATAAATCTCTCCCACAGCACATGACAAAGGACTGGCAGGCAACTAATGTTAGATATCAGTTTATGCAAAAATTCTGTTTCCATTTGTGGTAGAATAGCTCATATCAGACTAAATCTCCTATAATAAGAATATAAACTGCAGACAAATTTTTTTTAAACTGTTTGAAGGCACTGGTATACAATCCAAAGCAGGCAGAAACTGAAGGAGCACAGTAGGTGAGCTCCGTAATTAGTTGGCTTTTCCCCTGATAACACGTTCAGGCTCCCTGCAGTACAAAGAGAAAATGAAAATCAACCAAGAAATGTAATCCTATTGGGAAAAGGACAGGAAGACTGAAGTTCAGAGATTCTAGCAGAACATGAAATTGGAAGAAAAATATTCAGAAAAAAGGGAGACTGCCAAATCTGCAAACAAACTCTCCTCGAATCCTTGGCTTTTACCTAAACTGTCTATTTTCGTGGTGAGAATCTAAGCAATCCAGAAGAAAGCAGCACCTGAAAGGATAAAGAACTGAGAAACTACCTCAGCAGCTACCTAGTGACTCTCCAGCCTACAGCTCAAATCTGGCGAGGTTAGAGGAGCTTGATAAATACCGTTGCTGCTCATTAAGACTCTACAAGGACCACACATTAGGAATAAGAAACACATATCATGACTAAAGTCTATGGCACAGAACTAAGGGAAAAACTATAACAGATGCCCATTCAAAAACTCTAAAACCAAGCCTCCAAAAGATCAAGGGAATATGCTAGTAACTTAGTCACCTTCCAAAGCAAAATTTAACACTCTATAAAAAGATAACAAAAGGTTTATTGTCTTAAATGTTTATCATCCAATCAAAAATTACTAGGCATACAAAAACACATGGAAATATGACCCACAACTAACAGAAAAAAAAAATAGTAAATAGGAGCAGATCCTCAGACTGGTGATATTGACATGTTGACTTTGATGTTGAAATTAGCAAAGGCTTTAAAACAGTTAATAGAATTCTGATTAAAAATTTGGGGGAAAAGGTGGACAAAATAGATGAACAGATGTGGAATCTCAGCGCAGATGTAGAAACCTAAAAGAAAAAAACCAACCAAATCATAAACATTACGAAACTGAAAATACATCACCATACATAAAAAGTTTGTTAAATCAGTTTAATTGCAGGCCAGACCTACAGAAGAAAGAATAAGCAAATTAACTTAAAAACAGAAATATAGAAAAAAAAGAATAAATTCACACACACGAACAGAGCATACAAGACCTCTGGGGCAATATTTTATCATCTAACATATGTGTAATTCAGGTCCCAGAAAGAGATTAGAATGAAACAGAGGAAATACTTGAAGAGATAATAGCTAAAACCTATTCTAAAACTGATAAAAATACATCAACAGATCCAAAAAATTTGCAAACTGCAAGCAGGGCAAACACAAAGATAAACCCATCCAGGAATTTTTTGGCCAAACTGGTGAAAACTAATGATTAAAATAAAATATATTAAAAACAATTAAAGAAAAAAATTATGCATTATATTCAGGGTGACAGCAATAAATATGATGGCTGACTTCTCATGAAAAAAAGAAAGAAGATAATGAAATGATATCTTTAAAATGCTAAATGAAAAATGTTAACTGTTCATTTTTCAAAAACGAAGGTGAATTAAAGCCATTTTCAGACAATGGCTTAGAGAATATATTGTAAGCAAAACCTCACTACCAGAAATGTTAAAGCAAGTTCCTCAGGCTGAAGGAAATGACAACAGATGAAAAGCCTAATCTGCAGAAAAGAATAAAAGAGTGGTTGGGTGCAGTGCCTCACACCCGTATGGGAGGCCGAGGTGGGCAGATCATTTGAGGCCAGGAGTTCCAGACCTGCCTAGCCAACACGGCAAAACCCGTCTCTACTAAAAATACAGAAATAGGAGGGGCCAGGATGGCCGACTAGAAACAGCGGCCTTGGGTGGCTCCTATTAAAAAAAAAAAAAAAAAAAAAAAAAACAAAACAAAAAAAACATAATAAGCATGTGACTCCTTCACCGGCAACCAAGGTGTCCAGGTTCTCTCATCAGAACTGACTAGAAGGCTGGTGTGGCCCACAGAGAGGAGGAAGAACAGTGTGGTGCTGCAGCCACGTGGGGCAGGGGAGCACCCTCCCCTCAGCCAAAGGAGGCGGTGAGTGAGTGTGCTACCTAGCCCGGGAAACCGTGCTTTTTCCACAGAACTGTGCAACCCATGGATCGGAAGATCCCATTTGTGAACCCATGCCGCCAGGGCCTAGTGTCCCAACCCCAGAACACACAGATTCTCAACAGTTGGAATCTGCTTAAACCCACCGAACCTCCGGGAGGAGGGTCAACCAGCAACACAGCTGAGGCTGCCTGCTGTCTAAGCCATTTGAGCTCCTTGGAGAAGGGGCAGCAGCCAGCACTAGGACTTGCAACTGCCTAACACGGAAGCTCCCTGGGTGGGGGAAGGGTGGCATCCATCTCTAAAGCTCCAGGCTGCTCTTTTCCCCTGCTGGAGCCAAGGAGACTGGACGGCTTGCTCCCAAGGCTTGTACCCACAGCCTAACACACCAGTTGTGGCAGTCAGCAGCCAGAGTGCCTCTTCAGGCCTGACCCTGACCCTGACCCATCCTTCCTCACTGGGCGGGGCTTCCCTGCAGAACTCCAATAACTCCAGCCAGAGGCTCAGGGGAATAAGCTGAATCTCCCTGGGCCTAGCCCCTCAGAAAGGGGGTGGCCACAGTCTCTGCAAACCTTTCCTCCCAGTAGTTCTGAGGAATCCGGGCAGCCTAGACAAGTGGGTTCCCCCCCAGAGAAGCACAACCCCTTCACCAAGACACAAAGTGCTTTATTAATGGGTCCTGCTCTCCGTGCCACCAAACTGGATGAGACCCTCCAACAGGGGTTGTCAGATGCCTTATATAGAAGCAGTCCTACTGGCATTAAGTTAGTGCCCCTCGAGGTCAGAGGTCCCAGAAAAAGGAGCAGGCACCCAACTTTGCTGTTCTCCAGCCTCCTTGAGTGACATCTCCAGGCACCGGAGCGAATCAGATGAATAGAGCCTGAAGTGAACTCCCAGCAAACTGCAGCAGCCCTACGGAAGGACCTGACCATTGAAAGAAAAACAAACAAGCAAAAAACAACAACAACAGCATCAACAACAACAACAAAAAGCCCCCACAAAAACCCCACCTGAGGGTCAGGTGGGGTTTTTAAAGACTGAAACTAGACAAACTCACGAAGATGAGAAAGAATCAGTGAAGAAATGCTGAAAACCCAAAAGGCCAGAGTGCCTCTTCTCCAAATGATTACAAAGTCTCTCCATCAGGGGCACAGAACTAGATAGGGGATCAGATAAACAAATTGACAGAAGTAGGCTTCAGAAGATGGGTAATAAAAAACTACGCTGAGTTAAAGGAGCATGTTCTAACCCAATGCAAAGAACCTAAGAACCTTGATAAAAGGTTAGAGGAATTGCTAACTAGAATAACCAGTCTACAGAGGAACGTAAACAAACTAATGGAGCTGAAAAACACAGCATGAGAACTTCGTAAAACATACACAAGTATCAATAGCCAAATCAACTAAAGAAAATAAAGGATATCAGAGTTGGAAGACCACCTTGCTGAAATAAGACATGCAGACAAGATTAGAGAAAAAAGAATGGAAAGGAATGAACGAAGCCTCAAGAAATACGGGACTTCATAAAAAGAGCAAACCTGCAATTGATTGGAGTACCGGAAGGAGACAGGGAGAAAGGAAATAAACTGGAAAACACACTTCAGCATATTATCCAGGAGAACATCCCCACCCTAGCAAGACAGGCCAACATGCAAATTCAGGAAATACAGAGAACACCATTAAGATACTCCATGAGAAGATCAACCACAAGATACATAATCATCAGATTCACCAAGGTCAAAATGAAGGAAAAACTGTTAAGGGCAGCCAGAGAGAAAGGCCAGGTCACCTACAAAGGGAGGCCCATCAGACTAACAGTGGATCTCTCAGCAGAAACCCTATAAACCAGAGGAGATTGGGGGCCAATATTTGACATTCTTAAAGAAAAGAAATTTCAGCCCAGAATTTCATATCCAGCCAAACTAAGCTTCATAAGTGAGGGAGAAATAAAATCCTTTCCAGAGAAGCAAACGTTGAGGGACTTCATTGCCACCAGGCCTGCCCTACAAGAGCTCCTGAAAGATGCACTAAATATGGAAAGGAAAAAACTGGTACCAGCCACTGCACAAACACAACAAAATATAAACACCAATGACACTATGAGGAAACTGCATCAACTAGTGTGCAAAATAACCAAATAGCATCACGAAGACAGGATTAAATTCGCACATAACAATGCTAACCTTAAATGTAAATGAGCTAAATGCTCCAATTAAAAGACACAGACTAACAAATTGGATAGAGTCGAGACCCATCAGTGCGCTGTATTCAGCGGACCCATTTCACATGCAAAGACACACATAGGCTCAAAATAAAGGGATGGAGAAAAATTACCAAGCAAATGGAAAGCAAAAAAAAAAAAAAGCACGGGTTGCAATCCTAGCCTCTGACAAAACAGACTTTAAACCAACAAAGATCAATAAAGACAAAGAAGGGCATTACATAATGGTAAAGCGAACAATTCAACAAGAAGAGCTAACTATTGTAAATATATATGCACCCCAATACAGGAGCACCCAGATTCATAAAGAAAGTTCTTAGAGACCTACAAAGATACTTAGACTCCCACACAATAATAGTGGGAGACTTTAACACCCCACTATCAGTATTAGATCAACAAGACAGAAAATTAATAAGAATATTCAGGACTTGAACTCATCTCTGGATCAAGTGGACTTAGTAGACATCTACAGAACTCTCTACCCCAAATCAACATAATATTCATTCTTCTCAGTGCCACATGGCACTTATTCTAAAATCGACCCCATAATTGTAAGTAAAACACACCTCAGCAAATGCAAAAGAACTGAAATCATAAGAAACAGTCTCTCAGACCGCAGTGCAGTCAAATTAGAACTCAGGATTAAGAAACTCACTCAAAACCACATGATTACACGGAAATTGAACAACCTGCTCCTGAATGACTCCTGGGTAAATAATGAAATTAAAGCAGAAATCAGGAAGTTCTTTGAAACCAATGAGAACAAAGAGACAATGTACTGGAATCGCTGGGACACAGCTAAAACAGTGTTAAGAGGGAAATTTATAGCACTAAATGCCCACATCAGAAAGCTAGAAAGATCTCAAATCAACACCCTCACATCACAATTAAAAGAGCTAGAGAGACAAGAGAAAACTAATCCAAAAGCTAGCAGAAGACAAGAAATAACTAAGATCAGAGAAGAATTGAAGGTGGTAGAGAAAGGAAAAACCTTCCAAAAAAACTCAATGAATTCAGGAGCTGGTTTTTTGAAAAAATTGACAAAATAGACAGACCGCTAGCTAGACTAATAAAGAAGAAGAGAGAGAAGAATCAAACAGACACAATAAAAAATGATGAAGGGGATATCACCACTGACCCCACAGAATACAAACTACCATCAGAGAGTACTATAAACACCTCTGTGCAAATAAACTAGAAAATCCAGAAGAAATGGATAAATTCCTGGACACATATACCCTCCCAAGACTAAACCAGGAAGAAGTCAAATCCCTGAATAGAAAATAGCAAGTTCTGAAATTGAGGCAGTATTTAATAGCCTACCACCAAAACAAGCCCAGGACCAGATGGATTCACAGCTGAATTCTACCAGAAATACAAAGAGGAGCTGGTACCATTCCTTCTGAAACTATTCCAAACAATTGAAAAGGAGGAACTACTCCCTAACTCATTTTATGAAGCCAGCATCATCCTGATACCAAAACCAGGAAGAGACACAACAAAAAAAGAAAACTTCAGGCCAATATCCCTGATTAACATGATCCAAAGATCTTCAATAAAATACTGGCAAACCAAATCCAGCAGCACATCAAAAAATTTATCCACCATGATCAAGTTAGCTTAATCCCTGGGATGCAAGGCTGGCTCAACATACACAAATCAATAAACATAATCCATCACATAAACAGAGCCAAGGACAAAAACCACATGATTATCTCAATAGATGCAGAAAAAGCCTTTGATAAAATTCAACATCCCTACATGTTAAAAACTCTCAATAAACTAGGTATTGATGGAACATGCCTCAAAAACAAGAGCTATTTATGACAATCCCACAGCCAGTATCATATTGAATGGGCAAAGACTGGAAGCATTCCCTTTGAAAACCAGTACAAGACAAAGATGACCTCTTTCACCACTCTTATTCAACCTAGTATTGGAAGTTCTGTCCAGGGCAGTCAGGCAAGAGAAAGAAATAAAGCGTATTCAAATAGGAAGAGAGGAAATCAAGTTGTCTCTGTTTGCAGATGACATGATTATATATTTACAAAACCCCATCATCTCAGCCCAAAAACTCCTTAAACTGATAAGCAACTTCAGCAGTCTCAAGATACAAAACCAATGTGCAAAAATCACAAGCATTCCTTTACACCAACAATATGCCCACAGAGAGCCAAATCATGAATGAACTCCCATTCGCGATTGCTACAAAGAGAATAAAATACCTAGGAATACAGCTAACAAGGGATGTGAAGGACTTCTTCAAGGAGAACTACAAACCACTGCTCAAGGAAGTAAGAGAGGACATAAACAAATGGAAAAACATTCCATCCTCATGGATAAGAAGGAACAATATCGTTAAAATGGCCATACTGCCCAAAGTAATTTATAGATTCAATGCTATTCCCATCAAACTACCATTGACATTCTTCACAGAATTAGAAAAAAAACTATTTTAAATTTCATGTGGAATCAAAGAAGACCCTGTATAGCTAAGACAATCCTAAGCAAAAAGAACAAAGCTGGAGGCATCACACTACCTGACCTCAAACTATACTACAAGGCTACAGTAACCAAAACAGCATAATACTTGTACCAAAACAGATGTATAGACCAATGGAGAAGAAAGGAGACCTCAGAAATAACACTACACATCTACAACCATCTGATGTTCGACAAACCTGACAAAAACAAGCAATGGGGAAAGGATCTCCTATTCAGGAAATGGTGCTGGGAAAACTGGCTAGCCATATGCAGAAAACGGAAACTGGACTCCTTACTTACACCTTATACAAAAATTAACTCAAGATGGATTAGAGATTTGAATGTAAAACCCCAAACCATAAAAACCCTAGAAGAAAACCTAGGCAATATCATTCAGGACATAGGCATGGGCAAAGACTTCATGACAAAAATGCCAAAAGCAATTGCAACAAAAGCCAGAATTGACAAATTGGATCTAATTAAACTAAGGAGCTTCTGCACAACAAAAGAAACTATCATCAGAGTGACAGGCAAACTACAGAATAGGAGAAAATTTTTGCAATCTACCCATCTGACAAAGGTCTAATATCCAGAATTTACAAGAAATGTAAACAAATTTACAAGAAAAAAACAACCCCATCAAAAAGTGGGCAAAGGATATGAACAGACACTTCTCAAAAGAAGACATTTATGTGGCCAAGAAACATGAAAAAAAGCTCAACATCACTGATCATCAGAGAAATGCAAACCAAAACCACAATGAGATACCATGTCACACCAGTCAGAATGGCGATTATCAAAAAGTCAGGAAACAATAGATGCTGGTGAGACTGTGGAGAAATAGGAATGCTTTTACACTGTTGGTGGGAATGTAAATTAGTTCAACCATTGTGGAAGACAGTATGGTGATTCCTCAAGGATCTACAACCAGAAATGCAATTTGACCCAGCAATCCCATTACTGGGTATATACCCAAAGGAGTATAAATCATTCTACTATAAAGTCACATGCCCATATATGTTTATTGCAGCACTATTTACAATAGCAAAGACATGGGACCACTCCAAATGCCCATCAATGA
The DNA here is from genome assembly GCF_000001405.40 of Homo sapiens. Taxonomy (NCBI): domain Eukaryota; kingdom Metazoa; phylum Chordata; class Mammalia; order Primates; family Hominidae; genus Homo; species Homo sapiens. The sequence continues at coordinate 17,458,404 of NC_000005.10, read as the reverse complement.
TAGACTGGGTAAACAAAATGTGGTACATATACACCTTGGAATATTATGCGCCCATAAAAAATAATAAGATCATGTCCTTTGCCAGGACATGGATGAAGCTGGAAGCCATCATCCTCAGCAAACTAACATAGGAACAGAAAGCCAAACATTGCATGTTCTCACTTATGAGTGGGAGTTGAACAATGAGAACACATGGACACAGAGAAGGGAACAACACACACCAGGGCCTGCTGAGGAGTGGGGGGTGAGGAGAGGGAACTTAGAGAATGGGTCAATAGGTGCAGCAAACCACTGTGACACACATATACTTATGTAACAAACCTGCACATTCTGCACATGTATCCCATTTCTTAATAGAAGAAATAAAGAAAAATAATAAGAAATAAATAAAATAAAAAAACAAATACAAATACAAAAATTTGCTGGGTGTGGCGGTGTGTGCCTGTAATCCCAGCTACTCAGGAGGCTGAGGTGCGAGAATTGCTTGGGCCCAGGAAGTGGAGGTTGCAGTGAGCTGAGATCTTCCCAACACACTCCAGCCTGTGTAATGGACTGAGACTCTGTCTCAAAAATAAATAAATAAATAATTAAATAATTAAAAATTAAAAAAAAAAGAAAAGAGCACAGGAAATGGTATTTGGGCAATAAAGACCAAATAAGGGTCAGTTTTTTCTTTTTTTTTTTTTTTTTTTTTTTGAGATGGAGTTCTCTCTTGTTGCTCAGGCTGGGGTGCAATGGCGTGATCTCAGCTCACCGCAACCTCTGCCTCCCAGGTTCAAGTGATTCTCCTGCCTCTGTCTCCCAAGTAGCTGGGATTACAGGCATATGCCACCACACTTGGCTAATTTTGTATTTTTAGTAGATACGGGGTTTCTCCATATTGGTCAGGCTGGTCTCAAACTCCCGACATCAGGTGATCCACCCACCTCAGCCTCCCAAAGTGCTGGGATTACAGGAGTGAACCACCTCGCCCAACCAAGGGTCAGTATTTAAAGGTCAGTTGGTTGGCCAGTCCATTAGCTGGCTGGTTAAATAATACTACCAGAATCTCAGCACACTCAGATGCTCATGCCATGAATAACAGCCAGAAACTGAGGCTGAGATTACAGCTTTACATCACCCATCTCATTCTCATAGCAGAGCACACGCTCACTGGGTGACATGAAAGGCATAGTCATTTTCTATATGTAAATTCTTATTTCTTGTCAAGCTATAGTAGAATTTGCATGTCTTAAATGGGCATATAACATGAATCCATTGTGTCAACAGAGTTCATTCTTGACAGCATAGCTTTAGCATTCACTGGGTCCTAGAAATCGGGAAAAGATCCATGTATTCATGAACAATTAAGGACATTAACAACAAAGAAAATATAGATAAATATTTCTTATGAATTTCTTTTTTTTTTTTTTTTTTTTGAGGAAGAGTCTCGCTCTGTTGCTGAGGCTGAAGTACAGTGGCGCAATCTTGGCTCACTGCAGCCTATGCCTCCCAGGTTCAAGCGATTCTCCTGCTTCATCCTCCTGAGTAGCTGGGACTACAGGCCATCATGCCTAATTTTTCTATTTTTAGCAGAACGGGGTTTCATCATGTTAGGCAGGCTGGTTTCAAACTCCTGACCTCAGGTGATCCACCCACCTTGGCCTCCCAAAGTGCTAAGATTATAGGCATGACCTACCAAGCCCAGCCATGAATTTTCTTTTTTTGTTTGTTTTGAGACAGGTTCTCACTTTGTCACCCAGGCTGGAGTCCAGTGGTGTGACCACAGCTCACTGCAGCCTCAACTTTCTTGCGCTAAAGTGGTCCTCCCACCTCACCCTCCCAAGTAGGTGGGACGATAGGCGTGTACCACCACACCTGGCTAATGTTTAGTATTTTTTGTAGTGATGAGGTTTTGCCATGTTGTCTATGTTAATCTCAAACTCCTGGACTCAAGCGTTCCATCCACCTTGGCCCCCCAAAATGCTGGGATTAAAGTGTGAGCCACCACGCCCAGCCATAAATTTCTCATAGTACTTTTATTTTTAGTTTGTTTTTCCTCTTGTCTGTTCCTCTTCTCTTCCCACCAAATGGAGGAGGAGATAGGGAGTAACCCATCAGAAAAAGACTGGGCTGAATTAACATGGTTCTGGTATAAAGGATTAAATTGAAGGACATCTAAATGTATAAATACAAATTCTCCTTATAATTTAACTTGGGAAGAAGAGTCGGTGTGTAGTGGCACTTCAGTTCCAAGGCAAACATGAATCCTCTCACTTCCCTTCTGAAACCTTCCACTTCCCTTCCCTCTTCTTTATGGTTCTTTCTATGGCCAATATCATTATCTTGCCCATTTGCTATCCAAAGTCCCTCACGTTTACCAGAACAAAACAAAAATAAGCAACACTTCTCTTTCCAAATCCCTACCTTATCTCCTTTCAATAGAATTTTTATCTGATGAATAATTCACGTTTAGTTTGGCCAAGAAAAATACTACAGTACCACCTGGGTAGAATTTGTAGTTTAAAATAATTTGCTACTCAAAACAGTCTTTGCTTATAGAGGAGCATGCCTCAGTTCTAGGTTTATTCCTTGCAACCCCAACACATCCTATGCTGTGTTTTCATGCACACTAACACACACACATTGTGGTAAAATCAGAACTAAATAAAAACAGCCATTCTTTCAGGAGAATACAATAACTGGCTCATACATGCAAGTCACAAATATAACAGTAAGGAGAGCCTTTTAGACTTTATTTCTGGCAAACCACTTGAGCCAGAGCCCAGAAAAAAAATGCCATTACATTTTTTAATCTACTATTTCCTGCTAAAATTATTTCAAATAATAAATGTAAAGGAAGCCACCAAATTGATTTCTTCATCCAGTTTGGGGACTTTGACCAACTTCTATATGACCGTACAATCAATCATGACTCCCATTATGGATGTCCATCCTCACTCTTATCGTAGCTAAGTGGTTCAGTTAATTCATTCTCAAATCAATATTTTAGTTATAAACCATCACCTCAGGCTCTTATAATTTTATCCTGTTTCTCTCCATTGTCATCAATGTTTTCTGGTAAATTTCATAATTCCCCAGAGCTTGAACTTGCCTCAACAGTGGCTCCATTTTTAATTGCTAACATTATTAGAGAGATGGACTTCATTATTGAAAACTGAAACAGACAAATAATGAAAGTTATTAATTAAAGTGAATTTGCAAGATGTTAAACATATCGACATGTAGTAGACATTTAATAAATATTTGATGAATGTATAAATGAACTAATGAATAAATGAATGAGAAAATATTTCTAGGCTTTTATGTAAAGAAATGATACTTTGAGGAGGATTATGCCTTTTTCTTACCTGAGCATAACCATCCACTTTGACAATGCCCCTCTGGTTTTCCTTTATAATTATAAATATATTCCCGTTTGAATTATGCATCAGAAATTTACTTCTCTCCATTTGTTCAAACACCACACTTAGATCAAGCAGAACTTACTTTCTGCAAACCGCATGCTCAGGCCTTGTCGAAATTGCACACAGTTCTGTGCATACACAGAAAAGAGAAGATCCTGTGGCACTAAGCTTGGAATCAAGCTTCATTCTTGTACTTGACACGCCACAACTCAGCACCTGTGCTGATATCCAAATCTTTCCTTCCTGAAATCTTTGACCAGGCTTACTGATCTTTTCTTCCCAGACTATAGGTCTAGACTCTGGGTTCTCCACACCTCTCCTCCAGGTTTCTGATCCGTTGCCTGGCTTCCCCATTGCCTGCCTTAGCTGCTGACACCCATTGTGCACATTGACTGCTCCACGATCAACTAACTTCTATGAGCCAGAAATCTTGACCTAGTCCAAATTTCAAAACCAACCTCCTCATCCTATTATGTGCTTTTGCCATGTCCAATGCCACCTAGTATTTTAGCTGTTCATGAAAGGAAAACCAGGGCAGATGCACTGCCTTTATGAGTTAGTGCCTGAACTGGCCTTTCTGTTGTCTACAATAGAGTTGCATTTCTTTCAACCCCATTCCCACCCTTACTACAATTTCTCAGTAGTGAACCTTGCTTTCTCAGTAGTGAGCTTTGCTTTCCCTGAGCTTTGCTTTCTCAGTTTTCTCAGTTTGATGAACCACTTATTCAGGTCTTTCCAGTTCCCACCAGCCTCCTTTATTTCCCAATTATGACTTTGTCCTCCTTTTTGGCCAGTGATTCCTTGGACTGGTACAGTAGTGAAAACAAACAAATAAAAATAAGCAAGCAAACAAAAACAAGAAAAAGGCAAAAAATGCTTTTTTTTTCTTGGATCAAAACATCTCATACTTATAACCTGCATAGATAATACCAACTAGGCACAATTCCACAGAGATCTCCGGTGTAAAAAATGCTTTTGCTGCAAAGGAGGGGGAGTGTGATTGTCTTCAATTCATCATGTTCTGAGAGCTGGTACTGCACTTTAGTGCAAATTAGAAAATTTCCCTGTTCAGGTGGATGATTCCCAAAAAAAATACTCGCTCTGAGTGTTTGATGCATCGCAAGTTGACCCAATTCTAAACAGAGCCCAGACTACCCTGCCACACCCTGGGCTAAGTACTTCCTAATTACAGTTAAACTTTCGTGTGATATCTAGAAATCCAGAATCCAGTGGAATAACATTCTAAAGTATAATAGAAGTTATAAAATGTGTGTGTGTTCATGTAAAGCAGGCCTCTTGATTTTCCGTTTTCCTTCCTCTTAAATTCTGATTACTTATTGCTCCTTGTGGCAGACTATTTTTGGAAAAGGCACAACAATTGCTTCATATTTAATACTGAACAGGAAAGGTGAGATGTTGACCTAAAATTTTTATTTTTCTGTGTACATGTCATTACATATTTGTCTAAACCCCTAGGATATACAACTCCAAGGGAACCCTAAAGTACACTCTGGGCTTTGGGTGATAATCATGTGTCAGTATAGGCTCATGGATTGTAACAAGGGTACCACTCTGGCCAGAGGTGTTGATAATGGAGGAGGCCAGGTGAGGGGGACAGGAGGGATATACGGGAAATCTCTGTTTTTTTCTGTCAATTTTGCTATGAACCTAAAAGTGTCCTTAAAAAATAAAGTTTTTAAAAAATGTTTTAAATTATTCTCATTCTGACCATCTAATTCCTAACAAAAGACAAGCATGGCTGGAAAATGGCATGGAAGGTGCAGACAAACACACAGGAAGAAAGCGTGCTTGCTGCAAGTTTCTATGTGTCTACTTGAGAATTTCCAGATGCAAACGAAAAGAGAGAGATTGCAGACTAATCAGATGAACTCACTTTATTTTACATTTTTACAGTTGCTGTGTATTCTTCCCCTCAAAGTAAGAAATAAACCCTCATCAGTGAGAAGCGGGAGGTTGGAAGAGGAGTGATATAAAAATCCTAGATAACCGACTTCAAGTATTCCAATTTATAGTGTTTCAAACTGTTGCAAGCATTTTTCTCTTTTCAGATAGAGCAGACTGAAGACTGACTTCCATCCAAATTTTGAAAAATAAAGCTGATCCTCCAACAGGGTGGGAGAAGAGAGAGAAATTCCTGTTTTATAAATTGGAAGGTGTATGACAAATGGAACAGTTCTAACCAATGATTTTTTTTGCACTATTTTATATTTGGTATTACAATATGGAAGTGTCTTGTCCTTCACATGCAATTAGTGCCGTGGGAAAGTTGCTCTGCGATTTCTACTCACATTCCAGTCTTTGAAGGGACTCAAGACAAATGTGACCCATGTGACTCATTTTACACTGCTGAGAGAAATGGGCTGTCCAAAATCCATCCTTAGATTTTGAGAGCCATGATTATAAAAAGTCACATGAAAACAAATACTTGAGAAAGACTTCCCTAGAAAATGTATCAATAATTGAGAGAAAGAAAAACTTTAAAATCAAACACTATAATTAAAGTGAATAAAGTACACATTTAAGCATGATTCATAACTGAATTACAAAAATAAATGTCATCATAGTTTTATTGCTTAATTAATTTCCATACTCAAGTACATTAATTCCCACCTTCTTTTTGTGTGACTTTTTTTTCCTTTGAGGCAACTTAATCTTGATGTTTTTTCAAATTTATTCTATTTATCTCATTTATGTAAGCTCATGAAAATATTATTTGGTATTTCTGCTCCAACAGATATGAAAGAGAAGGAAATACCAAAAAGAGGACCCTTAAAAGGAAAACAGAAATCAAAGCAAATAACCAAGGAAAAAAAATAAAATATTAATGCTTATGATAATTAAAAAAGTAAATAAAATAAGAAACTAGCAAAAACTCCTCAGTAGAAATTATTCCCAAATTGCTCGTTATCAAGGGCTTACACACATTATCGAAATCCATTTAGTCAAAGGGTACAAGTAAGCCTTTGGGGGTGATGGAAGTGTTTTGTGTCTTGATGGTGATGGTGATCTTACAGGCATGTTAAATGGTCAATATTCATCAAACTGTACACTGGATGCAATCTATTACACATAAATTACACCTCAATAAACTTGATTACAATAAGAAAGCAAAACACTTCTTTATGGTGCTTAGATAAAAGTTAAATGCGCTGAAAATAAATGAACTATGAGTGGTAGTAAATATTCACATTTCACAAAAGCCATTGCTTTAAATGTACACTTACACTCCAATATTTCTCAGTGAGAGGTTTCAAAAATCGTGATATGTAATAAATGTGAGGTATTATAGGCACCATATTCATTTGCAATCACAAGGACAAGCAGATGTAGTAGTTTTTGACTTTTTGTTATTTCATCTATGTATCAGTCTGTTTCACACTGTTGATGAAGACATACCCGAGACTGGGAAGAAAAAGAGGTTTAATTGGACTAACAGTTCCACATGGCTGGGGAGGCCTCAGAATCATGGCAGGAGGCGAAAAACACATCTTACATGGTGGCAGCAAGAGAAAAATGAGGAAGAAACAAAAGCAGAAAACCCTCATAAACCCGTCAGATCTCGTGAGACGTATTCACTGTCACAAGAATAGCACAGGAAAGACCAGTCCCCATGATCCATTTACCTCCCCCTAAGTCCCTCCTACAACACTTGGGAATTCTGGAAGCTACAATTCAAGTTGAGATTTCGGTGGGGACACAGCCAAACCATGTCAATCTACAACTTAGAGTTCCATCCTCTCAATGCTGGAAAAGTTAGAATGTTTCCTATTTTATGGTAGAATAGAGTCTACGGATTGGAAGATAAGACACTAAAGTGCATTAACCATCAAAAACTGCGAAGGAGGCCGGGCACCATGGCTCACGCCTGTAATCCCAGCACTTTGGGAGGCCGAGGCGGGTGGATCACGAGGTCAGGAGATCGAGACCATCCTGGCTAACACAGTGAAACCCCGTCTCTACTAAAAATACAAAAAATTAGCCGGGCGTGGTCACACACGCCTGTAGTCCCAGCTACTCGAGAGGCTGAGGCAGGAGAATAGCTTGAACCCAGGAGGCAGAGGTTGCAGTGAGCTGAGATCACACCACTGCACTCCAGCCTGGGCGACAGAGCGATACTCCATCTCAAAAAACAAAACGAAACAAAACAAACAAACAAAAACAAAAACCGCCAAGGGTCTGAGAGTTCACCCTTCTTGCAAACTAACAAGTTAGCCTGACAAAAGTTTCATGAATGCTGGTAGAAGACACTAGACTCCTGGGTCACAGACAAAGAATAGTTTGGTACTCACGACAATAGCAGTAGCAAAAGTATTAGCATTTTTTGTACCAGTTAACCAGGCCTCCATTTTTGCAATGTGATGCAAAGAGAACCAGATGGTACCTACATATTCAGTGATTGTGCTATAGAAGAGGAATATTGAATTTAGGGAATCTGAATCCTTTATAATGGGCAGTGAGCATGCCTGGCCTTTGCTCCAGAGAGAGACACTGGCTCTATGTTCCAAGACTGTTCACAACACAAATGTCCCTGAAAAGATAGTTCAGAATGAAGGACAGTTAGTCGCTCACTCACAAGAGATACAGAAATACAAAAAGTCTGTGGAGAATTGGTCTCCAACAATAACAATTCAATCATTAGAGAAAGTACTTCAGGGTACCAAGAATTCTTCAAAGAAAATGTTGGCTAATTTATTAGAAACCTCTGCTTTTCCAGGTCCAAGTTTTACATTAATACATGTATATAAAAGTGTATACATTTTCTCAATTTGAGTCAGAATACCAAAAACTACACAACAACATTTGTATTAATTAACAGAAAACTGACGTGGCAAGGATTAGCACACTACATGCATGTGCTGGACCTCCTTGTAAATCACCTCATGTAATCAACTGTTACCATCTATTTCAAATGATGAGTTCTTGTCCATGAAATTTATTTCTTATTTATCAAGGTAACAGGAGTAGAAATGAATCAGTCTTCAAACCAGCTGCTCATAATCACAAAGTACATTTTATTAACGTGCTAGAAGAACCAATATTGGAAAGTTTTATTTGGCTTCCAACTTGACCCTACTTAGAAATAAGGTGACAGTATATTCCACTTCAAAAAATATATATTCCCCATCAGCTCAATAGCCCAAGCCAAAATATACATCATCCTAGATTCCACTCTCCTTGTTACTCTTCTCACATGTGGTCAGTTGCCCACCTCTGCCATCTTTGTTTAATAAATAGTTATCATATCTGCTTCTGAGGAAGACCGTGCCTTTTATTTGTATCAACTGCACCTCCCATTATGCTTTTGTGTAGTAAGCACACAATAAAGGTTTGTGAAATGAATAGATCTACAGCTTTATCAATGTCAGAAAACAATGCACATGGGAATATAAACTGGTACATCCATTATGGAAACCCATATGGAGATTCTTCAAAAAAATTTGAAAAGAAGTACCATATGATCCACCAATCTCATCTCTGAGCATACCGCATATGTCCAATGGAAATGAAATCCATGTGTCAAAGAGATATCTGCACTCCCATGTTCATTGCAGCATTATTCATAATAGCCAAAAGATGGAATCAGCCTAAATGTCCAACAATGGAGGGATGGATAAAGGAAATGTGATATATATGCACAATGGAATACTATTCAGCCTTAAAAAAGAAACTCTGTAATCTGTGAAACATGGGTGAACTTGGAGGACATTATGTTAAGTGAAATAAGCCAGGCACAGAAAGACAAATATCACACGTGGAATCTAACGAAGTTGAACTCTCAGAAGCAGAAAGTAGAATGGCGGTTACAAGGAACTGGTGGGGAGAGAGGTGGAGGTTGGAGAGATGTTTGTCAAAGTATACAAAATTTCAACTGGACAGGAGTAGTCAGTCCAAGAGTTCTATTGTGCAATATGGTGACTACAGTTAATAACAATGTACAGTATTGTATTCTGGAAAATTTCTAAGAGAGTAGATTTTAAGTGTCCTCACCACAAAAATCATAAATATGCATATGAAAATTAGCTACATTTAGCCATTCCAAATATATGCATATTTTAAAATATTGCATTGTACACAATAAATGTATACAATTTTTGTTTAATTTTTTCAAATAAGCTTTTTTAAACAGAAAACACCATTAAAAATGAAAACGAAATTGTAAAACCACAGGGCACAAAGAGAGACATGGAAAAAATTGATTTTTCCTGGCAAACATGGGTTTTATCTTTCTAACAATTATGGATATTTTCACATAATGGATAATACAGGCATACATTTTGTGTACTGGTAAACACAAACCCCATTCAAAATGGTGAAATTTTTTCCTGCAGCTCCTGTTAGCAATCTGGTTGCACTTATCTGTTAAACATTAGTTTCCTAGAGAAGAAGATACTATCATTTCAAACTGCAGCAAACAAAATATTCTACAGGACATATAAATCCTGTATAAAACCTGAACTTTGAGCTATGAAATTCTGGTGGCTTTCTCAACCCAGTCAGTTTGACACTGTGAAATCTAAGACTATACCCGAAATGCTCATTCATTTTGAGGTATGTGTGTTTATTTAGGGCTATTTTGCTTTTAACCAAGTGGTTATCCTCAAAATATACAGCTTCTGTCGGGGAGGATAAAAGGAGGAAAATCAAAGTTTAATCTCCAGTTCTCATGGGAGAAATCTGAAGAGCAGTTGTCCTCCTTTAAAAAAAGTTAATAAAAAATGTTTTCATTAAAAGATAAGATCGTGGCATGTTAAGACAATTTAACCATTTTAATCTAATGCAATAATTTCCTCTAAAATAGATACTGTGTTTGCTATCCAGTGGGCAGTGGTTTGGGAGAGTATTTCTGAAAGATCCTTTGGCTAGTAGTTGCCTAGGACAGAATTTACCTCGGGAACAATACTCACACACAGTGACCATTCCCACTATTCTTTTGACTACACAGCTTACACTAAGGTAATAAAAAGACCAGCTATGTTTTCAGGATGCAGTCAAGACCCCATCCAAAAATAAAATAAAACTTACATTTTAAATTAACTTAAATGCCTATATTTTATTCAATTTGCTTCTTCAGTGCTAATGTTCATCTGTCAAATAAAAACTGTACAATGTTTACAGTACAAATAAGAAGAAAATGAAGCACAATGATCAGGAAGCATCTTCAGACAAGTTACATTCATAACTCCAACCATAGCATAAAATGTTTGTAAATTAATTTTTCAGGTTTTGATGCACTTTTCCAACATATATGTCTAATTTTTGTATTTTAAATCACATGAGCACTACAGAAACAAATATAAATAAATAAAATCATCTTTCAGCCTACCTACCCTGACTTCATACCCCCAAACACTTTTTTCTACACATTTGCATAGAAAATACTAGAATGTTTGAGTGTCTATTATATAGAGTATCATTTATTCAACAGAAAGAGCTACCAAGTGAAATGGTACACATTAGAAGAGAGTGATTTTGCAATTGCTGGATCACTTGACTGTGACTTGAGAGGAGGTTTCTAGAAGAAATTCAAAGTTTAGATGAATGCCTGAGGGTAGTCTCTTCTTACCTTAATCTACATGTTTCTAACCCATCATTATCTCAAAGTTATCACACACACACACACACACACACACACACACACCACAGTTTCTCGACTTCACTGAAACCCACTGTCCCCTAAGGATACTGCTTCTCCTCTCAAGCAGGGGCTGGGAGATATTTTCCATCAAACTCCAAATATCTCAGTATCAGAACCAAGGCAACGTCCTCCTGACTACCCAATGCCACTTGCAGACGAATGACTGCACTCTCTTTTGTAAGTTGCTCCTTTGAGTAGTTGACAATAAGAGCTTCTTCTCCCTCTAGTCCTCACTTAATCATTTGGTCACTCCTTAAAGAATTTAGCACTCAACTCATAGTCTCCTTTTCACCCAACCCTACCATCATGCTAAGCAGATTTAACATCACTTGGATGCACCATCAACACCTTGCCCAGCAGTTCCTTACCCTGATACCCACTGATAGTTGTCATCATTCACCTCAAGCACCAACTTCCACAGTCACACCATGAATTTGGTTAACATTGGAAACTGCACTTCAGATAATTCTGCAATAATATAAATACCTTCACAAACACCACCACCACCATCTTCAACTTCCCTTTCCAATGGCCTTGTTTTCGTCCCCTCATACAACACTTCTACCTATCAAGAACTGCAATCCAGTGACACTTCAACTTTCTCTACATTCATCAGCCTCCTCAGCTCTCCACATCTCTCCATCAGTACAATGTCACCTCCCTCCCCCGTGTCCACCTCCAACTCCTGGCTTCGTATTTTATCTGGCCTATTCCTATTCATCCTTACTCGTACCGCTTTCTTAGAAAGGGGCTATCCAGACTTCTAAGCTAGATGATGTTCTTCTGTTAAGCCACCTTGTAAGTTCTTTGTGCTTTTCTTAGCTATTATTCAAGCACAACAATGATCATATTGCAATTAATGTCATTGTGGATTTGAACATGGAAGGTCTATTTTATCCTAGATTGTAAATTGGTTAAGAGCAGAGATCATGACTGTTTTACTCTCAATTACATATGTCAACTAACACCATGCCTGGCACATAGAAGGCACTCTAGGAATATATGTGGAGTCACACACACACATACACATACTTATGCATACACACTCATACACTTACCCATGAAGATTTCTTCCAGTAAATGGGTATCTGTATTATGCAAGCAACATGAAATCAGAAAGAACATTTTGGGGTTTTTGCTGCCTAACACCAAAACTAATTGCAGCCACTCTTCAAAAAAATGCAATAACTTTATAAACAGCCACATCCTGATTCTTACGGTTGAAAGCTCTCCATTCTCTGCTGAATATTCATCCGTTGAGAGGGACACTAGCCTAGAAGCTCAGCACTTTCTGAAAAGAGAAGCAGCAGGAATAGAAGATGTGTGGAGAGGAAAGAAAGTCAAAGGCAGGCTCCTGCAATGCAAAGGTGCCAGGAACAACGGTGCAATCCCAGGCTGTGTAACACAGGATGGAGGAGGGAGATCTCACTTTTATTGTAAATAGCAGAATTCTTTAAAGGTAGCTACATTAGCAATCAGATCTCATAGATGCTGGAAACACAAACACCTCCTTTCTCATTAAGGGTAGGGGGATCCAGCATAATTTCTCTGGACCAGGAAGATGGAGGAGTCTTACTTCTCTTGCCTTCCAACTGCATCCCCCACTCAATCCTAGATTGCACAAGGAAGTCAACACTACCTCCCCCAACAAGCTCCAAATCCCTCTCTTCACAGCATTGTCAATTGAATCTCTTCATCCAATCTTGGAAACAGTCTGGAAAAAGAAGCAGAGGAGAGAAGAAAGGGGAAAAGTTCAAAAGTACTTTAAACTCTGCCAAAAAAAATCAATTAGTACCAATATACACAGAGAAATGAATGACAGAAGTCATCGCAGCAAGGTATTTCCTCATGACTCCTTCAACTGGCCAGGGCCAAACCAAGGTGTGCAAATAATCTGAGCAACTGTACACTTTGGCACACCTTTGCTATGTATACATACCTTCAATATGTATTTACAGAAGCTGGAAATTGCACAGGGCAGGACCAGGAAAGAACGGGCAGAAATGTTCAACTGCATGGCCAATGTCCTGAGCTTTAGCCCCAGAGTTGTGTGTCCTACTCTGAAGCCCTACAAGTCATAGGACCCATTCACCCCAGAGCCAGTGCAGCCTATTTCTTTGAGATCTCAGTCCCATCTCTCTAATGGTATCAAAGAACCCTCCATTTACATTTAGTGCTCTCTTTGAAAGGAGCCATGATAGACTTTAATCCAAATTTACAAAAAGAAAAACTGGATTCCAAAGAACGATATAATTAGCATAAATACTGGGACTACACACTGCCACATAATAAAACAGAAAGCATCAAAATATATAATTGTGTATAGCACCTATACACTAGCATAGGTCAAACAGCTGAATGATTAAAGGAGTTTTGTTTTGTTTTGTTTTAATCAGTCAACTAGGAACTTCTTAATGCAGTCACTTTGGCATGATACAAACAAAATCTTTCAAACTACAACACATCTTAGAAACAGCAAATACTACTGCTGTTCACGTAGCAAGGAAGGTTACAAGTAAATCTCCCAATATCTCAGGTGTAAAGAAGTGTTCTAACAAGGTCCATTTGTATTAAATCAAATCACCAGACTAAGGCATCTATTTTGCACCACTTACTCAGAGCAACAGACAAAAAGACAGGCCTTTGGGTTTATTTATATAAACATTCTTCCACAGGTAGTCACAGAGGAGGAAGGAGTACAATGTAATTTGATGGTGGATGAATTTGCACAAAAAGGAGACTAAAAAAGAAAGATTATTGTGACCCAACACTCACTCTTTACTTTTTAAAGTTGTGGGGAAAAGAAATGGCAAAGCTTTCTATTTCTGTAAGCTTTTGTTGTAAAGAATTGAATAAAAAATAGCAATACCTAATCATCTCTAAATTACTTCAACTAAAAACACCACTAAAGACCTTATAATCTTTTTTTAAAAAATTCATTCTCATAATTTCTTCCTTGGCCCTGAAAACGATGGTTTAAAAATAGCTTGATTTGCATCTTATTCTTTTACTGCCTTTCTACAAATACATTTTGAAATGCTTGCTTACGGAAAAGCTGTTGCCTGCTTAGCTTTCATCATGTATGAGATCACACTATTTCGCTCACCTGGAACTGTCGTGTTCTCTGTTCCCAGCAACGGTCCGATAAGGAGCATCCTTGCTAAATGATATGTTTAAAGTATGTATAGCTACGTGTATTTTCAAATGCATAACCAATTTCTTAAAAGAGATGGTAACTCATGCCAGAAGCAAGGAAAAGATTGAAAGGCAGGCCTGGAAACAGAGCTGGCCCAGTAGCAGCTCCAAATATGTCAAAATGCTAGTGTTATTTAAGACACCGATACAATATCCCTGATGATGAAACAGGAAACGTTCCCTTGCGCCACCCGCAGGGTGTGCAACAGGAGGAGTGGCTCGCTTCTTCCGTGCCCCACTGCTCAAACCTCTAGGGGAGCATGCGGACGGCTGGGTTGTGGGGCTCCAACCCAAGAGCAGTGTCTAGGGGTGAATGTTTACAGCTGAAGCCCCAGTGGGCACACGTGTGTTACAGGGTGCTCTTTTAGTTTTGCCATCTGTAGGCGACTTGTGTTAGTCAGCTCAATTAGACCCCCTGGCTTATCTCAAGGACAGAGGACTTTCTGTATCCCAGGGTCCTTGCCTTGGTGTACCGGAAGAATCAGATCACACGTGGGCTTGGAGAATGAGTTCAAGGTTTTATTGAGAGGAAGTAGCTGTGAGCAGACAGGGGAGACAGAAGGGAGATGGAGTGGGAAGGTGTAGTTTCCTGGAGTCAGGCCACCTAGCGGCCTGGCTCTCCTCCAACCACGCAGCCAAACTCCATGTCCTTCCGCCAGTCGATGGCCTGCCAGGGTCTGCCTGTCGGCGTGCTCTTGTTGACGTCCTCTGGACGTCCAGCCGCTTGTGTGAGTGCCCACTAGTGTTTCGGGGTTTTTATAGGCACAGGATGGGGGCGTGGTGGGCCAGGGTGGTCTTGGGAAATGCAACATTTGGGCGCAAAGGCAGGAGTGCCTGCCCTTACCTAGGTCTGTGGGCACAGGCACCGGGGTGAAGCCCTCGCCAGAGACCTGCTTTCTCCTCCCAGCACTTCCCTGCCCCCCTCCCTTATCAATAACATCTGCATTTGTAGCTGGGTAACCAGGGTATTCTTCATACAGCTGCAAGTATCTGGCTAATATATTGATAGGGTTTGGATCTGTGTCCAGGCCCAAATCTCACGTTGAATTGTAATCCCAGTGTTGGGGGTAGGGCCTGGTGAGAGGTGATTGGATCATGGAGGAGGATTTCTCATGAATGGTTTAGGACCATCCCTTTGGTGCTGACGGCAAGACAGTGAGTGAATTCTCAAGAGAGAGTTCTGGTTGTTTAAGAGTGTGTGGCACCTTGCTCGCTCTCTCTTTCTTGCTCCTGCTTCAGTCACATGAGGTGCCTGCTCTCATTTCACCTTCCACCATGAGTCAAAGTTCCCTGAAGCCTCCACAGAAGTAGACCCAATATGTTTCCTGTACAGCCTGCAGAACCGTGAGCCAATTAAAGCTCCTTTCTTATAAATTACACAGTCTCAGGTATTTCTTTATAGCAATGCCAGAACAGCCTAATACATACATTATGTCTTCAAGTGGGGGTGAAGACATGCTGAACATTTACTTCTTGAAATATCCACTATATGATAGTCAGGGTGTTGTATGTTTAAAGCATGTATGTGTATAGCTTACGTTATTAAAAATTATTGTTTTAGAATAGAAAAAGGAAGAGTGATAAAATATTAGGCTGAACCATATGAAATTGCTGATATTTTATAACTTTTAGTCAACAAAATTCTCAAATGAGAGCTTTGGGTCCAATAAGTTTGCTTTGCCCCAGGCAACTTGCCCCACTAGTGTAATTCGGGGTCAAGCCATGTGCAAGACTATCAGACAGTTTGCACATCCAAGCATGACCACTCCATGCTCTATTATGCTAAGACAGTCTCTGTAACTTTTCTGCTTTGAGTTAAGTTACATAAGTCCTCTTTCTGTTACCCAACATTTGTGGGTGCCAGGTCCCTGAAAGGAAGCTATAGGAGCAGGTAAAAATTCTTTCCATATTTATTTGTGTGGAATTTTTACTTTTTGACTGTATACCAGATGTAAGGAAGTGTTCTTGCTCTAGGGCCATCTGTCATTGCAGAGGTAGGATAGATTCACATAATGATAGAGTAGAAAAAAATAAGTAAAGTGACCCAGGTTTAAATCCTGTCACCTGCTGTTATTGGTTGTGTTTCACTTCTTGACCTACAGAATCCTTGTCTATAAAACTGAACTGGGGACCGTGCCTAGTCATGTAAGTTCATTGTAAAATTCAAACAAAACAAAGTCTGTCAAGGATTTTGAAATGCCAAGATACAACCATGTGATCAGGGAAATTTACATAAAGAACAGAGTTGGGATCATGATATTAGAAAAACCAGAGAGCGATCGGACACAATGGTTCACACCTATAATCCCAGCACTTTGGGAGGCCAAGGCAGGTGGATTGCTTGAGTCCAGGAATTCAAGACCAGCCTGGGCAACAAAGCAAGACCTTATCTTTACAAAAAAAAAATATTAAAAAAAAAAAAAACAGACAGAAAACTAGAGTGGGCCAAAGTTAAGGGCTCTAGAAGTTCAATTCCAAAAGGAATATTTATTCAGAACGCATCAAAGGGTCTACTGGAATTGGAAACACAGTCATCATTCTTAAGGATAAGAACAGCCAATTCCTTAGATGCAGGTCTTCTGAGTCAGTGGACTCCACACTCCTGGGCTTGCATCCAGATTATCATCGACTTCTGTACTGATGCTTGCAGGGGAGGCTCCGTGGACTCCCTGTATATCTGGACACACAGAAAAAAAGGACAGTCAAGTTTTTCATGTTGGACAGTAAGAATTTAATTTGTAATCTCTATTTGTCACATATGTCCATACTTTTCTTTGTGATAGTCTCATCTGAAGCTTCTGGAAAAATAGGGGAAGATCTTATGGACTGTTAGGTTGGAAGAACATAGCTGCCCAAGGCTTCTTAAAAGTTGACCCTAAGGGGACTTGTGGTTATAAATAGAATGCCGTTAGTTGCAGGAGAATACAATCCTGTTAGACTAACTAAAAACGACAAATTAATTGCAAAAAAAATCCATATAAAGAGATCAGTGAATTATGGAAACAAAAAGAATTAAAAGAACAAAAATTCCAGAGAGCAGAGTGTTTTGCCAAGATTAGCTACCTTTCACAGGCTATTTTCTTTCTTGGGATGTTTGCTGATTTGAAACACAGATCAGATCTGGTTCATGCAGAAGCACTGTAGGAAGGAAAGAGAAGCCAGCAAAGCTTGTGGCATTCATAGAAGCAACCACAACAATTTGGAAACAAAAGTATCCCCAAATGCCTTGCCAATTTTCCTCATAGTACCCTTGCTAAATTGAGGCTGAGTAAAAGGTTAGGAGTTTCTGCAAAGTAAGTTAAAATCTTCAGAAGTCCCATAATAATTGGGAGGAAAAGTTCCACTGGAGGAAAGGAGTCTGCTCAGAAGGTGGCTGGTCTCCCCAAGATTCTCATCAAATTTGGATGGAGCATACGGCAGGATACTACACAGCCCGAAACTTCCACTTTCTTTCAGAGCTGTCAATCAACAGTGTGGAAGAGACAGGCCTGAGGAATAAAAACATAGCTAGAAGTGGAGAGGATTTTACTAAAATGTCAACCCAGTCTTGACCTAGTTCAGCCTCTTGGATTGGGGTGATCACCTCCTCACCTTATCTGCCCCACAGAGAAAGCACAGATTCCTATCTGGTCGAAGTAGCATCATACAGAGCTTTGACATGTGCTTTGTCCACAATATCTGGCATACAGTCACATATTACTAACATAAAAAGAGGCAAGAGATTGTGATCAATTACCAGGTGAAACATACAAACAACATAAGCAGATGCAAAGAAAGAAAATGATATTTTATTTAGCATCTTAAAATTACATTTTGATACAATGATCAATATAGTAAAGAGATTGAAAGACAATATGAATGAAAGTGATGAAAAGATGTGGGGTTCAATCATTGAATCAAAATCTGTAAAAAGTAATTGCTCTAAGACTGAAAAATACAATACTTGAAATGAAGACCTCACCAGATGAGCTGAACAGTATAGCTGAAGATTGGCTCAGTGATCCCAAAGACAGATCAACATGAAGTATTTGACTAGAGCACAGAGAACACAAAAGAATACACATATCAGTCACATGCAAATCATAGTGCAAACCCCTTTATTCTTATTATTGGAGTTACTAAAGAAAAAAGAAAGAATAGGGAGAGACAAATATGTAAAAAAAACATAGTCAAGAATTTCCCAAAACTCTTAAAGCTAGCAATCTTTACATTCAAGAATCTCAGCCAACTCAGGATAGCTAGGCATTTTACAACTAAACTGCTGAAGATGAAAGACTTGCTGTTTCTAATAGGCTAGATGATCAATGTGCCACAGTCCTTATTTTAAACCTAAATAAAATATTTCACAAATTATTTGAATATCGCTAGTTTAAAAAGGAAATTCATTTCAACAAAGTCAAAACAAGGAACAGATGAAAGACGGATAAATTGCGTTTATCATTTGAAGGTTGTAGCTGCTTTTCAAAACAAATAGAAACCATTTGTTTCTAATTGTCTCATAACTGAGATAAATAAAACCAATTTTAAGGAGAAACTTTATGCCTGACAAGTATGAGTTAATTGGAACATTGAGAAAATAATTCAAAAGAAATGGAGCTTAGAACTTTACATCTTAACTCTTACTTTGTTTTGTTTTGTTGTTTTTGAGATGAAGTTTCGCTTTTGTTGTCCAGGCTAGAGTACAATGGCACCATCTTGGCTCACTGAAACCTCTGCCTCCTGGGTTCAAGCTTCAGCCCCTGAGTAGCTGGGATTACAGGCATGTGCCACCATGCCCAGCCAATTTTTGTATTTTTACTAGAGACGGGGTTTCACCACGTTGGTCAGGCTGGTCTCGAAATCCTGACCTCAGGTGATCCACCCGCCTTGGCCTCCCAAAGTGCTGAGATTACAGGCGTGAGCCACTGCACCTGGCCTTAACTCTTACTTTGTATGTTGAAAGTAAGATATACACTGTACGACATACTTTGTATGTTGAAAGTAAGATATACACTTTGTATGCTGAAAGTAAGATATACACTTTGTATGTTGAAAGTAAGATATACACTGTAGAAAGCTTGACTGAGATTGCTCACATACCAGAATAATAGAGAATCAGGTATAATTGTGGGTAGAATCAGAAGTAAGAAAATAATATTTACTGAGCCCTTAATAGTGCCAGGCATTAGACTACATTTCTTACAGAGAGCATTGCAGATATGAAATGAACTTCACATAGATCACACATGGATGTGGAAATGAACTCATTCATTAGCCTGAATGCCCGTAAGGTAAATCATTTTAGACAGTACAATATCTTCAGCTCCATCTCAGTTCTTTTTTCATTCCATTGAGAAATAAACATTCATTCTAGCTGCCAGCTTCTGGATTTGTCTGAAGTGTTGCAGATCCAAGTGGAATCAGCCTGGATTCCCATCGATTTCTTTCTTCAGGAACTGAGCTCGTGTTCCTCGTCTTCTTCCTCCTCTCAGACACTAGCAAGCCCTCTCGCTCTTCACTTGCACCATCCCCTCCCCACCCACAAGCCTGACTATGAAGTGGGATGTCACCCTACTTTTGCCTCCCCTTCCAGCACATATATTCATTTCATCTTAAACTGTTTCCGCTAATCACTTTGGGAAACAGAGATAATTAAAATCATAAGCATGAAGGGAAAAAAAATGAAATCATAAACATGAAGGGATTCAAAAACTCATCATTTGCTTGGAGCCATGCTTCCTGGAGCACTCTTTATTCTACATCTCAAATTATAACTAAGCACAGTTGGGATTCTGCCCCTCTTCCCCCACCCGTCTCAGCTAATTTATTTCTGGGTCCTATTCATTGATTGAATTAAATCCTACTGATGTCATGAAAACATCCAATATTTCCCTGCTCCAAGTGCTCAACTCACAACCCTGAGGCCCACCAGAAGAGGTCTCTGCTGACTCTACCAGCTATTTCCTCCGTAAGGCGGAAATCTCCAAGGTAAACAATCCACCAGCACCTGGTACCTCTCCTTACCCTGCCTCCTTGGAAGAAAGGGAAAAGAGAATTTAGCAGAAAAAAATTCCTCAAACGTAACAAAGTATCCCAGCCCCTTTGGACAGACCTATGTACCCATCTGTCATAAGTAAACCCATACAACAAGAATGTTGCCATGTCTTTAAAAATTCCTGAGGTCCAGCTCGGCGCAGTGGCTCAAGCCTATAATCCCAGCACTTTGGGAGGCTGAGGTGGGTGGATCACGAGGTCAGGAGATCGAGATCATCCTGGCCAACAAGGTGAAATCCCATCTCTACTAAAAATACAAAAATTAGCTGGATGTGGGGGAGCATGCCTGTAATCCCAGCTACTCAGGAGGCTGAGGCAGGAGAATCGCTTGTACCCGGGAGGCGGATGTTGCAGTGAGCCGAGATCAGGCCACTGAACTCCAGCCTGGCAACAGAACTACACTCCGTCTCAAAAATAAAAATAAAAATAAACAAAAATTCCTGAGTTCCTGGCTTTCAAACCCTCAATGTGTCTCCCCTATTCACTCAATTGAGTCATTATCTTTCCAAGCTAGACACATAGGAGCTATCTTTTCCTCCTTCCTTGTCCTTTCCATTTGATCTATGGTCATCACTTATTCCACTATTTATTTTATTGCCCCCTTTTATCCTCACTCTTTTTCTCTTGTATGTTGAATGTATCTGCTAGTTATATGTTAGTCACCCTTGAATTATCTTGAAAGAAACTGACAACAGCTGATGTTTCAAAGATTGACTTTCTATACCTGTTCTGTACTTTCATTTTAGTGATTATTTATTCTATTGTTTTAGCTTAATACTGTTGTTTTCGTACCTTAAATGACCTTGTTTCCCACAAAGCAGAGGGGTTTTTTTTTCGCATTTCCTATTTAACACTTTATAAACACAATAACCTAGGAAACAGGGTTACTTTATATCTACCTTCCGCTCCTCCAGCTTTGATTCCTGGCACACAGCATGAAAAGCAAGCAGAGGAACACAGCAGTTAGCAACTTTCACCACTTTTCATCTGTTCTTCCCCATTATTGAATCCATCTAAGGAAGACATCACTGTGACTGCCGGGAGATGTCAGGCCTCAGAAAGGAAGTTGAAAATTATGTAAGAAATGAGCCCAGTGACCTCCATTTCCTTGCCTCCTTGGTAAATAATTTGTGGTTTTCCGAAACTGGAGGCATATTTTAGAGTTCAAGCAAGGTTGGCAGTAAATTGTCCCAAGGATCATAAAAATGTGCACACAGGGTTTTGCAGACACCAAATCAAATAACTAAAGTGAAGTGAAACCAAAACAGAGCAGATGCGTGTATGCACAGGCATATCCCAGTCCCAGAACTGCAGACAGAGTTGTCTATCTTTTACTGTGTAACATAAATTCTAGAATATTAAACAGTTCAGTGGTAGGGAGGTTCAAGACACTCTTCCTTTAACCTCCAAAATATTTCTAACATCCAGTTTTGACTGTTTTTGTAAAAGAGGTAGCTCATGGGTTACAACTTCAAACTTCGGAACAATTCAGGGCTTAGCAAAGCCGTTGTCCACTGTTCTCATCTTCCGCATGTACTAAGAGAGGTTGGGAAGGGAAGTCAGAGCTGTTAGTAAAGAAACTATGAGGACAGAGGTGGGGCAAGCAAAGACACATGCTCTGGTGTTGGAAAAAAAGAAAAACAAACTTGAGGATCCTAGCAGGCTACAGATCATAGGGATTAAGAAGAAACTGGCTCAAACTTAAATACTAAGTGTTCACTTCTATTTCCCTTCTGAATAAAACGTTAAGTGATTGTGCCAATACCCTCCAGCAGTTAGCAGAACAGTCCCAACTAGAATACAGAACTCGAGACAGTAAGTTCACGGCTCAGTGGACATATACCCAGATCGCAAACCCTTACAAATAGGAATTTCTACATCCTCCCAATCCCTCCTGTGTTTTTCTCAAGGCACCTACCGGAAAGATCCTCTTCAAGAGAAACCAGGTCATAAGGCTTGTTCACTTCTCAGCTGCAACCATGCAATGGATCTTGAAATCACACAGAGGGAGAACCAGAGCCTCACAATGGCCTCCAGGGTGTCCACCATCTGCTGAGCTTACACCTCCACACGTTCTGCCACCCTCACCTCTCAGGCCCCTCCAGCTGAACCCCTTTTTCACTCTGTCCCAACCAGATGGGGCTCATCGCCACCTCTGTGTCTTTGCACTTTCTACTTCTCCCCCAGAGATCTTCTCACCCTGTTCTCTCTTCTCCCATAAGTCTCTGCTCAGACATTACCTTTTCAGGGAGGCCTCTCTGACCATATCATCTAAATGGGTAAATGACAACTCTTGAACACTCTTGTCCCCCACCTGGCTCTGCTTTTGCATATGGTACTTACCCCCTTCTTTTTTTTTTTTCTTTGAGATGGAGTCTCGTTCTGTCACCCAGCCTGGAATGCAGTGGAGCGATCTCACCTCCCTGCAGCTTTCACCTCCTGATTTCAAGCGATTCTCATGCCTCAGCCTCCCAAGCAGCTGAGATTACAGGCATGTACCACCACAACTGGCTAATTTTTGTATTTTTAGTAGAGACGAGGTTTCACCATGTTGGCCAGGCTGGCCTTGAACTCCTGACCTCAAGTAATCCCTCCACTTCAGCTTCCCAAAGTGTTGGAATTACAGGCATGAGCCTCTATGCCCAGCCCTCACCTTCTTATATTCTGTATATTTGTTTTCTCCCTCACCAGAGTGTGAGCTCTGTGAAGCCAAGAGCTTTCCTCCCTTTTCTTCACTGCTGAATCCCAGCATAAAAAATTATGTCTTGTACACAGTAGGATTCAACAAGGAGATCTATGTGTTATTTATATGTTTTTATATATCTCATTTACATATATGTTGTTTACATATATATCTTACTAACATATATCTCATATAGGTATATACACAAATGGTCCCTAACTTATGATGGTTTCAACTTTACAATGGTGTGAAAGTGAAACACATTCAGTAGAACCTGTACTTCAAGTAGCCATACAACCATTCTGTTTTTCATGTTCAGTACAGAATTCAATAAACTACATGAAATATTCAATACTTTATGATGAAATAGACTTTGTGATAGATGATTTTCTCCAACTGTAAACTGATGTAAGTATTCCACATTTACATGTTAAGTGTCTAAGCACATTTATAGTGGACTAGGCTAAGCTATGGTTTTTGAAAGGTTAGGTGCATTCAATGCATTTTTGACTTGGAATATTTTCAGCTTACCATGGGTTTATCAGAACATAACACATCATAAGTTGAGGAGCATCTTTCTCTCTATCTTTCTCTCTCTCTCTCTATATATATATATACATATATATACACATACATATACATATATATACACACACATATATATGCTCTGTATATATATAGAGAGAGAAAGAGACAACTCTGTTCTCTGAGTGTGTGTGTGTGTGTGTGTGTGTGTGTGTATGCACAGGCACAGAAGAGACAGAAAGAGAAATCAAATCATCCATGGCTAAATTTGAGAATAGATTTGTGTAATTATCTTTATTTTCCCAATCAAAAAGTTAATGAAGAAATGGAACTGACAAAAACAAGTACCAAGCAATATTATACTTCATTAAGGTTTTTCTCTTTTGATTTAATGACTAGACTTATTATAACTTCTTACGAAATAAATTATTGAGCAGAACACAGTTTTGTTGGGGACCAGGAATTTTCAGACACTCGGAACTCTATCCTAGTCTATCCTCTGGGTCTAATGGAAAGTTACTTGCTCAATGTTTATGTGAGCCAGGAACCAGCAGAAGTGGGTGGATAACTTCAGTCAAAACACAGGGAAATTTTAGAGGATGATGGCTGTCAGAAGTCCAGTTGCATATCTGGAAGCCATCTCTTCCTTTATTCATGACTTTAAGGACAAGTGGACATTTTTGAAAAGGTACATGGTGGTTTCTTTATACTTTGGCAAAGAGTCACTGTGGACTCAGGGTGTCCCAGACACAGGGAGCAGAGTGAGTGGCAGAGGAATCTAAGGGTGGTTCGTGATGACTGTTTGATCCAGCAGACACTTTTTAGACGTCTAAAAGGTTGGCATTTTATGGCCTATTTAGTCATTTAAATCCTCATGGGCCTTTGACCAGCAGAAGTGGGTGAATAACTACAGAGCAGTTCAACCTGAACTTCCAATTACAAAAAAGAAAAAGTGAGGGGGCAGGGGTTTGCTGGTGAATGACAGTCTCCTCCCTGAAAAATAAAACAAAATTAAAGTTAAAATAAAACAAAGTTAAAGACTACTGAAAACTAATCTAATAATATTGGCATTTCTTCCCCAAAAATATCAGCTTTAAAGAACTGAATAGAGAGTGGTGGAGAGACTGAGCTTTCCTTTGTTATCGTTCTGTTTTGATCATTTCACTGCTCCTACTTTATTTTAATAATGCGGCCAAAGACTGATTCAACCTCTCTCTCCCACTTTAATAAAGGTTCATTAGTGGATTAGGAGAGATTTGAAACCGAGCCCAGTGGAGTCAGCAGAGACAAGTTCCAAACGGCCATTCAGCACATTTTGAAAAGCGCCAAGCTAGCAACTTGGAAAACAGCCACCAATAAAATGTGGGTGTACTTGTGTACATGGAGCCCCAGTGGACAGACAAAGCACCCCTACTTCCAGGAAGGGCAACATGGCTCACCGAAAATGTTCAAGGCAAAGATTGTTGTGTCTACTCTGAGCCAACCCCAACAAAATAAATATAGCCCAACCACATGGAAAATCAGGGAGAAACTGATGACCACATATATTATTATAATCAAAATAAGTGAATAAGTGCAGCCACTTGTGCTACTCTGGGATCCCAGCATCCTCTTCGAAATCTACAAGCCCTTCTCTATGGAAGCAGGTCCCACAGTCCTACCTGGCCTACAGAGAGGGTCAATCACAGGTGTTTGCAAGCATGTAGGTGGTTTACACATCAATGCTTCACTTCCTTCTAAGCCTTCTCCAAGGGTGAAACTAAGGAGGGAGCTGTTGACTTCATCTTTTTTCCCCTGTTTCCACAGGTCTTATCAAAATTATTTCTGATGATATTTTCAATATGTACATAAAAATTCCACTTCTATTAGTATTACCAATAATGATAACAAGCTAACAATTGAGCACTTGTGAATTTTTCTAAGAACATTACAGCCGTTGGCTCATTTAATATTCAGAACCCTGTAACACACAATAACCCACACTCTTGATTGTCTGACTTAAGCCCTATCTATAATCTCCTTTCTCTCCCAAATTCAAGCAAAGGTGGTCAGGAGATACAAATCAGGCCCATAAGTGAGTTTCTGCTTATTGGAAATTTGAGAAAAGCTTTGATTTTCTGATAAAAAGGCAGACTCAGCAAAAATTCTCCCATGCCTCTTTTCCCTTCTTTTTGTATGAAAAGTAGAATCGCACACAAAGTATGGCAGAGACAAAAAACCTCATTTCTCTCACACTATTGATCAGCAGCACCTGCTCTTTGGGTTTCTCTTTGTTTAAGCTACTGTAAGTCATACTTTCTGGTACCTTCAGGCGAAGATATTCCTATCCGGTGCCATTTATAGGTGAGGAAGCTGAGACATGATAAAATGAAGCCATCTGTCTAAGATCACCCAGGTGGGAAATGCAAAAGCTTATCTTAAACTCAAACTCTTTTTTTCCCAGAGCCCACATTACTAACCACTATGGCATGCTGTGATGCCCCTGGCAACCATTAGATTAGAAATATGGACATTCTAGGCTGGCCCAGTGGTTCACACCTATAATTCCAGCACTTTGGGAGGCCCAGGTGGGCAGATCACTTGAGCTCACAAGTTCGAGACCAGCCTGGACAACATGGCAAAACCCCATCTCTACTAAAAACGCACACAAAAAGAACCCAGGCATGACGGTGCGTGCCTGTAGTCCCAGCTACTCAGGAGGCTGAGGCAGGAGAATTGCTTGAGCCGGAGAGGCAGAGGTTGCGGAGAGCTGAGACTGCACCACAGTACTCCAGCCTGGGCAATAGAGCCAGAAAGGAAAGAAAGAAAAAGAAAGGGAAGGGAAAGGAAGGGAGGAGGAAGGAAAGGGAAGGGAAGGGGAGGGGAGGGGAGGGGAGGGGAGGGGAGGGGAGGGGAGGGGAGGAGAGGGGGAAGGGGCAAGGGGGAAGGGAAGGGAAGCCGCACGCCACCACACCTGACTAATTTCGTATTTTTAGTAGAGATGAGGTTTCACCATGTTAGTCAGGCTGGTCTCAAACTCCTGACCTCAGATGATCCGCCCAGCTCGGCCTCCCGAAGTGCTGAGATTACAGGTGTGAGCCACTGCGCCCAGCCTATTGTGATTCTTTTACTCAAGTTCTCTATACAACTTTCCTATTAGCTACAGAAACACAAAGTCAAGTTCTGGATCCTCTTGCCTCTGCTTGCAACTCTGTTGCCATCTCGCCCATCCTAGATCTAGCCAATACTTCCCTTTAATTCTTTAATTTTAAATGCTTTTAATCTGTGGAATATGCCAGTATGCCAGAAGTTCCCTAACTATATTCATTTATATGATGCCAAGGGAAAATGGAAAGAGGAAGAAAGGAAAGGGGGTGGGGGATGGGAAGGGGAAGATGGGGGAAGGGAAGAAAACATTGTTATAACTAATTTTACCAGAAGTGATACATTGTGTTGGGATAACCTTTTTAACTTTCTATTTGGAAATAATTTTTAACATTACAAAGGGTTGCAAAAATAAAAATAGTACAAAGATCATCCATCCATTTAGCCTTTACCCAGATTTTGCTGCTGTTAATAGTTTATTCCCATTTGCTCTGTCATTTGCAATAGATGATAGATGATCAATAGATCAATAGATTGGTAGGCTGACAGATGATTGATAGACAGATAAATAGATACTTTTTTTCTGAACATTGTTTTTTACCCCTAAATACTTCAGTGTATCCTATGGCATATTCTTTTCTACAATCACCATACACTCATCAACTTCATGTATTTGCACTGATACAATAATTTTTTCTAATCTAACAATCATATTCTAGTTTTGTCCATTGACCAAATAATATCCTTTCTTGCATTTTCTCCCTCCAGTGCAGAATAGGTAGAGCTTCATTATAAAAGTGTTTGTTGCTGCTGTTGCTGCTGCTGTGACTGTTTATATATTAGTTAAATTATTTGATGGAAAACTTTTAGCCCTTGAATAGGGGCCAACCCGTGGACAGCCCTTATCAGGACTCAGGCTTCCAAGAGCGGTTCATACTTGACCTCATCTCTTCCATGCCTACCCTCTGTTTTATCCTTTCCACTCCTTTTTGTTGCAGAAAGAAACAAACGGCAGGGCTCACTTTAGACCCAGGTGAGCTGGGCTCCTCCCTCAGTCCTCATGATTCAGGGGCCCATGAAAAGGTCTTTCATGATAGTTTCTGAGACCCCCACCCCCAACCCTCTGGTTCCTGGGCCTGGCTGGAGCTGGTAGTGTGGTCTGGGCAGGTTTCCTGAGCCCAAATGGGGATTTGCTTGTACCGAGTCCCCCTTTCTCCCGTTTAGAGTTCTTTCCAACCCACTTTCTTATGCACAGGGTAGGCTTGACATTCCAAAGAACTCCAGATCTCGTGCCTGCAAGGTCATCCTGGGGCCCTGGGGCTGACCTCCAGTTCCAGAAAAGCAGCCTAGTGAGTGGATTGATTCTGCTGACTGGCACAGGATTGCTGTCATGGGATGGTGTGCGATTGGGCTGCCAGAATGGTGCTGACATCCTGATTTTGAATGATTCTCACTCACTTGGTCACAGGATGAGTTCAGGACTCTGGGCTCCCAACAGCCATCAGCCAGCTCTTGGGTTCGAGCTGCATGTGAGGTTCCCTGCCTCCTCAGTTGTCCCTCTTGCTGCTACTATGGTGCTGTCTTTGCTCTGCAGCACCCGCGGTGGCAGGCAAGGTTTATGCTGTGGACCCCCTGCTGCTGAAACCCAGGGCCATCCCCCATCCCTCTGCAGGCTGCACCATAGTGCTCGAAGGTGGCTTCACCCACCTCCTCCAAGGGCTTTCCGGATTGTTGTTCTGCAACACCAGCAGGCTCTTCCAATCCATGTTCATTCTTTCCTCCAGCTGATGTGATGACTGTGCCCTCCCAGGTTAAGCTGAGCCAGATAAGGGTCAGGGATTCCTTGCCTAAATGGGATCACTCTTCTTGCTCCACCACTGGAAACAGTGTGAGGAAACCAGGGGTGCAGTCAACATGAAAAGAGATCACATTTTAGGAGTGCTGTGATTACAGCCTCAAGGGTTCAAGAGAAGACATGGTTGGAAAATGTGTTGTTCTATATTTATACCATAAAGTTCCAAAGGGTAAATTTACCTGACCATAAAATAAATGACTGTGCACATTTTCCTGCATACTCTGTGCATTTGTGGTCGCCTTCAAAGAAGCACCGGCACGACCTCTGAAAAAGCCATCAGAAGCCAGTATTCACAGGCAGCAGGATGGATGGTACAGCATCATGAGTAATGATGTAGCCAGCATGAAACAAATAGCACTGGGGACTTTAGAGGCAAGAAGAGTCAGAACGTCTCAACACAGACAGGTTCTGACAAGCTATAGGTCTTGAATAATAACAAGATTGCCACCCTTTTCTCACAGTGGGAGATATGAATTACTCAGGAACAACACATTTGACAATAACTAATATGAAGAGATGATTCCTGGATCCAGAAGGAAAGAGGTGGTGTCAGGATGCTGCAAAGAATTATCAAGTAGTCTGGACAATAAACAAATATATCAGTACCTCCTTACCCATCATTCTTAATCTTCAGTGGTCAATCACTAAACCTTGTATATGTTTAAAATTTTGCAAAGCATTTTTCAAAGGAATTGCTTGTATAAATGAGAGACCCACAAAAAAAAATACTTGCCCAGAGTCCCACGTATCCTAGTGTGGGCCCTAAAGAGGTAGGATAGACACGTTCTCAATGTCCTAATTCTAAGAAGGGCATCACAAAGCGTGAAGGTACTCCAAAGACAACTCTGAGTTTTTCTTACATCTTGATCAATTCCCATTGACTTTTAAGCATTGTAGAAAGTAGAAAAATTACAACCAGAAAATGTGTCTGGAACACAGGCAGATACCCACTGAAACTTGAGACCAGAGTAAGAGAGACTGACTTCAGCTCAAAACAGTGAAGTCTCCAAGGCCTCATGCACACACTTTGAACAAAGAAGAAAATATGGCTGTGCAATTGCACAACTTGAGGAATAGCACATGGGGGATAGGCTGCCAGTCTAGCTAGAGAAGGAAATATACAATCCCATTACTGCAAGCTAAGAAGAAGGACAATTCATCAAGACAAGAAGGTTCTGTGGCAGTGTCTAAGGAGTCACTGTACTTTATTCAATAGTAAAAAAAAGCTCGGAAAAAAAGCTGATCTGTTTTCACAACTAGGTGAGCCCTAGTCACCTGTTCCTTGGAAACTGCTTCATTTTCTTTCTGCTTCTTTTGTGCTACACCCACGTTTTCTTCCCCTTCCCCGCCAGGTCTCCTGTTCTGCAGGATTAGAGCTGAGCCCAAAGCGGTATGTTCTGTTCCTCCCTGGCAGCAACACTTCCACATTCGGAAGTGCCAACCTATGCGCAATTCTTCTCATGTCAGTTTCATTGTTCTTTCCCTCCTTCACTTTGTGATAATTATGCCTATTGGTATCTCCATTTATTTTTCCAAAGAGCACTAAGAAATGTATAACCCCAGAGCAACAGAAGCACAACCCACCACTACTTCCTTTTTTTGGAGTCTTTGGCTTGGATCAAGTTACCATTTGCTGTATTCATATGCGGGCAGGAAGAATTACAGAAATAAATAAGTTAACCCTCACTTCAACAATGACTGGAAACCATGATTAATTCAAACAAAAGATATGTGCAGTGACTTTAACATTTAGAAGGGCCAAATTATGCTATCCTTCCTTTATTGAGTAAAGCATACTCTGCTAAGGAGAGCCTAATTTCTGTATTTCTGTCACTTAATAGGTAGTAGAGGATGTCTACAGCTTTTTTTGGAAAACCTCAGATATGACAGGGAAAAAGAACAAAAAAATTGAAGAAAACAAAGAGTACAGTAAAACTGTGAGAGGGAAAGGAGGAAACAGAAAAAAATGAAAGAAAGAGGTATGTCTGATAGGATGGAGAAGGAGTCAGTTCCATGTAGATTGAGAGACTCTTGGGATATGGTTATTGGCCAGATGCCATATATGTTGTATATGAAACTGGGATAACTATAGCAGAGGTTGTTTTGAAAATGAATTGGCTAATGGGAATTTGCTGCATGCCTATCTTACGCTATGTATAAGGAACATTTCAAGCCCAGTTGTTACACATCAGTACTTTCTCTTATTGTTACATGTCAGTGTCCCTCTTTACGTCACAGTGAGGGCTGGGATGCAGGAAAAGTGAAGCCTGGGTTCACCTAGCACAATACCCTTTTTTCTCAGCAATTCTATTAACATAACAACTGTGACAAATGTCATAATACAAATGCCAACAGACAGCTGGACACGGGGGCTCCTGTAATCCCAGCACTTTGGGAGGCCAAGATGGGAGGATTCTTTGAGCTCAGGAGCTCAAGAGCAGCCTGGGTGACATAGTAAGACCTCATCTCTACTAAAAATAGAAAAATAAAAATTAGCCAAGCATGGTGGTGCATGCCTGTAATCCCAGCTACTCAGGAGGCTAAAGTGGGAAGATCACTTGAGCCCAGTAGTTCAAGGCTGCAGTGAGCTCACACAACTGCACTCCAGCCTGGGTGACAAAGCAAGGTCACCAAGGTGCTGTCAAAAAAAAAAAAAAAAAAAAAAAAAGCCAACCAAAGAATTTGAACACATTGTTTTTATTCTGGCTTTACAAGGAATTTCAGTATATGAAGAGATTTCCTTGCTTAAATTATTTTGCTAAAATATTTAACTAATAGCTGGCATTAATGAGTGAGTGTGATGTTCTAGGTATACTTTCAGGTACCTTAAATGTAATAATTTATGGAAAGCTCACAATAGCTCTACCCTCATTTTGCTGATGAGGAGATTGAGGCTCAGAGGGACTAAGCAACCTTCCCAAAATTTCCCATCTGGTAAGTGATGAAACTGGGTTACAACCACAAAGCAGCTTATTCGAAGCTACTTTTGAACTCTCGGATATTCCAACACATTAAATCAATTAGCATCAACTAGCATCTTTAATGACTTTTTGATTTGGTTCTACTTGCTACATCTGCAGTCATCGTCATTCATCCACAAAATAAATACGCTTTCTCACTCTCCTGATTATTAAAGTGCTCTGTTCTCCTGAACTTGACAAAACCTGAATATTCATTCAGGAAGCAAATAACTGGTGAAATCTATTAAACCATCCAGAGACTCTTCCAGGCCATAGATCTGAAACTGTCATGGGTAGTTTAGTAATTTTTGAGAATCCACAATGCCTTTAGAACTGCACAGAAGATGAAAGAATATTATCTCTACCTCACCCTCTGAAAAAAGCCAGAGAAAAACCAGCAGAACTTCTTGTTCCTGTATCTGGTGGCACATCATATGCTTTTAGATATGATCATCGAGACAAGCAGAGTTTCAATTTTCTTTTTAAGCTCCACCCTACAACCAGCAGAAGAGAAAGTTTTCTAAATCACGCAGACCCATGTTACTTTTACAGTGGAGCTGGTGAGGGAGTAGGGTGCTGTTTTTAATTCTGGAAAGCAACACACACAATGGAAATCTGATCCTACAAAACCATACCTCTGGGATAGCATCACCTTTCAGTCTCATAACATTTAATTGCCTACATAATTCACACTTTTAGAATATAATTATGGGTTAATATCACATTTGCATACAAACTTCACACAGGCACAATAAATCAATTACAGCCACCTGAAAAATCAAAGACATGTCTCTGAGGTATCTACTTATCCATAAGCCTGTTTAGAAAAATTTCCCCTCCCTTTTTAGTTTGTCTCCAGGGCTAATACCTAAATCCAGAAGCCTGAACCATCCCATCATTTCCACATCTCTTTTACTCAAGGAGAGCTTTAAATTCCGTTTTAGGACTTTTTCTCAAACAGGTTCTCTTAATGGTAATATTCAAATAAAGGTAGGAATATTTCAATATTAATAACTAGTCTTTAGTGGGCTTTATCATTTGCAATTTACTACCTCATATATTTTTCTTGTAACACACCAAGCAACCCTGTGAAATGTCATGTGAGTGACATGCAATTATCAGCATTTTACACATAAAAAATGTGACCTGAGAGAGGCGATGTAATATTATTACTGGTTACATGGCTGGGAGATATTACAGTCAAGATTCATACCTAGGTTTTCCGAGGCTGAAATGTTCAGCAAAAATCCACTTTAATATGAATCAGGCCATATGTACATACATTTTATTAAACAAAAATCTAGAAAATATCCTAAGAGTAGATGTAAGCATTCCGTGAGGTATTTTCTATGAATTCAAGCATACTACAGCTACCACCACATAAAAGACAGACGTGAAACCAGACTCGAAATGAAAACCAACAGAACTATTTTTATTACCCACGCTTTGTATAAAAAACAAGAGGAGAAAAAAGCCTGAAGATCAAATGACAAAGAACTTTCTAAATCTGTCACTTAGTAACATATTGCTAAATTCTTGTTTTCTTTGTCCGCATATGTTAAAAGTCTGCCTTCTACAGAAGATTTTATATTCTTTCTCTCTCTCTTAATACTCTACCTTCTCGAGTGCAATGGGAGAATGACAGGGTGACTGATTAATACATGCATAATATCAAAAATGTGTAAGACATGTGTAAAGAGAATTTTTTTTTGTCTTTGACATTGCCTGTGTTCCTCCCATTTTTACTAATTTTTCAGGTATGAGTATTGTATAATGAAGATCCAGGATACTGCAAAGCCAATTAAACACAAAGGACATAACTTTCACCTCAGGAGATGCACACGTGCCCACAAAACCCGCCACTGAGCTGCCTCTTTCTCTATGTCTACATTTCAGACCATCTCTAAAACATTCGTGGGCAGCTCATAATTCTTGCCAAATCCATATTTAACCTTCTGCAGCCACATTAGTGGACATGGCTTCAGCATTCGTTGCCTAGAAAACAGATCAATAGGCTCTACATTTTGAAGGGCATCAAATCCTCCCGGTCAGGGGCAGAGAGGCGGTGGGCCTGAGAAGAGCCAGCAGCAGTCAGATTGAGCCTCACTGCGCTGCCTGCACCGGACGGAACAGAACCTTTCTGGGGCTTGCCGGGCATCCCGCACCTAGCGGGGGCTGAGTTGCTGTGCTTCTCCTGGGCACTCAGAAATGCATCAGCCTGGGCCAACAAATCAAAGCCGAAGCTCAAACTAATTACAGTCTGTGTGTGGCCAGGGCAATCCCAACAACTCCCATGATTAAACTTCAGAGGGGTTTCGAAACGTCTGCAGGTAGACACATTCCAGCCCAGCCGTCTTTTCTCCCTTCAGCATCTTCAACAAACTCTTGGGCAAGATTACAGGAGATTCTCCCTTTCTCTATTATATATTTCTGTAACAAGTTGAGTCTCTTTAAATGGTAAGCAGATATCCTTCTTATCAAAAAAAATGCTTAAAAATTACCTCCAGCTCAATATTCTTTTATATCATTGCTGTATCTGAATAACATGTTCAAATGAAAACTGTGTTGCCTCTGTTTGAGTCACAATCATTAAGGGCTGAGCTGCTTCCAAAGACCACAAAGAATGTGCTTCTCTTCAATTTAAATGATTATCTCAATGTGGAATATGAGTAGGTTTTGTTGGGGTCTTTGAAACCGTTTCTGAGTTACATATCATAAAGTCTGTGCCATTCACAGCCATGAATAAAATAAGTTGTAAATGAGTAAAGTGTAAAATTGCATGCACTGCAATTTGACCCTTTCATTCAAAAGATGAAAAATCTGGCTTAGTTCTGGAAATTCCTTCAATAGACTGAGTTGGAAAATTTCCACCAAACTAGATGTTTATTTTATAAATAAAACACACCATATCACACATCCAATGTCAAAAATGCTCTTAGCTCTACCTTCAAAGGCTACCTCGGACCTAACCACTGCTCACTCCTTCTTCTGCTTCCATACTGGCTCAAGCCATTCTCCCTCACTTAGGTCATAGACTCTTTGTGATTCCATGTAATTACATGGAATAGACATTCCTCAAATGTCGATTCCAAACACATGACCCTCTGAAAACATAAGTCAGATCATGTCAGCGCTCTGCCCAATACCCTGCAATGGTTCACTAGTTCCCTCTGAGGAAGAGCCAACACCCATAAAGGCCACCAGGCCCTCCTTGAACTGTCCCCATTAGAGCTCTCCTTCTCATCCCTGATCCGGCATAATGGCTTCTTGCTGCCCTCAATGATGCCTTGGCTGCAGCTCCTCTCTACCTAGAAACCTCTCCTCTACATATCTGCATAGCTAATTCCCTTCACTTCTTCAAATCTTTGCTCAAATTATCCCATTTCAGTGAGGCCTTCCCAGACCTCCCTATTTAAATGGTAACCAGTGCCTTTCTTTTTCCCCCACTACCCTACTCCACTGTTCCCTGTTGCCACAGCATTTTGTCTCTTCTGGGATATTATATAAATTACCATTGTATTATGGTGACTGTTTATCATCTGTCTTTGTTCATTTGGTTCACCTGTATATCTCAAATCACCTGGAACCATACTTGACCCATAGTAGGGGCTCAGTAAATATTTGATAATGAATGTTGAAAGAAAGATGAGTTGGAAATGGCTAAAATTATGCTATCCCTTACCAATATACCAATATACTCCATTGCAAATTTTGGAATTTCCTTTTTCTTACATACAGTTCTTAATATTGATTTACTTCCCCAACATAATCCACAAGGGAATAAAAGAAGATTCAATTCCTCTCTTTCTATTCCAACCAAAGTTACACTTTTTGAGGAGAAAAAGTGGAAAGTAGGCCTGTGAGCTCAAATTTTCTCCATTGTGCATAAATGTTTGCACATGTGTATCTGTTGTTAGAATGGCCTCATAAATTGTAACAGCAAGTCAGAGAAAGCCAAGTGAGCTATCCAAAATTCAACTGAATATCATCTTAAATATTCATCAGAGTTGTAAGGTCTTAAGACCATGAAAGAATGCAGAATCACACCAAGAAAAAAAATCTTTACCACTTAATAAAAACTATACTTTTAAATACCTTGAGATTCCATCAATTGTCTTTAGATGGTACAATGGTCTTAAGAAGTCAAGGAAAAATATATTTACAACTCTTACAAAACAAAAAAAATATTGAGTTCTATCAGGTGATCAACCTGGATAAAATCTGCAGATTTCTGTGAATAAAGAGAAGAATTGGGGAGCTATGTGTATGAAACATCAAGCCAGAGGAATGGGCTACGGGACCAAAGAGGCCCACCCTTATTACATTTCAAAGTCCATGAAATGACAACTGTAACATGGGGCTCCATGTATCCCATTGTGATCATTCACAAGACTCCCAGTCTTAAGTAACCTGAATTAACAGGGAAGGAGCCTACTATCTTCCATAAATTGGGAAGCATCTTTTAACCTTGGGAAAATATAGCATTACCAAATAAAATTTTAAGAGCCTGAAGATCTTGGCATATTATTTGTGTTAAAACAGAATCGAGAGGCCAGATGCAGTGGTGTGCACCTGTAGTCTCAGCTACTCATAGGACTGAGATAGAGGGATCACTTGAGCCCAAGATTTTGAGTTTAGCCTGAGCAACATAGCAAGATCCCACCATTAAAATTTTCCTTAAAAATTTTTCATTAAAAAAAAAATGTATTTATGCCTATAATCCCAGCACTTTGGTAGGCCAAAGCAGGCAGATTGCTTGAGTCTAGAGGTTTGAGACCAACCTGGACAACATGGTGAAACATCTCTACAAAAAAATACAAAAAAATTCGCTGGGTGTGGTGGCATGTGCCTGTAGTGCCAGCTACTCGGGAGGCTGAGGCAGGAGGATCGCTGGAATCCAGGAGGCGGAGGTTGCAGTGAGCCGAGATCACACCACCGCAATCCAGCCTGGGTGACGGAGTGAGACCCTGTCTCAAATAATAATAATAATAACAATGTAGAAGAATGCCTGGCACAAAAAAACGGTGTTCAATAAACATTGGCCATCATTATATTGAAATGGAATCTATATGCATTTAGTGTGCTTCTCATGACAAACTTCTCAAATCAAACATTTCAAAGTACTTGGAATGATTTGGCCTGTTGAAGTGACAACATTTTAATGTTCATTTAAAATGTATGTTTGAGTCATTGACTTAAACTTCAGGTCTTAAGATAAAATCATACTAAGTCTGGGCATTATACTAGAATATCAAAGATAATTAAGGCTCTCGTTATAAAGTATATTTTTATATTTATAATAGTTATTTGGGATGAGGGAAAGTTTTATTTGTTAAGGCAGATAACAAAATTAAAGTAAAAACTATAAAATGTATAAATGCTTATTTACTACAGTAATATACCAGGATGAAATGGGATTTATCTAGGTCTGTAAATGGAACCAACGTTATTCCCAGGCCCTTTAGAAATTATTGTGAAAATCTGCTAAATAGAATAGAATAGAATAGAATAGAATAGAATAGAATAGAATAGAATAGGAAAGTCTGTGGGCCGGGTGCAGTGGCTCACACCTGTAATCCCAGCACTTTGGGAGGCAGAGTTGGGCGGATCACCTGAGCTGGAGAGTTCAAGACCAGCCTGACCAATATGGAGAAACCCCGCCTCTACTAAAAATACAAAATTAGCCAGGCGTGGTGGTGCATGCCTGTAATCCCAGCTACTCGGGAGGCTGAGGCAGAAGAATCACTTGAACCTGGGAGGTGGAGGTTGCAGTGAGCTGAGATCGCACCATTGCACTCCAGCCTGGGCAAAAAGAGTGAAACTCCATCTCAAAAAAAAAAAAAAAAAAAAAAAAAAAAAAAAAAAAACAAGAAAGTTTGTAAACTGAGCTTTAAAGATTCAAAAACAACTGGAGTTTTGAATTCCCAACTTTCATAAACTGAATACTAGTTGGTTCAAAATAAAAGTAGACAATTGATCTTTTCTAAATTTTATACACCTTTCTGCACATAAAAAAGATTTTGGGAAGAGTAAAAAAATAATGAAGATGAAAACCCAAATGTGTGACTCCTAACCAAGGAAAGCTGGTGTCAGGAGAGTGGGATGTCCTCAGTGTGCAGGGACTGGAGAGGGAATGGGTGGGTAGGGAATGGGTGGGAATAGTGGCAGCGTCTAGACAAGTGGCCCAAAAATAATAGTATTATGGGCAGAAAGGGAAATTTTCCCTGAACAAGAAAAATAATAATCATCATCACAAAATACTCAAAGTGCTCTGGACACCATGAATGAGGAAGAAATGAACCCAGGTAGGACTTGCCAGACTGGGAAGGGAAGGAAGTTGTCCAATGCAAGTTCTTGGAGAACCGCAGCTGTGACAGAGAACAGAGTTGGGGACTCTGGATCTGAGCACCCTTGCTCTCTGCAGAGGCTCCCTTTATCCCAAAACCGTGCTGTTGCAGCCACGACTAAACCAACAGGATTTCTTGGTAGACACTCCATAGCACATATTCAAGAGTGAATGTGTGTGGGTGTAACTTTCTGTTAACAAGTTCATTCTCCAGGACAGTTTAAAAGATCTGAACTCTGAACACCAAATGCTGAAAGCTTTCTTGAATTCTGAAGGGTATGTACCATAAATCTAGTAAAATTTAGTCAAAAAAACTTAAAACACCTTGAATGTCTACAGGTAAATGATAATAATACTGCTGCTTGCCTTTATTTAGTTTACAAAGAGCTATTTTCTGCATTTTCTCCTCTGCTCCTCAAAATGGCCCAATTATCAGGGGGACCAATCAGGCCATTTTTAACTTCATTTTGATTAACATTTTAGTAATGTAACTAAATGCACACACACACACACACACACACACACACACATACATACACTCATTTTCGCCTCACCTTTTGCAGGAAAAAAACAGAATTCCCGTGATCAATTGGCTTTCTGGGCATCGAGTGGAGATGAGCTGCTGAGAGAGGCTGGCACTGATGGACCTAGGCCTGGTTAATATCCCTCTGTTTGGGAAAGGGTTGGATTCTCCTTTTGGATTTCAGACAATATAGATCTCTAAGACTGTGGGGCTGCTATCGACAGTAAATTTCCCAAGGTGGGGGCCACCCCTCTGGCCAGCCAGGTGACCTTCCCTGGGTGAGCTTAACCCTATTCTCTCCTTTAATGCCTAGGTAAAGGAAACATTAATTCTGCATTTCAATGTAATGGAATTAAAAACATCCCAGACTGGAAGATTTTGGCTTCTCACCCACTGGCTGGGTGATTTTAAGCCACTCGCTTTATCTTAGGTGTGTTTTCTCATGTGTAGGATGAAATATTTTACAAATATGAATATGAAAATATGAGTGTTGATAATATGAATTTGAAAGTACCAATATTGTTATAAAACCATCAGCAAAAATCTCAAAATAGTAAAAACTTCAGCATACATAGATTCATCTGGAAGCCCTGCTAAAATACAGATTTCTGGGCATCGCCTCAAAGTCTTCCATTCAGGAGGTCTTAGTGCAGCAGAGAATTCGCATTTCTAGCAAGCTTCCAGATATTGCTGATGTTACTGGTCCAGGGACAAGACTTTGGTTTTGTTTTTTGTTTTGTTTTATTTTAGAGTCAGGGAGTACATGTGCAGGTTTGTCATATGTGTGTATTGCATGATGCTGAGGTTTGGTCTTTTAATGATCCTGTCACACAAGTAGTGAACATAGTACGCAATAGGTTGTTTTCTGACCCTTGCCCCACTGGCACCCTCCCCACTTTTGGAATCCCCAGTGTTTGTTTATGTGTTTATTTGTTTGTTTGTTTGTTTGTCTGTTTGTTTGTTTGTTTTTGAGATGGAGTCTCACTCTGTTGCCCAGGCTGGAGTGCAGTGGCGTGATCTTGGCTCACTACAACTTCTGCCTTCCGGGTTCAAGCAATTCTCCTGTCTCAGCCTCCCGAGTAGCTGGAACTACAGATGCGTGCCACCTCTCCCTGCTAATTTTTATATTTTTAGTAGAGATGGGGTTTCACCATGTTGGTCAGCCTGGTCTCAATCACCTAACTCCAAGTGATCCACCTGCCTTGGGCTCCCAAAGTGCTGGGATTACAGGCGTGAGCCACTGTGCCTGACCCCCCAGTGTTGATTGTTCCCGTGTTTGTGTCCATGTGTACCCAATGTTTAGCTCCCACTTATTAGTGAGAACGTTTGGTATTTGGTTGTTTCTGAATTAATTCACTTAGGATAATGGCTTCCAGCTGTATCCATATTGTGGCAAAGTCATGATCTCATCGTTTA
Organism: Homo sapiens; assembly: GCF_000001405.40. Lineage (NCBI taxonomy): Eukaryota > Metazoa > Chordata > Mammalia > Primates > Hominidae > Homo > Homo sapiens. The sequence continues at coordinate 17,418,720 of NC_000005.10, read as the reverse complement.
TGGCTGCATAGTATTCCATGGTGTATATGTACTACATTTTCTTTATCCAATCGACCATTGATGGGCACCTGGGTTGATTCCATGTCTTTGCTAGTGTGAATACTGCTGTAATAAACATATGAGTCTAGGTGTCTTTTGGTAGAACGATTTATTTTCATTTTGGTATATACCCAGCAATAAAATTGCTGGGTAGAATGGTAGTTCTATTTTTAGTTCTCTGAGAAATCTTCAAACTGCTTTCCACAGGGGCTGGACTCATTTGCATTCCCACCAACAGTGTATAAATGTGCAGAGACCACATTTTGAAAACCACTGGAATAAGCAGTTAAGAGAGTCCTGTATTCAACTAATTTGTAAAGTGGGATTGATAAATTGTCTTGAGTTGTAAAGAAAAGGGTACACATTGTTGCTACGTACTCCTGTAACCACCCAGCAGGTTCTCCTTGCCCACTGCCCAGAGTCTATTCATCCAGACAGGAATTGCAATAGAGAAAGAGTCGAATTCCTGCAGAGCCGGCTATACAGGAGACCAGAGTTTTATGATTACTCAAATCACTCTGAATTTGTTTGGCTGCATGTTTAGCTGCATGACTCCTAAACCATAATTTCTAATCTTGTGGCTAATTTGTTAGTCCTACATAGTGAGTCTAGCCCCCAGGCAAGAAGGAGGCTTGTTTTGGGAAAGGGCTGTTATCATCTTTGTTTCAAAGTTAAACTAAAAACTAAGTTTCTCCCATAAAATACCTACGAATTCAACTTACAAGGGATCTGAAGGACCTCTTCAAGGAGAACTATAAACCACTGTTCAACGAAATAAAGGAGGACACAAACGGAAGAACATTCCATGCTCATGGATAGGAAGAATCAATATCATGAAAATGTCCATACTACCCAGGATAATGTATAGATTCAATGCCATCCCCATCAAGCTACCAATTACTTTCTTCACAGAATTGGAAAAAAAACTATTTTAAAGTTCATATGGAACCAAAAAAGAGAGCGCATTGCCAAGACAATCCTAAGCAAAATGAACAAAGCTGGAGGCATCATGCTACCTGACTTCAAACTATACTACAAGACTACAGCAACCAAAACAGCATGGTACTGGTACCAAAATAGAGACATAGACCAATGGAACAGAACAGAGCCCTCAGAAATAACACCACACATCTACAACCATCTGATCTTTGACAAACCTGACAAAAACAAGAAATGGGGAAAGGATTCCCTATTTAGTAAATGGTGCTGGGAAAACTGGCTAGCCATATGTAGAAAGCTGAAACTGGATCCCTTCCTTACACCTTATACAAAAATTAATTCAAGATGTATTAAAGACTTAAATGTTAGACCTAAAACCGTAAAAACCCTAGAAGAAAACTTAGGCAGTACCATTCAGGACATAGGCATGTGCAAGGACTTCATGACTAAAACACCAAAAGCAATGGCAACAAAAGCCAAAATACACAAATGGGATCTAATTAAACTAAAGAGCTTCTGCACAGCCAAAGAAACTACCATCAGAGTGAACAGGTGACCTACAGAATGGGAAAAAATTTTTGCAATCTACCCATCTGACAAAGGGCTAATATGCAGAATCTACAAAGAACTTAAACAAATTTACAAGAAAAAAACAAACAACCCCATCAAAAAGTGGGCAAAGGATATGAATAGACACTTCTCAAAAGAAGACATTTATGTAGCCAAAAGACACATGAAAAAATGCTCATCATCACTGGCCATCAGAGAAATGCAAATCAAAACCGCAATGATATACCACTTCACACCAGTTAGAATGGCGATCATTAAAAAGTGAGGAAACAACAGATGCTAGAGAGGATGTGGAGAAATAGGAACACTTTTACACTGTTGGTGGGACTGTAAACTAGTCCAACCATTGTGGAAGACAGTGTGGCGATTCCTCAAGGATCTAGAACTAGAAATACCATTTGACCCAGCGATCCCATTACTGGGTATATACCCAAAGGATTATAAATCATGCTGCTATAAAGACACATGCACATGTATGTTTATTGCAGCACTATTCACAATAGCAAAGACTTGGAACCAACCCAAATGTCCATCAATGATAGACTGGATTAAGAAAATGTGGCACATATACACCGTGGAATACTATGCAGCCATAAAAAATGATGAGTTCATGTCCTTTACAGGGACAAAAATGAAGCTGGAAACCATCATTCTGAGCAAACTATCACAAGGACAGAAAACCAAACACCGCATGTTATCACTCATAGATGGGAATTGAACAATGAGAACACTTGGACACAGGGTGGGGAACATCACATACTGGGGCCTGTCGTAGGGTGGGGGATTGGGGGAGGGATAGCATTAGAAGAAATACCTAATGTAAATGACGAGTTAATGGGTACAGCAAACCAACATGGCACATGTATACCTGTGCGACAAACCTGCACGTTGTGCACATGTAACCTAGAACTTAAATTTTTTAAAAAAAGGCCTGGCGTGGTAGCTCACACCTGTAATCCCAGCGCTTTGGGAGGCCGAGGCAGGCGGATCATGAGGCCAGGAGATCGAGACCATCCTGGCTAACATGGTGAAACCCGGTCTCTATTAAAAATACAAAAAATTAGCCAGGCGTGGTGGCGGGTGCCCATAGCCCCAGCTACTCGGGAGGCTGAGGCAGGAGAATGGTGTGAACCCGGGAGGCGGAGCTTGCAGTGAGCCGAGATCGCACCACCGCACTCCAGCCTGGGCGATGGAGCGAGACTCCGTCTCAAAAAAAAAAAAAAAAAAACCTAAGTTTCTCCCAAGGTTAGTTCAGCCTTCGCCCAGGAATGAACTAGGGCAGCTTGGAGGTTAGAAGCAAGATGGCCTCGATTAGGTCAGGCATCTTCCACTTTCATAATTTTCTGTTACAATTTTTCCAAGGCAGTTTTATTCCTGAAGGTGGTCCTCTTCATTCTCTTAAAGGGGTACTCCTCCAGAGGGATATTACAATTTATCAAGTCCTTCTTCTCACGTCACCTCCCTGGAGGGTAGAAAGGCATCCATGGCAGCGTCCTTCCCCCTCCTGTTACTGAGGTTTCCTCTTCACAGAGTGGCTGCTGAACAGGGCATATGCATGGAAGCAAACAATGGTGAAAGGGTTCCTAACTGGCTGCAGAGAACCAGAGCCTTTAACATTCCTGGCTTGAGACAAAACATTCAGAGCCTCACTGGTGAGCGTGAGTGATGCCGGCCTGAGAGAGCCTCGCTCCCAACGAGGCTGTTCAGAGGCAGAGGCAGCTTGAAGACCCAGCAGCACTCGCTGCTTTGTGTTCAGAGGCAGAGGCGGCTTGAGGACCCAGCAGCGTTCGCTGCTTTGTGTGCGGGGACCCCGTGACCCTGGTCCTGTGTCACGACAGCTGGTCACCCATCTGTCCCCTCTCAGTGCAATTGGGGACAGGATAACATGAAGGCCAAACCTAAATGATTCTGTTTTCTTTTTCTTTTTTTCTTTTTTCCTTTTTTTTCCCACTGGCTGCTGATGGTTGACAAAGGGATTAAAAGCAGAAAAGATTAGACCTGTCTTTAAATACTGGCAGCAACAAATACGGGGGGGAAAGGGTATTTTATAGGAACTACAAATGGCTATCAGATAATTACACTCACTGAACTTGAACAATGAGCCTGCTCTGTTTACTCCGTACTCCTGAGTCGCTTTCTTATGCTTGTCCCGCATATGCACTATTTTCCTCTTAATAAAGTTTAATGTTTAGAGTTCAGGGAAGAGGTCAACATAAGCTATTTGAGATATATGACAGTTCTATTATTTTTCTCTAAATAACTTTTTAATTTAAAATATTTTAATCTAATATTCTGTTTGGTAGCTAATATTTTGGAGAAGTTAAATACATTAGTAAATATATAAATGTGTGTATGTTTGTGCATGTGTATATGTATAAACATATATATGTGTTTATGTAGATATATGTGTGTGTATATATACACATAAACACACACATATTTATATATATATATATATTTAGCATACTCCTGAAAAAATTATGAGCTATATTACAATAACCTCTTTGTAGGCAATCTATCCTCTCTGTAAAGTTTGACTAAAGTAATATGCTTTGTTATTTTTTTATGAACATGCCTGGTAACCTAACTCTGAAGTAAGCAGGCGATAATGTGCTTCTGTGTCTACAGAAGATGCTTTACTAAGTCTTCCAGATAAATGGGGATTTCCAAATGAAATATTTATGAAAATAGTTTTCTTTTGAAAGAACCAGTGCTGCAAAGATGGCTACCTAGACTTATAAGGACAACCCCAATGTCAAATATGCAATCGCATTGTTACATTCCGTGTGCCAGTTTTTTATTAGGCGAATACATGGTAATATAGTGAACGGCAGAGCTGGGCCACACATTGCCTCATAGATCAATCAGTTTGGCTGCACAGGACACTGAGAGCGAGAGGCTGGATGCCTTGCTTAAAGCTACACAGTAAGTTTGTGCAAGCGTTAAAAGCAGGACCCAGAGCTTCTGCCTCCTAACTCAGTATTCCTCCTGAATGATGAAAGTATTTCCCTGTTGCAGAGGAGAGGTCACTCATCGATGGACGCACCTGGGGAACCTACCTCTGAATCACCTCCTTAACCAGTGCTTTCCTTGTGGCGAGAAAAGTCATGGGCTGGGTGGGAGCAAGGCAAGATTTCTGCAAGAATCTGTCTCTACAGTCCTTCTACAGGGCAGAAAAGCCAGTATAATTTTATGATTATTTTCTGAGATTTCTAGTTCACAGGTTCTAAAGCTGATGGTGTAGGTGTGACTCACATTTGGGTACTATCCATGGTCCCTCTGCCCCACCTCCCTTTGCTTTTAGCACTGACACTTTCTCAGCTGCAAACAAGGGAACGGTCTGAAGCTCTCATATTCCATTTGAGAGATACGAAACCAGGCACAGTCCCCCATTTTTTCCCTCCAAGGATCCTGGACAAATGAACATTCAGGACAACCCTGAAAGACATGAGGAGTCCCAGAAGTAAACCCTGAAACCTGAATGGAAAGTGCAAAGTGAACTGGCATGAATTGAGCACACAACCTTTGTCTGTCTCTGCTGAGCTGATTTCTCACCTCAGTCTCAGTTGAGAAACTTGGAGGTGGGGGAGGTTGTTTGTGTGGACCTGTCTGTTCCTTCTCACCCCTAATTAGCCTATGTTCCAAGATGGAGCCAGGATCTTCCACTCCCCCGTCCACAATATGATGAGTCATCTGTCCCTCCCAGGCACTGCCCCAAAAGGGGAAGCCAGTCTGTGTCACCTCGTATGTGACTTAATTCTAACAGCTCCATCAGGTGTTCAGTCAAAAGAAAACAAAAAAGCGCCTGGTGACCAGTGTCAGAATTATATGGATTATCCCCTTCCTCTCTCTTTGGGATCTTATCAAATGCAAATCCTCTTTTGTTCATAATCTCCAAGAAGCAGATTTGAAGATGGAAGTAGATTTGAGAGTTTGGGGTGGGGGACCTGGGAAGGATAAAGGGGAGAGGAGGAGGAATATGTGGGGGACGATCCTTGGACTGAGAGCAGTTCTGACACCTGTGACAGAAGAGACAAAATTGCAGGATGTGGTAGGAGGGGCCTCAGCCTCTGGCAAGCTCTGCGTGTGTTATGTCCATGCTGATGGCGAACCCTGGAGCCAAGTTTACCCATTAGAGGAAACCCACCTTCTGCAGGAATGGCATGATGCTAGCACTTCTGCCTTGCTCAGTCACAGGCTGGGAGCAGCCCCGGGAAAACATAGCCTCTGCATGAATGCCCCAGTGCATTTGAAGACAGAGCAGGTGGACGGTGTTCCCCAGCCTCCCACCTTGAAGCAAGTTCTCTTGAAGGGAGAGCTGAGCAAGGCGCCTCATGGCTCTACATGCATATCTGCTATCTTGATATTTTGCTAGCTCTGCCCTAGAGCTTTCCCAGGAAAACAAACAATTCAGCACCTCGAGAAGAAAATAGCATTAGCAGCACATGACGTAGGCACACTGTAGTACTTTTTACCTTTCATTCTTTGCCTGAGAAAATAATTCCTATTCCTGAAACAAGAATATTATATTTCTTTAACTCAATTATTGTATGTTAGAAATAAAAGGAGGCTTTAGAAGTAATTGAGTAGGTTTATGTATGAGGAGATCTGATTTAATTTACACAGGCTTTCTCTCCTACCTCTTACCCACCATATATTTCTTGATCTTTCTTCAATTCATTCACCTAGAAACCAGACATCTGGGTGATGTGGTAGGACTGCCTGGAGGAATTCCAGGATTGCCCTTACTCTGGCACAATTCTAGCAGAGGCTTATGTGTGGATTTAATATCCAATGGATGATTCTGGGCCTCGTCTAAATTCCAACAAATTATCTCACCCCGCAGAATGCCCCCAAACTGCGCTTACTTTATTGAGATAAAAAGGGCTTATGTTTGTCCTGTGTTTCAAATGCACATGACTGCATCCCTTGCCTGTTCTTCTCTTCTACTAAAATCTACCTTCATGTTATTCATGCCTGTGTTGCCCTGACTACAGCTCAATTGGCTTAAGTGCTGTATTTTTTGAAATAGCTCAGAGCGTGTATGTTCTCCAAGTTCTTGGGTCTCCTACACTTGGCTGTAGAATGTTTTTCAAAGCTCAGCAACCTGATTCAAATTGCCTAGAAAGCTTTTAATAGAGGCTTGTTTCTCAGGCACACTGACACCGTGTTCAATAATCCGTGGAAAGCCCATTTTTTGCTTCTTTTTGGCACAGGATAACTGGAACAATCAGATCATGTACTTAGTTGGCATCACATCGGAACAGATTTGCTTCTTAACCTAGAAAAGAAATACGAATATCTCGCTAATTGACTTGAAAGCTAGAACGTGTGTTCATTTCCTACATCAGGCAGGTTTCTCATTGTTTATGTAAATCTCAAGGCATCTATCCATAGGCTACTAAGTTTCAGGATATAGACAAGTCATTACAAAAACCTCTTACACATTGCTCATCTGTATGCTTGTCTATTTTAAGCTAATATAGTGACTTCACTTTGAACTTTCTTTCATCATACTCCCACTTTTTCCTTATGATCTCTAGATAGTACAAAAAACACTGAGTCTGTACTGAGTTATTTTGCAATGTAAATTCCATAAGAGTAAGGGCTGTGCTTCCTTTATTGCTGTTCCTTCCATACCACAAAGACGTTTTACTGAGAGCCAAAAAACATCATTATCTTTCTCAGGAGTGACTGTGGATTGCAGAGCAATTCTACTCAGATACCTAGATAATAATAGCTAAACACATTTGTTAAGGGCTTATTATATTAATAATATACTAATAGGCACTGTTCTCATATTGGTAGACAGACATACACAGATATTTTTATATGTAGATATGTATGTATATACACATATATACAACTGATTCTCATTATTTGTAGTTTTTATGTTCCGTAAAGTTGCAACAAACACTAAATTAGCAAATATTGAACTACTGCTCCTTTGGGAAATACACAATTAGGTTCCTAAGAGCATCTGGTCACAACATTTTGATTAATCAATCAATTCATAATTGATTTTATTTTAGTTGTGTTTCTTATTTAATGTATAATGTTGATTCACTAACATTAAGCTCAACAGCACTGTAACTCATGTCTGAATGACGTTTCTCTGATACGCACATTTTCTCCATAAGGACTCCATCATAGACTTCTTGCCTTTAGGAACACTAGACAAGATATGAGCATTGCACATTGCAGTGGGGGGGTGCATTTTAGACATCAAAATCACCCACAAAAAGCACGGAAATGTGAAAACGTGGCATTATATATGGAGAGAGAAAAGGGCCCTTGTTTACAGCATGAGAGCTGAAACAAGAAGGCAGAACATATAGTTATTTGAGCTCACTGGGAAATGGGCGTCAGGCAGTTCTCAAATGTTTTGCTACGTTGTGCGTATCCACAAATGATCACAAAAATGCCATAAGAATTGACTGATTTGGAGGTTTGAAATAAATATTAGCAAGTAGGCAAAATTGCAAATATGGAATCTATAAATAATGATAAGTGACTGTATGTGTATAAGTACACACATATATACATGTCCAGAGGAGGGAGTGTGTGGAGATATTTAATGCTGAGGCACATAATACTGCTATCCCTATTTTATAAACCTGAGGCAGGTAATACTGCTATCCTTATTTTACAAATGGAGGGATGGAAAAGTTAGGTAAGCAGCCAAAAGCTATAAAGCTGGAAAGTCTTTAAACCCAGGGATTTGAAATCCAGAGCATGTTTATCTGATACTCAGTTAAGAGTTAACAGTTAGTTTTTGTTTTGTTTTGTTTTTCTTTATTTTCTAAATAAACAAGTATTTATTGAAATACAACATGAAGGCAGGAAAGTACACGTAGCCTAAGTGTATCCTTGATGAATTTCACTGAATGAAGAAGCCCAGGCAACCAAGACTGAGATCAAGAAACAGATCAGATACCCTTGAAGCCTCTTGGGGACATCTTCCTGTCACCACCACCCCACCAAGGGCAACAACTGTCTTCACTTCCGAGTATTAATTACTATTTAAAATAAGATTCACACCTAGTACCTCAACCTTGGTTTCTAATGCCATTCTTCAGTCAAAGGAACCAGGGCACCTTGGAGAAATGGCTAGCTCTAAGACTGAAGCAGGAACACCTAGGGCATCCTATAATGCCAGAAAACAAAGAAGTGCTAAGTACTAGTCACAATAGCAAAATCATGGAATCAACCTAAATGCCCATCAATAGTATACTGGATAAAGAAAATGCGGTACATGTACACTGTGGAATACGACACAGGCATGAAAGAAGAACAAGATCATGTCCTTTGTAGCAACATGGATGGGGCTGGAAGCCATTATCCTAAGCGAACTAGCGCAGGAACAGAAAACCAAACACTGCATGCTCTCACGTACAAGTGACAGCTAAACATTGAGTACACATGGACACAAAGAAGGGAACAACAGACACCAGGGCCTGCTTGAGGGTGGAGGGTGGGAGGAGGGTGAGGACCAAAAAACTACCTACTGGGTACATGCTCATAACCTGGGGCTGAAATAATATGTACACCAACCCCCCAAGACATGCAACTTACCTATAGAGCCAACCTGCTCATGTACCCCTGAAACTAAAAGTTCTTTTCATAAGTGCTAAGAAAAAAAAAAAAACCCACAATTATGGGCATGTCAAGAAGACAAAGGGGCCAACAGAACATGCTCCCAATGGCTAATGCTGGCACAATTCGGGCACAAAGATAAATAAAATCTTTTGGATTATAACTCAAAACATAACATGAATACCCATGAGTCCATACTGATATAAATAAATGACTGAAAAAATAAATAAATGGAGAAAAATAGACAAATCTCCAGTGCAGAAGAATTCCAATATATAATCTTCCCTCAAGGAGGTGGAGAATAACTCTCCACTCCTTAAGTGTGAACTATGCATAGTGACTTTCTTCCAGAGAATACCGTTCTCCATTGCTGCCCCAACTCTGAAGGCAATCTACTCTTTACTGGCCTATCTTTAATGACTTGCCTGTGGAGAAGAATTCAGGTATACCAGAAATACATCAAACTAAGATTCAGAAGACCTGAATTATTGTCTTAATTCTGACACATACTATTGGGTTAGTCACAAATTCTGAACCTCTTTGCAAAATCGAGGAGAAAATTCTCCTTTGTCCTTGTAAGTTCTCATAATTGTGGTTATATGTACAGGCTCTCAAGGCTAAGTTCAAATACCAACACTGCCACTTATTAGCTCTAGGCTCCTAGATAAGAAACTTGATCTCCTTCCACGTTAATATCCTCATTTATAAAGTAAATAGTAGTGCCTACATTCATGAGTTTTTATGAGGAATAAGTTACATGATACATAAAATATGTAGCATCTGATGTAGAAAACAACCAATATATACTAGAAGCTAATAATAATAACAACAATAATAATATGCCTCCCCTTGGAAGTCTACCCTGGTTCCAAGCATCATCTTCTTCAGACAAGTCTTGGTTTAACAGCAAAAAGCTCTTCTGTGATTTCTTACGCTTTTCTGGCTTCTCAATCCCCCATCTGTTGGACACATATTTTTCTTTAAATATATGGATACATTTCATTGACTGAGACTTGAGGTCCCACTGGCCTAGGATCATTTTTCCCCTAATCAGTATCTTTGCAAATCCCTACTCTTGCTTCCTTATAACTCAGTTTTACAGTGTACTCAGAGGGCTTTCTCGAGTTTCCTAATGCAGCATTCTTTTTTTTTATTTTTATTATTTTTTTTTTTTTGAGATGGGGTCTCACTCTGTTGCCCAGGCTGGAGTGCAATGGCGTGATCTCGGCTCACTGCAAGCTCTGCCTCCCAGGTTCACTCCATTCTCCTGCCTCAGCCTTCCAAGTAGCTGGGACTACAGGCGCCCACCACCAAACCTGGCTAATTTTTTGTATTTTTTAGTAGAGACGGGGTTTCACCATGTTAGCCAGGATGGTCTCCATCTCCTGACCTCATGATCCACCTGCCTCGGCCTCCCAAAGTGCTTGATTACAGGCATGAGCCACGGCACCCGGCCTAATGCAGCATTCTTAAGGAGCCCATTGTAGTGCCCAGTTTGGTCATAAGCTCTGACTGGAGAAACTGTAGTTTCTTTGAGTACACAAATAACTCTATAATTAGATTTCAGTCACACACATGGCAAACATCTACATATAGATCTTTAACACTTCATATCTCGAAAGAGACTGAAGAAAAATATTGAACACACCCATTTCTTTACAAATAATGCCAAGTGGAAATGTAATAGTTCATTATGGGCCTTGACTCAGTATGTAATTTCTACACATATGTCATATAGTAGACGGTAAATTTAAAAAAAAACCGAAATTCAAATGCTAAATTCATATATACTTTACTTTTATATTAAAAAGTTTCTTAGTTAAAGGTTCAAAGTAAGCTTCGAATCCTCTCCAACTGAGATGCAGACAACTTTGGCAGGCAATCGTGAGCTCCTTCAATCTCTACCTTCTCTCCCGCATGAATGCTTGCAAGCCAAATTTCCATCAGCCGGGCAATTTCACAAGCTTTGCAAACTCATCTGTGTTCTTATTAGTAGTCGTTATTAAATGTTTACAACACACAAAAACATGTGAACACCTATGGAACATCCACTAGTTTAAAAAAGCCAAATGGCCAGTTGCAGTGGCTCACGCCTATAATCCTGGCACTTTGGGAGGCCAAGGCAGGTGGATCACCTGAGGTCAGGAGTTCGAGACCAGCCTGGCCAACATGGTGAAACCCCATCTCTACTAAAAATACAAAATTACCCAGATGCGGTGGTGCACTCCTGTAATCTCAGCTATTCAGGAGGCTGAGGCAAGAGAATGGCATGAACTTGGGAGGCAGAAGTTGCAGTGAGCTGAGACTGCACCATTGCACTCCAACCTGGGCAACAAGAGCAAAACTCTGTCGCAAAAAATAAATAAACAAAAATAATTTAAAAAGCCAAATGTTGATAATGAATTAAGCCCCACCCCATGAGCTCCTCCCCACCCAACAAGAGTATGAAATATGTGAAGAGGTTAATAGAAATTATCCTCTTATAAAGATGAGGAAATATAAGGTGATGTCTGGTAACGTGCCCAAAGTCTTAATACAGCAAATGGACATTCAGTCACAAGTGACTATAAAGAGATATTCACAGCCAGAATTTGTTGGACAAATCATGAGCAGAGTAAGTCCAGAGGGTGAAGAGAGAAACAGGGCTTTAAATCAGAGTAGGGAAATTGTTCAAAATAAGCAGTGTATGTTATTACTTCACAGTATGTGGATTTATTTCCCAGATTGTGACAATATGGGGAGACATCAAGGCCAGGAAAACCCTGGACTTTGAATCCAAAAACCTGGGTTTGGATATCTGCTATACTTACTAATCAAACGTGACATCAGGAATGAGTCAGAAAGTGTGGTAATGTATCAGTTAGCATTCAGCTGCCAATAGGTGTGTCAGCACAGTTAACTTTTAATTATCTCACACACTGTGAAACTCTAGGTAAGTGGTTCCAGATTTGGTGCAGTAACAAACTGATGTTATCAGAGATGTAGGCTTCTTCTTATTCTCCCTTCAACCTTTGTATCATTTCTCTATCTTCTATCATCCAAGATATGCGATGAATTTTTTTTTCCCTTAGGCTTACTGCCTTATGGGCTAGACCAAGATAGCTGCCACAGAGCCACAATCATTCTCTGGCAGAATTGCATTCATGGCAGGAAAATAGGGCGAGGGGCTGAACCAGGGAGCTGTCTTTTTGCACCTGACCCTTTCCACAGAAAGAAACACCTTTTCTAGAAGCCCCTAAGTGGAATTCTCCTTAGATCTCATTGGTAACATGGTTGCCCTGAGGTGCGAGGGCAATCATTTACCAATCCTTGAAAAATAACTTTTCCAGGAAGAAAATGAAATGATTCAACTGCTTGATATTCAGCTAACAGTACCCATCAAGGATATCCCTTGTTATTAATGGAATTGTGTGTGAATTCATGTCTATACTTGTATGCACACAGTCACACATATGTTTTGCTCATAAAACAATTGGGACACTTATGCCCTTTTGGCAGAGTGGAACAAAGTAAACGTGAACAGAGATTTCTACCCTTTTCAAATAAATAAAAAAATAAGGCATTTTAAGATGACTTTAGAAATAATTTGCTAATAACAATTACTCTTAAATGTTCCTTAAACTTTACACATGTGCTTAAAAATAATAAAACTATTTATGTAGTAATCACAATTTTAGTCATATGAGTCTTAACAGGTTTTGTAACGATCACTGGGGTTTGACTACACCTGTGATTAAAGCCATTTTTAGTTTTATTTTTGCGACTTATTACACTATTTTTCAGTGTTTGCTTTTTAAATAATTGTTAGAGGAAATATATAACCTTTTATAAAAGTAATTTTGGGTGTAAACTAATTTTTTCTCCTTCCAATTCAGATGTTTTGTTGCTATAGAGAAAATGAATGCAAATTACCAAAATGTTAAGTAGCTAATAAGCTTAATGTCTACTGGGAATGAGGAAAATTATATTCCTCTTATAAAAAGGAAAAGTTATTCACCTCTGCCAAGAGGCATAGAGATATATAATACTCACACATAATACTCACACAGAGATTTGCCTAAATTGACTACAGACCATTGTAAGAAAAAAAAAGACTCAAAAAGATAAAACCAGAAGATGGGTAAAGATAAATCTCTAGTTGTTTCAAAGACCTAAGAAATACATGAGACAAAAGCCCAATGACTTGGCAAGTAATTTCAGGGACTTTGAGTGCCATATTTCTTGGAGAACAAGAACTATACTTCTAAAATGTCAACAAATTATAACAGAAATAAAAGTAAACACAGGTTAGATTAAGCAATGGTTCATCATGATTAAGGATTAATGATCACACCTAGATATTGATTTATTTAAATGTTGTACACACATTGATCTTTGAAGATGATGTAATATAATGCTGTTATAAAGAGTTGCTCTTTTTTTATTGGTTCTTAAAAGAAAGATATAAATTTAAGTGTTCAAAAGTCTTACTAAAACTCCACACCAACTGTCCATGAAAAGCAACAGTTCCTAACTTGTTCCCTTTTATGCCTCCAGCATCTAGCACACAATAATATTCTTGGTAAAATAGTATTTTTTTCAATAGTATTTTTTGATAAAAATAAGCCATTTCATTTTGGTAAAAATAAAATCACAAATATGAAACTGCAGTTCACTTGAAGGCAAATTGATAGAAATAAACTTTCAGTGGTAAGATGAGAGATATTAACACGTAATGGAAAGCTGCAAATATCTCCATAGCCCAGGAAAAAATGCAAAAAGCTATTGAGTAGCCGGGATCTGTTACTCCATAGAAGAGCTGTATCTCTTTATGCAACATTTAGCAATATTTCTAAGCAACTACTTACCTGATTCTTTCAGAATCATTTAGGTGGAAACTTCAGACTCTTTTCCCTTAAACTTGTATGTAACTCCCTCTCAAGAGGAGAAAACCCACCCTCCTCCATGAACACAGGATTTAGAAGGAGAAGAGACTTCCTGTTACCTCCTCATTGCTTTTCCAAAGCACAGCTCCCCAGCCTTGAAATAAAAACACCTGTGTTGAGGCTTATGGTACCCAGCTTTACAGGTCTCTTCTACCAACTGCCTGACTCTCTCCCTGACATTTGTGGAAGATTTGAATATCTAGTAGCTGCCCGCTTTTCTTCTCTATCGCTGTTCCTGAAAACGCTGCAGATGATATCTGTGTCTTAAAAGGGATGATTGACCTGGCATTAAGTACTTACTACCCTTGAACTTCTCAACTGCAGACTTTACCTCCAAAGCCCACTGTGCCACCCCATTCCATGGCAACTGTAGGGTGTGGCCTTGGCTCTGAAATCTTCAGCTTTGCCTTATCACTGCAGGCTCGTAGTCTCCCCTCTCACTCCAAGCTTGAAATCCTTCACTGTTGCATTCTCAATTTAAAAATCTGGTCTGCACCCTCCTCTCAGCACACAGAGCTCTCTGCAATCTGTCCACTGTCCGTTTGTCTCCCCGCATTTCTTACCCCACACAAACAGACTTGCCCCTTTCAGACATCCTGAAAGACTGTGTTTCCAGTGCGGCTTTGAGCTTCCAAAGTGGTGCTTCTTTTGTCCTGCTTTTTCTCTTTTAGTTTACTCCTACTCAGTCCTTCAAACCTAGTCTGAAAGTATTCATTTCTGTTAAAAGCCTTTCCATGTTCCATCTGTGCAGTCTGCTTTATTCGCTCCTTCTTCCGGCTCCCAGAATATCCTTTATATAACTCCTGGGTACACTCGCTAAGGCCAGGAGGATGTCTTGCTCACATTAGTAACTGCAACACCTGGGACAATGTCAGGAAGATGGTAGCTAGGACAAGCCTTGAGGATGTTTTCCAGAAAATATTAACACCAGAGAAACTGGAAAAGAGGACATAATTCCAAGTTTAAATTTTTTCTACTGTACACTTTATACTGGTTTGCTAATACCGTTAGATATTTTTATTCACCCCTAGATAGTGGTTGCATTTTATCCCCTACTGAAGAAGAACACTGCATGGTTACTACACAACAGTATGGACAGTGTTTGAAAGTTGAATGGAAGATGATCAAATGAGGTTAAGCTTTCAAGTTGGGAAAAAGGGAGAAAGTGGGAAAAAGTAAGTATTCCTATAAATTTTTTAAGTCAACAAACATAATTATTTTTGTTTCTTAAGGGCTGTTCTGAAAAATGTGAGGAAACTCACCACTTGGTTAAATTTCAGTCATCAACTGAATTATTTAAAGCAAGAAATCTGAGTTTGATTCTGCTTTCATAAAAGAAGCAAACCAGCAAAAGAGGCCTTTTAGAATTACTATATTACAGTAGTTTAAAATAGAAATGCAGCTAGTGCATTTAACACTTAGTCTTCTTCTCCTTATCTTAGTTCTTTAAAATCATCACCAGTGCCCTGGTGGTTGAAAAATTGAGCTGTAACTCAATCTGTGCCATTAATGGCAGAATCCTGGGTCAGTCTATTAACCTATTTTGATCTCAGTTTCCTCATTTGTAAAATGAGAAGAGAGTGGATGAGTGATTTTTCAAATGTTTTGTTAATTGACAGAACTCCCTTCTTTTTCCCAAAGGAAATGTTACCAGGAATCCTGAGACAGGAAACCTGAAAGGCAGGATGGAGAAGATTCAGCTTCCCTCTCTCCCTCCAGGCACACCCCAGAATTCTGGGAAAGAGAATTGGAAAACTGGCTCAGAGGGTCCTATTTTGAGTCTTTCACAGCAATCCTGGCAGGTCCTGGAGTGGACCTGCAAGAAAGGATGAAACGAGGGCAGGTATGCTAAGCTGATAGCCCACGTTAGCTCAAAGGGAAAAGAACACATTTTTCCTAGTTGTAAGTCTGAAAGTGGAATGAGAGATTAGTCCTGAGATAACCTTGGAAGAATCTGTCCCCACCTCCAGGGTTACAATGTTGACTCTTTGAATGGTATTTCTGCCCTGCGTCTTAACTTTCCTGGAAACCCCTCTGCCTGCTCTGATCCCTGAGCCCAATTTAACCTCTTCCTCCTCATCTTCCTCTTAACCCACCATATGGCTCCCAACACCCACATTTTGGCCCACGATGCTTTCTCTCTGTGACCCACCCGAGCGGGCAGCCCTGATTCAGGAAACAGGGGTTATAGTTACTGGAAAACAGATGCCTCAATGGCAATAGGACAAACTTTGGAACAAAGGAGCTCACGGGTCCTTTACGACCTAAAATCTCTAAATCTCTTGCATTGTCTTGCTCAATTGAAATAAGCCGGGGCTTTGTGTTTCCTCTCACCCGCATTCAAAGAGCTGGTGCTGATGACACTTGATTTTCCTCACTCTTCGTTCCTAAGGCAAAGTGAGAAAATGCTTTCAAAACTAGCTCTAAATTTGGCTCATTTTCGCTCTTTGGAAAAATAGAGAGAGAGAGAAAGAGAAAGTCTCACTTTCCTACTCCTACAACTTATTTTAAAATTTGCAGAGGAATTCCCACAGAACTCCTGCAGTTTAAAAAAAAAAAAATCTATTAGCCTGTAAAATGTCCACAAATTCTTCGGCACCCAAAGCCTAGCCGGCAGCTGGTGCCCCACGGCTATTATTATCCCACCCTGGGATTCACTTGTAAAAGCCTCACACACAGTAAACAAATGTCAGAGAGCAAACACAAAGCTCTCTCTAAACTCAAGACATTCTAATTCTTATCTGTTCACTGTCGAAATGTTTACCTGTCCCTTCAATGTTCTGGGCATCTCAGCTGTCAACTAAAAGGAAGAAGCTGAGCCAAAATTAACATAAGTAGAGAGTTGATTCGGGCCAAGCTTGAGGATTGCCGCCCTGGAGAGTATTCAAGTGGATTTTTAAAGGAAAAAGAAGAAAGCAGTTCCTGAGTTGTTTACCAATAAATTATGTTAAAATAACATAAGGTGTTCTTTGTATTGCAAATTCCAGCAACAAGAAGATAATGTGTTAGGCAGTTAATCTGGAACAAAATGCCTTTAAAACATTACCCCCAGGCAGGGGTGCAGGGTGGGGAGGGAATGATTGGAGTTCCATACTTCTGTCTCTCTGGGCCTGATAAATTTCTCATACCTCATGTAGCTCAGAACGCTCTATTTTTCTTTCCTCACAGACATGTGCCTTAGAACCCTGTATTTTGAAAGTGAAAAGACAAATAATGCATTCCAGGGATCACTGAGGTGATCTCCACCCAGCCCCACTGCAGTGGCCTTGATCTTTTTCAACCGACCCTCCTCCTTCAAAACCATCTCCTGGGGCCCAGCAATCTCTCTTCTGAAGGGGCTAGAGATGCAATGGCTTGAAACTGCAAGATCCCGGACTTCCCGTCCTAATGACATTTTGTTGGTGTCCATTTAGTTAATACACAAACAGGTAGGGAGGCAGTTAGTTGTTCTGCTTGCTGGGATGATGAAATAACAGACTCTTACTCCCAACTTCCCCTTGCTAAAGTGCTAGCTCACCGCAGGACTCATTCGGCGCCCCGTGGGAATGGAGAAAGGGATTACCTGTCAATAATACATGAGCACAGAAAGCCCTAGAAATGTGTGCCTAAGGCCAACTTGAAATGGGGAGTGGGGGAGAAAGAAGTCACTTGACGACACAGAAGGGAGAGAATAGCCCACATTCTGCTACAAATTTTCATTCAGCAAACACTTCTCTCCTCCTGGTCCTTCCACCTGGGTAAATTTCACATTAGCAATCCTGAAACAGCAAATACAGCTCTTTCTAGAAAAAGGCAAGGGAGGGAAAAGAATAAAGTGAATCCGGAGGGCATTGATCGTGTGTGAGTGAGTGAGTGTATGTGTGAATATGAGAGTGTATGTTTGTGTGTATGAGTGTGAGTGTATATGTGAGTTGGCGTATGTCTCTGTCAGCGTGTGATTGTGTGTATGTGTATCTGTGTGTGTGTGTGTTCATCTTTATTTTTACTCCTTTTATTCTTCAACATTGTTGTCTCACAAACTGCCCCCAGCAATGATTTTTGTTCTGTGAAATCTAATTTTCAATCTTTTCATCTCAAGGGTGAGGCGCAGCATAACTTCCACATCAATTTCCCAATATTTCAAGGGATACGTGACTCTACGTAACACTTTTCCAGATCGCTGAATTTAACCGTTTAACTCAAACTCTCACTTTCAAATGAAACACGTCATATATTATAAACTTATTTTCCTTCCTTAGTAAAATACACAAACATGATTCAAAGTTTTCTTGATAGCTGAAGATCATAATTCTGAGCCACTATTTCTTTATATAATATTTCTTTATATAATATTTCTTTATATAATATTTATATATTATATAATATTTATATATTATATATTATATATTGTATATAATATTATATAATATAATATTTCTGTAATATAATCAGCCCTTCGTGGGCCATGACGTGTAGCATGGTGACTTTCTACACAGCAAAATAGTTCCGGTTTTCTTCTCCTCAGACCTGACACCCCCTCTTCCCTGTCACTGCCTGCTAGTCACTGATAGCCTAAGAAAATTACAGTCTCCATCTGCAGCCAATCAGCCACCACACTTGTACCTTTCCACTAGGCTAGGCTGCTTTTATTTTATTTTGACTTATTTTATTCTGTTTCTGCTCCCCTTCTCCAAGCTTCCTTCCCTTCACTTCTGGTCTTTCAGCTCTCAGGCTGGCTCTAGCTGAAGGCTGTCTTGTTTGGTTCTGCTCTGATAAGTGACAATTTCACCACCTTGAGGTATTTAGGTCCCAGTTCTCATTTTTTCAGTTTTTGTTTTGTTGGGGAGTTGTTTAATCCTAGTTCACTTCACTGCTGGAAATAGTTTCTTCGCCTCCTTCGATACCTTCCAATTTAAGGTTTGATGCCATTCTGGGAATGGGAGATGGCCCCAAAACTGCCTCCGATGATCCAGGCTCTGCAGTGATTTCCAAATAGCAGATAAGGAATTGACAGTTGTAGAAATTGGAGCTGGCAGCACTTCCTTAAAAATACATTAACTCCAAAAAGAGAGGAAATAGGCATTTTGAGGGACGAACTCAAATTTTTGCTCTAAAAATGAAAATCCTAATATATAGGATAGATAGGAATTGGATTCAGCAAACTATATGCTATACAAACCTGAAAGTTGCCTCTAATTTCCCAACTGGTAATCTCAATTCTATAATCATGGGCACAGAGTCCATTCCCCAGTGGTCTCAACTCACTTTGGGAGCAGACCGTGTTTACCTGCCACAGTTAGAGAACAATCTTCCCAGTCTTGCATTTCTTCCTTTAGAGAAGGAAGAGCTGAGGTGCAGCCACCTGTTGCACCTTCTGCAACCCTCAAGCTACCAAAATTGTACTTGACAACAGTTTGTTGAAAAATGGACAGAAGTGCCAAATATCCATTTGTCTATTCAAATGTACAAGCCACCTTCCTAGTGAAATGTTGGTTGCAATTGCATTTGAATTAAACTTTAGAGTAGGGGGGAAAGAGACGTGTACATTTCCACTTTTCAGTTCCTTTAAATGCTAAATAGACATCATGATATTCAGTCAGTCCTGCTTCCTGAGGTTATTACCAGGCATGCAAAAGAAATACACTGAACTCTTTTAAGGAAGTGCAGAATATGTGATATTGAAGTATGACAATATAATACCTTAATTAAGGAGTTAATTTTCTATTTCCTCTAATGAATATAATCAACCGCTACCTCTTTGTTCTCCAGTCCATCACTTAATTAATCAGTTCCTCCAAGCAAAGTGAACATATTCTGGTCCCTGAATAAAGTGGAGAAATATCTGCCATAGTCCGTCAGCCTCCAGGCACAGCTGTGTGGAGTTATCCACATCCACAGCCTCCCCTTGCTGGGGCACCGGTAGTCCATGGTTAATGCAGCCCTGGATGACTAGGGGAGGGGCTTAAGCTTGATTCAGACGGGAAATGCACAGATGGTTTTCCCACTTATCTGTCAAAGAAAAACCACATTTCATTCTCCCCAGAAGGTAATGCTGCTTTGTAAGAAAAAAAGTGTGGCTCATTTCGTTGAGACTAAATCTGCAGGCAAAAAACTGAATGAGTCAACCATTAGCATGTGGTCAGGAATTTGACTACCAAAGCCAGCATTGGTTTGTCATCACAATTGGGTCAGTAGATAGAAAGCTGTCAGGCATTGAAGGAAATTTTGGAAGGTAAATACATTATATACAGTTCTAAAATATTAATACTACAAATTTCAATAAGATCAGCACCTGAAAAAAAATCTTGAATAAGCATTGAGTAGAAGAGTCCAGTTGTGAAGGGCTTATAGTAAATGACAAGTGCAGATTCTTCTAGAGCCTGTGACCAAGATAAAGCCCTACCACCAACCATGTTTGGGGTCACAAAAGCTGGGTTGCTCAGTTCAACTTCCATTATCTGATAATCCTAGTGATGCTGTAACAATGTACCACAAACTGGGTGGCCTAAACAACAGAAATGTGTTGTCTTACAGTCCTGGAGAATAGAGGTCCAAGATCAAGGTACTGGCAGGGTTGGTTCCTTCTGAGGGCTGTGAGACAGAACCTGCTCAATGTCTCTTGCCAAACATCTGATGCTGGGTTCAAACGATTCTCCTGCCTTACAGAAGTATCATCCTAATCTCTCCCTTCGTCCTCACATGAGGTTCTTCCTGTGTGCCCAATCTATGTCACCAAATAGCCCCTTTTGTTAAGGACAACAGTCACCTAGGACTAGAGTCCACCTTAATGGCCTCATCTTAACTAACCTGCAAAGACCCAATTTCCACATAAGGTCACATTTTGAAGTACAGGGGTTTAGGGCTTCAACATATGAATTTGGGGGAGAAAGGACACAATTCAACCCCTAATATCTACCCTGGGTGTCCATGCTAAGGTCTGAGGGAGGAGGCAAGAATGCTCATCCAGCTAGGAACCTGTTTGCCAGCTGATCACTGAGCATGCATAGGAAGACAAAGCTAAAACTGAGACAGAGAACCGTGTGGCTAGATGGAGTTTGTCAAACCCTAACTTTGGTTTAAAATCAATGAGTTGGCCGGGCACTGCGGTTCACGCCTGTAATCCCAGCACTTTGGGAGGCCGAGGCAGCTGGATCACAAGGTCAGGAGTTTGAGACCAGCCTGACCAACAGGGTGAAACCCTGTCTCTACTAAAATACAAAATTTAGCCAGGTGCATACCTGTAATCCCAGCTACTCAGGAGGCTGAGGCAGGAGAATCGCTTGAACTCAGGAGGTGGAGGTTGCAATGAGCCGAGATTGCACCACTGCACTCCAGCCTGGACAACAGAGTGAGACACCGTCTCAAAAATAAAAAATAAATCAATGAGTTTATTACATTTCCATATTTAGAATTTGATATGGTTTGAGTCTGTGTCACCACCCAAATCTCATGTTCAATTGTAATCCCTGGTGTTGGAGGTGGGGCCTGGTGGGAGGTGATTGGGTCATGGGAGTGGTTTCTCATACTTGAGCACCATCCCACTGGGTGCTGTTGTGGTGATAGTGAATTATCACAAGATCTGTTTTTTTAATGGTGTGTGGCACCTCCCCCATCTCTCTTCCTCCTGCTCCAGCCATGTAAGACAAGCCTGCTTCTCCTTCACCTTCTGCCATGACTGTAAGTTTCCTGAGGCCTTCCCAGAACCTGAGCAGATTCCAGCATTGTGCTTCCTATACAGCCTGCAGAACCATGATCCAATTAAACCTCTTTTCTTTATGAATTACCCAGTCTCAGATATTTCTTTATAGCAGTGTGAGAACAAACTAGTACGGGATTCATCTTTACTTCATCTGAAGATGAAAATGCATTCAAAATAATATGCAAACCTCTTTCTACTTACTTCCATCATAATCCTGCATAGGTCAACATTGTTGGGTGTTTTAGACAAAATATTCAGGAGAGTCAGCAAGGCATTGGACACAAGCCCTTTACTCAGAACAGAAACAAAAAGGAAGAGCTTGTACCAGGACTTTATTTATTTCCTGTCTTCAAACACACAAAATACTGGTCCACTGAAATTGAAAACATTACCAAAATATTATTTTGCATTCCAAATAAGCAAGGGGTAAAGCTCCATCCCTCCCACTCCCTTGAGTGTGGGCAGGACATACTGACTCACTTCAAAGAAAGTGAAACATAGTAACTTTACAGTGTACACAGCTGGTAAGCATGATCTTACCCAAATGATCAAGGACAACATCGCTAGTGATAAATCACGTGTATGTCATGTAACTCTGATAAGATGTGATGAGAATGGTGTTTTGCCCCTGTGTTACTCTACCCCGAAACCCATAACCCGAATCTAATCTTAAGAAAAACATCAGACAAGCCAAAATTGAAGAATAGTCTATACCACACTTGTCCAATACTCTCAAAACTTTCAAGATGATGAAACACAAGAAAAGACTGAGGCTGGGTGAGCTGGCTCACGCCTGTAATCCCAGCACTTTGGAAGGCCAAGGCAGGTGGATCACCTGAGGTCAGGAGTTCAAGAGCAGCCTAGCCAAAATCATGAAACCCTGTATCTACTAAAAACAATAACAAAAAAAATTACAAAAATTAATCAGGTGTAGTGGTGCATGCCTATAATCCCAGCTACTCGGGAGGCTGAAGCAGGAGAATCACTTGAATCCGGGGGACAGAGGTTGCAGTGAACCAAGATTCCAACACTGCACCCCAGCCTGGGTGACAGAGTGAGACTCCAGCTCAAAAAAAAAAAAGACTGAGAAACTGTCACAGACCAAAGGAGATGTGACAACTAAATGCAACGTGGTAGCCTGGTTAGGATCCTGGGATAGAAAAAGACATTAGGAAAAAACTAGTGAAACTTAAATATAGGCTGGAGTTTAGCTACTAGTAACGCACCAATGGTGGTTACTCAGTTTTGACAAATACACCACAGTAATGTGAACTGATAACATGAAGGGAAAGCAAAGCTGCAAGAGAATTATACAGGGACTGTCTGTGCTATCTTTAGAACTTTTCTGTAAACCCCAGATTTTTCCAAAATAAAAAGTGTATTACAAAATATATATAGAGAGATAGATAGATAGATATAGATGTGTCATTATGAAGCAGAACATATCAAGCCTTGTTTTCTACCATATTCAAGTCTAAATATAAACCCACATTTAAAATTCTATGTATAACATAGAGTCCGAAGTATAATACTTTAAATTGGAAAGAAAAAGTAACAAGATGCTGCTCCTTGTTTATCTTATGAAGACTTAGAATTTTCCTGCATTTCAGAATGTTCAAGGGTCATGGTCCATGTCAGGCAGGATTATTCATGACACAAACCATACTGAAACTCCCTGCTCATAAAAGTGAACCTCTTATTCTTGAGCTAATTCAAAAGATAACTTCTATCACATGCCAATGTTACCCAACCTGAACCAAACAAAAAACATCCTAGTGCAGTTTTCTGCCCCAGGTCCTGAGAGAATCTCGGTTTAATGACTTACCATCAAAGTTAGCTTTGGGATGGGGAACGATGTCAGAGACTTTGCCTGTGTTTTTCTTTGAATCTCAAGTACTCAATTTTTCTCACAGTTATTCAAAATTTAAAGCTCTGGTTGTTTGGATTCAGGAAAACATTTTGTTTACATGTATATGAAGAACTCAAAGTAAAAAGAACTCATTTCAAAGTTCATGGAATTTCAAAAAGAAATAAAGCAGACATCCACTGTGAAGTCGTTGCATCATAAACTAAGAAAGCATCCTGCTCCAGACCAGGGGAAAACGTACTATGTTGGAGGAATATAGAGAAGAAAAAGTCCTTCTACAGAGAATCGACCCTATTACCTACACCAAGCAATAAACTTTGAAAAACCTTTGAAGCTAATTTCCACGGCACCCCAGCCTTTCCTGACCCCACAGTTCAGGAGGAGTTCTCTCTTGACCTCCGCTTCTTTGTTCTGTTCAGGCCTTCAACTGAGTGGAGGAGGTCCACACAAATTAGAGAGGACAACTCATTTTACGTGATCTACCGATTCAAATGTTAATCTTATCCAGAAACCCCTCATAGACATACCCAGAATCATGCAGAGACAAATATCTGGGCACCTTGTGGTCCAGTCAAGTTGACACATAAAAGTAACCATCATCCATGCCACTCCTCCCATCAGATGGTGAAGCCCATTCCCCCTCTCCTTGAATCTGGCCTAGCCTGTGACTTGCTTTGACAAATGCAACAGAGTTGAAGTGTTGTGTGACTTAAGGGATCTTGCATCTCCCATGTTTTGCACTTTTAGAAGACAACTAATATGTAAAGAATCTTGAGTTGGGCTACAGAATGATGAGAGAAAACATGGAGAGAGAGAGAGAGATCTGGCAAGCCCACAGACATTGTAGACATTCCAGCTGAGGCACCAGGTGTGGAAAAACTACTTCAATTCTAGAGCAGTAATTCCGGCCAGCAAATGAATGAAATGAGGCTGACTGCTGAGCCTTGTAAAGAAATTAGAGTCAGAGAAAGTTCTGGTGGACTTAAGTCTCTGATTCTAGCCATCTAGATGCACTTTCTCCTGTTACATAAGATATAATTGTTTGCTTCTAATAAATTTTCCCTTTATTTTTAAGCTAGTTAATGTCACTTGAAAACAAATAGGTCTGGCAAAGTGTGGTGGCTCATGCCTTTAATCCTAGCACTTTGGGAGGCTGAAGTAAGCAGATCTCTTAAGGCCAGGAGTTCAAGACCAGCCTTGGCAACATGGCAAAACTTTGTCCCTACTAAAAATGCAAAAATTAGCAAAGCATAGTGGTACACACCTGTAGACACAGCTACTCAGGAAACTGAGGTGTGAGAATCACCTGAGCCCAGGGAGGCAAAGGTTGCCGTTAGCCATGATCATGCCACTGCACTCCAGCCTGGGCAACAGAGTGAGACGGTCTCAAAAAAAAAAAAAAAAAAAAAAAAAAAAAGATCCTGAATAATATTTGCTTCAAGAGTCATTATGAATAGGTTTATAAACTTCCACCCATTAATTTTCCTTGTAGAATGTTCTTCTAAGAAAACAGGCAAAATCCTGGAAAAAAATGTGTGCAAAAAATCAATGCACAGCAATATCTGTCTCATTGCAAAAATAAAAAATAGATAATCTAGATAGCCAGCCATATGGAAATTATAAAATAAATTATATCATCTTTATAACCAATATCTTCAAGATAGTTTTTTTTTTTTGCTATTTTAAACATAAGTAACATTTATAACAGTAGGTTTTAAAAAATAAGGGTAGATTATATGTACAACATGATTACAACTGTTCTAAAAAATATGGAAAAAAGTCTAGAAGGAAATAAACCAAAATTACAGTGTGAATAATATATGCTAAAGCTTCTGGCTCCATTTTACATTTTTATAGCAAGCAATCATTGGAAAATTGTTAGAAAATTAGTAGTTATCAATTACATAAGTTGAGAATATGGCCTTTTCTGTTTTCCTACACTCAGAAGTCTAGGAAATTGATGGGACATTGTGGTCGTGGTCACAGAGTGTTATAAATACTATATTCCAATTTCTTGAATTCTTAGCCATCATATAAAGATGCAAATCATAGGCAGTTCACTACTCTTTGGTATTCAGTTAACCTATTTGCGCTTTACAGAACCAAAATGCAATTGAGATCACTACTGAACAAGGTTCACCTTGTCCACCCCATTGTTGTCTCTTAGTCATGCAGTTAACCACCTAGGGCAACAAGTTTTTTGATGTCCCATGATCATTCCATTGGAGTAATTACATGTTCTCCAGTTCCATTTTTAAACAGTAATTCAATGGAAAATGAAAACAGAAATTCAACAACTTAAGCCAGTTTTCTTTTGCCATATGCTTGGACAACTGGATAAAATCTTTTCATCCACCAATCATTAATAACTTCCAAATTATTGAAACACTCTTTAGAATTATTTAATATTAATACAACATGCTTAACATTGTATTTAAAAAGAAAAAAGAAAAAAAAATGAATTCCCACCCAGTAATTACTACTTGTGACTCATTACCCCAGAACAGACTAACAAAAGAAAATGCTTGACAATTTTTAAGGAGACTCAAATTGCTGCTGTAGAATTATTAAGATAGTTATTACAAGTTATTTGGATATCAGTTAATGGTATAAAGGAACATGTACTAAGTCTTTTCAGGGTGCAAGGATTAAATTTAGTAAGTAGCTAGCCATTCAGGTCAAATTTTTTAATTTTACTTTTTTTTTTGAGACAAGGTCTCGCTCTACTGCCCAGACTGGAGTACAGTGGTAAGATCACGGGCTCACTGCAGCCTTGACTTCCTTGGCTCAAATGATCCTCACACCTCAGCTTCCCAAGTAACTGGGACTACAGGCATGTGCTACCACACCTGGCTAATTTTTTCACTATGTTACCTAGGCTGGTCTCAAACTCTTGGGCTCAAGCAATCCTCCCACCTCGGCCTCCCAAAGTGCTGGGATTACAGGCATGAGCCTCCGCACCCAGCCTTTTTATTTTTTTCCTTTTACCTCTATGTCTATGTTTAACTGTTCTACATATGACCTGGTTACTCAAAATCAGTTAATATATATCTATTTAGTGCTTATTATGTGCTATAAACATGTTGGAGATCTAGAGGGGAAAACACTAGAATACTTTCCTGCCAACATGGAACTGGCTTTCCACCATCCTCTGAGTTCCCCATTTGCATTCAGGGTCTCACATAATCCAAAACTTACACATTGCTTTGCAGTGGAGCCTGTGGCACCTTTTATGGGTGCTGAACAGATCAGAAGCATGACTGCAGACCTAGCACCTGAGAAACATCTCTGATTTCTTTGGGAAGCTTTTTCTTTGTAAATGATTAAAATAAAAACTACTTCAGCCCTCGGCACGATATTCACCCACAGTCAGGCTGCCCCTCATCGGGTACAGACAGGTGTCAAGGTGAGTACCAGCTCTTTCCCCCTGCCCTTCTGTCAGGTAAGCATGATGTTAGATCATCAAGAAAATTTGGCATATTTTTATAAAATAATCATATCTTTCTCTCTCCCAAGGAAATGGTTTGCGGCTGATCAATTTCCCATCCATGTCAACTAGATGAGAAATAAGGAATTGGAATAAGGTTGAAAGATTCAAAATGGGACCACAATAGGGAGGAAAGGGCCATATATAACTAATAGCCAATTCTAGAAAATTGCATAGTTATATGTCTAACATTGTATTTCTCAAATGCAATGAAAAGATTTTAATTCTGAGACCAAATATGTCCTGCAACCCATGTTGTCTGTTACTCTGCCTGTGATGACAATGGAAACCTGTGATGCTGGTAGACATCATTGTCACCACAAGTATAGAAGGTACCTCAGAATAACACCAATGGAGCCCAGACATGGAGAGACACAGTCCTAGTGACAACATTTACTCTCCTGGATCCAGCCATCCCTGAAGCTAGAATGCCCCCTTAATGTTTCCCTTTGCATAAGAAAGTAAGATGCCTTACTTGGCTTAAGTTGATTTTCTGTAATGTGCAAGCAAAAACATCTGACAAATAGAATCTTATAATACTGAAACAAAAATAATCAAAACAAAAATACTGAAACTAGAAAAAAAAAATCACCCATAGGAACCAAAAAGAAGGCAATGTACCCTAATGTCATTTTTTTAAGTGACAGCTAAAGAAAGAAATAGAAACCTTTATCTCTACCAAGGATTAAAGAAGTTATGATAAAAGGATAAGGGTGAATTCAGAATGAGTTTAAATTTGGAATTAAAGCAAAACAATTTTAGAATAACAGGTACAGAACAGAATGCAATGCTATAGAATTGCATGTGACAATAATAATGTAACCATCAAAAAGCGGAAGATGAGAGAGAACTCAAAGGATAAATGAATGATTAATAGTGCCTAAAATGTAAAGATATTGCTTAAAAAACAATGACTTCAACTTATATAACTGATTCCAAATCTTTTTCTTTTTCTTTTTTTAAATAAATGGCTACCACTTCTTGAGTGCTTGTGAAGTGTCAGGTGTTTTTTATTTTTTATTTTATTTTATTTTTTATTTTTTTTTTATTTTTATTTATTTATTTATTTTGAGACGGAGTCTCGCTCTGTCACCCAAGCTGGAGTGCAGTGGCGCGATCTCCTCTCACTGCAAGCTCCGCCTCCCGAGTTCACGCCATTCTCCTGCCTCCGCCTCCCGAGTAGCTGGGACTACAGGCGCCCGCCACCACGCCCGGCTAATTTTTTTTTTTTTTTTTTTTTTTTTTTTTTTTTTATTTTTAGTAGAGACAGGGTTTCACTGTGTTAGCCAGGATGGTCTCGGTTTCCTGACCTCGTGATCCGCCTGTCTCGGCCTCCCAAAGTGCTGGGATTACAGGCATGAGACGGAATCTCGCTCTGTCGCCCAGGCTGGAGTTCAGTGGCGCGATCTCGGCTCACTGCAAGCTCCGCCTCCGGGGTTCACGCCATTCTCCTGCCTCCGCCTCCCGAGTAGCTGGGACTACAGGCGCCCGCCACCACGCCCGGCTAATTTTTTTTTTTTTTTTTTTTTTTTTTTTTTATTTTTAGTAGAGACAGGGTTTCACTGTGTTAGCCAGGATGGTCTCGGTTTCCTGACCTCGTGATCCGCCTGTCTCGGCCTCCCAAAGTGCTGGGATTACAGGCATGAGACGGAATCTCGCTCTGTCGCCCAGGCTGGAGTTCAGTGGCGCGATCTCGGCTCACTGCAAGCTCCGCCTCCGGGGTTCACGCCATTCTCCTGCCTCAGCCTCCTGAGTAGCTGGGACTACAGGCGCCCGCCACCACGCCCGGCTAATTTTTTTTTTGTTTGTTTTTAGTAGAGATGGGGTTTCACCGTGTTAGCCAGGATGGCCTCGATCTCCTGACCTCGTGATCCGCCCGTCTTGCTCTCCCAAAGTGCTGGGATTACAGGCGTGAGCCACCGCGCTCGGCCCCAAATCTTTTTTTCTTAATGTACAGATGTTTTTAAGAAAAAAAAAATGGGAAGAATTATTCTGAAGTTCAGCAATTCCTTTGCTTTCCTTTTTTTTTTTTTTTTTTTTTTTTTCTAGTTATTTTAAGTAAAAGTTGGCCAGGTGTGGTGGCTCACATCTGTAATCCCAGCACTTTGGGAGGCTGAGGCAGGTAAATCATTTGAGGTCAGGAGTTTGAGACCAGCCTGGCCAACATAGTGAAACCCATCTTTACTGAAAATACAAAAATTAGCCAGGTGTGGTGACATGCACCTGTAATCCCAGCTACTTGGGAGGCTGAGGCAGAAGAATGGCTTGAACCCAGAAAGCGGAGGCTGCAGTGAACTGAGATGGTGCCACTCCACTCCAGCCTGGGCGACATAGCTAGACCAGTCTCAAAAATAAAATAAAATAATAAAAAAAAATTTAAAAAACTTGACAGAGCAGTTTCAAAGAAGTGACAGGAGGAAAGTCCAAGTTGCAATGGTTGGAAACAGTAAAAGTGAAGTTAAAGTAAGCATGCCTAGGATAGGAATTTGACTACTAGAAATGGAAATATTGCTTCAACCAGACAAGAGTTCATTTTTCTCACATAACATGACATGTAGAGATAGATATCCCAGGGCCTGTGGTAATAAATCTAGGCTATCTAAGCTGACATTAGACATCAATATTGTACTCCTTCTACCCTGTCACCTCATTTTTAGCACCAGGCTTCAATTCTCAAGGATGCCTCATGATCACATGATGGTTGCTAGTTCCAGCCATCACTTTCTACATTCCAAATAAGGAAAAAATGCAAAAGGAGGGAGACAGCAAAAGGCAGCTACCAGCTGAGTAATCATTTTTAAGATAGCTTTCCCAGAAGCAACACTAGTGATTTGGATTTGTTTCTCATCGGCCTCATCTCTCTGCAAAGGATGTGAGAAAATGTACTTGGGCATACCTCTCTCTACAAAACCAGAAATCTAGGGAGAAAAGGGAGAGTTTTATTACAGAATGTGGCCATTCCTGCTGCAGCCTGTTTTCAAGCTAGTGGTAAATAATCCTGCAGAGGTCAGGCACGGTGGCTCACTCTGGTCATTCCAGCACTTTGGGAGGCTGAAGCGGATGGATCACTTGAGGTCAGGAGTTCCAGACCAGCTTGGCCAACATGGTGAAACGCTGTCTCTACAGAAAAATATATAAATTAGCTGGGTGTGGTGGTGCGTGCCTGTAATCTCAGCTACTTGGGAGACTGAGGTGGGACAATCTCTTGAACCTGGGAGGTTGAAGCTGCAGTGAGCCGAGATCGCACCACTGCACTCCAGCTTGGGTGACAGAGTGAGATCTTGTCTCAAAAATAATAATAATAATTTTAAAAATGGCCAGGTGTGGTGGCTTATGCCTGTAATCCCAGCAATTTAGGAGGCCTAGGGGGGCAGATCACCTGAGGTCAGGAGTTCCAGACCAGCTTGGCCAACATGATGAAACTCCATCTCTACTAAAACTACAAAATTAACCAGGCATGGTGGTGCACACCTGTAATTCCAGCTAGTTGGGAGGCTGAGGCAGGAGAATCACTTGAACCTGGGAGGTAGAGGTTGCAGTGAGCCAAGATCATGCCACTGCACTCCAGCCTGGGTGACAAGAGTGAAACTCGGTCTAAAAAAAAATCCTGCAGAAAGGGATAGACTGCATTGGGGGCTATGCCAGGGTGGCAGAGGGAGAGAATAATATCTTTACATACTTTTAATGAGGTATGCTTCTCTTCTCCCACTAGCTCAGTGACATTCATTGGGGGGTCAGGCCCAGACTAACAACACATGGGGTCAGTTGAAGTGGTGAATGATGATTTTTCTTTTTAACATGACTTTCATGTTGATCTTACACCAAAGTGCTTTTAAACTAGCAAAAGCTTAGAACTAGTTGAGGGAAAAGTATTGCTCTCAAAACTAAGCGGGCTTTGATAGGAAGATGAAGACAGAGGTTGGATACCTAGGCAAAGAGTCTGTCTCAGTTAACATTGGAATAAGGAAGGCTGCAGGATAGCTCCTAACACTGGCGAAAGGAATTAACACTGCCCACGCCTTTTTGTTTGCTTGTTTCAGTTTCTTATTTTGCTGTAGTTAAGAGCCTGGAAAGAGAAAAAAAAATCAGATACTGCTGATTGTTTCAGCAGGTTGGGGGAAAAGGAGAGACCGTGGTTGATAATCCAGGCTGATGGATGTGAGGGGTAGGAAAGAAATCTCCATCATATGTATGAGAATCCAAAGGCAGAAAGCTGTTTCCATTTGGAATCCTAAGGCGAGGCAGCTTCCCAGACTGCCTGCCCAACACGGAGCAGCTCCAGAAGAACAGGATGGGGCGGGGGCCAAGCGCAGAAGGGCTGGGAGGTCCCCACCCCAGGCCCCCTCATTTCCAGTGAGGCCTGCAGAAGACCCAGAAAATTTCTCATAGGCCCTGAGGAGGAAAAGAACAGAAAATTAGTAAGTTGTATGCCTGCCGAGGGTCACCAAAGTGTGGGGCCAGGAGACCCCGTAGCAGAGGCACAGGAAGGACAGCCCAAAGCTGAGAGCCAGTGGAGGAGTCTTCCAAGTCCCGGGGAATCAGCGGAACTAGGGGGAAACCGATGGGGAAATGGCAGAGCTCCCGACAACCAAGGGCAGGGCAGACCTGTGCTGAGAGAGCAGGCGTGGGGGAGCTTGGGCACAGTGACTATAGTGGGAAACCCGCACACCAACAGAATGAGGCATTTCCCAGAAGCCAGCCTCTGGAGACCATGTGGGGTTTAGGGGACTAGCGCTTCCCTCGACGCCATGCTGGTTTTGTCCACACGGCTACAGGGCACCCGGGGAGGCCACAGAAGCAAATTCAACTGGTTGGAAAATTCTCAAAAGATACTTTTCCCTTCTTCCTTCCTTCCTTCTTTCCTTCCTTCCTTCCCTCCCTCCCTCCTTTCTTCCTTTCTTTCTTTCGAGATGGGGTCTCACTATGTTGCCCAGACTGGTCTCTAGCTCATGGACTCAAGTGATCCTCCCGCCTTGGCCTCCCCAATGTGCTAGGATTACAGGTGTGAGCCACTGTGCCCAGCAAAAGAGACCTTTTTTAAAACAGAAAAAAAAAAAAAAAGGCAGGTGCAGTGGCTCACGCCTGTAATTCCAGCACTTTTGGAGGCCAGGGCGGGCAGATCACCTGAAGTCAGGAGCTCGAATCCAGGCTGGCCAACATGGTGAAACCCTGTCTGTAATAAAAACACAAAATTAGTTGGGTGTGGTGGCATGCGCCTGTAATCCCAGACCTTTGGGAGGCTGAGACAGGAGAATCGCTTGAACCCAGGTGGCAGATTGAAGTGAGCTGAGATGGCGCCACTGCACTCCAGCCTGGGTGACAGAGCTAGACTCTTTCTCAAAAAAATAAATAAATAAAACAGAAAAAAAATGTTTGAAGAGAAATTGTTTTTTGAGCAAACTGAGGTTTTGTTTGTTTTTGAGACGGAATTTCGTTCTTGTCGCCCAGGCTGGAGTGCAGTGGTACGACCTCAGCTCACTGCAACCTCCTCCTCCTGGGTTCAAGCAATACTCCTGCCTCAGCCTCTTCCCGGAGTAGATGGGACTACAGGCATGCACCACCACGCCCAGCTAATTTTTGTGTTTTTAGTAGAGATGGGGTTTCACTATGTTGGCCAGGCTGGTCTCGAACTCCTGACCTCAGTTGATCCTCCTGCCTCGGCTTCCCAAAGTGCTGGATTACAGGCGTGAGCCATTGCGCCTGGCCAGGTTTTTCTCTTTCAAGCTGAGCTGTCCAGTATGGTAGCTGCTAGCCACAGGTGGTCCATTGGGTGGCTAGTCTGAATGGAGATGTCTGCCAGTGTAATATAAACATGGGTTTTCAAAGACTCAGTCCAAAAAATATATATCTAAATTATCTCTTTAATCATGTGGTATATGAATTACATAATTAAACAATGTAGTTTTGACATATGGATGAAATAAAATACATTATTTAAATTAATTTCACCTGTTTCTTTTTACTTTTTTTAATGTGGCTGAAAAATATATGGTTCACATTTGTGGCTCATTATATATTTTATTGGACAGCACCACTTTAGAGATAGAAAGCAAGCTGTATTTCTGCAGGTATTCATCCTGAATCGAGGATCAAATATAGGTGTGAAAACTTTCAGATCTGTTAGGTATCTATTGATGTGTAAAACAAGTTGATTTAAGTCAACATTTATTATCTCGTAGGTCTGTGTGCCAGGAATCTGGGTGCCACTTAGGCGGGCCTGCTGGCTCAGGGTCTCTCACAGGCTGAAATCAAGGTGTCACCTGAGGCTACCATCATCTCAAGGCTTAACTGGCAAAGGATGTACATTCAGCCACCCTAGATGGTTGTTGGCAGGACGCAAACTCCTCGTGGGCTATTGAATTGAGGACCTCTGTTTATTGTTCTTGTCAGCCCAAGGCTGCCCTGAGTTCCTTGCCATAAGGACCTCTCCATAAGGCAGCTTGCAACATGGGAGGTGCTTCATCAGAGCCAGCTGGTGACAGAGTACAAGCAAGATGAAAGTGACAGTCTTCTATAACCTGATCTTGGAAGTGACAGCCTATCATTTTTGCCATATTCTTCTCATTAGAAGCAAGTCAATAGTCCCACACTCTAAGTAAGGAGATTGCAGAAGGGCATAAATAGGAGGAGATGGGGATTGCTGAAGGCCAATTCAGAAGCTGCCTGCCTAGAACCAAGGAGTATACGAAGCATGCACAAGATGGTTCATCCTGGCAGAGGAGGAACAGTTCTTCCCTCATAACCGAGCTGGAGAGGCACACGTGGCAGAAGGTAGAGGTAGACTGTTGTAGTTGGTGGTGACAAGTTATAGGACCAAAGCTGATGACCTATTTGTTTATCTCCTTGAAGAAGGAGGCAAGATTGTCTGCTGAAGGAAAGGATATGTGTGGTTTGAGGGCAAGAAGAAAGTTCGGGAAAGACCACCTACTAGAGAAACACAATCCAACTACCAGGCAATGACAAATGGAAGTTCAAAATTACCAAAAGTTAAAAAGCAGTCAGCTCAGTTGTGTGATTTTCTCCACCAACTTTCAGCTGCCAGGGTACTAGCTCAAAGTGGCAAAACAAATATGCCAGCTCTAGGGTAGGAAAAAATTTTTTATCCACATGTGAGTGCAGCCAAGAAACAGTAGTGTGAATTATACTGGTTTATATTTCTCTCCATTTAATTCTTCCAACCCAGCCTGCTCAGCAGGCCTCTTTCCACTGAGCAGCCAACAAATTAAATAGCCTGGTGTGTGAGCTTTTGATACAGCTCTCTTGGACCTGGAGTGCATGCTAATAACCAGCTTTATTCCTGTCTGTCCCCTGCATAGTGGCTCAGTGGGCAAAACTCTCCAGGACTTCAAAGGAGATCTGTGACATGGAACAGACCCAGGAGCCTTGTCTGCACATTACAGCTAAATATTGATGATAGTGACCTCCAAAATACCACTAGATCTTCCGTACTAAAACTGCTGTTTAAATCTAGCTAACATTTACGATAGAAAACATACAACACTTATGAAACAGTAGGCTCCAGTACACCTTTTAAGACACCCAGAAGTTGGTTGTTTGGTTGATTGATCAGTTGGTCGGTTGGTTGGTTAGGTTTAAAGTCATAGAAAAAACAAGCCACACAAAGATGCAAAAGCACATCCCTTCCCACGAAATGCACATGCTTGCTAGGAAGAGCATTTCATCCTCATTTGCCTGAGACTGTAGTGAAGACCCATCAGTCCCAGGCAAACCCAGATGTTTAATCATCCTGATTTACCCATGATCCCTCTCAGAAGTGGTCCAGGAGCAAAGCTGCAGCAGAGAGAATTCGTAAGACTGATCTTGCAGCAATTTCTCCTGGTTCTCTGAACAACACTGATCATGGTTCTTTCCTGGCAGCTCTGGTCCCTTAGACGAGGCTGACAGTTTCCTAGAAAGAAACAATCCCTCAGGTCATTACCGTTTTCATTTCAGAGTTAATCAAATTCATCAAAAAAGATTTACCAGATGGTTATTATTTGCAAAATACAGTGACAAATGTGGCTGGAGACATGAAAGTATTAAAAAACTATTCCTGCCCTCAAAAAAAAAAAACTAATTTAATTGTGAATACAACACAAAAATCTGCAGGATGAAAAAAGCCTAAGTAATAATAAAACTGACACAGAGGGCAAGCGTTTAAAAAATCGCAACTCAGAATATGATTAATTGCAAATATATCCTTGGAAAAAGAGTGGCTTTTAGACTCAGAAAATTCATTTTGTTTTGTTTTTTTAACAAAATAAAGGTAGCTTTTGTAATGACCTGCTACCATTGGTTGAACAAAGCAGAGGAGAGGAATAGTTGTCACTTCAGACAACTTTTTTTTTTTCCGAGTTAGAGTCTCACTCTATTGCCCAGGCTGGAGTGCAGTGGCACAATCTCAGCTCACTGCAACCTCTACCTCCTGGGTTCAAGCAATTCTCCTGCCTCAGCCTCCTGAGTAGCTGGGATTACAGGCGTGTGCCACGACGCCAGCTAATTTTTGTATTTTTGATAGAGACAGGACTTCACCATGTTTGCCAGGCTGGTCTTGAACTCCTGACCTCAAGTGATTCACCCGCCTCAGCCTCCCAAAGTGCTGGGATTACAGGCATGAGCCACCGCACCCAGCCACTTCAGACAACTTTTTAAGCTTGAAAACTATGAACACAGCCTTTAAAGTGAGACACACTGGGTCCCAACATCATCGCTGTCACCAAGTAAGGGTTGGGAAACTCACCAATGCATTTTTTTCTCACCTGAAAAATTGGGATAATCTACCTCCATCATAGAGTTGGTGAGAGAATTCCTTGAAATAAGCTGCAAATTATTATTATCAGGTGTCCAATAAATAGTTTCTGTCATGATTTGTGTAAGTATTAAAAGGAAAATGGCAATTATCACTTCATCTTCCCTCCACATTTTTCAATTGCTTTCATCTGAAAAGTCTGGTGCAATTCAAATTGCATATTAAGTCACGAGTGCTGCTTCATTGCCTCTGTGGATTTAAAAGATACAGAGGACTCTCACATGTTCTTGTCTGAATGCACTTTCATTCAAAATGCTTTACATTTTGAAATTGTCAAATTCAGGTCATTTGTGATGCAAAAATTAGTATGGCTGGCAATGCACTTAAACTTATGCTTACAACCTTGTCTTACCTTTTTTCCTATCATATTAGTTATCTATTGCTACATAACACATTTCTTCAAATGTGGCAGCTTAAACCAACACATGTTTATTATCTCATAGCTTCTGTAAGTCAGGGAGCTGGGAAGGGTGTAACTGCATCTTCCACTGCGGGGTCTCTCCGCAGGCTGCAATCAAGGTGTGAGCTGGGCTGTAGCCATCTTATGGCTCAACTGGGGAAGACTTGCTTCCAAGCTCATGAGACTGTTTTCAGGATTCAGTTCCTCTCAGACAGTTGAACTTATAGTCTCAGTTCCTTGCTGCTGTTGGCTGGCAGCCACCCTCAGAAGTTCCTTGTCATGTTGGCTTCTTCATCATGGCAGCTTGCTTCCTCAAAGTCTTCAAGCCAAGAAGGCAATAAAGAGAGTCCATCAGCAAAAAGGAAGTCACAGTCTTTTGTAAGCTAATCCTTGAAGCTTGAAAACTGTGGCATCCCTTCAGCTTAGCTGGAGTTGGTTGGTTACAAGCAGGTCACTAGGCTTAACCCATGTTCAAGGGGAGAGAATAGCACATGGCCATCAAACCAGGCAGTGGTGTTCATCATGGGCCATCTGAGAAGCCTGCCTACCACAGCTGTCTCTTAGAGGATCTTGGTCACGACTTGTCTACAACAAAGATGAATAAAACAAATAACACTGGAAGACAAATCAATGCCACCAAATGCTCAGGGTCCTAGAAACAACAGGGGCAGAGCCACATGTCTTCCTGCTGAGGCAGCTGCCTCAATGGTTTTTTTTTGGCGGGGGGGTGCGGAGACATAGTTTTATACTGTCGCCCACGCTGGAGTGCAGTGGCATGATCTCAGCTCACTACAACCTCTGCCTCCCAGGTTCAAGCGATTCTCATGCCTCAGCCTCGTGAGTAGCTGGGATTAGAGCCATGTGCCACCACACCTGGCTAATTTTTGTATTTTTAGTAGAGACAGGGTTTCATACCATGTTGGCCAGGCTGGTCTCAAACTCCTGACCTCAAGTTATCCACCCGCCTCGGCCTCCCAAAGTGCTGGAATTCCAGGCATAAACCACTGCACCCAGCTGGATTTTTAGTATTAATCAGAACTAAACAATCTTGGTATGTCCTGCAACACAACCTGTCTGCTTCTTTACAATTGTATGACCTACCCTCCAGTGGAATCTGAGTAAAGTTGAATTTGACTACATTGAACCTTAATAACTTGAGGAGTACAAGAATGACTGTCAGAAGTATCCATGAGCAAAAGAAAAAAAGAAAAAAACACAGTGCTGAAGACTTTTGGAAACTAGCCCCAAATCACAGAAAGTGAGTAAAATTAGGCCATGTGTTTTTGGCCAAAGGATTTGGCTTTTTGGATCTCAGTTTCCTTTTGGAAACATGAATGTTACACCAGATAATCTCTCAGACTTCTTCCATCTCGAGAGTGACCCCAAGATTTTACAACCAATTGTTAGTGAAAACGCTGCTGTGTGCTAAGGCACTTTCCCTAAATCCAAAAGCCTTCCACCAAAGAAAGGACAGCCCCAGGAGTGATCATGAAGGGTGGCTGCAATGAATGCCACAATGAATGGTTTTCACAAGCCGCATCTGCAAAGCAGAACTTAATTTTCTCCCATTTTTGCCAGGCAGGAAGCTAGTGAAAATTAGCAAAGCTTTTGAAAGGTTGAGTGACCATCTGGTGACAACAGTGCCACATCAGACACTGAGAAAGGCTCAAGTGGAGGAGGGAACAGAGAAAAAAGCCTGTAGATATTTCTAAGTGGAAAGTGGCCCTGAGCCAGGCATCCTCTGCCCTCTCTCAAAAGGCCTTGCAGAGTGGCATTAGCCCCTCATGGGTGCACAATGAATACTCATTGGCTGAACAAAGAAAACTTGGTATTTGAAAGTTTTATGGGGTTTTTTGTTGTTGTTTTCAGTAAGCTTGATATGAGATCTGTTGTCTTTCAGGTGCGAATTCACAGAAATCAAGGATGTAAGATGAAGGTATGTCTTCCAACATACGGCAACATCCAGTTGATTCACTGAACTGAGAAATGGGTGTATACCTGTAAAAGAAAGGAAGAGCTAGCTTCAGTATGCAGCCTAGTGAAACTGGAATCAGAACAGAATGAATACGATGAACTGGAAATGTCATGTTATTGAGCTACAGTCTCTAGAACAGAGACAGTGGCATCAGTTGGAGTCCTTAATATTTGAGGTTTCTTGGCTAAACTAACTTCCCCCAGAGAGGGCTAAGACGGAGGGCTAAGACGGGTAATACCATGTCTGCCTGTGACTCTCCTTTTAGTCAAGCTTCTGAGTGGGCTCCACCTCCATTCAGGATGATGGTAGTAACACAGCTAATGAAAGACAGTTTTCACTGGGTTAGAAAGTCCTAACGGCCATTTTTTTTCTTTCTTGAGAGTTCTGTGTAATTTTTTCTTTTTGAAGAGTTCTGTGTTTTTTCAGAGTTCTGATCTCATATGAAATGATTTCAAAGTTTAGCTCTCAGTGGGAAATAATTTGTCCACATTCCAGGGAAACAGGAGAAAGCCCCTTAGTTCTAAGAGTAGTACTGACAGTCATCACCTACAGTCAAATGATATTTTGGGCAAGTCTGCATTCTTTTATGAGCCACAAAACCATATAGCAGGAACTAAGATGCAGAGACCCTGTAATAAATACATTCCTTCCACCAGCTCTTAGACATCGTTCATAAATTGTTCCATTTGACAGTGAACAGGGAAAATGGATGAGAAACGTGGCCTCAAGCATATAATGTATATGTGGTCAAAGAGTCATGACCCATGTGGCCACATTACCAGATTATATCTTATTCTCACTTTCTCTACAATAGGATAAGCACCAACAGGATAGAAATACACTCTTCTCTCCAATTTAATTATACCTTTATTATTACTTTTCTTATATGCACACAAGCAGCAACAGCTAATGTAAAGTGGAAATTGTAATACAATTTCCATACTGTGTCTTTGTTGACTACAAAATTATATAAAAAATGTGTCTCACCCTTTAGTTGGGACCATTTAGAAGCCTGAGGGCAATTACACAGAGTGTATTGGAGTTAGCCGCACAATCTCCTAATGGCAGCTTGGCCCAAAGCCAAGCTTTAAGCCAAACCTCAGGGAATTCAAATTTAAAAGTCAGCTACATTAGTGGTAGTGATTCAGTTTGGAGAAGATATCGCTTTTCGTGATTTATTACAGCCAGTGCTTTCAGTACATTTAAAAGATGGTCTAGCTTAGTTGCATTTTCAAAGGAGCGCTACTGCATAAAATGAGGAACATCTGAACTGAAAGCTATCAGAATGGAAAAGCTTGACTAGGGCTTGAATTATGTGGAAAGCGTAATTCTTAGAAATAGGTCCTCAAACACACAAGAATCTGCAAAAATGAGCTATACTTTCAACCCCCCAATATCTAACCCTCGTGATCATTTGGTAGAGAAGGGTCTGTTACTGTCAAGTATTTTTAAATGACTGCAAAGACATTAATTCCCTAGGTGCAGAATAATCATTCAGTATCAAGAATAAACATATAATTTAAAATATTAGTCTTGCTGGTGCTTGTGATCTATGACTAAGCTGTACTTTCAAAGAGAATTCCAAATCTCTCCTCTCTGCAACCCAAGAGAATCTGCACAAAGACTTGTGACCTTATGAATTTTCACAGGTTTTCCCCAGTGGATGTCTTTGGCGTCTGCTATCTCTACTGCGGATACACCGGTGAGTCAGTA
This sequence comes from Homo sapiens, assembly GCF_000001405.40. Classification (NCBI taxonomy): domain Eukaryota; kingdom Metazoa; phylum Chordata; class Mammalia; order Primates; family Hominidae; genus Homo; species Homo sapiens. The sequence continues at coordinate 17,378,722 of NC_000005.10, read as the reverse complement.
AATCTTTTCAAAATAGTTCTGTTCTTTCATACTCAGTTCAGATTTGGGGGAAAAAAAGTAGGAGCGACAGTTCTATTTAGAACAAAGCAGCTTAGAAAAAATACGTTAGTCTTATAAAAATAAATCTATCTATACGTGTATTCTTGTCAGAAGAAAACAACATCATAAACTACAAGTCCATTTCCCACTAGTGTCTTCATTTCCATGTTTTATTGCATTCCACAGTGGTTTTGCAACCAGCCATATCAAGAGTTTCCAAGAAAAATGTAAACAAGGATTTTGCAGTGACTCCAGCTAGAACACATGAATATGACTGAGAACAGAATATCTCTACTTACTTTAGTCAATTTTGTAGTAACTAAATAAGTAAGATGAAAAAAAGTAACTTCAAAAAAAAACGATCTCTACTGAGCTATCTGGAGACAAAACATCGTGCTACATTCCAAATCACCAAGGGCCTTCCGGCACACACATCAGAAAGTGAAATATATCTGCCTCGAAGGAACTGGGCAGAGATGCTTCTACCTTTAGGAAAACAACCCCATTTTCATAATAAGCCTATAAATCATATAGTTATTACCTGGTGCCTATTTGTAATGGGAAACATCGTGAGATAGTATCGACGTATTTTTTTTCTGGGATCTGTGGCTCTAAAGCCCTTTCCCCAGCTCAGGCCACTTCCACTGCCTCAAGAAAGGAATAACTCAAAGGACAAGATCATCAACTCCACTCATTTATTCACTTTTTTTTTTTAACGAACATTTATTGACCCCATGTATGTGCAAGAAACTGTTCTAAGTGCTGAAAATAAAGCAGTGAATAAATTAGACCCAGTCTTTATCTTTATTGACTTTTGTATTCTAGTAGGGAGAAGTCAATGAACAAATAACTAGAAAATTAAAAAAATTTAAAGTACCAGTTGATGAAAATGCTGTGGAGAACAATCAGACCAGATCATGGGGCCAGGCATGGTGGCTCACACCTGTAATCCCAGCACTTTGAGAGGCCCAGGTGGGTAGATCATGTAAGGTCACAAGTTCAAGACCAGCATGGCCAACATGGAGGAATCCCTGTCTCTACTAAAAATACAAAAATTAGCCAGGCATGGTGGCGAGTGCCTGTAATCTCAGCTACTTGAGAGGCTGAGGCAGGGGAATCGCTTGAACCCGGGAGGCAGAGGTTGCAGTGAGCCAAGATCACACCACTGCACTCTAGCCTGGGCGACAAAGCAAGAGTCCATCTCAAAAAATAAAAATTTCTTTAAAAAAAGATAATGGCATAAAGAACAGAGGGACAGGAGGCAGGCTGCTACCCTCAGCGTTTGAGTTTAAAAAGCCTAGGTGGGCCCCAGCCTAAAAACACTGGGAAGTAATTTTCATATCAGGCAGAGGTTCTTTTTTCTCTCCTGAAGATGAGATGAAGTTTGCTTCAATTAGAAGAAAGAGGGGAAAGAAAGATTCAGAGGAGACGAGGACAATTCAGAGCTGATGGGTGACTAAGAAGAAGCCCTAAGCCCCAGCCGCTCTCCTTCCAATCCCAAAAGAGCACTGATAGGCTTGAAACCTACACCCTCTTCCTGGAAGGACCCATACACATCCTGGGAAAGCCATAAGATCCCAAAGCCGGCCGGGCGCAGGGGCTCACACCTGTAATCCCAGCACTTTGGAAGGCTGAGGCAGGCAGATCACCTGAGGTCAGGAGTTCAAGACCAGCTTGGCAAACATGGTAAAACTCTCTCTCTACAAAAATACAAAAAATTAGCTGGGCATGATGATGGGTGCCTGTAATCCCAGCTACTGGAGAGTCTGAGGCAGGAGAATCGCTTGAACCCAGGAGGTGGAGGTTGCAGAGAGCCAAGATCACACCACTGCACTCCAGCCTGGATGACAGAGCAAGACCCAGTCTTGGGCACGGTCAAAGACTTCATGAGTAAAACACCGAAAGCAATGGCAACAAAAGCCAAAATTGACAGATGGGATCTAATGAAACTAAAGAGCTTCTGCACAGCAAAAGAAACTACCATCAGAGTGAACAGGCAACCTACAGAATGGGAGAAAATTTTTGCAAACTATCTGTCTGACAAAGGGCTAATATCCAGACTCTACAAATAACTTAAATTTACAAGAAAAAAACAACCCAATCAAAAAGTGGGCAAAGGATATGAACAGAAACTTCTCAAAAGAAGACATTTATGCAGCCAATAAACATATGAAAAAAAGCTCATCATTGCTGGTCATTAGAGAAATGCAAAGCAAAACCACAATGAGATACCATCTCATGCCAGTTAAAATGGCGATCTTTAAAAAGTCAGGAAACAACAGATGCTGGAGAGCATGTGGAGAAATAGGAACGCTTTTACACTGTTGGTGGGAATGTAAATTAGTTCAACCATTGTAGAAGATGGTGTGGTGATTCCTTAAGGATCTGGAACTAGAAATACAATTTGACCCAGCAATCCCATTACTGGATATATACCCAAAGGATTATAAATCATTCTACTATAAAGACACATGCACATGTATGTTTATTGTGGCACTATTCACAATAGCAAAGACTTAGAACCAACCCAAATGCCCATCAATGTTAGACTGGATAAAGAAAATGCGGCACAGATACACCATGGAATACTATGCAGCCATAAAAAAGGATGAGTACATGTCTTTTGCAGGGACATGGATGAAGCTGGAAACCATCATTCTCAGCAAACTAACACAGGAACAGAAAACCAAACACCGCATGTTCTCACTCATAAGTGGGAGTTGAACAATGAGAACATATGGACACAGGGTGTGGGGGCAGCATCACACACTGGGGCCTGTCAGGGGTGGGGGGCTGGGGGAGGGATAGCATTAGGAGAAATACCTAATGTAAATGACAGGTTGATAGGTGCAGCAAACCACCATGGCACGTGTATACCTGTGTAACAAACCTCCACATTCTGCACATGTATCCCAGAACTTAAAGTAAAAAAAAAAAAAAAAAAAACCTTTGTTTACATTTAAAAAAAAATCCCAGTGACTCAGCACAGTGAGCGAGGAGCACAATAGGGTGGTTACCCAGACAGGACGTCCATCTAGGAGCCCTGCGGGAGGCATGCAGGTATTTCTCTGGAGGTCATGCCTGGCAGGCGTCCACTGTTAGAGCCAGAGGACCCGGAGCATTATCTGAATGAACTAATGACCAACAGGCGGGCAGAAATGAGTGCTGCGGATTGATAACAGGGACAGCCAGACCCCCTCCCATCCCCACGAGGCAGAGGCACCAGGTAAAGCTCCTTGGAAATGAGGCTGGACCCCATTAAAAATGAGGAGGGTGGGTGGGGACTAAATTAACTTAAAGGTTTTGCTGCCTGGTAAAATGAAGGTATGTAATAGGAATTAAATTCCATTATTGGAAAATAAATTAAGTTACATTTCCTGCACTCGGGAATCTGTGGCTTTTGATTTGCACTCACATGGTCTTGCAGGGGGAGGGAGAGGGAGAGGAAGGGAGGGAGGGAGGAGAAAGAGAGAGCATGTTCAGATTTATTTCCAAGGCCAGAGACTACAAAAGAAGGGTGGATGGAGAAGAGATGGTGAGGGAGACTTTCCTCTCAGGAAGTCTGTCCCAGGGGGCAAAACAGCTTCACTCCTACACAAAGCCATATCCAAGTTGGAGCTCCCACACTAGGCTCCCTTCCTTTAGGGAGCTGGGAGATGGGGGTTAGCCGACATTTCACAGCTGCAAGTTGATGGAGTAGCCCATTACAAAATTAAATCAAACTCAACCTACCACTCACCTGAAATGCCTATGGTTCAAAGTAATAAGATTCATGAGACTTCTCTAAAAGTGGATTATTATGATCAGAAAGAATATGATCCACATTGTATGGTTTTTAGGCACCATGATATGCCCCCATTATAACATTGGAGAGAATAAAATATAGGAGACAGATGTAAACAAATAATAACAGGATGAGAAACAGTCAATCTAACACAGTTGATTGAAAGTGCTTATTAGATGTTTGTGCTCACAACCAAAAATAACACCAGGTGCAAATTTTTTTTAATTAAAGAAAAAACCCTCAGATAAAGATTTTTAAGCCAAGACCTAGGAAACAGTTTTTGTTTATGAGCCCCTGAGTGATGGGGAAGCTATGCTGTTAATTACTTTAATTTTGGTGCTAACTTTTGTTGCGAATCCTTGGCATAGAGCATGGTTCAGAAGAAAGGGGTAAATTAGGTAAAGAAAACAGGACGAGGGCATTGCAAGGTGATGTTTAAGAGGCTAAACAGTAGTAGCAAATATTCAGGGCATAGTCTGCTAGGCATTGCAAATACTAGACAATTTAAATAGCAGCGCAGTTTTGATCCCTGACGTCATCCATTGTTAAAGTCTATGAATAAACTCTGAGACACAAGATGTTAGCTTGGGACCTGCCTATGGTCCTGTCAGCCACCTCTTCCTACATCACAACACAAATTCCCGGTTAGTGACTCCCAGGGTCCCTCTGGTTCTCGCATTTAAACAGGCTGATGCAGAGCTCTGAGGACCAGAGAAGGCTTGGGGTTGATTCACAGTAGAGAATAAGCACCAGACACAAACTAGACTCTGCATTTTCTTCTTCCTGCTGTAACAGAAAGAAGAAGAAAACAGTGAAGTTGTCTAAATCCTGAGAGAATCAACTTCTAGAAAAATGGTCAGAGATCAGCAGTTTAGCAGGGAGGGGGAATTGCAAATCAGCAGGATTCTGTCTCACAAGCAAAATTAAATTAAAATTCATTGTCAAGGAGTAAGCCCAACATTTGACTCACATATAAATAGTCATAGTCAGGAGACAACCGGACCCTGGGCACCATCTCAAAATCTTTTGGTAGACTTTGGTTAAAGACTCCTCTCCCATTCTAAAGGAGGCAGTCCCAAACCTTTGCATGCTGCATGCTGACTACTCAAATTCTGCTTAATTCACCCTCAAACAAAAGAAAAAAGAATAACTTCTTCCTTCAGCAAGCAAATTGAGGCGATTTGCCTTGTATTAGCTAAACAAAACTCCACTCTGCCATCTCCACCATCACCATCAAACTTAGTAACATCCACTTTCATTCTCACTTCCTTCCCACCAGAGGCAGAGAAAAAGGCCGGCCTGCCTCTTCACGTTCTTCAGTCCAAGCTACATTTCCCAGCGATGCATCCCTGCTGCTCCTCCCCTCTCCAGGGCTTTGGGCCATCAATGCTCCCTTTGTCTTATCTGTATCTTCCATAGATTCCTCTTTACCAGCTCTTGTCCTTCAGCATGTAAAAGTGTCCACGTTCCCCCATTGTGATAGGACTAAAGATTGATGAAAATATTTTAAACATGTGAATAAACTAAAAACAAAGAACTCATTGGAAGGAAAAAAAATATGCCTATTATATAACGCCTCCAATAGCAACTCAAAACATTGTTAGCCAGTGGTTAAGACCTTCAAACTTTTGATTAATACATTTTTAAGTTGACATCTAAAATTCTTTATTGTTGGTTTAAATGGCTGCAGTTGCAAAGGATATAATTTCTGGCATATATCTAAATTGTAATATTTTACAATGAACTCAAACTAATTTACAAGAAAAAAACAACCCCATCAAAAAGTGGGTGAACGATATGAACAGATACTTCTCAAAAGAAGACATTTATGCAGCCAAAAGACACATGAAAAAATGCTCATCATCACTGGCCATCAGAGAAATGCAAATCAAAACCACAATGAGATACCATCTCACACCAGTTAGAATGGCGATCATTAAAAAGTCAGGAAACAACAGGTGCTGGAGAGGATGTGGAGAAATGGAAACACTTTTACACTGTTGGTGGGACTCTAAACTAGTTCAACCATTGTGGAAGTCAGTGTGGCGATTCCTCAGGGATCTAGAACTAGAAATACCATTTGACCCAGCAATCCCATTACTGGGTATATACCCAAAGGATTATAAATCATGCTGCTCTAAAGACACATGCACACGTATGTTTATTGTGGCACTATTCACAATAGCAAAGACTTGGAACCAACCCAAATGTCCAACAATGATAGACTGGATTAAGAAAATGTGGCACATATACACCATGGAATACTATGCAGCCATAAAAAATGATGAGTTCATGTCCTTTGTAGGGACATGGATGAAGCTGGAAACCATCATTCTCAGCAAACTATCGCAAGGACAAAAAACCAAACACTGCATGTTCTCACTCATAGGTGGGAATTGAACAATGAGAACACATGGACACAGGAAGGGGAACATCACACACCAGGGCCTGTTGTGGGGTGTGGGGAGGGATAGCATTAGGAGATATACCTAATGTTAAATGACAAGTTAATGGGTGCAGCACACCAACATGGCACATGTATACATATGTAACTAACCTGCACGTTGTGCACATGTACCCTAAAACTTAAAGTATAATAAAAATAAAAAATAAAAAAATAAATTGTAATATTTTGAAACAAGACTCTTATTTGAAATATTAAAGCAATTAGAACTCTACCACCATCCATTTTTTAAATATATTAATAAAGGTTGGGCATGGTGGCTCACACCTGTAATCCTAACACTTTGGGAGGTCAAGGCAGGAGGATTGCTTTAGGCCAGGAGTTTGAGATAGCCTGGGCGACCCATCTCTACAAAGGAAAATAAAACAATTAGGCATGGTGGTGTGTGCCTGTAGTCCTACTTACGGGGGAGGCTGATGCGGGAGAATCACTTAAGCCCAGGAATTCAACGGTGTAGTGAACTATCATCATGCCACTGCATTCCAGCCTGGGTGACAAAGTAAGACCTTGTCTCAAAAAAAAAAAAAAAAATTATATATATATGAGCTCTTTTGAAAAAATCAGAAATTTTACATTATTTCTTTTCTCCTTGAAAACATATTTTTATTTCATTTTCCCACACAATTTATCATAATGTAATATATTTTTATGTTTGAATGTCTTCTGTTGATCATCCTAAGTGATCAAACACAGGTAGATAATTTTAAGTTTATATAATGTTTAAGTCATTGTGCTCATATCATTTTAAGTGTTAAAATTTGGAGGGCAGGAGTTTCAGGAATCAATTATATTATTAGTCCAAAGTTGATCCAGGCTGGGTGTGGTGGCTCACACCTGTAATCCCAGCACTTTGGGAGGCCAAGGTGGGCAGATCACTTGAGGTCAGGAGTTCGAGGCCAGCCTGGCCAATATGGTGAAACTCCATCTCTACTAAAATACAAAAATGAGCTGGGCGTGGTGGCAGGCACCTGTAATCCCAGCTACTTGGGAGGCCGAGGCATAAGAATCACTTGAGCCCAGGAGGCAGAGGTTGCAGTGAGCTGAGATTGTGCCACTGCACTCCAGACTGGGCAACAGAGCAAGACTCTGTCTCAAAAATATAAAATTAAAATTTAAAAAAAAGCAAAGTTGATCCAAACAACATAAATACATATATGTTGGTACTTAATAGGCAATAAAATGCAAACAAAAAATTGGAAATACATTTCTTAATGAGATAGCTAGGCAAGGTTTGGATGCATGGATTTTAAAAACTTATCTGATACCAATGTAGTGTTTTGAGTTGTCCATTTGTTTGGCCTCCCTGAAGTTTATTCATTACAAATAAGGCCACATAATAAAACTGACATAGAGGAGGGTCTTGCTGTCCTTTATAAAGCAGCAAAAATGATATTTTGCAAGGAGAGGTGGGAAAGAGAAGGGCCGGGCACTGTCATGGACACCTTCTGAGGCAAATCAGTTTCCAGGAAAGAGCACGTGTGGAAATTAAGTATCTAGAACTCGAAGCCATTAACATTCTCCAGGCCTCCACTTGAAACTCAGAAAATGTGCACCGGCTGCATGAGGTATGCACGCCCCAGCTTGAGTATCGCCAGGTGAGGTTATTGCTCAGCCATGAACAATTGGCCCCGCCTTCATTTATTTCCTTTGTGTTTCCTTCTCTACACACTATCAAAATAAGAAATCATCTACAGCTAAAGACACAGATGTTTTCTTCTCCATGGTGGAAATAGAGGAAATTATACTAGTCAGGCTGTATAACATTTGGTATGACATATTCCTTGTATTCACCCCACAGCTTGAGGCCTTAAGAGTAATATTTAAAAGGTCACATCTCGAGTTCATTCATGGGCATGCCCCGTGCCAGTGTTGCTGGGAGCATAACTGCATAGAAGTATAAAGATTTGGATGTCAAAGGCCATCTACCAGATGTGGGGGACGAAGCTGCAGGGCAGGAACAGAAGGCCAGTAAAAGCATCATTGGAAATCACTGTCACATTGTTTATAATTACAGGGAACAACTGCAGAGTTCTGACTACTCAATCACAGTGCAATGAGTAATGGAAGGCTACGTAGTGGCAAGAATTGAAAAGAAGACCAGGCGCAGTGGCTCACGCCTGGAATCCGAGCACTTTGGGAAGCCAAAGCAGGAGGATTGCTTGAGCTCAGGAATTCGAGAGCTTGAGACTAGCCTAAGCAACATAGTAAGACCTTGTCTCTAATAAAAATTGAAAAAATTAGCTGGGTATGATGGTGCACACCTGTAGTCCCAGCTACATGGGAGGCTGAAGTGGGAGACTCGCTTGAGCTCAGGAGTTCAAGGCTGCAGTGAGCCGTGATTGTACCACTGCACTCAAGCCTGGGCGACAGAGCGAGGCCCTATCTAAAAAAAAAAAGAAAAGACCAGGCACAGTGGCTCACCCCTGTAATCCCAGAACTTTGGAAGGCCAAGGCAGGTGGATCACTGAGCTCAGGAGTTTAAGAACAGCCTAGGCAACATGGTGAAACCCTGTCTCTACTAAAAATACAAAAAATTAGTGGGACATGGTGGCACATGCCTGTAATCCCAGCTACTGGGGAGGCTGAGACATGAGAATCTCTTGAAACTGGGAGGCGGAGGTTGCAGTGAGCCAGGATGGCGCCACTGCACTCCAGCCTGGGCAACAGAGTGAGACTTTGTCTCAAAAAAAAAAAAAGAAAAAAAGAAACAATAAAAAACCATTTAGGAACCTTCTTAAAATGCAGACTGGTGGGCCCAACCCAAGACCAACTGAAACACAATGAAGGGTGAGGAGAAACACTTTTAACAAGCAACCCTGGCTTTGGGGGACCAATGACTTAGGGAATCAGGCTTAGAAAAGAAAATGTGAACCTGTAAGAGTTCTAGGTCAGGAATCCTGAATATTTTTATTGTACAGTTGTATTTATTTTTATATTCTATCCGTGTTCATTGTGTTAACATTACATCAACAAAATAGAAACATTTAAAGGAGTTGATAGAAAACATAATTGTAAATCCTAATATTTTCTTCCCACATCCAAACAGGCCACCTGGCTTTCCCACACATCAACCTCGTGCTCACACCCCACTCTGGAGACCACCAGCTTCGAGGCAAAAAGAGAGAACGACGTACAATGGGGTAAAGCCTCCATGTGTAGGCGATGTTGTGAGGAAAGGGTGGCCGGTTGGAAGGGAACATTTTTAAATTGAGGTTATTGTTTATATTTTCTCATAAACAGCTTCTCTGTGGCCACAAGTTATTTCGGTCATTTTCACAGCTTCCTCAGATATCTGGAAAACCTTTCGACTCATTATTAAAAAATAAAACAAGATTACTTACTAAAACTTGGCCAAAAGCATGGAAGAGCCTCCTTTTCAGAAAATGACAGGAAAGTAGATTTCTTATCTAAAAGAGAAATATTAGGCTGGGCACAGTGGCTCACACCTGTAATCCCAGCACTTTGGGAGGCCAAGGCAGGTGGATCACCTGAGGTCAGGAGTTTGAAACCAGCCTGAATATGATGACACCCCGTCTCTACGAAAAGTACAAAAATTAGCTGGGCTTGGTGGCGGCCACCTATAGTCCCAGCTACTCAGGAGGCTGAGACAGGAGAATTCCTTGAACCCGGGAGGCGGAGGCTGCAGTGAGCCGAGATCGCGCCACTGCACTCCAGACTGGGCAACAGAGCAAGACTCTGTCTCTAAATAAATAAATTAATTAAATCGAATTAAATTAAATAAGAGAAATATTAGGTTGAAATCCTGTTCCTTATGGGTCAAGCTAATTCTTTTCAGTATATTAAATAATTTTTTTCCTTCTATTTTTTTCCCTTTCCTTTCCAAATCCCCCAGCATCTTCCCTCATCCACCCCATTTCAAAGAGGGTTCTGCTTGCAGGAACTCAAAGCTCAGAGCTTTTAGCTTCCCAAAGCCCTATTTCCAAACTAAAGCAAAGGTCCTTTAGAATTTGCACGGCGGGCTGTGCAAAATGAGAGAGAAGGAAATCGCTGGCAGAAATATCCCCGAAGAAGGGATTTCTCCCCCAAAGACCAGAAAGCAATTCTTCTAGGTTAGGGGAATGAGGAGACATACAGAGAAAACAAGAGGCTTGGGAGTTCCTCATGAAAGGACTGGACCTGGAGTGGCCATGCAGGAGAGGTGCAAGGGACTTGGAGCCCCTGAAGCTTCAGGAGAGCTGCGTGGCCCATGTCCTGCTGCACCGGCAGCCATCACGCCCATGAGCCCTGCCTGTGTCCAGAAACAGTGCTGCTGTCCTTGACCTCGTCACTCTGCAAGGACTTCGCTTCCCCAGCAGGCAGTTCACCTCTGGATACCCCTCCCTGATGCAAACTTTGCTCATGTCATGTCTATCAAGATCAAGAAAATGGAGCCCATAACTGAGATCAGCACATGGGTAAGGAAACTGCTGAATGGAAGGAGCTCCAAGACCTGGAACTGAGACCGAAGCTGGCAACATGGCGGGATGTTGCACCCCCCACACACACGCTCACACGTGGTTTTCATTCCTTCTTTCATATTACGGCGGGCGTGGAATTACCAGTCAATTTGACATTTATAAATACATTAACTAGCGCTTCCAATTCTTCTCCTGCTTCCAAGTTTGTTCTCACCACCTCACAGAAAATGCTGGGGACAGAATTAAATGCAGAGTAATCTAAACAAGCTTTGATATGTCATATGTCTTTCCTACTGAATAAGCTAAACCAACCAGGGTAATTTAGTGATACTTGGGCAAGAAAACTAGGAATTACGCACACTTTCCTTTTCCAAATTCCCCACATGGAAGTCTGTGAATTCTACTGCAATTACAGTGGTATAATAAAAAAGATATGCTTGGCTTTTGTTCGTGTTCTTGGCATAGACTTCCTAAAACCCTTGCAATTCCTTGAGTGATAGGAGTGTCTTTTGTTATTCATAATGAGCCCTTTTCAATTATACCTGGGATTATGTGAGTGAAGTGGCTCTTGGCAGGACCCCTGGATTGCCTCAGGATGGGGGCTGGTTTGGTTGCCAGAGGAACCAAGCATATGATTAGAGGGTAGAAATTTTCACCATCATCCCCCCACCTCGGGGGATAGGAAGGGGGCTAGAGAATGAGTTCAATCATCAATGGCAATGATTTAATCAATTATGCCTGCAATAATGGAACTTCAATAACAATCCTGAGAGAAGGAGGCCGGGGAAGCTTCTGAGCTGGCGAACATGTTTAGGGTGGCACATACTGACTCCACAGGGACAGAGACTCCTGCGCGACAGACCATTCCACACCTCACCCTATGCACTCTTCATTTGACTCCTCATTTGTGTCCTTTATAATGAACTGCAATAGGAAGAAGAGCACTTGCCTGCGTTCTGTGTCATTCTAGCAAATCACCAAACCTGAGTGGGAGGAGGTCATGGGAACCCCTACATTCGTGGTAGCCCAGGCAGAAGTAAGGGTAGCCTTGGACACCTCATTCATGGCTGATGTCTGAAATGGAGGCAGTCTTGTAGGACTGAACCCTCAACCTGTGGGACCTGGGCTCACTCTGGAGTTAGTGTCAGAATTGAATTGAATTGAATTTTTGGACAGCCAATTGGTGTTGGAGAAATGGAGAATTGATGGTAGTTAGAGAAAAATCACACAGGTACATATCCCAATTCCGACATTGCTTTCTCTTTCCACTGCTACCATTTTAGTCCCAATCCATCATCATCTGTTTCCTGGACTGCCATACGTAATGGGCTCCTTCCTAATTTTTCTTTTTTTTTCTTTGAGACCGAGTCTCACTCTGTCCCCCAGGCTGGAGTGCAGTGGCACAATCTCGGCTCACTGCAACCTCCGCCTCCTGGGTTCAAGCAATTCTCCTGCCTCAGCCTTCCAAGTAGCTGGGATTACAGGCGCCCGCCACCACACCCGGCTAATTTTTGTATTTTTAGTAGAGAAGGAGTTTCACCATATTGGCCAGGCTGGTCTTGAACTCCCGACCTCAGATGACCCACCCCACTAAGCCTCCCAAAGTGCTGGGATTAGAGGCGTGAGCTACCACGGGGCTCCTTACTAATCTTGCTTTCCTCTGCTGTTCCTATGATACAGCCAACACTTAGCCTGCGGAGTGGGTTGTTTAAAACTCAAGCCACAATATATCATCTGCTAAAAACCCTCCGGTGATTCCTATTACACTTAGATTCAAACCCAGTCCGAACCCTATTCTGACGTGCAAGGCTCTTGGTGACCTGACTCCTTCCTATCTCATACCATACCCACTTGCTCACTGAATCCTTTCCATGCTGGCCTTCCTTCTGGTTTTCTGTTTATTAAACCCACCAGTCTTCTTGATTTGACTCATCGCTCCCTCAGCTTGGCATCCTCGCCCTCTTCTCCACATGCCGGTCTGAGCTGTCACTCAGAAGTCAGCTCAGAGATGCCTTTCTGGACCATCCAATCATGGACAGAGAGCCACCAGCACAGCAGGTTGGTCTAATTCTCTGCACATCCTATCAGCGTCTGCCACGTTTTGTGTTTATTTATCAGTTTATTGTCTGACTACGAGCCCTAGAATGTAACCTCCGTGAGAAACAGGACCTTCTCTGTCTCATCCCTCACTCCAATCCTCAGTGTCCAAACAGGACCTGACACACTCAGCCAGCTAATGAATGTTTAGAGACCAGGTGGTTGAAGAAAGCCTTCACACATAAGGTGAAAATCCAGGACTTAGCAATGACTGAATTTATTTACCAGAAAACAGCAGAGACCACAATTAATCTCAGCTGGTTCTATGCTGTAGCATCCGACTGGTGACAAGGACTCATGCTGGGAATGAAACTATTTTAAGGATTTGCTTCATGAAAGGGTCTGTTTATTAGAGCAGCAGCAAATATAAACAACTTCTAGAAATCCAAACAGGAGGGCCAGCACCAAACAAGGTTGCTGGCAAGCTTTCTTGCTCAGTAAAGTCCTCTCAACGCTGTTCCCATGAAAACAATTCATTCTGCAAAGCAATCGGCCTCCTGCCTCCTTGGGCACTAATTGCTCTGCCTGGTTAGACAATTTAGAAAAATGCACCACTTTCAACATGGGAAGGGAAAGGGAAAGGAGGGGGCCTGGCTTTTCAAAAGTACAATGAGCTCTGAGAAAAAGAAAACACAGAAAAATATTTCAAGAGAGGAGAATACCTCTAAGTGGAAATGAGTGCTTTAGCTGAGGCCAGAAAGTGGATTGGACCTTCATTGCCTCAATGTCCTCCAAGGAGTCCAGAGTCCTGGCTGCTCCAGTGGGAAACAGCGAATCATGGCATTTCTTGAATCTGGCATTTGGAATGTTAGTTTTTCCCCTAAACAGACAGACCCTGACAACCATCTGTTGGGTCAGCCTGCTGTTCAGAAACAAAGATACAGTTTGGTGCATACTGATAGCCCAAAGTGCAGTTTCCATGTAAATACATCCAGCAGCTAATGCCAGTGATTAATTCTGCATATCTTTTCCCTGCCATAATTATCCATCTCACAAGGGGCATCTCAAATTTCCAAAAAGAAACCCTTTCACAGTGTATATTTAAAGCCCTTAAAATGGTCATAGTCTTTTATCCAGTAATTGCACAACCAGAAATCCATGCTGAAAGAAAACAATAAGAAATGCAGACAAGTATTTATTCTCAGGGATGTTCAAAATCCTAAAAAAAAAATATATATATACATATATATATATGAACCACCTAAATGTCCATCAACGGGAAACAGTAAAGAAAAATTACTAAATGTGCCTTTGATGGAATGTTATATAGTCGTTAAAATTATTTTTACTGGGAACTTTTAAAAGCACACTTGTGCTTTAAGGAATTCAACCATGCTTCCGACAGGTTCACAGAAACACTGGTTAATCCCAAAGAATTTCTGGGTTTCCTCAAAGCCTTTCTTTCCTTTTCTCTTTTCTGAAATCAGAGATGTTGCCACGCCATGGTGCTAAAGCAGGGGGAAGTGGGTTGGAGAGGAACGTAATCTTCATGTAAATCTATATCCACACACAAAAAAATGAATGTTCCTGTCCTTGGAAGAAAGGAGGTAAGGCAGAGTCAGGGTTTTGAATGTTTTTTCCTACCATCTGCTGATTCTATGCTTTCAAACTCTTTCTTGAGCAGCTGCTAGGCAGCTGTTTCAGCCTCCTGAGATAGGTAGAGAGGAAAAGAAAGGAAAAAAGAATACAAACCTACAGAGACTTCCACACCATCCAGACTTTAGGTAGAGTTGTGCTATTTATATATATTAATTTTTTTAATTAAAAAAATGTTTTAGGCCAGGCACAGTGGCTCATGCCTGTAATCCCAGTATTTTGGGAGACTGAGGCAGGAGGATCACTTGAGGCCAGGAGTTCGAGACCAGCCTGGCCAACATGGCAAAACCCCGTCTCTACTAAAACTCTAAAAATACAAAAATTAGCCAGGCATGGTGGCTCATGCCTGTAATACCAGCTACTACGGAGGCTCAGGCAGGAGAATTGCTTGACTCCTGGAGGCGGAGGTTGCAGTGAGTCCAGATCACGCTATTGCACTCCAGCCTGGGCTACAGAGTAAGACTCTGTCTCAAAAAAAAAAAAAATTTTTTTAGATACAGAGTCTAGCTTTGTCACCCAAGCTGGAATATAGTGGCACCATCATAGCTCACTGTAGCCTCAACCTCCTGGGGTCAAAGGATCCTCCTGCCTTAGCCTCCTGAGTGGCTTGGATTACAGGCATGCACCACCACACACAGCTAAGCTTTTTAAAAAAAGTTTTTAGTAAAGACAGGGGTCTCTCTATCTTACCCAGGCTGGACTCAAACTCCTAGCCTCAAGCGATCCTCCTGCCTTAGTCTCCCAAAGTGATGGGATTACAGAATGAGCCACCACACCCAGCTGGGTTATGCTGGGTGGAGACAATCATATTAATCTCCCTACATGGAGACCCACCCAGTTGGGCGAATGCTTTGGGTGAGTCTACTTGGTGATTGGCTCTCCAGGGCTGATGGGTTTGTGAGTGGGAACAGATCTAAATTGCCCTGCCCACAAATGGGGTAGTTGGTAGGGAGAGGGGTAGTTAGGAGCTACATGAATCATGGGGCAGGAAAGCCTGAAAAATGAAGGACTTTGAGGGAGCAAAAATATCTCATTGATCTCTCCAAAAACCATCAGAAAGCACAGCTAGATGTACTAGACTTCCTGTAATAAATGCGAACAACGCTTGACAGGGCTTAGCTGTGTCTCAAAATGGGAAAACATACTTACAGAGTTTGGGGGTCTGGGTGATTGTAAGGTGGGGAAATGGTTGGGCCTGGGCAGAGTTTCTGACATAACAGGAGTGGATTGAAGGGGAGTGGGGTGAGACGTTTGAAGAGAGCCCTGAAGAGCAAGCTGTCGGCCCCAAAGCGAGTAGCTGACACTTTTGTTTGGGTTTTTGGGGTTGTTCCCCATGTTGTTTAACACACAGACAGGAAAGTATGCCTGATCCCAGTATTGTTTAACACAGAGACAAGAAATTACATATTGATTTTTAATCTTACAGGATTTTAATGAAATTAGTGACTGTGTAATTGACACCCTTTCCTACATCTCCTTGGAAATCTTTGGTAAAATTCACCTTGCTCACTAATGCTTTGTGAAACACTTTCTTTGGTATCTGTAAGTAAACATGACACCTTGTTTCCAGGTCAGTGTAGTGATCAGAGATAACTTTGTAGCCTACGTACCCATAGGACCATTCTAACGAGAATGAAAAGGTTATGCAGGAGACATGAAGATAGACCAAAGGGCTCTGGAAACCAGACAGATGGATTTAAACCAAGAATATTTTAATAGTAATGGCAGACTAAGGGGAATCATTTAAAAAAAAAAAAAAAAGTCTAGGCCAGGCAGCGGTGGCTCACGCCTGTGATCACAACACTTTGGGAAGCCAAGGCAGGTGGATCACTTGAGGTCAGGAGTGTCAGGCCTCTGAGCCCAAGCGAAGCCATCATATCCCCGCGACCTGCACGTATACATCCAGATGGCCTGAAGCAACTGAAGATCCATAAAAGAACTGAAAATTAAAAAAAAGAAAAAGAAAATAGCCTTAACTGATAACATTCCACCATTGTAATTTGTTTCTGCCCCACCGTAACTGATCAATGTACTTTGTGATCTCCCCCACCTTTAAGAAGCTTCTTTGTAATTCTCCCCACCCTTGAGAACGTACTTTGTGAGATCCACCCCTTGCCTGCAAAACATTGCTCCTAACTCCACCGCCCATCCCAAAACCTATAGGAACTCATGATAATCCCATCACCCTTTGTGGACTCCTTTTTCAGACTCAGCCTGCCTGCACCTAGGTGAAATAAACAGCCTTGTTGCTCACACAAAGCCTGTTGGTGGTCTTCACACGGATGTGTGAGACAAGGAGTTCGAGACCAGCTTGGCCAACATGGTAAAACACTGTCTCTACTAAAAATACAAAAATTAGCCGGGCGTGGTGGCTCCTGCCTGTAGTCCCAGCTACTCAGGAGGCTGAGGCAGGAAAATTGCTTGAACCCAGGAGGTGGAGGTTGCAGTGAGCCAAGATTGTGCCACTGTACTACAGTCTGGGCAACACAGCGAGACTCCTTCTAAAAAAAAAAAAAATGTCTACACAACGTCTTCAGCTTAGGATAGAGAGGGAAGAGGAAGAAGCCAATTGAAAGGCTGTCACACAAGGTGAACAAGCCTTGAATAAGGACATTCACAAAGTTAGTTGTAAAGAGCGCAGATACAAACTATGAATCACAAGCCAACAAGCCACAGAATTTAAAGTAGGCCAAATATGAGTTATCAGATGCAAAGAAGAGTCGAAGAAAACTCTAAATTTTCAAGCCTTTGATCGGGAAGATAATGATATTTTTGAGAATGAGGAACATAAGACAAAATATTGAGAGAAGGAAGAATGCAGTTTGGGCAGTTTGGGTTCGTCCAGGCACTGAGAGATCTAAGTGATACCTCTGGAAATGATATAGGAATTCAGAAGAAAGTACTTAGCCAGATAATGAGGGTACAGAGGTCCTTGGTAAGGTTTTCCTTTTAATGAAAAGCAGCCCCTAAATCATTTTCTTTTCTAACAAAGGCAGCCTGTAAAATCAAGCTGCAGACATAGACAGGCAAGCTGGAAGTTTGCACAGGTGAATGCCGGCAACTGTGCCAATAGGAAAAGGCTACCTGTGACTAGGCATGATCAAAATGGCAGTTCCATTGGCCCTTCTCTTTGCCAGCAACATGTACAGTAAGGAGCAGACAAGATGGCTCTGGCCAAAGGGAAAGCCCATTTGCATAATAAGATTAGGGTGTAAATGTCACACCTGGTCAAACCAATCTGTGGGCCCTATGTAAATCAGACACCGCCTCCTCAAGCCTACCTATAAAATCTGCAGTGGTCCCCTGCAGGCTGGCTTTTCCCTTTCAGACGCCTCTCTCACAAGAGAAAGAGCTGCTCTCCTCTCTCCTTTCATCTGCCTAGTAAACTTTCTGCTCCCTAACCCACCTGCATGTGTCCGTGTCCTTAATCTTGGCACGATATGACGGACCCCTAGTATTTACCCCAGACAAGGATGCTGCTTCAGAAGGTAGTTAGGGATGTGGGTGTGATGCTTTGGTGAAATGACAGAAGAGAGATTACAGCAACTGCTGCATCTCAAGTGCATCCCACAGTCCAGACCTTGTGCTGCCTGGTCTCACAGGTGAGATCTCTAGCGGCCTTGCGATGGCAGGAAGAGTAGGCAGGCACGGTCCTCTCTAGGAGAAAATCTGGCAGACATGCATACTTCACAAACATGCAACATAAGAAGGAACTGTGAAAACACGTCTATACTTTTCCCAAGGGCACCTTTTGTCCCTGCACATTGGGGCTCTCCTGGCCTGCGGGAAGTGTACCCGTGTCCATCTCATTCTCTCTCTTTCCTCCCTTCTGTTCTACCCTTGTGAGGCCCAGTTTCTCCTGCCCTGTTTCTCCCAACACGTGCTGCCAGCTGGGGCCTCCGGGACCCATGTCCCTGGTTCCATGCTGAAGCCAGCTCCTTGGAGCTGGGGTACCCATCTATCTCAGGAAACACCAGGGGTCTTTTAGACTTTTCTTAGTGAAGTAGTCACAACCCAAGAAATATCTTTCTCTGGTTAATTTTGAAGGATTCCTAGCATGCTTTGTTGTGATTGAAAAATTCTTTTCTTTACAAAGGGTAAGGAAGAAGGGTAGCAGAGGGTAGGAAAAGTTGAGACTAGAAAACTTGTTTTCCCAGTGATGAAATAATCCTTCCCCCAAATGATTTTATTCTTAGGGGCTCTTAAATTTCATTCTGTAAAAAAGAAAGTTCGAGCAACCTAGCCTGGGAGAAAGAGGAGAAATCCGCAGACCAGAAGAACAACTGGCCAGAGAAAAGTGATGTCAGAAAGCAGCATGCTGGAGGAGCAGCTCCAGCAGAAGCCCTGGAGAACAAGGGGAGATTCAAAATCACTGGACTTGACAATGAGGAGAGAGATTATGACCTTCAAAAAAGCAGCGTCAGCAGAAAGGAGCGGTTACGCTTTGCTCGATGCAAGTTACCCAGAAATCATCCCCTCTAATCCTGTACTTCCTGACATCGCTTTCCCAACTTTTTGTAAATACTCATATGTCAGGCTCCTCCAATTCCATTGGTTAACTCAAGAAAGCAGAAGAAAACTTTATGTGAGTAATAAAACTGTGGGTTTGGTGATACTCGTGATCATTTGTAAAACCACATGTTTTAACACGCACACAGAAAATTCACTTTCAAAAAACAGTTGTTGCCAATTTTCTGTTCTCTGTCACAAAGTGGCTCCAGGTTGAGTTTCCAAAGCCTACATATTTGTGGCTGCCTTTCTGGAAAAATGCTAACAATGAACTCCACATCCAGCCTCGTCTCAAGCAGATTTCTGTTGGCCGCAATTATGAGAAGGTGTACGAATCGGTCCATACCCTAAACATCCATGCTATTCTCCGTTTTTGTATCCTTATCAGAAAACTAAACCACATCCTCAAGCTAGTGTTTGTTTTTAAACCAAGCAGAGTTTCTGGCATCCTTGTTTAAGGTACTGAAATTTTGTGCAGATATCTTTACCACATGCTTTGAACTTCACCCATCAGTCATGATTAAATGCTCTCAATTCCCACACCCCTGTGTTCATGTATGCTTTCATTTGCAGATAGAGAGATAAAGATATATAGAGAGAGATATACACAGATATATATACAGATATATCTACCATATATATAAAACTATATATATAATTTGAAGTTGGTCATGACTTTAGGTACTTTCATTCATCTAATTATATTACTAGAAGCTCAATCCTAGGAATATTTGCCAATGAATACTTTCAAAGTTGAATCCCACAGCCAAATGAATTAGTGTTATAAGATGGTACCGTTGCATTCAATAAACCTTACATTTAATGTAACATGCAAAACGTTTTCCAAACCACCAACCATTCCCAGACTGTTTGAAATACAAATACGTCCACAGTAGCATGGCCTAGATGATTTCTTATGTCCGTCGGACTAAGCAATTTCATAAAGATAGCTGATTTTTAACAGACATATTTCAAGTTCAATAATGCAAACAGATGAGTCAAACAAAAGCAGTATTAGTGTTAGTATCATTCAGGGTTCTTTAGAGAAAAAAATTAAGAGGATGTGTGTGTGTGTGTGTGAATATAAATACATATACATATAAATGTATATGTACACATTTTTCAGAGAATTACTTCAAGGAATTGTCTTGTGTGACTGTGGGAGTTGGCAGGACTGAAATACTTAGGGCGGGGGACAGGATAGAAACCCTACCAAGATTTCTACTTTATAGTCTTGGGGCAAAGTTTCTTCTTCCCCCGAGGAAGCCTCAGTTTTTGCTCTCAGGCCTTCAATGGATTGGTTGAGGCCTACCTGTATTATCAAGGCTAATCTCTTTCACTTAAAGTCAGTTGATTGCAGATATTAACCACATCTACAAAATACTCTCACAGCAACCTCTAGATTAATGTTTGATTAAATAACTTAATACAATAGCCTAGCAAAAGCGACATATAAACTCGACATCAAAGTTGACTATCACAGTGTGGCAGTCCTTATGAATACAGAATGTAGTTCCAATATCAGCAAAGTCTAAATCAGATTGGGACGATGTTGCAAAGATATTGAAGGCATAGCTCCTTTTGTGCAAGAGAAGATCATCTAATGAGATAAACTGACAGTCATGGAAAATTGCATAAACATACATATGCTACAACCACACAAGCTGAAGAGAGACATCTCTGCAAGGCCAAAACCCAACACCAATTAATTCATTGATTTTAGTCCTCTGTACACTTGTGCTATCAAAACAAAAATCATTTGTCTTAAGAAAACCATACCATTATTAAAAAGTAAAAAAATTACAGATGCTGCCCAGGTTGTGAAGAAAAGGGAATGCTTATACACTGCTGGTGGGAATGTAAATTAGTTCAGCCATTGTGGAAAGCACTCTGGCGATTTCTTAAAGAACTTAAAACAGAACTACCATTCCACCCAGCAATCCCATTATTGGGTGTACACCCAGAGGAATAGAAACCATTCTACCACAAAGACACACATACACATATGTTCATTGCAGCACTACTCATAATAGCAAAGACAAAGAATCAGCCTCAATGCTCAATGGTAGACTGGATTTTTAAAACGTGGTACACACACGCCATGGAATACTATACAGCCATGAAAAGGGATGAGATCATGTCCTTTGCAGCAACATGGATAGAGGTGGAGGCCATTCTCCTAAGCAAACTAACGCAGGAACAGAAAGCTAAATATTGCATGTTATCACTTATAAGTGGGAGCTAAACATTGAATACATATGGACACAAAAAGGGGAACACAAACACCAGAGTCTACTTGATGGTGGAGGGTTGGGGGAGGGTGAGGATCGAAAAACTCCCTATTGGGTACTATGCTTATTACCTAGGTGGCAAAATAATCTGTACATTAAACCTCTGCAACATGAATTTACCTATGTAACAAACCTGAATATGTACACCTGAACCTAAAATAAAATAAATGAAAACCATATCACATTAAAGAAACAATGTTATCTTAGGGAACAAGGTCTCAAATTATACAAATTTTAATTTTGCCCAGGATATGTAATAGTTTTCTGTTGTCAAGGTGATTACTTTTTTTTCTTTTTCTTTTTAAATCCTTTTTTTTTTTTTTTTTTTGAGACAGAGTCTTGCTGCCAACCAGGCTGGCGTGTAGTGGCAACATCTTGGCTTACTGCAACCTCCACCTCCCAGGCTCAAGCGAGTCTCCTGCCTCTGCCTCCCGAGTAACTGGGATTACAGGTGTGAGCCACCACATCCAGCTAATTTTTGTATTTTTAGTAGAGATGGGGTTTCACCATGTTGGCCAGGCTGGCCTCGCACTCCTGGCCTCAAGTGATCCACCCACCTTGGCCTCCCAAAGTCCTGGGATTACAGGCATGAGTCACCACGCCCAGCCATGATTACTCTTTTATCTTGACAGTATTATATAAAATAATTATGAAGCCACCTTATGAATATTCTACCCAACTTCCTTAAAGCTTTATCATATAAAAGAGCTATCATTAAGGAAATGAAAAAGATGAAGGACAAGGAAGTTGCTATTATGAGCAGAATCACTTTTATCCTGGTGGCCATACTTCTTTTACATCCTGGTTTCACTTCTTTTTTGTCCCTTTACATTTTAAAAAAGAAACTACCATTAGAAAACCAGAACTATCAAAATATCAAATCTCTTGTTTTGAGCTTTGTGATAGTTAATTTTCCTGTCAACTTGGCTAGGCTATGGTGCCCAGTTGTTTGGTTAAACACTAGTCTAGATGTTGCTGTCAAGGTATTTATGGATGTGGTTAACATGGAAATCAGTAGACTTTTAGTAAAACACAATACCTTTCATGATGTGATGGGCCTCATCCAATCAGTTGGAGGCCTTAAAAGCAAAGACAGAAGTTTCTCTTAGCTAAATTTCCTACCAGTCTGCCCTACCAATTTTGGAGTTGTCACTCTCCAGAATCATGTAAGCCAATTCCAGTCAATCAATCAATAGATAAATGTATGTACACATGTATATATGTATATGTGTGTGCATATGTATGCATGTGTGATATGGTTTGGCTATGTCCCCACTCAAATCTCATCTTGAATTCCCATGTGTTGTGTGAGGGAGCCATTGGGAGGTGATTGAGTCATGGGGGCAGGTCTTTCCTGTGCTGTTCTCATGATAGTGAGTCAGTCTCATGAGATCTTATACAGCAGCATGAAAATGGACTAATACAGTGTGTGTACTGTTTCTCTGGGAACATTGACTCATTGACTAAGGCAAGCTTTTTTTTTTTTTTTTGGTTTGCTTATAAATATTTTAGACAAGAGATACAACTTATTGTAACAAAAAAATCTTTTATATACCTGTGTGTTAGTCTGTTCTCACTCTACTAATAAAGACATAACCTAGACTCGGTAATTTATAAAGGAAAGAGGTTTAATGGACTCACAGTTCCACATGGCTGGAGAGGCCTCACAATCATGATGGAAGGCAAAGGGGAAGCAAAGATGTGTCTTACATGGAAGTGGGCAAGAGAGCTTGTTGGGGAACTCCCTTTCATAAAACCATCAGTTCTCTTGAGACTTATTCACTGTCACCAGAACGGCACAGGAAAAACCTGCCCCCATGATTCAATTATCTCCACCTGGCCTCGCCCTTGACATGTGGGGATTATTACAATTCAAGGTGAGATTTGAGTGGGGACACAGCCAAACCATATGAGCTTGTTTTACCAGTAACTAAATAATTTATTTCAATGGTATGAGATCATCTTAAGTTTATTTTTTCAAAATATATGTATCTTTTATTTGGAATCTGATTATAAAAATAAATTGTAAAACATAATGACACTGAATAGTTATTGGATGATACCAAGAAATGTGTTAATATTTTTACATGAAACAATGGTTTGCAGTTATTTTATCAAAAGGAGAGTAATCTTTTGAAATATATATTTGGTACCTTTATGGATAAAGTGATAGAAAATTAAAGTCTTTCTATGGAATTGCTTTTGGCATTTGTGTTTTTAGTCACTCTTTTCACTTACATTTATTTATTACACTTACATTTCACTTACCTTTATGTTTCTTTTTATAAAAATAAAACAGATGGCCAGGCGCGGTGGCTCACGCCTGTAATCCCAGCACTTCGGGAGGCCGAGGCAGGTAGATCACCTGAGATCAAAAGTTCCTGACCAGCCTAACCAATATGGTGAAACCCCATCTCTACTAAAAATACAAAAATTAGCCGGGCGTCATGGAGCGTGCCTGTAATCCCAGCCATTCGGGAGGCTGAGGCAGGAGAATCGCTTGAATCCAAGAGGTGGAGGTTGCAGTGAGCCAAGATTGTGCCATTGCACTCCAGCCTGGGCAACAAGAGCAAAACTCCATCTCAAAATAAATAATAAATAAATAAATAAATAAGACATATAAGATTTGCTACAAGAAAATTTATTTCAATAGTGTGACTACATCCTATTTAATTTCATGTTGTATATTTTTAAGGACAAGAGAAGGAAAAGGAAAAAAAGTTCACTGAATGCTTCCTATGTGCCAGGCTCTGTGTAGGTTATCTTTTAATTCTCAGAGCAGGAGTGGTGGATGGTATTTTAGTCATTTCACAGTGGGGAAAATAGTGGTGATGGAAGTGAGTATCAGTGAGGATAACAGACTGCTTCAACTTAGCTTAAAAGTAGAGAGATGGACGTTCTTCCACGAGAGTCGTCGGGGTTTCCTGCTTCAACAGTGCTTGGACAGAACCTGGCGCTCGTCCCCCACACCGGCCGGCTGCCCATAGCCAGCCCTCCGTCACCTCCTCACCGCGCCCTCGGACTGCCCCAAGGCCCCCGCCGCCGCTCCAGCACTGCGCAGTCACCACCGCGAACGCAGCCGCCTCTCCTTAGTCGCCGCCATGACGACCGCGTCCACCTCACAGGTGCGCCAGGACTACCACCAGGACTAAAGGCCGCCATCAACCGCCAGATCAACCTGGAGCTCTACGCCTCCTGCGTTTACCTGTCCATGTCTTACTACTTTGACCGCGATGATGTGGCTTTGAAGAACTTTGCCAAATACTTTCTTCACCAATCTCATGAGGAGAGGGAACATGCTGAGAAACTGATGAAGCTGCAGAACCAAGGAGGTGGCCGAATCTTCCTTCAGGATATCAAGAAACCGGACTGTGATGACTGGGAGAGCGGGCTGAATGCGATGGAGTGTGCATTACATTTGGAAAAAAATGTGAATCAGTCACTACTGGAACTGCACAAACTGGCCACTGACAAAAATGACCCCCATTTGTGTGACTTCATTGAGACACATTACCTGAATGAGCAGGTCAAAGCCATCAAAGAATTGGGTGACCACATGACCAACTTGTGCAAGATGGGAGCACCCGAATCTAGCTTGGCGGAATATCTCTTTGACCAGCACACCCTGGGAGACAGTGATAATGAAAGCTAAGCCTCAGGCTAATTTCCCCATAGCCGTGGGGTGACTTCCCTGGTCACCAAGGCAGTGCATGCATGTTGGGGTTTCCTTTACCTTTTCTATAAGTTGTACCAAAACATCCACTTAAGTTCTTTGATTTGTACCATTCCTTCACATAAAGAAATTGGGTACCAAAAAAAAAAAAAAAAAAGTGAAGAGATAGGAGTCTCTCTCCAATACCTATATATACCCCTTCCCATTGTAGTGAACTACATCCCTCGGAATAAGGAGGTTACATTATTATTGAGTGGCAAGCCAAAACAATCATTTCACAGAATCCTTCATGCCAAATTAGATATCTATGCATGACACAGAACCTAGAAAGACTTGGGTTGTGTTTCAAAGAAAACTTCCCCCAAAAGAAAATGAAGATGATTCTATATTCATGCCATTTATAGCCATAGAAGATCATGATATCATCTTTTCTGAAGGATTTTTTTAAAATCACAAATGCAGACAAGATCAGAAAAATGTACATATTGCATTTTATGAATGCAAGAAAGTGGACATATTGAGCAACTCTGTTATGAATGAATTGGATATATGATCTTATAGAGGGGGTTATACTTAAAAGTTTATGTTTTCTAACAAATATGTGACCACATATTCAGTGTAACCACTATTATCATTTGAACCTGAGGTCACCTTAAGTTTTAACCTGAAAGGAATGGCATGTATTTTGTGTTTGCGTGTGACAGAGTCTCACTCTGTCACCCAGGCTGGAGTGCAGTGGCTCAATCTCGGCTCACTGCAGCGTCAACCTTCCAGGCTCATGCCATCCTCCTGCCTCAGCCTCCTGAGTAGCAGGGACTACAGTCATGCACCACCACAACCAGCTAATTTTGGGGGTTTTTGTTTGTTTGTTTTGTTTTGTTTTGTTTTGTTTTGTTTTTTGGTAGAGATGGAGTCTCACTATATTGCCTAGGCCGGCCTCAAACTCCTGGGCGAAAGTGATCCTTCCACCTCGGCCTCCCAAAGTGCTGGGATTACAGGTGTGAGCCACCGTGCCCGGCTGGCATGCATTTATTTCACTTTGCCCCTTCAGGGAGCCACTTCACTGATCATTCTTAGACTGCAGTTGGCATGACTGGATACACTCTGTTCTCCTTCCAAACACTGCTTCCTTAGCACTCAAGGCTTTTTAGGTAGTGGACACTGGCCAGTCTAAATGGATTCCAGGTGTTCAGCGTGGAAACTGTATGCCTCTTCCTGGAAAGGATAAAGATTTGCTGTGGTTAACTTGGAAACCAAAGCAAGAGGGTGATTTGGGGCTGTCACCTGTGATGCTTAGGATCATTCTATTATTATGCTTTCTTAGTTTCCACTCCTGTGGAGCCATTCAATCAATTGGCACTCGGCTAATTAACAATCTGAAAATTACCATGGTTAAGGAACAGAGGAAAAGTACAGCAGACATTTAATTATGTGAACATTAGTCTCTGGTTAGACTGCTTTATTGATAAAATTTGCTGAAATGGGTAAGATTTTCCCGTTGCTAGGGCAACCTGCCTACAGGAATAACCAATCTATACATCATTCCAGCAAGCGGTCTTTGCAATTTAATAAAAGAAAAAATAAATGTAGCTACAGAGCCACATTGGAGAGAAGACACAAAATAAAATACAGAAGGGAAAATGATAATGCTTGAGATGGTGGGTGTTGGGTTTGAAGATTGGAGTGAAACATGGCTACTTTCCCGAAAGAAGGCCAACTCTAGGAAGGATACAGAAGAAATAAGATATAAGCAGCATATGGTCTTTCCCCTTCTGTCATCTTATTTTTTTACCACTTCCCCTTGCTCTCTCCTTTCCATCCTCATTGGACTTCTGGCCGTTTCTCAAATGTGCTGTGCGACCTCCCACCTCACTCCATATTTCCTCATTTGTCTGCTTGGAAACCTCTCCCCAGAAACACACATGGTTCCCTCTCTCTCATATCCTACCCTCCTCTTATCAGAGCATTCTTTCCTGACCATTATTTATGAAGTAGCCCCCTGCCACACCCACCACTGTCCTTGACTATCACTTTATAATACTTTCTTTTTTTCTCCAGAGCATCTTTCTCCATGTGATATTACATATGCATTTGCTGTTTATTCTCAGTTTTCCTTGCTGGAATGGAAGCTGTAGTAAGATTAAGATTGTTTTGGTCATTGCTCTGCCTTCAGCATCCTGAACAGTGTCTTGTTCTTTGTGCACACAGATTATTATTTGCTAGTATGTGAAGTTCGGCTTCTAAATTTTTTAATTAAAAAAATAAAAATAGAGACGAGGTCCCACTTTGTTGCCCAGGCTGGTCTCAAACTCCTGGGCTCAAGCAATCCTCCCTCCTCGGACTCCCAAAGTACTGGCATTACAGGGGTGAGCTACTGCATCCAGCCTGCTCCCAATCTTTAAAAATCTAGTTAGGAAAAAAAAAAATCCAGTTAGGGAAATAAAACCAACATATGTAAAGCAAGCATAAAGTGTTAATATGATACAAATCAACAAGACAAAAACAAACCCAAAAGCAGTGGCAATGGGATACAGAATGGGTTAGAAGAGAAAAGAAAAAGCATTCTTAGGGAAATAGGACTTTGGTCACTAGCAGAAAAATCCTTCTAAAACATCACGTGCGTCCTACCAGTCCTGAGCTAGATATTGCCTATTGATTCTTCACAGGGGCTAGAAGTATGGAGACCACATTTCACAGACGCCCATGCCGGCTTGGTTCCAGCCAAGGATCTGCCAACAGGAGGCTCTTGTGGAAGGTTAGAAGGAAGAAGGAGAGTACACATCTTTCCTTTTGAAGCCTTAGTGGTATCTAAGCAGTTGGAAGCAGGTTTCTGTAGCTCCTGACCTCTGAAAACCACACTCTCCTTTCCACTCCTCCAACCCGTCTAACAATTGTAATTTAATTCTATTGTAAATCTAAATCTAACCTAAATCTAATGTAAATTGTAATCTAATTCTCCATATTAAATACCTCTTTGCTGGAAATATCTGAAGTGTTTTTTCTTTTTCTTTTCCTGACTTAATCTAAGCTGAGAACCTGCTACTTCTTAGCGTATTTATTCTTTAATTCATATTCTCAATTAAATATGACTTGAATTTATATTCTTTAATTCATATTCTAAATTCTAAGGTTTACCTGGTGGGGAAGAAGGCTACACAGGCAACCACCCTCAAGAAAGCTCTCTCCAGATCATGTAAGCCCAGGAGTTCAAGACCAGCCTGGGCAACAAAGTGAGACCCCATCCTACAAAAAAATTAAAAAAGTAGTCAGGCATGGTGGTGCATGCCTGTGGTCCCAGCTACATAAGAGGCTGAGGCAGGAGGATCTCTTGAGCCCAGGAGGTTAAGGCACAATAAGCCAAGTTTGTGCCATTGCACTCCAGCCTGGGTGACAGAATGAGACGTTGTCAAAAAAAAAAAGAAAGAAAGAAAGAAAGAAAGGAGAAAAAGAAAAGAAAGAAAGAAAGAAAAGAAAGAAAAGAAGGAAGGAAGGAAGGAAAGAAAGAAAGGAAAGAGGGAGGGAAGACAGAAAGAAAGAAAGAAAGAAAGAAAGAAAGAAAGAAAGAAAGAAAGGAGGGAGGGAGGGAGAGAGGGAGGAAGGAGGGAAGGAAGGAAAGAAGGAAGGAAGGAAGGAAGGAAGGAAGGAAGGAAGGGAAAGAAAACTGTCCTAGATGGTTCCCTCTGGCCAGCATTCATCTGTCTTTTGTCTGAATTCCTAAATTACATATGGTAGTCAGCACCCCACAATTTTCACCTAATTTCACACTGTCATATCTTACTCTGTATTTTTTTCTTAAATACAAATTTGCACTCTCCAATTATATTTTACGTATCTAGAAGGCAAGCCTCGGAGCTTTTACTTTTATCTCTGGTAATACCTATGACAGTATTGGGCATTTTGTCAATACCCAATATATAAACGTGTTAGTTTCACTTGAAAGGAATAAAAGAGTATTTCTCACATCAGTGTGGAAGGGCGTTGATTTGGCCACTGTCATTGATTATATCATCCTACTTGTCAACCTTCCATAAACCACTTTAAACTTTGGTAACACAGTTGAAGGAGTTAGAAAGAAATAAAGGGTAGGAAAAAATTAGCACAGAAGAACTTCTATAGGACCCCTGGTTTTACATGTAAAAATCTATGATTTCAGTTCAGTAAAAATGAGTCTGCTAACACCTGGAGCCCAACAGCCATTTTTAGCTAATTTTCACAGATCTCGAGGTTGCCAAAATGTCACAGGATGCTGTCCTAACTAAGCTGACAGCCTACTTCACTTAAGCTCCCTTCATTATTAATCTCAACATTTGCTTATTTGTATCTGCTATTTTCTGCTAGACACAGATTTGTGATTCAATAATAATAATCAGAGTTATTGAGGGATTGGGGGAAAATTATTTTTCAAATGCGTAATTGATTCTAATACATAGTCAATTTAATTAAATAGGCTTGGATAAAAAGACAAGAAATCTCTCCAAGAAAGGATCTGTACAAGAAATATCTTAAAGAAAGGAGTTATACAAGCCAGATACCTCGTGAGAATTTTGGAGCAAACTGTCGCAATGCCATCTTTGACCCTCCACAGAAAAATCAGCTAAATTAAGAGCCAGAATATAAGGCCTGGAAATCCTGAAATATGGAATCACAAACAATTTTGCCCCTCTCAGAATACTCAGAGAGAGAGAGAGAGCACCAAGGCTCATATCATCAGAAACATCTTCCAGCACCTATGATTCCAACAGGAATTGATTTGTTAGTCAATGTGCAAAGATAAAGTCATTATCTTCTTATTACTAACAAAGCCCTAAATAAGCTACTAATTTAGAACTGGTGAAGTATCCAGGTGAGGAACTGAGAAGTAAAGATTTTCTTTCTAGATTCCAGAGAACAGGATGAGGTTTTTATTGTTGTTCTTGTTTTGAGTTTTTTTGAGACAAAGTCTCGCTCTGTCGCTCAGGCTGGAGTGCAATGGCATGATCTTGGCTCACTGCAACCTCCGCCTCCCAGGCTCAAGCGATTCTCCTGCCTCAGCCTCCCAAGTAGCTAGGATTACAGGTGTGTGCCACCACCCCTGCTAATTTTTTGTATTTTTAGTAGAGACGGGGTTTCACCGTGTTGGCCAGGCTGGTCTCGAACTCCTGACCTAAAATGATACACCCACCTCGGCCTCCCAAAGTGTTGGGATTACAGACGTGAGCCACCATGCCCAACAAGGGTGAGTTTTTAAATGAGGCATGTGTGCTTTATTTCCTTGATTAAGGACCCAGCGTGATGCCCTTTAACATTGATCTGCACCTGTGGCTTTGTCTTGCCTGTGCCAACCAACTCAGATGGTCCTTACTGATAAGTTACATTATTCAGGGCTGGTAGTTACAAAAAACAGTAGATTGGTTATTTAAGCAGAAAAGAGGTTTCATAAAGGGTAACAAGTAACTCTCAGAATCTCCTGATTGATCAGAGAATGGGTTTATAGGCAGTGTGACGAGGAACAAAACCTGAGTTTCACCAACCTACTGCCCACAAGCCACTGACATTGTCCCAGAGCAAGGGCCCTGGCAAGCAGCTCACGTCTCTGAGGCCTCATGCTTTCCACTTCTGCTCTCAGCCATGAGCATCCCAAACAAGCTGGCATGAATGCTGTGTGCCAGGCCCCTGCTTCTTTTGCTTGCTCTAAGTTAAAGCCTACCACAAGTGCACCTCATCTATTCAGTCTGGGTCACATGCTTTGTTTAGTTGCAAAGGATACCGCCATGCTTGGCCACATTGAAGCCAAAGTCAAAAGGGAAAATCTGTAATGCTGTCTTTGTTTTAAAATGTTAACCAACATAGATTTTTTGAATTTTTTGAAATATTGCATTAAAATTTTATTTATCTTAGGCTGGGTACAGTGGCTTAGGCCTGTAATCCCAGCACTTTGGGAGGCAAAGGCAGGCAGATCACCTGAGGTCAGGAGTTTGAGACCAGCCTGGCCAACACGGTGCAATCCCATCTCTACCAAAAATACAAAAATTAACTGTGTGTGATGGCATGTGCCTGTAATCCCAGCTCCTCAGCAGGCTGAGGTATGAGAATCACTTGAATCCAGGAGGCAGAGGTTGCAGTGAGCCGAGATGGTGCCACTGCACTCCACCTTGGGTGACAGAGCAAGACTCTGTCTCAAAAAAAAAAAAAAAGTTACTTATCTTGATTACTGCATTTTTTGGCGCCCCCTTAAGTTTGTCCCGTGAGGTGAGTGCCTCACTCATGCTGACCATAGCCCATGCAAAGGAGGCTGGGAAAGTGAGTTTCTGGGTATGAAATTGAATGGGGGATGTGGTACACAGAAAACAGCCCCCAAAGAGATGCATGTCCTGACCCCGGAAATTGGTAATATACTACCTTACATGGCAAAGAGGAGTTTGCAGATGTGACTGAGGAACTTGAGGTGGGAAAATTAGCTTGGATTATCCAGGTGTGCCTTGTCTAATCACAGGGGTTCCTTATGGGAGGAAGGCAGGTGGGGGAGAGGAGGAGAGGTGACAGAGAAGCAAAGGGCAGAGAGATCGGAAGACTCTATGCTACTAGCTTTGAAGATAAACACGGCCATGACCTAAGGAATACAGGCAGTTTCTAGAAGCTGAAAAAAGCAAAGAGACCAATTCTAGAGCCTCCAGAAAGAATGCAGCCTGCTGTCACCTTGACTTTATCCCAGAGAGACCTGTTCGGACTTCTGATCACCAAAACTCTAAGATACTAAGTTTGTGCTTTTTAAGCCACTAAGACTAAACATAGTTGTGGAATTCTCCAGATACCTTAAGAGTGTTCAAAATGTATCAGGCAGTCAGAAAGAATGACAATTGCACAACAACTGATGATTTTAAATGTTCTATTTATATTTTCATCCTTTCACTCAAACTACACTATGACATGCTTTTGTGGTTCTTATAATCAAGCTACAAACAAAACAGCATTTGTCAAGTGAAATGACACGTTCTCTGCTTAGCCTCTAACCATCAATTCACCAAGTGTGAATTAATTGCATCATTTTGTGAGCATATGTTCAATATTCTTACGTTATTTTCACTTGTTAGAGTACAGGAGTCTTCTATACTTTGCAAACAAACATTCAAGACCAAAACCCAGACCCCAAGACTTAGTTTCCACTCAACAACAACAACAGCTAAAAAATGGCAGAGTAGTTCCTCTCATGCCTCTTTATTAGAAAACAGCGACTTTATGTTTTTCTCTTTTTTTTTTTTTTGAGACAGAGTCTCGCCCTGTCACCTAGGCTGGAGTGCAGTGGTGCGATCTCAGCTCACTACAACCTCTGCTTCCCGAGTTCAAGCGATTCTCTTGCCTCAGCCTCCCAAGTAGCTGGGATTACAGGCCCCTGCCATCACGGCCTGGTAATTTTTGTATTTTTAGTAGAGACAGGGTTTCACCATGTTGCCCAGGCTGGTTACAAATTCCTGACCTCAAATGATCCACCTGCCTCAGCTTCCCAAAATGCTGGGATTACAGGCATAAGCCACTGTGCCTGGCCATGTTTTTCTTTAAAATGGTTCTAACAGCCGGGCATAGTGGCTCATGCCTGTAATCCCAGCAGTTTGGGAGGCCGAGGCGGGCCAATCACCTGAGGTCAGGAGTTCGAGACCAGCCTGACTAACATGGAGAAACCCCATCTCTACTAAAAATACAAAATTAGCCTGGCGTGGTGGCATATGCCTATAGTCCCAGCTACTCAGGAGGCTGAGGCAGGAGAATCACTTGAATCTGGGAGGCGGAGGTTGTGGTGAGCCAAGATGGCACCATTGCACTCCAGCCTGGGCAAAAAGAGTGAGATTCTGTCTCAAAAAAAAAAAAATGTTCTAACCTAATATCTAACCTAATAGAATGTGAGTCTCCTTCCTAGAATAAAAATAATAACGACATAGCCTACTTTATCTGTTTATTGAGTATTCACTTTTCCCTGAAAAGCTAAAACACTCTGACATAATCAGAAATAGGTTTTTTGTTTCTTGAGAGCTTGTTTGGAGGTTCTAGCAGGGGAGCGCAGCTACTCATATGCCCTTGACCAAAGACCAGTCCTCCTCTATCAGGGATGGTCATCCTCTTTGACTGAGCACGCAGCTTCGGGAGGGACGCAGGTGGAGTGGTAACAGAGGAAGGGGACACCCGCCTAGCCAGCCAGATCAGCAGAATCAACTCTAGCGATCGATGGGGTGACAGATGTCACAGCCAGATCGCCCTCACACCCAGTTTTTTGTTTCTTAGAAAAATTTTAGTAGATAATTTTCATAGATAAAAGATGGTCTCTAACGTAAGTACAAATCATATTCCAAAACTGCACTTGTTGGTCAGTCATACGGAACTCAAAAATCTTTTTAATCATGGTAATATTATGATTGTTCACACGTGGTGATCACTGTAATTGTATCGTGATAACATAGAGGAAGTGTTGTCTTTGTAGAAGTTGGTGCATGAATTCCATCTCAATGAGGGATCAGGTTTGTCTAGAAGATAATTTCAAGAGCCCATAGCAGGGTGTCCCCCAAAGGAGGCAGCAATTTGCAATGAAAAAGAAAGCTGAGAGAAGTGAAGTTGGTTTCAGGACTGGGTGAGGAAAAGAGCCTCTGGATGGCCAGTGAGAGTGAACTCAGGAAAAAACAGACACCTTCTGAAGTCAACATTTTCAATAAGTTTAATAGTGCTCACTAATGCCTTTGGTGTGAGTGGGTTTTTTTGTAGTGTGTCAGGAGAATAAGAACAAAGGGGGTAGGCATAAAGCCTGGCAAAGACAAAAACAGATTATATGTAGAAATCACCACATGTATTAGTTCATTCTCACATTGCTATAAAGAAACACCTGAGACTAGGTAATTTATAAAGAAAAGAGCCGGGCACAGTGGCTCACGCCTGTAATCCCAGCACTTTGGGAGGCCAAGGCAAGTGGATCACAAGGTCAGGAGTTTGCGACCAGCCTGGCCAACATGGTGAAACCCTGTCCCTACTAAAAATACAAAAAATTAACTGGGCGTGACCTGTAATCCCAGCTACTTGGGAGGCTGAGGCAGGAGAATTGCTTAAACCCAGGTGGTGGAGGTTGCAGTGAGCCAAGGTTGTGCCACTGCACTCCAGCCAGGGTGACAGAGCAAGACTACATCTCAAAAATAAAGTAAAATAAATAAATAAAAGAGGTTTAATTGAATCATGGCTCTGCAGGCTGTACAAGAAGCATGATGCATCTGCTTAGCTTCTGGGGTGGCCTCAGGAAATTTACAATCATGGCGGAAGGCGAAGGAGGAGCCAGCACTTCACATGGCCAGAGCAGGAGGAAGAGATAGAGGGGGGAGGTACCACACACTTATAAACAGCCACATCACACAAGAAGTCACTTACTATTGCAAGGACAGCACCAAGGTTGATGCTAAACCATTGATGAGAAACCACTCCCATAATTCAATCATCTCCCACAAGGCCCCACTTCCAATATTGAGGATTACACCTCAACATGAGATTTGTAACACACACCCAAACTATATCACCATAGTTGGGTTACATTCTATTATAATCATATTTAGTAAAAACAAATGAGAGCTTCCGTTTGTGGCTCCAAGTCTCAGGAGAAATCTGCTACTCATCCTTGAGACCTGAGCTGTTAGTCGTGCAGTGAGATGGTTAATCTCCAACTATTCCTTTGTTTGTGGAATCTCAGATAAAGAACCCCCCCACCTCCAGAAAACAACGAAAAAGAATACAACCCTAAGGCAGAGTCGCTTTACTAGAAAAGACTCTTGAAGACAGACACACATGCATGCCCACACACAGACACATACATAGCACCTTTTCAGGATATCACTCTGAACTGTTTGTCTGGACAATTCCAGACAATGTAATGCAAAATGGTGGCCCCTAGAAGTGTGCAAAGAGGTGGCTGTGAAGTGAAGAAAAAATCATTTTCCCTGGGGAAACTGTGAGTCATCATGAATGTGAAAGTAAACAAAACTTGAGAACTGCTACGTCCTCAGTCTTCAGGCAAGAAAACACCACAAGGCTGCAAGGCTTTCTGAGAGCTGGGCCACATCTAAGCCATATGTGTGCTCACGGCTCCCACACTGTGTGTGGCACATCCCATCAACAAATCTTGTTAATTTTACCTTCAAACCTTATCCCCAATGCATCTGCTTCTCTCCTTTTCTATTACTACCAACAAATCCAAGTCACCATCATCTTACACCTAGACCATGACTTCCGAAACCATTTGATCACACATACATCAATAAAACATATATAATGTGTGTGTGTGTAAATTTATGTACATATTTTTTTCTTTTGGGAGAGAGAGAGAGAGAGGATCTCACTCTGTCACCCAGACTAGAGTGCAGTGGTACAATCCCTGCAGCCCCAACCTCCTGGGTTCAAGCGATCCTCCCACCTCAGCCTCCAGAGTAGCTGAGACCACAGGCATGAGCCACCACACCCTCATTATTATTATTATTATTATTATTATTATTATTTTGTACAAATGAGATCTCACTATGTTGCCTAGGCTGATCTTGAACCCCTGGGCTCAAGCTATCCTCCCACCTTGGCCTCCCAAAGCATGGGGATTATAGGTGTGAGCTGCCACACCCCACCAATAAATTATTTTTGAGCACATACAATTCACCATTAGATATTCGGATTTATTTATGAATAATAGATACACTATAGTATCCACATATTATGTACATTGTAAAATGTAAATAGAATGTTTTAAAGAAAAGGTTTGAATATATATCACTATGGTCTGAAAGTTTGTGTCCCCACAACAATTAAAATTTCTGTTGAAGCCTAACCCCCAATGTGATGATACTTCTTTTTCTTTTTCTTTTTTTTTTTTTTTGAGACAGAGTCTCTCTCTGTCGCCAGGCTGGAGCGCAGTGGCACGATCCCGGCTCACTGCAACCTCCGCCTCCCCGGTTCAAGTGATTCTCCTGCCTCAGCCTCCCAAGCAGCTAGGTTTACAGGCATGTGCCACCACGCCCAGCTAATTTTTTTTGTATTTTTAGTAGAGACAGGGTTCACCATGTTGACCAGGATGATCTCGATCTCCTGACCTTGTGATTCACTGGCCTCGGCCTCCCAAAGTGCCGGGATTACAGGCATGAGCCACCGTGCCCGGCATGATGATACTTCTTAAGAGGTGGGACTTTGGGGAGCTGATTATAGGTTATAAGGGTGTAGCAGTCATGAATGCGATTAGTGCCCTGATACAAGAAACCCCAGAGAGCTGCCTCACCTCTTCCATCGGGTGAGGACACAGCAAGGAGACCCATCTAGAAATCAGGAAACAAGTCCTCAGCAGACACACAACCTGCCAGCACCTTGATCTTGGACTCCAGCCTCCAGAACTGTGGGAAATAAATGTCTGATGTTTACAAGCTACTCAGTTTATGGCATTTGGTTATCACAGCCCAAATGGACTAAGACGTGTCTGTGTGTGTCTTTGCGTGTCTGTGTATAAATGTATATACACACACAAGTGTGTATTTTCTTCCTCCATACTGTGAGATTTTTCCACAAACTCTCTATACTACGTATATCCTGGCCCTAGCCTACTATTTAATATAATTCCCTCTTAATTGATCTCCCTATCTCCACTCTTATTTCCTTTTTTTTTTTTTTTTTTTGGGGAGACAGAGTCTTGCTCTGTTGCCCAGGCTGCAACATCCGCCTCCCAGGTTCAAACAATTCTCTGGCCTCAGCCTTCCTAGTAGCTTGGATTATGGGTGTGCACCACCACACCCAGCTAATTTTTGCATTTTAGTAGAGATGGGGTTTCACCATGTTGGCCAGTGTGGTCTCAAACTCCTAACCTCAGGTGACCTGCCTGCCTCGGCCTCCCAAAGTGGTGGGATTACAGGCGTGAGCCACCACACCCAGCCCACTCTTATTTCCTATAATCAATTTTCCACAAAGAAAATTTAAATTAGACCCTGCCATTTCTCTGCTTAAAACTCTCCAGTGGCTTTTCATCGCACTCAAATCTAAACTCCTTCCCCCAGCCTACAAACTCATCCATGGTCTAGGCCCTGCCCACTTCTCTGAGCCACTGTCTGAGCCCCTCCCTCCAAACTCTGTCACACAGAACCTTCTTTGTATTCTTCCAACATACTGACTTTATTCCCACCTTGGGGCCTTTGGACCAAGTCTTCTCTCTGCTCTGAATGCACTACCCTGGGTCTTCACAGGTCTAATTCCTTCTGGCCATGCAGACGTCATATCAATGGCTTCCCCTAAAGAGAGTATCTCTAGCCCTCTCAATTCAGGCAATGACCCAGCCAGGCTCTTAACTGTATCTGCTGTTCATTTGTGTGTTCATGTTCACATGTGTTTGTATATTTGGATATTGCCATATAAGAAGAGACAAAATCTACTGCATTAACTGTGATACTTAGCTTATAGTCGGCCCTAAATAAATATTTGCCAAATAAATGAATTAATCAAGTAATTCATTAATAGAACTTTGATAAACTATTTATTTGAAGTCAGTTGAATTAAGCATGGAACAGTTTTGTTAAGCCTATTTTTACTTAATTCCTTCTCCCAGGCAACCTCTGGGGGGAAAAAATAGGCGACTTTATAGAAATAGCCTGGCAAGGGCTCAGATTTCTTTGAAACACCTACAAGCAAGGGAGTTTGAGGCTAACAAGAGAATCACAGGTTTCCAAGAATAAATGTCCTTTTAAAAATAGGCAATCTGCCATGCTTTGTAACAGGGCTTCAAAACCCCATGACCAAGCCCTTTCTAGGAAACCTCAGTGATGTGCATCTCATTCAACAGGCTCTAATTGGCTATGTTCTTAAAGGGCCTTAAAATAAATAACATGCCTTATCTGATTTGAATTATAGCCAAACCTTGTCATTTGAAGGCGATAAGGCTCTAGTGAAAGATATCACATTGGGAAAGGAATGTTGAACTTTTCTCTGTTCCTGAACTTGAGAAGGAAAAAAGTTAACTTGTATGCTCCTATCTAATAGAATTAAGCTGTGAGAGAACTAACCTTATGGAATGCAAATATCCAGACACATTATTAAAATAAATAGTCAAAGTCATAAGTATTCTACAAGAGTCCAATGTCTGGCTCTCCATTGTTACTTTGCAGACAGAATTCCCATTCAAACGTATTAATTATATGTAGCATGAAGCAGAATGAGAATTTAATATCATAATCAGCTCTAGGTAAAATTGGGTATTAGGAATTTGATGTCCATGTCCCTAATCTTATTCACACACACACACACACACAGACACACACACACACACACATGCAGATGACCGTGCACATGACTCACCCAATTAAAAAAAAATCCAAGAAAGCACTTGATGTGATTTATTAACATTCTAATATAAACCAGTGTCTTAAATCTTTCAGAAATATTTCTATCTCTTTTTAACCTTAAAATAAAATATTTTGTCTCTGACTGAGGCATTTTGATATTGAGCATGGAGTTGAGAGCATTATTTTCCGGTGGGGGTCCGTGGGGCAGGGTCTCCTTCTGTTGCCCAGGCTGCAGTACAGTGGCACGAACATGACTCACTACCGAAGGGCATTATTTTAGAGTTAGAAACCTATGTCTTTCCTAAAATTACACCATTTGACTAGCTAGATACACACTTACTCTAATGTGTCACTTTGGAAAACAGGAATTCTGCCCTCATCATCCAGTTGGATGGAACCCTTAACAGACACATGGACTCGAAGACTTGAGAACTTCTACCTGCCTTCTGGAAGCACCAACACACCCACACCCTCATCCACCTTGTTTTGACTAACAGCTCAGGTAACACAGCTGAGTTCAGTATCAATTTCCTAATTATTCATCCTGACTGTACTTCAGTGAAAACAAAGACATTTCTACCCCACTTGCTTTCTCACATTTTCCTCTGAAAGAAAGCTCCTGTCAGAAACTATTATGACTTGTTAGAAATCCTGTGCATTTCAGTAAGCTCCATGCTACTCAGAACACAGCCTAGGAAGGGTTTCTTATGCAAAGAACTGGCATCCTAATGACGCAGCACAGAGACAGCCAGTAGACCCAACTAAATCAAGACAAGTGGAAAAGAACTGAAGTTCGAAATGGGAATGGAGGCTGGGCGTGGTGGCTCACATCTGTAATCCCAGCACTTTGGGAGGCCAAGGTGGGTGGATCACCTGAGTTTGGGAGTTCAAGACCAGCCTGGCCAACATGGTGTAACCCCGTCTACCAAAAATATAAAAAATTAGCCAGGTGTGGTGGCACGCACCTGTAATGCCAGCTACTCTGGAGGCTGAGGCAGGAGAATCATTTGAACCCAGGAGGCAGAGGTTGCAGTGAGCTGAGATCGCCCCACTGTACTCCAGCCTAGGTGAAAGAGCGAGACTCCATCTCAAAAAAAAAAAAAAGAAAGGAAGGAAGGAAGGAAGGAAGGAAGAAAGAAAGAAAGAAAGAAAGAAAGAAAGAAAGAAAGAAAGAAAGAAAGAAAAAGAAAGAAGGAAAGAAAGAAAATGGAATGGAAATGATACATAGCCTCACACAACCTGCAGGCTCACCCACACTCTGACTGCCTCCCCTGTTACACAGTGCAGTTGTGCAAGCAGGATCTTCCATTTAGGATTGTTTCAGACCTACAGATGAGTTTCTTAAGCTTCCTGCCCCCTGTCTCCAGATCACTGCCATCTCTTTAGTAAGAAACTGCGTTTTATTTTGGGTTTTGTAATTCCAGCACCTCCACAGTATCTGTCACAGGGTTGACACCTAATGAGCTTGGACAACGCCATGGAGACACACTGATGGGTCCAGGAATCAGGCTGGACCAATCAGAGCCCTCCCCTTAAACTTTAAAATTTGGAACTACACACAATCATTACCTTCCATACTGCACAGCTGTAAGACATAGACCAAGAGCTGCCAGAAGCCTCGTTGGCTGCCATGTGAAAGAAGCCAGTTGGAGTGCATGAGGCCAATCAATACAGAGAGAGCAACAGGAATGAAGATGGACGGAAAGAGTCCCGGTGGGATTTGTGCCTTGTGTCCAGCTGTGCCCACACCCCTGCCCTTCCCTGAGCCACGCAAGGCTTCCAGGAAATGACCCTCTTTGCCTAAGCTATGGTTGAGTTGAATTTGTATAGTTCCACGAGAAATGGTATTCTCCATACCCTAGTGTCTGTACTGTTTTCTCAAACACATCCTAAAGATCCTGAGGGGAAAAAGTTCTCCTATTGTTTCAGTGAACTCTATGGAACCCACTGTTGCATTTAGTGCACAAAAGGCACTCAGGCAATGCATTGTTGCTTTCTTGAAAATGTACTTAGTGTCTCTCCCATTTCATGTTCAAACAAGACGGATGAAAGAAGTATCTGGATGGATACGGAGCTGGTTTAGACACCCTAACTGGGGTGATGGTGCCTGTGCTGGCCAGCCCTCAAGGCAGTCCCCAAGGAACTCAGCCTCCTGATACTTTCAGAGTCCTTTTTATAGTCCCCTTCTACTCTGTACCAGGAGTGGACTTTGATACTTTGGTCTCTGTGACAAATAGTAAATGGCAGCAGTAATGTACTGCCACTTCTGATATTCGGTTATAGACCATTGAGGCTCCCAGCTTGGCTCTCTCCAGCTCTTCAGCCTTCTCTCTAGGACACCACTGGCTCTGGGGAAAGCAGCTCCCACCTTGTGAGCTGCCCTGTGGAGAAGCCTATCATGCAAGGAACTCCAATCCCCTCTGACAGCAGCCAGTGAGGAACTGGGGCCTGCTGACAACCACATGAGTGAACTTGGATGTGAATCCTTCAGCCCCTGTCAAGTCTTGAGATGGCTGCAGCCCCAGCCGACATCTCAACTGTAACCTCAGGAAACATAGTAAGCCAGAACCACCCAGCCAAGCCACGCCCAGATTCCCGACCCTTGGAAATTGTGAAATCAGAACGGTAATTAATAACTAATAAAGTTCCTAATATTCTATAAATAAGTCATGGGTCTATAGGCGTCCAAGATGGCAGTGCAGCATCTAGGTATTTCATGGCCTCAGTAGTCAGGCTTAATACTGGAGGCCAGAAAGTGAAAAACAAAATAACAACAACCAATGAATATGAGTTTGATGGGAGCCAGAGATCTTGGAGATGCATGCAGATGGAAAGAAATCTCGATGTCATTTTTTCCATGAGCTAAACAAGGTTTTTGGCACCAAGAACTCAATGCTGAAGTGAGAAGAAGCCCTCTGTGATCTCACTAGTTCAAACTGCAAGTACCTAATACACAAAAGGGAGTGAGCAACTGGAGTCTTAGGAGAATGCCTCTTCCTGGGATGAAAATGGCTTGCCCTGGACTCCACTGACCTCCTATTGAGTATGTAATTCTGTGTCTACCAGAAACCACAGGAGAGAGTTACAAAATATAATCAGTGTGTCATTCGCTGCTATGGCAGGGGCTGGAGACTTGAGGCTATTCTGTAAAATTTGTTCAGAAATTTACATTTGCTACTGTCTAGCATTGTATACCCTCCAAAGACTACAACCCCCCATGTCCTGAGCATAGACATTTTCCTGCCATCAGTTTATTGACACTCCTTTTTGTGTTTTCCAGACTTGGATTGTCTGTTTTTTCTTTCATGACTTATTCAAGTACTACTGATTCTCTTTGACTCAGTTTACCCATCTTGCTATCCATGAAATTTTGACCAGCTTTTTAGTCTACATTAGTCATTCTATCTGCTGGAAACTTAAAGCACTGATATGGTTTGGCTCTGTGTCCCCACCCAAATCTCACCTTGAATTGTGACTCCCACATTCCCACGTGTCATGAGAGGAACCCAGTGGGAGGTGATTGAATTATGGGGGCAGGTCTTTCCTGTGCTGTTCTCATGATAGTGAATGAGTCTCATGAGATCTGATGGTTTTACAAACAGGAGTCTCCCTGCACAAGCTCTGTTTGCCTGCTGCCATCCATGTAAGAAGTGACTTGCTCTTTCTTGCCTTCTGCCATGATCATGAGGCTTCCCCAGCCACGTGGAACTGTAAGTCCATTAAACCTCTTTCTTTTGTAAATTGCCCAATCTCAGGTAAGTCTTTATCAGCAACATGAAAACCGACTAATACAAGCACTTACAGTGTAAACCACAGAATTGGGTACTTGGTTAGATATTGGATGATTGACTTTTCCTCCAAAATGTCTTGCCTTCTCTCAAGACTGTAAGGATGCAGTGGCTCATGCCTGTAATCCAAACACTTTTGGAGGCTGAAGCAGGCAGATCACTTGAGCCCAGGAGTTTGAGACCAGCCTGGGAAACATAGCAAGACCCTGTCTCTACTAAAAATAAATACAAATTACAGGTGGTACTCACCTGCAGTCCTAGCTACTCAGGAGACTGAAGCAAGAGGATCACTTGAACCCAGGAGGTTTTGGCTACAGTGAGCAGAGATCATGCCATTACATTCCAGCCTAGGCAACAGAGAGCAATACCCTGTCCCTTCCCACCATCCCCCCACCAAAAAAAAGGACTGTAACATACAGTTCTTTGACAGTGTCAAGGTCAATGGTTTCCAAATCCAAGCACCTGTTAAATCCTATTGTTAACTTGCAAGACAGGTTTTATCTATTTCTGTATCTCTAGCTCCCAGGAGTGGGCCTGGCTGAGAGGAAAGGCTTCTAAGCACACCACTTGACAA
The DNA here is from genome assembly GCF_000001405.40 of Homo sapiens. Lineage (NCBI taxonomy): Eukaryota > Metazoa > Chordata > Mammalia > Primates > Hominidae > Homo > Homo sapiens. Next base: position 17,336,185 of record NC_000005.10, on the reverse strand, counting down.
CCATTGATTTGCCTGCTGTCATTAGAGATTAGTTTTCAAGTTCTGTAGCTGCCCTGTCTTACTGAGGGTAGTCACTAGTATCACCAAAGATTTTGCTATTATCCTTTCACTCTGACGGTTGTTCTTATCAGGTTTTTTGTTTTTTGTTTTTGCCTCAAAATCGTGTTTGATGTCTTTTAAAAATATCCTTTAAAAAAATACAGATTTCAAGTTGTTCCCGTGTCAGATTTATTGACTCAGAATTTGGGGGAGTACAGCCCATGAGAATGCCAAGTTAGGAAACTCCCCAGACAGTTGCTAAGCCTCTAAGCCTGCCCAGCTCCACAGAAGCATGTTGGGCACATCATTAAATGCTCAAGAAGCATTTTTTGATAAACTGAATTGATTCTTCTAATCTGTCTCATTTGTCTCGCTTGGAAGTGATGGTAGATACTACAGAAACAGGAAAACAGCATAGATCTAACCAACTGGAACTCTGTATAAAATTGATTCATTCATTGCATAGAATTAAAACATTTATACATCCAAGGTAGAGAAATGAGTAGATATGTGATAAAGCAAGTATAGTAAAATGTTAGTGGTACAATTTAGGTGGTAGGTATATGGGTGTTGACTTAAAATTCTTTCAAATTCATAGTATGTTTTGAATTTTTTACAACATAACATTGAAATAAAATGAAAACAAAATCCATATACATCCAGAACATTCAACCAACCTAAATCTGTTCTCCCTGGATTATTCTCTTCCTTCCTTTCCTTCTTCCCTTCTTTCGTTTTTCATTATCACTCTTGATTGTGGTCACTAAAAAATAATCTTAAAAGAAGAAGCACTTATCATCAAAAATATATTTCTTGGACCTGAGCTTATTTGGGTATTTTACAATTAAAACATTTTAATCTTGGAAAACATCAACTCTGACACTTGGGCTACAAATGCTGCTTTAGATGCTTTTATTGAAACAGTCAATCTACATGAGATAATTTGATACTAAAGAGTGAAAATTATTTTTAAGTATTTTGATGGCTTCAATGAAAAATGTGACCAAAGTAAAGAATATGTAAATTACTCTAGTTGTTCCATAATATTTCAGCATCATCACACCCCCAAAAAATGATAAACTGTGACAACAGTAGATGTGATTTAATAGATAATTACATTTAATATAATATAAGTACTTATCTATCAATCCAAGGCTGAATATTTTCTTCTGCCAGGTCAATGAGTATGTCTCATGGGCTTAAAATGGACAGTGCAAAGAATGAGCAGTCTATAAAAGCAGGTTTTACACTGCATGATACCAGGTAAATGCTGCATGATAGCTGTTTGGCTTGAAGTGCTGTTTTAAAAGCTGGGAGAGAAGGTATAAAGGGGTTCCCTGTGAAGAGTTTGGCATATGCCCATGGCCTTCTACTATTTTGATTACATTCATGTTTGATATGGTTTGGCTGTGTCCCCACCCAAATCTCATCTTGAATTATAGCTCCCATAATTCCCACATGTTGTGGGAGGGACCTGGTGGGAGATAACTGAATCATTGGTGCAGTTTCCCCCATACTGTTCTTGTGATAGTGAGTAAGTCTCACGATATCAGATGGCTTTATAAGGGGCTTCCCCTTTCACTTCTCTCTCATTATCTCTTGCCTGCCACCATGTAAAATGTGCCTTTCACCTACCACCATGATTGTGAGGCCTCCCCAGTCATGTTGAACTGTGAGTCCATTAAACCTCTTTTCCTTTACAAATTACCCAATTTCAGGTATGTCTTTATCAGCACCATGGAAACGGACTAATACAATGTTAAAGAACATATTATGACTGTATCAGGCAGAGTTCTTCAGAGAAACAGAGCTAATAAGGTATGTATAGATATATAGAAAGAGATTGAGCATGAGGGATTGGCTCACATGATTATGGAGGCTGAGAAGGCCTGTGATCTGCCCTCTGCAAGCAGGATGCCCAGGAAAACTGGAGGTGTCATTCCAGGATAAACTCAAAGGCCTGAGAACCAGAGATGCCAACGGTTTAAATCCCAGTCCAAGTCTGAAGACCTGAGAATGTGGGGGTGGGCCAATGGTGGAAATCCTGGTCAAGTCTGAAAGTGCAGGAATCAAGAGCACCAATGCCCAAGGGCAGGAGAAGATGGATGTCCCAGCTCAAGAAGAGTGAATTCACCCTGCTGAAAAATTCTTAACAGGGAGGTGGTTAGACTGAGGTAGTTCTAGTGTCTACCTAAGCCCAACATAAACAGTAAAATGAAAATAGAGACTTTACCAATCGAAACTGCAGCTGCCCTCTAACCAAGGTCTTTCCATTCTAACCAATCAAGTATATTTTCTTTGTCTTACTCGTGTGTCCACCTACAAAAGCTCTCTGCCCACCCTGCTGTAGCAGAGCGTTCTATACCTCTTCTGGTTTTAAGTGATGTCTGATTCATGAATTATCCTTTACTCAAATAAACTCTGTTAAATTAATATTGTCTAAAATTTGGGTTTTCTTTTTTTCAAATCACCTTTTCTCCATCTTTGTGTTTCTATCTGGGCCCTCATGGGATCAGACCATACTCACCTACACTGGTGAGCACAGTCTTCCTTACTCAGTCAACCAACTCAAAGGCTAATCTCTTCCAAAAACACCCTCACAGACATACCCAGAAATAATGTTTTAGCAGCTACTTGGGCATCCTTTAACCTAGTCAAGTTGACACATAAAATGAACCAGTACAATGGCCATGCAATGCTAGAGAAGAATTAAATGTGTACCCCTGTCAACCTAAGGGAAGAAACTGGGGCACAAAATATAATTTTAAGGAGTTTGCTCAGCCAGGTGCAGTGGCTCATGCCTGTAATCCCAACATTTTGGGAGGCTGAGGCAGGTGGATCACTTGAGGCCAGGAGTTTGAGACCAGCCTAGCCAACATGGTGAAATCTCATCTCTACTAAAAATGCAAAAATTAGCCAGGTTGGTGGCTCACATCTATAATCCCAGCTACTCTGGAGGCTGATGCAGGAGAATTACTTGAGCTTAGGAAGCAGAGGTTGCAGTGAGCCGAGATGGTGCCATTGCACTCCAGCCTGAGCCACAGAGTGAGACTCCATCTCAAAAAAAAAAAAAAAAAAAAAAAAGAGTTTACTAGAGCCAAGATAAGAACAGCTGCCTGGAAGACTCAGACCCAAGTAACCTTAAATATGAGCCTTTGTTACAAGAAGGCTTTTATAGGCAAAAAAAAGGGGACAGGAAGTAGCTATTACAAACTTGCTTGACAGGGATTCTCATTGGTTTACAAAAATAACATTGATTAGTGATTGCCTGTACATTTTTCTTTGTATCACAAATTCCAGAAACATGAAGACAGTAGTGACAGTCACATGGTGCAACTTGCAGTGACATTTTAGATAATTTATCAGCTAGTTTGGAAACTACCAGGAGGAAAGAAAGAATAAAGTGCCTTTAAACAATTGTCCCTAAACGTGGGTGCAGGGATGGGGGGCAAATGACTGAAGTCTCATGCTCGCATCTTTCTGGGCCTGATAAATTTTGCATATCTGACATTCCTCAGAATGCTCTGAGCTATTTTTCTTTCTCACCCACGACTAAAATGTTACCGGTCATGTTTTTTCAACTTCACTTGTAAGATAGCTCTAACAAAAATGTCCATATGCCAACAAATTTCCCCCTAAAATAACTCTAACCACCCTTTTTCCTCACTAAACACTCGCCAGTGAAGTACTTTCCCACCAACAGTGATTTCCTGTTCCTCAAACACACCCTGCACTTTCTTGCCTCCACGCTTTTAGTCTCATCACGTTCCCTGTCTGACATTATAATCCTCGCTCTCCCTCCCCACTGTTTTTACCTCCACCTACACTTTTTTTTCTTTTCTTTTTTTTTTTGAGATGGAGCGTCACTCTTGTTGTCTAGGCTGGAGTGCAGTGGCGCAATCTCAGCTCACTACAACCTCCGCCTCCTGAGTTCAAGCGATTTTCCTGCTTCAGCCTCCCGAGTAGCTGGGATTACAGGTGTGCACCACCACACCTGGCTAATTTTGTACTTTTAGTAGAGACGGGGTTTCACCATATAGGTCAGGCTGGTCTCAAACTCCCAGCCTTAGGTGATCCACCCACCCCAGGCTCCCAAAGTGCTGGGATTACAGGCATGAGCCACCGCGCCCGGCCCACCTACACTTTTTGTGCCTATCCAAATTGCTCCTCCTCTGTAAAAACTTCCAGATCACATCATTCCAGAGTTACTTCTCCCCCTTCTGAATTTCTTTGATGTACACGCTCTGCAATATTTATTTGGAAACTGATAATTTATTTTCTCTTATATTTGCTAAATCATCACTTATTTATGATTTATCTTACCAATTGTTTTGAACCTTTCTATAGTAGAGAGACTTTGTCTATTTATTTGTGAACCCAGCAATGTCTTATAACTGGGAGGAAGACAATGTACACTTGTTGCTTGATTATTGTTAATTTATGAAAGAAGTGATGGAAGAAAAAGGAATAACAATAATTGTTAACATTTACTGAGTGCATTAGTCTGTTTTCACGCTGCTGATAAAGAAATACCAGGACTCGGAAGAAAAAGAGGTTTAACTGAACTCACAGTTCCACATGACTAGGGAAGCCTCAGAATCATGGCGGGAGGTAAAAGGTACTGCTTACATAGGGGTGGCAAGAGAAAATGAGAAAGATGCAAAAGAGGAAACCCCAGATAAAACCATCAGATCTCGTAAAACTTATTCACTACCACGAGAACAGTATGGGGGAAACTGCCCACATGATTCAAATTCTCTCTTACCACCTCCCTCCGACAACATGTGGGAATTATGACAGTACAATTCAAGATGAGATTTGGGTGGGGACACAGAGCCAAACCATATCACTAAGTGTTTACCTGTCAGATACTTACGGTTCAATCTACTATTTGCATATTATTTGTTTTGTTTTGTTTTGTTTTGAGACAGAGTCTCCCTCTGTAGCCCAGGCTGGAGTGCAGTGGCTGGATCTCGGCTCACAGTGCAACCTCTGCCTCCTAGGTCCTGGTTCAAGCAATTCTCCTGCCTCAGCCTCCCGAGTAGCTGGGATGACAGGCACATACCACCACACCCAGCTAATTTTTGTATTTTTAGTAGAGATGGGGTTTCACCATGTTGGCCAGGCTGGTCTTGAACTCCTGACCTTGTGATCCGCCCGCCTCAGCCTCCTTAGGTGCTGGGATTACATACATTGTATCACTTAATCTCCATATTCTATGAGAGCAGATATTCTTACTATCTTTATCCTGCAAATGAGGGATATAAGGCACAGATGGGTGGAATATGCCCACCATGGTCTGGTTCTGCAGCTAGTCAGTGGTGGAGCATTTGAAGTCAGCCAAACAATTGACCCCAGCACCATATGCCTAAGAGCTACAGGTTGGTACAGATAATTGTTTTGATGAGTTTTCGACCCCCACACAACAAACATCTCAGGCATGCTGTGGTTTGAGAAACCTACCAGTGTTCAAAAGGAAGCATGTTCTCTAAGAAAAATTTTCTTCTCTACCCCACTGATCCCTCCCCATTACCCCACCCACCCCCAGGGTTGAGTTCAGGTTTCTGATGAATCCTGACAGTTCTGCCCTACCTGAAAATCTGGTTTAACTGATTTGAACCACCTCAACCACCGTCTTATCAGCCTTGTTTCTAAACCTTGGGGCAAATACAAATAGCTGAGTCCTACCTGTTCCCATTTAAGTGTGTGGTAAAGAACAAAAAAAATCAATGTTAACAAAAGATAGGTAGAAAACTTCAGTGTTTAAGATAATAAAATATTAAAATATATAAAACATTTTGCAAAAGGCAAACTATTTTGACTCAATAAAATTAATTGTCAGGATAATCTCAACTTAAAATAAAAAAGCAAACATTTATTTGGTTGAAAAATACCTGTATATTTCCTGCAATACTTGATTATATCAGGAACTCCAAAGCCATCATTTTTCCTCATCTCACTTTGACCTATTCCCTAAAATGCACACAAGTAACTTAGAATATTCCAGAAAGCATAGTAGTAATCATTAACCATTTCCATCTTAAAGACAGAACTATTTTAGGCTCCAGAAAAAACATACAAAAAAAGTGAAGCAAAATGGTAGCCATAATAATTAGCCATAAAAATGGTAATGGTAATGGTAGCCAAAATGGTAGCCATAAAAATTAGCTGTATTAAATGAATTGATCTCTCTAACCCTTCTTTAGGGGATATCTAGGACATTCATAACTTATAAGAAAATTAATTATGAAATAATCCATCTAGGAGTTCCTCTATACTCACATAAAAAATTAACATTAATAGCGATAGTGTTCCCTCCCACAGCACCTGCCCCTGACTGTCCTAGTTAATTAAAGCTTACACAGTGGCTTTAGCCTTGGGCAATCCTTTGAATCATATACTGTGCCATCATCCTCTGTGCTCAGAGATGTTGTGCTGACAGTTTTATTTCCCTGATGAACTGAAGTGATTGGACCAAAGAATGCAAAACAAGCAGTCTTCATTCACCCTGATGTTTCCCCTCGCAGTCCGTCCTTGGGTGAAGATGTGACTATTCTCTCTGCCCTGCTTGAAAGTAAGAACCTGTAATAGGATAGTCTAACAAGAATACTGGTTGAAGTGATGACTTAGAGAGAGGTCTTGAGATACAATTTTGGGGCAAATATTTAAGTTTATGTTTAAATTGTACATTATGTTGTCAATTTTCTGGATGGTTAAACTGACGGCAAAGTTGCATTAGGAAAGAAGAAAAAAGGGAGGGAGGAGGGAGTTAGAGAGGGAGGGAAGGATGGAGGGAGGGCCTCACAAAATAAGGGTTGCTGATGACCAGAATTCTCAGACTTTGTTCTCATCATGGTTGTAATCAGCACATTGGGGCAGTGAGACTCCAAAGCCAAGTCTATCTCCAGAATTTAACAAGAAAGTCAGGAAAGGTCACATCTGCAAAAGAATCTAAAAATCAACAAAGGTGGTAGTGAAGGTGATATGGGTGCAAGGAGAGAAAGATTAACCATTTATCTAAGAGGAACCAAGTTAGAAATGTTTTGTAAGTATGCGACCAATGAGGTTAGTATAATTTCTGACTCTGCTTGGGAAGACCAAACAATAACCATGATTGAGCCATAATAATGTCCGCTGTACCATGCCCAAGTATTGTGAGCTTTCTTAAATCAATTTGGCTGCTAAGCTGTTATCAGGTTCTTTTGGTTAAAGTTGGGTAATACCTGCGGTAATCATTAGTGCTGTTTACAAATATTCGGATTATCATCCTCTGAGACACATGTTCACACTGTACACCCTGGCACTCACTTGCTGGGTTGAGTTACGTGACCAGTTCACGTTGAGTTGCGAGGAGTCTTTTTACATGACCAAGGCCATACCTGCCAGCACTCTTCCACATGTGCACTGCAAATAGTAATGCTCTGGATTGCGGTTGTTCTATCGGCCTGGGTCGCAAAGCAAGTTCAGTCATGATACAGAGCTGAGCCTCCAGTCAACCCATGGTGGACATGTTGTGCGAGCCAGAAAATAACCCTTTGTTGCTTTAATCCACAGCAAAACCTACCTCGGTGGTTCTCAAATAGTGGTCCTCAACCAGCAGCAGCAGCATCACCTGGGCCTGAGCAATGCAAAGTCTCAACCTCTCACCCAAGACCGACTGACTCAGAAACTCAGGGGTTGGGGCTGAGCCACCTGTGTTCTAACCAGCAACCCCAGGTGATACTGATGCTGGTGGCTAAAGCTGGAGAGCCAAGGACCTACTCATCCATCCTTCTGGAGCTACATGCTCCTGCTGCCAATACCAGGTGGTAGATTACAAAAAAAGTGGCTTCATCATTTTACATCCCATCAACAATGTGTGAGGGTTCCAGTTTCTCTGCATCATGCTCATCAACATTTATCACTGTGTTTTTTATTGTAGCCATTCTGGTGGGTGTGGAGTGGTATTTCATTGTTGTTTTTATTTGCTTTTCTCTAATGACCCACGTTACTGAACCTCTTTTCAATGTATAACTTAATTGGTGAAATGTTCATTCAGATCTTTTGCTAATTATCTTTTTTATACCTTTTCCAAAAAAAAGTGAACTCTCCATGAGGAAAGGAATGACGTTTTTATACTTCTTTGAAGTCCGTGTGGCTTCCTGGCACATGATAGATCTGTTCCCGTAATAGTGGTCCAAATGCCTAAAAGGATGATGATGATTTCATAGATTAAATGTAAAAAAAAAAAGTAATATCTTATCTCATAGGCTCACACACTCAAATGCCCACAGAGGCCATGCTGGTAAGATAAATATGCAACTTGGCTCAACTTTAAAAAAATTGAGAGTGGTGGAGAGTGCATGCCCTACTTTAAAAAGACATCTAAGTTTTTTAAAAAATCATCACTGTGCAGGCCAAGAAAATGCATTTGCCATTGGATTTGACCTGTAGAGATGTCAGATTGATACCCCTTGTTAGATATCACTGACCCATCCCTTGAACGTAATTCAGGAGAAGTCAAGACACTAATGAGGGTGTGTTTCTTTCTCACTCTGGTGCCATGAGGATCTTCTAGGAGAGATTCTTCAGTCTTCTCATAGGTCTTCTCTTCTCAAGCTTTGATAGTTCCAAAGCCAGGGACATCTTTCTGAGTGCAACCCTCTTGATATCTGCTACACTTAAAACCCTTCAAAGACTCCTATTGCTCTTTGGATCAACTCCAAATGCTCTAACGCGGCCTCTAAGGGGAACTGACCTGGGTTGTGTTAATGCCGAGCTCACATTGTCAACACTAGCTCTTCGCTCCTGCAATTTCAGCTTCTATAAGATTCCCCACCCACCCCAGCCCCCCCCGCCTCCGCTGACACCTTCAGCTGGTAACTCCCACTTAGCCTTCTGTGCTCTCATATGATGCAACCCTCCTAAAAACCCCCGTAGGATCTCATATTACTCTTGCCAGAGCACATTTCACATTTTATTGTAATTTTGTCTTTTCTCGTTGTTTCTCTGCTATTTGAGCATGAGGACTGCAGGGATATTATCTATTGGTATATTCGCAGTGAACAGAGCTTCTGGCTGGAGAGAAAAAGATCTATAAGGGACTCTATAGCATCATCTTGGGGAATGGCATTATGGTGAAGAGCCACTAACCCTGACGAGCAAGGATGTAATAAAATCCCCATCTACTGGCCCACCGGGTTGGTACATGATTTTCACTCATATTCTCCTCTGAGTTTGAACCTTGGGAAACGTTTAACATTTTTTCTGGAATGAGGTTTACTAGAGTAGCTCAGTAGGATATTATCTGGAATCTGGAGATGAAGCTCCAAGCTGTGGAGCCATCCAGCATGTTGTCTGACAGGTCGTTTCACTCTGGTTTATGGCTGTGCCTGGTTATCCATTTACTTCCTCCAACAGAGTCCCCAGGGAGTATTAAATACTGCTTTTTATGATATGTAAAGTGATGATTACCAAATCAGTTTATGGAACTTAATCCTTGCCTAAGGAAACTCAGGGCTGGTAGTGGTGAAGATCTGTATATGCCAAAAATATGACTTCATCTTCTTGTATTAAAGGGCTTAGGTCATCCGTAAACTGGTAGGGTCATATAAATTCACCTTACTTTCATTTGGAAAAGAAGTCTATGCTTAGGGCTAAAGTTTTAAATATTTTTTGTTTGTTTGTTTTTGAGATTGAGTCTCGCTATGTTGCCCAGGCTGGAGTACAGTGGCTCAATCTTGGCTCATTGCAACCTCTGCCACCTGGGTTCAAATGATTCCCTCCTGCCTCAGCCTCCTGAGCAGCTGGGATTACAGGTATGTGCCACTGCACCTCACTAATTTTTCTATTTTTGTAGAGATGGAGTTTCACCATGTTGGCCAGGCTGGTCTCAAACTCCTGACCTCAAGTAATCTGCCTGCTTCGGCCTCCCAAAGTGGTGGGATTACAGGCATGAGCCACCATGCCTGGCCTTTAATAATATCTTATCTCTTTGTTTATTTGGCATAGTTAAGGAGTGAGAGGCTTACTATTCTGTAAATCATTAGGTCATCTTGTGTCAATAAGCAATAAAATATGTATTTATCTTTACTTCTCTGCCTTATTAGGATTTTGTAAAAACCACAATCTAATGCTATATTGATGACAGGTTTATCATAAAGAACCCCAAATTTTGCATTGTTATTAAACACACTGATGTGCCAGAGACTCCTACTGAGGGGGGTAGGGCTACTTGGTCCTTCACTGAATGGCCCCACCAGACTGCTGCCTTATTTATTTTTCTTTCTAAATTCTGAGGTCTATATTTTAAGAATTCTTCTCCCTCATTCCTGCTGTCAGGTTTGGATCTCTCTTTTCTTTTTACTGATATGAGATCTCTTTTAGTAATTCACTTCCCATCCCCACTTTCTGATCTGTGGCTTCAGATCTATAAGCCCATCTTACAATGGACTGGACAAATAGATCACCAAGCTTGTTAGAACTTAGTGAGTAGGCACAGAGGTACTCTCCTAGGGATCAAGTAGAGGAAATTCAGTGAATGGAACATGTTATATCTAACTTGGCCAGTTGTTACAATTCTGGACTTTTTTTTTTTCTGTTACAGGCTATTGAAAATATTACGTAAACTCTATTGAAATAATGTGTTCTTCTGTCATGTCTGAATGCTCAAGGAATACAATTCTAGAATGAATTCCTACTTTCTATTTTTTCAGGCTGTGAGGATGATCATGATGAAAGAGAGAGAGAGAAAACATGCCATAGGGCTTCATCGTAATCCCAGGGCTCAGTTTCATCTTTCAGAAATGTAATCTTTTAGTTTATCCAAAGGTTATTAAATTTTGGAAAATTAAATCACACTAACTGTATTAGTTTCCCATTGCTGCTGTGACAAATTATTACAAACATAATGGCTTTAAAAAAAACCCCACATATTTATTATCTTACAGTTCTAGAGGTTAAAAGTCCAAAATCGGTCTCACTGGGCTAAAGTGAAGGTATCTGCAGGGCTGGCTCCTTCTGGAGGCTCAGGACCCCTTCCTCCATCTTCAAAGCCAGCATGGCAGCATCTTCAGATCCTCTCCAACTATCTAACCCCTGCTTCCATCATCACGTCTTCTTCCCTGACTTTGAGGCTCCTGGCTCCCTCTTGTAAAGGCCGCAGTAATTACTTTGAGCCCAAGCCGATAATCCAGGATAATCCTCCCATCTCAAGATCCTTAATTTAATCACACCTGAAAAATCCCTTTTGCCCTATAAAGTAACATATTCACAGATTCTGGGAGTAGGATATGGGCCTCTTTGTGTGTGTGTGTGTGTGTGTGTGTGTGTGTGTGTGTGTGTGTGTGGTGGGGAAGGGGCATTATTCAGCCTCTCACACTAACAATGTGCTGATTTAAAAACCAGAATGGCAATTTTTAAGTTATAATTTTAAGATATCTGGTAGGATAACGGGAATTGTCTTTTTTACTTAGGACACTCTTCAGCCGGGGAAAGTGAGGAGACCAAATAAGAACTTGCTGGTGAGCATAGAATTATACCAGTAGATATGGACAAGAAACTGTAGTATTATAGCCTGGCAAATTATCTTTTGTACCTTTTGTATACAAATATTTCTACCCAGGTAGGCAGTAATGGCTATTAGAACTGTTTTTCTGAGTAGTTCTTGAGTTCTTTTATCAATGATACAATGTATTAATGATTCGTTATATCAACTGATACATTGATACTGATACACTGACTCTCTGGTTTTCCTCTCACTATATCCCATGGAAACTAGGACTGGCTGTTAAAACAATGTTTCCTTGTGCACACATAATGTAATGCGCCTGGTTAAAATTAACTTTACACCTAAAGGCAGTTGAAGCACCATAGTCAGAAAGGATATTCTAGGGTGAATCGTTAGCGTGTACAGTATCACAGTGAGGAACCAACTCTTCATTTACTTATTACTTCACGTGTCTTGCAATTAAGAGATTTATTAATTAGCAACTGGGATGTAAGCAATACATTTTCAGTGGTGAAGTGAGTGTTTTTCAAAGTCAGTGAGTGGTTAGAAACATCGGATGGGTCCCAGTGTCTTTAGTACAGGACCCAGGAAGCCCAGGAGGCTGACACAGTCAGTGTAACATTTGAAGTCTAGAGTCATATTAGTCCCGCATTGCTCTGTTTCATGGAGGACGCTGACAACTCACCAGGACCTGGTCCTGTCTGCAAAACATCCTTTAATCTGCCTAAGAGTGTAACTTTTATGCATGGCGCCAGTCAGTATGCCAGAGAGGAGACTTTTCCGAGCTATGAGAATAGGTCTCATGACTGTTCAGTGCCTGCTTGGTAGTAAATATTTTTACCCTTAACAAGAATTGAAAGAAAACAGCTTTGCCACTTCTTAAAAGTAAAAGCCAGGCATGGTGGCTCATGCCTGTAATCCCAGCACTTTGGGATGCCATGGTGAGTGGATCACCTGAGGTCAGGAGTTCAAGACCAGCTTGGCCAACATGGTGAAACCCCATCTTTACTAAAAATACAAAAAATTGGCCGGACGTGGTAGTGGGCACCTGTAATCCCAGATACTTGGGAGGCTGAGGCAGGAGAATCACTTGAACCCGGGAGGAGGAGGTTGCAGTAAGCCGAAATCATGCCACTGCACTCCAGCCTGGGTGACAAGAGGAAGGCTCCATCTCATAAAAAAAAAAAAAAGTTAGAGATGAAGTTACCATATCACCCACCTATTCTACTCATAGGAATTTATCCAAGAGAAATAAAAACATACGTCCACATGAATATGCATAGCAACGTTATTCATTTGTAATAGCCATTTGGAAATAATTCAAAGGCCAGCAACTGGTGAACAGATGAACAGAATGTGGTATATCCATACAGTGGAATACTGTTAAGAAGAATACACAAATGAAGTATTTATACACATTACAACATGGAAGAATCTCAAAAATATATACCAAGTGAAAGAAGGCAGTCACAAAACCACGTAGTGTATAATTCCATTTCTAGGCAAAGTTCAGAAGAGGCAAATCAATCTATAGAGACAGAAAGTAGACCATCAGTTGCCTGAGGCTGGGTGTGGGAACAGAGAGTGACTGCAGATGGACACAGAGGATGTTTGGGAGATAATAACAATGTTTTCAAATTCGATTGTGCTGAAGGCTGCATAACTCTGCATATTGACTAAAAGTAATTTAATTGTATATATAAAATGAAAGAATTTTATGAAATACAAATTATATCTCAATAAAGCTGTTTAAAAAATAATTACATATTGTGAAACATGATAAATGTCAAACCAATGGTAAAAAATTATAAAATGGTTGGGCGCAGTGGTTCATGCCTGTAATCCCAGCACTTTGGGATGCTGAGATGGGCGGATTGCTTGAACCCAGGAGTTCAAGACCAGCCTGAGCAACATGGCGAAACCTTATCTCTACAAAAGAATACAAAAAAATTAACTCGGTGTGATGGCATATGCCTGTAGTCTCAGCGACTTGGGAGGCTGAGGCAGGAGGATCACCTGAGCCCAGAAAGTCAAGACAGCCGTGAGCCATGATCATGCCACTGCACTCCAGCCTGAGCAACAGGAGTGAGACGCTGTCTCAAAAAAATCAATCAATAAATAAATAAAATTAAAAGGTATCCAAGTTTTTAATATCATATTATCATGTACCCCTCATTAAAAATGTGAGGATTGGCCAGGTGCAGTGGCTCACACCTGTAATCCCAGCACTTTGGGAGGCCAAGGAGGGTGGATCACTTAAGATCACGAGTTCGAGACCAGCCTGGCCAACATGGTGAAATCCCATCTCTACTAAAACTACAAAAGTTAGCCAGGTGTGGGAGCACATGCCTGTAATCCCAGCTACTCAGGAGGCTGAGGCAGAAGAATCACTTGAACCCAGGAGGCAGAGATTGCAGTGGGCCAAAACTGTACCACTGCACTCCAGCCTGGGCAACAGAGTGAATTAGACTCTGTCTCAAAAAGAAAAAAAAAAGGTGAGTGTTCATCTTCAATATATGTGTGCATTTATTTATTTACAAATAATAACATGAACTAATGTATTAATATCTCATATACAGCTAAACTAGACCCCAAAAGTAAAATTACTTTTTTTCTTTTTGAGATGGAGTCTTGCTCTGTCACCCAGGCTGGAGTGCAGTGGCACGATCTCGGCTCACTGCAAGCTCCACCTCCCGGGTTCACGCCATTCTCCTGCCTCAGCCTCCCGAGTAGCTGGGACTACAGGCGCCCGCCACCACGCCCGGCTAATTTTTTGTATTTTTAGTAGAGAAAGGGTTTCACCACGTTAGCCAGGATGGTCTCGATCTCCTGACCTCGTGATCCGCCTGCCTCGGCCTCCCAAAGTGCTGGGATTACAGGCGTGAGCCACCGCCCCTGGCCAGTAAAATTAATTTCAAACATATAAATATATAATATTTGAATTCGAAAGTACTCATTTCATCACAAGGATTTTAAGAATAAAGGAATGCAGGGATTAGAATTAGTGAGCAAAGTGAACTCTAGAGTAATAAGCATGGGAATGTGGGAAGCCACCAGAATTGACACGGACAAGACCACCCATGCATAATCAACCCTCAGAACATTCATCAGATTGAAAATCATGTATTTGCATGATGAGCAATGGACATCAATCAAAATAAACCCAGCTGTTCTGAGGATGGCAAACATTCAGGAACATGGGACTGCAGACCCTCTTAAAAATAAATGTCAACGGCCGGGCGCGGTGGCTCACGCCTGTAATCCCAGCACTTTGGGAGGCCGAGGCGGGCGGATCACGAGGAGATCAAGACCATCCTGGCCAACACGGTGAAACCCTTTCTCTACTAAAAATACAAAAAATTAGCCGGGCGCGGTGGCGGGCGCCTGTAGTCCCAGCTACTCGGGAGGCGGAGGCAGGAGAATGGCGTGAACTCGGGAGGCGGAGCTTGCAGTGAGCTGAGATCGCACCACTGCACTCCAGCCTGGGTGACAGAGCGAAACTCTGTCTCAAAAAAATAAAATAAAATAAAATAAATAAATAAATAAATGTCAAGAAGGAGAGTTCAAAAGAAGAGGACAGAGAAAGAAAAATTGAAGGAAGTCATCATATGAAGATGAAGCTTCCTACACAACATGATCTGCTTCCAGGTGGGAGGGATTTAGTCACACACTCTGTCTTACCACCTATTGTGACCAAAAAGTTCATTATAATAAGGACTGTGCCAGGTTCATATGGAATTATAACAGCTATTAAAACTTTAAGTAAGTTTGCTACATCCAGTGGTGTTTATCTTTAACACTTTCCCCGAGATTTCATTACAAAAATAATAATTTCTGTTGCCTTTGATGTTTACAGTGTGATACATTCAGGGAGTTACAAACTATAAATGAATATAACCAAGGCAGAGGGGTTCTTATTAGTGAGTTGTAAGAGATAGATAAAGTTGGATGGGGAATTGAGGGCCATAGAAAAAAAATAGGGGGTTAGGACTTTTTCTCTGTACCCACCATAGGGGCCATTCTATGCTTTTGAGTACAAGGCCATCTGAGCTATGTGGTTTTCAGGGGGATTGATGGAGTGCCACACACAGCATGGACAACTTTGGGGAGAGTTGAGAGGCAGTATTCTAACTTGCTGGAATTTTAACAGAATACCAAGCCAGAGCAGACTGAAATTGAGGACCCTGACCAAGATGTCAGCAGAAGAATAGAAGCAAGAGTACAATCGAAAGCAAAGAATTTACAGATGGTTGATGGTGATGGAGGAGTTTGTAAATCCTGATGCCAAAGACTCTCCAACACCAGGCCAGACAGGGGGCATATTCCACTGAAGTGCACAAAGATAAGCTAATGCTCCACTGGACTGAGCTAAGCTAGATGTGTGGTGGAGGGCTTCGGAGCAGCCCAAGGTCAGAAGCTGCTCCATCCTCTTTATTTATTTATTTATTTATTTGCTTACTTATTTATTTATTTTGGGGACAGGGTCTCACTTTGTCACCCAGGCTGGAGTGCAGTGACACCATCAGGGCTCACCACAGCCTCAACCTCCTGGGCTCAGGTGATCCTCTCACCTCAGCTTCCTGAGTAGCTAGGATGACAGGCACCTGCCACCACACCCGGCTAACGTTTTGTTTTTTGTTTGTTTGTTTGTTTGTTTTTTGTAGAGATGGGGTTTTGCTATGTTGCTCAGGCTGGTCTCAAATTCCTGGGCTCAAGGGATCTGCCCACCTCGGCCTCCCAAACTACTAGGATTACAGGCATGAGCCACCATGCCTGGCCATGCTCCGTCCTCTTTATCTGTGCAGTCTTGCCTGTCCTGTCCTGCTTCCTTGCTTCTCAATAGCACTTTTAAAGAGGCAGAGGAAAGAATTGAAGGACGTGTCACTAATTGTTTCTAAGTGGTAAACAAAATCACATTACTTTGAAACACGGACTTTCTCTCCATTCATATTTAAGAAATTTTGTAAGGAAGACTGAAGTAAGAATTAAAAGATCCATAAAATCCATATCCTGTGATTTGATACGGCTGAGAGTGTTGTGGCTTACAATTGTCTTCAGCCACTCGGGAGGAAACAAGGCCATGTTCTTTGCAGGATCCTGAGACCTGCGTTTTCAGCACGTGCATGGAAGCGATATCTAAGAGACTGAAATAAAAGGGATAATTCCAACATCTTCTTTTTTAAGCGAATTTTCCATTCATGTATTCCTATTGTCACTATGGAATCACTCTGGGGGAAGTGTACTTGGAAATCTGTCTTCATTTTCCATTTTCTTACCTGAATACATAAAAACCCTGAGGTTTGGATAGTATTAGTAAACCAAACTGAGAAAACAAACATAAAAAAGGATACTATTTTCTGGCCGGGCACAGTGACTCATGCCTGTAGTCCCAGCACTTTGGGAGGCCAAGGTTGGCAGATCACTTGAGGTCAGGAGTTCATGACCAGCCTGGCCAACATGGTGAAACCCCATCTCTACTAAATTAGCCCAGCATGGTGGTGCATGCCTGTAATCCCAGCTACTCGGGAGGCTGAGGCACAAGAATTGCTTGAACCCAGGAGGCAGAGGCTGCAGGGAGCTGAGATCACTGCACGACATTCCAGCCTGGACAACACAGTGAGACTTTGTCCCCCCCGCCACCCTGCCCCCCAGAAAAGAAGTCTAATATTTTCTGTATTACCTGGTAATAAAATTCAACAATTTAAGATAAAATTATCTATCTGCTTTACTCTTCTACTTTCTAATACCAACGAATTTTCAGGTTGGTTCATGGTTATGGTCACTCAGTCAAATGAAAGTCCTTGCCTTCCTTCATCTCAGTAATCATCGTTGCCAGACATTTAGCTTCCCATTGAATCTGTTATAAAGATCACAACACAAAAGTCACCTTCATCTTTCACTTCCCTTATGGAACCCCCCTTTTTGTGGGTCTAAAAAAAGACATCCTTCTGCTCTGAAGATCAAGAGCAGAAACCATTCTTCTTTTTTTTTTTTTTTTTTTTGAGACGGAGTCTCGCTCTGTCGCCCAGGCTGGAGTGCAGTGGCGCGATCTCGGTTCACTGCAAGCTCCGCCTCCCGGGTTCACACCATTCTCCTGCCTCAGCCTCCGGAGTAGCTGGGACTACAGGCGCCCACCACCACGCCCGACTAACTTTTTATATTTTTAGTAGAGACGGGGTTTCATGATTTAGCCAGGATGGTCTCGACCTCCTGACCTTGTGATCCGCCCGCCTCGGCCTCCCAAAGTGCTGGGATTACAGGCATGAGCCACCGCACCCAGCCTTCTTCTGGTTCTTAATTAGGGCACTATTCAGTCTCCCTAGTTTGGATGGATGGAATGGGATGGATGAAGAGAGAGAGAGATATATCAGATGGACAAGGGATGGATGGACGGATGGATACATTGATGGGTGGATAAAGCAAAAGTAAGAAAATGTTAAGAATCTGTTAAATCTAGTCGGGTGCATATACAGGTATTCATTGGACTATTCTTTCAACGTTCTGTATCTTTAAATTTTTTCATTAAAAACTTGCAAGAATAAAAGGTCATTGGTATAAACACAACAAAGGCCTTTTTCACAGTATTGCCATCTTTTCTCCTCCCAAACTACTCACGCCTTCCCATCATCTCTTCACCTGACACTGCCTTCTTCTTCTCGTCCCAGGCAACAAGGAAGTAAAACAGTTTCCTGCCTCTCACTGTGCACATTCAGAAAGTTGCTCTCTGTAGAGAGAAAATTTTGTCTAAAACAAAATTTTTACTAATAATCAACCGTGATTTTTGTTGAACTGTAGACCTCCACTTGTATTTGTTGCCATTTGAAATTTCCATAGTGCTGTTTCTTCTACACCCTTTATTGCTGAATCCGGAACTCAAGCCAGTCCTTCCCTCCTTATAAGACACACGTTCGTGCACACACACAAACACACACATTCAGTTCCCCCTCCTCCACCCCCACTCGGCTACACTGAGTCAAAGCCCAGCTGGCCCTATTAGAACGGAAAAGGAAAGCAATGAAACAGACCACACAAATATTCTAAGACTGGCTCCTTGGAAGGAAATTGAGAATTCATTGACATCTCCCCAGGGAAAAATAAGTGAAATTGTGTCATTGTCAGACACTCACATAACTAAATTAATGTGAAATTAAAATCAAAATGAAATATTCCTCTTCATGTTAAAAGTAGTTCACTTAAGTAGTCCATGTACAATTGGCCGCTCCTGCAGCACATTATTAAGTGATTTAAAAGATTAATTTTAACACAGATCACAGTTTCAGTGGTGGTTATGCTAGCATTAAGCAAATAAGCATACTGTCCCAGAAAGAAGCTGATGGTTGCAGGGCAGAAGCATCTTGTCTTGCCACAGGCAGTACAATTGCGTTCATACTTCTTGCTTCAGTTTGCAGTGTGTGTATGAGCCTTTAATTCATGAAACATTAGGAGAGGATCTTTTTCAGGAAGTGAGAACCCGAAGTTGACAGACACATAACCTCATCTAGAATGACAACTAACGAGTTCCTAAACCACAAATATTCATTTCAACAATTTGCAATAATCTACCGTGTGCATGCCAAAGCATTCTAGACAGAACAAACAGTAACAGGCCGGCCTTTGCCCCACAGCATGTTCCTCTAAAAACAGATCCATAATCAAATGCTAAGAAAATACATGCCCTCAACCCTGAAGCAAAAATGTGAATGCAAGCTACACGGGGTAATGTTCCCTCTGGACAGACACCAGTAAATCCAGTTTGCATATGAAAATCGAGGCTTCTTTGCTTCCCTGCACACGATGCTAAAGTGAAGGTCAACAATCTCTTTGACCCTGAGTTCCAAGAAGATGGGAGACTATCAGTGACAACGAATGACACAGACTGAGTCCTGGCCTCAGATGGGAATGAGTGTGGGGGGGTGGGCATGGAGACAGAGGAGGAGGATGAAGGAACAAAGGATTTCAAGCGGGGTCAGCAAACTCTTTCTGTAAAGGGGCAGATAATAAGTATTTTAGGCCTTTGGGCCATATGGTCTCTGTTGCAATGACCCCAGTTTGCTGTTGTAGTGCAAAGCTATAAGTGAATAGGTGGAACTATGTTCCAATCAAACTGTATTTATGGACAAACACTAAAACTTAAATTTTATATAATTTTCATCTCTCATGAAATACTATTCCCCCTTTTTTAACGTTTAAAAATATAAAAATCATTTCTTGCTCACCAGCTGTACCATATCAGTCAAGAAGCTGACTTTGCCCATAAGCCGTAGATTGCAGACCCCTGATTTAGAGCATTGATTCTCAGACTTGAGCATGCATCAGTCATGTACATTGATGAGAGCAAACACAAATCCTTGGGCTCTGCCCCAGCGTTCCTGATCCCACAGGTCTGGGATGAGCCTAACCATATGCATTTCTTACAAGTTCCCAGGTGATACTCATGCTACCAAGAACACAAATGGAGAACTATGGTTTAGAGACAAAGTAACAAGACGGAGAAGGGAGGAAAGAAGTGCCCATGGCCAGGCGTGGTGACTCATGCCTGTAATTTCAGCACTTTGGGAGGCCAAGGTGGGTGGATCGCTTGAGGCCAGGAGTTCAAGACGAGCCTGGCCAACATGGTGAAATGCCGGCTCTACTGAAAATACAAAAATTAGTCGGGTATGGTGGCGCATACCTGTAGTCCAGCGACTCAGGAGGCTGAGGCAGGAAAATCACTTAAACTCAGGAGGTGGAGGTTGCAGTGAGCCAAGATTGTGCCACTGCACTCCAGCCTGGACGACAGAGAGAGAGAAAAAAAAAAAAAGGGCCCACGTTGGCCAGGATGAGTCAGCAATAATCATTTGTTTGGGCCACGTAGAGCTGTTTCATGATCCCCAAGAGAGACTTCATTAAAAACAGCTTGCCTTGTATAAACATAAATAAATAACTCTTCCTTCATAGTTGATTCTCTTTGACACAGAAATATGAAAACCCCTATTTATAGTGTCTTTTGCACAGACACACATGAGCATTTAGCTAAATGGATCTTTAGATGGGGCACCCATCATCAATCTCAGAGTAGTAAAATTCTAGGTGAAGTAAATTAATTTTTCCTCCATCTGGGTAAGACTTATTTAGGTAAATAATGAGTAAAATAATTCTTTAGTTGAAGATACTTCATCTACTAAAAGAGCTAGTGCTGGTAGGTACAGACTACTTAAGTAACCAGGTTTTCCACATAAACAGATTTAAAATTCACCTGGGAATTGGTTTTACTCAGAGGTAATCTGACACCCTTCCTAAGGAACCACCCTAATTCTGGCTGTTTTACCCCAATCTGTGTATTGCTCTCATATGGCAATTGAGTGTTGCTTGTCACCACTTATCTCCTTAATTCAACCACAACAGCTGTTTAGTAGGAAGTCTCTTGTCTTTTCATTTACAAGCTTCTCAAATGAGCATGATTAGAACAAACATGACCTCAATTAAGGATGTTATGTTTGGGGGTTTTCGTTTCGGGTTTTCTTTTTTTTTTTCTTCCAGTTTCTTATATTCTAAGTGGTCTTGATTTGTGTTTGGTGTCATCCAGGTGACACTCTCTACTATTCTAGTATCTTTCAATGTTGTTTGCGACAGTTTCGTTTCAGAAGTCACATCGATGATAGAACACAGAATACTAATCCTGTCTAACAAGTGTAATTTGATCTCCAATTCAATTGCTAGTAGCAGGCAACCTCTCTGACCATCTCCCAATAGATGTGCTGGAGTCTTCTGGATTAATCCAATTCATCAGTTGATTGTTGGGGAATATTCAACCTAGCAGGCAGGCATCCTTAATGCTTTATTACTTGATAAGATATAAAAATACTTTCCAGTTAAATATTTTATCTTACGCTATCTCAGACTTATTATTAATTCAAGATCCCTTTCACAATTTAGCAGTTATATCTTTTTTTTTTTGGAGGCAGGATCTCTGTGTTAGTCCCTTTTTGCCCTGCTGATAAAGACATACCTGAGAGTCGGCCACGGTGGCTCACGCCTGTAATCCCAGCACTTTGGGAGGCCAAGGCAGGCAGATCACAAGGTCAAGAGATCGAAACCATCCTGGCCAATGTGGTGAAACCCCCTTTCTACTAAAAATACAAAAATTAGCTGGGTGTGGTGGCAGGCACCTATAGTCCCAGCTACTCGGGAGGCTGAGGCAGGAGAATTGCTTGAACCCAGGAGGTGGAGGTTGCAGTGAGCCAAGATGGCACCACTGCACTCCAGCCTGGCGACAGAGCCAGACTCTGTCTCAAAAAAAAAAAAAAAAGACATACCCAAGACTGGGCAATTTACAAAAGAAGGAAAGAAGGAGGTCTGTTGTTTTGTTTTCTTTGTTTTTGAGATGGAGTTTTGCTGTTGTTGCCCAAGTTGGAGTGCAATGGTATGATCTCGGCTCACTGTAACCACCTCCCAGGTTCAAGCAATTCTCCTGTATCAGCCTCCCAAGTAACTGGGATTACAGGCGTGTGCCACCATGCCCGGCTAATTTTTTGTATTTTTAGTACAAACAGGGTTTCACCATGTTAGAGCCTGGTCTTGAACTCCTGACCTCAGGTGATCCACCTGCCTAGGCCTCCCAAAGTGCTGGGATTACAGGCCTGAGCCACCGTGACCAGCTGAAACTCTGATTTTTAAAACCATCAGATCATGTGAGACCCATTCACTATCACAAGAGCAGCATGGGAAAGACCCACCCCCATGATTCAATCATCTCCCACCAGGTCCCTCCCATGACACAGGGGAGCTACAAGATGAGATTTGGTTGGGGACACAGAGCCAAACCATATCAGTCTCTGTTGCTCTGTTGCCCAGGCTGGAGTACCCTGGCGATCTCAGCTCACTGCAACCTCCTCCTCCCAGGTTCAAGAGATTCTCGTGCCTCAGCCTCCCAAGTAGCGGAAATATAGGCGCGTGCCACCACTCCCAGCTAATTTTTGTATTTTTAGTAGAGACCAGGTTTCGCCATGTTGGCCAGGCTGGTCAAATTCCTGACCTCAGGTGATCCGCCCACCTCGGCCTTCCAGAGTGCTGAGATTACAGGCACAAACCACCCGGCCCAGCCTCAGCAGCTATATCTTGCATGTCCACCCAGCAACTGAATAAACATTCCATATATGCTAATATAGGGCCAGCTTAATAGATTACCACCAATCAGCCATCTGTGTCATATGCCATCATTCTTCCTGACATCTCTGAATTACAAACTCAACCAAGAGTTCCAGTAATGAATCTAGAAGGTTACTTTTTCACATTTTACACCCTGTAAATTTTATAGAAAAAAAAATGAGGCCTAGAGAATTTAATTTGCACAACAGAATAATAGTTACAAAGATTATAACCCAGTTCTCACTCTCATTCTGCTTATTTGATCCAAGTGAAGAATACTATCCAATATTCACCCACAGTTCCTCTAGGTAGGGATGGGAGGAAGTAGGGAGTAAATATTATTACCAAGGAGAGAGGGAAAAGAAGAATATAGATATATATGTATATAATCGTAAATCATATTTTTATATATAAAGAATACATATAATTTTAAATATTATTAAACAACACAAGAAAAAGTAAGTATGGAGAAAAATAATCATGCACATTTCAAAAGAATACAGAAAGTGGGAGGAAAATTACATTCTCTATGAGAATAAGGCAGAAATATTCCCCAAAAGGAGAAAAAACTAAAAGGGAGAAATTACTCATATATTGGTCACGTTTATATGGTAACTTTTACACTTTTTTAAAAAGTCAACCCCATTTTTGTTTTCACTGAAAAATAGTATGTGTCCTGCAGTATATACTCAATAAATGTTTGTTGAATTGAATTTAAATTATTTTACTTTGGCAAGGTTATTTCTTTTTCACAGTGCTCACAGGGAAAATCATTAAATAGATTTTTATTCTGCCTTTCATAAGAGTCTTCATAGTGCTGCTCCATTTGATTTTTTCTTTGCAAGATTATCGTGTTTTGCTTTACTCTATTGTAGCTCCCTTTTTGGCTTCTATACTAACACTGCAAATAAACAGACCTGCCAAATCCTACCATCGCATTCCAAAGACTTCAGCAAACACGTCAAGTGTCTTGAACGCCACCAGCTTCTTTAAGAAGCCAGTTGAACCTTGATCTTTGTTAGTAAGATGTTGCTGTTGTTTCATTTCAAACACCCCAGGCAAAGAGGAGCAGAGTTCTTGCTTGGACTTCAATTCTGTGTTTGTGTTCATGTAGAGTTTGCAAATGCCTTACTCATCTTTAGAAACAAATATTCTTTAGAACTCCAATTGGAGAAATCATTGCAATTAGACCTTTTGAGAGGTGACAGCGTGCTAGCAGTCCTCACAGCCCTTGCTCTCTCTTAGCGCCTCCTCTGCCTGGACTCCCACTTTGGTGGCACTCGAGGAGCCCTTCAGCCCACCGCTGCACTATGGGAGCCCCTTTCTGGGCTGGCCAAGGCCAGAACCGGCTCCCTCAGCTTGCAGGGAGGTGTGGAGGGAGAGGCGCGAGCGGGAACCGGGGCTGCGTGCAGCGCTTGTGGGCCAGCTGGAGTTCCGGGTGGGCGTGGGCTTGGCGGGCCCCGCACTCGGAGCAGCCGGCCGGCCCTGCCGGCCCCAGGCAGTGAGGGACTTGGCACCCGGGCCAGTGGCTGCGGAGGGTGTACTGGGTCCCCCAGCAGTGCCGGCCCACAGGCACTGTGCTCGATTTCTCGCCGGGCCTTAGCTGCCTTCCCGCGGGGCAGGCCTCAGGACTGCAGCCCGCCATGCCTGAGCCTTCCCCCGCCTCCGTGGGCTCCTGTGCAGCCCGAGCCTCCCCGACGAGCGCCACCCCCTGCTCCACGGCGCCCAGTCCCATCGACCACCCAAGGGCTGAGGAGTGTGAGCGCATGGCGCGGGACTGGCAGGCAGCTCCACCTGCAGCCCCGGTGCAGGATCCACTGGGTGAAGCCAGCTGGGCTCCTGAGTTTGGCGGGGCTTTGGAGAACCTTTATGTCTAGCTCAGGGATTGTAAATACACCAATCGACACTCTGTATCTAGCTGCTCTGGTGGGGCCTTGGAGAACCTGTGTGTCCATACTCTGTATCTAACTAATCTGATGGGGACGTGGAGAACCTTTGTATCTAGCTCAGGGATTGTAAAGGCACCAATCAGCGCCCTATCAAAACAGGCCATTGGGCTCTACCAATCAGCAGGATGTGGGTGGGGCCAGATAAGAGAATAAAAGCAGGCTGCCTGAGCCAGCAGTGGCAACCCGCTCGGGTCCCCTTCCACGCTATGGTAACTTTGTTCTTTCACTCTTTGCAGTAAATCTTGTTACTGCTCACTCTTTGGGTCCACACTGCTTTTATGAGCTGTAACACTCACCACGAAGATCTACAGCTTTTCTCCTAAAGCCAGCGAGACCACGAGCGCACCAGGAGGAACGAACAACTCCAGAAGTGCTGCCTTAAGAGCTGTAACACTCACCGCGAGTGTCCGCGGCTTCATTCTTGAAGTCAGTGAGACCAAGAACCCACCAATTCTGGATACACTTTCACTGATGTGTAGGCTTAACGATGCACTTACGATCCTAGTAGCCTTTATAATTTTTTTTGAATACAGTATTTAGTTTCTTCAAAAGTTTGCATCAGGCTAGGCGAAGTGGCTCACGCCTATAATCCCAGCACTTTGGAAGGCCGAGGTGCGCGTATCATTTGCGGTCAGGAGTTCGAGACCAGCATGGGCAACATGGTGAAACTTCATCTCTACTAAAAATACAAAAATTAGCTGGGCATGGTGGCACATGCCTTTAATCCCAGCTATTCAGGAGGCTGAGGCAGGAGAGTCACTTGAACCCAGGAGATAGAGGTTGCAGTGAGCCGAGATCATGCCACTGCACTCCCACCTGGGTGACAGAGCGAGACTCCATCTCAAAAAAAATTTACAAGAGTAAGTCAAATTTCACATACTCATCACTTTCCTAAATAAGAATCGTTTCCTCAAAAAGCTTGGGATATATCTTAGGATTCACTCTCGCCCACATTTCACAAAATTATACTAAGCAACAGAATTTCATGTTTAGAAGAGATTTTCTCAGCTTTCTTCTTCTTTTGACCTGTCACATGATCAGGGTGGAGGAAGAATTAACTGACCTGACCTAGGAGGATTTTCTATTCATTTAAATTCATAGAGTTCGTGTCCTTTGCCAAACAAATGTGCATAACAAGTAAAGTATAGAATGGGTCAGAGAAGCCATCTGGTCTCACCTTCTAAATTTACCAATGAGAAAATTGAGGCCCACAGAGATTGAAATCCTCTCCTGAGTAAAATAGTCAGAATCAAAAATGAAATCTAATGATTCCCAGATGGTTGTTTCTTCCACTATAACATCATATTATTCTCCTGCATTATCATTTAACTTTCTGTTTACCTGTCTCATCTTGCCAACTAGATTGTCTTTAGTTTCATTCCAAAACTATCTAAACGGCATCCTCCATTTCCAGGTGGCAGTAAAAGATTAAAAAGTACCTCCTGGCCAGGCACAGTGGCTCACGCCTGTAATCCCAACACTTTAGGAGGCCGAGGTGGGTGGATCACCTGAGGTCAGGAGTTCGAGACCAGCCTGGCCAAACTGGTGAAACCCCGTCTCTACTAAAAATACAAAAATTAGCTGGGTGTGGTGGTGGGCACCTGTAATCCCAGCTACTCGGGAAGCTGAGGCAGGGGAATCACTTGAACCCGGGAGGTGGAGCTTGCAGTGAGCCAAGATTGTGCCATTGCACTCCAGCCTGGGCAACAAAACAAGACTCCATCTCAAAAAAAAAAAAAATTCCTTTTCTTTAGAAAATTCTACGCCTTTATGGTATCTGTGATGGTTAATGGTTAATTTTATGAGTCAATTTGGCTTGTCCATGGGATGCCCAGATAGCTGATTGAACATTATTTCTGGCACATCTGTGAGGATGTTTCCTGAAGAGATTATCATTTACATTGGTGGGCTGAGTAAAGCAGATAATCCTCCCCATTGTGCTGAGCATCATTCAGTCCACTGATGACCTCAATAGAATCAAAGGGTGGAGGAAGATTGGATTCCCTCTCTTCCTTCCTGGTTGAGCTAGGGCACGGATCTGCTTGCAGTGCTCCTGGTCCTGAGGCCTTTGAACTACACCTCTGGATTTCCTCGGTCTCCAGCTTGCAGACAGTAGACCTTAGGTCTTCTCAGCCCCTATAGTCACATGAGCCAATACCTTATAATAAATCTCTTTATATTTATATGTTCTGTTTCATTGGAGAACCCTGGCTAATATAGTACCCATGATGCCTGATGTTGAAGAAAACTAAGACTCAATACTGATGTTCATCCATACATTTATTCACCAAATATGTACTGCACACCTGCCCTGTGTAGGGCATTGTTTAAGGCATAGCAGTGAATAAAAATAATAAAATTTCTAGGCCAGGTGCAGTGGCTCATGTCTGTAATCCCAGCATTTTGGAGGCCAAAGTGGGAGGATCACTTGAGCCCAGGAGTTTCAGACCAGCCTGGGCAACATGGCAAAACTCTGTCTCTACAAAACAAACAAATAAAAATTAGCCTGTAGTGCCAACTACTAAGGAGGCTGATGTAGGAGGATCACTTGAGCCCAGAAAGCTGAGGCTACAGTGAGCCAAGATTGCACCACTACACTCTAGCCTGGGGGACAGAGTGAGACCCTGTCAAGAAAAGAAAGAGAGAAAGAAAGAAAAAAGGAAAGAAAGAAAAGAAAAGAAAGAAAGAAAGAGAAAGAAAGAGAGAAAGAAAGAAAGAAAGAGAGACAGAGGGGGAGGGAGGGAGAGGGAGAGAGAGAGAGAGAGAGAGACTTTTATTCTAGGTTTATTCTTTCTTCTTGTTTTGTTTTCTGTTTGTTTGTTTGTTTGTTTGAGATGGAATCTCACTCTGTCATCCGGGCTGGAGTGCAGCGGCAAGATCTCGGCTCACTGTGACCTCCGCCTCCTGGGTTCAAGCGATTCTCCTGCCTCAGCCTTTCGAGTACCTGGGATTACAGGCGCCCGCCACTATGCCCAGCTAATTTTTTTGTATTTTTAGTAGAGACTAAAAGTTTCACTATGTTGGCCAAGCTGTTCTCTAACTCCTGACCTCATGACTCACTGGCCTCGGCCTCCTAAAGTGCTGGGATTACAAGTGTGAGCCACCACACCCAGCCTGTTATTATTATTGAGGTAAAATTCATATAACATACAATTAATTTTAAAGTGTGCAATTCAGTGGCATTTGGTACATTTGCAGTGTTGTTCAACTACCCCCTCTCTCTAGTTCTAAAATATTTTCATTGCCCCAAAAGAAAACCAGGTACCCACTGGTAATAAAGAAAAGCATGCAATATGAGACCTTTCGTGTTGCATTTTTTTCACTCAGAATGATGTTTTCCAAGTTCACCCATGTTGTAGCATGTATCAGTACTTCTTTTCTTTACTGCTAAATAATATTCAGTTGCATAGATATACCAAAGTTTGCTTATTAATTCATCCATTGATGAACATTAGGCTGTTTTCACCTTTTGGCTATTGTGAATAATGCTTCTATGAAAAGTCATGTACAGGTATTTATCTGAGTACTTGTTTTCAAGTTTATTCTTTTTACTCCCCCTCCTTAATCCATTTCTGGATCTGTTTATAAGTCATATTTGAAATTTTAAAAGATGTTTTAGATGACCCCACAGTGGTGAAGAATCAAATATATTTAAGCCCCTAAATGAGTGCCTGGCACATAAGCAGTATGGTGATTCCTCAAAGAGCTAAAAGCAGAACTGTCATTCGACCCAGGAATCCCATTACTGGGCATATACCCAGAGGAATATAAATAATTCTGCTATAAAGACACATGCACGCGAATGTTCATTGCAGCACTATTCACAATAGCAAAGACATGGAATCAACCTAAATGCCCATCAGTGATAGACTGGATAAAGAAAATGTGGTACATATACACCATGGAATACTATGCAGCCATTAAAAGGAATGAGATCATGTCTTTTGTGGAAACATGGATGGAGCTGGAGGCCATTATCCTTAGCAAACTAATGGAGGAACAGGAAACCAAATACCACATGTTCTCACTTATAAGTGGGAGCTAAATGATAAGAACTCATGAACACAAAGAAGGAAACGACAGATATTGGGGTCTACTTGAGTGTGAAGGGTGGGAGGAGCGAGAGGAGCAGAAAAGGTAACTATTGGGTACTGGGCTTAATACCTGGGTGATGAAATAATCTGTACAACAAATCCTGTGACACTTGTTTACCTGTGGAACATCACTTGTACCCCCAAACCTAAAATAAAAGTTAAAAAAAAAAGCCCCTCAATAGACGATAGTTGTTATTACCAACAATAATAATTAACACAGCGCTAAATAGCATACAGCTGAATGCACACTTCATAGAGAATTGTTGCAATCTGGAGGCAGGTGTCAGTGCGGACTGGTCCCTTGAATGAAGATTCTTACAGCCTTCGCCCTACAACCAACTGTTCACCTCACACACTTCCTGGAGGTTGAAGAAATAGGCTGGAAGTTTTTCTCAGCATTTCTCTCTCTTTTTTTTTTTTATTTTTTTATTTTTATTTATTTATTTATTTTAACAGCTGAGTCCTCTGAGCACTTATTACCATGGATCACCAGCAGCAACGGGGCGGGAAGGGAGGTACCAGACTCATCTGCCCCTCAGGTAGATCTTGGGGGTCTGCCAGCCTCCAGGGGTTTCCTTCAGACCCGCCTTCACCCAGATACTCCTCGGGTCTCTCTTGAGCTTGATCGGCTTCCGTTTCAGGCGCCCGCCGCAGGAACAGCGGCCTCACAGCTTCCGGTGCTTGTGGTGGTTCATCTTCTGCCGGCGGGTCTTCAGCACGTTTTTGCTCTGCATCTGAGTTGTATCCCAGGCCTTCTCATCCTCCTGCTTGGCCCCTTCCCCCATCTGGCTAGGGAGACACTCATAGAATTGGGCTGGAGCCGCAGTCCCTGGGGTCTGGGCATCCAGTCTGGGCAGGAGGCAGCAGGCTGTAAGCCAGCTCTCCAGGGGGCTGATGGACATCTTCCTGGGGACCAGCATCTCCTCGAGCTCCAGCTGGGCCCCCTTGCTGGGGAGTGAGGCAGCCCTACCTGGGCCAGTTGGCTGTGTGCTGTAATGGGGCCTGCAGGCATGCTTGCTCAGCACTCCAGAAACAGGCCAGGGCAGACTGCAGCCTGCCCAGGAAACAGCCCTGAACAGCTGAGAAGTCAGGCGCACCAGGAGTATGGCCTGTGGGTGGGGAGCATTCCACTGCCAGGCTCAGGGACTTACGGTCGGAGCGTTTGTCGCATTTATCTGCCATGTTAGAAAATAATCACTAGCCCCCGCCTCCCGGGTTTGCCAGTGGACTTGCTCTAAGTTTTGCCCTGAAGTTACACAAACGTTGTAAAAAGCAAATGGAAACAGATTGTTGTCTTTCTGATTGTGTAACTTGGCATTAAAGGAATCTCTAATTTATTTGTTTAACACGCAACTGCTGACATCATTGCCTGAAGCACACTATCAAGCTGGTCTGATCCCAGCTTGTTCGCCACCCAAAGTCAACACCATTTAAATGAATTGTGACAATAAAAATTCCATTTCTATCTAGAGCCAAATAGCTGCTCAAATAATCACTTGGCGATCATACGAAGTATGTGAATATGGGGGATGCACTGAGCTGGAGTTTAGGAGATCTTGAGATATTCCTAATCTTGCTGTGACTTCTTTTGTGACTTCAAAGAGCACAAACCCCAGGCATCATTCTACTTCCTCATTATATGGAGGTTATTTTTCCTGAACCTATGTACTTCAACAAAAGTTGCAAGATTTAGCTTGTATTTATTTATGTTATCCTTGTCAATTCAGTCAAAATGGTTATGAGTTGTATAAGTCGCTACTTAGTCACAACTAAGGTTGATGTTGTTAGCTTTCTAACATTAATTATGCCTTTTTTAAAAATTCCACGAAAGGGTTTTTCATTTATTACAATATTAATTATGTTGGTGAGAGAGAATTGTGACAACCGAATTAACTCTGCTACTTCTTGTTCCTACCAAATGCCAATCTGATACTCTCACTGAAGTGGCAGTTTTAAGAAAGACATGTTGTCTTCCTTAAACAAACAAAACATTCCTCTTTATAATAAACAAGATCCTTATTCATGTATGTATAATTAGGGCTCTCCACCTGTCAAAAACTTTCAAGCTCTGTTTTTACTCAGTGTATAGCTCTACCTTCTCAATGTATCCTTTTCCAGACAGATGAAACCTTTTAGAAAATTTTCCCGAATGGTAAAAGATAAACACAGAGATCTTTGTTATCTCAAAGCTGAGTGACCCAACTGAGTTATCGTCACGGCTTAGGTCAAACTTTAAGCAAAACAAATACCATTATAAGCAACATTTCTTTACAAGAAAAATATTTCCCAACCTTGCAGCCTTGTTGATCCTGACGCAGGACACTCTACCATACAGACAAGCATGCAGTCTTTCACACGAGTCTGTGATGCTACAATTTCCACCTTGCCATTAGAAGGTGTTTAAGGGCAAGGATTTGTATCTCTGGTGCCTGGTAATTCATATTCTGATGCTGAATGAATATGGAAATGATTATTTGCACAATTCATGTTAGCTGCTAAGCAGCAAGGTTTGATATATTCTCCTTTCTAGAACTTGAAAACTCTAGGAACAAGTAGTTACCAGTATTGCCCAGACTACCGAGAGTATTTTAATGCTTTATTGTGAATATTGAGTGGATTTGTTCTGGGGAAAAAACAACAACAAATTATCTGTCTGTCTGTCTTTCTTCTCCACTGAACAATAAATTGTTTCTGGAAAGAAACTACAATAGTACCCCCTTACCCATATTTTTACTTTCTGCTGTTACTCACAGTCAACAACAATCCAAAAATATTACATGGAAAATTCCAGACATAAATAATAATTCCACTGAGAATGGTGTGTGTGAAACAAACTTCCACACAGTGGAACAAAATTACACTCAGAACAGTGTGCATGAAATTCCAGTTATGTTTCTGTCTTTATGCTGGAATTTTCATGCACACCGTTCTGTGTAGTGTAAAATCTCACGCCGTTCCACTCTGTCCCACCAGGGACATGACTCATCCCCTTGTCCTATGTTTTCAAGCTGTCTATGCTACCCACCAGTTCCTCACTTAGCCAGCTCGGTTATCAGATTGCAAAAACATAGTATACATAGAGTTTGGTAATATCCCTAGTTTCAGGCACCCACTGGGGGTCTTGGAACATATCCTCTGCTGATTAAGGGGAACTACAGTGCATCTTATCCATTTATATAACTGTACTGGCTAGCAAAGCACCTAGTTCCATAATAATTTCTAAAACTGCTCTGTCATTGTTAAGTCAAATCTATAAGGGGTTAATCATGAAATAAATAAAGCAGGATGAGGGCTGTCCTGTGAAAAGTAATTACCAGGCTGGGAGTGCTGGCTCACGCCTGTAATCCCAGCACTTTGGGAGGCCAAGGGAGGCAGAACACTTGAGGTCAGGAGTTTGAAACCAGCCTGGCCAACATGGTAAAACCCCATCTTTACTAAAAATATAAAAATTAGCCGGGTGCGGTGGTGCGCACCTGTAGTCCCAGCTACTCTGGAGGCTGAGGCAGGAGAATTGCTTGAACCTGGGAGGCAAAGGTTGCAGTGAGCCAAGATTGCACTGCACTCCAGCCTGGGTGACCAAGCAATACTCTGTCTCAAAAAAGAAAAAAGAAACGTAATGATCTCCCGACTGACAGTTTTGCACAAAGAGGGCTTCATTCCTTTCGAATCCTTAGTTGAAGTCACTCTCTCCCACCAGTGTAAGTGAAATGGAGAGGACCAGGGAGATTTGGGCCACCCCAATTTAGAAACACTGAAAGTTTTTCCCAAGTCCTGTCCCCATGACATGCAAACTCAGAGTCATTATGTCCTATATTAGTTTTTCAGTGGTATGAAAATTGCTCATTAGAGTTCCAACGATTGCCCTTGAAATAAAAATAATCACATTTCTTTCAAGTGCAAGAGGATCTGCTAGAATTTCTGGAGCAAAGAATGTTGCCTGCTGAAATGTTTTCAGACACCAACTCACCCCTTCAACCATTCTCAGGCGAGCATATTAGACCCATCTCAAGGCAGTCTAGTCCCTCTGGGCCTACTGAAAACGGATAAGAGCTACAGTGATAGCACGTGGGCCCATCCCACACCAGAGACACCAAAAAGGGAGCAGAGCTCCTTCGGAGTATGCTACTGAGTAGGTTCTGGAAGACGAAAAATTGAATTTTCCTAAAGTTTTGGAAGAGTAGAAAGAACACTGGGTGAGAAAGAAAGGAGGAAGGAAGGAAGCGAAAGAGGAGAGGAGGGAGCGAGGGGGGGTGTTTGGAGATCTAACGGTTATAAAACCCTCATAAGTAAAGCAAAGCAAGGGATTTTATTTCCATTTTACTTATGAGGAAATTGAGCTTCAGACAAGTTGTTTAGTCCAAATCTCACAAATTAGTAGAGCTGAGACTTGAACCCAGGTCTTCTGATTCCTGGTCCCATGGCCTTTCTGTTACGAGTAGTACAGCATCTTTCTTTCTTCATTTTACTAATTTGTGTCAACTGAAAGTTTCTGAGAAAGATTTATTGGCACATGGGTGAAATAGCCTGTGTGCAGGCACATTTGATGTAACAGTGTCTGTGATCAAAAGTTTGGGCATTTCTCAATAAGGAAATTGCTAAATAAATCATAATACGTAGTCTCTAAAAATATGAGACAGTTTGACATGCCCTCATACGGCACGATCTCCAGGCTATACTGTTAAGGGTAAAATAAGTGTGATGCATAACAGCCTGCACAGTATCCACCCAAGATTCCCAGGGGAGAACAGGAGGATTGCCTCCCGTAAGCTGAACTGGAATTGGCAGCAGCTCTTCTGCTCCACCCTCCCCCCAGCCAAGCTACAAGGCTGTGAAAATCACTCAGTATTGCTTTTGGAGCAGCTCTCTGCAAGTCTGGACTCTGTCTCAGAATGAGAGGCCCTCCACACAGAAGTTCTACATGCAGCAGTTTACTCCAGGTAGGTACCATAGGGTAATGATAAGAAAACAAGACTTCTCAGCCCCACTACAGACAAAAAATTCAGGGTTTTGAGATGCAGCAGAGAACAGCAAGTGTACACAAGTCTATGCAGAAAACATGGGGCCGGAGCAGAAGCATAGATCTCAGTTTTTAAGTGGCAGTACCAATGGTGACCTCAAGCCTGTGACTCAAGGTGACAACTGGCTGCTCAGCTAAGAGCATGGCAAATTTGCCTCAGGCCTATAGTGAATCATTTGAAATACCCAGAGTTGCAAGGCTGGTGAAGAAGTGATGACCCAAAGCTGAGAAGGATCCAAGGACAAGTCAAGAAAGTGTGACAGCAGTGAGCAAGGGCCTCCTGGGATGGCACACGCAAGTGCCACGCAGTGACTCAAGGTGGGGACAGCCATCAGGGTAGCCTGGGGTTGACATCTAGGAAAGGTTATTTTGAGTTCCTCCACCCTCCCCCAGTCTGTACAGTTAGACTAGATTGGCATAAAGCTCATGCCACAACGTCCACTCAAAGCTGTTAAAGGATCCCAAAACAATCTTAGCCTGAGAATTTGGGGCTACCCAAGGCTAAATTTGGGGTTCTTGAGGTATACATCAAAGGGGATAAAAGGAAGTTATTAGTAACCAGGATGACTATGGGACTCTTCTGTGTTTTTTGGAGCTAGGAACTTCACAAAGGACTATGAGACTGATACATTGATTTTTACCAATAGAAACTGTTGATGTACTAAATCATGTTGTACACCATAAATATATACAATTTTTAAAAATAAATCACTCTCTTTGAAAAAGAAACTTGATAGACCAAACAAAATTGCTGATAAAATATTTCTGATGATTAATATAATCGATTCTGACTTCCCTACTTCCATGGTTTGATTAAAATGCATGTTTGCTGTGCTCATGATAGTAGTTACATTTTACTTGATCAGAATTCTCTTTCTTCCATCCTAAATGTGCCCCCAGCTACGTCTTAACAGTTTAGAGAGATTTCCAACCACTGAAGAATACTAACTAGAGCTTTATTTTGTTCATTACGAATTCAACTTTTTAAAAATAAGTTGTGTATAAACTTTCTTTCCCCTAATATGTCATTTATAACTAAAGATTATATCATCCTTTTGAGAAATATATTGCTGTCCAGGGTTCTATTATTATGGTATATTATCATTATATTATAGATTATATTACTATTCTATTATATATTATAATATGTGATTATATAATATTATTATTGTAATCGAGCTTGAAGTCATGTCTTAATACACGTCTTTGTCCTTAATACATACTTGATTGGATACAGGTCAGGGATGGGAGAGACTCAGAAATGGGATGAATTTTAAAGATAGATAAGGCTGATATGACAGACTCAAACCTATGGGCTAGATTGGTCCTACAGAGTGTCACATTTGGCCCATATATTTTTAAGTATTACATTAACATACGTATAAAAATTTAGAAGTTTCATGCCTTCGCGGTGGCTCAAACCTGTAATCCACCACTTTGGAAGGTGGAGGCAGGCGGATCACTCAAGGTCAGGAGTTCGAGACCATCCTGGCCAACAT
Organism: Homo sapiens; assembly: GCF_000001405.40. Lineage (NCBI taxonomy): Eukaryota > Metazoa > Chordata > Mammalia > Primates > Hominidae > Homo > Homo sapiens. Next base: position 17,300,972 of record NC_000005.10, on the reverse strand, counting down.
GGTGAAACTCCATCTGTACTAAAAATCCAAAAAATTAGCCTGGCATGGTGGCAGGTGCCTATAATTCCAGCTACTTGGGAGCCTGAGACAGGAGAATCACTTGAACCCAGGAGGTGGAGGTTGCAGTGAGCCAAGATCCTGTCACTGCACTCCAGCCTGGGTGACAAAGCAAGACTCTGTCTCAAAAAAAAAAAAAATAGATATTTCACATAAAAATTCAAATTGGGGGCTTCTTTTGGGGAAGAGGTCTGGAGACTCCGGTCCTGCATTCACTTACAACAGGCAGCATGGGAAGTGAGCCACAACTGGCCCAGAGCACTTTGCCCCAGTCCCCACACAGCCCTACCTGGCTCCGGCAGGCACCTGAAGTCTCCACACCCCCACCCCTAGTGAGGGAGTGTGAGGGCGAATCAGAGCTAGCGATGAAGGAGACCTGGGAATGAAGGCAGAGTCATGGCTGAGAGTTCTGTGCATGTATACACTGTGCATAGCACCGTGATGTTACCATTTGATGCGGCACCAGAAGGTTCTGCTTAATGTCAAAGACTGCTCTGGGGACTCAAGGATGATCAAAGGAAGAGGAGGAAGGCACTCATAGCAGCATGACCAAGGAGAACAATGAGTGTCTGGTGGGCGAAATGAAAAGACATTGACCTGTGAATGACCTTGAGCATAATTTAAGCTTCTCTTTGTGATTCAGTCATTTTTATGCATGTCAGATATTTTACTGTGCACCTCAGCGCAAGGATGTTTTCAAGAGTTCCTGAGACCTGTGGCACCCCTTGCCTGTGCTTGATGGACTCAGACTCCGTCCTGTCTCCTCTCTGCATGACAACCATTACTGTGCGATAAGCTGGCTGTCTTTCTCAACCACTCCCTTACTTACAGACATTTGTCTAAGGAGGGTCTAGGAACTCCTGGACAGCAGCACCTAGGCTCCGTGGCAGGGATTTTCTTTGTTGCACCTTGTTTTCTTTGACTTGTTCCTGGGTTCACATCTCATGAGTTTCCATCAACCTAGTCCCCATCCCCAACCTCCATTCCCAGGTAAGAAGGAAACTACATGGTACCCAGTGCATCCACGAAGGGTGCTCTTGGTCTTCAAAAAATGTACTTACCCTACAGCACTGATCATAAAAAAATATATTTTTTTGTATTTTTGAAAACAAAAAGCAATTTTTTTTTTGAGACGGAGTTTCGCTCTTGTCACCCTGGCCGGAGCGCAGTAGTGTGATCTCAGCTCACTGCAACCTCCGCCTCCCGGGTTCTAGCGATTCTCCTGCCTCAGCCTCCCAAGTAGCTGGGACTACTGCCATGATGTGCCACCACGCCTGGCTAATTTTTGTATTTTTGGTAAAGATGGGGTTTCACCATGTTGGCCAGGCTAGTCTCAAACTCCTGACCTCAAGTGATCAACCTGCCTCGGCCTCCCAGAGTGCCAAGATTACAGGCATGAGCCACTGTGCCCGGCCTAAAAAACAAATTTTTACTGTTGGAAATGTGCATGGCTTTGGCTACCGAAATGCTTCAGTTCATAAGTATTTACAATTTTAACTCCAAATATCTACTTATGAAAGATGCTTCCCCAATTTATGAATAATCCAAGATAACAAATACATTTTCTTTAAGGGCTAGGTGAATTTATAATAAAAACAACTTAGGAGACTCAATCCTATTTCCATTCTTACTTCTACTCTTTTTTTATGGGAAAAATGTAAACTGGTTCTTCCCCAAACTCCTCTCAGCACGGCAATACTTCTTAGATGACCAGCTCAGAAAGGGAGGGAAGAGAGTGACAGCAGCTGCGTCTGTCTTCCTGCCCTGCACTATCAGTTCCTTGATAGGATTGCTGCAGTCTCATGTTAATTGTCTACATCTCCAGTATGTTCATTTGCTTTCTACCTATTAATACTTATATGCACATCCATGCACATGCAAACGTACATATGCTTTCCACTCGTTGTCACTTGCTTGTCCACATATAAACTTAATCTAAAGTGTGTGTGTCTGAATCAGCAATGTCTCCTTCCAATTTCTCTTTCCACTTTCTATCTCTAATAAATATGGACGTATCAGCCATGCCCTTACCTGAACCCATTATCTATCAATAATAGCCCCTCCCAAACCATGTTAGTACTTCTCTAAGAAGGTTGACCTTTCAGAGGTCTGATTAACTAGACAAACAAGGCATGGAACTCCAGCCCATATTTCCAACACATACGGTAGCCTTTTTTTCTAAATTATGACTTTTGCCTGTGAGAATAGTGAATGTAATGTATGAAGACCAAAAGCATTCTTCAAGACAGTGATTTGGTAGCATCTTATTCTGGAAGCATAAGCCATCTTGAACACAGATAATGAATGCATTAGAATGGAAACATCCAAAGGATTATTAAGTCAGAAGGCATACCCACCGTCACACTCACGTTCTCAGCTGCTTGCTGAGTGCGTACTGGGCACATGTATGCCCAGAACTCATGGCTTTCCCCTTTGAAGTAAATCAGAGAAGATAAAAATTACTTTTCAATGAAGTGGCTACCCAATCAAGAACAAGAAAGGTTTTAAGCCAGATTTAAACTGAGACATATTTATGTACAGCCATAAATCCACAGAAAGTCAGGACATTAGAAAACAGCAGCATACGCCGGGCGCAGTGGCTCACACCTGTAATCACAACACTTTGGGAGGCCGAGGTGGGCGGATAACTTCAGGTCAGGAGTTCAAGACCAGCCTGGCCAACATGGCAAAATCCCATCTCTACTAAAAATACAAAAATTACCTGGGTGTGGTGGCACGCGACTGTAATCCCAGCTACTCAGGAGGCTGAGGCAGGAGAATTGCTTGAACCCAGGAAGGGGAGGTTGCAGTGAGCCAAGATCGCACCATTGCACTTCAGCCTGGGTAACACAGCGAGACTCTGTCTCGAAATAAAATAAAATAAAATAGAAAGAAAAAAGAAAACAGCAGCGTAAAAACATTTGGATGCTACCAAATATCCATTTCAGATTGAGACTTCCATGGAGTGAAAAAATAAATAAAAATAAAAATGTGAGCAGCACTTTCCAAGGGCCTGGCACGATTAACCCCATTTATCCTCACAAGAACCCCGTGAGGTAGGTATTGTTAGCATTCCCATTTTACAGGTGGGTCTGAAAGTAAGTGACTTAGCTAGGATTTAGCTCTGGATAGACTCAGACCTGGACTTCAAACCCAGTGAGTGAACCCTCTGAGTCTGTTATCAACCACTATGCCATCTGCTTACCTGGTACCCATGAGCAACAGAAACAAATCATTACTTTTTAATCTGGTGATGGGGCTTTTTGTAAGGAATTAAAATGTTAAAATATGACATATGGAATTATATTGGTCAGTATGAAAGAAACAGAACCAATAGAAGATATATAAACATATATAGGATAGATGATTGATAGATAATAGATGGATAGATCCTATTGTTTGTATATATATATATATATATATATACACACACACACACAATAGGACATACATATATATATACACACATAATGTATATATATATACACACATAATGTATATATATATACACACACACGATAGGACATATATATATACAGTCATGCACTGCATAACAATGTTCCAGTTAACTGTGCACATACAATAATTAACTGCATATACAATGGTGGGCTCATCAGATTGTAATAAAGCACATATAGAAATCTGATATTTGGCACTTGACATTGGCATTGCAAATCAAGTAGGGGAATTGACTGATATTCAGTAATGGTGCTGAGACATCCGGTTTTCCAAGTAAAAATATAAATATATATGTATATATATACTCACACAACAACAAAATTCCCTAAAAATGCAATTCTGACAATGTATCTCCATCATTAAGTGATGCATGACTCTATTTACATATAGATATAGATACAAAAGCACAGAGAACGAGAGAGAGATTTATTCTAGAAATTGGCCAAGAAGTCCCATGATCCATTGTCTGCAAGTTGGAGAACCAAGAAAGCCAGTGGCATAATTCAGTCCAAGTCCAAATGCCTAAGAACCAGAAGACCCAAATCCAAAGGCAAGAGAAGATGGATGTATAGCCCAAACAGAAGCAAACTCATCCTTCGTCTCTGCCTTTTTGCTCTATCCAGCTCCTCAATGGATTGGATGGTGCCCACTCACATTGGGGAGGGACATCTTCTTTGCTCAGTTCACCAATTCACATGCTAACCTCTTCCAGAAACACCACCACAGACACACCCAGAAATAATGTTCTACCAGATATCTGGGCCTCCCTTAGCCCATTCCAGTTGACACATAAAATTAACCATCTCAGGTCATTTTCCTAAGAACACTTCTGGCCTTTTCTTAAAGGCTTTATATTTTATATTCAGGTCAGTTTATCTCCTCTGTGATATCAGCCCAAGGAGTAGGTATTTAGGACAAGCCTTACCATCTGGCAAAAAAGACAATCATCTTTGCAGTGGGGCTGGAGGATGTCCACTTCCCAGAAAGATCTCTCTCATCCAACAATTACACTGCCTAAAATTTCACCACCAGAAAACTTGTAGGGATGGTCACATGTTCACAGTGTATTGTAAATTTGCCTTCAAATTGATTTCTCCCATCCCAATTATTCCACAGAAAAGGGCACCAGGATAATGAGACGTAAAGCATCATCAAATGAAAGATGATGTTTTAATCACCTCCTCTTCATACTGTTGACAGAAGAAGGATTCCCACCTGAGAGTTATGGGAATGGTCATAACTTTTTTTTTAAGGAACTAAAAAGTGTCTAAAATGCCAAAAATATTTTTGTAAAATGAACTGTGAATGCCCAATGATAGTTTCATGACTATATCTGTATTTCACAAAAGAATCCTTTTTTCCTCACAGAGAGTTAACATAGCCTATGGTCAAACACAGGTACTCTATGATCATTTCTGGAGATGTTTAATGGTGTGTGAAGAAGACAAGCTCAGCCACCGTGCCCAGTCTCCCAAAACTTTCAATAACATCTTCATCTCAAAATTTTAGGACACAGTTCTTCTAATGAGTGACAGCATCACTGAACACCAGAAGCATCAAGGAACATCTGCTCCCCCGCACCCGTGGCTCATCTCAGGATGTTGTCAGGCAGAGTCAGACACACTACAGTGGGAAGATCAGACTGGGAGAGTTGAGCTCCAAAACAGAACTGCACCTTAAAGAGGGGGCATCTCAGAGCACCCTGACTCCTGCCAGCTCAAGGACAGAGCCAAGTCTGGCAGTGAAACCCTTTTTTCAGAGAATTTGGCAAATTTCTTCCAGTCCAAACAAATGGCCCCAATTTTAGGATGTGTAAGATGGAATAACAGGCCAGGTACAGTGGCTCATGCCTGTAATCCCAGTAGTTTGGGAGGCTGAGGAGGGCGGATCACAAGGTCAGGAAGTGGAGACCATCCTGGCCAACATGGTAAAACCCCGTCTCTACTAAAATACAAAAAATTAGCCAGGCATGGTGGTGCATGTCTGCAGTCCCAGCTACTCGGGAGGCTGAGGCTGGAGAATTGCTTGAACCCAGGAGGCGGAGGTTGCACTGAGCAGAGATCATGCCACTGCACTCCAGCCTGGGCGACAGAGCAAGACTCTGCAGGAGGCTGAGGCAGGAGAATGGTGTGAACCCGGGAAGTAGAGGTTGCAGTGAGCTGAGAGGTTGCACTCCAGCCTGGGCTACAGAGCGAGACTCCGTCTCAAAAAGAAAAAAAGAAAAAAAAATGGAATAACAATTACAGAATCATCTATACAGGTAAAGGGGACAGGAGATCCAGGAAGAGGGGAAATTCAGAGATTCCTCCACAGGGGCAGCCTCTGCAGAGAATTTGGGAAACCTGTGTAGGCTGCTGGCTGGGCTTCTGTCACTGGCAACGGGTTGAAGCTTCCTAATCTAGAAGACTGAGAAGATCTCAGTGAGGCCTGCATTTTGGAGGAGCATGGTTTGGGAGAGCTTATGTTCTGGAATATGATTCTGATCCTCCTACCCTAAGTGGGGTGTAAGGGTGGACTGTGCCTCAGGACTAAGGCCACAGTCTCATAATTTTTTTTTTTTTTAGAAAGGGTCTCACTGTATTGCCCAGGCTGGAGTGTAGTGGCAAGATCTCGGCTCACTGCAACCTCCGCCTCCAAGGTTCAAGTGATTCTCCTGCCTCAGCCCCCCGAGTAACTGGTACTACAGGCATACACCACCATGCCCAGTGCATTTTTTGTAGAGATGGGGTTTTGCCATGTTGCCCAGGCCAGTCTCAAACTTTGAGCTCAAGCAAAACACCCACCTCGGCCTCCCAAAGTACTGGGATTACAGGCGTGAGCCACCGCACCCGGCCCACCATGCCATTATTAACTTCAATGTTGAACTAGGGCTTCCTAGGTCCTCAAACTCTCTGAGATCAAGAATGATCCTCTATCCTGGGGGCAAAGATGAATCTTTATGTGAGAACAAAGTGCTCCCAGAGGCAGATACAGCAGGATTCACAGGATGAGAACTGAGCAGGGGCTGTCTGTGCAATGGACAGTGACAGTTCCATCTTCCCATTCTTACATGGAGCCACATCCTTGTGAGGTCCAGTAATCCAAACTTCTATATCTAAATCAGTGGGTTCTGCTCTGAATCTGGGTTATTCTTCAAGGGCAGGGATTATATTAGAATTTATTCTCTTTGAAAATATAACTCTTTTCAAAGTGATGAAGATTCGTGCATACCCCAGCATTCTGTAAGTTCTCCCTTAGGAGCAAATAAAAGTTGTGCAGCCTTAATTTAAGCCTATTTCTATTTCAGTCCTATGTGAATAGAGGGAGACAGAGGGAATTATCAACCATTCTTTGGGAAAAAGAAAACAACTCTAAAAGTACCTAAAGATACAAAAGCTGTCATTTAGCTTTCTTTTTGGAGGCAAGTAATATCCATTCAACATTTCACCACTTAAGCCTAGCATTATTCAAATATACACAGCAAAGTATAAAGCCTGGAAATACTTTTTTTTTTTTGAGACAGGATCTCACTCTGTCGCCCAGGCTGGAGTGCAGTGGCACGATCTCGGCTCACTGCAACCTCTGCCTCCCAGGTTCAAGCGATTCTCCTGCCTCAGCCTCCTGACTAGCTGGAGCTACAGGCGTGCACCACCACTCCCAGCTTACTTTTGTATGTTTTGGTAGAAATTATGTTTCACTGTGTTGGCCAGGCTGGTATTGAACTCCTGGCTCTAGTGATCCACCCGCCTCAGCCTCTCAAAGTGCTGGGATTACAAGCGTGAACCACTGCACCCAGCCCTAGAAATAATTTTTAATTACCAGGCCTGAAGAAATTAGATACATACCTATGACATATATTTTAAGAAGCAGGTAACTTCCAATTACATAGAATAATATTAATAATTTGAAGTCCCCTAAAACCTTGCTACTCAATGTGTGGATCAAGGACCAGCAGCATGAATGTTCCTTGGGAGCTTTTGTAGAAGCAAAGCTTAATCCAAACCTACAGAAGCTGCAATTTAACAAGAGCTGCAGGTGATTTGTATACATATTAAGTTGGAGAAATACTCTGAGCTATACACTAGTCCATTTGCCTCTTCAGTGTACTCAGTAATGATGAAGAACTTTTGAAAATTACATTTATTTCTATTTCAGAAAACTCTCCATCATAGTTCTCATCAGTTCCCTTTAAATACAGTTATTATATGAAGGTAAATATACTAAGCCACTAATCCCTATCTCTACCCTCCAGCCCTCCCATCTCAAAAAGATGAAAAATCTTTTTTTTTGTTTTTTGTTTTTTGTTTTGAGACAGAGTCTTGCTCTGTTGCCCAGGCTGGAGTGCAGTGGTGTAATCTCGCCTCACTACAACCTCCGCCTCCTGGGTTCAAGTGATTCTCTTGCCTCAGCCTCCTGAGTAGCTAGGATTACAGGCACATGCCACCACGAACAGCTCATTTTGTATTTTTAGTAGAGACGGGATTTTGCCTTGTTGGCCAGGCTGGTCTCGAACTCCTGATGTCAGGTGATCCACCTCGGCCTCCCAAAGAACTGGGATTACAGGTGTGAACCACTGCACCCAGCCAAAAATTATTTTTTATTTGGCAAACCTATTATGACAAACACAGCTGGAATGAGGAATGGTGCAGGCAGCAATGGGCAGCCCACATGTTCAAGAAAAGCCCTGGAGGACTGGGGAGAAGCCTGAAGGCAGAGATACACTGGGGAAAAGTTGAAGGCACTGAGCATTTACATCAAATGCACATGTAGTTGGCTGTTCTGCCTCGCAAATCATAAAGATCTCTGATTTCTGACCTTGTCTGCTGATGGGGTGCTCACGTGGGTTACCAGTTTCTGCATTTGAGTTGCTGGTTCCCCAGGGGTATGCTCCTTTCGGGCCCTGCTGGTTTTCAGGCATCTATCGTGTCTAGAAACTATCGCCCCAGAACCCTGATCTTCCTGAGTCCTCAAACACCACACAAGACTCTCTTCTAACTCTTCCCGTAAACCCGAAACCATCTCAAGGAACAACACGGAGTCGTTATCTAAGACAAAAAAGGAGGCCAGGCACAGTGGCTCACACCTGTAATCCCAGCACTTTGGGAGTCTGGTGCAAATGGATCACCTGAGGTCAGGAGCTCAAGTCCAGCCTGGCCAACTGGTGAAATCCTGTCTCTACTAAAATACAAAAATTAGCCAGGCGCGGTGCCACATGCCTGTAGTCCCAGCTACTCGGGAAGCCTAGACAGGAGAATCGCTTGGACCCGGGACAGAGGCTGCAGTGAGCCGAGAGCGCACCACTGCACTCCAGCATGGGCAACAAAGGGAGGTTCTGTCTCAAAAAAAGAAAAAAAAAAAAAAAAAGAAAAATTCAAATTAAAACTATCTTTAGGCTCAACACAACAAAGCTGTGTCTGATTCAACAGCAATACTTTTTGGCCTCCTCTTGCATTTGAGAGTGGCTTATAGCTGGTGTGGTATCTCTCCTAAGTGTGAATTTATACCTGCTTCAGAGAATCAGATGATGGGGGAAATCTACAGGAAGAATTCTGATTCTAATGTCAGAAGGACTTTGTGTGAGTGAACCTGAACTCACTGGTTGGGCAGTGAGGTGGTTGGGCACGTATAAATAACCAACCAACAAAATGGTGGCCTCAAAAAATCAGCCAAGACCAAATCTAGCCCACTGAGAATTACAGACCCCTGCCAGATGCAAATGTTTCCCGGAAGACCAAGTTTATAAGAAAGTACCAATCAAGCTAGGTAGATAGCACAACTGCCCAGAATGTCTCCCTAAAATCAAACTCCCAGTTTAAATGAAGCCACTACCAATGGGAATGTCTTTTAAAAAGTACAACGTTCTTTTTGTATGTGTTGTGTAAATGAAGAATAAAAATTTTTAATTACTAAAAAGAAACAATCCCATTATTATACATAAGCATGCTCAATAATACAATTTATAATACAAAGAAAATAATCTGCATAAGTTTATAAAATATAAGATTATTTTATTTTTAAAACATATTCACACAAGATAACACATTATGTTGCTACCAAATACAAAATTGGCCTTATTAAGAGAGGGAGTCAGAAGTGTTCATAAGAAATAACACAGTTTTAGTGATTCTAGGGTGACTCCCACCAATATGTCTCCCTTCTCAGCAAGTCACCCTATTCTTCCCCAGATAAATACCTTCTCCTCTGCCTGACCATTGCCTGAAATGGGACAGTTGAGTGTCATTTTCTTTTTTTTTCTTTTTTTTTTTTTTTGAGATAGGGTCTTACACTGTCACCAAGGCTGAAGTACAATGGCACGATCACGACTCACTGCAGCCTTGACCTCCTGGGCTCAATTGATTCTCCTGCCTCAGCCTCCTGAGGAGCTGGGACTACAGGTATGTGACACTAAGCCTGGCTAATTTTTTAATTTTTTGTAGAGACGGGGGTCTCATCATGTTACTCAGGTTGATCACAAATTTCCTGAACTCAAGCAATCCTCCCACCTTAGTCTCCCAAAGTGCTGGGATTACAAGCATGAGCCATCAAGCCTGGCCAAAAGTCATTTTTACTTAAAGTTTTCGTCTCCTTGTAAAAGACAAATAGATCTGGAGAGAAAAGACAGTCCTGTTACTTAAGTCATTTACATCGCAACAGATATTTTGAAACGCTGAGCATGAGGCAATATTCAAGGTACTGGGGATAAGAGAATGAGGAGGGTCCCTGCCCACAAGTCACGCACAGCCTAGTGAGGAGACCCTCGTGCTCATGAGTCGATGTTGGTAAGTTGATGGTTGCTAGGAAGGAGCTGGAGTGAGCGACAGAGGAGCACCGGAGTAGTTACATGTCAGCACTCCTGAGTCAGGAATGGGTAGAATGGGTAGAAACTTATAGACACACAGTGAGCCGTAGTGAAGTGGAGAAGGCAGAGGAGACTCATGAAGGAAAGGAATTCCAGGCATGTTCAAAAGCATAGCAGGGAGAATTGTACGATGGGTTGGAAAGTGTCCCGTACAGCTAGAGTCAAGGGAACAAACCAGGAAGTGGGAAGAGATGGGGCTGCACTTTTTCTTTGATCTCTTACTAGGTTTTAGATGCTGTGCTTTAGACCACTTACGTCATTTGATTCTGGTGACAACGCTGTGAGTTGAGCCAGATTATTACTCCCAGTTTACAGATAAGGAAGATAAAGCACAAAGAGGTTATGTAACTTGCCCCAGAGTCTCAGTGCCAAGCTTCAAGCCCGGGGTCTGCTAGCATCTTCTAGTCATGAGAGAGGGAGGGTCAAGAAGCATAAAGCCACGCAAGTCTTCAAAGAGATTTGAGGTGACAGAACAGTGAGTACCTAACCCGAGTGTAAAGTACGCCCGCCCACTCATGCTTGGTTTGAGGGCCAGCCTACTAGGTGGACGGAGACAAAGTGGGGGACAGCTTAGAGAAAATTCAGGGCTTCCTCCTTTGCGCTCATTAAGATAGCACCAACCTCCAAGAAGTTATGACCCAGAGTTGTGCAGGGGTGGAATTCACCTCCCTACCCAGAAGCTTAGAAGGACCTCACCCCAGGTCTTGTGACTCGAGACCTTTAGCCATTAGGCCCAGGGCTCGCCATCCCCCACGGGACTGCGGAAATCGAATCTTCATGTCCCTTATCTCCCATCACTATCAGCCAACACCAGGGTAAACTACCATGAACAAACATTTCATGCTGCAACACCAGCAAATCCATAAGGTTTCATATGGTTCCTTGCCCCAGATTCAGCCAAGTTCTGCCCTTACCTCCTGAATGCTGCCATGCCACCCTCCAAAACCTCTGCCTCATCATGTGCAAACTCCTTTTTACCCTCAACCTTCTTTTTGGAGGATCCTTCCCACCTCCTTGCCTTAACTGAAGCCTCTGATGACATCACTTTGCAACAGCCTTTTCTCTTTTTTTTTTGAGACAGAGTCTCGCTCTGTCACCCAGGCTGGAGTGCAATGGCACAATCTCGGTTCACTGCACCTCCGCCTCCCAGGTTCAAGCGATTCTCCTGCCTCAGCCTCCCAAATAGCTGGGATTACAAGTTCGCGCCACTATGCCCAGCTAATTTTTGTATTTTTAACAGAGACGGGGTTTTGCCGTGTTGGCCAGGCTGGTCTTGAACTCCTGACCTCAGGTGATCCACCTGCCTCAGCCTCCCAAAGTGCTGGGATTACAGGCATGAGCCAATTCTGTGGTTTTTACCACCTAAATAAAAGCCTCAACAGCCTGGTTTTCTCTATCTTTTCTGCCCCCTCTATCATCCAAGCAACTGTCACCCAGCAGTCTGCAAATAACTTTCTCTCCAGTCTCCCTGAGGCCACCCCCATCTGTTCTCTACACTGAACCTAGAATAATCTTTTCTTTTCTCTCATATGCCCTTTCTGTCTGCAGCCCTCCTGTGACTTCTAATCATCCCAAGGATGAAGGGCGGTGTCCTCTGCATGGCTTGCAAGGGTCTGCTGGCTCGAACCTCAGCCAGGTGCCCACACTCATCTTTTCCAACTTTGCTTTTTTGTCTGTGCATTCCCACTACTGTGGCCTCTCTTAGCTCATCAAGTGTTCCTTGTTTCCTCAGCACACAGGCCCTTTGTCCAGCTGTTCCCTCTGCCTGGACACCTTTCCCCCTCCCCAGCTGGCTCCTGGTTGGGGTTATGTCTTTTGTGGAACTAGGTTACTGATATGGTTTGGCTGTGTTCCCACCCAAATCTCATCTTGAATTGTAACACCCACAATTCCCACATGTCATGGGAGGAACCTGGTGGGAGGTAATTGAATCATGAAGACGAGTCTTTCCCATGATTTTGTTCTCGTGATAGTGAATAAGTTTCATGAGATCTGATGGTTTTAAAAACAGCAGTTTCCCTGCACAAGCTCTCTTTTTACTCGCTGCCATCCATGTAAGATGTGACTTGCTCCTTGCCTTCTGCCATGATTTTGAGACCTCCCCAGCCATGTGGAACCGCAAGTCCATTAAAACTTTTTCCTGTTTAAATCACCCAGACTTGGGTATATCTTTATTAGCAGCATGGAAACAGACTAATACAGTTACCTTCCTTCTCAGTACATGATTCTGGTTTAATTGTGTATTGTTGGATGATTGTTTGTTTAATTGTTACATCCTCTGCCACTGACCTACTCATCTCTTCAAATAAGATGTATTGACAATCTACTCCATCCTAGGCACTGGAAGTAACATTGAATGAAAAAGACAAAAATCACTGTCCTCTGAAGTTTATAGTCTATGGAAGGAGACCGAATAACGAATTATTTAAGAAAAAGGTCTCATATCTTGATGACTAGCACTATAAAGGAAATAATCAGGGAATGGGGAGGAGAGCAAGGTGTGTGTGTGAGAAGGGGTGTGCAGTGGCTTGCAATTTAAAATAGGATAATCAGGGATGGCCTCGTGAGAATGTGACATTGGAGCAAAGTCATGAGAGGAGGGAGGGAATCTGGAAAAGTTCCAGGCAGAGGGACTAGCAAGCACGAAGGCCAGAAAGTGGCAAGGTGCCTGATTTCCTCTTAGAGGACCTGTCAGCTGGCCAGCCTGGTTAAGCAGAGAGAAAGGAAGAAGATGGAGTCAGAGATAGCGGAGGGAGGTATGGGAAGGAGAACCCATGGAGATCTTGCAGGGAGGACCAGCTTCATGGGTGTGCCACCTGGACAGTCACAAAGGACCCCACACTCAGAGTCCTGTGCTGGATCGAATGCTTTGCTCTCTTGAAATTCTTAAGAGTTTAAGCAAGGCCCAGCCCTTTTTGCAGTCAGTCCTGCCTGTAGGACCTAGTGAGTTACTGTTCCTTCTGCCAGGTCTAATCTAGTGGAGACCTTGGCTCTCCATCTGAGCAAGACAGGGAGCCCATTGAAGGTTTTGAGCTGAGGAGTGACATGATCCCACTTACACCTTAGCAAGGTACTTCTGGCTGCTCTAATGAGAAGAGTTGAATTTTAGTAGCAAGGGTAGGAGCAGAGAAGTTGGTGAGAAGTCTCTTGCAAATAATCGGAATAAGAGATTCCCGTGGCTCACATTTGTAATCCCAGCAATTTAAGAGGCCGAGGCGGGTGAATCACCTGAGGTCAGGAATTCAAGACCAGCCTGGCCAACATGGTGAAACCCCATCTCCATTAAAAATTTTAAAAGGCCTGGCGCAGTGGCTCATGCCTGTAATCCTAGCACTTTGGGAGGCTGAGACAGGAGGATCACGAGGTCAGCAGTTCGAGACCAGCCTGGCCAATAGGGTGAAACCTCATCTCTACTAAAAAGACAAAAATTAGCCGGGCATGGTGATGCGCCTGTAATCTCAGCTACTCAGGAGGCTGAGGCAGGAGAATCACTTGAAACTGGGAGGTAGAGGTTGCAGTGATCCGAGACTGCGCCACTGCACTCCAGCCTGGGCAACAGAGTGAGACTCTAAAAAAAAAAAAAAAAAATTAGCTGGGCGTGGTGGCACACACCTGTAATTCCAAGTACTCAAGAAGCTGAGGCAGGAGAATTGCTTGAACCCAGGAGGCGGAGGTTGCAGTTAGCCAAGATGGCGCCACTGCACTGCAGCCTGGGTGACAGAGTGAGACTCTTTCTCAGGAAAATAAACAATAAGAGATTCATTTGGCCTGGGCCAGGGTGGCAAGACTGGTTGGATCCCAGTTATGGGGGACATGTAGAGTCAACATTTCCTGACACGTGGACTATCAAGTATAAGAAAAGCTGAACCGAGGGTGGAGTTGATGACTTGGGGTGAGTATCTGGAGGATGAATTTACCCTCAGATGAACCCTGAAAGGATGAAGGAGCAAGGTCTGGGGGAAATCAGAAGTTCATGTCAGGATATATTACCTCTGAGATGCCTGTGGGTCGTCCAAGGGCAGCGGCCAAGAGGCAAGTGATGTTTTGGAGTCCAGAGTTGAAGTGAAAGTTGTGGGCTCTGGGGACTTTTAATAGACAAATTATAGTTGTATATATTTACTGAGTACAAAACAATGTTATGATTTTTTAATATAATATGAAATTATTAATTAGTGACTTAACTTATCCATCACTTCCAATATTTGACCTATTTTTTTGTGATGAGAGCATCTGAGATTTACTCTTTTAACGAATGGAAATGTGCAGTACTCAGTTGTTAGGGATAGTCACCATGCTATGCAATAGATCTAAACAAAAATCAAACTCATTCCTTCTGCCTAAGTGAGGCTTTGTATCCATTGATTATCATCTCCCTGTTCCCCCCACCGGCTAGTCTCTGATCACCATTGTTCTACTCTCTGCTTCTGAGATCAGTTGTTTTAGTTTAAGTGAGAGCACGTGGTGTTTGTCTTTCTGCGTTTTGCTTATTCCACTTAGCATAATGTTCTCCAATTCCATCCATATCATCACAAATGATGGAACTTCTTCCTTTTATAAGGCTGACTAGTATTCCATTATATATATGTATGCCATATTTTCTTTTTCTTTCCTTTTTTTTTTTTTTTTGAGATAGGGTCTCACTTTTTTTTTTCCACTGCAGTGGCATGATCTCAGTTCACTGCAACCTCCACCTCCCGGGCTCAAGTCATCCTCCCACCTCAGCTCCCCAAGTAGCTAGGACCACAGGCATGCACCACCACACGCAGCTAAGTTTTTTGCATTTTTTGTAGAGACGGGGTTGTGCCATGTCGCCCAGGCTGGTCTCAAACTCCTGAGCTCAAGCAATCTGCCCAAAGTGCTAGGATTATAGGCGTGAGCCCCTGCACCTGGCCTGCCACATTTTCTTTATTCATTCAGTCATCCACTGATGGACCCTTAGGTTGATTCCGTATCTTGGCTATTGTGACTAGTGCTACAATGAACATGGGCATACAGACTTCTCTTCAACACGCTGATTTCAAATTTTGTGGGTAACTACCCAGAAGTGGGATTGCTGGATTATATGGTAATTTTATTTTTAGTTTTTTGAGAAACCTCCATGCAATTTTCCATAATGGCTGTATTAATTTATACTCCCACAAGCAGTGTACAAGAGTTCCCTTCCTCCACATTCTCATTAACATTTGTTATCTTTTGTCTCTCTAATAATAGCCATGCTGACAGGTGAGAGGTGATATCTCATTGTGGTTTTAATCTGCATCTCCCTCATGAGCTCTGTTTTTGCTTTTTGTGTTTTAAATAGAGATGGGGTCTCACTGTGTTGCCCCAGCTGGTCTTGAACTCCTGGACTTAAGGGCTCTTCCTACTTTAGCCTCCCAAAATGCTGGGATTACAGGCATGAGCCACTGAGCCTGGCCAGCTCTGTTTTTAGGCTCAACATATTCCTAGCATTTGTGGGAATATAGTGCCTGGAAGATAGCAGCTGCTTAATAAATATTTGGTTAATGAATGAATGAAGCAATGTAGAACACACTAGGAGAGGTGACATATGGGAAAGTGTTATATATACAGAATGAATAAAAACTAAACCAGAGTTAATCCGTAACATCAGAATTTTCCTTTAAGAGAAATTGCTCATAAAAAATGGTGAGGGAAAAGATGAGATTGCCTCACTCATGATTGCTCACTTGTTTCAGAAGGAAATGAACGTCATGGTCTTGCATCCACTTAACAAATGCTCGTGTACTAGGCTGTGCGCTAAACACAGCCTTCTATCCTCTCCACAGCCCCCAAGGCAGATATATTCTCCAGTTCTTTTTTTTTTTTTTTTTTTTTTTTGAGACGGAGTCTCACTCTGTCACACAGGCTGGAGTGCAGTGGCGTGATCTCGGCTCACTACAACCTCCGTCTCCCAGGTTCAGCGATTCTCCTGCCTCAGCCTCCCGAATAACTGGGATTACAGGCTTATGCCACCGCGTCCAGCTAATTTTTGTATTTTTAGTAAAGACAGGGTTTCACCATGTTGGCCAGGCTGGTCTCGAACTCCTGACCTCAAGTGATCCGCCCGCCTCAGCCTCTCATAGTGCTGGGATTACAGGTGTGAGCCACTGAGCCCGGCCTCTCCAGTTCTTGAGTAAACAGAGGTTCTGAGAAGAAATCTGTCCCCAGGTTACAGAGGTAACTAAGATATGAAGGTGGGATTCCAGCTACTTCACCTCCCATGCATAAAGGCAATTCGTTCTTTTTCCTTGGTTCACATCTTGTTATCTCCATAATCTAATTTGAATATTCTCAGGAAAACCATCTTGGATTTTGACTCCCCCTTTTCCCCTAAAAAGATTGCCATACATTTGTGTTTTCTTTTTCTCCTACAAAGAGGGGTTGTTCTCTGTAGGACAATTCAGATCTCAATTCTGTGGTCGTTGTGACTCTATTTCCAAGGAAACCTTAAGAAATTCCTTCTCAATTGAAGTAGACAGACAGGCCAGAGCTTATGAACCCAGCTTTTTTTTTTTGAACTGAAGCCTCCATTGGAATAGCTGTGGTTCACTGAGTGTATATCACAAGCAGTCACTTCCAGGTCTTATTGAAAATCTTCACAGCAACTCTGTTGTTATTATTACCATCTTTTTTTCTAATGAGGTAAACTTAAAATCAAAGAATGATCCACCAAACCCTCATTCTAGTCCAAGCTTCTTTGTTCAAATCTTGTGAGTCACTCTATCCCAGTAGATTCCCAAAGAGGAGCTTCACGAAACTCTTGCCCTGCCCCTCTACCTTCCTTAAGAACTACTGAATCAGGCCAGGCACAGTGGCTCATGCCTCTAACAGCACTTTGGGAGGACGAGGCAGGTGGATCACCTGAGGCCAGGAGTTCGAGACCAGCCTGACCAACATGGTGAAACCTCATCTCTACTAAAAATACAAAAATTAGCCAGATGTGGTGGCACACGCCTGTAGTCCCAGCTACTTGGGAGGCTGAGCAGAGAATTGCTTGAACCCAGGAGGTGGAGGCTGTAGTGAGCCAAGATTGCACCACTGCACTCCAGCCTGGGCAACAGAGCAAGACTCTCTCTCTCAAAAAAAAAAAAAAACTACTGAATCAGGATCACAGCTTAGGGGCTGGGATCTCTTTATTTAGACATCCAAGAAAATTCTTATGTAGTCAATTTGTATGACATTTAGGAACTGATGCCTTGTTTTCTGAAACAGAGCTCTAGTTGTAGAATCTTCAAGATTCTCTTTTAATAAGCACTGTACATCAAGGACTATTTCAAATTACCTTGACTCCTGAACATGGTCTCTCTTAATCTTTATTATTCTTATAGATAAATGAGGGGCAGGGGGAAGTGGAGGAGTAAGATGAGTAAAGTTCCAAGTAAATTATATTTGTTCTTCCCGAACAAATGAAGAATGAGGGTTATGCAGTCCGAAAAACCAGCAAGCTCTGGCCCAATGTAAGTGTTTGCCTCAGAGTGCAGTCAGTGGAAGGAAGGAAGGAAGGAAGGAAGGAAGGAAGGAAGGAAGGAAGGAAGGAAGGAAGGGAGGGAGGGAGAGAGGAAGGAAGGAAAGAAGGAAGGAAGGAAGGAAAGAAGGAAGGAAGGAAGTAGGTAAAGAGTGAAACTATCACAATGGAAGTTACGTACTTGAACAACAACAAAAAAAGAGGAAGTAGGGAACTTGATGGGAAAGACAAAATGTAGAGGAAAGAGAATAAGGAAGGGAGGAAATAAACAAAAGACAAAAAAGTTATTATGAAGTTCTAATTAGCAGCCCAAATGTAAGCAACTCTTTCTGATTCATTCTAATTAGGCTTGTCTTCTATTTAATTGATTTTGATTTTGTCATTTCTACTATAGTGTGTGTGTGTGTGTGTGTTTTATTTTGTAAAGGTAGGTTTTGCTCTGAATGTCAAGGCAATTTCAGCTCCTGAAAGAGAAGGTAACTATTATTTTCAGCTCTTAAAATTGAAAGAAAGAAAGAAAGAAACAGAAAGAAAAGAAAAACTCTACCCTCTGGGGAATTTGCATACTAGGCAGACTTGGGTGCCCCGCAGTGGGTGGTTCCGGCTGAGAGTTTGTCTATTCTTAGATGTCTGTGCTGAGGCAGAGTGGGACGGAAATTGTTCACTGCTGCTTTAGGACCTTAGAGTCATTTCTTTTAATGGGGTTCGACTGTCAAATCAAATCTCCCAACCTGTGTAAAAGGCTCTTGTAATTACATGTGTCATCTCTTTTCACGACAAAACTCAAAACTGGTTTGTTTCTGAGGTACTGAAATGCAGTCTTTCTCCTGCATTAAGAGGATTGCTTTCTTTTTAGAGGAAGGGCTGGGGGGATTTTTTTTTCCCCACTTTTTTTGTTAACAAAAGCATGTGACAAGTCAACCAATCTTCCTCAAGGTAAAACAGGGGCCTGTTTTTCTTTGAGTAATTATGTGATGTGCCTGACTTTCAGGTGTGTGGCTTTTAAATACAACAAATCAACATTAAAGATTAATTCATTCAATTACAAGGCAAGAATCTTTGTTGCCTATTCAAACATATTTTCTACTTTAATAAATTCATAGCTTAAAAAGCCAAAAGACAGTGAGATCACCAATAATAAGCCTCTAGTGTTTGGAACTCAGTCTGTAAGATCATTCTTTTTTTATCAAAATATATATGTAAGTTTTACAAACTATACATATATATAAAGTGCTCTCTAAATGATTTATATATGTGTATGTGTGTATGTGTGTGTGTGTGTGTGTGTATGTGTGTATATATGTATATTTTTATTTTTAGACAGTCTCATCCCGTTGCCCAGGCTGGAGTGCAGTGGCACGATCTCAGCTCACTGCAGCCTCCACCCCAAGAATCTCAAGTGATTCTCCTGCCTCAGCCTCCACAGTAGCTGGAATTACATGTGTGCACCACCATGGCCAGGTAATTTTTGTATTTTTAGTAGAGACAGGGTTTCGCCATATTGGCCAGGCTGGTCTCGAACTCCTGGCCTCAAGTGATCTGCCCACCTTGGCCTCCCAAAATCGTGGGATACAGTCATGAGCCACCGCGTCTGGGCCAAAATATATTTATTTTTAAGCTTTGGTATAAGTTTCTATACCCAGATATTCGGGGAAGCCTGAAGACTACCAATGTTTTGTTTTTATTATCTGAAACTCTGATTCAGAATTCATGAAATATATGTAAAAATTATATTTAAGATGAGAATTCCCCAAGACAACATTTTTATTGAGACCATTTTAGTCTCTTAAATCCTGGACTATATAAGCAATAAAAATGAAAACAAAACAAAACAAAGCAAGTTCATGTGTTCTCTAGATGATTCTAAATAAGTAGTTATTAACCCATCATTTTTCCATTTAACATTTTAACACATTGACCTCAAGGAGTTGCAATAAAAGGAATGGGTACATTATACAAAGCCATTAAATTATAAATGAATGGTATTAATGACAAATTTTCCCGGACCCAGAGGGAAACTCAGGGAAAATATAAAATTACCTTCAAAGACAACAAAATGAAAAATAAATGTGACATATGGACCTTAGGAAAAAATGGAAATCAAGTGCACATGAGATAAAAAGATAGGGCCAGGCATGGTGACTCATGCCTGTAATCCCAACACTTTGGGAGGCCAAGGTGGGCAGAGCACCTGAGCTTAAAACTTTCAGACCAGCCTGAGCAACATGGCAAAAACCTGTCTCTACCAAAAATATTATACACAAAATTAAACGGGAGTGTTGGCATGCACCTGCAGTCCCAGTTACTCAGGAGGCTGAGTAACTGGAGGATCACTTGAGCCTGGGAGGAGGTTGCAGTGTGCCCAGATTTTGCCACTGCACTCCAACCTGGGTGAAAGAGTTTAAGACTCCGTCTTAAATAAATAAATAAAAATTTAAAAAATAATAAAAAGAGATAAGGAGATAGGTATGAGATTTTTACTTGGTTTATTTATTTCAGTGTGTACAGTTGCACTATTTTTTTTTTTTTTATGATTGTAGTTCTTTTTCAAAGTTATTTCCCTCAGGAATTTCCTTAAATATGTATGTGAATGGAAGCATATAGCTTCAGAATGAATAATGCTTTTAATAAAATGAAGACTGAGGAAACTTGGAGAAATGTACCAAATCCATGATTCCCTGGACTTTGAGATTTTATATACTACTAATAAATTTTGTCCTTAAAAAGATTGAGGCTGGGCATGGTGGCTCAGGCCTGTAATTACAACACTTTGGGAAGGATCACTTGAGCCCAGGAGTTGGAGACCAGTCTGGACAACATAGTGAGACCCCAGTTTCTACAAAAAAAAAAAAAGAAAAAAATTAGCTGGGCCTGGTGGTGCTTGCTTGCAGTCCTAGCCACTCAGAATGCTAAAGCAAGAGGATCGCTTGAGTCCAGGAGTTTGAGGCTGCAGTGAACTATGATTGCACCACTTCACTCTAGCCTGAGTGACAGTGAGACTCTCTAAAAAAAAATTTAAAAACAAACAAACAAAAAGAAACAGTAGAAAGCATATAGAATCATGGTAAGAGATAGCATTTATAAAAAAATCAAAGAAATATAGCTTCATGAAAAACTCCCTACATTGCCCTTTTAATTTTTCTGTGAGGAGATAGCATTGAGAAAATACATGACACTCTGGCCAAATAGCACTCTCTGAGCTAAATATTTAAAATATTAACTACTTAGTAAACCAAATCAGTGTCAGTTACAAATCAAGCAAATTGTGCCTCCTTTTATGAGGATAAATGTAAAAGCTCACCTGATTAATCTCACAACTACTAGTGGTACTGCCATTTGGTACATTTTTAAGATTACCTCCTGAGCATCCAGTTTTCATTATTATGCAAATTAGCTAAAACAAAGCTCAAAATAACTCCAGTTACCTTCCCAAATAGCAGAATAGAAATCAAAAGGATGGAGATTAATCCCATCAATCTTGAGACAAGAAACCGGAAAACACCAAAATAGGAAATTTCATAAATGAGTTTTTTTCATAGATGAAACCTGACTGAAATTTGCTGGATATGTATATGCCTCCTATCTATGAAAGAACACTTAAGATCGGTGTCCTATAGTTAGCTCTGATCATGGACACTAACTAGTATGTGCCTGTTTCAGTGAAGATACTGTGTTTTGTTATACCATGATGTTTCATTCAAGGAAAATTAAAGTCCCAGGATGCTTTACGAAAACAAACTTCCTGTTAGCAATGCAGTAAGTACTCTTGGCTATGCTGGTACCTAATGATTTACCCAACTTAGGTAAAGAAGTTACCCAGCTAAAGTATGTCTAGGTCTTGTCAGCGCAAGTAGTTGACAACCAAGTCCTTACTGTCCACTAGACCTACGTCTTGATTCCAGAGAGAAAGAAGATTCTCCAAGACTGGGGAATGACATTCCGGGAGTGCCAGTACCACCTCTGCCTCCATATTGCCAGGAACAGACTGAAGATGGCCTTCTCTCAGGGTTGAGACCAGGAAGGGCCATCCTGGGATGCATGGCACATGCCAGCTCTTGGGGACCAGAGTCCATTCCCATCATGCAGAGGCGGCATCAGCTACGGAAAAGAATCTTCAAAGTGGAGGGACAAGCCTGGCATCCCTGTACAAGTTCCTCTGGATTCCTCATAGTTTCCTCCTTGCAGTACGCACAAAGGCACCCAGTAAATGAACGTTAGACCCTGGAACACTTCATTCTTCATAGAGGAGAGGGACATGCCTAAGTTAGTGAAGCAAATATGCGGTAAGTTCCCCGATGGTTCTGACTTGCCTGTTCAGCACAGGCTGTGCAGTCCCTTCTCTTCATTTTAAATCATTCATGAGGCAAGAACAATCTAGGTTAATCCAAATTAACATGGCCCAACATTGTTCCCTTCCTGGCTGAGCCAATTACTCCCACACGTACTACATTTTCTGCTGCATATACAACTTCAAACTACAGCTCAAGTTTTTTTCTTCAGTATGGTAAAATTCAATGTCATGAACCATGGCTAGGTTAAAATTCTGATTTAAACATTTTGGTGACTATATTTCTAACACTTTTTAGTTGCTTCAACACCTAATGGAGTTATAAAAAAGAAAAATAAATATATATAGCTCAGATTTTAATTCTCCTACTCTGCAACTCCAAATAAATTCAGAAAAATGTCTCAGTTTCATTTATTCAAAAAATGGCAATTTGTAGTAATAAATGCTAATCTGGGAGGCTGATTTGATTGTTCTAATTACCAAAAAGCTTAGCATTTTTTTTATTAGAAGAAGGGGAAGTGGGGAAGACAGTGAATATATAAAATATTACTTCCACCAAGCATATTTTTCTGCAATAAATGCATGGCATTTAATCAGTAACTATATAAATGTCCTCCATGGTTCACTGAATCTTTTACCACTCCATCACCATCACCGGCCCCCAAGCTATTTTGTATATGCGAGGACACGCGGGTAATTACCTGGACATTCCCCTTCTTTTTCCTTATGTAAAACAGTTGCCTGGTGGTTACTGTGTTTACAGATTTCTTGTATGCTGTGCTTTCAAGCATTAAGAATTCAAATTTATCTCACTATAGAAACAAGAACCCAAAGTGCCAAAAAATGATCATAAATACCAGTTGAACCCAACGGGTATAATACTTACATAATCCTCACTTTCACCACTTTTTCTTTCCCAATGAGGTAAGAGACAGACTATAGGCTACTCCCAAAATACTCAAAGATTTTTTTCCCTTTTTTATTTAACCATGTGTAATGTAACCCGTAAGAATGGAACCAGGTTCGTCTGAATCCATTGTGTCATTAATGTCCCTTTGAGAATCAATTCCATTACACTGGCCTTCACACATTCCACAGGACATTTCCTATGTCGGAGTTTTCTAAACTATGAAATTGTTATTCATTACTCTGTGAGTTTTGGAGAATCAAGACATGGAAGAGACATCCCATCAGTCTGTGCATACCTATGCATCGTGACATTAAATTGTCACCGGGTATGTACCCAAACCATTAAATGGGACCTTGCCTCAGAGATCATAAAGGCTACACCCTTTTGTAAGTAAAGCAAGGAAGGTCTGGGAAGGTTGGAAGTGACTTAAAACCCATCCAAGTCACTAGTGGCAAAATCAGGACCGAAATCCGGTCACCATAAAGGCCGGCTCCATGCTTGCTTCCGCATCACTGCTGTCTCATAGCACAATTCTCAGGTGGCCTTTCCTGGCTCTACCATGAATATGATAAAAATAAAAATAGGGGATGGGATAGAACAGAATAACCATTAGTGGTGCCACAATTTACAAACACAGGTTTCTATAAGATCCTGTCATTCATTTTTTCCCCAGCCTTCAAGATCAAATCTATTTATTGTCTTTTAACGTGTTTTATTCAAAATCTTTCTTCTTCTTAATTAGTTACATTTTCAGAGGGTGCATATGCATAGATGCAGTAAGTTTTCAGTTTAACTTCTTCTGAGATAGTTTACTGACATTGCCCTAGCTATTTTTTTCAACAAATAATGTTGGCATTTTTTTTTTTTTAAATAGAGGTGGGGTCTCACTATCTTACTCAGGCTGGTCCTCAACTCTTGGGCTCAAGCCATCCACCTGCCTCGGCCTCCAAAAGTGCTGGGATTACAGGCGTGATCCACCGTCCCTGGTCTATTTTTTTACTTCTATCCAAATATATTCAGAAAAATGGCCAATACAGTGCTCTGTTCTCTGATAAAGTAGTTATTGAAGGGGACTAGAAAAGTAAAACAAACAGAACAAAAAACCCAATAGTCTTTATTACTTCTTTTTAATTGTTTAACTTTATTACTGTTGCACCATTTATACAATTACATATAATTTCAATGCATCCATTGTACATTTTTTTGTTTTTTTTTTGTTTTTTTTTTCCATTTTCCAATGAGTGGTGTGTTGGTGTCTGTGACACAGAATGGAAGAGAAACTGGAACTGCAATGAACGCAGACTTTTTTTTTTTTTTTTTTTCATTTCCACTGACCAATAAACAGAACTACAGGTGCACCCAACCACGGACATGCATTAACTCGTCATGAGAAATCTAGGTAGGCTAAGTAGGATGAGAGAATGTTTGTCACTCCCAAAAATATCTGGAGAGGAAGAATGGAGGATTGGCATTGAGATCCATGTGGACAAGCTAAGTGGGCTCTGTCTGAAAGCTGGCATTCATCCACAACATTAAAAAAATATCAAAATAAGAAAGGCTGTAAATTAAAAAGAAAACACAGAAAATACTGCTCTCATAAAGATCTGATTGCCTTGGCACAGGCCCTGTGGGCAGAATCAAACGCATCACTCCCAACTCCCATTGCAGAAGAAAAGCTATTCAACTCTCAGCGGTGGAGGAGTGCATGTGGCGGCAGTTTCAGGTACAAACGATGTACTGCACTTTCAGACGCGGATCTTGGAAATCCAGGACTTCTTGGTAAAGTTGACTGAAGGTATATTAGATATTTCCCCACAAAAATACTATTTGGATTCTCCCACCCCCTCCCTCCCTTGATGGGACAACATCCTGTATTTTTCCTTGGGCAATACATATCATTACTTCCAATTTGAAACAAGTTAGTATAGGAGAGAGAGAGAGGAGAGATAGGAGAGGAGAGAGAGAGAGGAGATAGAGAGAGAGATAGAGAGAGAGAGAGAGAGAGAGAGAGGAGATTGTTTTAAGTGGTATTGTTTTTCCTATAGGCTGTCCTTGTCACTCTTTCACGGTTACGGTTTGGTCGGAATTAGCTGCCGGGGCCTCCACCGGCTTGGGCTCTTCTGCAGAGGCTGCGGGGCCCTGGGCCTTGGGTGTGGAACTAGGCGCTTCCGTGGCTGCGGGGGTCTCCTTGGAAGAGGGGGCAGCCTCCGAGCTGCCGGGTTTTGAGTCTGAAGCTGGGGCCCCGTCACTTTTGGTCTCCTGGGCGGCAGGAGCTGCGGGCGCCTCAGTCTTTTTGGGTTCCCCTTCCTCCTTGCTGGGCTCCTCCCCGGCGGCAGGGGCCGCGCTCTCGGCCGGGGCCGCGGCGGCCTCAGCAGCTTTGGGGGCCTCGCCGCCCGCAGCGGGGCCGGGGGCCGCCTGCTCCTGCTCGGGCGCCTTCGGGGGCTCAGCCTTGGCCTCTGCCGCGCCCTCCGTCTTCTCGGGCTCCGCCTTCGGGGCCTCCTCCTTGGCAGCCGCCGCGTCCTTCTCGCCCTCCTTCTCCTCGGCCTTGCCCTCGGCGTCCTGGTCGGGCTTCTCCTTGCCCTCCTTGGCCTCGGCGGGCTCTGCGGCCGCCTGGGGCTCACTCTCCTTCGGGGTCCCCTCCTCTTCCGTCGCCGCGCCCTCGGCCTTCTTGTCTTTCTCCTTGGCTTTCTCGTCGTTCACATTGTAGCCCTTCTTCTTCTTGCTGAGCTTGCCTCCCATCTTGGAGTTCTGGAAGCAAACACAAAACAAAACAAAACGGCGGTTACTAGGCAAGTGTGGGGACCACAAAAAGCTGCATTTTGCAAAGCAAGGGGTTCTGGGCCTGCTGCACTGCACACCCCAAAGGGGTGGCATGGTAAACTATAGTTAGGCACAGTTAAATTCAATTTATTCATGTATTTATTTTTGAGACAGGGTCTCGCTATGTTACCCAGGCTGGAATGCCGTGGTGAGATCTCTTCTCACTGCAGCCTCCACCTCCTGGGCTCAGGGGATCCTCCCGCCTCAGCCTCCCACACAGCTGGGCCCACAGGTGTACCCACCACGCCCAAGTAATCAGTTAAATTATTATATTACACTGTTATTACACAATTAAAAGTTAAAAATTTTAAAAAGAATCAAAAACATTAAGGAGCTCAATTAAGTGAGTTCTGCAATAATTTTAAATGAGTTTTTAAAACAATGTGTCACGAAAAGAAATTAAGGAGCTCAGTTGTGGAGCTTCTAATCATAGCCAGTTGAGGGAATAATAAGCTGAGATCAAAGAATCAGTGATTAGAGGCAAAGTTTGTCAACCCTGGAGAGGAGGAGCGCTATCTGTTTTTCATCTGCAATCCCATGTCTGATGCAAACACCAAGCGTGGAACAGGCATGTGCAGCATGGCAGGGGCAGCCATCTTAGACCCAGGTTAGAGCTAGAGAAAGGCGTTGCAATTTTAAAATGCTTTCTGGAGAAACTGCACAGCTGTAATAAAGCACAAATCACAGATTTCTAGAAAATAATCTCAAACTACAAACTCTCTCTGCTACATATGTGTGTGTGTTATATCAGCAAACACATCTTCAAACACGTAAGGTAAACAGGATTCAGTCTATCTTCTTACCAAGCAGGGGCAGTTATGAAAAAGCCAGTGTCTCTTGCTGGCTGTGTCTGACATAAATTCATTTCAAGGTATTTTCAGCTTAAAAAAAGTAGTTCTATAGTAACATAAAATTGTTGTTCATTATCAATTTCCTGGTTAGAATTCAAACTATACATGCACGTTCAATGGTCATTAACAACTGTCTTAAGGCTGCCGCTTTCATTCTGGCACAAGAAACTCCATTTGTATTTGAATCTTGAAATTCTCTCCTCTGAAAACCAAGCATTAAACCAGATAAATAATAAATTATAAATTTATAAATAATAAATTTCATCCAGAACCATGGCCAGAGCTAAACAGACTCTTGGTGCATTTTTTTTCCTTCAAGTCCATTTTTCTGTCACCACACATCAGTGAAAATCCACTGAAATGTTGCTTTTGCAAAGAAAATGGTTGCTTTTCCTGGATGAAGCGTGGCAGAAATCACATTATACTATCCTCGTTAGTCCCATAAATGAGAAAAGCCCAGGAGAGAGCATCAGCCTTGCCCTGGACCCCAAGGGAGGTTAGAAAGAGCAGGGGGGAACCACCTGGTTTTGCCCAGGTCAGGTCCACTGGCAGAACTGTACACACTCCTTTGCCAGCTTTGCAAATATATACATCCCTTATTTAGAAAAGAAGGATTTGCTGTTTATTACTTCCTTGGAATCAAGATTCATGACAGTGAAATAACCTATATTTATCTTATTAAAAGTCGAGTTTTTGGTGGAAGAAAATGAATTCTTCAGTCAAAATTTTTCTCACCATTCTATATGCTAATTTCTAATCTGGAATGACTTCAGTAGTTGGGGGAAGAGAAAAGCAATAAACTGAAATTTGACTAAAATACTATTCATATTCTCAAGAAAGGTCTTTATGATGTTACCTAAGATTCTCTTACATGTCCTTTTTTTTTAGAAAAGGGGGTGGCAATTGGTCATAACCTGCTTCAGACAGGCTCTATTGGATTTAATTTTTGATTATTTCTCCCTCAAAAGTAGAAACAAACATACATGGCAAAAAATACAATTAAATATACTTTCATCCTATAAGCAATCACAGAGCAGTACATGAAAATATAAAGAAATAAACCGGATCAATATTTTAAATTATAGTTTATAACTCTTCCATTGAATTCTTAACTAGTCAGTATGCACGAATGGCCTATACCAAATATAATTTCAGCTCTGATATTTCAAAATACATTGGGTCCCTTAGGTTGAGCTAAATAAGAAACAGGAAACCTAACAGGTCTGCCTTTAGGATCTTCTCTCAATCCAGTAATAGAAACCCATACACCAACTTAGAAATTACAGACACTAAGATAAAGTGCAAACATAGGGGGTCCAGTAAGTATAACATGGGGTGCTGCTTTCTGACACCCACAGCATGAAATTCTATACAGCAATCCCCAGAGGTTTAAAGTCATGTTGGGTTACAAACCTAAAATCTGAGTTACTAAAACTGGCTTTTCTGACACATAGTTAAGGCCACATTCTATTCTTTGTTTTATGCCCAGCTGCGATTTGTTTCTGGGTCGAAAATGAACACACGTAATCAAGTTATAAGTAAGAAAATATGTCTCAATCCAGTTTGTTTTTCAAACAAAGTTAACAAACGCCCCTGGCATTTTGCTAATTTACCTCTACTGGTTATATTGAGGTATCAGAGGGACGCTCATAGGACCCACCTGAACCCTCGAAAAGCAGGATTGTCTCATTATTTCCCAAGACCATATGCGTGAAGACCTTGCCTACAACATCTATTAACTGTTTCCTAGGTATCAAGCACAATCCTACTCATAAATATATTACATAAAATATGTAATCTCAACAGCACCATGGGGTAGTATGCCATTCACATTCTCCTTTTACCCATAAGGAAATCCTACTAGCTGAGTTCGTGGAGCTGTACTATGAGCAAAGGCCAAGTCCAGCAAAATTCAGTAAGGCAGGAAGGCACCACAGAGGGGATAGAAGGAACTCCACTGAGAAGCCGGCAATGGGGCAAAGCTCTCAGCCCAGGAATGTTATGCGCCTGGGTTACAAGGATGGTGCCACCTGGGGTAGTTCAGAACTCAGGTGTTGAGGGAATAAGGAAGAAATTCAGTATTTTGAGTATCCTCTGCCTCTCAACATTTCATCTTCCTATTTGCCAGAGAAGCTTTTTACCAAGAGAAAGCAATGAGCATACAGTTTAATGATTTCATTCTTTTTCTTTTCTTTCTTTTTTTTTTTTTTTTTCTTGAAATGCAGTCTCAGTCTGTCACCTAGGCTGGAGTGCAGCAGCAGCACAATCTCGGCTCACTGCAACCTCCGCCTCCCAGGTTCAAGCAATTCTCCTGCCCAGCCTCCCGAGTAGCTGAGATTACAGGAGCCTGCCACCATGCCCAGCTAATTTTAGTATTTTTAGCACAGATGAGGTTTCACCATGTTGGCCAGGCTGGTCTTGAACTCCTGACCTCAGGTGATCTGCCCACTTCGGCCTCCCGAAATGCTGGGATTACAGGCGTGAGCCACCATGCCCAGCCGATTTCATTCATTTCTGTTACTTCTAATTTTGAAAGACATCATTTGGTATAGAAAGTTAGAAGTTGGAACTTCTAAGATTAAAATAAAGCAGTTAAAAAAATACAGCAATAGACAATCCATGCTGAAAAGTCACTTCAACTAAAAAAGTCACTAAACCAAAGCTCTACTGAAAAGGCCGAGACTGACTTTGCATTTCTCCACAACTAGGAAATTCACTAGAATTTTGTAGCACAGCAACAAAATTCAGACCAATGCTGAAGGCACTGACCTCAGTTCTATGTGTTTATGTATTAACCAAACACTAAAACTGACCTCTGTTATGACATCTCAGAAAAAAGCTAATTCTGGAGCTGTCCTTTAAAGACCGGGTGTGGTGGCTCACACCTGTAATCCCAGCACTTTGGGAGGCCGAGGTGGGTGGATCACTTGAGGTCAGGAGTTCAAGATCAACCTGGCCAACATGGCAAAACCCCGTCTCTACAAAAATTACAAAAATTAGCCAGGCGTGGTGGTGCACACCTATCATCCCAGCTACTGGGGAGGCTTGAGCCTGGGAGGCAGAGGTTGCAGTGAGCCGAGATCAGCCACTGCACTATGGCCTGGGCAGAGTGAGACCCTGCCTCAAAACAAAACAAAGCAAAACAAAAAACAAAAAGCAAACAAAAAAGCTGTCCTTCAAAGAAAACTCGATGCCACAAGGGCGAAAATGACAGGCTTACCGATTAATATTGGCATAGAAAATAACCATAAACAGTAGTAGAGAGAGGAATTTCACTGAGTTTAATCTGGTAAATATTGGACAAGAATTGAATTTCAAGGAGACTTTGCACATTGGGTCATGGCAGAGTATAAAAATCCCACCTCCACAGCACACCCACCCAGAATCCTTGGGCAAGTTATTTAATCTCATCGTCCTTCCGTTTCCTTTAAAATAAAAAAATTTTTTTAAATGTCAATTTAATGGGAATTTAATGTGAGGCCATGTGAGTACAACATTTTACATTTCCAGGGACTGCAAAAATGTTAGTTCCTTCCCCCATCATTTAGTTTGAAAATTCTTAGATAATTCTTTGCTGGTAAATTCCAACAGAATAGTTAGCACACAGGTTCCACACACACAAGTTCTAGAATCAGGAATCTGAAGCACCACAATGAAAAGAACATTTAACATCTTTTAAAAATGTTTAATGTTATCAGAAAGATGTTTGGTATATGTGTTCCATGCATGCTCCTGCTGGTTCTATTTGAAAAAGAAGTTTTTACAGTTATCTGTTGTCACCATATTGTAAAGGTAAAATCTCTACTTCTTCGCTCTGAATATTTTACTACTTAAGATTCTAAGAGGTTTTCAGTCTTTTTAAATATATTAACAGTCCATTCTGCCAAGAAATCAGTTTCTACACAGAGATAAAAACCAAAGATTAGTTAAATCCATTCCTCCCAATTAGAACGAGTATTGGAGTGATCAGAGAAAGAGAAGAGGGGGCTGTGTGTGGTGGCTCACACCTGTAATCCTAGCACTTTGGGAGGCCGAGGCGGGCAGATCATCTGAGGTCAAGAGTTGAAGACCAGCCTGACCAACATGGAGAAACCCCGTCTCTACTAAAAATACAAAATTAGCCAGATGTGGTGGTGCATGCCTGTAATCCCAGCTACTCAGGAGGCTGAGGCAGGAGAATCGCTTGAACCTGGGAAGTGGAGGTTGCGGTGAGCCGAGATCGCACAATTGCACTCCACCCTGGGCAACAAGAGCAAAACTCTTGTCTCAAAAAATAAAAATAAAGAGAAGAAATGTAATTGCATTTTTTGCTGTCCCCTCACCACCTCTTCATCACTTGGTCCAAGGAAACAAGAGAAAAGTGTTTTGATCACCAAGATGGAAAAGGAATCCCAATTCTTTTACTCATTTAATGCCTCAAATTTCACGTGTAAAGGGTAAAAACCTGGTCTACAGCTTATCTTGGCTAATAAGCTAAACACACCATGTTAATGAGAGAAGCTAACATTGTCAAATGTCATTTTGTTTTGCTACTTCCTGCAGAAGAATACTGTTTGTTTATCATATGTCAAATAGCTTAATAGAGATACTAACTTACATCTTTAAAATCCCCCACAACTATCTTGTGACTAGTTTTATTCCCTTCCACCTTATAAAACCAAGCCTCCATCCAATTAATCCCACCTGGCTAGAAACAGCTATTCTGGAAGAAATGTGATAAAGTTCTGCTTTTCGGTGAAGAGAGAAGAGAGTGTGCCATTCGAGCACTGTGAGTTGATCAGAGCAACCTGGGCTGGAAAGCAGGCAAATCAGAGGGAGGCCTGAAAAGGTCAGAGGGAGGGTTGGAAGTGATTATTCATCACACCAGCCTGGTCCTTTTTTGCCTACACCTGCCAGGAAACTCAAAAAGTGTTTGCATCCGTGGAATACATACCCATCACCTTCTGAGTCTCACTTCCTACAACTGATGTTAGCTTAGACTACACACTCAGTCCTGACACAAATCTTTCTTTCGTTTATTGGCAGCAAATCATGTTCCCTAATAAATAAACGTGTACATTTATGAACGTTCATGAAACTTTTAAAGACAAGTTTCTCTAACTTCTTCATGCCTAGGAAGGCCATAAAAGAGCAACTTCATAGCTAGGTCAGCAAGGTAAGGTGAAGTTTTTTTGTTGTTGTTTGTTCGTTTGTTTTTGTCCTCAGAGACAACTACACTTTAGTGTCTTCAGAGGATCTGGTTAAAAAATCAATAAATAAAAATAAAGAATGAACATAGGCCTAAAAAATAGGTTTTAATTCTTCCTCCAAAGCAAATTAAAACAATTCTGTTGAGTCTTAGAGCTAACAAGTATTTCTTATTTTACAGAAATTTCTATTTATAGGAAAAATATGTGGTCCTATGCATTGCTATAATAGCAAACCCCCCAAAAAGAAAAACCAGTAAACTCCTTCTTACTATTGAGAGCTTAAATTTAATATGAAAATTTCTTTGGGAGAGTAAAGGTGAGAAATAATTTGAAATCTGATGTTATAATGAAGACACTCTGTAATAGAGACAATCTCCTCTACCGAGTTTTCCAATTGCTTGTTCCTTTTTCTCCAGGAAGCCTGTCAGGGAACACAGAAGATATTCCTTATCCCTTCAGATCATCTGCTGTGTTTATTTTGTACACAGAATCCACAGGACACACTGGGTCCAGATCCCCTCTGTACACGCTATTTTAATAGCTAAGAATTTCACTAAAAAACCACAATTCTTACAAACTATAATAGGATCCCCTCTGTACACACTTAATAGCAAATAATTTCACTAAACAACCATGATTTGGCTGCTGACATGACCAACTCATCCAGAACTTTCCTAATACGCACTTACATTTTTTCTTACCTTACACCACTCCATTAGCACAGCCTACTGTATTAAAATTCAGTCTTTCAGTTTGAGAAAATAAAGGTGGAAGAGTAGATAGCAAAATGCCGTATAAGAAAAAAATAAATTATGAAATATTTTATTTGTTTGACTTGTGTCAAAAACAAGCCACCTAGCACTCAGTATGAAGTTTGCTAAAAACGATAGGTGTGCTAGGGGTTGGTCTCCACTGTCAACAAAGTGCTATGAGACTCAGTGGTTACCTCCCACTCTGGATCTCAAATTTCCTAATCAGTAAAACAACGATACTTAAAGTGTATTCTCTTTCTAGGGGGAAAAATAATTTTATGAATGCTTCTGGCACTAAATAAAATGCAATGCAAGATAAAGAAACAAGTGGTATTATCAACAGAGTTCAATACATCTACTAATCACTGTCATAAAAATATATCATCTTACACCCTGAAGATTAAATTGACAACCAGCTGCTATTACTATGATTGGATGTCTTCATACGTCATTTCAACGTGAAGCTTGCTGAAAATTAGAAATAAAAAAAATTTTAAAAAGCAAAAAAAAAAAAAAAAAAAAAAAAGGGCTGGGAGCGGTGGCTCACGCCTGTAATCCCAGCACTTTGGGAAGCTGAGGCAGGAGGATCACAAGGTTGAGAGTTCAAGACAAGCGTGGCCAACATGGTGAAACCTCGTCTCTACTAAAAATACAAAAATTAGCCAGGTGCAGTGGCGTGCGTCTATAGTCCCAGCTATTTGGGAGGCTGAAGCAGGAAAATCGCTTGAACCCGGGAGGCGGAGGTTGCAGCGGGATGAGATCGTGCCACCGCACTCCAGCCTGGGGCCTGGTGACAGAGCAAGACTTCGTCTCAAAAAAAAAAAGCAAAAAAAAATACAAACAAAAATTGTAAAATGACATCCAAATATTTATTAAAGCACAGAATGTTTTTTAACATTTTCAATTATATTTAGAAAATCTTCTCAGAATAATGTGTAAACTCTGTAAGGAATGAGTCAGGATGGAATGGCTCACTGAAGACATCTCAAATAGCGTCATAACTGTCAGAAAAGTCAGGTTTCATCAGCTTCACTCACGCAGAACTAGCTCACAGTGCCCTGGCTGTGGAAGACACTCGGTTGTTTCCCCTTTACCTACTTTTGATGGGTCATCTACCAATCACTGGTGGTCCTGCCTTGCAAGACCCAATCTCTTTGAGCAAGCGTGCTTCCTAAAAACAATCAAACCATCTTTTCCTTTTATGCGATGCTAAGTAGTATCAGCCTACAGATACTTTAAATTATCCTTTCAAATATAGTTTAAATCAATCTCACAAGGGCTAATCACAATTCTCGAAAACTAATGTGATATTCAGTTTAGTGTTATGTAGAAACGTTGAGAAAAATAAAGTGGGAAAAGTTCTCAGCCCCAAATTTCCAGCGCAATACAACCACTTAACAAAACGAAACCAGGGTGTATCACCATTTTTACAGAGCTATCCACAGGCAACATTTTGAAAGATTATGTTTGGAGTTCCTACATTGAGAAAGAGTTCCAGGTCAGATTTTTTTTTTTTTTTTTTTTTTTTTGAGACAGGATCTTGCTGCTCTGTCGCTCAGGCTGGAGCGCAGTGGCGCGATCTCGGCTCACTGCAACTTGCGCCTCTCGGTTCAAGTGATTCTCGTGCCTCAGCCTCCTGAGTAGCTGGGATTACCTGTGCACCACCACACCTGGCTAATTTTTGTATTTTTAGTATTTTAGTAGAGACGGGGTTTCACCATGTTGGCCAAGCTAGTCTCAAACTCCTGACCTCAGGTGATTCGCTTGCCTCAGACACCTAAAGTGCTGGGATTACAGGCGTGAGCCACCATGCCCCACCCCAGATATAGCTTTTAATGCCAACTTTAGGAATATCAACAAGGAGGCCATGGTGAATTCAAACACAATAAGGCAAAGATTCATTACTCTTAGATGAACAAGAGCAAGAGTGAGAATGAAATAAGGAGGGAGGGAGACAGAACAGAGCAAGCAAGGGAGGGAGAGGTGGCGAAGGAACAGAAAAAATGCCTCTCATTTTGAATAAATTCTCTTTTCATCATCCTTAAAACCGCTTTTTCTGAAAATCTACTCCTCCAGACATAATCTTTTTCCTGCATTTTTAACTTATGGAAATTGAAGCCACATATACTGTTCCTTAAACTTCTATAGCAGGACACTGTCAGAGACACACCAGGGTGAAAATATCCCGCACTGTAGGATTTAAATCATACCTCCATTCTGCCCCAAAGTGACAGCAATGAATCGGGAAGCCCAACGGGTTAGTGTCCCTTGCTCTGTGGTGCTACCAGAGGAACCCAATTTGACCAACAACTGCTGTGGCGACTGGAGTTACTGAGCTGACCTGTTCTTCAGCAGGACTTATTATGTCCTTAATAGAAGACACTTCTGCCCCTTGCAGTGACTAAGGGTTCTCAAATCCCTTTGCTGGTACCAAGTGAAAACGCATGGGTCAGCCCTGCTGCCTATGCATTCTTTGGGTTTGGGTCAAGACTCCTGCAGTATTTAAAGACACAACCCTATATATCAGAACGGTATCTAATTAACATTTGAGCTGGAAGTTGTTCTAATAGCTTTGCAATGAAATGTGAGGTTTCTGAGAACTATCATTTATTACTTCCTTTCTTTAGTCCTTTAAATAAAACACTTACTAAACAGGTTGTTTGGATATAGGAGAGCAAGAAAGGGAGAAATGTTGGCTCAAAAGGAGTATCAAGTAGGAAAAACAATAGTGTTATCATTACCACCATTAAGAGGATTTCAGTGCTTTGTGGCAGGTCTAAGTGATGACATGCCATCAGGTTTCTAAAAGATGCCCTCCAGAGACCAGGGTCATCCAAATAGCTCTCAAGAGCCCTTCTGCATTTTTGGCGGCAAGCAAAATTATGGGTAATGAAATGCTAATGTTTATCTCAGCCTATACACTTAATTTTAGAAGGTTTGATATGCAGAGGCTCACCATTTGTGGACTGTTGAACCTTCATTTCAGTAGCACTTTGTTGGTTACATCCATTATTTAATGTTATTCAAGTCTTCGCATGATATGGTTTTTGGATGAAAAATGGCAAGCCCCCCAATATACCATTGCCCTTCTTCAGAAAATGCAACCTTGCACAATGCACAATTTCCAGGAGTTATCCACCCACAAGCCAAGGGGGTTACATGCACTGGGTCCTTCCCATAATTACCACATGTGCTCCATGATATCTCCAATTAGATTTTTCATTAACACATTTTTACATTTACGTTGCTCTGTCAATTAACAATACCATGGTTCTGTAATGTAATAAGAATCACTGGCATACATTAACTGCCATATAAAATAAGAAAATGATATCAAATTTCTCCATATGATTTGAAAGTTACTATGTTCACTACTTTACATGCCATTCCTATTTATATCTTCTTTCCCTGCATTATTATAATATCTAAGCACTTCCTATATAGGGCAGTTTGAATCATACAAAGGCCCTATCCACTATAAAGTTTCTACTTTGAAAATGCAAATTTGGATTTATTAACCATTTCATCTAGAACCAGCAGAATAAAGTTATTAAGGATGAGATCAGACAGATGACAATGGAGAAGATGGCTCCAAGTCTATAGCAAAACCCAACATAAATATGCAACAATGTGTGTCAGAGACTGGAGTGTTATTTCTGGTTTGATTGCAGCTTCATCATTGCAATCAAGACAAGAAGTCATCTCCTTTTCATTCTGTTTCCATCTTATAATCAGAAAAAAATATATCTGCTTACAAAGATGCAGGGAATGAATCAAAGTTTCAAGACAAAGTTCAATGTGTGGCTGCAGCACATTAACTGTGTACCCTTGGACAAGCAACTATCATCTACTAATTCAGAGCTGCAAAGGTTAACAAGAATTATACACCAGCCAATCCACTAACAATTTTTTTTAAGTAACACAAAGTTACAACTGAGTTGCATCTACAAGCAAATCCATCACCAACAAGTTGGGTTTATAATTACACAAGTGGAAAGAATCCAAGATATTGGTCAAACCTACCTGAAGCAAATGTTGGAATAAGAGGGAAAAAATTCTTTTTTATATAAAGAAAAGAATTTACAAACAATAAAAAAGCACAACACATACAAAGTATTTTCAATACTGTCAGAAGAAAGAAATCTAAAATATTTATGTCCAGCAATTTCTATTTTCAACAAGTGACTGGCCCTTTTCTTTTAAAGGTCAAAATTTTTATTCTAAAAGAGGAAAATGAAATAAAGGTAATGCAGCCCATGTGTATTTTTAGTATTCCAACCAGTATGTGCTCTGTCGCAGTGACTTGTCAAGTCTTCAGTGCCTGGTGGCAATTTCCATTGTTGAAATTATTGTTGTCGGTGTCTGATTCAGCCAAGGCTCATATTTAGCAATTCTAATAACATCCCCATCATTTAGAGGATGCAGATGTCCTCTGGGGAGAGGAAACTGTCCTAAGAGGTGCCAACCCATGTCTAAGTTTCTAGGTAAACCTTTGAAATATCATGAGTAAAAATTTAGAGAAAACATTCGAGACAATTTATTACCTTGTCACAATAAAAATGTTCCTCACTGTAAAAAAGTATGATAAAGATATGCAACAAACTTGAGGGAACAAAGTACACATACACAGATTAGCACACACTCACATTTCTACAACCAAATTTTCCCAAAGAGGTGATCCAGATGAGTTGGATCTACAAAGTCAGAAAGTCCCTAATACAAAAGAAGATTAATCACAAGAAACGCCTCCATTATTCTTCATGAAGCCCAGTCTAGTCCTACAGATGCACTGGCACAGGGTCTTTGGGGATCTCTCATCAAAAATCCAAAATGCATAAATATCTGAGGTGAGCAATGTTCATTACCTTAATTTTATCTTACCACATTTTATTCAAAAATTGTAATACCAGCTGGGGTGCAGTGGCTCATGCCTGTAATCCCAGGACTTTGGGAGGCCGAAGCAAGAGGATCACTTGAGCCCAGGAGTTTGAGACCAGCCTGGGCAAAATAGTGAGACCCTGTCTCTATTAGAAAAGGAAAGAAAAGAAATGTTAAAAAAAAAATGTAATACTACTTTGTACCCCATAAAGATACACAATGAGACTCTGTCACAATATAATTTGTAAAAGTCAACATCCAGAGTGATCTCAAGAACTTCTGATGTTCAGAATTAGTCTAGAAAAATAGATTTGATTAGGGCTGGGTGCAGTGGCTCACGCCTGTAATCCCAGCACTTTGAGAGGCCAAGGCGGGCGGATCATGAGGTCAGGAGATCGAGACCATCCTGGCTAATACGGTGAAACCCCATCTCTACTAAAAAATATAAAAAATTAGCCGGGCGTGGTGGCGGGTGCCTGTAGTCTCAGTTACTCGGGAGGCTGAGGCAGGAGAATGGCATGAACCAGGGAGGCGGAGCTTGCAGTGAGCCGAGATCGTGCCACTGCACTCCAGCCTGGGCGCCAGAGCAAGACTCCTTCTCAAAAAAAAAAAAAAGAAGATTTGATCTTAGTGAGGAAATATCTTTAGGTGTAAGACGTGACAGGGAACATAAGTGAGTGAAGAGCCTAGTCTAGCAAGAGGGAGAAGACATATGAAGACAATTAAAATATAAATGAGAGTAAGTCAAACGTTATCAAGAGAAGGAAAAGCAATAGTTTCACCAGAAGAGATGACGATTAGTTGAGATCAGGATCAGAAAGATTTATAGAGAAGGTAGAGTCTGAGACAGTAGAAATATAAAAAATACTTATTCATATACACTCAGCATAAGACTGTTTTGATACTTATCTTTACACATATCAACTCATTAGCTATCTCATCAGTTCTACGAGGGAGGAATTATTACTATCCCCACTTTAGCATGAGGAAACAAAGACACATAGGAGATAAATAACTTGCCCAAGATCAACCAACCAGTTATTTGTGGAGGTGTGAGGTGAATGCAGGCACTCTGGCTCACTCAACCAGGTTAACGTTAAGGTTTCTTAGCCATCATGATAAGTTGCCCTGAAGAACAAATAAGCTTTCTACAGATGAGGATGGGTAAATGCAAAGTGTTTATGTCAAAGGGAACAAAGAGGAAATGTCCAGTTGAGATTATTAGAAAACCCTATTGATATTTAAGAGGAAGGAGAGGACTCTCAGATACTTGGAGTGAGAAAAGATGGACTCTAAATCTATAAAGGTTGCCTAATAGGGAAAATTACTTAGATGACAGAAAGCAGAAAAACAGCTCTTGTAGGAGTTAGAAAGGAAAAGATGATGTCTCAAAAAATCAAAAGAGAAAATTTTACAAAGCAGCTTGGAGGAGGCATATGCTGCTACAAAAAGGTTACAAAAGATAAGAAGAGATGGCGCAAATTGATCCGGTGATGGGCTGTCAACAACGGACCCTAGAGTCACTTCGATAAAGGAGTGAAGACACCTGCCTCTTTGAAAGGGCTCACAGAGCACATGAGGCGCCAGAAGAGAAAGCCACAATGGTCAATACCAGAGAGTGTTGGTAACGGCAGAAACGTGCAATTTTGGCAAGACTTTTATTTGTTTACAAGGATTTGCAAGAACTGAAAATATCTATGGGAAGATAGGATGAGACAAAGGATAAAAATCAAAACTAAAGTGGAAAGTTGAGGGAGGAATCTTGACAGCGCAAAGTTCTGGGAGATTCAGAAAGTTAAGTCCAGATGTTTGCTGAAGTGGAACACTTTGTTATGCAGACGGTGGGGGGGAGAGAAGCCAATGAGATAAATTCCAAATCTGATGGTTATTCCAACTCAACATGCTCTCTTTTACATGAATATGGTTAAATCTGAATTATTCCAGAGTAATGGCTCCACAAGATCTCCACATAGTAAACGTTAGATCATGTCTCTTTGAAATAGTCCTTTACCTTACAGTATTTCATTCTGCAGTCATTTACCTTCATAGTACTCTCGTATTACAACACTTAGGATTTCTTAAGTACTGGGAAAGGGACAGACATTTCAACAACTAAAATGCTGAAGAACTGCCACAGTGACCACTAAACCTGGAGAGGTCTTATTGTGTGAAACAACCGGTATGCAAAAGTAAAGCAAACAGGCTTGCTACATTATAAATGGTTTTAGGAGCTTCTGAGATAAGGAAATGCACAGTCAGCATCCACATGTGTATTCCCTACATAAATGTAAAAAAACGAACCTTAATTCTTAAGAACTTCTTATTGTGTCCTTACTGTGCAATCTGGTCTTGGTCTTTAGATAAACCATCCATCTTTGGTCATTTATCTAAATCATCATTGCCTAAGCCTTTTACATTTTATTTATAAAATAGATTTTTAAAAAATTTTTAGAGATGGGAGTCTCACTATATTTCCCAGGCTAGTCTTTAACTCCTGAGCTCAAGCAATCAATCCTCCCACCCTGGTCTCCCAAAGTGCTGGGATTACAGGTGTTAGCCACCACCAGGCCAGGCCTGCTTAACCCTTTTATATTGTTGGATTGCGTTCAAAGTTTTAGCAGTAAAATAGGCTTGCCTGACTTCACTTGAATCTTGACCTAGGGCGTTTCTTCAATATTTATTCAACATCAATCTGAGGCTTCAGAACAAAGATTTTGCTTTGTGGTTGTTCGTGCACAATGGGTACTAGATAAACATCACAGACTCACTACAGACGGGAACATCTAATTTGCAAATTATGAACTGTAAGATGGAAGAGTCCCTGACTAGAAGTTGGGTTATGTAACTTACCTTTCACCAGCAGTAGAAAAAAATCAATAAACTAAATTGTAACTGAAATTTCCGTTGCATTAAATGAAATGCGGTCAAGTTCCAGGCGCCATCCATGATCACAAACTCTCTGCCACCGGGACTCAGCACATAATTAAAGACCAGAATGCAGAAATCACTACAATGATATTGTCAAGATTTTTTTTTCTTTTGTTACTATGTGCATATTGTAGAGACCAATTTTTAAAGGTGAATCTCCCAATTGATTCTACAAGATTTAACCATAAAACCCTGACTTGATAATGCTTCTATAAAGGTGGCAGATAATAGTTAAGCTTCTCCTTGAATGTAAAGGTTGACTGTATAGACACTAATGCAGAAGGTTTTTTCTTCTTTTTTAATACATCCTGCCACATGTAGCAAACACTATCAGGAAACATGCATTATTCATTCTCGTCAATAGTCTAATATGCTTTTTAGAGTCTGCTGTGTGTTCACATTGTTATTTATTTGCACTTAACGGGTGGTCCTT
Organism: Homo sapiens; assembly: GCF_000001405.40. Lineage (NCBI taxonomy): Eukaryota > Metazoa > Chordata > Mammalia > Primates > Hominidae > Homo > Homo sapiens. The sequence goes on along the minus strand of NC_000005.10, from coordinate 17,260,104 downwards.
TCAAAAGCCCCAGTTATTGCAGCCTAACATATGATTTTACATGAATCACCTGCTCTTTTGGTCAATAAAGGGAGTAAGTGAACCACAACCCGCTCAGGAAATGCAAACTGCAGAGATCATTTCTGTACCATTTCTCTCTTCCATAGACCAGGAAACTAATAGATCATATCACCACAACTAATTTAGAATTCTCCAAACAGAGCTCAAAATAAGGCACAAGGAAAACACTTAGAGCAGCTGAGATATTTCTGCTGCTTCTTAATGGACTAGACAGACCATGATGGGCTTGGAGCCATGACAGGCTCGATCAATGTGGCCACCTGACAAAGACAGGCTGGTGATTAGGGAGAAGAGGGGAAGCCTGCCTACTCCAGAAATAACTGCAATTTATTTCCAGTAGTTCCTGTCTCCAAAAATAAAGGGCTGGTTCACACTTTTCACGACCACCTAAAATTCTTACATATTGACATTTTCATGTATCAATTTTTTTTGGCACCAACAGCAAATGTAGTATTTTCAGTCCTAATGCTATTTCATATTTTAATGATTTTCAGTGAAAACCATCTAAAATCCTTTATGTATGTCCTTGACATACTAAACAAAGAATTTGCTTTTTCCTTTGTCATGTTCAGCACTAACAGGGGTTTGGTAAATGTTTGCCAAATTAATAAAAGAATGTATTCAATCCAAAGATGAATACTATGCTGATATGGTTTGGCTGTGTCCCCACCCAAATCTCATCTTGAATTGTAACTCCCACAATTCCCGTGTGTACTGGGAGGAACCCCGTGGGAGGTGATTAAATTATGGGGGCAGGTCTTTCCTGCACTGTTTTTGTGGTGGTGAATGAGTCTCACGAGAGTTGATGGTTTTAAAAACAGGAGTTTCCCTGCACAAGTTCTCTTTTTGCCTGCCACCATCCATGTAAGACATGACTTGCTCATCCTTGCCTTTCACCTTCCCCCATGATTGTGAGGCCTCCCTAGCCATGTGGAACTATAAGTCCAATAAACCTCTTTCTTTTGTAAATTGCCCAGTCTCGGGTTTATCTTTATCAGCAGCATGAAAATGGACTAATACATATGCAGTGTGCCATTTCCAGATTCTACTGCCATGTTGAGTTCAAACAGCATAGTGTGACTTTCAATGACATTTGTCATCTGGTCCCTCCTTATAAATTCAAATGTATCTCCCCAGATTTCTCAAGCAAATGCTTCACCCCAAATTGTCCATGCTCACTTTCTGCTCCACACTTTTGCCTTCTTCAAATTTGAGCCCTTTAGCTACCTAAAAAACCAGGCACTGAGCCACAAGGCAACACCCAAGGTGTGAATCCCAGAGGGCTGTGACATTTAAAAACATAACAGAGGGTATTTGTCCCCAGCCATGGAATTCCAGAGACGATGCATTTCATCCCCAGACTTGGGGATGAAACACAAACTAGAATTCAATACCAACTGCCCCTTACTCATGATGTGACTCAGAACAAAGTCACTTCAACCTCTTATTTGCCAATGTTTCTGTATAACGTGTCTAATATTGGGAGTGAAATTTATGTAAACAGGAATCATCTGAGAAGCTTGTTAAAAATATAGGTGGGGGGAGTGTTATCTCTTTCCCAAGATAATTAATTAGTGGGCTCAGCATGAGTCCCAAGAATCTATTTTCTACCAAGTTGACCAGGTAACACCAAAACAAGTAGTGCAGGGGCTGCATGTTGAGAAATACATATACATAGCATTTGCAGTGACTTTGAAAACTAATGCTTTTGCATCATCTGTAAAACCTGAAACATGAAAATCCCAAAGACCAATGTGATTACTGCTGGTTACAAAGCTAAAAACAAGCACAGCAGAAAACCTAGCCAGGTCTAACCGAGAAGTGAGTGTGCACAGAACAGGTGGTGTCGGCCCCAGTGAAATCTCATCAGCTATAGAGATATACTGCCTTTGAGTTCTCTTTGCTACCAGAGCCACAAATAAATTAGAATGACCCAGACCTACTCTCCCTATCAGAATTTCCCCAGCAGCCAACTGCCGTCTTGTTAGTACCACAGTTTAGCCAGAGGAGGCAAGATATAAGCAGCCTGTATGGAAAAGCAAGAGCAGTGTGAGCAATTTCAAGAACCCCTGATGATAACACCAGGCCCTGGGCAGTCCCCTTGCTACCCCAGATGCTCCTGTCACTGGCAGGGGAAACACAGGAACGGTGCTGTTTGGCTCTGTAAGCTCCTTTCTTACACAACATGAAGCTTCCATTGTTCAAGGTTTATAGCCTGCCCTGTGAGACAATACTGTTTTCAGAAGCCTCCATTTTATGTAATTAAAGTTCACATTTCAGAAAACAGGTTTTCCTCTTTTAGTTCAAGCGGAACTTTGATGGCTTGCCAATAAGTTTTGGATCTCAATCCAATATACTCTGTGAAAAAAAGCACATAGGCAAGGGGATGAGAGACCACGTTCAGCTATGTGACCTGGGGCAGGGAGTCAGCCTCAGTGAACTCAACCTTTGCCTACAGAAGAAAATAGAAGGGGAGGTGGTTGTTAGCATTAAATGGAATATTTGCAGTAAAGGATATAGTTCAGCTCACTACACACAGTAGGTATTCAGTACATTTTACCTTCATTTACCTAAAACCATTTCCCAGCTCCATTCATGTAGAATAGAGAATAACTCTGAATTTCAAGATTAAGTAAAAGATCGGTGGGACCAATTACTGTATTCAACACAGGTAAACAATAGGAATTGATTCAATTATAACAAAAAGAATCACTCTTTTTGTTTTGTTTTTTAATCACTCTTTTTAATATTTAAATTCTAGGTTATAGCCTGCAATATCTGTTATATAATCTGTAGATTCTAAGAGCAAGTAAATGTTAATAAATCTCACAATGATAAAAACAGCCTCCTCACACTGGTAAAAGATGAATGCCATCCAGGAATACAAATGCCTGCATCCAGTATATACAGAAAAATGTCTCCAAGAAACTATCAAAAGGGAGAATGAGCCTCAAAATGTGTTCTAAGTCCCAGGAGAGACTCTATTTAAAGCAACCTCAGCAGATAGTGTCTTTTCCAAACTATTTCCATCTTACTGGCTTTAGGTTAGGTAGAAAGGTTGTGATAAAGGACCATGTGCCATATTCTGTTTCACCCAGTTCACTTGTTTGGGGTTCAGTTAAATTATCAGGAAACCTTTTCCCTAGAAATATTTTTTTTTCCACCCACAGCTATAAAATCCTATATTCAAACACAAAGTAAAGCAAAGAATTACTGGAGATCCTTCCTCAACCTTAGCATGCAATTAAGGCCACAAGTCAGCCACCAGTATTTTTTTCCTATAGGCTTAGAGAATCACTCTCCTTAGAAAAGCAGCCAATATCATTCATTGTACTTGATTTTTAAAACTTGAATTTTTAAACGATTTCTGTTCAACTTGGGATTCAGTCTCGTTACAGCCACTAAACTAGCTGCTGACATTAAACAAGCCACTGTTAACCTCCCAGGGTTGGTTATTTCATTTGTAATATAAATGACTAGAATTGTATCCTTTATGTCTATAATTTTTAGTTTTTGCACAAACGTGCAGTAATAATGTATACACACAACTAGATTCTATTGAGCACTCAAATTCACTTATTTATTTGAGAAATGACACAAACATCCAGGCACTGCACTAGAAGCAGGGCACCCAAAGGTCGACCCTGACTGCCCATAGATCTTTCCATTCTACATCATAGGAAAACTATGACTCTTAAAAGGGTCAAAGGTAGCAGAGCCGATGCTAGCCTGTGAGCTAAATTCTGACAGTGTGGCCTTAAACAATTTTAACAAATAAACTACAACAGAAAAATCAATCTATTCCACAAGAGTTAGAGTAGAAAAGAACTAGGCAGGCTCCTAAATCTTTCCTAATGTAGTTTTCTGGATTCACCTTGGAATGTCCTTCAAATTGTTTGTGCTCTGAGATATGGGCCAAGGTGGAAGCTGCAAAAAAGTGGGGTGCAGGCAAGTCATGCAGATACCAGACAAATGAAGAGCATGTGAAACCTCAGATGTCAACAAGAGGACACCTCAAGATTCCCTCAGCTGGGTGCAAATTCCTTCTGATTCAAAGACCAAGTTTCTACCCTACACACTCAGCCCATGCCTCCTTCATGTGAGTATCTTGAGTTCCCTATCTAGAAACCTACTCTGGTGTGCAGGACGTTGCTAAATGAAATATACTGGTGACAGCATTAGTCTTAAGAAATCATGAAATTGCAACAGATATGTTTGAGGAAAGGCATAGTGTCTTAATAGGAGTCAAATGCAAACATTGTCAACTTGAAACAGAAGGTGGAAGTGAAAGAGATGCATTTAACATGAGCAAATTTACCTGATTTATACAAGCTGGCAAAACTCTGCCTCAGTGATGATTCTGAATGTTCTATTATTTACGTCCACAGTCAGCCTTGCATCTCTACAACTTCCTACCCTGTAACACCGTCAAGAGTGGTGAGTGATGTGTTACACGTTGCAACACTTCCTGATCGACACCAGGCATCCAACGTGGGGCAAGAGGTTTCAAAATACATAGTGGCTTCAGATTAGCACAGGTACCACAGATTCCACATGATTCTCAGATGTTAAGGAAAATACAGAATAAAAGCTTGGAAAGTAATAGTAAACTATGACTCATGAGTCTGTTTTAATGGGAAAAAAAAACCTAGTGAACTTATTATAGTTTTAAGTGGGTAGATTACTATGTCATTAATGTGAAATGGAAGGACCTAAAATAGATTAAAAATTGAACCAAAGGGAAGGAGGATTTTTGTTAGAACAGCATGTCCTAGCTCTTGTGAATCTACACCTGTCCCTCACATCTCTAAGATTTCTTCTAGAAAATAAATGGATTGAGTCACTTCATCTCCAAAATTCCAGGTATCTCAAACACTAATACAATAAATACTAACATAGAAAGATTTGCAGGTCCAAATCTTTTACATGTTTGGAACAATGGGTCCAAATAAATAAATAAATAAAATGTTGCCAGTTAGAATAAATGATCATGTAACATGAAGAGGGGAAAATATCAAAGCTACACCTTCGTCAGTTCGAAGAAAGCAGAGGGTGAATTGAAATTATCTACGACCACCTGCAAAGAGGGAACATTTACCAAGATACCCGTCAGTCTCAGAAAATTCTTACTTCCTTTGGTGTCAACTGAAATCGTCTGTCCAATGTGGGATCTCTTGCAATAAGGATATCCAACATAGATGGTGCTTTAAGATTTATTCTCTCTGTTTTTATATTGGGCCTCTTTGCCTCTTTTTTCTTATTCAAACCTAAAATGTCTTCGGATCAGTCCTAAGCATGGTACATACTAAATTTCAGTATTCTAGATGACAGGATTCATACTTTGTAATGATTCAAAGGTGGGATCTGCAAATCTTCTCCAATTAAAATCTGATAAATAAATGTGATTATTCAAAAACTGTATTGAGCACCATGATGCACTGCAGATCCGTTGCAAACTGAATGCTTTTATCAACTTACCTCCCTTTACTTATTCACACAGACTTATTTCATTGGTAACATAGCTGTGAAAGTGACAGAACTGCATTTCCAAAAAAAACTACACTAGAATCCGAACCATCATCTAAGTCAGGCAAAAGCATCTTCCTTTACTTGGAATTATGGAATCTTGATTGTGATAGGTGATCCTAGTAGATTCATAGCACTTCCCAAACTCAGTCTACAAGCCCACCCTTGTAACACTGCCATGCATGAGTGCAGCTTGTCTGGAAAGGAACAGGCACTTTAAAAATGAACACAAAAGATGAATTACAATTATGTTAGCAGATATTTGTTTTTTCAATTACAAATAAATGAGAACTAACTGCTAAAAAGATAATCTGCTTATGACTATTTGCAAATTAATTATTCTCACTTGTCATAATCAACACTAATTTACCTTCAAGATGCTAAAGTTTTCCTGGTTTGTTCTCTGAGAAAAAATATATATATATTTTTTCCCTTAAAGATCTAGTCTAGTTCAAATTACCAAAAACTCAAGTATAGTACAAATGGAGATTTGTAATCTGAACACATCCTAAAGCTATCAACATGCAAGTTCTACTTATAATGCTTTTCCAAAATAGCTACGTACATCTTTTGCATAAAACAAAAAAAAACACTAGATACAGTAATTAATGTTGAAGGATTTCTCTGTTCCATAAAGCCTCCTGAATGTGTCGGTGGTCTTCTCATCACTGGTGAGTAAAACACACGTAAATTTGTTAATAAAGCAAGTATCCACGCTCTCCCTTGATCACAGATTCCAGTCTGTAACCCCAGGTATCGGGATGCACACAGATGGTGGTCAAAGCAACATAAACTTCTCAATTTGGTAATTGAGGGTCTTCATGATTAAGACAATAGTTCTGAAAGATATGGGTCATTCTGAGAGATTGGGAAGGACCATGATTAATCAGAATTCCAGCAAGACTACACAGAAAGAAACAAAATAGAGAAGAAAGTGGGGAATCTAATGTCATACTGTGCATCTGTTCTCCTAAAACCATCATTACACTTGTAAAAGATCATTATAAGCCAGACATGGTAGCTCATGCCTGTAATCCCAGCACTTTGGGAGGCCAAGGTAGGAGGATCACTTCAGTCCAGGGGTTCCAGACCAGCCTGGGAAACATAGTGAGACCCCCATCTCTGCAAAAAATACAAAGAATTAGCTGGGCATGGTGGCGTACGCCTGTAGTCCCAGCTACTGGGAAGGCTAAGGTGGGAGAATTACTTGAGCCCAGTAGGGTGAGGCTGTAGTGAGCCATTATCACGCCACTGCACTCCAGCCTGAGTGACAGAGTGAGACCCTGTCTTAAAAAAGTAAATACAAATAAACAAATAAATAATCATTACAGAGATAAGTCCTTTTTAAAGTAACTAAATATTTTGAACTTTGAAAATAATGAAAAAAAAACCAATTGATTATTTTATGATTTTGTCAGATGATTTTACTTGCCAGATTATGAGCTAGAAATTCTAGAATTCGTCTTTTCTTCTAGAGGAGAGGTGAGTATACTGGGCTACCTGAAGTTTTATTGGAACACAGCCATGGCCATTCATTGACCTATTATCAGCAAGTGCTTTCACACTCAAGAGCAGAGTTGAGGAGCTGCAACAGAAACTGCATGGCTGGGAAAGTCTAAAGTATTTATTATTATCTGGCCCTTTAAGAAAAACTTGACTGACCCCTGCCCAGAGTCTTAGATGAAGGTACTTCACTAGTGACTCAGTTCCTATGATCAGATGAGAGTGTGATTCAGGTCTAAAGGATATTGCAAAGATTAATCAGGAACTTTTTGGTTTGCAACAATATTATCAGTGAAAAACAATGTCACATGGGAACTTTTTAAGATTGGGAAACAAGATAGTCTTTTTGTTTCTTAACTCTAATTCCTTCTTCTATGTATTCTGCCTGAGAGCAAAGAGACAGGTTGCTACACAGCACGTACCAGGTCAAAAACTCTGGACACACAGGTTAAACTCCCCAGGAGGTGTGGTGCCAAGGCACAACATCCACAGAGAACATCTCCAAAAAACGTGCTTGGGTGTCAAGCAAGAGTTCCATCCCTTTCTGCTGCATGGCACACAGCAAGTAACCTAACCTCTGAGCCTGTTTTTACACAAGTACAAAATAGGGATAATAATACCTTTACATGAGAGGGGATTTATAAAAATTAAATAAGACAATAAAGACTTAAATGCTCCCTCTTGAGCAGATTACATGGTCTTGTGGCGCCCTTCTGATTATCTCCTGCCTGCCCACCTCTAAAGTTAGAATGTTCATGTTTGCGATGTTTCCATAATACCAAAAAATAATAGCCGAATGGCAAAAATGAAGCTAAAGAAAACACAGCTGTTTCTTATCATGAGCTTACTCCCCAGTCACAGCTTCCCTTTAATTCTCCCTAGACCTAGCTTTCTCATCTCCAAGTCCCAACCTAAGCTCCTCTCCTCTGCCCTCTGTCCATGACTTCCTCCAAAGGTTCAAGGGGCTGTCATCCTTGGCGCTCACCAATTCAGTCTTGGTGCACTTGCTGGGAGACCCATCCAGTTGAAGGGTTTTGAAAGCCCTCTGGGATACTGAGGATTCTTTGTCTACACTCTAGCGCCCACTAGATTATTTCTTGAGCTTCAGACTCATGCACATAGTGGTCTACAACTGACCCAACAGGATGTCCTTCAAACTCAACATTTCCCCAAGTGAGCTCATCACTACCTTTCTCACCTACCCGAACCTTCTTTCTCCTCTGCTCCCTCCCAAGAGATTAGAACCACATCCACCCCATCGCCCAGCCAGAAATGTGGGAGTCTTTCTGGACCAACTTTCACCACCACCACCGCTACCCTCACATCCAATGCTTATGTTCCACTAAATATGTTCCACTAAAATATGTTCATAACTCCACTGCTAGGTGCTAGAAAACAAAATATGAGCTGAAATACTGCATGGCCTTCTGAGAAAGCTTTTGTTCTTCCCTACCTCCTCCTGCTGCTAGACAAAGACAGTTGGAGCTCCAGCCGCTGTTTGGACCCTTCCACAGAAACCAACACTGTGGAAGGAAGAGCTGAGAGATGAGTCTGAAATCTTTTTAACATATATTTAATGGTTTTGTATTGATGTAAAATCATTTTATATATTTTAGGGGTACATGTGATATGTTGATACTTGTATACAATGTGTAATAATAAAATCAGGGTATTTGGGATGTTTAATGCTTTTGTATTGATGTATAACCATTTTATGTATTTTGGGGGTACATGTGATATTTTGATACTTGTATACAATGTGTAATGATAAAATCGGGGTATTTGGGATATTTAATGGTTTTGTATTGACATATAATCACATTATATATTTTGGGGGTACATGTGATATTTTGATATTTGTATACAATGTGTAATGATAAAATCAGGGTATTTTGGATATCTGAAATCTGGAAACTTGATCACACCCCTCAACTACCAGATCAGCCCTAGAACCCATTTCTGGAATTTAACATATGAAGAGTTAACCTTTTCTCTCACGTAAGCCATTTTAGTTTTAGGTTTTCTGTTCTATGCAGCAAAATCTAAATCTAACAGCGTGTAGATCGCTCAAAACCACTCTTCAAACACCAAAAATTCAGGTTAAAATATTTTGGCCGGGCGCTGTGGCTCACGCCTGTAATCCCAGCACTTTGGGAGGCCGAGGCGGGCGGATCACGAGGTCAGTAGATCGAGACCATCCTGGCTAACGCAGTGAAACCCCATCTCTACTAAAAATACAACAAATTAGCCGGGCATGGTGGTGGGCACCTGTAGTCCCAGCTACTTGGGAGGCTGAGGCAGGAGAATGGCATGAACCCGGGAGGTGGAGCTTACAGTGAGCCGAGATCGGGCCACTGCACTCCAGCCTGGGCGACAAAGCGAGACTCCGTCTCAAAAAACTAAAATAAAAATAAAAATAAAAATAAACTTCAATACATTAGACGATACAATATTCATGCGACCCCTTCCCCTATGATCATCTCTCAAACAAACTTTTCTCAATGACCAGTATTTGGAGTATAGAATCACTTAAAAATGCCAAGTCTGTTCATTGACTTCTCCACATAAATTATATATTGATGCTGTAAAAAATAAATAGTAACAAAAAATTAGACTGATTGTTAATAGTTACCATAAAGTCAATGCTGAAAATTTCAGAAAAGAATAGACAAGTTCATCAAAGAACACACTTTTTACGAAGTGCAAAGTTTTGTAAAGAACAAAGCGACCTTTTAAAGTCAAGTGGAATATGCCCCAAATTAAAATCAGGGCCGGGCGCGGTGGCTCACGCCTATCATCCCAGCACTTTGGGAGGCCAAGGCAGGTGGATCACTTGAGGTCAGGAGTTTGAGACCAGACTGGCCAACATGGTGAAATCTCATCTCTACTAAAAAAAACATACAAAAATTAGCTGGGCGTGGTGGCACATGTCTGTAACCCCAGCTACTTAGAGGCTGAGGCACGAGAATTGCTTGAATCCAAGAGGCGGAGGTTACAGTGAGCTGAGATCACACCACTGCACTCCAGCCTGGAGGACAGACCAAGACTCCAGTCTTAAAAACAAGAAGAAAAAAAAATTAAAATCAATGGTGTACCTCAGTATAGGTGGACAAAACAGCACTAGCAAGAAGGGTGTCAGCAATAGGTAAAAATAAAAGGAAATCCTTAAAACACATTAGAATGAGAAGCCTTACAAATGGTCAAGAAAAAGACTTAGATCAAGTTGTGGGTTGAAGAAAAATTAATAAAGTCGGAAGATGCAAAGATAGATAAACGTTACTACAGACAGAATCATTTATAGAAAAAAAATAGAGTCTAAATTGAAGTTTAAAAAAGGTAAAAAGGTTGTGGTCACATTAAAATCTAGAGGTCTTTTTTGTATTTTGGTGGCACTATTTTATTTTCTGAGATCTCAAACTCAAAGGGTTAAAACCCTTTGGTTTTGTGATTTTAGGAAGGGTTAAAAAAAGTGTATGCCAGGAAAATGCCTTAGCATTGACTCAATGTGACTGGAAAAGCCTCATGGTTGGAACAGTAACTGCATCTGGCTTCTGAAATTCCTCACCAGTTAATCATACCCATCTAGACTTTTGCTGGCCCCAAAGCTCAGTAGGGATCTACCACGCAGAAGGCCCTGAATGTTGCAATCCAAGGAGATAAAAATCCTGACTTGCTGCTACAGGCATCCCCAAGAGAGGAGCAGATGGCTTCTTGTTTTGACCAAATTTGCTTCTGGATGAAAGCAAGAAGGCTGCAGGAAGACTCACATTTACTGCACCCCACACAGGACAGGCCCACCATCAATGCAAGGCCAACAACAGGGACGGTTCCTGCGTTGGGCTCTGCAGGCACAGAATAAGGGGGTCTGAGCTCACAAGGGCCATGAAAGTGTAAAAGTTTGAGATCTCAGAAAATAAAATAGTGCCACCAAAATACAAAAAAGAAGACCTCTAGATTTTAATAAGTGTTTGTCTACAGGAATACTTATGCCAATGAGCCTCTACAATGCAACACATATATAATTTTGCAAACTACAGTTAATTGGGGATGGGAGTGTGTGTTGATGGTTACTATGACATGGAGCAGGGCCTCCATACTTAAAGGATGCTACAGCCCATGGAGTGGTGGTACAAAGGGAAGAAGGAAATCAAGGAGACCTAGAATAGGCGCACCACATGTAAACGTGCTTTTTAAATTATCAACAAGCACAACTGCAGTGTGGTACATATTTTTTAAGAGATTATGGTTTTGATTCATTCTGTGCCATCTTGTAGGCACCCATAAATATGCGTGTTTTAGGACATGGTAAACACGGGCTGGAAATCATTCACATTCTACAGGGGACATCATTCAGAGTTTAAAAGAATACCGAAGTGCCTGAGCTTGGTTTTATTAACCCTCAAATGTATGCAATGAGAATGTCCAATCTTTGGATAAAGATTGAACCGTCTAATGTAATGATTATTAAACAACAGCATACCCGAGAGTCATGTCCAATTGGGGCTGAAACAGATATTTTCTGATGGTTCTGCAGCAGTAGCCTCTCTAAAGTAACACAGCATAGTCCACTATAAAATGAATACCATATATGTATTGACATTCAGGGGAAATTTTTAATTATAAAAGTCTTATCCAGCACACAGCAACAGCACATGCTGAAAAACATTCTTTTATTTTCAACTATGACACAATTGTTTTCACATCAAATGAAGGCATCCAGCTACCGACAGAGGCTACTCCAGATAACGGACATTTGGTATCAACTAGGTCCTTTAATTTCCACAGTTTACAAGCACTGGGTTAAATTTAAGTGTGAGCCAAGGGATTGTCACACGTATAGCTGAAGTGAGAATTCTGACAATGTGACTGACTACAGGTAACCATTGAAAAGATATTTACTAGAATATTGAATAGCATGAAACCATCTGCCCACTATCCCAGATCTGGAATATTCAAGTGTTTGAATGGAAATGATGACAAGCAACTGAGAACAAGACAGAGAGGGGAGGGATGACCCTGGGCTATGGCCAGTCTACACATAAGTCAACTCCATGGTGGCCTAGGATGCAAACAGAATCACAATTTCTCTGGTCACCAATGCCCTTTTCCAGGAAAGAGGGAGGCACTGCTGAAGAGAGACCACAAAAACGCTAAATATTTTCTCATCCTCTGCAGTACATTTATCCTCTGATACTCATAAAGTCTACTGATTTTCTAAGTTAAAGACGCAACAAAAATGTACATACGAAGCGCCAGCACACGGACACGAACACACTTCATTCCTGCCGCTGCCTCACACTGAAAGAGATGCTATTTCTTAAATCCAGCTGAGAGGTTATGTCCTGAAAGGCAGGCCTAAGTGCTGGGCCAGGAACTTTATAGGCCACATCAAAGTTGACCCCCAGCCACTGGCACCTTTTGAAGAAGCAGCATTCGTGCATAGAGGCACAACTTCAGATCAGTCTAAAAGCCTGAAAATATACAGAAACTACATTCATTGGGCAGTCTGGTATTCAACCGATTTCTTCCATAATTGAATGAAGGCATAATAACACTGATGGGTTTCCCATCCTCTAAACCAGATAAAAACACAGTAACATAGTTGTTGACCTGTATGAAGTCAGGATCCATGTCCTTTATAGAACCTATGGGGCATTTTCTCAGCCTCTGGGCACCTGGATAAAAAGCTCTGAGATCCAGTGGCCTATACTTTACATGTTCAGAACTTTAAGAATCCAACATTCGGAAATCCAACTGACATTTAAAAGACAAACCTTGCTTTCAGAAATCCAAATGGCATTTATCTATCTACTTATTTATTTATTTATTTAGAGACAGGGTCTGGCTCTGTCGCCCAGGCTGGAGTGCAACAACGCAATCTCGGCTCACTGCAGCCTCTGCCTCCTGGACACAAGCAATCCTCCCACCTCAGCTTCCGGAGTAGCTGGGACTACAGGTGCACCACCATGCCCAGCTATTTTTTGTATTTTTTGTAGACACAGGGTTTCGCCATGTTACCCAGACTGGTCTTCAACTTCTGTACTCAGGCAATCCGCTGGCCTCAGCCTCACAAAGTGCTGGGATTACAGGTGTGAGCCACTGCAACGGCCAAATGACTTTTATAAGGTGATACAAGGTAACTGATGGAAGGCAGGGTGATTCTCAATGGTCACTGCCAAAGCGTTCAGAACCCCAGAGGCTAAGAGGGAGCAAAAATGCTATTTTCAAAAAGACTTTCCACAGAAGGATTTGTAAAGCAAATTGGGAAAATGGGCAATTAGAGAATGAGGTCCTTCCAGATTTCTTCAAGTTACAAATATCCTAAGAAGCCTGCATCTAGTCACAGAGATGTGAGTTGACATTATTCATTCCTCTAATCATGAGTTGTATTTTACAAAGTTAAAACACAGCACTATTCATTCCTCTAATCATGAGTTGTATTTAACAAAGTTCAGCCAGTTTTCGGGGCGGCCACATCTCCTGCAGTCTAGAGTCTCCACCTTTCCAAAAGTCTTTTATTTATTTATTGAGACACAGTCTCACCCTGTCACCCAGGATGGAGTGCAATGGTGCCATCTCGGCTCACCGCAACCTCTGCCTCCCAGGTTCAAGCGATTCTCCTGCCTCAGCATCCCAAGTAGCTGGGATGACAGGTGCGCACCACCACTCCCAGGTAATTTTTTTTTTTTTTTATCTTTAGTAGAGACAGGGTTTCACCATGTTGGCCAGGCAGGCCTCGAACTCCTGACCTTATGATCCACCCGCCTTGGCCTCTCAAAGTGCTGGGATTACAGGCGTGAGCCACCGCGCCCGGCCAGGTCTTTTATTTTACAGTGTTGGGTTCTTGTCAAGAGAGTCTCAACTGTCCTTTAAAGAGGCCAAGCCCATCCCACAGCTGGGACAAGTTGTGGCTATTGTTTCTGGCTGAAAGAACTCCTCCAAATACCCCAGAGAAACCTTCTCCAATAATTATAGAAAATTCTAGAAAACATCTAACCGTGGTGTTTTTTTCTTTTTCCTGGAATTCTCTTGATTTTTTTTTCTCTATCCACGCGTTGGTATTATTCGACTTATTAGTAGTAATGCCCTACTGTCCCCTAGTTTTACATTTTGACTCCATGAAAGCCAGCACACAAGCTCAGGCATTATACAGACTTGGTTCTGAATCCCAGGGCTTCTGCTACCCCCTGAGTTATCCTGAGCAATGTATTTATTCACTGTGATCTCAATTTCTTCTTCCATCTTTCTTTTATCCCTTTCTCCATTTTTCCTTCAGCCACTCCAGCAATTTTTCTCTGTAAGTTTTTGTTTTTTAAAAAAGTAAGCCAAACAGTAAAAACTGAGATTTTCTGCCTAGAGAAAAAAAAAAAAGTAACTTTCTACACAGAGCCTACTAATTTTTAAAGGCCTATAAAATTTATTATCATTAATCTCATATTAAATTGCTGAGGTAAGAGTGTTTATTTTTAAAAATAAATTAACCACAAAGTGGTATTGATAGATTTGGTCTCCTGAATACAATAATATCATATATTTGGCATTTAGATTTAGCATTTGTAAGATGTCTGTTGTAATATCAACAATTATAACATAAAACTCCATCTTCAAAATGGGAGAAAGCAAAAATAATTTTAAATATGAATTATTTGACAGCCACTACAGGGAAAAAAATGTCACATTTCAACACTGATTTTTTTTTTTTTTTTTTGAGACGGAGTCTCACTTTCACTCTGTTGCCCAGGCTAGAGTGTAATGGTGTGAGCTCAGCTCACGGCAACCTCCATCTCCCAGCTGCAAGCAATTCTCCTGCCTCAGCCTCCTGAGTAGCTGGGATTACAGATGCACACCACCACACCCAGCTAATTTTTGTATTTTTAGTAGAGACGGGGTTTCATCATATTGGTCAGGCTGGTCTTGAACTCCTGACCTCAAGATCTACCCACCTCGGCCTCCCAAAGTGCTGGGATTACAGGCGTGAGCCACTGCACCCGGCTCAACACTGATATTTAAGTACATTTTTTAAAACTATAATTATAGTATCGGCTGGGCATGGTGGCTCACGCCTGTAATCCCAGCACTTTGGGAGGCCGAGGCGGGTGGATCATGAGACCAGCCTGGCCAACATGGTGAAACCCCATCTCTACTAAAACTACAAAATTAGCTGGGCATGGTGGCGCACATCTGTAGTCCCAGCTACTCAGGAGGCTGAGGCAGGAGAACCGCTTGAACCCAGGAGGTGGAGGTTGCAGTTAGCCAAGATCGCACCACTGCACTACAGCCTGGCAACAGAGCGAGACTCCGTCTCAAAAAAAAAAAAAAAACACTACAATTATAGTATCTTTGATATACATAAACACAAATATATATTCAATGCCTTCCCTCCTATCAAGTCCCACGAAGGCCAAAACAGAACTCTTAAGTCTGACGATGTAAACAATGGCAGTGTGCTTGTGGGTCACACCCAGACCCTCTGTCACGAGCTCCCTCACCCCTAAAATGCAGAGTTGTAAACGATGACTCCCAGGATTCCTCTGGCCGTGCCCAGTCTCAGATCCTCAGCTTAGTGGAGTTTACTAACTAGAACCTAGGCCCCTAGACACTCATGCATTAGGGATCCTTAAGGAATCTGTTTTCCTGATACTGGAAAACACTATTATGTTTTATGTTTGAGGTTTGATATCATTGTTACCTAAATACACAAAACAAATCAAACAAAAAGTGACACCATAGAGAATCAAGTCTGATGTTAAAGTAGATCACTTATAAGCAGATCCCATTACACTGGCATGGACTAATTTACTTGTCTGAAAAAGCACACATGGTGTTAAAGCCACCTTTCACTTAATTATTGTGTCCTCCAGATTCCGAGAATGTACAATACGTATAATCTTATCAAGAAGGTATACATTGGAAATATGTTCATGTATAGAATCTCACCAAATTAAAAGTTATCTTCCAATATTTAAGAACCTAAAATATCAATTAGAAAACTTCAACCCTAGCTGATAGTTTACAATGTAAGGATATATTTGCAAAAAAATTATCTTTATCCAATTTCACATAGTACCCGTGACTTATTGCACTTGAAAAGTCACACACGATGAACATTCTGGCAAGAGCTGCAGTGCTTTGCAGGGACACAGCAGTGTTTTGTTTTCTGCTGGCAGTGGACAAGCATTCGGTGAGAACCAAGGTGCAGGGTGTTAGGGAGACAGACCCAGGGTCTGGAGGCATAGAGCTTCCATGACAGACTAGGAAGGGAAATGGTGAGAGTCACACATAAATAAGACAAGTTCACCAACAACAAGATCATATGGTGAGACACAATCCAAAAACAAGTAAGACAAATTCACAAATAAAATAATGACCATGTGTTGTGAATGCTATAAAGGAAACAGAGATCTAGATTAGAACAGGCAGGAGAATGGCAGGAACAGCCAACCCTTATGGAGACATTACTCTGTGCCTGGCCAATCCTCACCTTTTGCTAATTCATAGCAAGAGGCAGACATCAATAGTGTCAAGTTAGACACCGGAAACTGAAGTTAAGAAGGTTGGAGGGAGCCGGGCGTGGTGGCTCATGCCTGTAACCCCAGCACTTTGGGAGGCCAAGGCAGGCAAATCATCTGAGGTCAGGACTTCGAGACTAGCCTGGCCAACGTGGCGAAACCCTGTCTCTACTAAAAATACAAAAATCAGCTGGACGTGGTGGTACGCACCACGCCCATAGTCCCAGCTACTCGGGGGGTTAAGGCACAAGAATTGCTTGAACCCAGAAAGTGGAGGTTGCAGTGAGTCAAGATCGCGGCCCTGCACTCCAGCCTGGGCGACAGAATGAGACTCCCTCTTAAAAAAAAAAAAAAGCAAGAATTTAAGTCTCAGTGGCTTTATCATGATGCCCTTTTGTCACCTAGCATGTTAGCATGTCAACTTGCTGGGGGCAACAGACTACAGGTGTTCCAGAATGTTCCATTTCCCTTTACACACATGATCTGGTTTCATACCCAGATTTTCAGAAAGGCACAGACTTACAGGGACGACAACACTTAAAAAACATTTTACAAGCACATGTTCACTTATTTCAAGACATGTCCTCCCTGCCCCCAAACACAAAGAAATCCTTTTAGAAGGAAAAAAAAATGCTTACGATTACCTTTTTTTTTTTTTAAACTGAGTTGACTTTTTTTTTCCTAGACTTACTTCGACTCCTCAAGGACATTAGCACGCAGAGCAAGGATGTACCGTTACAAATAACATCATTTTCTGTTGTTTAAAGTTATAACACAAAGCATTACAGATACTTTAAACAGATTATTAATAAGCACAATGATGTAACAAATGCACTTACGATCATTTAATCCCCCTTAAATTAAAATAAGAAGCCCTGACTTGAGCATTTATAAAGAGATAAAATTATGCTACTCTAATTGGAGATACGTGTCATTATAAATTTGTCCAAACTCACAGAAGGTACAACACCAAGAGGGAACCCTAATGTAAACAAAGGACTTTGGGTGACAATGATGTGTCAATGCAAGTTTATCAATTGTGACAGACGTATTCTGCTGGGGGATGTTGATAATGAGGGAAACTATGCATGGGGTGGGGGGCGGCGCAAGACTTATATGGGAAACCTCCGTACCTTCCACTCAATTTCGTGTGAACATGAAACTGATCTAACAAATAAAGTCGAACAAAAAAGAGAAATAAAACCACAGGACCATTCTCACCCGCACTCATCACAGGTATATATATACAAAAACTTCTACTATTTCTTGCATTTTAATAACAACTGAGTCATTGATCAAATTTAAATGAAAACAGGAGTTACACATTCACTATGGTTGAGAGTAATTGCTAAAACTATTAATGGTGCATCAAAGAACGCCTTCCTAGTCGAAGGAGGGGAATGAAAGGAGAGCATGATTTCACCCCTTCCTCAGCCAATCAAGAAAGCATACAGAATAGACGTGAATGAGAGAGGTGTTTTCTTTTAGAGATATCCATTCACCCTTAAAATGTGGGACACTCGCATTTTGTAGAGACACAGTGCAGTTCAGTATCTCGGTTGAGAGTTCCTTCCTTCCCCCATTTAATTAAATGCTGAAGTTTGTGTTTCAGAAAGCCCTGAGTTTGCGTGCCAGCTCCACGTACTTGTTTTGCAGCCTTGTCCTTAAATCCTGCAGCTCTTGGTTGGAGCTTCTGTTTTGTTCCTGTGAACTGTCCCCACAGGTCTGACTCCTGCAGAGCACAGTTGAAGGGACAGGAGAGAACATCGAGGGACACCCATGGTGGCACACACTGGCTCACTCCAGTTCCTGCACAGATCTACGAAAGCTTCAGGGCCTCGTTCACTCCCAGCAAATGCAGCAAATATACAGCACTTAAAGAAGTCACAGGAACATTACTCAAACTGGAAGCAAAACAATAATTTTCTTGTTGACTGATATGCTTCCAGCAAATGAGAGACATGCAACATGAACTAAGATGTTCTGGGTTACACTGGCTACGTAACCTATTATTAATTTCTCTGTGCCACAGTTTCTTCATTTGTACAATGGGATAATAATAGAATCCACCCCACCTAGCTGCTGTATTTTAAAATGTCAATCTTTGGGCCAGGCGCAGTGGTTCACTCCTGTAATCACAACACTTTGGGAAGCTGAGGCAGGCAGATCACTTGAGGCCTGGAGTTCAAGACCATCCTGGCCAACATGGCGAAACCCCATCTCTACTAAAAACACAAAAATTAGCCGGGACTGGTGGTACATGTCTATAATCCCAGCTACTCAGGAGGCTGAGGCACAAGAATCGCTTGAATCTGAGAGGTGGGAGTTGCAGTGAGGCGAGATCACATCACTGCACTCCAGCCTGGGCAACAGAGCAAAACTCGGCCTCAAGAAAAAAAAAAAAAAAAGGAAAATGTCAATCTGTGTAAAGCTTAGAATGTGGCCTGCCTGGCACATGCTAAGCACTAGGCAAGCCTGTGCTCACCAGACTACAAGGTGTTATTTTGTAATGTTATAATTAAAAGAAACTATTAAATATTTTTAAATGCCATTGCAAAAATAAATCTTTGCCTAGTTTTGCCTTCTCTGTAACGATGGTTTTATGTTTCCAACTTAAGATCAAAATCACAAGAGTTTTATCTTTTTGTTTAGTAGGTACCCTAACAAAATACCTTAGATTGGGTAATTTATAAAGAATCAATACTTACTTCTCACAGTTCTGTAGGTTGGGAAGTCCAAGATCAAAGACAAAAGGGGACTAGGGCACTCCCTTCAACTTTTTTATTTTCCAAAATATATGGAATGCTTCACAAATTTGCACTGTCATTCTTGCATAGCAGCCATGTTCATCTCTATATGGTTCCAATTTTAGTATATGTGCTGATGAAGTGGGCACATTATTTCTCTTTTTTTAAAGAGTCAGAACCTCACTCTGTTTTTTATTTTATTATTTTATTTTACTTTATTTTATTGAGAGGAGTCTCACTCTGTCACCCAGGCTGAAGTGCAATGGCGCAATCTCAGCTCACTTCAACCTCTGCCTCCCAGATTCAAGTGATTCTCCTGCCTCAGCCTCCTGAGGAGCTGCAATCACAGGTGCCCGCCACCACGCCCAGCTAATTTTTGTATTTTTCAGTAGAGACAGGATTTCACCATGTTGGCCAGGCTGGTTTCAAACTTCTGACCTCAGGTGATCTGCCTACATCGGCCTACCAAAGTGCTGGGATTACAGGCGTGAGCCACCATGCCCGGCCAGAGCCTCACTCTGTTGCCCAGGATGGAGTGCAGTGGCATGATCACGGCTCACCCCAGCTTCAAACTCCTGGGCTCCAACCTGTTATTTATTTATTTATTTATTTATTTATTTATTTATCTTTATTTTTATTTTTTTCCCAACATGTTCTATAAGAGCACTAATCCCATTAGTGAAGGTGGAATAATCATGACCTCGACATTTCCCAAAAGGCCCCAGCTCTTACTTAATACCATCACACTGGGCATTAGGTTCCAACGTAGGAATTTTGGTGGAACACATATATTCAAACCATAGCATAGGGTCACTTTAAAATTACATCTCTATAAACAGTTCTGACTACAAAACTAGACAAATGAAAAGAAGCAACACCTCCATGCTACCAGGATAAAATTTCCAAAGACCTCATTACAACGGTTACCAGCAAAGAGGATTTTGAATTAGTACAAATTCACAGATTTTGGGGGTAATCTGGACTAAAAGAGTTCTACTTCACTAATTTAAGCCTGTGTTTTCAAATGAAGGGCAGTATCACATGCAAATACAACACATATATCCAAATTCCTAACTGGGTCCTAACTAGGATCAGCTTTACTTTGCAAGGCTCTAGAACAAAGATAACCAAAGTTGTATTACAAGATTGACAGCCTAGGGTATTTAAACACATCCTGACATTGACACCAAGACCCCAGGGTGAGTGTGGGGTCAACGGTTATAACCAAAAATATGGCCTTCTGTTCCATGTACTAACACACTGATCTGTTTTATTTAGATACTGAGTTTAGTAACCTCAAGAATTATTTACCGTAGTGAATAGGGAGAATTTCCACATTTGCCAAGGCTTTCTTTACGAAAGAGCTGGGCCGGGTGCAGTGGCTCACACCTGTAATCCCCGCACTTTGGGAGGCTGAGGCGGGCGGATCACAAGGTCAGGAGATCGAGACCATCCTGGCTAACATGGTGAAACCCCGTCTCTACTGAAAATACAAAAAATTAGCCAGATATGGTGGCGGGCACCTGTAGTCCCAGCTACTCAGGAGGCTGAGGCAGGAGAATCACTTGAACCCGGGAGGCAGAGGTTGCAGTGAGCTGAGATCATGCCACTGCACTCCAGCCTGGGTGACAGAGCGAGACTCCATCTCAAAAAAGAAAAAAAAAACAGCTGAAGACAGGATGTAAGATTTAGTCAAGTGTTGATTGATATCAAGTAAGGAAGGGAATTGTGTGGTTTTATTCCCCAGCTATTGGATGAACTAAACTGAGCTGACTTCTTACAGGGCTAACATGAGCAAGCACTGAACCAACTGTCCTTTCCTACCCGTTGATCAGACAGCTGGGAAGTCCTCTTGAAGGGAAAGATATTAAAATTTACTGAAGATAACCAAAGTTGAACGGAAAACAGATGATTAATAACTGACACTCAAAAAGAACATTCCACACATTCTTTGAAAACGCATGGAGTCATATCAATATTTAAATACAGTTCACTATGAGTCATGTTTAAATAGTCATATAATTGATGCCATACATCAGATATTTATCAGAAAGCATGAACCATTCGTGGTGCTGGAAAAGAAGATGACAAACTAGGGAAGAGATGGCAGGAGATGAAGGGGAAAAGTAGGTCAGGTTCAGATTTGGAATGAATGCGGTGATGCCTCAGTACATTCAGATGAGACTATCTGGGGATCAGGCGAGCATTTTTATCCCAGCTTCCATGGTTTCCACAGAGCACTTGCATCAAATGCTAGACACACAATACTAAAGGTTTCTCCTCACTGTTCTGAAGCTTGACGTTAGTCTCCATTAACACTTAACTACAGGTTTCATCAAATAGACGTCAAATTATTTCCAAGATAAACATCAGTAGGTGTTAGTTGAAAGGGAGGGGAGGGAGACTCAGCTTCTTCTGTTTCTTTTAAGTTTTATTTTGGTTTCGATAAAAAAAAAACTCAGATAGCCAGCTACGTAGAATGAATTGACTGAACAGTGACCACTTTTCCTGCATAAGACAGCTGAGATGAGGAAGACAACCAAATGAATCTGGAAGATTTCAAAGAAAATGTCCAGTGCTGTACTGAAAAAAAGAGGGTAGTTTAAATAGAAAAAATATATTAATAGAAAGGCACCGAGACAAACAAGTCACAAACCAAATAAAGTGTCAATAGGAGTGCCAATCAAACTGTGTATATCCATCCAAAAGAGAGAAGGCCACTGAGAACAAGAATCCCCCAAATAAGCATTTATGTAATTAAACAGCCTCTTAACATACGTTGTGTTTCATACATGCTTGGCGAACACTGAGAACTACAGGTAATCTTACTTTAGAAAGCAATGTCAGGGGGCCGGACACAGTGGCTCATGCCTGTAATCCCAGCACTTTGGGAGGCCGACGTGGGTGGATCACTTGAGGTGAGGAATTCAAGACAAGCCTGGCCAACATGGTGAAACACTGTCTCTACTAAAAATTCAAAAATTAGCCAGGCATGGTGGTGCATGCCTGTAGTCCCAGCTACTCGGGAGGTGGAGGCAGGAGATTCACTTGAACCCAAGAGGTGGAGGTTACAGTGAGCCACTGCACTACAGCCTGAGTGGCAGAGCGAGACTCCATCACGGAAAAAAAAAAAAAAAAGCAATGTCAGGGGACACTCACCTAGCAAGAACCAGATTATAGAACCTGTTTAAGCATCTTATTTCCAGAGACCTGTAATGTGTGCAAGCTCAACTATAGATTTAGGCAATTTTCTTTCTTCAAAATGAGCCATACCGAAGTCACTAATGTTAAGAACAGGTTCTCAGTCTGTGCTTTAATCCAGAAAAGCATTCTGGGTGAGCTCAGTGAGAGTTCTTTGGGTCCTTCATTAGATAGCCTTATCACCTTTCTTTCTTTTTTTTGTTTTGTTTTGTTTTGAGACGGAGTCTCGCTGTGTCGCCCAGGCTGGAGTGCAGTGGTGCGATCTCGGCTCACTGCAAGCTCCGCCTCCCGGGTTCACGCCATTCTCCTGCCTCAGCCTCCCAAGTAGCTGGGACTACAGGCGCCCACCACCACGCCCAGCTAATTTTTTGTATTTTTAGTAGAGACAGGTTTTCACGTGTTAGCCAGGATGGTCTGGATCTCCTAACCTCGTGATCCGCCCACCTCGACCTCCCAAAGTGCTGCAATTACAGGCGTGAGCCACCATGCCCAGCCACCTTATCACCTTTCTTTACAATACCTCCATCAAGAATTCTTGGTTGTTTACTACCCGGTGGGCTGGTAGATTTCATTAGCTTTCAAAGTATACAGAAAAATCTCAGCTTTTGAAAATTCCAGAGGAATGACACAGTAGCGCAAGCAGCTTTTTAAATATACAGAATTTTGTTTTATTTACATCGACTGCCTATTAAGAATTTTTTTCTGAAGATTAGAAGATACCAAGAAAAGTACTAAAAACATTTTTTTCCCTTAAGATATGGGTCTAGTTAAGAGTGCATTGCTCACCATATTTGAACCACTCAGCTTTCAGATATCAGGGTCTTCATATCTTTAATTCCTATTATTAAAATATTTCTGGGTTTTTATTTCCAACAATAACATGAAAAATAAACTCTTAGGACCTGCTCTCAGGATATATTCAGTAGCCATCTAACTACACAGGAGAGGATATGAACAAACAGTGAACATTTTATCAATCAGGAAACTAGCTCTCGGCCGAGCGCGGTGGCTCACGCCTGTAATCCCAGCACTTTGGGAGGCAGAGGCAGGCGGATCACCTAAGGTCAGGAGTTTGAGACCAGCCTGACCAACAAGGCGAAACCCCGTCTCTACTAAAAATACAAAAAATTAGCCAGGCATGGTGGCAGGTGCCTGTAATCCCAGCTACTCCAGAGGCTGAGGCAGGAGAATTGCTTGAACCCGGGAGGCAGAGGCCACAGTGAGCCGAGATCACGCCATTACACTCCAGCCTGGGCAACAAGAGTGAAACTCCATCCCAAAAAAAAGAAAAGAAACTCGCTCTCTGGATAACCTGCCCAAGATCCCTACAAATGTAAATACTGGTTTAAATACGTGTAATAAGAAATCATTTTTGCTTTTCTCCCCCAAGGTAGAATAGTCTTAAAGACTAAACGCAAGGGTGGGGGTGTCCAATCTTTTGGCTTCCCTGGGCCACACTGGAAGAATTGTCTTGGGCCACACATAAAATACGCTAACAATAGCTAATGAGCTAAAAAAGAAAAAAAAAAGTCTCATGTTTTAAGAAAGTTTGCAAACTGGTGTTGGGCCACATTCAAAGCAGTCCTGGGCAGAGAACTGGACAAGCTTGGACTAAAGCAGTGATTCATAAAGAGCAATTACTCTGGGCCAAGTAGTGTCTGAAGGTCTAGGAAAACAAAAATCAGGCAGAGTTCCTACATCCAAGGAATCTCCCTGTGGGGTCATGGGAAACAATCATCAATTTCAGATGGTGGTTAGTATAAATCAAGCTGGAGGATGAAGGCTGGAGGAATGATAAAATACTAGTTACCAATCCTGTCTTTCATTTGTTGACAGATTTCATTTTAAAAAACATCATGGTCAAGAGTCCCAGCTACCTTGGTAAGCTATTTGCAACTCAGGAGTCAAGAGAAAGGAGCACTTTTGAGCAAAAGTAACGTCGACATCTGAATAGGGATGTAAGGAAATGTAATTCATATGAAAAAACATAAAGAGCAGGCCAGGCGTGGTGGCTCACGCCTGTAATCCTAGCACTTTGGGAGGCCGAGGTGGGCTGATCATGAGGTCATGAGATCGAGACCATCCTGGCTAACACGGTGAAACCCCGTCTCTACTAAAAATACAAAAAAAATTAGCCCGGCCTGGTGGCGGGCACCTGTAATCCCAGCTACTCGGGAGGCTGAGGCAGGAGAATGGCGTGAACCTGGGAGATGAAGCTTTCAGTGAGCCAAGATCGCACCACTGCACTCCAGCCTGGGTGACAGAGTGAGACTCAGTCTCAAAAAAAAAAAAAAGAAAAACATAAATAGCAGACGGGAGCAACAGCAATTCTTCCTGTTTCTCAAGCTGAGTGGCCCATCTTAATGCAGTTAGCCTGTCAGGTGAGAGCCCCAGCAGAAGACACTTCCCCAAGGAGTCTGACAGTAACTACAAACACTGTGTTCAAGAGCTAAAGCATATTCTTACTGTGTTTTAAGAACTAGCTACTCTTGGAAATCTTTTCCTTCAGTTTCTAATCCCCAAATGCCTGCTTTTTAATGGAAATTTAAGATGTGTAAATCTCTTTTCTATCTAGTGATTAAGACCTTTAAACTAAATGTAATCGATGCTGAATTCTTCCATATTCTCTACAGTGATATTCACATAAAACTCTTTAAATAATAGCCAATTGAATATCTCACTGGAATATCTCACATGGCTTAGTCAGGCAAAAGAGGTGGATCTAGGGACAGATTGAAGAAAAAGAATATAATTGATCGGAGTAGTAAACTTAATGACTATCTGCTGTTTATATCTCTACCCCATGTATCTACGGACCAACATTTGCTTCGCTGTAATTACTGATTTCCTTGTTTGCCTTCACCCACTGTAAGCTACTTAAAGGAGATGCGTCTCCCAACTCCATCAATAAACAAACATCAATTCTGCAATATTTTAGTGTGGTTTGTATGTTCCCACGTCACATTCACATGGTAGAAAAACCTCATGTCAGCTGTTCATTTGTATACAAAAAAACAAGTTTGCAACATATTCTTGGCATTTTGAAATCACTTGAACCACTTTTAGGAAGTTTTATCTGAGAACTACATGAACAAATGCCACTGATGTTTCATTTAAAGAACAAATTCATCACAAAAGCAATTATTTGTACCTTTTAACTATATAATTTTTTTTTTTACTTACGGCTTCAAATGTGTAAGTGTATATCTTGCTCATCCAATCCAATAACATATTTATAGAGCAGGAATAGAATAATCTTCATACAGTTGAAGTATGATGTGTGCCTACAATAGCAGAAGACTGAGATACACACAGACATTTCCTGAAGTCGAGAAATGGTAGACTCTAAACATCTACCAATCACTCCTTGGGCTTGTTTGTATTTTCCAGTATTGTTTTTTGTTTGTTTTGTTTGTTTGTTTGTTTTTGAGACTGAGTCTCACTCTGTCGTGCAGGCTGGAGTGCAGTGGCGCGATCTCAACTCACTACAACCTCCACCTCCTGGGTTGAAGCAATTCTACTGCCTCAGCCTCCCCAGTAGCTGAGACAACAGGCGTGTGCCACCACGCCCAGCTAATTTTTTTGTATTTTTAGTAGAGATGGGGTTTCACTATGTTAGCCAGGCTGGTATAGAACTCCTGAACTCAGGCAATCTGTCCGCCTCGGCCTCCCAAAGTGCTGGCATTACAGGCGTGAGCCACTGCGCCCGGCCTGTATTTTCCAGTTTTGAAACCAAAATGACACCATCACCATCACTAGCAAATCATATCAGAATGTTGAAAAAAAAAAAACAAAGAAAAGAAAATATCATCTACTTGGAAACACACATCAAAAGGCGTATCAGTCACCTAATTACTCATCTGTGTCATAAATTGCTCCTCAACCATCGATACCATGTCATTCCAGCTAAGTACACAACCCACAAGATGAGCCAAGGCTTCCAAACAAAACATACAGTAGGTCTGTGAGAAACCAGGAGGCAGTATGGTGCACTAGAGACTCGAAACATTAAGATAAAAAATTAATTGCAAACTGCCCTTCCCATTCTACTACCTGATTTAAATAACACTGACATGGCCTTCTGGACTAGATGACCCACAGCCAGCTCCTTCAGATCTTACCCAGGGAGTATCAGCTGTATGTTAGGGGAGGAACACAAAGAAGGGGAAGGAGATATAGGAGTTTCAGCTGAAGAGGATGCCACTGGCCAATTCATGAGCTGAATTCATTTAAAATGAGACAATCTTCAGACCAAGTATTGATTTAATAAAGTGCCAAGTGTTTATGGCATAGATTATAGAGATGGTATGAGAATATCTTATATTTCAACCCAGCTCACAGGTATAGACAATAAAGACGCCTACCATCACCTCAACTACAACTATAGTTTTAATATGCAAACCAGAAGCCTATGAAAATAAAAATTTTGCAAATAAAGGATCAACATCCAGAAATGTTTTGGAATGAGTAAATTGTATTGCTAGAACTAGACATGCTTACTGGAATCTTGCATTATTATTTAACTACAGATTACTTTAGAAATCAATTTCATACCATTGTGAAAAGCTACAAACTTTTTTATTTAATAAGAATTCCATCAATAAGAATCAGCAAAAGAAAACTAGACATTGATCTGATGAGAGATCTCAAGATGGACACAAAAATATTTCTAATAATCCTAGTTAAAACTAAGTCCGATGGCTGTCTCATGTCTCAGAAATGAGACAGCAGAAGGTGAATGTTGACCATCTAAGAGGTATGTGACATGGAAGAGGAGGGGGAGTAAATCACAAATGATGTCTTAGTTGTGCCCCACCTCCTCCTCCAAAAAAAAAAGAAAAAGAAAAATCCACGGTGATGTTTGCCAAAGGTTCGTTACAAGCTGGTTCCTGGATGTGAAAGTAAAGGACAGCGTTCTGAAATGTGCCTTATTTGCACAGCATGATGTCACATGACCATGAAACATGCCCTTCCACGTATCCAGCCCTTTACTGGACCACAGGTTCGGTTAGGTGCTAGAAACTGACATCCAAAGATGAACAAAGCAAGGTCCTAACCTCGTAGAACTCACGATGCAGAGTAAGTAGTCACAGCGCAGAATTAGAGCTAAATTCGTTTTTACTTCATTAGGTTTATAATTGACTAATGTGTAAAGATTTCAAGCCACCTGCTTTTCTAGGGACCTGATGTTCGCAGCTTCACAAAGGCTGTTACTAAAATGCATTCAGTTAAGTTGTTCAATAATGATTGATCCAAAGCAGACCAAAAGCATTCAATAACCTGGAAGGACAGACGAGGAGTGTAACCACAATCATCCTCAGCTTTCACTCATCGTGTTGTGTTTCTGAAAGGTTCCCACAATGTAATACTATTTGTCTCCCTCAAATAATACACAGCTTCATTTTTCATTTCGGACTCTACCTTGGGAGGACACTCAGATGCATGAGCCATCAGTACTCATTACTTGTAATGTCTCAGGGCTTTAGAACAACTACTGCTAAGGTTATTGCCTGGAAACAGAATAATTACTGTAATTGGAGTTCATCAGCTATTCATCTTCATAGTAAGCACAACTGATGAGGTGAAATTTTGGCCCATTTATGGAAGTCATCTCAGCTGCCAAAGGCGATGTTCAGAAGACACGTGCTCTCCATGAACATAATGTACTGTAGACAACCTTCAACACTGAACAGACATGGGGTGCTTGGTATGGATCAGAAATTGTTATAGGGCACTGTTATGGGTCCACAAAACAGACACATCCCTGCCTCCTGGATGTTTTAATCTAGAGGAGCAGAGACGTTACATAATCTCATCAATTCTGGCAAATGCAGGGACAAAAATGCCCAGTGCCAGGAGGTGTGGGAACATCTTTGCAAGAGTGACATTTAAGCTGAGATCTGAACTAGGAGTAACTTCAACAGTGGGGAAAAGAATATTCCAGGCAGAAAAAGCAGTAGGCATGAGCTTGGAGCCCTGGGAGACCTGGGAGCCTGTTGGTATGGCTGAAGAGGGTGGGTGAGAGAGTGTGTAGGAACGGAGGTAAGAGACGAAAATAGAAGGTGAACATGCTGAGAGCCGGTGTTTTATTCCAGGTTTAATGGAGAGTTAGGCCTAAAATCTTAAGCAGAGGAATGTCATGCTTGGATTTAGGAGAGTATTAGGGCAGTGATCCAGGAGAGAATAGAAGCTTCCACTAGATTAATGGCTTCAAGTAGAGGGAAATGGACATATGTGAGTTTCACTACCCAGGAAGGAGGCCATATGGGGAATTCCAGGAGACAAGCCTAGTTTTCTGGCATGATTGGAAGAAGGTGCTATCTACCAGGAAAGTGAGTGCTAAAGGTCCTCACTGACATTGCATTGAAAATAGACACTGCATAAATTTTAAGAGTTAAAATTTTTAAATTCTACAATAACTTACATCCTATGTTTTATGTAGAAAACAATTCAGTGAAAGTTGTTATAAAAGACATTAAACAGCATCGTTTCAATTATTTTTAAGACCAGTGGTTTGTTTATCTAGTGTAGTAAAATTAAATTGTTAATTCTCAATTTCACTGGGGATTCATGAGGCAATATTTGTATTGCCAGAGTTAACGTAATGTGACCTTAAATTTGAGCCAGGAAAGCAATAACTGAATTACTTGACAGGGTACGCCTAAAAGTCGTAAACTGTTTTAAAAAGACCCTCTCGGGCTGGGCGCAGTGGCCTGTAATCCCAGCACTTTGGGAGGCCAAGGCGGGTGGATCATTTGAGGTCAGGAGTTGGAGACCAGCCTGGCCAACATGACGAAACCCCATCTCCCCTAAAACAAAAGACAAAAATTAGCCAGGCATGGTGGCACACACCTGTAATCCCACCTACTTGGGAGGCTGAGGCAGGAGAATCGCTTGAACTCGGGAGGCGGAGGTTGCAGTGAGATGAGATCACACCACTGCAGCCTGCATCACAGAGCGAGCCCCTGTCTCAAAAAATAAAATAAAATGAAATAATAATAAAAAGGACCCTCTCAAAAGGGTTAAGTGTAGACTTACCCACACCCACACTTGTTGAGAATGCCCCTCAAAAGAATCCCTGTAAGTATCACTACTTGTTTTATTGCTTGGAAAGGCCCCAAAATTCATTAGCCTTGGTTTCTATAGTCATGGAGGATTTCCATGATTCCCGACACACACTTCCCTTTCCTCGGTGTCCCACTGATTCATAAACTTTCTGTCAAAACCCCCACCACTCTTCCTGCACTTGCTTCTATTCAAGCCCCTGCCTTCTGTCTTCAACCCCAAGTCTCTATCCAGTAAAATCTGTTCCACCGTTAAGAGTCTGTCTAATGAATCCCTAAAAGAAAGCACAGATGCTAGAATAGGATTTTAAAGTGGCCTAGGCATCTGGTCAACTCTTCTGTCTAGAACAAGAAGGGCTCTCTACCATTGCCACTCTGGGTAGGAGATTTTAAAATGAGCTTCCCCAGGATCATTCCATTCTGATTTAGAAAACTCAAGTCTGGGCCAGGTGCGGTAGCTCATGCCTGTAATCCCAGCACTTTGGAGTTCAAGACCAGCCTGGCCAAGATGGTGAAACCCTATCTCTACTAAAAATACAAAAAAATTAGCTGGGCGTGGTGGCACACGCCTATAATCCCAGCTACTTGGGAGGCTGAGGCAGAGAACTGCTTGAACCCGGGAGGCAGAGGTTGCAGTGAGCCAAGATAGTGCCACTGCACTCCAGCCTGGGTGACAGAGCAAGACTCCATCAAAAAAAAAAAAAAAAAAACCCAATCCTACCAACATGTTGATCTTGGACTTCCAGCCTGCAGAACTATGAAAAAATATATTTTTGTTAAGTTATCCCATCTGTTATTTTGTTATGGCAGCCTGAGTAGACACAGGAGGAGAGCATTGGTGCCTCTCCAACTTGTGTTAATGCGGGTGCATCTTCCCAGCCTCTCCCAGACTTCCCTTCCTCTTCTCCTGCTCTGGGCTTTCGTCCCCTGAACACAAAGTGAGGAGGGAACAGAGGGGCTCAGAAACAATAGGTCATTGACTGCTGACCTAGAACAATGCAGTTTTGCTTCCTGTATTGTACTTACCAAAAATTCTGCCCACATAAGGGGAATTTGAACACTTCTTGGAGCAGAAACCAAGGGCTTTCTTTCCCCTCCCCTCAGCCAGGAGCAAGGCTGCACAATTACTATGCTCAAACGTCCCCAAGTACAGCCATTTCTTCCTTTTCGGAAGGGTTTTCAAACCTTATTTAACAAGACATGCCACTGCTCACAGGTGCCTTTTCCTCTCTCAAGCCTGGAACTGTGTAATTAGCTAGGGAAGTAGTTAAATGTGTTATCAGAATCAGATTTAAGTGGAAATGTGTCCCCAGCCAGTTAAACCTCACACTAACCACAGTGCACGTTAGTGTCCTCAAACATTTGATTCTATCTGTGGATGCTTTCTCTACCTGGTAAACTATGCAAACAACTGCTAACAGGTCAGGGCTTGCTGGTTTGCCACGCTGTGTGATATCCTAAGAGTTTTGTTTTTTTTTTAATAGGTATACATCTCTGAATTCTCACCCCCTTCCAACAGGAAGCACACTCAACTCAAAACTGGCTTGGGTTTCTTCCACTCCCCTTAGAAACAGCAGTAACATTTTTTGCAGCATTACATCATTCTGGACTTCTTTGCCCTTTTTCTGAGATTCCTGGCTAGCTCACTGAAGAAAAGACAAAGAATCCCGCTTTAGTCGTATGCTTAGCCAATGCGGATCAATACAGAAATGAGACTCACAGGTAGGAACTACGGATCTAAAGAAAGCAAGTTAAAGGAATAGTGTTTGTACGTGTGTCCCAATCTGCCAACTGGTCCCTCTATCCATCACTTCCTTCTCCCCTTAACGTGGCAGTATTTGTTGCTGGAAACAAGGATATGGTCAAAGAATACATTGCTAGTCACAGCATTAAATTTCAACAAGGTGATTTGATTTAAGCAAGAAGGGCTAATTAACACGGGTTTGGGGTGAGGTGGAGAGATATGAAGCTTGTTGGCTTTTAAATTCACTTCTTTGTTAAATTCACTTTTAAGTTAAATTCCCTGCATTTAAGAGTTAGTTAAGTTAAACATAACAACTTAGAAATATTCATAGGACTCCTTTCCCATTAAGAATTCATTTCATTTAACACTACAGTTCTTACCGTAGTGGAACCATGTTACCATTCCATTGGATAGTTACCTCTCTCTGCATTGTGGTCAGTTGAGTTCTCTTACGATGACCCCCTGTACCTGTCCACCCAGAAAACTTTGGTACAGATGAAATCAAAGCCCAGGCTCTCTGTCTGGATGGCAGAAATAAATCCAGTTACAATAGAAAAGTAGAGGTGAATGGAATAAGCCACTTATGTCCTGTTTTTGTCTCTTCTACCAATGAAAGGATAACCAAACCTTCAATGAGACTTTCCATCAGTCAATCATCGGGTCAGATGAGGAAAACTAGTAACATGCAGCTGTGAGTCAGAAAAAGAAACACATACCTGGGAAGCATTATCAATCTTGTCTTAACAACCTTCTGGAGAACATTGGTACAAACACTTGTTACTATCTGCCTGAAAACCAAACATTTGAAAATTCTGGAACCAGGTTTCTAAAGTCCAGTTGGGTGAGCCTTGGGAAATATGAGCTTGGGTTCTCAACAACAGATCACCAGGGCTACTGAGCAAAACCCAGTGCCACAATAAACCTCCTGTCAATAGGGTGGCATTCACCCTGTTTACCTGAGGTTGGGTGATTATGAGAAGCCTTTGGAGGCACTGTCATCACCAATTGTTAATCGAGATTCTTTCTTCCTTAGAAAAATGAGTTATTGGCCGGGCATGGTGGCTCACGCCTGTAATCCCAGCACTTTGGGAGGCCAAGGAGAGCAGATCACTTGAGGTTAGGAGTTTGTGACCAGCCTGGCCAATATAGTGAAACCCCATCTCTACTAAAAAATACAAAAAAATTAGCCGGGCATAGTGGCGGCACCTGTAGGCCCAGCTACTTTGGAGGCTGGGGCAAAAGAATTGCTTGAACCTGGGAGGCGGAGGTTGCAGTGAGCCGAGATCGTGCCACTGCACTCCAGCCTGGGCGACACGGCGAGACTCTGTCAAAAAAAATATTGTATATATATATATATATAAAAATTAGTCAAGCTTGGTGGCGTACACCTGTAGTCCCAGCTACTAGGGAGGCTGAGGCACGAGAATTGCTTGAACCCAGGAGGCAGAGGTTGTGGTGAGCAGAAATTGCGCCACTGCACTCCAGCCTGGGCGACAGAGTGAGACTGTCTAAAAAGAAAAAAGGACGGGTGCGGTGGCTCACACCTGTAATCCTAGCACTTTGGGAGGCCAAGACAGGTGGATCACGAAGTCAGGAGTTCAAGACCAGCCTGACCAACATGGTGAAACCTTGTCTCTACTAAAAATACGAAAAAATTAGCTGGGCATGGTGGCGGGTGCCAGTAATCCCAGCTACTCGGGAGGCTGAGGCAGGAGAATCGCTTGAACCCAGGAGGCTGAGGTTGCAGTGAGCTGAGATTGCGCCACTGCACTCCAGCCTGGGCGACAGAGCAAAACGAAAAAAAGAAAAAAAAAAAAAAGAAAAATGAGTTATTCAGAGAAGATTCCAGGACACTTTATCTAATCACAGTAATAATGGCTATAGTAAATACCCAGGTGATCATCTAACCTCACCCTGCCTTCTGGGTGCATTGCAGAATTAAGGAGTGGGAAGTCACTCCAGAACTCTCTGCCTGTCCATCTAAAGTCAATCTGATTTCTCTACATTTTCCTTTTCTCCAATCATCTTACACCTAAGGCAAATACAGACACTGTGATCCTCTAATGAAATAGCTGAGAACATTAGTAAGGGTTAAAGACAGCAAATATTCCTACAGCCTCTACAGTTTCCAAGGCAAGCTCAGAGAAGGACAGGAGACCATCCTATGAAGACCCAATAACTCCGAGGAAACCTTTCTTCTCTGTCTCTTTAAGAAACAGCTAGTTCTCTCTGTCAGTGGATACTGTTTTCCCCCTTTTGATACACTATTTCCCCCATTAGATCTTGTTACTATTTACCTTGGTTATTGTATTAGTCTACGTGGTAATGGTGTTTTGAATAGACTGTCAAAGGAAAAATGAAGTGGGTCTTTTCAAAGTCACTTTGCCATGCAATTCAGGAAATTTGTAATTTAGAAAGCTCAACCAGGAAAAGTTTTTATCTAACAGCTATTTCTTCATAAACTTAAAAAAGAAGTATTTTTCTCTAATAGAACCACAGCTTTTCTTTAAAAAGACAAAGAAGTTTTAATTTTGGTTTATTTTAGGAATATATCCATTTCTGAATCTACGTAAGTGTAATAATTAAAAGCATTATGAAAATAAAAGTTACCTATTAATTGTGGGTTTCTCTGGAAAATGTAAATTCAAACCTGCTCTTATTGACCTCAATATGTCATTTTAAATGTGAAATTAAAATTGTGTCTCATCAAAAACTAAACTTATCACAGATTATCCAAACACAAATGCACACAGTTTACATTTACCAACATCAGTTTCAAACATCCCAATAGTATGCTTTAGAAAGTGTTTTAGCATCTTAAGCACTTATGTTCCATATTTTAAGGACTACTTCAGAATCTAACAGATTTTTTAAATCCTCTAAATCACCCCAAATACTATAAATGGTAATTTTAAATAAAAAAGATTAAACATCCCGTTGTATGCAGCTCTCAAACCAATAAGCCAGATAACGCTAGAAATCGGCATAAAAGCTCTCCATCCACCACCTGCCACGACAACGTGCACACTGGATCTGCCAAGAGGGCCCCGAGCATTTCAGGGGTGGGTGGGATGCCTGACTGCTCCGCTTGCTCTATAGCCCCCAAATAAGTCTAAAGCCAGCTGGCGTTCTTTTCAAACACATACCCACCATCGCCAGCTTCCCAGCCCCCAACCACTGTGCATTTTGGGAGAAAAACAAGGATTTAACTTAAATTTTAGAAAAACTAAAGTTTAGTTTTATGAAGAAAGTTATTTCAGTGCATGCCATATACTTTTTGGCATATAAAGGAAACCACGTGCACATAATGTAAGAAGCAGAAAGGAGTAAGTTGAGGGGAAGATGGCCTGTGGATGAAGTGGCAGCAGGTAGTGACTGCACCGTCCCCCTGGGGCATGTGTGGTGTATTAAAAGGCCGAAGAGGTCTCCTCTGGGGGAGATCATGAGACGGATATAGGATCCAGACTGGTTTTTTTTTTAATGGTTCTAGGGTACAAAAAAAAATGGTAGAAAAAAAAGTTTTACGTTGCAGACAGTGAGTAAGAGTGACTCAATTAGACATTCTCTGCTTCTCTCTCAGAAGAGAGGGGCAGCAGGAGTGAGGCTTTATGGGGAAATAACCTGGGTTTCCACGCAGCCCATAAGCAGCTCGTGGGACTCTGAGCAACCCACTAACTTCTCTAAGATTATTTTGAGTTCCAAAATGAGTGTTTAGTCATGAGCTTTTAAACCTTCTGCTCCAAGGAAAGTACTTACAAAGGACTGAGGTTTCGATAGTGGTTAAAAGCAGCCACTGGCTTTCTGTAAGTGGATCCTGCGTGGACGCGGAACAAAACAGATTGACCAATTTAGGCAGGACTTGGTTTATTTCTAATCAGGCAACACTAACTACACAGTGGCAGACGGTCTGCTAGAGCCTGGTCCATATCTCAGAGCAAAATTGCAGATAAGTAAGACATTTGGGGTTATGACTTCCATCTGCAATGTCCAAGGAGAAACGTGAAAGTATCAACCAAATCCACATTTATAGTCCTCAGTAAGAGCAACCACAATCATCATACTAGAAAGGAATGACTTAAGGTATTAGTCTCCATTCACTATGACAAGAAGCACCTCTAATCTACAAGCAATTTAACGTAATACTGATGAAATATTAGAAGTATACACTGGATCTCTTCCATAAATAATTTTTCATTGAAGAAGTTAGTATCGCTCTCTCTAAATTAATACTGAAGATGTCAATATGTGAAAAGGCTACCCATTTTATTCAAGAGCCCCCCTTCCCCTTTTTTCCCCCCCTGAAGAGTCCATATTACCTAAGATAAAATGGCCAAGGCTTAGGAGAAGTACAGTGTAGCTCCATCTACACGGATTGAAATCCTAGGAAACTTTTTAAAAGACATAACCACTATATCTAAAATCCCCTTCCTTACAGTGAACACCTGACAGATAGAGTAAAATATATGACTTCCCTCCAGAATCCGTAAGATACAAAAACCTGTTTAAGGAAGCTGTTAAACAACAATTTACCCAAAATGAGAGTGAATTCACCTTTGCTCAACAACAAAGTGTCCAGAAGGACAAAAGCAAATCCTTGGGCATATCCCTGAAGTAAATGTCTGAAATGTTAAGACCAGTTCCAGAATTGATCCACCCCAAATAGCTGAAATTCCAAAGACTTTTTTGTTTTGTTGTTCAGAGTTCCTGATTTCTAAGGTCCCCACGGGGATAATTCCTTCCAAAGATTTGTCAATAGATCACAACATCTTTACATTCCTACATAATACAACTTTCAGTTTTACTCCAGGTATGGAGGCGGTGGGCATCTGATGCCTGTTTGGCAGGGGCAGGGTGGAGGTAGTGGGAATAATATGGAATGTAAAATACCTAAGTTGGCTTATCAACCTTAGTACTAATGACTTAGACTTCTTTCAAATGCTAATGATACATCTGATTCAAGACACAACAAAGCTAAGGATTTTCAGGAATCTGAATGAGTTACATCTACACCCAAGGTCATACAGCTAATCAGGGTGAGTCCAGGTCTCAACATATCAAAGCAGTAATCCTGTCTCTGAAGTTCCAAGGACTTTCATTTTTTTCCTTCAATTAAAAAAAGTACAAATTCAGTATGGAGGCTGGGTTGTATTAACCTACCCACTTTTGAAACTTAGTCCACATGAACTACTGACGTATTTAGCGTATTCTTAACCACACCTGGAGGAGTTTTCTAAACCGCAGACTTCTATATTCTACCTACTGAGCAAGGCACCACCATTGGCCTGTCTTGCAATAATGGTCTCTTTGAAACAAACATATGAGTAGCTATAGATGAAGGATGCAGTAAAGAAAACTGATATTCACACTCCTTTAAAAAGATGCACTGAATATAAGGAGGCATTGTCCTAAGTGCATGACAATTTTGTTTAATACTTACAGTAACCATGTATCACAATTCCCATTTTCTAAATAAAATTGAGGCACAGAGAAGGTAAGCAATTTACCAAAGATCATACAACCAGTAAATGGCTGAGAGAAGATTCGAACCTGGTGCTGTGGCTCCAAAGTCCATCCCCACCATGCCTAACCCTCCAAATCATGCTTTCTAAATATTATACTCCCTACACAATGTACAAATTGCTGAAATATCTACTTCAAACAGAAGTTCAAAACACAAACCAATGAAGTCCAGTCCTGCCTCCTTCAAAACGAACCAAAAAAAAAAAGAGTTTATAAAATGCTTAAGTGATAAGGGG
The DNA here is from genome assembly GCF_000001405.40 of Homo sapiens. Taxonomy (NCBI): domain Eukaryota; kingdom Metazoa; phylum Chordata; class Mammalia; order Primates; family Hominidae; genus Homo; species Homo sapiens. The sequence goes on along the minus strand of NC_000005.10, from coordinate 17,222,994 downwards.
AAAATATTGTGTAAATGCTTTGCTTTCTCCACTGCACACCATTTTCCTATATTATCCTGAAGTGTTTCCTTATGCCCTGGGCCCCTGTGGTGCTTGCAGATGGTTTCTATTTCTAAATCTCTAAAGCTTTCAGGAATGTATTCCTAGACTTCCAAGCCTGCTCAATCACCACCTCTCAGCACTGACGGCCTTGTTGAGTCAAAAAATCTCAGCTTTCCCTATTTTTGTTCAAAAATGTACTGAGTATGGAAAGTCTGTAAAACATTAAGAAATAATTTTTTATGTTATTTAAATCCTTAGGGTGCAGAAGAAAAACACACTATTTCATTCTCTCTGCCTCCCATTTCATCCCATTTCTGACTTCTAGAGGGAAAAGGAGAATGCTGTTTTAATCACACTGCTTCCTTCTTAGGCTTGTGGCTCCTCAAAATTACAATTGAACTATATTCTGGTGAGAAATGGACTCTGTATGGTTGATTTTTACTCTTGAGAGCATTTACCAGACATCTGTTCTCATGTGACACTTACCTAGACGTCTGCCTCAAAGGCTGTGGCTGGAAAGGCGTTTCACAAAAGCCTTCCTTTGGCAGGCTGGGCACTGCTGTGGTTTCAAGACTACCCTTGTATTTTCTCAAGAGAACTTAAATGCCACTTCTTAAGTTACATAAGTATAAGTATAAGCAGACCTGGGGAATTCAAGGAAGGTGGCCATCTTGATATCATGAAATCCACTTTCAGGCTAATTCCCATATAATACAGAATTTCAAATATCTACAAACACAAGGACAGAAAATAGGAACCATGATATTTGGTCCCCTTTAGGATTGAGACATCCTACTTCTAACTTAATACTCCTGGGGTCCCCCGGGCTTCATTAATCAAGCTGGAACAAAAATACAGCTGAATATACTGAAATTAGTTAGTGATGTCAATTACACTGAAAGTGTTGATTGACACTTTCAGTTGTTGAAAACACTTTCAGTGTAATTGATATCACTAATTGAGACTGAGAGGTTGAGGAGCCCTTCAGAGCCAGCCATTCCACACTTAAGTCATTTTTAGATATCATATGTAGTTCTTATTACAACCCCAAAATAGGAATTATTAGATTCTTCAAATCCAGTCTTTATACGATTTCCTGAGAAACCACTCCAAAAACATTACCCCAAAACACATAAAGAGTACTTTATCTTTCAAAATATTCTATTTGCAACCTCACAGTTCCTTCCTAATAGTTGTCCACTATAATTAAGCCAAAGAAAAAAGCTCATGTTCACTGGCTTATCTAATGTCTTAAGAGATACAATAAATTTAAAGGATTAGATATAATTAGAGAAAATTTGATATAACAATAAAGATTCCATGCCCATTTTCAGAGAATATTCAAGTTGTCTATATATCTACTCAGTGTTTTTCCCCAGCAGTTACCTGGTTTCCAGGGTACCAGCTAAGACCATCATTAAGAAGAGAAAGAAGATGTGAAATAAGTAGGTACAAACTACATTAAGATAAAGGTCTGGACAAATCAACGCATTTCTTTCAACAGAATCAGATACCAAGGGCAATTGCTTCTGACAAATAATAGTTCACAGGTCTTCTTTGGATATTTAAAAAAAAAAAAAAAAAAAACATTTACAAGAGATCACAAAAATAAGACAGAACAATTTTATAAATCTTTTATTTAGTAGGCATTGTTTATTCCAGCTTGTAAAGTTCAGTAGTGCTTGATGTAAGTTTTTAAGCCTGTGGATGAACGTCTTAGCTTAATGCTCCAGGTACACTGGGATAAATGGGAAGTGAGCTTATTAATAGACTTGCTAGGCTTTCCCTTTCAAACACATATTTAGAAAGACAGAAATTGATTATGTTCCAAAGACCAGTATCAAAGCACTATAAAATAATATTCTATACCAACCAGTTTGATTTCAAGTTATTCATAAGATTTTAGAGTGTGTATAAACAAGTATGTGTATGTGTACATGTGTATATACATGACACCTTGTTTTTAAAAATGGGTGTGGATTTTGCAATTTTTACAAAACTACCGTAAATAACACAGACATCCATTTTAGAGTGATCAAATCTCCTCCAAATGAAAGTTTCTCTCTGATGTCATACTCCGCTTGACCATGAAATGAAAATGGCTTCAAACTGTTCTTAATTGTGAAATTAAAAAATAAAGAGACAGAACGCATCACCTCTTGCACCATAAGATCCAGGAGGATTATGGATCCTAGTAAATCCAGGATTATGAAGAGGCCTCCAAGGATAGACAGCCTAAATGTTTAGGGCTCTCCCATTGGACCTTTAAACTAGGGTGATGTGGGGAGATAAGGTTCTCTTCTACACGTCACAATGGCAGACTGAGTACCAGTTAAAGAACAGAAATGCCACTGTCATTGTTGGTGCTTTTTATCAAAAGGCTCAATTTCTCTATCTGCTAAAGCTTGGCAAAAAGCTAGCTGGCTAAAAGAATAAGCGAACTGATAGAAATATTTTAATTCTGTAATAATTTTTAAAAATCGATTTAAATATTATCTCACTCAAAAACCTAAGATTTACTGAATTGGGGACATGCTGGTATATATTTGCTATTGAATTTGTTCTATATTCCAACATACCCCTCGCCAAAAACACAACCTAAAGGAAAAGAAAAAAGAAAGAACGTAGCTCTCTAAATCATAATAACCTACTCAATACTAAGGAGTACAGAGGGTACAATCCATGCCACCTAGAAGACAGCTAGACAGCCACCGTAGCCAGTAGATGGGCCCTGATATATTAAACGTGGTCAATATCAAGTTCTCATCAAAAAGGACAAAAGAGATGATTTCCATTGCTGCCACGCGTTATTCCACCAGGATGTACTGACAGTACTTAAGCATAAAACCCTATTAAACATAACCTACCACTGCAAAAAATATCATATTTGGCTCCTATTTAATATACACAATAAGTCCCTTTTTGTGTGGTAAAAACAAACTACCTGAAAATAAATCTAAATGGCCATAACCTGGAAAATAGATCATCTGAAAGAAAATCAGCCATCAAAGGTATATCATGGCTTCTGTTAGGTAATGGGGAAAAAGGAATCATTGCGAACCTAATCAACCAGCTTCACCCCAACGACTGCCTTCTTTCTGCCCCCATCAGATTTCCATCTGGACGCCATTCGCCTTTTGGAATCCTTAATGAAACAATGAGTTCGGAGTCCAGAGAAAACAGAAAGGGTTAGGATCCCGACAAGGTAATCGTTTTCTTCTCTCCGGTTTTTGTAGGCCATCTTGTTCGAATAAACGCCAAGATGTCTTAATTTTCCCCAGGTGGTGTCACTGGAGGCAACGCCCACTGACAGTTTTGAGGCCACCTTCCCTTAATCAAATGACCAAAAAAGATCTGTCAAACGGTTAATTGATGCAAATTAAGAAAGCCACCCTCACTGCAGTAAGATATGTTACAGGAAAAAGAACAATGAACAGTACTAGAAAGGAAAATAACAGTGTGCGGGTACAAAATATTTAATCCACAATTTGCCTTCATCCTCATCAAGGCAAATCTTAATTTTGGTCAATTGAAATCAGCAAGAAAGCAAAAGATGAGAGACAGCCTGGAAAAGAAGAAACACACACACAGGCGGGAAAAACTGTCATTGGTGTCCAAGGGTTTCCCGCAACATTTAGGGCAAACGCCTTTGTTCCTCGGCTCGGGAGGGGAGTGGGTGGCTGGATGATGGAGATGGGATGGGGCTGCCGGGCCCTCCACACCCTGCTCTCCGGCGCATGCGCGAGGCCAAGACAAAGGAATAGGTAATTACAGTCCCGATTCATTCATTTTGCCTGCAGTATACTGGGGGTCTGTTGGCCCGGGCTGTAATCCCGGGAGGTGGGGGTGGGGGGTCGGTCCACAACCCTATAGCAGAAGGCCATTTCGACGCTAGTGTTGGGTTTTAGCCCGCCCCACAGTGCGAGTGGCCGCGGGGGAGACAGAGGTGTTGTCAACCTGTACAAGGTCCTAAAAAATGCACCCATGTGTGCTGTGCTAATTTCAGCAGAGTGAGAATTACATGGGCAAGGGCTGTCCACCGAGTTCGTTTCAAGGCGGAAATGTCTCTGGGGACGCAGATAAGGAGCCTGGCCAAGCGTTCGATGAATATTCATGAAAAGAATGCGGTTTGCAGCCGCGCATTGTGCGTGCGATCGGATCCAGGATTCCGCAATTTTTATTTTTCTGGAAATGGAGGGGGGACGGGGGCGGGGGGAGCAGGAACCGGGCGCCGGGTTTCAGCTTTAGCGCTTTGGGCAAAAGCTGCTCAACCCCAACCCTACGCTCCCAGCGGGGCTGAGCCCAGTTAGGGCCGCGCGCTGTCAGGTTCAAGCCCACACCCCCCGGGCCCGGGCCGGGGCCGGGACCCAGGGCGGAGGCGCCTGGCGCATTCTTGGAACCAAAGGCTCGAAAAAACAAACTGCTCCGAGGCAGCCCACGGGTTCGTAGGAAGGCAATTCCGCCACTGACGAGGCTGGGGCTCCGATCTGCTCGGGAGGTGCTTCTGAGTGCACGTCGCCGTGTGAACCTCGTATTCCTTGGCCCCAGAACCAAGATCCAGGAGTCCCATGGGTCGAGAAAACCCGTTTGCCAAAGCAAAAAGCCACCCACTTCCTTCTGATCGGGCCAGATTCCCCATCTTCTTTCTCCCCGGACTCCCGCCCCACCCCACCCCCACCCTCCATCTTTGGCTGCTGCGCCCCTCGCCCCGAGCGCTTTCTCCCAGGCTGGTAAGGGCTCCGATGACGGAAGCGCTCCCTTCAGCCCACAGAACCGTCTCCCCGGGACTCAACGCACTGAGGGGGTTTCGCATTCGGCAATTCCTCCCGTCACCCGCAGCTCCTCTCCCCGACAGCCCCCTCCCCCCAGCTCCGTTTACCAACCTCGCCGCCCCCCTCACCCCTCCACCATGCGAGCGGCTGAAGCCTCCCACTTCTGGGCCCCCCATCACCCGGGATCCCCGAAGTGCGACGGAGCCCTCACAGAGGGACCCCAGGCCCTTGCCGTCCAATCCGGGCCCACATCCCTGCTGCCCGCTGCATGAAGGGAGAGCCCGGGGGCTGCGGGGCGGGGCGCGGCGCGGTGGGGGACGGAGGCCCCCGGGTCCGCGGCGGCGCGGGGCCACCGGGCGCGCCTCCTTACCGGCTCTGGGTGCCTATGCAGCCCCTGAGTTAGCGCGGTGCCGCCGAGAGGCCGGGGTCGCTGGCGTCGTCTGGCTGGTGCCTGGCCGCTGGCGGAGGCTCTCTCCCGGCTCGACGGCGGAGCCCGGAGCGAGGAGCCAGTTGGAGCGCTGCCGCCGCCGTCGTCGCCGCTGCCGCTACTGCCGCCGCCGCCGCCGCTGCAGCCTCTGCATTTCTCGCGCTCGCTCCCCCTCCCCTTCCTGCCCAGTGCCCTCCCCCCGCGCGTCCGCCCGCCCAGCCTCCCTCCTCCCGCGCTCCCCGCCCGCCTCTCTCCCCTCCCTCCAGCCCGGCGCCCCGCCCGTCTCCCCTCCACCCCCTCCAGCTCCATCTCCCCACCCCCTGCACTCCCTCTGCTCCCCTCCCCTCCTCCGGCGCAGACCCTCCCCTCTCCCCTCCAGCCTGGACACGCCCGCCTCCCCTTGACTCCCCCCAGCTCTGGGCCCCCACCTCCCCTCCCCTCCAGCACAGTCACCCCCATTTCTCTCCTATCCGCCATCCTGGTTCCTCCCTTCCCCCCACCTCCCAACTCTGTGCCCCGCCAACGTTTCCTAAATGCCCTCTATTCAGATCCCCCCTCCGCCTCCCCTCTCCTCTCCTCCATTCCTGCGTCCCCCTTCCCCCGCCGCGCCGCCTGGGCTGTCCGTGGACTTCTCCCACTCTCTCACTCTCTCACTCACTCTCTCTCTCTCTCTCTCTCTCTCACTCTCTCTCTCTCTCTCCCCCTCATTTATTTGGAACCGTTGGATAAGAAGTGCTCGGGCTCTCGCTCAGACTTAGGGAGCTGCCTCGAGGTGATGAATGACACCCCCTGGCACCAGCTACCCTTCTCAGACCCCAGTCCAGCCCGCTCCCGACGTCGACTACGATTCCGCTACCTCGGCTGGCAGCGAGGTTGGGGTGAGCCCCAGCTGCAGGCGCGTCTGGGCTGCGCCGCTGCAAACGAGTTGCGCACCTTGGGCGGCTCCGCACCTGCACCCGCACCCGCGGGGCTCAGCCCCGAAGGCTGCAGCTTCGGGGGAGGCGCGGTCGCCGAGGTCCAGCTGGTGGGGCGAGAGACGTCGCCCCTCGGAGGATGCTCTCGGAACTTGGGAGAGGAAGGAGGGAAGAGAAGAGGGGAAAGGGGCCGTCGATGTTTTTGATGTCTGTGCTTTAATGGAGGCCACCAATATTGAGAAGACGGGGTTGGCCGAGGCAGCCCGCACGCTGCTGCTTGCGAGCGCTCGAGTCAAAGCTAGGGCCAACCGCGGCTTGTCCGGGTGCCCTAAGGGGGCGGACACTTGGTTTAGCACCGGGACACAGAATAGCCACCGGGGTAGGAAGATGCGTTCACTTTGCTTACCTGTTGGCAAGAGGGACATACAAAAATAACGTAACGTGACATCGTTGACAACGGTAGCTCTTTGATTACACAAAAGCCAATTTTACCTTCCCGCAAAAGCCAGTTGACGCCTTTGGAACTTTTATTTGCGGCATTTTGGCGCCCTCTGGCTGTGTTTGGATCGCTTTCATGCTCGCCTGCGTCCCAGCCAAGAAAAAATCGATGGAGCTGCAGGTTGTCCTCAGGATGGTTCTGCCCTCAGGACCTGGGCGTGAATTCAGGGACAGGGTGGCCCTCCAGAACCGGAGTGACAAACTGTAACCATACTTAGGGAGGCAGACGTCAAAGGCAAGTACATCTGTATTCAACTGGGTAAAGGTAAGTGCATTTTCACTTAACAGGAAAATTAACTTATCGTAACTTTAACGTACATATTTGAATTAAGCAAAGTGGCAATATTTACTCAACTGCACTAGCGATTTTGCAGTGGAAACACTTGACGACCCTACTGTACACATTTACAGGTCATAGGAGGCAGCACCAAATTAGATTAATGCATGCCAGCTGGAAATGTTCAAATTTAAACCAAAGGTAAGAAAAAAGCGGGAACTGTTTGTTTTTTCCTGTTTCTCTTTCTGCCATTTAAAGTGAAATAAAAAGTTAGTGTAGTAAAATACCAGGGAAGCAAATTACAAATGAGGTTGCTTCTAAAGCATTTTATTCTTTTGAATATTTATTTCCCTCACACCAGTACACCATCTATAAAGCTAAATGGAGGATGCAGGTTTTCCCACCTCCTTTTGGGGCCAGATATTTCTTTGTTGTGGAAGGCTGTCCTATGCACTGTAGGATGTCTGGCATTCATTGCTGGCCTCTACTAGCAGCCAGTACCACCCTCCACACACACCACCAGCACCAGCACCAGTTGTGACAACCAAAAATGTCCCCAGATATCGCCAAATGTCTCCTGGGAGGCAAAATCACTCCAGGCTGAAAACCACTGAGCTACATTTTCTTTCAACCTCTATGAGCAAGTCTCTAGGTTTTTACCCTATCGAATTAGATGAATATTTGCAATGTTCTGCTCAAGACATTTCCTGAGTTTGTTAGAGGAGCTGCCTACTTGTTCATTTAGCATTCAGGGTTTTTATCCTTGTGATCTTCCAGGCATGTAAATCATCTAAAAATTAGCAAATACATTTCCTCATTGTATTTGCAGTCTAAGCCTGTGGGTGTTATCTTCCTTCTCTATTCTCTTTTTCCAATTTTTCCAAAAAAAAAAGACAACATAAAAATTAATGTTCAGTACCTTCAGTGCTTCCAGCTAAATTTTCATGATGGAGAAAACAAACCTTTCAAAGGTGTGATTGGAATACAGATCACGGGTTACCATAGAAACCGGAGGCAAAAGCTTACACCAACAAGGAGAACTGCAGGTCTCCTTAATTTTGTCTTCCATCAGATTTAGTTGTTCTCTTAAAACATTTTTTTAAATTTTTTTAAAGGAGGGTGAGAATTCATTTTCAATGAGATAATGATGCAACTGACTGATAGTGCTATTAATCTTTAGAAGCTTTTACAGAATTTGTAGGTTTGCAGCAAATGGTTGCCAAAATGTTACCTCTCAATGTAACAATATTACTATATAAAATCCAATTTGGCGATGTTTTTAGTCTAATTTTTAGTTGTTCATCTAATATCATACTTTTTAATGTGTATGCTCTTTAAAACATTTTTTTAAACTGATGCTTAGGGAATAAATGAATAAACCTTTAAAGTTCTGAATTTTAGAAAACTGTTAACATTAACTATTGTGAATGTGTCTGTTTACATTATAGACTAATGATCTTGAGAACAAATATTAAGGGTGTAATTTATGATAAATTTAATTAGCTTTCACCATTATGCTCATGAAAAAAAGACTGTTTTACTCTCCAAATGGAATGAATGCATTTGTTTTTGACAAACAAAGCTGGATTTCATCGGTTATAAACTGAATTCCATTGTCATTTTTAATTGCCTGCATAACTTGCTCCAGGGAAGCATAACCTGCATTATGAAAATCATTATCCAAAAGATAAATTATTCGTGATTACTAATTTTTTTCTAAAAGATTTGTCTTTGCTTGCAATATAATGGTCTCATTGTCATTTAAATTACTAGTCAGTTTACAAAAATTTCCATGTGCCTTCAGCTTTTCAAATCATATCTATTGTGTCAACTAAGACACCTACAATAGATAATTATACAGACCTCATCAAGCCTCAAAACCTCACTCTTATCTTCCCTCTCCCCACCTCCCACATCACCCACCAAGGCCTAGCGTCTTTCTCAGTTCCCCATCCTTTCCTCTTAAATAGTAAAAAGAGGATTAAAATCTCAAATAAAAGATGTAGAACAAGAATGAAGCAGAAGCATGGTGACAGTAGTGTCACCCGAGTGTGACTCTAGCCACCTTTGCTTGACATCTTTCTGGATAGTTCCTGTTCAAGGCCACTGCATTAACCCAAACCCTCAGAAACCCATTTAGAGAATTTGAAAGTAAATTCAGCTCTACTGGTAAGTTTTCCGTGGAGGACCAACTTGCTGCAATTTGTTTACAAAATCTTATCTGCAAATTGCAAGCAAAAGGCCAGACAGTATTACAGATGAAAGTGTACGGCTTTTTTTCTCTTAAATATATTTATAATTTTTTAACCAAAGGAAAATATTGAAATCTATATATTCGTCTGTCTTCCTTCCTACCCCAACCCTACCCAACCCCACGAGAGTCATTCTGGGCCAAAATGTCAATAATGGCAAGGTTGAGAAACCCAGGTTTAAATGAGCATCAAGTTGCTGCCCAGTTGGAAAATACCTGATCTTTTTTTTTTTTTTTTTTCTAAGAGCGCATGCTGCAGAGGGAAGCTGCCTCTTCCTGTGGCTTAAGGTATCTTCAGCAGGGCAAAAGGCTTGGAGGCACAAAATTTAATGGAGAAATTTTAACAAGGGCCTGCAATGCACAATGTGCGCTAAGCCCTTCATTAACCACCATTCTCCACTATAACACAAATTGAGGCAATAGTTTCAAGAGGTATGTCAAAGATTAAAAGCAATGATTTTGAATTGCATTCCCTGTTACTGCACACCAAGTAACTGGAAGAAAATGACTTAACCTTGCTTCCCTATTTAATTTCCTCTTCATGTACTGTAAAAGGAGAGCTGGGAAACCTGAGCAAACATTTGTTTACTACGAAGCATCGGAGTTGAAATGGAGGGGACAGCCTGGCCTTGGTGCTACATTAGGAACATTTGCCCAAGATGAGAGGCAGATAAAAACAAGCCTGTCTACCTGAATAGCTCTCATTCCCAACCCCGTTCTCCCTTTCATAGACTGTAATTCTGCCACCTATCCTTTCAGTCCCAAAGTACATTTCTAGTCACCAGCATTTTCTTTTTTTTTTTTTTTTTTTTTTTTTGGACACAGAGTCTCACTCTGTTGCCGAGGCTGGAGTGCAGTGGTGCGATCTTGGCTCACTGCAACCTCCCAGGTTCAAGAGATTCTCATGCCTCAGCCTCCCAAGTAGCTGGGACTACAGGCGCATGCTACCATACCCAGCTAATTTTTTTTTTTTTTAAGTAGAGATGGGGTTTCACCGTGTTAGCCAGGATGGTCTCGACCTCCTGACCTCGTGATCCGCCCGCCTCGGCCTCCCAAAGTGCTGGGATTACAGGCGTGAGCCACCGCGCCCGGCCCAGCATTTTCTATTAAGAAAATACATAAAATTGTCAGAGGCATTTAAACCCTTGCAACTCCATCTTGAATAGGGGCTGGGCAAAGTAAGGCTGAGACCTACTGGGCTGCGTTCCCAGGAGATTAAGCATTCCAAGTCACAGGATAAGATACAGCAAGGTCTTGGAGACCTTGCTGATAAAACAGGTTGTGGTATAGAAGCTGGCCAAAGCCCACCAAAACCAAGATGACAACGAAAGTGACCTCTGATTGTCCTCATTGCTCCCACCAGTGCCATGACCGTTTACAAATGCCATGGCAACATCAGGAAGTTACCCTATATGGTCAAAAAAGGGGAAAAACCCTCAGTTCTGGGACTTGCCCACATTTTTCCCAGAAAAGTCATGAATAATCCACCTCTTGTTTTAAAAATATGATCAAAAAATAACTATAAGTATCCTCAGCCAAGTAGCCCATGCCGCTGCTCTGCCTACGGAGTACTCATCTTTATTTCTTTACTTTCTTAATAAACTTGCTTTCAATGTACTATATGGACTCACCCTGAATTCTTTCTTGCATGAGATCCAAGAATCCTCCCTTGGGGTCTGGATTGGGACCCTTTCCTGTAACAAACCAATGGTAAAAAGGTGATAGCCTCCTAAGCAGCGAGGGCTTTTTCCATGCAGTGCCTACCTGTTCCTACAGACACCAGGGAGGGGATTATGGCATAGCAAGCTCAGTCTTGGGAAAACAGTCCTCGATTCCTTGGCTACCCTTCCCCCATTGTCACCCGTTAAACCAGTCAGAGAACAAGTTACCTTAAAATGGCACAAAGAATGTTGTAGAACAATTAATCACATGGCTCCACCTTTGAATAATGGAGACTGTAGAGGTCCTAGTGTTAAATAGTGTGTGCTGCGTCCACTCCTCAGCACCACCTGCTTCTACTCTCAGATCAGCCCTTACCATAATTAGAATATTTCTACTTTAACTTCAGTGCAAGGAATGGTGCCCGAAATAAATTGGTAAGTGCAAAAGCAAATTGCTAACCAGAATGCAAAGGATGCACATTTTTACTATAAGTAAATACATTAAGGGATGCTGCTTTGCCTACTTCTCTAAAGTGCAAATACGGACCAAATTCCAGTGTCTACCTAACTCTGCTTTTTGATAAACTCCCTAAGACTCCCAAACAGATACCATAACCCTCTTGCATTTCAAGCCTAGGAATCTCCTACTCAGATAAGTTCAACTCAGTGTCAGAATGATTTCTTTCCACAGGAAGAAAGTAAGTGATAAGAAATAAGAGAGCCGGGTTTGAACAAACAAGCAAGACCCAACTACTGTGTCAGTAGTTTTAAGGGAAACGGAAGGGCATGTATGAAAATGTGGTAGATGAACACATGATGTAGCAAGGTACTTGACGCGACAAGGAAATCATGGTCACCGTCTTGAAGCCTCAGTGTTCCTGGAAAAACTTGGACAGAAAAAGAAAAGCAATTTCATGGTAATTAAGGTATTAGTTTTATCAAAATCAAACACAAGGGAAGTTGTCAAAAACAACTTCTTAGATGCCTCTAGCAAGTTCCTGAACAGTATGTAGAGACTGTCCCATTGATGTTATAAACAAAAACATGGGAAAATACCCCAGACTGCTAAGAGTGGATCTCGCCGGGCACTGGTGTCATTTCAGAGGTGGGATAGAGGACAGCTTAGCTTTCATTCCATGTTATAACATTTTATGTTGAACAAATGTTTTTGCAATGACCATTTGTTACTTTGGTAATCAGAATATACAATTTTAGGAGTTGCTCAGGATTCCTGTTCAGGGCTAAGAAATCCCTGCCTTCTTATCAACTTTCCCTGGGCTGTTTTTTGGGCTTTGTGTTTGTTTGTTTGTTTTGTCTTGTTTTGTTTTGAGATGGAGTCTCACTCTAACTCAGGCTGGAGTGCAATGGCACTATCTTGGCTCACCGCAACCTCCGCCTCCCTGGTTAAACAATTCTCCTGCCTCAGCCTCCTGAGTAGCTGGGATTACAGGCACTCACCACCACACCCGGCTAATATTTGTGTTTTTAGTAGAGACTGGGTTTCGTTATATTGGCCAGGCTGGTCTCAAACTCCTGACCTCAGGTGATCCGCCTGCCTCGGCCTCTCAAACTGCTAGGATTACGGGCGTGAGCCACCAAGCCCGGCCCCCCTGGACTCTTTTTAACACCATACATCTGCTTTCTGCGTCTTTCTGCTTCTTCATCTTACAATGAGTGACGCCATGTGAGTCAAGAATGGGGCCAAAACCCTAGCACTTCTCCTTTGACTTCGTTGCATTATTTCCACTCATTCTGACCTCAGAGCAAATAGAAAGATATTCCACCCCTGGTGCAGGTCTCCAGTTCACTTCTAGTGCAAAGGAAACTCCTCTCTAGCTTTATTCATGTTGAGGTCATTGATCAAATGACTAGCGCTTACAGGAAAAGAACGTTTTAGCCTACAGTTAGCCCCTACCTTCTCCATTCATATATTAACCTTTTTGTATTGATGAGCCCATAACACTAATACAAAGTTCTGTTTTTCATATGACATTGTTTTTTGTGTTCTTCTCAGTATCTCTGAATGATCTTCTATGACACAGCATTGCTGCTGAATCAGGGCTATGCTGATTTTTATGACTTTTGCTCTTCAATAAAATTAAACAAATTCAGTGCAACCAAGAGCCTCAACACCAAGGCATCCTAAAACTTTTTTTTTTTTTTTGGTAGAAATGGGGTCTCACTTTATTGCACAGGATGGTCTCAAACTCCTGGCTTCAAGCAACCCCCCCGCCTCAGCCTCCCAAGGTGCTGAGATTGCAGGCTTGAGCCACCATGCCTGACCATTACAACTTTTTTTTATTTTTTTGAGACAAAGTCTCTCTCTCTGTCGCCAGGCTGGAGTGCAGTGGCGCGATCTCGGCTCACTGCAACCTCCATCTCCTGGGTTCACGCCATTCTCCTGCCTCAGCCTCCCAAGTAGCTGGGATTATAGGCATCTACCACCACACCTGGCTAATTTTTTTATTTTTAGTAGAGATGGGGTTTCACCATGTTGGTCAGGCTGGTCTCGAACTCCTGACCTCAGGTGATCCACCTGCCTCCGCCTCCCAAAGTGCTGGAATTACAGGCGTGAGCCACCATGCCCAGCCTAAATTTCTTAAAGTCAATTTTTTCATGTATATTTTTACTAGAGATAAATAAATTTTCTCGTCAGGCCACATATTATATTGATGCGGTTTGGCTTTGTGTCCCCATCGAAATGTCATCTTGAATTGTAATCCCCAGGTGTTGAGGGAGGGACATGGTGGGAGGTGACTGAATCATGGGGCGGTTTCCCCCATGCTGTTCTTGTGTTAGTGAGTGAGTTCTCATGCGATCTGATGGTTTTATAAGTGTTTGGTAGTTCCTCTCTTGCTCTCTCTCTCTCCACTGCTGCCATGGAAGACGTGCCTGCTTCCCCTTCCATCATGATAATACGTTTCCTGAGGCCTCCCCAGCCATGCAGTACTGTGAGTCAATTAAACCTCTTTTTATAAATTACCCAGTCTCAGGGAAGTTCTTTATAGCAGTGTGAAAATGAACTAATAAATATATCAACCTCCAAAGGGCAGAGACCATCATATAATTCTTCCAAAGTGTTTTTCTAAGAAGGTAAAAATAATGTTGTCCAGACAGGCAACTTTGTGCTGGAGTTGACAGTGAGATTCTCCCTCCATGGGCTGGAGGGTGGAGGGAAGGAGCTGGAAGCTTGTCCTTGGTCCGTGTCAGGATTTCCACTGGGGAAGGAAGGTCTCTTCAAAACATACACATCTCAGTTTCTGATTCTGCCTCCCTTCTTGCGTCTCAAGCAGAGCTTTTCAACCTGGGGACCCCAGTCTCCTGGGGGATTTTGGACAGATATTAGGGAGTTCTTGCCCCCCTCCACCCAGATTTCTTTCACTAAATGCCAGACATTTTGGGTTGAACTTTAAACAAATACTGAAGAACAAAAATTGATTTTTCAAGTATTGTGTTGGCAGAAAAACAATAAGAAATATTTGTATTTTAAGGGCCTCCTCCTCTTCCTCCTCCAGCTTCTGAGTTTAAGACCTTGGTTTATATTTGGCCACCATTTTTCTTTCTTTCTTTCTTTCTTTCTTTTTTTTTTTTTTTTTTTTTTTTTTGAGACAGAGTCTCTCTCTCTCTCTCTCTGTCACCCAGGCTGGAGTGCAGTGGTGCGATCTTGGCTCACTGCAACCTCCACCTCCTGCGTTCAAGCAATTCTTCTGCCTCAGCCTCCCAAGTAGCTGGGACTACAGGCATCACTATGCCTGGCTAATTTTTGTATTTTCAGTAGAGACAGGGTTTCGCCATGTTGGCCAGACTGGTCACAAACCCCTGACCTCAGGTGATCCACCCCCATCAGCCTCCTAAAGTGCTGGAATTACAGGCATGAACCACAGCATTATGGCCACCATTTCTGCCTGGAAGGGCACGGTGGGACTCTAACAATGGACACCCCACGTCTTGTTAGTAGCTATTTCAAATCTTCTGAAGGATGAGAAGACTTAAAATCTATTCTCTTAGCAATTTTCAAGTATGCAATATATTGTTACTAGTTGTAGTCACTATATGAGGCCATGTCTATGTTAAATAGTTTCATGTAGTCATTTCACATTTTCTGTATACATCTATCAAAACATCATGTCGTATACATCATAAATATATATAATTTTACTTTTCAATTTTAAAAATTCATTAATAATAAAATTAAAAATCCTATTAAAAAAACCTGTTCAAGGGCCTGCAAATTGCTGGGGGGAAGCGCAAGAGGCAGGAAGCACAGAGAAAGGAAGAGGCAACCTGGGCCAGGAGGAGGGCAGTTGTTCCCCAGCAACCCCCTGGATCCACACAGAGGCACCCTAAGTGGCTCCTGGGGAACACCGGGAGGAGATCCGAACCGGAAGACCAGGGACCTGACACCTGCACCTGACCTCAGGTGATCCACCCACCTTGGCCTCCCAAAGTGCTGGGATTACAGGTATGAGCCACCACGCCGGACCCTGACTTTTTTTTTTTTTTTTTTTTTTTTTTTTGAGACAGAGTCTCGCTCTGTAGCCCAGGCTGGAGTGCAGTGGCGTGATCTCAGCTCACTGCAACCTCCACCTCCCAGGTTGTAGCAATTCTCTTGCCTCAGCCTCCAGAGCTCCTTCTTGGATGGGGATGCTGAAGACCCCACCTGAGGGTGGGGAAGTGGAATTAGCCTAAAGGACATATGTAACTACTGGTATAAAAAATGCCACCCACTGCATAAACTTGTGTTTGTCACTATATTTTTTTTTCTTTTGGTGGGTTGGCGGGGGACAGAGCCTCACTCTGTTGCCCAGGCTGGAGTGCAGTGGTGCAATCTTGGCTCACTGCAGTCTCCGCCTCCTGGGTTTCAGCGACCCTCCTGCCTCAGCCTCTGGAGCAGCTGGGATTACAGGCGCCCACCACCACGCCCGGCTGATTTTTTTGTATTGTTAGTAGAGACGGGGTTTCGCTGTGTTGGCCAGGCTGGTCTCAAACTCTTGACCTCCGGTGATCCACTCACCTCAGCTTCCCAAAGTGCTGGGATTACAGGTGTGAGCCACCAGGCCCAGCCATGTCATTATATTTCTTAATGTTGTCATTAACTGATAATCTCAAAAGTACTGACTTTTTTTTTTTGGGCAGTCTCTCTCTCTGTTGCCCAGGTTGGAGTGCAGTTGCTCGATCTTGTCTCACTGCAACCTCCACCTCCTAGGTTCAATCGAGTCTCATGCCTCAGTCTCCCAAGTAACTGGAATCATTTTTAGTAGAGACACGGTTTCACCATGTTGGCCAGGCTGGTCTCAAACTCCTGACCTCAGGTGATCCACCCGCCTTGGCCTCCCAAAGTGCTGGGATTACAGGTGTGAGCTGCCACCACGCCCGACCCTAACTTTTTTTTTTTTTTTTTTCAGACGGAGTCTTGCTCTGTCGCCCAGGCTGGAGTGCAGTGATGGATCTCGGCTCACTGCAACTTCTGCCTCCCGGGTTCTAGCAATTCTCCTGCCTCAGCCTCCCGAGTAGCTGGGATTACAGGCGTCTGCCACCACGCCCAGCTAATTTTTTGTATTTTAGTAGAGACGGGGTTTCACTGTGTTGCCCAGGCTGGTCTCAAACTCCTCAGGTGATCCTCCTGCCTTGGGCTCCCAAAGTGCTGGGATTACAGGCATGAGCCACGGCACCTGGCCAACATATTTTTTTAAGAACAGTTGAAAACTAAGTTTAAGCACAGAGTCCATGCCTTCAGAAATACAGAGTCTGATAGAGATGCTGATAATCTAGAGCAGAAGTCAGCAAAATTTTTCATAAAGGGTCAAATAGTGAATATATTTTGCTTTGAAAGCCATGAGATTTCTGTTGACACTACCCACCACTGCCACTGTATCAGGATGCAGCCACAGACAATGTGTCAACAAATGGACATGGCTATGTTCCAATAAAACTTTATTTACATAACACCTAGCAGGTCACTCTTGACACAAGGGAAGCAGTTTGCCCATTCCTGATCTGTATCATTAATAATT
Source organism: Homo sapiens (assembly GCF_000001405.40). Taxonomy (NCBI): domain Eukaryota; kingdom Metazoa; phylum Chordata; class Mammalia; order Primates; family Hominidae; genus Homo; species Homo sapiens. The sequence continues at coordinate 17,206,138 of NC_000005.10, read as the reverse complement.
TGCTTCTGCTAAAATCACTCCTAAACTATAATAATGTGAGTTTGAAGGTTCCTTTCAAATAACTCAAATTGCTTTAATATGTATTATCTTATCTACCTTAGGAAATTATCTGGGAGCAACAAATAAATGGAGAAAAAAGAGTTCTCTAATTTTTTAACATGTCATATACAGAATTTCATGTGAATATTTCCACATTCTCAAATCATTATTTTTTCTTTTCACTAAGGTTAACTCTGTACATTCTTTCATGTATTTAAATACATTTCATTGTTTTTTTCATCCACTCAAAACATTTATGACATAAGGTGATGACATTTGAATTTAATCCCAATTTCCATTAGGAGAGGCTTATACTCCCTTCTGAGGTTTATTTTATTTTAATCTCATGAATTTCACAATATCCTAGTAATTGAAATATAGCTTGAAATATCTGCCAATGTAATCTGGAATTATCTCCTTGTAGAGAAGCAAAATGGGGGGAAGAAAGCAAGTAATGTCAGTCAACTAAAAGGCATAGAGATAAAAGGAAATGAAATAGGAAGCAGAATAAATGCCAGGTTTAGTGCACGACATTTTTCTGAATGGGACATTTTTTAACATTCTACAATATAATACTTTTACCTCATGATATAGGATAGCAGATGAATCCTGGCTAAATGAATAGATGCAGATGTATTTTCAGTTATCTTAGATTAATTCCTGAAGACTGCAGTTTAATAATTCTGAGTCTGAATTTCATTTTTATTATATCACTACATGTTGAGAACCCTTCAAAAGTTTGTCTAGTTCAATTCTAAAATTCAACTGAGGCTGGGCACAGTGGCTCATGCCTGTAATCTCAGCACTTTGGGAGACCGAGGCGGGCAGATCACCTGAGGTCAGGAGATCGAGACCAGCCTGATCAACATGGTGATACCCTGTCTGTACTAAAAATACAAAAATTAGCCAGGCGTGGTAGTGCATACCTGTAGTCCCAGCTACTTGAGAGGCTGAGGCAGGAGAATCACTGGAATCCAGGGGCAGAAGTTGCAGTGAGCAGAGATCGCACCACTGCACTGAAGCCTGGGTGACAGAGCGAGATTCCATCTCAAAAAAAATTAAATTAAATTAAATTCAGTTGAAACAACAATGTTTTGAAAAGCTTTTTAAAACACTCTTTAAAATTTAGAACTGAAAGAAACCATGTCCAAAAATACACAGCCAAGTCCCCTCCCACATTCGGGGTAGGTATTGATAACCAATCAATATCAATCAATCAAAGCATTCTTTCTGTGGCTAAAAAGTATTTCGTAATACTATGCCCCAGATTCTACTGCCAGTTAATCTGATCTCACCCCAAAGCTGATATGTCATTGTCATCTGCACTGTAGTCCAATTTCTTCATGTTATAAATTGAAAATCTAAGACATATTGAGGTTAAAGGATCTTCTCAGTGCCAAAGATGCTGCTCCAGTCAGTTCAACGCCTTTCTGCTTCTGTTTTTGCAATACCAGATTGCCCCTACACCAGGAGGGGATGGGGTGGCCACTATGGCAACATGAATTTTAAACATATGCAAACTAAACATAATTTGAGTCACCTACTAAACACTGGAAACGATTCCTGAGTGCTGGGAATTCAGCAACAAACAGGGCAGACGCAAGGCTTGCAGGCATAAGAGGTAAAAAGAATAAGGTCACTCCAGATAGTGCTTCCTCTCAGGAGGGGCCGCTTTCTAATGAACGCTTGTGGAAGGTGTGTAGGAGGAGGAGAGCTGAGCCATGAGAGCCAGCCCTGCGATCATGAGGAGAGGATGGTAGTGGGTACAGGGTGCCGCTAGTTGAGAGCCACAAAGGCTTGCTGGAAGGAGGCAAGGGCAGCAGTCTGCTGTGTTCAGTGCTGAGAGATAGAGTGGGGTGAGGACCCAGGGGCGCTTTGGGGATGGGAGTGGTGTGTGGCGCTGGCTGGACAGGTTCCAGGGGAGTGGTGGTAACAGATGCCCTGGGCTAAGGTGAGTGGAGGGGAATGGAGACAGTGAACACAGACGAAACTTTCCAGAAGTTTTATTGATTGTGACAGGAAGCAGAGAAATGCAGCATTAGCTAGAGAGAATTTTGGATTAAGGAAAAGGTTTTGTAATGAAGGCTTTTGAGAGCGTGTGTATATGCTGATAGGTATACAAGGGCCAGGGAGCTGAATGTTGGAGGAAGAGGAGCCAGATACAGATGCAAAGTCCTTGAGTCCTTGAGTCCTTGAAAAGGCAAGGTGTGTTTGGGTGCAGGGAATAGAAACAGGAAAGGGATGGGCTTTATAGGAACAGGGGTATTTTGCCTACCTACAGAATGAAGAATGATAGGGAAGAGGGGCTCCCATGTAGGTAGGCTATTAGGTTAAGAGGCTGATGAAGGTGGGATACGTTTCCAAATACTAACTTAGATACACATGTTCTTATGCTATGAGACATAAACTCCAGAATAGTGTGGCTCCTAGTCCATTTCATTCACTGCTGTAAGCTCAGAGCCTAGAACAGAGCGTGGTGACTGTGACATTAGACACTCAATAAGTATGTGTGGAAGCAAAGGCACTGCAGAGCCCTGGTTTTGCCAGTCTGGTTTTCCAAATAACCACAAGGTGGCAGGCTTGTTCAAAAAAAAACAGTATCGCTTACTTGGCTAATTTCTACTGTGTAATAAGTAATAAGCCCAGTATGACTTTTAAGTGAATTTTTTTTTTTCTAGATGGAATCTCGCTCTGCCGCCAGGCTGGACTGAAGTGGCGCAATCTCGGCTCACTGAAACCTCTGCCTCCTGGGTTCAAGCGATTCTCCTGCCTCAGCCTCCCGAGTATCTGGGACTACAGGCACGTGCCACCACGCCCAGCTAATTTTTGTATTTTCAGTAGAGACGGGGTTTCACCAAGTTGGCCAGGATGGTCTTGATCTCTTGACCTTGTGATCCACCCGCCTTGGCCTCCTAAAGTCCTGGGATTACAGGTGTGAGCCACCGCGCCCGGCCAGGATTAGTTCTTTGTTCATCCCAAATGTTTACTTGCTGTCCACATGTGGCAAAAACAGCTTCTTTCCAGTGATGATCAGTCCCAGTGTCCGCCGCCTTCTTAATACCATATGCAAAAGGACTTCCCCTTCTCCATAGCCTGAGCCCTCCAATTCCCACTGCTTCACAGTCCTGTCATCACCAACAGTAAAAAAAAAAGAACTCCCAGCCGGGCGCGGTGGCTCACGCCTGTAATCCCAGCACTTTGGGAGGCGAAGGCAGGCAGATCACGAGCTCAGAAGATCGAGACCCTCCTGGCTAACACGGTTAAACCCCATCTGTGCTAAAAATACAAAAAATTAGCCGGGCGTGGTGGCGGGCGCCTGTAGTCCCAGCTACTCGGGATGGTGAGGCAGGAGAATGGCATGAACCCGGGAGGCAGAGCTTGCAGTGAGCCGAGATCGCGCCACTGCCCTCCAGCCTGGGCGACAGAGCGAGACTCCGTCTCAAAAAAAAAATTAAAAAATAAGAAAAGTCCCACAAAAGTGAGGACATATTCCTCGTACAAAGCCTTCATGTGCTTGTATTGTACGGACACATTTCCGTTGAGTCAGGTTCCAGATTCTAACCTCTCCATCACATGGCCCAGAAAGGACAGGAGCCAGGCTCCTTGGATGCTTTGCCAAGCAATTGACTCCGTCTCAGTGACCATTCAGGGAAAAAGGAATGGTTTTGCAAATACTCTTTCCAGTTTGACAGCATTTAAAGCTCTTAAGTATTCTCGTGGGACCGCAGAAGGATGTAGGGTAGGATCATAGTTTCTGGGAAGTCTGTAAATCCAACTTGCTTTCACAGACATAGTTATCCGGGTTCCAGCTCAGCATCTTCACCTTCCTCTTGGTTGTTCTTCCCGCCAAACTCCACGAGCTTTTCATTCCGGGTTCCTATTTTCTCGTAGAAATGATTTCCCCTGAAAATAACAATACTTACTGCCTCTCAGCTATTTCTTACATTTGGCAAATTTCAAAGTCACATGAGAAATGTAAAACACTAGAGAATCCCCCATATGAAACAGGATCTTCTCTGAGATCACCTAAGGTGTCTGGACTCTTGATTTTAGAATCTGAATTTCATTTGTATAAGTCAGATAAGATTCCATCGGCTGTTTTTGTTTTGCTCTTTTTTTGTTTTTTGTTTTGTTTTGTTTTGTTTTTGTTTTTTTAGACACGGTCTCACTCTGTTGCCAGGCTGGAGTGCAGTGGTGCGATCTCGGCTCACTGCAACCTCCGCCTCCCGGGGTTCAAGTGACTCTCCTGCCTCAGCCTCCTGAGTAGCTGAGACTACAGGCATGCGCCACCACGCCTGGCTAACTTTTGTAATTTTTGGTAGAGACAGAGTTTCACCATGTTGTCCAGGCAGGTCTCCTGACCTCAACCAATCCGCCAGCCTCAGCCTCCCAAAGTGCTGGGATTACAGGCGTGAGCCACCGCACCCAGCCTTAGATTGGCTCTTTTGAAAAGAAATCTCTTGGTGTTTTTCCTTATAGAGAATTTCTTAATATTTTTTTCCCCTAACTACACCCTGGGATATTGAAAATTCAGGTGAAAATTAATTTTTGTTCTTTTTTTAAAATTGGCATATAGGCCGGGGGGTGGTGGCTCACGCCTATATGCCGGGCTCCCAAAGTGGCTCAGCACTTTTGAAGGCTGAGGCGGATGGATCACCTGAGGTCAGGAGTTCAAGACCAGACTGGCCAATATGGTGAAACCCCATCTCTACTAAAAATACAAAAATCAGCTGGGTGTGGTGGTGGGCGCCTATAATCCTAGCTACTCGGGGGGCTGAGGCATGAGAATCGCTTGAACCCAGGAGGCGGAGGTTGCAGTGAGCTGAGACTGCACCACTGCACTGCAGCCTGGATGACAGAGCTAGACTCTGACTCAAAAAAAAAAGTGATATATAGGGTTTGATTCTGATGCTTCTGTGTGATTATGTCCCTGACACTGTATTTTTGTTCTGTTTTGCTTTGCTTGCATTTGAATTAGATAAAATCTATATAGTCTTTTAGGTGTTCAAATCAATTGCTTCCTTTATAGAGTTTGAGAATTGGACGCCATCCTTACCCTGCTTCATTTTCCTCACCAGTAGAGTGGGAGAATAGCAGTATCTATCTGTGGGGGGTTGTATTACCCAAAACATTTGTTGCCCCTCCCTGGTGGAGGACTGTGCTTTCCCCATCCACTGATGTCGCACGTGGCCATGGGATTTGAGATGCCCTTCCAAGTAGTAGGATAAAACCTCCCTGGCCCATTGAGGTCAGGAGGGACCCTGTGACTTGCTTTGGCCATTGAATTGCGGGGAGATGTGATGTGTTTCACGTCTGAACAGAAGTTCAAGAACTAGCTCCTGGCTTGCCATCACTCCTTTCCTTTTGCCAATCTCCACCCACGTACTGCACTTGCTTCCATGACACAGCCCCATGACGGACACAGCATGTGGGCAAGAAGTAAACATGAATGGCTATGAGCCTCTGAGATCTGGGGACTATTTTTTAACTGAGGCATTACTTAGTCCAAGTTAACTGATACAATATATGGTGACTGTGAGAATAAGTGAGCTCATATCTGTAAAATCCTTAGCCCCATGTGTGGTATATCTTAAGCAACGAATACATATTATTAATATCCTTGATCACTATTCATTCATTCAATTTATCTGCCATATTGAGGATAAAAGCCCATGTAAAACTATCTAATTTCCCTTACAAAGTGTTGGCATAATTCAGAGGTTTAAAATGAGATTTAGAGTCCAATAAAGAGGTTACGATATCCTCTCCATGGAAAGCAGTGAGAAGTGCAGAGGACAAAGTGCCAATTCATGGGACGCATGTGCTCCAGAATATGTCTCGGGCCACTAGCAGTAATTTCCCTGGCACTGCAACTCTGCCTTCGTGGCCTTTTATAGTTCAGAAGGTACACATTTCTTTGACTGCTCAAAACAACCAGTAAGAAGAAATCACTCAACCTAAGATACTCTTAAATTTTGATTCAATTATATTGAATGATTATCTTCTTCCACTTATGATAGTGAGTTCTTGGCACCTAGGAAAGGCAAATGCACACACCCCTATCTGTGCTAGGGAAGGGTAAAAGAGCCAGGCCTATTTGGTGCCAAATTAGAATTATTTTGATATCTCCTTGACGTAGCTGAATGTCAAAAATGCAGATGCATTCTAAGGTCCCAAAGAATGCAAATGTACTTTCAAATTGATGTCAACTTAGTGCTTTTCATACAGTTTTGAATATTTGCATGTTAACAAAAACGTCCTGAGTGATGTCGATTCTGAACTGCAGTTCCCACCGATTCTTTCCACCCAGATCAAGCACCACAGACTCCACCCATTCAGATAATTCACAGCAATATTCCTTCATTTGGGCCCTTGAGTGAAGAAGAAAGCAGTTTACACTGTAATTCTTTCACTGGAGGGTCTGAAAGCCTGTCACCTACAGAAATCCTCCAAGGCCCAGGACTTAGAGGCAGGGGTTCCCTCCAAATCATTCAAGAGGCAAGCACCTCCAAGCTCCCTGATTCCCACCCTTGTCTGGAAACACGTCTGGAGAAACTGACTCCAAGTGGCGCCAGTCCATTTGTTTGTTACTGATAAGCACAGAGGAGGGAGATTGAGGCGCAGACCTGAAAATGGGGAAATTAACCTTAGTCAGCCAACTGATGTGAGCGTGCCTATTCCATTTTCCACAATCTGATCCCAGAAGTCTGTAACCAGGAAAATACCCACCAATAGGATACTGGAGGCTTCTCTGGAGACCAGGTTCCCTAATGAAGAGGCCAGCTGGCTCTCTAGCCAAAATGAGTTTTGCACCTACTGGGAAACCCACTTTTTCACAAGCTCTGCCTAAACTTGCAAATTGCTTTTATGTATTTTAGTCTTAATTATAAAAGGACAGCCAAGGATTGCCAGGTATTTAAGAAAACTTGCAGTTGGGTGCGGGGACTCACGCCTGTAATCCTAGTACTTTGGGAGGCCAAGGCAGGTGGACCACTTGAGGTCAGGAGTTCGAAACCAACCTGACCAATATGGCAAAACCCCGTCTCTACTAAACACACACACACACACACACACACACACAAAATTAGCGGGGCATGGTGGCAGGCGCCTATAAGGCTGAGGCAGGAAAATGGCTTGAACCCAAGAGGTGGAGGTTGCAGTGAGCCAAGATTGCACCATTGCACTCCAGCCTGGGCAACAAGAGTGAAACTCCATCTCAAAAAAAAAAAAAAAAAGAAAGGAAAACTTGCAACCTGAGCTAAAGAAGTCTGGCGGGAAGGACTCCAAAGGAAATAAATGATACAGGAACTGGAGATATATATACATAATATCAATACCCTCAGAGCTATTAAAGAAGAAAGTATCCTCATAAAATAAGGACAAGAAAACATGAAACAAGTTCAGAAAGCAAGAGAAATTCCTTGTAAATTAACAATGTGATAACCAAGATATAAATTTCAGTAGAGGATTAGAATACAATATGGAAGAAATGCTAGAAAGGAAAATGGAAATATCAAGAAATAGAAAACAGGAGTGAAAAGAAGAGGCAGAGATTCAAAACAAGAGGACCAACATTTCTGAAATTCCAGAAAAAGAACAGAAGAGAAGAAATTATCAAAGAGATTGTGGCAAACTTTTCCCAGAACTGAGGATCACAAGTCTCTGAATTAAAAAGGCACACTCTGTGCCAAGCCCAATGAATGGATAAAAAGATCATAAGAAAGCACACCATCTTGAAATCTCAGGACCCTGGAGATAAAGAAAAGATACAGAAGACTTCCAGAGAGGAAACAAACAAATGGAATCAGGAATCAGAATCGCCATACTAGATGTAAAAAGATAAAGACTTTCAAAATTCTAAAGGAAAATTGCTCTCAATCTAGATTTTTTTTTTTTTTTTTTTTTTTTTGGATACAGGGTCTTGCTCTGCCACCCAGCCTGGAGAGCAGTGGCATGATCATGGCTCACTGCAGCCTCGACTCTCCCAGGCTTAGATGATCCTCCCCCCTCAGCCTCCTGAGTAGCTGGGACCATAGCATACCACCATGCCTGAATAATATTTTGTACTTTTTGTAGAGATGGGGTTTTGCTATGTTGCCCATGCTGGTCTCAAACTCTTACACTCAAACAATCTGCACACTTCAGTCTCCCAAAGTGCTAGGATTACAGGGATAAGCCATTGCACCTGGCCAGTCTAGTATTTTATACCCAACCAATCTATCCATCCAAAGAAAGGATAGAATAGACATATTCAGACTTTTAAAGACTGTCAGAATGAGGGTCAAAGCCAAGGAGAAGAGAGACATAGAATCAAAAAGGAGGGTGTCCAACACAAGGGAGCATCAGAAGGAAGTCCCAGAATAACAACAGCACAGCCAATCCAGACAAGAGCTGGTCCAGGTCAGATCAATTAAACCAAAAGATTATGATGCATTTGAGAATTTGGAAACTAATACTGATAAGACACTTGGAAATAAGAAGTAATTACACTTTCAGAGACAACATAACACATAAGAAAAGGTGGCAACTTCAGGAAAAACAAAAGTTTGTAAAAAGGAATCAGTTCATATACCTTACTTGGCTCAGTGGTAAACCATATTTATATAGTCATAACAATGTAAATCCTGACTAGTAATTTAACGACAAATTACAACATATTGGGAAAATGCAAGGCTGAAAAAGCAGGGAAGGGGAGATGAGAGGGAGAGCTATCAGAACACCCTATGCTTATATCGCATAACAGAAATTCAGTAAACAATGTCTACATGTGACAAATCAAAAATTAGAAAAAGAGCAGTAAAATATAGAGGAACTTGCCAGGAAAACCAACTAAGTATTGGAAGGCCATACCCCTAAGGAAAGCAAAAAGAAAGATGGGAAGGAATGAGTAGGGAATGGTGTTTTCCATTATAAGCTCTTTTGTACTGATAACGTTTTAAATTACATATACATATTACCTTGATTTTTTAAGTTAATTTTTTAAAAAAGAAATAGAAAACATAGTTCATCATCAAGGAATTACCAGTCTAGCTGGGGAGATACGACACCAGCATGTAAAAAGAGAATAAGAATAATACAAGTTTAAGTTTTAAGGACAAAAAAAGAACACAATTCACCAGGCAGTTTGACTAATTGCCAAAAAAAATAATTCCAGAGTCAGAGAGAGAAGAGCTCGTTGCTGCCTTGAGGTTACAGGGGAAGACTTTGTGGAGTGGGAAGATCTGCCCTGGGTTTCCTTGGGAAGGCGGAACTTTACTTACACAAGGCAAAGTCAGGCCAAAGAATTCTTAGACGCAAACACAACACATGCTGAGAGGGAGGACAGTGAGCAATCCGTTTGGACTGAATTGCTAATTGCTTTTGTCCAATTTGGGTCCTACAGGAGCTGTTCAACCATCCAACCAGGAAGGGTCGATGGAGTCCAGGCTCCAAAAGGTCTTAGAAGTCAGGTTAAAAAGTTTTTGAGTATTCCCCAAAGAGATGCAGGTCCACACTGAAGGTGCACAAAATGACAGACAGCAAGAGCACGTTGGGCCTTCTGTTTTGTCAACATTAATTATAGCAATTGACATTATATCTTCATTCAGCCTGTATGTAAGATGGTCAGTGAGTGTATGAATCTATCCCAAGGTGGTGTGCGTGACGGGAGCGAGGATAAGTTTATACACACACTGACCATCTCACAAACAGGCTTTCCCACCCCTTACTTCCCATGTATTGTCCTGTTTCGCAGTACACGTGGCTCATGTGTTAGCTTAATTAACCCTCAAAAAATGGACAAGTGGCTTAAAAAGACTCCTGGAAATAAATTACAGATTGAACTTAATATTAGTACTAATAGAGCAAGAACAGACAAGCAACAGGAAATCTGCAGAGCCGACTCACCTATGTCTCAGCCTGAGCTAAAAGCAACATGGGCCAGGTGCAGTGGCTCACGACCAAAATCCCAACACTTTGGGAGGCCGAGGTGGGCAAATCACCTGAGGTCAGGAGTTCAAGACCAGCCTGGCCAACATGGTGAAACCCTGTCTCTACTAAAAGTACAAAAATTAGCTGGGCATAGTGGCCCACACCTGTAGTCCCAGCTACTCGGGAGGCTGAGGCAGGAGAATCGCTTGATCCTGGGAGGCAGAGGTTGCAGTGAGCCGAGATCACACCACTGCACTCCAGCCTAGATGACAGAGCGAGACTCCATCTCAAAAAAAAGCAACAGTGATCACCTCACCTCTAACAATACGCTGGAAAAAAAATTAAATTACCAGGAAGATGCATTGTAATGAGATTTGTATCCACTGCTATTAAAGAGAAAACCCACCCTAGGTGTAAAATGTGCCTTGAAAGGGTAGCTGATGATAGGTCTTAGCGCCATGACTAGAGATATTTGGAAATACTTCCCATTTCAGCTTAAACTCATTTCCCAAAACTTTCTATTGTGATGTGTTTTATCAAGTATGTATGATTAGTATAATAGCATTTGTGTATTATTTATATGGCATGTCACTTTTTTTTCCCACTGAATGTATGCAGAATCGAAAGAGTTTTGAGGTCATTGCTGTAGACTTGGGGAATTTCACAAGGTTTGGGGACAACAGAACGCTCTGCTCAAAATTCTGCTGAAGGGAAAATAGTTATATGGGGATGGGTTCCACGAAGATTTACAATAGTGCTAGAATGAAGTAATAATGCACTAAATGAGATTAATCAATTCACCTTTGAATTGAAATGATGGAATAGATTTGAGAAATACTGCAAAGGATTAAGGAATGAGACAGGGTAGCTGGTTTAATAAGGGAGGGCATTTGTCATACTGCCTGCTAACTATAGCTATCAACAACATAAAGCATAGTTAATACCGGCTTTATGGGCAGGTCATCTTACTCATCCAAGTATATATAATTCTACTTAAAACCCTATTTTCAAGGTTACCAAGGATTATGTACCTAGGAGCACTTTCTTAATTCTTTTAGCCTAAAGAAATAATTTAAAGTTGTAAAAGTTCAGACCCTTCCATTTTTAAGGAGCTTTTACACTAATTAGATGTTTAAGTATAAACACATGAACACTAGTTAACACTTCTATGGTGTTCACTATGTCCCATGTGTCATTCTAAAAACTTTACATATATCACTTCACTTAATCCTCACCAAATAACCCTGCAATTTGGTACAATTATATTGTACCCATTTCACAAATATGGAAATCAAGGCAGAGAAAATAAATAACTTGCTCACAGCCAATTGATAAAGCTGGATTCCCACCCAGCAAGCCCAGCTCCCAACCACACACTAATTGTGACAACAGTACAATGAGTGTAAATGCTCAAAAACACCCTCACGTGACTCACATTTCCTTCTGAGATGTCAAACTCTTCAATTCTATAAGTTTTCTAGGCTTTTGCTTCAAAATGTATCAATTAGAAATAAACCAATTTCTTAGGCCAGGCGCCGTGGCTCATGCCTGTAATCCCAGCACTTTGGGAGGCCAAGTTGGGTGGATCACGAGGTCAAGAGTTCAAGACCAGCCTGGCCAACATGATGAAACCCCACCTCTACTAAAAATACAAAAATTAGCCGGGTGTGGTGGTGGATGCCTGTAATCCCAGCTACTTGGGAGGCTGAGGCAGAGAATTGCTTGAACCTGGGAGGAGGAAGTTGCAGTGAGCCGAGATCATGCCACTGCACTCCAGCCTGGGCGGCAGAGCAAGACTCCATCTCAAAAAAAAAAAAAAAAAAAAACAGAAAGAAACCAATTTTTTTTTTGTTGATTGGTAAAGAGACAGAAGTCTCCAACATAGCCCATAAGTTGCCCATAAGCTGGCCATATAAAATGTAATGAATAGAATATGCAAAATGACCAAGATCTGTGACCCCAAAGGCAGAGAAGAAGCTATTAAATAAGGGAATGACTGACTAGCACCTTATAGGAAATGTATTGAACACAGCCCTGGCATGTTGGAGACTTAGCATATTAGTTTTCTGTGGCTCCCATAACCAAGTAATACAAGCTTGATGGCTTAAAATAACAGAAATGTACTCTTCTGGCGTCCAAAATCAAGGTGTTGGCAGGCTGCACTGCCTCTAGAGGCTCTAGGGCAGGATCCATCTCTTGCCTCTTCTAGCTTCTGGTAGCTGCCAGCATTTCCAGCAGTTGTCAGCATTCGTTGGCTTGTGGTGGCCACATTGCTCCAATCTCTGCCGTGTCTTCATATCACCCTCTCCTTGGCTTGTCTCTCCTATGCGTGTCTCCCATAAAGACACTTGTCATTGGATTTAGGGCCCGCCAGGATAACCCATGGTGATTTCCTCATCTCAAGATCCTTAATTATATCTGCAAAGAGCCTTCTTCCAAATAAAGTACCATCCATATGTTCCAGGGGTTAGGATCTGGACGTATCTTTTGAGAGGGTGTCACTTAACCCACTATAAAGACATTATCCAAAACCAACAAACTAAGTTAAATAGCCCAGATATAAAACAATTCAAAGGTTAGAAGACAAAACAAAGCAAATTGAAAGGTACACAGTAAATACATACAAGTAAGACGATGTGACGTGTAGACTTTTAACACACAGAGTAGGATAATGCATGTATTGTGTAAATGCTCAGTATCAACTGGGCATTAGAATATTGTGCATATTTGGAATGACACATGAAAATGGAATTATGCTTGAAAAAACATCAAACAATTAAATATTAAGATAAGGCCTTAGGCCAGGCATAGTGGCTCATGCCTGTAATCCCAGCACTTTGGGAGCTGAGGCGGGCGGATCACCTGAGGTCAGGAGTTCGAGACCAGCCTGGTCAACTTGGTAAAACCCCATTTCTACTAAAAATACAAAAATTAGCTGGTTGTGGTGGCGCACGCCTGTAATCTCAGCTACTCGGAAAGCTGAGGCAGGAGAATTTCTTGAACCCGGGAGGCGGAGGCTGCAGTGAACTGAGATCACACCACTGCACTCCAGCCTGGTCGAGACAGAGCGAGACTCCATCTCAAAAAAAAAAAAAAAAAAAAAAAAAAAAGATAAGGCCTTTAAATAAAGGATTAAAAGTTCAAGCATGATTAAAAGAAAGCTTGGAAAATAAAATAATGGATCCAAGCCCATCAGGTGAAGGCGCTCAGGAAAGGAAATGTTGACTTTTCCTCAGCTCAAATGTGGGGCAGGGGGGATATTCACCAGTTAGCACTGCATCTCAGGGGGTGGGGTTAGGTGGGAAATTATGCATCCCTGTATTTCAAGGGAGTGGGATTAGGTGCGAGATGAATCACTGTATCATCTCAGGGAGTGGGTTAAGTGTGATTTACATCAGGAGACCTGAACCCGGCCCGCCCATCATCTGAGATGTGCATCCCTGTGCGAGGCTGCAGTGTTAGGTTCCCTGTGTAAGGCTGCAGTGTTAGGCTGCGTGGGTCAGATAGAGTAGTGTCGGTCTCTCCAGAAACAACTTGAGTGAACCCCTGCATGTCCTTTGTGTCATCAAGGCTGATTATCAACTTTGTAATATAAGGAAATTCAAACCAAGTCATGTTAGACCCGTTCTGGCTCTAAATGGCTATCTAAGGGTCTATAAATTTCCTCTGTGAGAGTGAGCATTCCTGAGCATTAGAATGCAATGTCTAGGGAGGCTTTGGAATCCTTCCTCTGAGGTTCTGAACATACGGGCACATTCCCATCTGTCTGGAATAATCATGTACTGTTCTGCACAAAATTAGGAGGATTAACCAGCAGACCCCTTGGGTCCTGTGGTTCCCAAGAGCCTCTCAGCTCTGACCTTCTCACGTGTTCTCTACCACAAACCGAGGCCAGCAGGGAACGAGTTCTGTAACTCAAGAGGGCAAAAGCTCTCCTAAAGCAACAATGTAGTCCTGAGTCCTGATTTCAAAGAAATAACTTAGTGGAGGCACTCTCCAAGTCACACCAGAGAACGTCAAAGTTCAGGGACAAAGTTCTCATATCAGTCCCCAAATGCCAGTCCACAGACAACTGCCAGTTCACAAGAAACTATTCTTTGCTTCGTGGTGAAATGAAAGAAAAGTAAGGACAGATGTGCGTGTGTATGTGTATATACATGCATATTCACATTATACCTTTTACATAAAATATTTTCTCCTGGGAAGAAATGTCCTTGCTTTTAAAATTATGTCTTGTCTTTTGTGTTAAAGCATTCTTTCTTTTATGAACCAGTGATGGTAGGTGATGGTAGCTGATGGTAGCTGTTTCATTATTCCTTTTTTTTTTTTTTTTCAGACGGAGTCTTGCTCCATCGCCCAGGCTGGAGTGCAGTGGCGCAATCCCGGCTCATTGCAACCTCTGCCTCCTGGGTTCAAGCGATTCTCCTGCCTCAGCCTCCTGAATAGCTGGAATTACAGCTGTGCACCACCACGCCCAGCTAATTTTTGTACTTTTAGTAGAGGCGGGGTTTTGGCATGTTGGCCAGGCTAGTCTCAAACTACTGACCTCAGGTGATCCACCCGCCTCGGCCTCCCAAAGTGCCAGGATTACAGGCATGAGCCACTGCACCCAGCCCGTTAGTAGTTTATTTTTAACGCTATTACAGGGAAAAAAGTTTGTTGTTTTTTAAATTGGGCATCTTTCTTTAATCCCCCATTAAAAGCTTTCTTTATTCCTTGGCTTCTTTGTAAAATCTCGAAGTCTGGGAATCTCTGTCATAGCTTTACAGTCACTTTCAAGGAGCTTTCAGAACCCTCCAAAGCTGGGCCCCACGTAAGACAATCCTGGCTCGAATCACTTGACTTTGCCACCCTGCAGACTCCTGAAGCTACAACACCAGGAAGTGAGGTGAGGACTTTCACCTGAACCCCAATTACATCCACAGTGAGAGGGAACATGCGGGCGGCTGGAGAGCCTATCTTCTCTGAATCATCTGGGGATAAAGTCACAGGCAGGAAAGCAACAAGCAGGTGGCCTTTATCTGGGGATTGGCCATTCCTCCCCACATACTTGCCACAAGCCCTCTAGAATGGAATAGATGTCAAACTCTTGCTGAATGAGTTCATATTCCTACCCTGCTTTTAAATGTTTAAGTCATAATCATCTTAGTTTTAAAGCCTCATTATTGCGGTATTTTTAGCATTCTAGTTTTCCAGATACATATATCATGTTACCAACCACAGTTTAAAAGCTCTTATGGCAACTTACTCATGCGCGCATTTTATTCTCTTTAAATTCTCTCCTAAGATGAGGAAAAGGGGGGTGTAGAAAATTTCCTCTGAACAATCAGAGGATTGTACATAGACACAATTTGGTCATGTATTGAAGTGAACCTTAGCTGGGGAAAAATTAAAACCTAACAAGAAACAAAAGAGGAACCTACTGTAGAAAACAATGAGTTTGTTCAAATGCATTCTTAACATTTCTGTGAGTACTAATCAACCATGAGAAACTTGTATAGCATAAAAGTGTCCACTAGGAGGCACTGCAGTCAAAGCACACAGAAATAGACCCAAAACCCTTAATTTATGTAAACTCACGTGTTTTTATTAATATTGTCAATAGTGAACTGTTTTTGCAAAATGAGAGGTCACTATTTTTCAGACCTGATTAGGAAAAATTGCACAAGGCACTTCTTGCTGAAGAAAAAAAATCCATTTTCTGGCAGCAGGAGTTAGCTGACTCGTGGCAATCCAGAGTTGGCCTCTTACTAAGGTCAATATGCATGTGCTCAGGAAACTTGAACCCACACAAGAATGTGAACCAAGACGGTCAGGCCAGAGATAACATGCGGGTCTTGTAAATGTCAAACTTTGCTTCCTCTGCTCAGCTGAAAACATCCTCTTCTCTTTCCCTTATCCTCCTCCCACCCTACCACTCCTGATGATATCCATAAACAAAAAAATTTTAATGACTCGTAGAAGCTTTAAAATAGGAGGACATTTAATTTCATAACGCATCTGCGGTCACAAGCTGACTGCAGCTGAGTGAAGATACAACCTTTAGCAGTGCTCCCTGACTACAGGTCAAGTGGATGCTCTCCTTGTGACTGTAGCAGATGGAGGAGGAAAGGTAAAGGTGAATGCAAGAGGCTAGAAACATACATTGTGATCCCTTTTTTAAAGCCTTTGATTTTTTAAGATTAAACTAACCCATTTTTTTAAGTATATGATTTGTTCATTAAACTACAAATACATGTCTTGGATTGCAAGCTGAAGAGCAACTGAGAGCTAGGAGAGGCATGATAAGACCCAGGAAAGAAACTACAGCAAGGCGCCCTCATGTCGCTTAGAATACAATGCAGGTCCCTGTAGCTCCTGCTCCCTGAGCCTCCTGGCACGCCTGTTAAACAACCACTGCCTTATTCACGCAGAGAACTTGCCATGCTGGGGTCGCCCAGGGAAAGTGAAGTTTTGGTCAGTGTTTTGGGTTGAATTGTATGTCTTCTCCGAAAAAATATGTTGAAGTCCTAACCCCTCTTTACATGCCAATGTGACATTATTGGAAGGAGGGTCTTTGCAGTTGTCCTCAAGTTAAACTTCGGCCACTAGGTGGCGCTCATCCAATGTGACTGCTGTCTTTATAAGGAGAGGAGATTTGAACACTGAGATGCAGAGACAGAACGCGGTGGGACGACAGAGGGAGAGAGGGGGGTGATGCGTCCACTAGCCAAGGAACACCAAGGACTGTTAGCAGCTGGGAGAGATGGAAGGAGCTCCGGAAGAAACCAGGCCTGCCCACACCTTGATTTCAGACTCCTGTTCTCCAGAATTGGAGAAAATAGATCTCTTGTTTTAGGTCACCCAGTTTGTAGTCCTTCATTATGGCAGCCCTAGGAAACTCATGACCAAATCTGGAAAAAGTAGGCCGGGCACGGAGGTTCACGCCTGTAATCCCAGCACTTTGGAAGGCCAAGGTGGGTGGATCACCTGAGGTCAGGAGTTCGAGACCAGCCTGGGCAACATGGCAAAACCCCGTCTCTACTAAAAATACAGAAATTAGCTGGGTGTGGTGGCGGGCGCCTGTAATCCCAGCTACTCAGAGCCTGAGACAGGAGAATCACTTGAACCCAGGAGACGGAGGTGGCAGTGAGCCAAGATCGTGCCACTGCACTCCAGCCTGCACAACAGAGCAAAACTCCATCTCAAAAAAAAAAAAAAAATGGAAAAAGTAGAATGGAATTCTGGGAATGATAATCAAGAGAGGTTCAACTGCTGAAGCACGAAGTTTTAAGGCTTTTTTTTTCTGTGTCTTCTCCTTTTCTTCCCTATTTTCCGGTCTACTCAACCCCGATATTCCAATTTCTCAATATGAAATATTATTTTTAGTTATCTTTAAACGCACAGCTGTTGGTGATTTCTGGAGACATGCCCATTTTTTCCAGTCCATTTTGTAGATCTCCTCAAATACCTAAAAACTTCACAGTCCAGTTGGCATTTTTAAAGCACTTTGCTCCTTTGAGTTGCTCAAATTATTTGACATAAATGTTCCCTTATTCATGTCAGTTTAAAGGAAAAGATAAGTACAGATCTTATTTTAAACCTCAGGAAATATACAGCAAAGTTAAGCATCTTATAGTAAATCACGTTGCCTTTCAGCGAGTGAGCAGAGCCTGGTGGACGGACTCCCAACTGCCTGTATAGTCTTTTTAAAGTATTATACAATTATATTTTATTCTTTATTACCCACCTACAAGACAAGAATGAATAAATCCTCCAAAATGGTGGTCACTCAAGAGTTGCCTTTTGGGGACCTTTCTCTTTTTTTTGATAGAAATGCCTCTGATATTTTGAGAATTCATAAAATCTCAAACAAAATGGAGCGAGTACCTTGTCATGTTCTAATTCTCCAGTAACCACAAGAATCTTCCTTCCTCTCCATTCCATTCTGAGAAAGAGCCACTTCACCTCTCAGAATGATGGGAAAGATAAGGCACAAGCCAAGCCAAATCTTCTCCCCCAAATTCCCTGGCTCTACACGTCCCTGGGACAGGAAGGTCTCAGCTCGCTGACTTGGGCATCCTCTGTGTGCCACAGGTGGGGGATCACCATAGAGAGCCCTCGGTCGGACTCCCTCTGCCCCTGGCATTCTGCCTCCCAAAGTTAAGTGTCATCTTAAAGATGGAGCCACACCAGGGAAAATTCCCTTATCCTTGCTGTGTTTCAGCAGAAGTGAAACAGACTGGAATTTCCAAAGCTACTAAAGAAAGGAGAAAGGGAAATCAAAGAACATCAAGAAAATTTAACAAGCCTAAAACTCAGAAGCACAGAAACATGGCTGAGCGTGTCCACCGCTCACAGGCCCTGTGCCACCCCTCCTCCAAGCTCACGGGCTTGGTTCACATGATCAAGACCACCCTGTGGCTTCCTTGCTTCCCAGCTACAGAGTCATGGCCACTGAAAAGTGCCACCTCACCTCCCTGCCAAGTCTGTGTCCTAGACAACTAACTCCCTGGATCAGGGGCATTACTGAACTAAGACCAAATCTCCAGATGAGAGAGAGATTATCAGATTCTTCACATGCGATCCAGCTTGTGGGAATGCGGGTGGGGTATAGGAAGTGGTTCAGCCCCATATGGATCCTTATAATGGAAGAATTATGAAAAATATAACCACAGAATAAACATGACAGTCACACAAGATGAGTCAGGTACACACCACAAACTGTGTAGGTCTCAGTGAAAGTAGACTATCTGGCTGAGGTTGGAGGGTCCTAGGCTAGTGCTACGGGGAGACAAGGACATGGTAGACAGGAAGGAGGTGACCCAGGCAGGGAGAAGGAGCAGATAGATTAGGAGGTTGTTGCCAGAAAGTGGGGCAGGCCTGTGGTAGAAATGCATGCCCCAGAGTTAAGGAAGCTGGGAACTGTCAGGAGCAGGTTGTGTGGTGCCAAAGAACACTGACATTTTTCAAATGGTGGGGGATTTGAAAAGGCAAGTGAGCAGCCCAAATGTGATCATAGTTAACGTCGACTGAGTTACACCAGAAATGTGCTAGACACTTCATATGGATCTTCTCATGTAATCCTCACAACAACCCCATGCTATAGAAGTACTGCCGTCCACATTTTATAGAAGAGTTAACAAGCCTTCAAAAAAGTAACTTGACCAAAGTCTCACAGACTAGTGAGTACAAAACCGAAATTAGAACCCACATCATTGGATATTGAAGCCGGAGCACTTAACGCTATATATGCGCACACACACGAGCACACGTGCACGCACACGTGCACACACACACATACACACACACACATCTTAAATATCAAGGACTCTACAGAGCAGGGGTATTTTCCAAAAGGAGGAAGAGTCATAGATTGCAAGTGATCATGGAGTATTGGCGTAAATGGGTCCCCAACCCAGTAGATGAAATGTGAAAAGGGGGAAGCCGGGATACTCTGGAGAGAGCAGAACTTCAGCTAGGGTGCGCATTCTCTGAGACTGAGGACACAGAAGGAAGTATCCACTGAAGAACAGGAATCCCAGACAGCCCAATGGAAAGGGTTGCCATGAGAGTAAAAGAGGAGTCAGGAGTCCATGGGAAAGCCCCACAGAGCAGCAGGGAGCAAGGGCATGCAAAGGAGACAGATTACCAGCCTGGCCAGAGCTTGGGTGATCCTTGGAGATGACAGGATGGTAGGGCAGATGGGACAGACTCCAGGGGGCCGCAAGTGTGCTGCTGTTTCCCCGTCCTCTGAGCTGCCAGGGCCTGGAGCACTCAGCCTGTGGTCAGTTGGTCGCCGGCCCTGGTGGAAGGGGAATCTTTGGGGCCACAGATAGTGGAGGAGGAAGGAGCTCTGCCTGGCCCCCTGGCAGCTGGGAGCTGGGAGCTGCCAGACCTTGAAGGAGAATTAGTTGGTCTAGGAAGCTTACCCTGGCATGACTAGGGAGGTAAAATAATCTGCCTAATGTACATTCCTCTTTTCCCCTGGAAAATCTGAAATAGAGAGCAGCCTGCTCTAAGCATGGTTGTACATTCTGCTTATTTGAAGAAGCCAGGCAAGGAGTTCCCCACAAGCAGCAAGACATGTAGGAACTGTAACGTGGAAGAACCTAAAACTATATTTTTGGTTCTCAGGTAAAGTAGGTCATGTATGGCAGCCATGTGACTAATGTCAGAATCACTGCTTTCTGCCTATTTTTCTAGTCCTCCAACCGTTTATTTATATTTGGAAACTATCTCAACCAGCCACTAACTGTATGTCATGGGCTTTCTCAACCGTCTTGTACACCAGCCATCTCTGACTCCTGCCAGCAGGGATCATGTTGAAACAGTTTGGGAGTGTGGTTTTTAGGTTCCAGCAAAATACTTCTTAAAAAAAAAAAAAAGCCTCCTAGGAAAATGAGTTTGAACTGTATGTAATTTCTGCTTCTGTTGAGTTTTCTGCAATGGTTCTTTCAAGCTAAGAACAGCCCAATACTCAAGCGAGGATCATTTCTCTTGGCCACTGATCCATTTTTCCTTTTTTATTATGGAAAGTTTCAAACATGCAAAAATATAGAGAAAAGAACAATGATGACCTGTACACCCCTCACCTTGCCGCAACATTCGACAATTGTCAACTCATTTTGGCCACCATATTCAGTGGATGATGAAGGAAGGAAGGAAAGGAAGAAAGGAGAGAGGGAGGGAAAGAGGGGAAAGAAAGGAAGGGAAGACAAAAATAAAAGAAGAAAAGAGAAAAGAAAAGAAAAGGGCTAGGCCTGGTGGCTCCTATGTATAATCCCAGAGCTTTGGGAGGCCAAGGCTGGAGGATTGCTTAAGACCAGGAGTTTGAGACCCACCTGGGCAACATAGTGAGATCCTATCTTTATAAAAATTTTTTATGTTAGCCAGGCTTGCTGGAAGGTGTCTGCATTCCCAGGAAGCTGAGGCAGAAGGATCACTTGAGCTCAGTAGTTCAAGGCTACAGTGAGCCATGATTGTGCCACTGCACTCCAGCCTGTGCAACAGAGCAAGACCCCACCTTTAAAAAAATAAATAAAAAGAAGAAAGAAAAGAAGAATAAGTTAAAATGTGTTGCACAAGATTTGGAGCATGTTCCTCCATATTTCCTCTTACTTTGGAACTCAAGTTAAAACAGTTCTCAGTACAAATTACATACAATTGGTTTTATGAAATTCTTCCTAGATTCAAAATTTCAATTAGATTTCAGGGAAATCACTAGAAGCCTAGTTAAAAAGGAGTCTGTCTCATTGCAACTTACTATTATGAATGTGACTGTAAAACAAAACTGATTATTGATGCCAAGCTCACATTTTACTTGTTGGGGATTTTAACCACATGGCAGCAACTTCCAGTAAGAAGCTTAAAAATTTCCCAGCTAAAGAAATGCTGGTGGTGGCAGGAGTGGTGGGAGACGGGGGAGGGGTGGTGGAAATAACATTTGATTTCTGAAAACTCCAGACAAGCCATGGAAGTTTACATTTCAGATTGTTTAAAGAAAAGTGCATCATGGGAGATCTTAGGGTGAATCAATGGAGATAATTCTAGAGGAAGTCAGAACTGGCCTGTTCTTGAGGTGGGAGGAGACATTGGTTTATCTGTTGAGAATTTCTCAAGTATAGCGTGACTTTCTTCCTCCTTTCCTTTCTTTTCCGTTCTTTTTTTTCCTTTCTTTTTTCTTTTATTTCCTTTTTTTTTTTTTTTTTTTTTAATGAGACAGGGTCTTGCTCTGTGGCCCAAGCTGGAGTGCAGTGGTGCAATCACAGCTCACTTTAACCTCTAACCCCTAGATTCAAGCAATCCTCCCACCTCGGCCTGCCAAAGCATTGGGATTAGAGGTATGAGCCACTGCGCCTGGCCTTTCTTTCTTTTTTGAAGCACAAGGACCAGTGGAGAAAAAGTGAATTTATATCATGAGTATTAACAATCATACAGTCACTTGCCAGGGTCTTCTGTTTTCTGTTAGCAGGTGAAAAGTGAAAGGAGAAAATGCAGGCAGTGGCAGCCGATTTTAGCTCCCCATCTAGCCATGTCATTTATAACCAGAGTCATTTGAAACCTCCCATTGCGGGATTCAATGAACTCAAATGACTGCCCCAAAATACTGACCACGTCTACATAACAGCAAACATAGGTTTGGCATGACATTGATCAGGGCCTGAAATCTTGGCCAGCGGCTTCCCGACTTCCACGTGGAATCCTCCTTAAAACAAATGCTTAGGGCAGATGTTTGTCTGAAATGAATGCAGACACACAGGCGGATGCACAGCTTTCTCACACACACACACACACACACCCACATTAGTAATTACATAAGGTAATTACTTTGCACCAACCTAATATGAGTTTTTTCAAGGACCCTGGAAGTAGTCTGCATCCACCTAGGACAAACCTTCTCTTCCTTGACCATCTACAAAAGTGCACGGGAAAAGACCACTGTCTGGAGACTTAGTGGCCTGAGTTTGTTCTCTGTTCCATCAGGAATGGACAGGTACTTTAAGTTCTGGGGCCTCATTTTCTTCTGCCCTGACATAAGGGAAAAAAGTAGGCCAGATGATTTTTGAAGTTCTAAAGGCAGCTCCAGCCGGGTGCAGTGGCACTCACCTGTAGTCTCAGCTACTCAGGAAGTTGAGATGGGAGAATGGCTTGAGCCAAGGAGTTCAAGACCAGCCTGGGCAACATAGCAAGATCCCATCTTAAAAAATAATAATAATAATAAATAAAGGCAGCTCTACAAGCACAGTGAACTATTAACACAGAGTAGGGCTTGGCGTCTGCCAGTGTGGATTGAAATCTTTGCTCCATGCTTCTAAACAGTGCAACCATGAGACTGTTGCTTGCTTTCTTTTGAAAACGATAAAGAATACCTATGTCACAGATTCCTGTAAGAATTGAATTCTTTAAACATATATAAAGCATCTGACTTAAGAAATATGTCATAATGCTAGTACCCTCCTTCTTAAAATGCTATGATTTCAAACATCAAGGAATCTGGGAAGTTTGCCTTTTTGGAGCACAACTAGACAATTCTGTCCAAAATATTTCCCACTATAACTTATTACTCATTGGAGGATCAGTATAAACATTTAGGTCAATACCACTGAAAAATACTCATGAGACAGAAGTATTGCATAGTCCATGTCTTATGTGAGATATTTTAGATACTTTTTCTTTCTTGTTTCTTCCTTATTTTTTCCTTATTCACTTCCAAATAAAAGAAAGGTATAAGTTGAACCAAGTTGAGAAAGTGAAGTCTTTACAAAGTTTATATTGCTAATTAAATTAAGGTTTTTAGCAGATCAAGGACGAATAGCTGAGTTCAACAAAATATTTCCTTTGATCTCAAGGCTTTTTACTTCAAAGACTAACCAGCGGGATCATGCAGGGGGCTGGCAGTGAACCCCTCCTCTCCCCACAATGAGGGGGCTTGGGTGAAAAGAACTTTGGAGAATCCACTTCAGAGCAGTGTGAACACCTGCAGTGGTTGGTCCTGCCCAGGCCAGCCTCTGGGGTGAGACATGTCAGCGGAAAATAAATGAGTCAGAAGATGTGAGTTTGAGGCTTGAGTCTACCCGTTACTCACATCCCATGAAAAAGTTGCTTGACATCAGTCTTCATGTTCTCCCATGAAAAATGGGACAATGATGCCTAACTTATTTGTCTCCTAGCTTTGATCTAAAGATAATGCTGGCTCTTTGAATATAGCAAATACTGAAATAAGATTAAGAAATAAAACCCCAGAGTGATACTCAAACAGTTTGCATTTTCTTCCAGGAAGAGTTTTTCAGCCTGGCGTGGTGGCTCACACCTGTAATCCCAGCACTTTGGGAGGCCAAGGTGAGTGAATCTCCTGAGTTCAGGAGTTCAAGGCCAGCCTGGACAACATGGTGAAACCGTCTCTACCCAAAATACAAAAAATTAGCCCAGCATGGTGGTGTGTGCCTGAGGTCCCAGCTACTCGGGAAGCTGAAGTGGGAGGATTGCTCAAGCCTGGGAGGTGGAGGTTGCAGTGAGTCGAGGTCGTGCCACTGCACTCCAACCTGGGTGACAGAGTGAGACTCCATCTAAAAAAAAAATAGTTTTTCTACTTCTCTCTCCAGTGCTGTACACAGTAGGTGCTCAATATTTCTTTGTTGAGTGAGTGAAGGGGCAAATGAAGACTGTGGTGAGAGGTGGGCCCTGGGACCCTCTGCCATGTAGATTTGTTCTTCCTTCCTCTTAGATGACCCCATTCATCGTGCCATTGCAGCCTAGGCCCTACTTAATCCTGGGATGTGGTAAGAAGAGAACGCCAGGGTCGGGGAGGGAGAAGGGCAGTGGGAAGCTGGGAGAAAGAAAGGGCCACCCTGGCGCAAGGAAGGAAGAAGGACGGTTATGGGCAATTCCTGCAACTGCCCTCTAATGAGAGCCTGCTGTGTCCCCAATATAAAGTGTGTCACACCACCTTGGACAGGTGGTCCTCAGCGTTATTCCATTGAACCCATGTTTGCATCTGATTGAAAGGATTAAGCATTTATATGTTTCCAAATTTTCATAAGCCTGGAAAGATGAACACCCTACTTGGTGAAATCCAATGGCGAGTCATCCTAAATTCTTAGTCACCAAAGAGAGAATTTGGGGCACTGGGGAAACCCAGACGCTGACTACGCAATGAGAACATAATGAATAATGAGGGCTGAAACATTACAGGTATGTGCCACAGGCTTCTAGAGATGGCTTTCAAGCTTCCCTGTGACTTTGAACTTCTCATTCTCACAATGCTTTTGGACAGACTTTATTTTTCAGAATCAGAGATAACGGGCAGATGCTAATGGGCTGAGCTTTGCTGTGAGCTCTGGGGTGGGGCCTAGATGGGATCCTCCTGTGGGTGTCAGCACTGGGTGTTACCACGTCAGCGTTCCCCTGCCTTAGATGGATTGTTTCTCTTTGACGTTGGGATGGTTTCCTAACCCACGTCTGCAGTGAATCAGCCCCTGATAGAGGAATGATTCAGTGGACTCCTGTAGTCGGGTACCCAGGTTGAAGGAGACACATTCAAAGACACTGGTATCACTCAGGATGTCTGAGGCTGCAACTCACAGGAGATCCAGCTGATAGTGACTTCAAACATAACCATGTGTGTTTATCTCATGCAGCAGGAAGTCTAGGGATTTATGGCTCCAGGGTTACACAGCTTCTCTGGAATTCTGGTTCTAGAAAGGCAGTATGTCACAACAGTGAGGAGTACAGCCTCTGCCATGGGTCTCCCTGAGTTCAAATCCCAGCTTTGGTGCTTCTTGTCTGTGAAACTTCCCACAAATTACTGAACTTCGCTGAGCCTCGGCTCCCTCCTCTGTCAATTGGAGAGAACAGTAGTTGTCCTTCCAGAGTTGCTGTTAGAATTAAATTAGTTAATATCTATAAACTGCTTAAGGAGAGACTGGCATGTATTAAGCACTATGAGTGTTAGTTCTTGTCATCTTTATTTATTTTTATCATCCCCTCATTGTCACAAGATCGTTCCCAAAGCAGCAGGCTTTCACACCACACGACAGTATGCAGGACAGGAAGGAAAGTGCTGGAGGGGACAAGGCAAGGGATAAGAATGACACAGGCCTCTC
Organism: Homo sapiens; assembly: GCF_000001405.40. Classification (NCBI taxonomy): domain Eukaryota; kingdom Metazoa; phylum Chordata; class Mammalia; order Primates; family Hominidae; genus Homo; species Homo sapiens. Next base: position 17,180,606 of record NC_000005.10, on the reverse strand, counting down.
TTGGGCATCTCTCTCCTTTAGCAGGGAGAAAACTCCTTCCCAGACCTCATGCCTTTCTCAGAGCCTACAGGTCAGGACTGGGCCACACAGTGATGTCTGAGGCAATACCTGGCAAAGGAGAGTGAAATCATCATGGTTTGGAGCCTCTGTGCTATCTCCCGTGGTAGCTCCTAATAACCACATAAAGCAATTTAGATTTAAATTAAAATTAAATAAAATTTAAAATTTAGGCCGGGCGTGGTGGCTCACGCCTGTAATCCTGGCACTTTTGGAGGCTGAGGTGGGTGGATCCCCTGAGGTCAGGCGTTTGAAACCAGCCTAGCCAACTTGGTGAAACTCCGTCTCTACTAAAAATACAAAAATCAGCCAGGTCTGGTGGTGCATGCCAGTAATCGCAGCTACTCAGGAGGCTGAGGCAGGAGAATCGCCTGAACCCAGAAGACAGAGGTTGCAGTGAGCCAAGATAGCGCCACTGTACTCCAGCCTGGGTGACAGAGCGAGGCTCCAGCTCGAAACAAAATAAAAATAATTAAATTAAATTAAATTAAATTCAGTTGCCCAGTCACTTGAGCCACATTTCAGGTGCTCAGTAACCACGTGGGGCCAGTGGTCTCCATAATGGACAGTGCAGCCCTAGACCGTTTCCATCATCCAGGAAGGTCTGTCAGACAGTGCTGGAATCAGAGCCCACTCCCGCAGCTGGATGAGGGTAAACCTTCCCTGAGCACATTTTCTCATGGTGTCTGAACAAAATCAGGGCTGTGTTCACAAGGAAGGAGGAGGAGTGGCTGCTGGGTTGGTAATCAACAATGAAGGAGACACAGGAGGGAAGACCAGCATAGACGCTGGTGAGATCAGAACTGTGGGTGTGAGTGTGGCCATTGGGTGAGAAGCTCAGCAGGGTTTAAGGAGCCTCATTAGATTTCATGTTGACCATCCTGGCCTCTCTGTCCGCGAGGCACCCTGACACACACAGTCTAGCTGTTTTATTGTGGTGGAAATTGGAATTATAAGAATTTGTTGGCTGGGCGCGGTGGCTCACACCTGTCATCCCAGCCCTTTGGAAGGCTGAGGCAGGCGGATCACAAGGTCAGGAGTTCAAGACCATCCTGGCTAACATGGTGAAACCCCGTCTCTACTAAAAATACAAAAAAAATTAGCTGGGCGTGGTGGTGGGCGCCTGTAGTCCCAGCTACTTGGGAGGCGGAGACAGGAGAATCACTGGAACCCAGGAGGCAGAGGTTGCAGTGAGCCAAGATGGTGCCACTGCACTCCAGCCTGACAACAGAGACTCCATCTCAAAATAATAATAATAATAATAATTTGTTAGATGCCCTCACCCCTCTTAAACAAAGTAGTTAAGTAGTTTCTGCTACTAAAGTGCAAAAATGAGCCTCCACCCTGCCTACATCCTGGACCCCAACCCAGCCTGAGAATAAGACTCTGTAAATCTCCCTGTTGATGTTGCCTATTTTTACTATTGACATACAAAATGAGAGAGTAAAAACCATTTTCCACTATACATACTCACCGTGAAGCACAATATACAACACACCAAAGCCCCTGGGGTAGTACACAGATCTGACTGCAAAATGCAGCCTCACGCACTTCCCTAGGGGCCCCGGGGAGCAGTAAAGGTCTTAGAGCCCCTCCTAGTATTTGAGAAGGTGTTGGTTGGCTGTGGCAAACATGCATTTGGAGCAATAATAATAACAACCAATGTGCAGTTATGCTTAACTATATGTCAGGCATTTGCTCAAGGTCAGGAAGTGGTGGAGTTGAATTTGCACCCAGAAATTCTAGTGCCAAAGTCCAGGTTCTGCTGTGCTCTCTTCTCAGGACTCGAGGTGAGCATGCTCTTTGGGGATCCACAGGCTCAATGCTTATTGAAGCACAGATGGCTGGGCCAGCGGTGTGCTGGAGCCAGCTCCTCCTCTCAGCTCAGGAGAGCTTCTTGTGCACACCTCTTCCCAACTCCGCAGTCAATAACAGCAGGTTCATATCTTACAATCAGTCATAGTGTAAGAATTTAAACCACTGGAATCAGCAACTTGAGGGTTTGTGTTTTCTGGAGAGCTGGTTGTTAAATCTTTACTGGCACATCACCTGCTACTTCCTATCCCTAGAGTCCCTGATTCAGTAACTCTTGGACGGGACCTGATGATTTACATTTCTAACAAGTTCCCAGGGAATGCTGATTCTGCTAGTCCAGAAAGGACACTTTAAGAAACACTTGGAAGACGTGAAATCTGTTGTCTGATTTCAGGGCTCTCTGATTTCAGACAACACACAACAGATTCTTTCCTCCCGCCAAAAGCATAAGTCATCATTGACAAGAGGAATGCTAGCACTTTCATCTAAGAATGTTGACTGTAGATGACCCTATATCAAATCAATACTAATAAGAGCTAATGTTTACAGAATATTGACTGTACACCAGCTGCTTACTGTCCTGCTCATTTCATGCATTAATTCATTTAATCCAAGAACCATAGACAGCAGGTTCTACTAGTACAGTTGGGGCTGAAGCACAGACCAGTCAAATAACTTGCCCAAGATTATACGGGGAGTAAGCGGAGTTGTGAAGATGTGAATATGAGCAATCTGGCTCCAGAGCCCATGGATTTAACTGCTGCACCACAAATCACAGGAGACCTGACTGTAGTTCTGCCAAATATAAAAATCTAGTAACCGTTCCCTTAAAAGAAGACTAAGAACTTCAAAGAAAACACACAAAAAGGAGAATTTAAATTTCCAAGTCTCTCCCAACTGGACTTCCAAGACGTAAAAGAAAATGGATAAAGAAGTTTTCAATCTTCTCATTGTCCTTCAGCATCATCAACATGCAGGAGACCACACCATCAGTTGATGAGAAAGCCAGTCTCCTAGTCAGAGGTCAGCAAATGTTTTCCATAAAGGACAAGATAGTAAACATTTCTGGCTTTGCAGGCTGTACAGCCTTCATTGCAACAACTCCACTCTGCCTTTGCAGTTTGAAAGCAGCTATAGACCATACATGAGAATGAGAATGAGCACAGCTATATCTAATAAAGCTTTTTTTTTTTTTTTTTTTACAAAAGCAGGCATTGGCCTTATTCAGCTGTGGGCTGTAACTTGATGACCTGTCCTGGATTCATCTAGAAGTTGCTCCTTATTTCTAAATAACCAGCAGAAACTATACCTCCATTAAATGTAGGTAGAACTTTACAACAAATACATAAATAAACACCCAGCCGGGAGCGGTGGCTCACCCCTGTAATCCCAGCACTTTGGGATGCCGAGGTGGGTGGATCACCTGAGGTCAGGAATTTGAGACCAGCCTGGCCAACACGGTGAAGCCCGTCTCTACTAAAAATACAAAAATTAGCCTGGTGTGCTGGCGTGTGCCTGTAATCCCAGCTACTTGGGAGGCTGAGGCAGGAGAGTCACTGGAACCCAGAAGGCGGAGGCTGCAGTGAGCCGAGATCGTGCCACTGCACTCCAGTCTGGGCGACAGAGTGAGACTTCGTCTCAGAAAAAAAAAAAACCACACCCATATATCTAGGTAATCACTTAACAGATACCAGTGGGAACCTCCCCAGAAGACAGTCCATCTCTGTGGTTCTAATCTGGGGACAGAAGGTCTTTCTTGGCTTTAGGTTATGATAGGAGGCTCAGTTGGCTGGGGAATCACACTACTGAGGAAAATGTCCACAGATCCAAAGCTTAGCTTAGCTTGAGTCCTGTTGGCTAAAAAGGAAACAATGCAAGCAGAAAAGTCTCATATCATTTGATCACCTCAAATACACATTAACAAGCCCAGAACCCAGTCAGAGTGGAGCTTAGAAATCAGCAGTGTCATCTTTCTTCTTAAAATGTTGATTCATTTTATTTTATAAACCAACATGATGCCAAGGAAAGTGATGACGGTCCGGTCTGTAAGGGATGTTTAAACAACGTGTCCCAGATCCATCTTCTCCTTAATATTGAGATTGGCGCCATCTTGGTAAATGCTCCATAACTTTTCTCCTAGGCCCTAGTCTGTTCTCCCTGCCTCTAGGCTTTCACTTCTCCTGATTACCTTTCTGAATGTACATCCCTGATCCTTCTGAATTCACGATCAATCCTCTCTGGATTACTACTGCATATTGACTTAAGGTCAAACTCCCCAGCTTGGCATTCAAGAATTGATATGACCTAGCTTCTTTTTCTCTCTCCCATTTTACCTCAAAACTATCTTAATTTCTATGCCTAGAAAATCATGTCTTGGCCTAGCAAGGTGGCTCACGCCTACAATCCCAGCACTTTGGGAGGCCGAGGCAGGCAGATCACTTGAGGTCAGGAGTTCAAGACCAGCCTGGCCAACATGGTGAAACTCCGTCTCTACTAAAAATACAAAAATTAGCCAGGCACAGTGGCAAGAACCTGTAACCCCAGCTACTTGGGAGGCTGAGGCAGGAGAATCACTTGAACCTGGGAGGCGGAGGTTGCACTGAGTGGAGATTACACCACTGCATTCCAGCCTGGGCAACAAGGTGAGAGACTCTGTCTCAAAAAAAAAAAAAAAAGAAGGAAAAAGAAAAAATCATGTCTTGCCTAAGGAAGTTCCAAAGGCATAGTCAAGTGAGACAAGTGTTTTAACTAGAGCAGCAAGACCCACATAAATAACCTTCGGAGAATCATATTCATAGCAAAGGAAAAGACAAAGCTGTAGGCAGCAAGATAAACTAGAAATCAAAGGAATAGTCTGGGACAAAGTTTCAGAAATAGAACAGCATTATGTGACATTTCCCATTTTCTATGGTAGTTGGTACATGATGTCTGGACAAATCTGGAACCTTAAAAGAACTGCGGGGCTGACACCCTAGGTCAACGCTTTTCAAACTTCCCTTTCTCTTAGAAAGTGAGTTTTAACTTTAATAGGCTTCACCCCAGACCCAGAAAAGATATCAGGAAATCTGAATTTTTTTTTTTTTTGGAGATACAGTCTCACTCTGTCGCCCAGGCTGGAGTACAGTGGCGCAATCTCAGTTCGCTGCAACCTCTGCCTCCAGGGTTCAAGCGATTCTCCTGCCTCAGCCTCCCGAGTACCTGGGACTACAGGCGCCCATTACCAAGACTGCCTAATTTTTATATATTTGGTAGAGACGGGGTTTCACCATGTTGGCCAGGCTGGTCTTGAACTCTTGACCTCAGGTGATCCACCCGCCTCGGCCTCCCAAAGTGCTGGCATTACAGGCATAAGCCATGACACCCGGCCAGGAAATCTGAATTTCAATAAATGCTTCAGGTAATTCTAACGATTGCTCAAGTTTGGGAAAATTCTGACTTCACATTAAAATCACCAGGAGGCTCTGCAGGGAGACCTCATGCAGAGGCCACAGGGAGGTGTTCTGGCCACCAGCCCAGCTAAGGTTCCAGCCAGCAGCCAGGCTCAACTGCCAGACATGTGTGTGAAGATACATCCAAGATGACCCCAGACCCCAGGCACCACCACACCCCAACTGAGGCCCCAGACATCGTGGAACAAAGACAAATCATCACCTATTTGCCCTGTCTCAATTCCCGACCAACAGAATCCAGGAGCCAAATAAAATGGTCATTTTACGTTTTTGTTTTTGTTTTTTTTTAAAAAACGCATCTGGAGATCTTTTTAAAAGTGCTGCAGCTTAGGTCCTGTCCCCAGTACATCCTGATTTATTTAGTCTGGAGTGGCATCTGGTATTAATTTTTTTCCCTAGTTTTTGTTATAAAAAATTTTAATATCAAGAATTGGACAAATAATACATGCAAATCTGTAGATCCATTATAATTGTGAATATTTTGCAATACACTAGATGGGTAAGTAGATAGATGATAGATAGATAGACAGATAGAAGACAGATACGACTGAACTATTTGAAAATAATTTGCAGGCATGACGTTTGACCCCTAAGTTTAAGCACGGAACTATTTAATAAGAGAAGAGATTACAGGCATGCACCACCACACTCGACTACTTTTTTATTTTTAGTAGAGACGGGGTTTCACCACGTTGACCAGGCTAGTCTCAAACTCCTGACCTCAGGTGATCCGCCCGCCTCAGCCTCCCAAAGTGCTGGGATAACAGGCATGAGCCACCACACCCGACCTTCTTATTTACTTACTTCTTATTTTGACTTTTTAAACAGGCCAGCCTTTTTTTTTTTTTTTTTTTTTTTTTTTTTGAGAGTCCTGCTCTGTTGCCAGGCTGGAGTTCAGTGGTGAGATCTCGGCTCACTGCAACCTCTGCCTCTAAGGTTCAAGTGATTCTCCTGCCTCAGCCTCCCGAGTAGCTAGGACTACAGGCACCCGCCACCATGCCCAGCTAATTTCTGTATTTTTAGTAGAAACGGGGTTTCACCATGTTGGCCAGGATGGTCTTAATCTTCTGACCTCGTGATCCACCCCCCTCGGCCTCCCAAAGTGCTAGGATTACAGGCATGAGCCACCATGCCTGGGCCAACAGCTCTCTTATAGAATAGTCGACAATCTATCTTGGTCTGACTGTCTCTTCATGGTGGCATTTAACTTGAGTGTGTTTTCCCACTTGGTCCTGTAAACTGAAGTTTAAGTCTAGTGAATTTATATTCAGATTAAGCATTTGAGGCAAGTACAGTTCATAGGAGATGGGTACTTCCCATCACATCAGATAGTACATGTTGTCCATCTGTCATACTATTACTGATGCTGAACTTAATCACTTGATGAAAGGAATGGCCATCCTATCTTTCCATTACAATATTTTTTTTATTTGCAATTAGCCAGGAACCTGTGATAGTCTGGCACATGAATATACTGTTTCCCCAATGAAATTTCACCTAGTAGTTTTGCCACCCATTGATGACTTTGTCTGAAATAATTATTTGGTTGGAAATGGAAAAAAATGATCATAGTTTTACTTTCTATTAAGAAATAACTTACACGGCAGTAAAAATTCACCCTCTGTTCTGTAGTTTTTCAGGTCTTGACAAATGTATACATTCACGTAACCACCACAACCATTAAGATATAGAGCAGGTGACTCACACCTGTAATCCCAGCACTTTGGGAGGCCAAGGTGGGCAGATCACGAGGTCAGGAGATCGAGAGCATCCTGGCCAACGTGGTGAAACCCTGTCTCTACTAAAATACAAAAAATTAGCCAGGAGTGGTGATGCATGCCTGTAGACTCAGCTACTTGGGAGGCTGAGGCAAGGCAATCACTTGAGCCTGGGAGGCAGAGGTTGCAGTGAGCCAAGATCATGCCACTGCACTCCAGCCTGGCGACAGGGCAAGACTCCATCTCAAAAAAAAAAAAAAAAAGATATAGAGCAGTTCCACTATCCCCTCCAAATTCCTCCATGTCAACTCTCGCCCAGCCCCAGCCCCTGGCAGCCACTGATCTTTTTTCTGTCCTGTTAGATTTGCTTTTTCCAGAATGTCACACACCTAGAATTATACATTGTACAGCCTTTTGAGTCTGGTTTTTTTTTTCACTTAGCACAATGCATTTGAGATCCCTCCATGTTGTTCTATGCATCAGCAGTTTTTTCCTTTTTATTACTGAACCGTATTCCACGTATTCCATTGTGTTCCATTGTATGCCAGCTTGTTTATTCAGTCCCAAATTCCCAAATTGAAGGACAGATGGGTTGTGTTCAGTTTGGAGCAATTCCAAATAAAGTCGTAGAAACATTCTCTTCCAGGCCTTTGTGTGAACTAAAGTTTTCATTTCACTTGGGTAAATACTTAGAAGTAGAATCACTAAGTTGTTTAGTAAATGTGTGTTTAACTTCATAAGAAACTGCTAAATTCTTTTTCATGGTGGCTGGACCATCTTGTGTTTCTCCCCATAGCATATGAGAGTTGAATAATTGTTTTTAAATTCTGTCATCCTTTATATTTCTTAGCTGGCATTCTCCCATGATGAGAAGCATTTCCTCATCAACTTGAGATGAACCACTGATTGGTTTATAAAGGCAGAGTAAATGCTAATTTTTCCACATCGTTACCCATTTCCAGAGGAAAGAGTTTTACAGTAGTTACTTCCAGACCTCCTCTTTTTCTCATTCTTCCTTTCTTTTTTATAACTACAGATGTAGATATTTTTATTTACTCCACATTTTACAATCACTAACATTTATCATTCTTAATAATGCTCAAATTCTTCTAAAATTCTTCCCTGGTGGGAAGGCTGTCAAGCTAGTCCTTAACCTTTCGACATGACTTCATTGGCTTTTGACACTTTTTTGCTTTCTGGCATGGTAAGATTCCCATTCTCACCTTGAACTTTCCTTGAATCAAGCCTAGGATCAGCCATTCTCCAAGAGATCTGGTTCCTTTTAATAGCCTTTAGAAACCCATTCTGGGCAGCAGGTATCTCATGGCTACTGGACACCATCACCTCTAGGTTCCTTGATTAGGAATACATGCACAGATAAACACTTTAAATCAAGACTAGGAGCTATGCATACACTGAAATTACAGATTCGTACCAATACTCCCAATTAAAATTTAACCTTCTTCATGCCTTTTATTTTTTAATTTGTATTTCTTTTATATCAAAATTACAATGCCAGCCTTACCCCAGCACTTTGGGAGGCCACGGAGGGTGGATCACAAGGTCAGGAGATCAAGATCATCCTGCCAATGTGGTGAAACCCCGTCTCTACTAAAAATACAAAAAAATTAGCCGAGCATAGTGGCAGGCGCCTGTAATCCCAGCTACTCAGGAGGCTGAGGCAGGAGAATTGCTTGAACCCAGGAGGCAGAGGCTGCAGTGAGCCAAGATTGCCCCATTGCACTCCAGCCTGGCGACAAAGCGAGACTCCGTCTCAAAAAGAAAAAACAAAAAACAAAAAAAACTAAACAGGCCAGGCATGGTGGCTTACACTTGTAATCCCAGCACTTTGGGAGGCTGAGGTGAGCAGAGTGCTTGAGCCCCAGGAGTTCAAGAGTTCGAGACAGCCTGGGCAACATGGCAAAACCCTGTCTCTACACGTGTGTGTGTGTGTGTGTGTGTGTGTATACATATATAGATATAGATATGATTTTTTTTTTTTTGAGACTGGGTCTCATTCTGCCACCCAGGCCAGAGTGCAGCAACACGGTAACAGCTCACTGCAGCCTTGACCTCCCAGGCTCAAGCGATCCAAGATGTTTTGTATTTTTAGTAAAGACAGGGTTTCACCATGTTACCCAGGCTGGTCTCGAACCCCTGGCCTCAAGTGTTCCTCCTGCCTCCGCCTCCCAAAGTGCTGGAATTACAGGATTGAGCCACTATATCCAACCTACAGAAAAACTTTTCAAAAAAATTAGCCAGGGCTGGGTGCAGTGGCTCGCGCCTATAATCCCAAGTACTTTGGGAGGCCGAGGCTGGTAAACCACTTGAGGCCAGGAGTTCAAGACCAGCCTGGCCAACATGGCAAAACCCCATCTCTACTAAAAAAAAATACAAACATTAGCCAGGCATAGTGGCACGTGCCTGTAGTCCCACCTACATGGGAGGCTAAGGCAGGAGAATCACTTGAACCCAGGAGGCGGAGGCTGCAGTGAGCTGAGATCGTGCCACTGCACTCCAGCCCAGGAAACAGAGCCAGACTCCGTCTCAAAAGAAAAAAAAAAAGACTAAACACAAATATCCAATGGAGACATTTCCTGCCTAAAACTGTACAGGAATAGACAAGACGGCAGAGGTGGGGCTAACTAAACTTCCCTCCTTATAACCCAAAAAGTGGCTCCCAGTACCTGTGGAGGTATTACCCCTCTCCCCAGGGGAAGATGCCAACAAGATGAGAAGGAAACTCCAGTTTCTAGAAACTTCAATTTTCACCTGTGTCTGAAAGAGGAACAAGATGCATACCATCTGGAAGAGAAAGGAAAAAGACCTGTAGCTGGCTTCCAGTGTTTCAGCACTCTGAGTTTGTTAGGGCTAAGGAAAGGAAAATAGGGCGTGATTAGTATTATGAAGGAGGCCGGAGTGTTGTACTAAAATATCTTCCCTGAGCACCTTCCTGAAACAGCTCCTGAATTGACACCTCAGTGAAAAATGCTACTTTCACTGAGAGAAAAAAAGACAAAAACCTGGAAATGCCTTATAAAAAAAAATCTGTTGTCTGTGTTTCAGGAAGTCTCTACTGATTCTAAATTTCACCTCTGATCCGAACCCTGGTGGTCTGATGATATTACTTCCTACTTCTGGGACCTCTACCCTACGAAACCCACCTCTCACTGAAACAAGTGGATATCTTTGTGGTTGCTGCCACGGGATTTAAGAGTCCTTTTTTTTTTTTTGATACGGAGTCTTGCTCTGTCACCCAAGCTGGAGTGCAGTGGTGTGATCTCAGCTCTCTGCAACCCCCACCTCCTGGGTTCAAGCGATTCTCCTGCCTCAGCCTCCTGAGTAGCTGGGATTACAGGCATTCACCACCATGCCCAGCTAATTTCTGTATTTTCAGTAGAGACGGGGTTTCACTATGTTGGCCAGGATGGTCTTGATCTCCTGACCTTAAGAGATCCTCCTGCCTCGGCCTCCCAAAGGGCTGAGATTACAGGCGTGAGCCACCACGCCCAGCCTAAGAGTCCATTTGAAGCATTTTTATTCTAAGAAAATTTATTTCCATATGTAGTTGGGATGAAAAGTCTATGAAATCCATTCAAAACAAAGGTGCTTTCAACTATACTGTTTGAAGTTACAGTTTTGTTTCTTCCCTTATCCTGTGCTATCTTAAGCCATATGTTGTTGTAAATTAACAGGAAAGAGGGCATTTAAAACAAATGGTTTATGTGAATAGCATTAATCCCGTCAAGACTAGTTTGTGACAAGGGCTAAAGATTGCACTCTTGCCTTTTAAGCTCAACCAAGTTAAACATCTGAACTATTTCTGCTGTCTTGTAAATATTAAGATGTAACACGTTTCTGATGTTTGTTGACATTTGTTGTACTTTTGATGAACAATTAGCCTGCAAGAATATTAACAGGAAATTCCATTCATGAGATAAGCAGCTGTTTGTGCAAAGCTTCAGCCAGATCATGGGACCAAAAATCTTCTTTATGCAACTACTGTTTGTTGAATAGTCAGCATTCCTTGCATGTTCAAAAGGAAATGCTTTGGAAATAACTTTTATGGCTAATTTTGACTTTTATATTTTCGTAAGGAGAAAATAACTTTCATGGTTAATGTTGACTCTTATACTTGCAGGTAGTAAAATAATGTCCTTTATCACCATGTAAATTTCAAACAGTAGTCATTGACAAATCCCTAGTAATTTCCAAATTGTAATGCAGAATCCTAAGGCTGGTGTTAAGATCCCTGAGTCCACGTCATATCATAATGCATGATTATTTTATTGAAATAAAAACCTACAATTATATGAAACACTCTCTCTCTCTCTTTTTTTTTTTTAGACAGAGTCTTGCTCTGTCACCCAGGCTGGAGTACAGTGGCACAAACATGGTTCACTGCAGCCTCAACTTCCCAGGCTCAAGTGACCCTTCTGCCTCAGCTTCCAGTAGCTGGGACCATAGACACGCACCACCACACTCAGCTAATTTTTAAAATTTTTTCTATGGACAGGGTCTTGCCATGTTGCCCAGGCTGGTCTTGAACTCCTGGGCTCAAGCAATCCTGCCTCTTTGGCCTCCCAAAGTGCTGGGATTACAGGCGTGAGCCACAGAGTCTAGCCAAGAACGCTCTCTAATTCAAAAATGTTTCTTAGGCCAGGTGCAGGCTCACACCTATAATCCCAGCACTTTGGGACCGAGGTGGGTGGATCACCTGAGGTCAGGAGTTTGAGAGCAGCCTGGCCAACATGGGGAAACTCCATCTCTACTAAAAATATAAAAATTAGCCAGGCATGGTGGCACATGCCTATAGTCCCAGCTACTCAGGAGGCTGAGGCAGGAGAATCGCTTGACCCCGGGAGGTGGAAATTGCAGTGAGCTGTGAGCTGAGATTGCGCCACTGCACTACAGCCTGGGCGACAGATCAAGACCCTATCTCAGGAAAAAAAAAAAAAAGTTTATCTTCCATATTTTGAGCTGTTAAAACATTTCATGTAATATTCACATAGCAACATGTATTTAGTATCCACTAAATTACTGGAGATACAACTCCAAAGGCATTTGGAGAGAGGAAGAAGACTGACAAATAACTAGGTAGATAATTTTGCCATCACAGAAATGATGGCAGGTCTCTAGAAGCACTAAGGAGACAAAATTGTTTTTCATGGCGGGGTGTCTTATCAAAGATTCACTCAAAATTCATCAATCATCAGTCACCAAATCCTGTAGAATTTACCTCCTAAATACCATCCCCTCTGCCTCTTCCTCTTTATCTCACTGTCCCGACTGCCCCCTCTCCTCTCACTTGCAAAAACCTATCTGCTTCTATCTAGCCTGCCTGCTTCTCATCTCTCTGATACACCATTAAAGCCCAAACTTTCTGGGTCATGTGGCCCTATCAGTAAAAGATTTCTGACCAGGCATCCCCAGTATGACACTTATTTATCAACTCTACACGTGAACTGCTTGCTCTCAGTCATGTGTAAGTATCAGTAAAGCTTAGTGTCTTCTTTATTTTTTTTCAGATTAAAGAATACATCTGTATCCAATTTTCTTGCATACTTTTAGGGGTACAGGCCTCCCCTGTAACATGAGAGACCACTGCTCAAAAAGGCTACAAGAGAAAAGTTTCTGAAATGATATCAACTCATAATTAAGACTCTATAGTCTTTCACTTTGACTTTAAAATAAGCTCAAGGCCCTTCTGGGTTTCCTTTTTTGCCCATGATAGCCTCAGACCTGGCTATAGAGCTAAACAGGGGAATGCTCAGATGAACAGATGCACCTCTCCATCCTCACCCCTCATCCTTTTTCATGCATATCCAGGCCTTTGCTGGAGTCCAGCTGACCTCTCAGCAGGGAAGGAGTTAAGATAGAACAGGCACTGACCACTAACAGCAGTTCTTGACTGCCCTGTGCCAAGTGGTTTTCCAGTTGAGAGCACCCCTGAGGTTTAATTGGCCAAAGTCTGAACTACAATTTTTCAGAAGGATTAAGAAATGTCCCTTTTAAAGCCCATTTCCAGGAGTGTGAGGTGATTATATGACAGATAGGAAACGAGCCTAGGCATCTTTTACCTGCTCCAACTGGCTAGAATAATCTAGCATAAATCCAAAAGGTAATTCCAATATGCATCCCATCACCTAAACTATTCCACATCATTTACATGAAATCATGTAAATCATGACATCATGGTTTCTCCCCAGTTCATAAATCAGCTCTGCCTTCTATAGTCAGTCAAGTTCCCCATGAATGCTACCACCACCAACCCTGCTTTCCACGTAGCAAACCTGACATTTAAACTGAATTTCTCCCTCTCCTTCATGCTCACATCTATTTACCAACACCTCCCCAACCCCGCCTCGGAGAAGTCTTTGAAATCCATCTTTCCTCCTCTGACACTCATTAGTCTAGGCCTTCAGCATGTCTTGCTTGAGGAATTACAATCATCTCCTACTTTGTCCACCAACCTCCAGGTTCTCTGTTTTAGCTCAGTTGCCTAATTATCTTCTTAAACAAAAGTTTAGCTGATATCCATATGCCTCTCTTAGTAAAAACATTTGAGCACACACCTCTAAAATGGGATTATTTAAAAATTATAAACATGCATTACTTTGCTAATATATTTTGCATATTGTAAAATTATATATATATACAAATATAAATTTAAAAGTGTGGCATGGGCCAGGCGTGGTGGCTCACGCCTGTAATCCCAGCACTTTGGGAGGTCGAGGTGGGCAGAACACGAGGTCAGGAGATCAAGACCATCCTGGTTAACACGGTGAAACCCTGTCTCTGCTAAAAATACAAAAAATTAGCCAGGCGTGGTGGCGTGTGCCTGTAGTCCCGGCTACTCGGGAGGCTGAGGCAAGAGAATGGCATGAACGCAGGAGGCAGAGCTTGCAGTGAGCCGAGATCACGCCACTGCACTCCAGCCTGGACGACAAAGCGAGACTCTGTCTCAAAAAAAAAAAAAAAAAAAAAAGTGTGGCATGATCTCTTGTGTCATTGAGGAGGGGTAATGAAACTGTTGTATGTCCTGATTATAGTGATGTTATTATAATAGGTTGCAATAACTTATATGTTTGTGTTAAAATCCAGAAAACTATACACCAATTAAAAAAACTCAATTTTACTGCAGATAAATTTAAAAACTAAATTTTAATGAAAGTATGAGATAAAATTCAAATAGTTGTAATATATTTGCCCACTCCCAACTGGATTACCTTTTGCATCTTTTGAGAAGACACAGCGCCTTTGGGATCACTGAATCACAGGATTAAATTCAAACTCCTCAGACTGGCATTTTTGACTGCTATTGTAAAAGAAATAGCAAAAATTCCTCAAATCATTAAAGGCTTTTTCACCTATTTTGTCATGACTCTACTTCTAGTTACATGGTGTTATGGAAATATTGATAGTGAGTATAAATCATAGTGTGTATAACTGTTATAAAATAGAAGAAGGCTGTTTGTGTTACTCTTCTAGAGCATATAATTGATCTAAATTTGCTTTTGTGACCTGCCCAGCATAATGACAGAGAAAGGCATGGGCTGATGGTGATAAGATTCAGGGAAGAAATATCTACAATGCTAAGTAAAAATCACCTATCAGGCTGGGCGCCTGTAATCCCAGCACTTTGGGAGGCCGAGGCGGGTGGATCACAAGGTCAAGAGATCGAGACCACCCTGGCCAACATGGTGAAACCCCATCTCTACTAAAAATATAAAAATTTGCTTGGCATGGTGGCACGCACCTGTAGTCTCAGCTACTCAGGAGGCTGAGGCAGGAGAATTGTTTGAACCCAGGAGGTGGAGGTTGCAGTGAGTCGAGATCACACCACTGCACTCCAGCCTGGGCTACAGAGCGAGACTGCGTCTCAAAAAAAAAAAAAAAGAAAGAAAGAAAGAAAAAAAAAATCACTGATCAAAGCAAAGGACCCAGAACACTAAGAATATACAGAAGGAGAAGCTTCACAAAAGAAAGTTCAGGAGGAGAGAATGGGATGGATCCTGTCCCAAATAAAGTATCATTCTGTGTCAACCACTTGAAAACTTTGAGCAAACTACTTGACCTCAAAGTGAAGAAAAGCCAGAAAATTTCATTCTTCTAATTTCATCAAGGCAGGCCCATACGATCTGCCTATTTACCAAGGTAAGGACAACTTGTGAAAGACGTTGAATGGGCAAGTTATAAATAAACTTACAGGTGTCTCCTGGGTAGCATGCCCTTCAAGATTATCTGATTCTACAAGGGCCTGCAGTTTTCATTGTCTTTGAGCTATTTTACAACTCTCTAAGTTGTAGAAAACTAAAGATAATGCAAATGATTCTTGTCCACAGAAATGCAAATGAATTTTTTTCACTGGAATACAACCAATAATACTGCCCTATGAACACTGACCAGTTTTGCATCCATTTTTAAGATTCATTTTAGCATTCCTGATTGCCTAAATATGTGTTATTTGAATTTTCCTTTGAATCAATTGTAACATCTTACTAATTATCTCATTAATTGGTGAGTTAAATAAAAGCTTTTACACATGTTCATTTTCATGGAAATCATGATTTTGCCTTTTTAATAAAAACGTATCCTTTAGATATGTTTTTTTCCTTAGATACGTTCTTTAGAAACCAAGAATCCAGGAAAACCTGTGAGACTTACATGTCCTCTTGATAGGCAAGCAAAGAACCCAAAGGAATTTCCCTCCCATCATCCTTCTGTTTCAATGTAATAGAGCTGCTGCAGTTTTGCTGTAGAAAGGCTTAAACTTTTGAAGATGTCAGCTGCCTCTGCCTTTTGCAGAAAATTCTGTTAAAGGTGAAACAAGTAAAAACTCTAATTGAAGCTTTGCCATTCAAACCTACACTGGCTATCAGTAATTTAGCCACAGCCACTTTCTGCCCTTTACTTCCCAGTCTTCTACCGCTAGGACCCTGCGCTCCAGCCATTTGTTCTTCATCCCCTTACGCTACTCCCTCCACGTAGAATGGGTGAGGTTGGGGGTCGTCTTTCCTTCTCATGCTTCAAGATCCTGTGAAAGAGTCACCTCCTCATGTGACAAGGCTCAAACATTTGCAGAAATGGCTACAGGACGTTCACATCTTATCCTAAATTTCCACAGAATTTGTACAAATCTTCTTGTTTATGTTGCTTAGATGCAAACGTTTCATGGCTTTGCATGAGTCTCTAGTTCAGAAAGCTCATTTTTCCTAGCTAGCTCTAGCATTTCACCTTGGGGATGACACTACGTATAAGGGGCAGAAGATGAGGTCTTAAGGATGGAATTTGGAAGCAAACTACCAAAATAGAGTTCAGCAGCTTTGCTTAATTAATAAAAGAGAATTCGATGGATGGAATGAGGCAGGTGAGGGAAAGCGGAGAATGGAGGAAAAAGAGGAGAGAAGGAAAAGGAGCAGGAACAGGGAGTTCAGAAAGAGTCCTCATCACAATAGTGGTGGAGGACAGGCACGGCTCATGCCTATAATGGGGCTCATGCCCCAGCACTTTGGGGGGCTGAGGCAGGTGGATCGCCTGAGGTCAGGAGTTCAAGACCAGCCTTCGGCAACATGGTGAAACCCCGTCTCTATTAAAAATACAAAAATGAGCCAGGCACAGTGCCATGCTCCTGTAGTAGCAGCTACTCAGGAGGCTGAGGCACAAGAATCACTTGAACCCAGGAGGTGGAGGTTGCAGTGAGCCAAGATCACGCCACTGCACTGGAGCCTGGGTGACACAGCGAGACTCTGTCTCAGAAAAAAAAACCAAGAGTGATAGAATGAAATTAGAGTTGGTGGAAACCCCCAAGTAACAGTTTGAAGTATAGGGGAGTCTGTTGTTCAAGTTTAGATGAATTGCTCTATGGTTCTGCAGTATGCCTTCCTTGTCATCAAATTGCCAGCAAAACTTTACCACAGAGAGCTGCATCATGTGCATCGTATTTTCATGGAAAGAGCAAACAATCCAGGGTTGTGTCCCACAATTGTGTTGACTCCATGGAAAAAAGGAAGGAACAGCTGCAGGACAGAGAGTGGAGAACAAAAATTCAGCAGAAGCTGGAAGCAGAAAACAGAGGTGACTGGGAGTGTGATAGGAATATCCAGAAATTTTGGCAAACTCATTGAACTTTCACTGTCTGATGGACAAGGAGTTTGAGCAGATATGATTTAGGTCTAAGAAGGGAGTGGCAGATAGCCCAGTGGACATCTGGTTGCCTCAGATATGTGATCCTGCTGTATCTGGATGAGATCCTGAACTAGGAACTCCTCAGAAACAGGAGGCAGAAGATATTCATTTCTCCTAGCAAAGCAAAGTGCTTGCCTTATAATGGGTGATGAAAAAATATTAACGGATCACTTAACAAACTTTAATTAGTAAGTAGTGAAATGTCATTTATTCTAGTTGGTAACCTAATATTCTGTTTTTAGCCTAAGCTATTTATTATCTAGAGGCACTTGGGCTTCTTATGTTTATTATATAATATTATTTTATTTATATTATTATAGTTATTTTTATTTTTTCTGGGATTAAAATACTTATTATTCTTTCATAGTATCGAGTAATGTGTCAACCCCTTGAGGTTGTCATTGTTCTTAAGTGTTCTTAAGCCACACTGAGTAGGGCCATAATGACCCAAAAAAGTTCAAGTTCACTGGAGGCTACAATATGACCAGTCCCATAGGGACTGTTATGGGCTGAATTATGTCCCCCTCATCACAATTCATATATTGTAGCCCTAACCTGCAGTGCCTCAGACTATAACTGTATTTGGAGATAGGGCCTTGATATGGTTTGGCTCTGTGTCTCCACCCCAATCTCATGTTGAACTGTGATCCCCAGTGTTAGAGGTGGGCCTGGTGGGAGGTGATTGGATTATGTGGGTGGTTTCTAATGGTTTAGCACCATCCTCTCAGTGCTGTCTCATGACAGAGTTCACAGGAGATGTAGTTGCTTGAAAGTGTGTAATACCTCTCCCTTCACCCTCCCTCTCTCCTGCCAGCCATGTGAAGACGTGCCTGCCTCCCTGTTACCTTCCACCATGATTGTAAGCTTCCTGAGGCCTCCCCAGCCATGCCTGCTGTATAGCCTGCAGAACAGTGAGTCAATTAAACTTCTTCTTTTTATAAGTTATCCAGTCTCAGGTAGTTCTTTATGGCAATGTGAGAACAGAACAGACTAGTACAGGCCTTTAAAGAAGTAATTAGGCTAGGTGCGGTGGCTCACGCCTGTAATCCCAACACTTTGGGAGGCTGAGGCGGGCGGATCACGAGGTCAGGAGATCGAGACCATCCTGGCCAACAGGGTGAAACCCCGTCTCTACTAAAAATACAAAAAAAATTAGCCAGGTATGGTGGTGCACGCCCGTAGTCCCAGCTACTCAGGAGGCTGAGGCAGGGGAACAGCTTGAACCTGGGAGGTGGAGGTTGCAGTGAGCCGAGATCGCGCCACTGCACTCCAGCCTGGAGCCACAGCAAGACTGCGTCTCAAAAAAAAAAAAAGAAAAAGAAAAAAAGAAGTAATTAAAGTAAAATGAAGTCTTATATTGGGCTCTAATCTGACATGCCTGGTGTTCGTATAAGAAAAGAATATCAGGACAGAGACACAGAAGATCATGTGAGGACATAGAGGAAATGTAATGATCTGTAAGTCAAAGAGCAGTTTCAGAAGAAACCGAAGCTGCCAACACCTTAATCTTGGACTTTCAACCTCCATAATTGTGAGAAATAGATTTTTATTGCTTAAGCCACACAGTTTGTGGTGTTTGGTTATGGCAACCCTAGTAAACTAATATAGCGACCATATTTTCCAAACTAGAAATTGAGACATGTGGCTTGACAAGTACAAGTGATTTATAGACTCAATTGACTAGAATACCCTATATTTGAAACCCAGCCATATCTAATTCATAGTTAATTCACAAACTTACTTCCAAACAGGACTTTACTTAATCCTAGAAAAATACTGTTACTCAACTCTTTATAAACTCTTAGGAAATGGGGTTCTATTCCTACCCCTGAAAATATACCAAATCCCAAGTTCTGCAACTGAAATTTTAACACCATGCATCTTTTTTTGGGCCTTTTAAAATCAAACTAAATACAATTTAGAGAGAACTAAGGGCAGAAATCCATGGACTTCATGGACTTTTCATTCGTTTTTTTTTTTGTTTTTTTTTTTTTTTGAGACGGAGTCTCGATCTGTTGCCAGGCTGGAGTGCAGTGGTCCGATCTCAGCTCACTGCAATCTCCGCCTCCCGGGTTCAAGTGATTCTCCTGCCTCAGCCTCCTGAGTAGCTGGTATTACAGGCACGTGCCACCACGCCCAGCTAATTTTTGTATTTTTAGTAGAGTCAAGGTTTTAACCATGTTGGCCAGGATGGTCTCGATCTCTTGACCTCGTGATCCACCTGCCTCGGCCTCCCAAAGCGCTGGGATTACAGGCGTAAGCCACCGCGCCTGGCCCGGACTTTTCATTCATAACATGTAAGTGTAGGTTAAATTATTGTAAGAGCACACTGTTCTATTTTTAGAAGAGAAGAAATCTGAGAATCTAGCATGCCTTCAGGAAGACAATACCTTTAAGAAGAGTAGCACAGACCGGCATTCACATCCTCAGGCTAACCACCTACATAACTGGAAAACACCTAGGGGTGGGGACAGAAAGGAATTATTTTAAACTAAATATTTTGTCAGGGCACAGTGGTTCATGCCTGTAATCCCAGCATTCAGAGAGGCCAAAGCTGGAGGATTGCTCGAGCCCAGAAGCTCAAGGCCAGCCTAGGCAACATAGTGAGATCCTATCTCTACAAAAAATGAAATTAAAAAATTATCCGGGCATGGTGGTGCATGCCTGTAGTCCCAGCTACTCAGAAGACTGAAGCAAGAGGCTCCACTGAGCCCCAGGAATTCAAGGTTACAGTGAGCTATGAGTGTGCCATTGTACTCTATCCTGGTCAGCAGAGCAAGATCCTGTCAAACACACACACACACACAAAACCCTAACTATTCTTTAAGATCTAAATCCAAAAATGAGGCAGGTCTGATGGCTCACACCTGTAATCCCAGCACTTTGGGAGGCTGAGGTGGGTGGATCACTTGACATCAGGAGTTCAAGGCCAGCCTGGCAAACATGGTGAAACCCCATCTCTACTAAAAATACAAAAATTAGCGGGGCGTGGTGGCCCGTGCCTGTAATCCCAGCTACTCGGGAAGCTGTGGCAGGAGAATCACTTGAACTCGGGAGGTGGAGACTGCAGTGAGCCAAGATCGCACCACTGCACTCTAGCCTGGGCGACAGAGTGAGACTTCATCTCAAAAAAAAAAAAAGAATTGAAACTGGCTGTAGTTGTTGTTGCTACAGGTCATGTTAACTGCAATGCCTGTTTTTTCCCTCAGAGCTGCAATAAGAAACAATCAAAGCTCTCATTTATTAACGTACACTACAAAAATGCTAACATGTATATATTTAAACTCCCATGGGGAATTCAAAGAAAATGATGACGCATGTGGAATCCTCATCAAATGCAAGCCAGGTGTGAATTTTTTTTGCCTTTTGCCAGAAAGCTTCAGACTCGCAGACTTTATATTATAACTAAGTGTTTCAAGTCTCTCCACAGGTGAGAGAAATACAGCTAAGTTAAAAGAAAAATTAAATTATGAATGTTTCTGGAAGAAATACAGTTATTTGACTCTGGGGTGAGATGACAAAGTAGAACCAAATTTTAAAATGGCTGAATTCACAAAAGGCAAAGAAGAAAAATTTTAAAAGCATAGCTAGAGAAAAATAAGTTTCATCCACTGTCCTTACAACACATGAAAAGAGAAAATCTTATACTAAATCTTTAAAACATGTTACCCAGAAAATCCCAGGTGTTCTCCGAGATGGGAAGGTAGGTAGCTCCTAGCCTCGTCTCCCCAGCAGCAACGTCAAAACAAAAAAAAAGACTGGAAGCTAAGCACAGCGGTTCATGCCTGTAATCCCAATACTTTGGGAGGTTGAAGTAGGAGGATTGCTGGATCCCGGGAGTTCGAGACCAGCCTGAGCAACATCGTGAGACCTCATCTCTACAAAAAATACAAAAATTAGCCGGGCCTGGTGGCACACACTTATAGTCCCGACTGTCGGGAGGCTGAGGTATGAGGGTCACCAGAACCCGGGTAGCCAAGGCTGTAGTGAGCCTTGATAGCGCCACTGCATTCCAGCCTGGGTGACAGAGTGAGACCCTGTCTCAGAAACAAGAAAACAACAACAACAAAACAACAACAAATAGAGGTTTCCAAGGCACAAAACTAAATAAACACATTTTCTCAAAGGAGAAAATAAGAAAAAACTCACTTGAATCCAAGGCACGAAGTGCACAGAAGCCTCATTTAAAATGCTTAACCTCTCTTCGGATTAAAACTGCCATCACAATAGGTGGGGCACAGAACAGCCTTGTAAAGGACAGGCTCTAGAGACAGACTCCGTGTGCTTGAATCCTGCCTCCACTACTTATTAGCTGTATCGTCTTGGGCAGGTGCCTTAATGTCTCTAGCATCAGTTTCCTTAGCTGTGAAATGAGAATTATTATAATTCCTACATACAAGGCTAAAATTAGCTGATATAGATAAGGCATTTAGAAAGGTGCCCAGCAAGCGGTGGCTCACGCCTGTAATCCCAGCACTTTGGGAGGCCAAGGCGGGCGGATCACAAGGTCAAGAGATCGAGACCATCCTGGCCAACATGGTGAAACCCCGTCTCTACTAAAAATAAAAAAATTAGCCAGGCATGATGGTGCACGCCTGTAGTCCCAGTTACTCAGGAGGCTGAGGCAGAAGAATTGCTTGAACCCGGGAGGCGGAGCTTGCAGTGAGCCAAGATCGCGCCACTGCACTCCAGCCTGGTGACAGAGCAAGACTCCATCTCAAAAAAAAAAAAAAAAAAAAAAAGGTGCCAGGCACATGGTAAACTATATTCATGGGACTATATTTGTGTTGACTGTTATTATTATTGTGATTTTGTTGAAGTCCACGAACTCCCTTTTCTTTCCTCTGTCCCCTCTGGCTAGGAAGGATGTGGAGGGCCCATAGTGGACCAAAGTACCATGTAAGAGGCTGGTGATTTAAGATCAAAAGTCTCAATCCCTGGCCCTAATGAAGCTCTCAGCCTAGTGGGGACAAGCATATAAGCAAGTGACCCACCCAAGCTCCAGCAGTGATTGTCCCGATCCATGCGTGGCAGGAAACAGTCCTGGGAGGAGATTTACTTGAGAGATCCTCACTGCCAACACCAGTCCCAACCCCAGGAAGAAATGAAGGAGCCTCCACTCCCTTCTCAGTGGCCAATTGTGTTTTGATCATTTTTGTTTAAACAGTCGGCTTACATCCTTCCCGCTCTTCCTCCTCTAGTGCTGTCTGCCACACTGAGCCAGCCTTTTCTTGCCACGCCTCTTGCACAATTTACTACTGAAGCACAGCACGTAGGCTTCTCTCTGAAGCTCCTGCATCACACACAGAACCATCCTGACTCAGCACAGATCCCTCTGTCCTTCATTCCTCTTGAGTTATGTAGCATTTCCACACACGTAGATTCCACATGTTACATTCTTAACCTTTTCATGCCTTCTTCCCCATTCCCATGATTCTTAAGAGCAAGAAAAGGAAAAACAGTCCAAAAAGCAGGGCCATGATATATGACTGTCTTCACTATGCATCATTTCGTGAACAAGGTCCTTAGAGTTGTGCAGTTCACAACCTGAACAACCCTATGTAGCAGCTCTGGCAGCATGAGCTCTAATAGAATGTGTACGAGGTACACTGGGAGCACAGTAGATAGAGTGGTCAGTTCTAGGTGGGGAGGCCAGGGATAGCTGTACAAAACAAGCAGTCACTGACCTAAGATCGTGAACCACAGGTAGAGGTCCTCCATTCTTCCAAAGGTCTAGGGAGGATGTCCAGTGGAGAGGCAGCTGCTTGGGAAAAGGCACAGAAGCATGAAACAGTCCAACATTCTGACATTACGAGATGAGCAAGGACTGGGAAGCATCTAGATCAAAGGGGATAAGGAAGGAGCAGCTGGAGGTGAAGCTGAAGACATAACCGTTTGGGGACATGCATGCTATGCCAATGAATCAGAGAGTTTGGGGCGCCTACGCAAGGGCTGAGGCCTGGGGGGAAGGAGCTGTGCAAGAACAGATTTGTGTTTTAGAAAGATTCCTCTAGCAGTGTACATATGGGACAAATTGGAGCCAGGCTGACCTGGGAGACCACTCAGAAGCTCTCATCATAGTCCAAGAGCTAAAGATGAGTATCCATACTATTTCTGCAGACATTCCAGAAACATTTAAAAAACACAAGAGATGGGGCAAGGTGACTTACCAGGATGGGAAGTAGCTGAAAGAGACCCGGGTAACCATCAGGGCCCTAGCTTTGGTAAGTGAGTACAGGATAGTACTTTTACCTGTTCTAAAGGCATACAGGAGGAGAAGTAAGTTTGGAGGAGAAATAATTGGTCGTCTATAACCATACCACCTTGAACACCTGCTTGATCTTGGAAGCTAAGCAGGGTCTGGCCTGGTTAGTACTTGGATGAGAGAAATAATAGGTTGAATTACAGGAGTCTTGAAAACATGCAAGTAAATATATTGAAGCACTAATTGGTTATTTAGTGTCTGGAGTTCAAGAGCAAGATTTGTTCTTAAGGTAAGAGTCACAAGAGTAGCTAAGAGCACAATGAAAATGAAAAAAGGAAATAGTTACTATGAGCTACTTATTCTGGGGCACTTGTACAGGAAAAATGACAAGATGTAAAGTTGAGGAAGGTATTTTTCTAATGAAACCTGAAATATTAATGGATGCAAGAAAGGAGTAAGGCAAGAGCGAGAGACTGAAATATGAGACAGATGTAATCATCAGAGTGAGATCAGGGAGGGGATATGGTTAAGAGCATAGTTGGGCTGGATGCAGCGACTCATGCCTGTAATCCCCGCACTTTGGGAGGCTTAGGCAGGTTGATTGTTTGAGCCCAGGAGTTCAAGACCAACTTAGGTAACATGGCAAAACCCTGTCTCTACAAAAATACAAAAGTTAGCCGGGTGTGGTGGTATGCACCTGTAGTCCCAGCTACTCAGGGAGCTGAGATGGGAAGATTGCTTGAACCCAGCACACCGAGGCTGCAGTGAGCTAACCCAGCACACCGAGGCTGCAGTGAGCTGCAATTATGCCCCTCCACTCCAGCCTGTGTGACAGAGTGAGACCCTGTCAAAAAAAAAAAAAAAAAAAAAAAAAGATCGTAGTCTTCACTCGGATCCCTGAAACTGCAAGTCTAGGTTAGAAAAAGAAGGCATTCACACCTAGGAACTTTTTTTCTCTAAAAAATAGAAAATAAATAATTGATTCATTAAGTCACTCTTTTGGTCACTATTCTATGAGCACCTACAAAATACCCTGGCACAACAGCCACCATCCTTGTCCTCCTGGAACTTAAAAGCTGGGAGTGTGGCAGGTGTTAATCAAATGCCCATACAAGTAAATGCAAAATTGCAACTGTGATAGATGCTACGTCAAATTACATGGTTCAATAAGAGTTTATAGTAAGAAGAATTGGCCTACTCAGGTGTCAGCAAAGCCTTCCTCTCTGAATAGGTCA
Source organism: Homo sapiens (assembly GCF_000001405.40). Lineage (NCBI taxonomy): Eukaryota > Metazoa > Chordata > Mammalia > Primates > Hominidae > Homo > Homo sapiens. Next base: position 17,155,939 of record NC_000005.10, on the reverse strand, counting down.
ATTCCCCTCACTATAAACTCTTTTTCAGCACAAGTCAAACCCTTATTGGCACAAGGAGAACTTGTCATTGATGAAGTGGCATAATTTCAATTCACAAGTTAGAGTCAATGAGAAGAGAAAGACGGGAAGAAGGCTTGGCATATGCAACGGCCCTGTGGAAGCAGGGAGTACTGGAAGTCCTTGGATCAAAAGATAGTCAGTGTGACCGGAGCAAAAGAGTGAGGTGGAGCATGACAAAAGACGAACCTGGAGACATTAGTAGAACCAGACAAGGTAGGATCTTACAGGACATCCCATAAAAGCTCATCTTAATAGTAAAGCGCTAGGAAGTCATTGATGAGTTTTAAAAAGCATAGGTGGCTGAGCTCACATGATCACATTTGTATTTTATACATTTTCAAAAGTTGACTTTAGCCGCAGCCTGGAGAATGGACCAGAGGAATCCAGAGGGGACAAAATAAGCTAGTGAGGCTACTTTGGTAACCCTGGAAAGAGATGACTATAGCTCAAAAAAGGTGACAGTGGTGAGAATTGAAAAAGAAGATAACTTTAAAAGATATTTAGAAAGATATTATTGAAATTCAGTAAGGGTAAGGTGAAGGAATATTGAGGCTGGCCCCCTACATTTAGGATCTGCCCCAAATTGGGTAGATTACCAGGATGAAGTACACTGGAAGCAGCCTGGATTTCGAAGGAAGATCATGCATTTACTTCTAGATATATTGATTTTAATGTGCCTTTGGGACATTCAAGAGTGGATATCAAGTAGACTGTTGGCCAGGTAAGACTAGATCTCAAAGGAGAAGCCCAAATTATTGATATGAAGAGTAGGCATAGATAGGATAAGATTGTTTATGGACAGAACATGGAGGAAAGGAGAGGTGCCAAGACAGACTCTTGAGGAGCTCAAAGAATCAGTGGCTAGATAGAAGATGATGAAACTGCAAAAGGAAAGAAGAAATGACCAGGAAGTTCAGAAGAAAACTAAGATAGCTTTACGGTCAGAAAATGGGGGCAAGAAAGTTCCAGAAAGAGGACATGTTCAAGAATGTTGCTAAGAAGAAAGGTGAGAGTAGAAAAGTCCATTGGATTGACGTGGAAGAGTAATGGAGCCAGAAGTCATGCTGAGTCAAGCTGAAGAATGAGACAGTGAGTGTAGACAATTCTATCTAGATCCAGAATGACTGAGTCATTGACTATGAATAAAAGCAGTAAAATCAGGAAGGTGATTTGAGGAAGGAGCAAAAGTTCAGACTTGTAGCTGAGAGTTACTAAAGGAAGACCTGACCAAAAAGAATGCAAAATAAATAAATAAACCGAGGAGAGAGATTTCCATTAATTTTCGGTGGCACCAGTTTGCCTGGGTGGGCAATTCTTTCTAGTTATCATAGTCTGAATTTAGCTGGGAAACACCAAGTTGTGGTTAAAAAAAAAAAGGAAAAAATAAAAAACACAAGGAGACAATGAAGTTGAGTAGCCTGAGAGGAAGAGGTGCTAATTGTCTCTGAGAGCCAGGCTCCATATGGAAGGAATTGTCCCCAGGAGGCTGATAATTAGCTGCAAATAGATAAGTCAAGGGATTAGAGACCACGATAAAGACAAAAAGCATGTTTAGGGGAAGGCAGGTTAAGAAAGCTGAATTGACAGGTGAAGTGGATGCTGTCAATGTAGCCTGATATCTGCATGGCAGCCTCTACTTCTATGCCCTCTACTCTGGCCAGACTGTCACCTGCTTTTTGCCGGAGGGTGGGAGTTGAGGTTTTTTGGTTTTTGGTTTTTTTTTTTTTTTTTGAGATAAAATGTCGGTCTTGTTGCCCAGGCTGGAGTGCAGTGGCACGATCTCGGCTCACTGCAACCTCTGCCTCCCAGGTTCAAGCGATTCTCCTGCCTCAGCCTCCCAAGTAGCTGGGATTACAGGTGTCTGCCACCGAGCCCAGCTAATTTTTGTATTTTTAGTAGAAATAGGGTTTCACTATGTCAGCCAGGCTGGTCTTGAACTCCTGACCTCAGGCGATCCGCCTGCCTCGGCCTCCCAAAGTGCTGGGATTACAGGCATGAGCTACCATGCCCGGCCACCTCCTTTTGTCTCAACTCCCTTCCAGGCCAGAAGTGCTGGGCACCAGATTCCCCCTAGAAGCAACCCCCAGCCAACACTCGTCAGGAATCAGTGACTGTCTAATGCAGCTCCTTGGCCTTCCCCCGGTGGGATGTTCTTGCTGCCTCCCAGAGTTCCCCAGTGGGGATGGTTCCAGTTGCCCATGGTGAGCACTTGCTTGCCATTGGACTCTTTTATTAGCTTCTTTCCCTTCCTTGTCTCAGTCCTCCACCCCAACACTGGGATTAGCTCCCATAGAAACGACTTGTATGGGAGTCCTTCTTCAGGGTCTGTTTTTTGGGGAACTCCAGCCAAGACAGTAGGTGGTTGCTGCTGAAGTTTTCAGAGGTGAATCTGTTGAAGCTAAAAAGAGTATTAAAAAGAGTTCAGGATGCTTAAGTGCAGGGGAGAGAAATGTTATTGGTTCTTTTTTTTTTTTTTTTTTTTTTTTCTGAGATGGAGTCTAGCTCTGTCGCCCAGGCTGGAGTGCAGTGGCATGACCTCGGCTCACTGAAAGCTCCGCCTCCCGGGTTCACGCCATTCTCTTGCCTCAGCCTCCTGAGTAGCTGGGACTACAGGCGCCTGTCACCACGCCTGGCTAATTTTTTTTGTATTTTCAGTAGAGACGGGGTTTCACCATGTTAGCCAGGATGGTCTCGATCTCCTGACCTTGTGATCCACCCGCCTCAGACTCCCAAAGTGCTGGGATTACAGGCGTGAGCCACCACGCCCGGCTGGTAAATGTTATTGATTCTAAAATAAAACAGCATTAGAGGCTGCTGTGTTTGGGACTGTCCACATGGACGTCAAATTGACCCCAGATGTCATAGGTGGTGACCTAGAGAAAGAGACCGTGAACCAACGAGGTGGTTCCACAGGGGTGCTGGGTAGATGAGGCAGATGACATGACCCAAAACAAAGAGGATTTTACACAAGGGATGTAAAGTAATGTCTAGGCACCGGAAGGGGGACCAAGGTCAATGTTGACTCCTCCTTCCAGATTTAGGATATGCCGGAGAAACAGCTGCCCCCATTGGAATGGTTCTAAGTTTTTAAAAATAAACTGTCCCTATGGGAGGACAACTGACCAGTCTACAGTGGGTTGGAGATATAGGGAAAGACTTTCCAATAAAAAGGACAGGAGGCTCTAGATGAACCAAACAGGACAACGTAGTAAAGGGGATGAGTTAGGGGGAGAAACAGCAACCAGGGATTGTGCATCTTGAGCAGTGCCTCAGAGTGAAAAGTTCCAACCCGCTTCTGATGCAGCTTCTGGCATGACGCTGAGAACCCAACACGCACAGCCACGCAGCCCAGGTGTCATGGAATTGGGGAAATTGAGCGGGGCAGTTGCTCTGGAGGCCAGGCGGCCATGGACCACTATTCCAGGCTGTCTCTGGCGTTAAGGGCTCCAAGGACTCTCCCCAAACAGGGGCCAACTTTATACTTACATTATGCAATACTTAAACTTAAAACAACTGATGCACAGCTTACAGTTGTGTGAAAATATACAAAGTAATCATCAATGCCCATAGTCTGGCAGCACTGCCTTTTTTAAAGTCCAGGCCTCTTGTTTCTATCAAAATCTCTCTCTCTTCATTCTCCTCATCCTCTTCCTCCCTCTCCTCCCCTCCCCCCTCATCAAAGTAAACTGAATTAGCCTCCAGCAGGTGGACATTAAAAGGATTGTTATTATCTGTGCAGTGTTCATTCTGAAAAGGAATCTGCTACGTAGCAACTTCTGAATTGGGTTCACTTTGTGCTCTTTGAGGCATCACAGAAGTCAGCGTAGAACAGTTTGAACTAATACTCTCCTGCCCAGAAACAACCAAGCGTCCTGGGAAGACGGCGCTGCACTGCTCTGCAGATTCCCCCTCAGGAATGAAAGCTTCCTAGTCCATCCCCTACAAGGATTGAAAGGAGCCTCTTCACTGAAAGTCACAGACCCATCTCCAGATGCCTGCATTCCATGGCTGACCTCCGTGGGGGTCCGAGGCCACAGTGAGTCAGCTTTGCAAGACCATCCCGCCTTCAGAGCTCCTGAGGTCCTGGCTGAGACCTTTATTAAGACTGTGCCACAGCTCAACGTCTCTCCCTTACTTCATCCTGCTCCTTCTCTTCTCCTTTATGATGTAAATCCCCAAAACTCTCCCCAAGAAACATCCTTTTTTCCATCATCACAGAGCTCTGAGGAGCTACAAATGGTGTCGCTTCCAAACAAGGATAATTTCAGGAAACCTGATCTGACGCTGCAACATTGGTTTATAAAAAATACCATACAGGCCGGGTGCAGTGGCTCACGCCTGTAATCCAAACACTTCGGGAGGCCGAGGCAGGAGGATTGCTTGAACCCAGGAGTTCGAGACCAGCCTGCACAACATGGCAAAACCCCATCTTTACAAAAAATTAGCCAGGTCTGATGGCACATGTTTGTAGTCCCAGCTGCTCCGGTAGGCTGAGGTGGGAGGATTACCTGAGCCCAGGAGTTCGAGGCTGCCGTGAACTATGATCACACCACCACACTCCAGCCTGGGTGACAGAGTAAAACCCTGGCTCCAATATATATATATATGTATGTATATGCCGGACACGGTGGCTCACGCCTGTAATCCCAGCACTTTGGGAGGTCGAGGCAGGTGGATCACTTGAGGCCAGGAGTTCGAGACCAGCCTGGAAAACATGGAGAAACACTGTCTCTACTAAAAATGCAAAAATTAGCTGGGTGTGGTAGTGCACACCTGCAATCCCAGCTACTTGGGAAGCTGAGGTAGGAAAGTCGCTTGAACCCAGGAGTTGCAGTAAGCCGAGATCGCACCACTGCACTCCAGCCTGGGCAACAGGGCAAGACTCCGTCTCTAAAAAAAAAGAAAAGAAAAAAGAAAAGAAAATATAATACCAATTTACTAGGTATTGAAGGAGGAAGGGAAAAGAGCTTGTGCTAACTCATTTGACCTTGGAATTGAATCCTCACCTTATGTTTTCTCCAGGGAAGACATATTCTGAAGAATACCAAGATAAAGTATAACAAGAGCTCATCAGCCCAGGATTTGGGTGACGTAGATTCTGGCTTCCATTCTGATGTTAGCTGGAATACACAACGTTCTCTTCATCTACATCCACTTTTAACTTCTCCAAGGACTTCTCTGTGAGAACTGCCAACTCATATGGTAGCCCTGGCTGCCATTTTTGGAGCCCATGCCATGTTCTGACATCTGGAATTCGGCAGTTGTGCCTGCTCTTTCTCAGAAATAGAACTATCATCACAAAGAAAGCTATTTTGGTGGGAAATTTTAAAAGATGGTTTAAACTATAAATTCCACCCTTAAAATTTTTTAATCACAAACAACTTTCAAATATAAATACAAGTAGTCTCCAGTTTTTAAACTAAGCGTATCATATATATAATTCATAATTAATTACTGGCCATGCACAATAGCTCAGGCCTATAATCCCAGCACTTTGGGAGGCCGAGGTAGGAGGATCACTTGAGCTCAGGAGTTCCAGACCAGCCTGAGTAACATAATAAGACCTCGTCTCTACTAAAAATAAAAAATTAGCCAGGCGTGAGGGTGTATACTTGTAGTCCCAGCTAATCAGGAGGCTGGTACGAGAAGATGGCCTGAGCCCGGGAGATTGAGGCTGCAGTGAGCTATGATCGCATCACTGCATTCCAGCCTAAGCAACAGAGCAAGACCCTGTCTCAAAAAATTAAAATAAAGTAAAAACAAACAAACAAAAAATTCACTACCTCAATGGAAGCAATAGTAAAAATAAACATTAGTTCAGCTCAGTAAAAATATCTTGAATGCCCACTGTGTCCCAATCACTATTCAGACCCCAGAGGTACCAGCTGTTCTTCCTAAGCAGCTGATAATTTTGCAGAGAGAAGCTTCCTAGGCCAAAGCATAAAAGCCTATTCAACCCATATACAACTCTGGTAACTCTAACCATCACTTGTAACACCTTTGTACTAAGGGAAAAACATATTCTTAGTTAAACTTCTGGATATCAGATACATGTCTCTCTCTCAGCTCTTGAAGTGAATTAGGGAAGGTCTATAGATACTTCCAGAAAGCAGAAACTTGCTTAATGGAAAATATTGTCCAATACTTTTATTACTGAGCAAGATAAAAAAGGGTTTCCATACGAGCATTATGTTCAAGTTATGTTCAGCAGCGTTAAGAGCTATTGCCCAAAGGCTCCATGACCGCAGAAGTTTGGTAAAGAGTAAGTTTTAACAAGTTCCTTCACTGAGAAGCTTATTAAATACTTCAATATATTATTATGACTTTTATATCTCAAAAAAAAAAACAACAATGCAAGCATACTTAATACCACTGAACTGTACGCTTAGAAATACAGTCATGGGTCAGGTAGAGTGACTCACGCCTGTAATCCCAACACTTTGGGAGGCTGAGGTGGATCACTTGAAGCTAGAAGTTCGAGACCAGCCTGGACAACATGGTGAAACCCCGTCACTACTAAAAATACAAAAATTAGCCGGGCATGGTGGCGTGCGCCTATAGTCCCAACTACTTGGGAGGCTGAGGCAGGAGAATTGCTTGAACCTTGGAGACAGAGGTTGCAGTGAGCCAAGATTGCACAACTGCACTCCAGGCTGGGTGACAGAGCAAGACCCTGTCTCAAAAAAAAAAAAAAGAAAAAGAAAAAAGAAACAGTTGTTTTGCTTAATGATGAGGATACATTTGGAGAAATGCATTGTTAGGCTATTTCATCACTGTGTTAACATCAGAGAGTGTACTCACACAAACCCAGACGCTATAGCCTACTACACACCTAAGCTACATGGTAGAGCCTATTTCTCCTAGGCTACAAACCTGTACAACAGGTTACTGTACTGAAGACTATAGGGAACTGTAACACAATGGTAAATTTTTGTATATCAAACATATCAAAGCATAGATAATGTAAATATATGATATTATAATCTTACAGGAACACCATGATATATGAGGCCCACTATTGACCAAAATGTCATTATGCAGCACATGACTATAATTAAGATGGTAAATTCTAAGTTATGTGTTTTTTTACCACAATTTTTTTTTTAAATGAAAACAAGAGGAAGAGGTTTCTAAGATTCTTTGACTACAGAACCATGTTGTGCTCAGTGTTTCTCTTAGGGATGAGTGTACAATGACTGAGCACCTTGATATTCTCAGGGCTAGGGGCCTTCCTAGGATGTAGGACTTTTAGTGATAAAACCAGAGCATTCTGGGCAAATACAGACAATTGGCTACCCTACCTAAAGAAGCCCTGAGCACAACTTGGAAATGTTTCCATGTGTCAATAAATTTGGGGGCGATTAGAATAGAAAAACAAAGGTTGTTAGACAGGGTATGGTGGCTCATGCCTGTACTCCCACCACTTTGGGAGGCTGAGGTGAGAAGACTGCTTGGGGCCAGGAGTTTGAGACCAGCCTGGGCAACACAGACACCATCTCTACAAAAATGTTAAAACTGGGCAAGATAGCACATGCCTGTCGTCCCAGCTACTCAGGAGGCCAAGGCAAGAGGATCACTTGAGCCCAGGAGTTTGAAGCTGCAGGGAGCTATGATTGAGCCACTGTGCTCCATCCTGCATAACAGAATGAGATCCTGTCTCTAAAAAAGGTGGGGGGAAGAAGAGTTGTGGCCCTCTGCCTTCACTGAGGGCAGATGAAGGCTGGAATCCATTACACCCATCCTTGCCACCCCGATCTCCACCACCCATTTAGATGTATGGGCTCGGCTTTAGCTAGGCATCCATAAGTTAGAGTTGCTTCTGGTGGATCTGTAATTGCCCTGTTTTGTAATACCGATGAGTTTACACCAGAAGGAAATTCATGCTTTTCCTCCAGATAAACTGAGACTTAAGAAATCTTTTGACCTACCCAAAGTTCTGAAAGACTGCTAGAGCCAAAACTTAATGTTAAATCACAAGAATCCCAGTGCACTCTGCCAATTTTCTTAGTTCACTTATATCTACTATGATAATTTGAATAGCTAGAAGAAAGCAAAAGAGCGAATTGGGTAATAACTCTGTCTCAACCAGCTAAAAGATGACCTCTCCACCCCTGCTTAACTTTAGGAAGCGTTCCACTGTAAAGGAGCAACTTGACAGGCTGAGCCTGGCGGTGACAGCATACAGGATGGGCGCAGCCCCCACATCTGGGTCATTTCGTGTCATCATGTCTGGAATATCAAGTTTGAGCACGTATGCAGCAAGGATACCCTTCAACTAAAAGTTGCATCCTCAAATTGGGGCTTTCTAACTCAGCGTGGCGATGTTGTGGATCAGGTCAAAAGTGCTTTTCCTTAGAGCCAAGTTGAGAGTTGAGAGGCCTCTGCCACCTGCATCTGTGCTTATGAGCAACACATGTGGTCTCGGAGGGGGCTTCGGCGAGCACAAACTCCAGCATTGTCATTCAGAACCCAGGACAAAGCCTTTCACACTTGCACGACATGTGCTTTCTGAAATGAATGCAACTGCATACTTCCTTCTTGAGCTCGCAGTAATGAATGACTTCACAGATGGATGGATGATCTTGTGGCTGGCTACAAAGAATAGACTAAAACCCGCGGAAATGCAGATAGATTAAAAAGGAGTGACAGGTGGGTCCATCCTACACTCCCTACACTCTCTGTTTGTCCAACAAAATGGTAGTCCTCTAGCGGCTGCCGGAGTCCCAGTATCCCAGAGGAAACTGCGAAAAACCTCCTCAAATGAGTAATTAGGTCGCCGGACCCAGTGGTTCAGGCCTATAATCCCAGCACTTTGGGAGGCTGGAGCAGGCAGATCACTTGAAGTCAGGAGTTCGAGACCAGCCTGGCCAACATGGTGAAACACCATCTCTACTAAAAACACAAAAATTAGCCGGGCATGGTGGTGGGCACCTGTAATCCCAGCTACTTGGGGGGCTGAGGCAGGAGAATTGCTTCAACCCAGGAAGAGGAGGTTGTAGAGAGTGGAGATTGTGCCACTGTACTCCAGCCTGGGTGACAGAGTGAAATGAAAGAGAAGCAAGGAAGGCAAGAAGGCAGGAAGGCAGAAAGGCAGAAAGGCAGGAAGGCAGGAAGGCAGGAAGGCAGGAAGGCAGGAAGGCAGGAAGGAAGGAAGGAAGGAAGGAAGGAAGGAAGGAAGCGAAGGAAAAAGGAGAGGAAGGAAAGGAAAGGCAGGCAGGAAGGAAGAAAGGAAGAAAGGGAAGGAGAGGAAGGAAAGGAAAGGGAAGGGAAGGAGAGGAAGGAGGGAAGGAAGGAGAGTAATTAGATCAGCAGCACTGGCCCCTGCCAGTTCACTTTTTCAAAAGTCAACCTCCTCAAGTCACCTTTGTTTCTCAAAGGCTTCACATACAGAAGATGCTGTGACTACAGCGGATTGTCTCGCAGATCTGCAGTCTGCATTGGTCCTAGTGAGGAGAGACCTTTGGCTCCGTCCTCATAGGGCTTTTTCCTTAAGAGAAGAAGATATTGTCCCACTTGATGAATTTGGGGGAAATGTACGTTAGAGAACATGTACAGCAAGGTCAATAGTAACAACACAGACCCTAGTATAAGCATTCCATCATCTGCTTATTATAACCTCTCCAGGCTGTGAGAAATTAACACTGAGGCCAACAATGGGTGCTCACTACTCTGAATGAGCAGTACTTTGCATTTACTAGGAGCACTGGGGAAGTAGCCATTCACCAAAAGGGTACAAAAACACATAGAATGAAAACAATTCTCATTTTATTTTCATTCAGATGTGTAAGTCGAACTGTTTTCATTGCTGTTTGTCCAAGTAATCTTCCTCCCAGGGGGTGCTTACAAAGCCACTGAATTCCCTGGATGTCAGGTGCAGTAATGAGTCATTAGCCACAAGGCATACAATCAAAAGAGAAAGACAACTTCAAATACAGATTAGAAGAACACTTACCTAAACAACAAAAATAAGGAAAACCAAGCACCTCAAAAATCAGTTTGCTAATCCAACACTTTACATTAAACAGGTGATTTTATTGATTCTATCCCTAATTTGCTGTAAGATTTTGCTTAGTTCCCTTGAAAACGGCAACATGGCAGATGCAGTGACTCACACCTGTAATCCCAGCACTTTGGGAGGCCAAGGCAGGCCGATCACTTGAGGTCAGAAGTTCAAGACCAGCCAGGCCAACGTGGTGGAATCCCCTCTCGACTAAAAATACAAAAATTAGCTGGGCATGGTGGCAGGCGCCTGTAATCCCAGCTACTCAGAGGCTGAGACAGGAGAATCACTTGAACCCGGGAGGCGGAGGTTGCAGTGAGCCAAGATCACGCCATTGCACTCCAGCCTGGGTGACAAGAGTGAAACTCCGTCTCAAAAAAATAAATAAACAAAAATTAAATAAATAAATAAATAAAATGGCAAGAAATGTGTTTTTCCACTGAAAAGCTTTAGCATGTTTATTAAAAGATCTCTCTCTCAGACACACACACACACACCACACACCCCCAGTTATTGTCATCCTCCAAATTAACATGAAATAGATTAGCATGAGTATTTCATTTGTTTCTTGTGAAACTGGTTTTTTGCATTTCAAAATGCATTTCATTTCATGTTGTTTTATGATGAAGAGATTAATACCATCTACGCAGAAGTATTTTCTACACTGGTCAGAATAGTTTTAAAGTTCAAAAGGAAAGGATGACTTTTTTTTTTTTTTTTTTGCTTTCAGGATTAATGAAAATAAAACGCAGACCTTATAAGCAGACGCTGTGATTTTGTAATAAAGAGGGGCAGCTTTTACAGGAAAAAGAACCCGAGGGAAGCTGTTGGCAGTCTGTGAAACGACGGTCATGGTGGAATTCGTTTTTCTGCACATTAGATGTTTAAAACAGCTGGTTTTCGTTGTTGTTGTTGTTGTTGTTTTCCTGAAAGAATCTTGTTCCCCACAATATGTTCTTGGTATTCAAAATGGCTTTTGCTCCTACTTTTTGGAAAATGCACTTCAGTTTCCAATTTATTCATTTGTTAGTGGGTTCATCAATTAGTTTATTCATCAATTAGTTCATCCATTGTGGAAGACAGTGTGGCGATTCCTCAAGGATCTAGAACCAAAAATACCATTTGACCCAGCAGTCCCATTACTGGGCTTATTGAAGTCTCCTAATGTGAATTTCTACTCCTGGACATAATACCTTCTTCTCAGAAATAAGACAGAGTTTTCCCCTGCACTTCTTTATATGCTTTTTTCTCTGACTTTTGCCATGTGGTTTTGTTTCTCCCATGGCTTGAAAGAGCAGGAAAACTGAAGGTACCAACTGAAAGTGCTGCTTCCTGCTTTTGGTTTTCCTTCATTTTATTTCATTTTTCAAGCTGAGTCTCACTCTGTTGCCCAGGCTGAAATGCAGCTCAACCATCACGGCTCACAGCAGCCTTGACCTCCTGAGCTCAAGCAGTCCTCCTTCCTCAGCCTCCCGAGTAGCTAGGACCATAGGTGTGCACCGCCACCCTTAGCTTTTTTTTTTTTTTTTTTTTTGTAGAGACAGAGTCTCCCTATGTTTCCCAGACTCGGTGTTTTTCAAATATTTGAAAATGTAAAAGCCATTCTTAGCCCACAGGCTGTACAAAAACAGATGGAGGGCCAGATTTAACCCATGGGCAGTGGTTGGCCAAACCCTTGTGTATCCCATGCCATGCCCTACTATTCCAGACTTAAAAGTTATAATTTTAGGATAAACTTGTTATATTTTTGTCATGTCAGAAGACTGAGTGTATACATTTTCTTTTTTTTTTTTTTGACGGAGTTTTGCTCTGTCCCCCAGGCTGGAGTGCAGTGGGGTGATCTCGGCTCACTACAACCTCTGTCTTCCGAGTTCAAGTGATTCTCCTGTCTCAGTCTCCTGAGTAGCTGGGATTACAGGCTCATGCCACCATGCCCAGCTAATTTTTGTATTTTTAGTAGAAACGGGGTTTTGCCATGTTGGCCAGGCTGGTCTCGAACTCCTGACCTCAGGTGATCCACCTGCCTAGGCCTCCCAAAGTGCTGGAATTACAGGCGTGAGCCACTGCACCTGGCCTGAGCATATACATTTTCATAGGCAAAAACATACCTTGGAAATACTTCTCAGGAATGTGCACATATGAATTACAAAATGTAAAAAGCTTCAACTCCATTATGAACTGTAAATGCATGTGGCAGGAGGCGATCCTCATAGAAGCTGTCAGGGCGTGACTTCATTCTAGATGCTGTAAGTAGCAATAATAAAAGAGGAAGCAAACACGTGCAGCTTCTGGAATTCAGACCCTGGAGGAAGGAGACAGGTGGCCTTGAGTGAGGATATGAGGAACACAGTCAAGGAGAAAATGCAGCTGGTGAATTATAAACATCCATGGGCAGACATAGAAAGTTAGGAACCCCAGCCCTCTAATGGAACCAAGAAACCAGAGGCCAGTAGGAAACGGCTCCAGGAAGAGCGAAACTTGATAAATGTCCTAGACGTCAGTGAGAAAGATCCGTTTGTTTTGTTTACACTGAAAATTTTTAAATTGCATGACTATTTAGAGCACTTTTACATTTTTTGCCTAGAATTAGATCCAAAGAATAAATGACCTATTGAGCCTGAAGGGATTTTAGGAAAAAATAACTTTTTTAAAAAAATATGTTTTTTTGTTTTTTGTGTTTTTTTTTTGAGACAGAGTCTCGCTCTGTCACCCAGGCCGGAGTGCAGTGGTGCTATCTTGGCTCACTGCAAGCTCTGCCTCCCGGGTTCACGCCATTCTCCTGCCACAGCCTCCCAAGTAGCTGGGACTACAGGCATCTGCCACCACCCCCGGTTAATTTTTTTTTTTTTTGTATTTTTAGTAAAGACGGGGTTTCACCGGGTTGCCCAAGATGGTCTCGATTTCCTGACCTCATGATCTGCCAGCCTTGGCCTCTCAAAATGCTGGGATTACAGGTGTGAGCCACCATGCCTGGCCTAAAAAATATATATTTTTTAAAAAATAAAGACAAGGGTCTCACTATGTTGCCCAGCTTGGTCTTGAAATCTTGGGCTCAAGTGATCCTCCTGCCTTGGCCTCCCAAAGTGCTAGGATTACAGACATGAGCCACTGCACCAGGCCAAGAAAAAGTATCTTAATGACATATTTTCATTTGTGTTTTTCTTCAGCCCTCTGGATGCCAGCTCTCCTTCCCACTTGGCAGCTCCCTGCAGCAGTTTCTCGTTATGATTTTTGGGAGCTTGTTACAGATGTGAAATCCTCCTCTTTAATTTAAGTCTATGTCCACTAATTTGGTCCTCCACAAAACTGATGAAAAACTAGTGCACATTCCCCACATTAAAACTTGTCATTTACCTAAAGATTGTCATTAAACCCCCTCAGTCTACTTTTCTCCTGACCAAACACCCCCAAACCCTTGAACCTTTTCTTATAGAACCAACCGTCATCGTTTAAAACATTTGTGTGCCTCCTATTTCTTTACAATATTTTTTAACAGCGGAAACAAACCCCCAAAATGCATTTTCTAGTGAGGCTTGGACTAAGGTGGATTAGAGAAAGAATACACAAAGGAGAATGATTTCCTAAACTGCGCCCGTTATACTTCCGACATCTCAGTACCATGCTGGCTTTTTCCCACAGAATTGCTATATTTCTGAGGAGTATTCATTTAGTAAACCGAGTTCTCTGCACCCAGGTCATTTTGCCACTAAACTTGTAATAATCTCAGCAACAACAGTAATAGCAGCATCTAACTGTTGCCCTGTGTTAATGGCTGACAGCCGCCCTCTGCGGTTAGTCTACCATCATCTGCAATTTATAGCAGAGGATCCAGGCTTGGAGAGGTTCAGGAACTGGCCTGAGATGATCCTGGCTGTGAATGGTGAAGACTGGGTTCTAATCTACAACTGGATCCCTGGATTCTCACTCTTGAGTGCCATGCTGTGTACTTCTCAGTGTCGATCTGTGGATTGAAATTAACAGTATCTGCCGGGCGCAGTGGCTCAGGCCTGTAATCCGAGCACTTTGGGAGGCCGAGGTGGGCGGATCATGAGGTCAGGAGTTCGAGACCAGCCTGGCCAACATAGTGAAACCCCATCTCTACTAAAAATACAAAAAATTATCCAGATGTGGTGGTGTATGACTTACCCCAGCTACTCGGGAGGCTGAGGCAGGAGCATCGCGTGAACCCGGGAGACGGAAGTTGCAGTGAGCCAAGATTGCGCCACTGCACTCCAGCCCAGGCAACAGAGCGAGACTCCATCTCAAAAAAAAAAAAAAAAAGGAAAGAAATTAACAGTATCTGTATTAGTCATCTCAGGCTGCTGTAATAAAAATACCATAGACTGGGTGACTTAAACAACGACATTTATTTCTTACTGTTCTGAAGGCTGGGAAGTCTAAGATCAAGGCACTGGCAGGTCTAGAGTCTGGCGAGGGCTCTCTTCTGGTTTGTAGACAGCACACTGGTATCTTCACTGAGAAGAGCACTAATCCCATGATGAGGGCTCCCCCCTCATGACCTCATGTAACCCTAACCACCTTCCAAAGTTCCTATCACAATGGGGATTAGGGTTTCAACATATGAATTGGGGTCAAGAAGGGAGGACACAAACATGCAGTCTGTAACACTACCTCTTTTCATACTTAAAAAAAAAATGCGGGTTTTTGTTTGTTTAACACTCTTTTTTTTTTTTTTTTGGGGGGGTGATGGAGTCTCGCTCTGTCACCCAGGCTGGAGTGCAGTGGCGCGATCTCGGCTCACTGCAAGCTCCGCCTCCCGGGTTCGCGCCATTCTCCTGCCTCAGCGTCCCGAGTAGCTGGGACTACAAGCCCCCACCACCACGCCTGGCTAATATTTTGTATTTTTAGTAGAGACGGGCCCACGCCCACCCGGAACTCCCGCTGGCCCGCAAGCGCCGCACGCAGCCCCGGTTCCCGCTCGTGCCTCTCCCTCCACACCTCCATGCAAGCTGAGGGAGTGGGCTCCGGCCTTGGCCAGCCCAGAAAGGGGCTCCCACAGTGCAGTGGGGGGCTGAAGGGCTCCTCAAATGCCACCAAAGTGGGAGCCCAGGCAGGAGAGGTGCCAAGAGCAAGCGAGGGCTCTGAGGACTGCCAGCATGCTGTCACCTCTCAGTTTCACCGTGTTAGCCAGGATGGTCTCGATCTCCTGACCTCATGATCTGCCCGCCTCAGCCTCCCAAAGTGCTGGGATTACAGGCGTGAGCCACCGTGCCCGGCCTTAACACTCTATTTTTTTTTTTTTTTTTTTTTGAGACGTAATTTTGCTTTTGTTGCCCAGGCTGGAGTGCAATGGCGCGATTTCGGCTCACTGCAACCTCCATCTCCCGGGTTCAAGCAATTCTCCTGCCTCAGCCTCCCAAGTATCTGGGATTACAGGCATGCGCCACCACACTTGGCTAATTTTGTATTTTTAATAGAGATGGGGTTTCTCCATGTTGGTCAGGCTGGTCTCAAACTCCCAACCTCAGGTGATCCGCCCACCTTGGCCTTCCAAAGTGCTGGGATTACAGGCGTGAGCCACTGAGCCCCACCTGTTTAACATTTTTTAATTTTTTTTTTTAATTATAGAGATGGGGTCTCACTATGTTGCCCAGGCTGGTCTCAAACCCCTGGGCTCAAGTGATCCTCCCGCCTCAGCCTCCCAAAGTGCTGGGACTATAGGCATGAGTCACTGCACCTGGCCTCTTTTTATACTGACCAGGTTTGTGTTACTCCACTCTATTTCCTTCAACAACAATTTCCCAATTTATCAAGGTAATTTTCAAATTTATACTGGTTCTTAGTCCAGAGAATTAGCAACTCCAACTAATTAAGTAACATCTGCAGTTTCAGTCAGTATATTTCCATTATCTTCATTCCTTTTATGGAAACTTAAAAATTTCAACTTCAGGCTGGGCATGGTGGCTCATGCCTGTAATCCCAGCACTTTGGGAAGCCAAGGCGGGAAAATCACTTGAGCTTAGGAGTTTGAGACCAGCCTGGGCAATATATCGAGACCTTGTCTCTACAACAGCAACAACAACAATAAAAATTAAAAGTTTAAACTTCAAATTCTGACTGTTAGACGCAATAAGCGCTAACATTGTATTCCAGGCATTATTGTAAGCATGTTATATGCCTTAACTCCTTTGCTACTCTCTGTGGCCCTAAAAAGTAGATACACTTGTTCCTTCCACTGTTAGATGATAGAGGCACAGAGTGGTTGTATAACTTGCTTAAGGTCACGCAGCTAGACATTTGGCCCCACATCTTTACAAGTAGCTTTAGATTCAAAAAATATTCTATGTGCATCTTGTTTCCAATTCTCTTTTCAATAAATAATCCCTTTCCAATCAAGAATTTTAGGGAAAAATTGGACCATTTTTCTAATGTTATTTATCCATTTTCCTGCTAATAGTAATTTAGGTCTCTAACTTTTTGCTTTGGGAAAAAAAGATTCCTCTAAAATTATTGTTTACATTTTATTGTGAGAGAGTGATGAAGGATACATATAGTTTGATGCCATTTGCATTAATATATGTAAAACAGCATTACACATTGTTTCAGGAGACATATACATGTTATAAAAGATGAAGCCTGGCAAGGGTGTAATAAACGTCCAAGTCAGGATAATGGTTACCTTGGATGGGGAGAGGGCAGGGATTGGGACGAGGTACACAAGAAGCTTCAATTTTATTTGTAATTTTTTTTCCCTCAGGCTTAGTGATGGCTGTATGCAGCTGATTTTTATGTTATTTTCTACATCTTTTTGAATGTTTGTAATTTTTATAATTTTTACAGGGAGGCAGGGGAGGAACTTAAATGTGAATTCATATACATAGTAGGAAGAAATGCTGATTGCCAGGAAGTCTGTTTTCTGGACCTTGTTCTACAACAAGCTCTTGGCTTAAATTGGGCAAGCTGATTAATCCAGTCCTCTTTCTTGAACTATAAAAAAAGGGTGGTACAGGCCGGGCACGGTGGCTAACACCCGTGGGGGAGGCCAAGGCAGGTGGATCACCTGAGGTCAGGAGTTCGAGACCAGCCTGACCAACATGGAGAAACCTCATCTCTATTAAAATTACAAAATTAGCCAGGCGTGGTGGCACATGCCTGTAATCCCAGCTACTCAGGAGGCTGAGGCAGGAGAATCACTTGAACCCGGGAGGCGGAGGTTGCAGTGAGCTGAGATCTACCACTGCACTCCAGCCTGGGCAACAAGAGCGAAACTCCATCTCAAAAAAATAAATAAATAAATAAAGGGTTGTACTAAAACAAGGGTAAACAAACTATGTCTCCTATGTCTCCTTAGTTTTGTAAATAAAGTTTTATTTGTACATCCCCATGCCCATTCATTATTTTCTATGGCTGCTTTCAACCTACGGTGGCAGGGTTGAACAGTTGCAACAAAGACCATGTCACTGCTTGCAAAGTCTGAAATACTCACTCTACGGTGCTTTACAGAAAATGTCTGCTAACCCCTGCAGCAGAGAACCAGTCTCCTTCAACTCTGATCATTCTAAGATATACGAGACTTTTGTACCAATGGTGGACTGGGAACACCAGTTTTCCATACATACATGTTCATTTTTGTAAGCATATAAATTACAGATAATATGAAAGAAACTTTAGGCCAGGCGGTGGCTCACGCCTGTAATCCCAGCACTTTGGGAGGCTGACAAGGGAAGATCACCTAAGGTCAGGGGTTTGAGACCAGCCTGGGCAACATGGTGAAGCCCTGTCTTTACTAAAAATACAAAAATTAGCCGGGCATGGTGGTGGGCGCCTGTAATCTCAGCTACTCAGGAGGCTGAGGCAGAAGAATCACTTGAACCCGGGAGGCAGAGGTTTCAGTGAGCCGAGATTGTGCCACTACACTCCAGCCTGGGTGACAGAGCAAGACTCCATCTCAAAAAAAAAAAAATTAAAGAAATTTTAGAACTTAAGAATCGTGAAGCAAAACCCTTTGTTATTGTTCTGGGAGGATGTAAGCACAGACATCTTCCCCTAAAAAGAATACAGCCTGAAATGAATTGAAGAAATGGGGCCCGGCGCCGCGGCTCACACCTGTAGTCCCAGCACTTTGGAAGGCCGATGCGGGCAGATCACGAGGTCAGGAGATCGAGACCATCCTGGCTAACACGGTGAAACCCCGTCTCTACTAAAAATAAAAAAAATTAGCCGGGCGCGGTGGCAGGCGCCTGTAGTCCCAGCTACTCGGGAGGCTGAGGCAGGAGAATGGCATCAACCTGGGAGGTGGGGCTTGCAGTGAGCCGAGATCGCGCCACTGCACTCCAGCCTGGGCTACAGAGCAAGACTCCGTCTCAAAAAAAAGAAAAAAAAAAAAAAGGAATGGCCATGGCTGGGTGAGATGGCTCACGCCTGTAATCCCAGTACTTTGGGAGGCCAAGGCGGGCGGATCACCTGAGCTCAGGGGTTCGAGACCAGCCTGACCAACATGCAGAAACCCCATCTCTACTAAAAATACAAAAAATTAGCCAGGTGTGGTGGCACATGCCTGTAATCCCAGTTACTCAGGAGGCTGAGGCAGGAAAATCGCTTGAACCCAGGAGGCGGAGGTTGCAGTGAACCAATATCACGCCATTGCACTCCAGCCTGGGCAACAAGAGTGAAACTCCGTCTCAAAAAGTAAAAGAAGAAAAAGAAATGCCCATAAGCCCCAAGCATCGACTCTAACACCTTCAAGGTGGTGTATGTTGTGTGATTTCTGTGCAATTTGTGAGTGGTTAGGCTTAATGGGTTTTGCAGAGATGTTTTGGATATAGGTACTTAATCTTTGCATAAAATTTCTATTGTGAATAGAGGACTCATTAAGCAATTCACCCTCTGAACAAGCAATACATAATAATGATCAAGAGCAGGAATTCAATTGCAAGGACTAGAATATTGACTTAACACCCTTTCTGCCTGTGCATCTTGGGCAATTTCTGCAACCTCTCTAAGCTTCGGTTTCCTCATCTATGAAATGGAGCCATGCTAGTAGGTAACCTATTGGGTTGCTGTGAAAACTAAGTTATGTAATTCACGGTACACTATTTAACATAATGTTGAATCAATGTTAGCCATTATTAGCTGGACTTATTTAGGACATAATACAAATTCTGAAATGTTTTTAAAAGCACAGCTTCTAGTATCTGCTTTCAAGACTGACAATAGATATGAGAGAAAAGTGGAAGGTAGAAGGCGATGTCAGCATATCTGTACCAGTTGAGACATCAGTATAGAGCAAAGGTACTAAAGCAAGCAGACCTCAGGTTGGCCATACATCAATGGCGTTCAGGAGACACAAAAGGAAAGCGTCAGTGGCACCCTGAAATGGAATCCATCATCCAAAATCATGTGGACCATCCACGACTGTTCCATCAGGAGAAACACAAGCATCTCTTCCTGCCTTCCCAAGTTGAGCACAAAGTCATGACTGCTATGGTTTGGCTGTTTTTGGCTCCAAACCATGGCAGTCATGGCCTCCGAAACGCATGTTGAAACCGAATCCCCAGTGCATCAGTGTTGGGAGGTGGGGCCTGTGGGAAGTTGTGTAGGTCCTGAGGCTCTGCCCTCATGAATGAATTAATGTCACTATAAATAATGCTCACGAGCGTGGGTTCGCTCTTCTGCTTTTCTGCCATGTGAGGACCTGGAGTTTCTCCCCTCCACGGGATGCAGCATTGGAGACACCATCTTGGCAGCAGAGAGACAGGGCCCTAAGCTGCCAGTGCCTTAATCCTGGACTTCCCAGCCTCCAGAACTGTGAGAGAATAAATATCTATTCTTTATAAGTTACCCGGTCTCAACTATTCTCTTACAGCAGCACAAAATGGACTAAGAAAATGACATTGACATGTGGCCAATTAGTAGTCATTGGAATAAAAGCAAGCATAAACAGATCACATAACGTAAAATATTTACAGTGTGACTCTGGGCAAGTCACTTAGCTGCTCTATAATTTCATTTCCTTACTGGGCATCACTTTCTCATGGAAAAGTAATACAAGCCACATAACATAATTTTAATTTTCTACTAGTGACATTAAGTAAAAAAAAAAGTGGATGAAATTTTCTTTTTTCTTGTTTTTCTTTCTTTCTGGATAAAATTAATTTTAATAATATATTTTATTTAACCCAATATAGCCAGAGTAATATAATTTCATTTTTCCTTTTTTTGCTTTGTTTGTTTTGTTTAGAGACAAGATGTTGTCTGTCATCCAGGCTAGAATGCAGTGGCATGATCATAGCTCACTCCTGGGCTCAAGCAATCGTCCTGTCTCAGCCTCCTAAGTAGATGGGACCACAGGAGCCCACCACCATGGCCCAGTTAATACATTTTCTTTATTATATATATTTTTTAGAGATAGGGTCTCACAGTGTTGCCCAGGCTCATCTCCAACTCCTGACTTCAAGTGATCCTCCCACCTTGGCCTCCCAAAGTGATGAGATTGCAGATGTGAGCCACTGTACCTGGCCAGTAATATCAATATGTAACAAATATAAAAATATAGTGACATATTTTACATTCTTTCATATTAAGACTTCCAACCTGGTTTGTATTTTACACTTACAGCGCATCTCAAAGATGCTGCAGGCTCGATAGCCACAGGTGGCTAGTGGCTACCTGTTGGACCATGTTGAATAAGGACACACCTCACTCCTAGAAAACCACTGATTCCTAAGACAGCACTTTAGGGAAGGGGACAATGACAAGGATAAAAGCTCTACATTATTTGTCCATATCTGAGTATTTAAACCACACCAATAAACGATAATAAATCTTGCCATATAATAAAAGGGTAAGGATTTAAGATCAGAGCCCAGGAAGACTTCCATCATGAGGAGGCTGCCATGCCAATTAAAACAAAACTAAATTTTATTTTAATTTTATTGTACTGTTTATTTTTGAGACAGATTCTTACTCTGTTGCCCAGGCTGGAATGCGGTGGCTCGATCTCGGCTCACTGCAACCTCCGCCTCCAGGGTACAAGTGATTCTCAAGCCTCAGCCTCCCGAGTAGCTGGGACCACAGGCATACACCACCACACCTGGCTAATTTTTGTATTTTTAGTAGAGATTGGATTTCTCCGTGATGGCCAGGCTGGCCTTGAACTCCTGGCCTTAAGTGATAGGCCTGCCTCAGCCTCCCAAAGTGCTGGGACTACAGGCATGAGCCTCTGGGCCCAGCCCATCAAAGAAACTAAGTTTTAGATTAACTAATACGACTTGATGCTGAAGAAATGTAGTTCTCTTTTTTAAAAAAAGTTATTAGGTCTTCTTTAATTTATTTTATCAACACTTTGTAATTTAGCAAAAACCTGTATAAGAATATTCAGGCCGGGCACAGTGGCTCACACCTGTAATCCCAGCACTTTGGGAGGCCAAGGTGGGTGGATCACCTGAGGTCGGGAGTTCAAGACCAGCCTGACCTACATGGAGAAACCCTGTCTTTACTAAAAATACAAAATTAGCTGGGCATGGTGGCACATGCCTGTAATCCCAGCTACTTGGGGGGCTAAGGCAAGAGAACCACTTGAACTCGGAAGCTGGAGGTTGCAGTGAGCCAAGATCACATCATTGCACTCCAGCCTGGGCAACAAGAGTGAAACTCTGTGTCAAAAAAAAAAGAAAAAAGAATATTCATAGTAGCTCTTATTCCCAAGAGCTAAACAACTGAAAACAAGCCAAATGTCCCTCAGTGGGCAAATGGTTAGACACACTGTGGTCTAGCCATACCATGGAATAGACAACAACTTGAATGGATCTCAAGGGAATTATGCTGAGTGAAAAAAAAGTCCATCTCAACAAGTTATGATTCCATTTATATAACATTTTACAATAACCGAACTATAGCGATAGAAAACAGATTCATGACTGCCACAGGTAGGAGTGGGAGGAAGAGAACTTGGGTGTAGACATAATGGGGTAGCCTGGGCTAATGGCACAATTCTGTATCTTTTTCTGAGACAGGGTCTTGCTCTGTCACCCAGGCTGGAGTGCAGTGGCGTGAGTGCGTGATCATGGCTCACTGCAGCCTTGATCTCCCAGGCCCAAGTGATCCTCCCGCCTTAGCCTCCTGAGCAGCTAGGACTATAGGTGCTGCCATCACACCTGACTAGTTTTTTAATTTTTTTGTAGAGATAGGGTCTCCCTATATTGCCCAGGCTGGTCTCAAACTCCTGGCCTCAAGCGACCCTCCTGCCTCAGCCTCCTGCAGCGCTGGGATTACACATGTGAGCTACTGTGTCAGGCCACAATTCTGTATCTGACTGTAGTTACAGGTACATGAATGTATACATGTGACAAAATTGCACAGAACTTTATACACACACACACACACACACAAATGAGTGTTTGTAAAGCTAGTAAATGCAATTAAATCTCTATGGATTGTACCAATATCAGGTTCCTAATTTCTATAATGTGTCTGGTTATATGG
The DNA here is from genome assembly GCF_000001405.40 of Homo sapiens. Taxonomy (NCBI): domain Eukaryota; kingdom Metazoa; phylum Chordata; class Mammalia; order Primates; family Hominidae; genus Homo; species Homo sapiens. The sequence continues at coordinate 17,133,435 of NC_000005.10, read as the reverse complement.
ACATGACCATCAGACAAGGCTGGGTGACGGGTATGTTGGATCTCCCTGTACATTTTTTTTTTTTTTGCAACTTCTTGCAAATCTATAATTATGTCCTTAAAACAGAAAAGTATACCCTAAAACAAAAGATCTTTAGGAAAAGAAAGAGTTGCTTAGCAAAGCCAGGCCTACAGATAGCAGCTTGAGTAGAAAACCGAAGAACAGGCTTCTCAGAGCCCAGTGAAGAAAGAAGCGTTGGCCAAACACCCATTTCTTAACTCCAGAAGTAAATGCAGGAGACACAAGGAGAGAAATAATTGATTTTGTGCAAACCAAACCAGTTCTGATCCCAGCCCCCTGTGTTCTAACTACAGGAGTGTACTGCTTTTCAAATCCACAATGTTTTATGGCCTTAACGAGCCAAGCTGTGTAATTATCATCACACTATGATGCCACACCTAATTTTAAAATCCCACAATAAAGTCACAGCAGGAAGAGGACAGTTACAAAAGCTATATGATGTGATTGTCATTCGGCTTCCGCTACAGTTAAAATTAATCTGTTTCTTTTTAGAGTCTCAATTCTTTCAGAGTATATGTTAAAACACTGCTTCTTTTATGTGTGTTATATTTTTCCTAATGGTAAAACATTGGTAAAAATCAGTTTGAGTGAGGCTTAGTCTAGCTAAAACTAAGCCCTGAAACTGATTCACGGAACACAGCTTGTATTTTTTAATCTGACCACAAGAGGGCTTCTGTTTTTCCTAGTACTAAAAAGGCAGCAGAGTAATCTTTAATTTAGAATATGCAAATATCTTACAAGGGAAAATGAGTTTTAAACCAAGCCCTCCCTGCAAACACCAAGATTTGACTAACTGACTATACAGTTTTTTGTTTTGAGACAAGGTCTTGCTCTGTCACCCAGGCTGGAGTGCAGTGGCATGATCACAGTTCACTGCAACCTCTACCTCCCAGGCTCAAGCCATCCTCCCACTTCAACCTCCTGAGTAGCTGGGACTACAGGCATGCACCACCACATCTGGCTTCTTTTTATTTTTTATTTTTTTATTTTTTTTAGAGAAGACGTCACTATATTGCCCAGGCTGGTCTTGAACTCCTGGACTCAAGTGATCCTCCCGCCTCAACTTCTCAAAGTGCTGGAATTACAGGCGTGAGCCACCATGCCTGACCAACTATACCGTTTTGTAAAAAGTGAAATTTACTGAAGAATGTCTATAAAATATACTTCAAAACTCGGTTTTCCTTTTTTAAATTTGACATATAAATGATGAAAACTAGCCAACCACTTATAAAGCATGTTGATGATTTCATTTCCCAGTTGGCAAATGAAATAGGACCAAGTGCCGTCTTTCTTTTTGTTAGCTTTGTTATTAACATATATAGCTCAGCATCGTGCTCTGAGCATATTGCTGTTATTGTTCAATAACAGCTCTACAGCCAATGGTTCCTTATACATTATTTAAGATAATTCTGTGATGCCAGAAAATGAATTTCCCTAAGTGTACCCTCTCCACCCACACTAACCTTTATTTATAGGTTTCAGTCGATTTGATTATAAAGCAAAGGTTTGGGAAGAAAGACTCATATTCCTCCTGAGATGCAACCTCAAGTCTTAGGAAAAGAAAGTTTTGAACTCAGGTTCCGGGAATGTGGAAGAGGAAGCTCTTAAAGGGCAAGTAGACTTTGCAACATGCTCGTTTTCAGGATTCTCCTCCTTTGTCCTCAACCCTGCCCAGTGTTCCCCTAACTCCACCTAAGCCACTCCATAAAGTTAGGTCCCATTCCTCTATTCCTTCACTACTAATGACAGCTAATAGAGCTAAACAGAATACCACAATAAGCCAGAAGCTGCCTTTTTTTATTATTATTATTATTCATTGCCCAATTTGTAGAACTCTCTGAATTCAATTAAAGTTTGGCAAAGCCTGTGCAAATGAAACCAAGTACCTATTTTTTGCTCATCATAAACCCAAAAGTTTTCTAGAGAACTAACTGAAAGAGATTTTCACCAAATCTTTTTATTTTTTTAATCTAGAGAATACAATTGAGAACCAAATCAATAAATATCCTCAACTGTTACCTTTGTTATAAGGGAACTACGATGAACCGTGCTTGCCCCACATTTACCCTAGCAGCAACTATGCTTTTTCTATCTCTGGCCTTACCCTGCCTTCCTGCCTCCAGAGTCTGAGATGGAGAAAGGCAAAGTCAGATGGAGGATAGAGCTGGGCAGGGAGTTGCTGCCAGCAACAATTGGAGTTGCTGGTTTGCTTTCAACACTGACCCCACTTTATTGGCCATGAGTTAAGGCAGTCAAATGGGCATCTAGGAAACATGACCAAGATCTGCATTAGGGAAGCAAAGCAGATTAAAAGGCACAATTGCTGGCCAGGCATGGTGGCTCACACCTCTAATCCTAGTGAGAGGTGAAGCCAGTTGGACTTCCTGGGTCGAGTGGGGTGGGGTCTTGGAGAAATTTTCTATCTAGCTAGAGGATTATAAATGCACCAATCAGCTCTGTGTCTAGCTAAAGGTTTGTAAACGCACCAATCAGCACTCTGTAAAAACGCACCAATCAATGCTCTGTGTCTAGCTGAAGGTTTGTAAATGCACCAATCAGCACTCCGTAAAACGGACTGATCAGTGCTTTGTAAAATGGACCAATCAGCAGGATGTAGGCAGGGCCAAATAAGGGAAAAAAAGCTGGCACCCAAGCCAACAGGGGCAACCTGCTTGAGTCCCTTTCCACATTGTGGAAGCTTTGTTCCTTCACTCTTCATGATAAATCTTGCTGCTGCTCACTCTTTGGGTCCGCACTACCTTTATGAGCTGTAACACTCACCACGAGGGTCTGTGGCTTCATTCCTTAAGTTAGCAAGACCACGAACCCACAGGGAGGAACAAACAACTCCGGGCACACCACCTTTAAGAGCTATAACACTCACTGCGAAGGTCTGTGGCTTCACTCCTGTAGTCAGCAAAACCACAAACCCACCGGAAGGAAGAAACTCCAGACACATCTAAACATCTGAAGGAACAAACTCTGGACACACCATCTTTAAGAACTGTAACACTCACCGTGAGGGTCCGTGGCTTCATTCTTGAAGTCAGGGAGACCAAGAACCCACCGGAAGGAACAAACTCCGGACACACTAGCACTTACAGGAGGCCCAGGTGGGAAGATCACTTGAGGCCAGGAGTTTGAGACCAGCCTGGGCAACGTAGTCAGACCCCATCTCTACAAAAAAATTTAAAAAATTAGCCGAGCATGGTGGCAAGTGCCAGTAATCCCAGCTACTCTTGGAGGCTGAGGCAGGAAGAGCCCTTGAGCCCAGGAGCTGGAGGCTGCAGTGAACTATGATCAAACCACTGTAGTCCAGCCTGAGTGACAGAGTGAGACCCTGCCTCTAAAAAAATAAAAATAAAAGGCACAATTGCTTAAAATACAAAATCTGTGCTCTGTGCAAAAGACACCAAACTGGAAAACTGGAGCTCCAGCTTTGACCCCCTAGTCAGCCATCACGTGGCTCTGTGAACTGAACTCCTTACCAAATACCATTTCCTTGCTATGCGAACTAAAGCAAATATATAAAATTATGTTGGATATAGAATTTCTAAAGCTCATCTCAATACCAGCTTCAACCCGAGACTCAGTTTGTGCTACGCACAGCCCAATAATTATTGTGTCTTCCTGGAAAAACGGAGCCCTTAAGCCAAATTCTCTTCCCATGTGATTAAAGAAAAAACTGTGCTAAAGACTAAACTGAGAACCTCAGCTAGAATCTACAGGATGTGATTTTTTTTTTTTAAGCCTAAGTGTATGAGTAGCATAAATCTCCAAGGTCTTCCCCGGAGGGACAGAGTTTAAAAGATGTACCCAGAAAGAACGGAGTTTTGCTGTTTGACATTTCCAAGGAAACGTTCAAGTGCCCCAGTCAAGTTCAGTCCCGTTTAAGGGAGAAAATTCGAAGTTTGTTTTTCAGCTCAGCCTGACTAGCAAGGATTTGATGAGTGTGTTTGTTTTGTGTCTTCCTGTGTGCAGTGTTGGCCTTCTAAGAGCCAGTAGGCTCTATCACGAAATAAAAACCAGCAGCCATCGATGTGCCTGCTGCCGGAATGCTGCACGTTCTCTAAGCCCCATCTTTACTCAGCAAATCAGATCATTGTGGGTCAGAGCCATGACAGCAGCCAACACTGAGGATTCTCAGGGGTCACAGGAGGGGTGACTCTTGGGTGGCTTTCTCTGCCAGACATAGTGCTTGCTGGACTTGCGTCATGACCACGCACTTCTTGGCAATGTCTAGGCTTTGCATGGTGAGAAGAGAAGGCAGTGGCTATATCAATCACTTTGTTGTTGTTGTTGTTGTTGTTGTTGTTGTTGTTGTTGTTGGAGACAGGGTCTCTCTCTGTCACCCAGGCTGGAGGGCAGTGGTGCAATCTCAACTCACTGCAGCCTCCAACTCCTGGGCTCAAGTGATCCTCCCACCTCAGCCTCCTGAGAAGCTGAGACTAAAGGCGTGCACCAGGATGCCCAACTAATTTTTAAATTTTTTTGTAGAGCAGGGTCTTGCTATGTTTCCCAGGCTGGTCTCAAACTCCTGGGCTCAAGTGATCCTCCTGCCTCAGCCTCCCAGAGTGCTGGGATTACAGGCATGAGCCACTGCACCCGGCCCACTTGTACTTAATAGTTGCCTGGTCAACTCTCTCAGGAGCTGTTGCCAGCGTTGGAACTGACCAGGAGAGAGGCAAAAACATAGTGGTGCACAGCAGAAGAGAAGGGGTTTCTGATGGGACAAGGCAACAAAATGAATGTGTCACTGGTCCAAGCAGCAAAGCACTCATTTGTCCCCTTCAAATTTCAGACCCTCAGTATTGAAATGTCCTCAGGGTGATCTGAGGAACCAGATGAGAGTCTGATGCTAGGACCTCAAATGTCCTAAAATGTATTTAGATAAAGTACTAATTATTTCTACTTCGTTTCACAACTTTGCAAGAGAAACAGCCATTTTTATTTTGAGAGGTTCTTAAATAGGCACAGGAAAGTAATATAATTTGCCAAAGATGACAGAAAGTCTACGAGAAGTTGAAGTCTTTTTACCTTTTCACGTATTTTCTTTAAAAAAAAAAAGTATCCGGTTTCTTTGCAATATGCTGCAGTTTATCCTATTTATGAGGTTTGTTTTCTTATTGGATCAAGAGTTTGCTGGGGATGGGGAAAAAGAGACTTAGGGAATTTTTAAAAACTCGCCTTAAACACTTAGGGTTATTAATTCTCACGAAGAAAAATATTTATTTAAAGAGCTGATTCATCGTATTATAACCTTGCGAATAAACATACCAAGGGGCTGAGTATAGGGAGGAAATATGGAGAATTAGTCATGAAAAGCATTCAAAGGAAGAGGCCGGGCAGGAGAATTAGCAATGAATAGGGCCAGAAGGAGAAGGGGCCGCCAGTCAGTAAGCACCTGGTATTGACAGACTTTATTTCATTTAGTCTCAACCACAGGTAAACACAGTATCTCCATTTTATAGATGTGGAGACTGAGGCATGGGGCAGTACGTACATTATTTTGAGTTCATACAGGTAATACCTGATAGATCAAGGTTGGGAACAAAGGTTGGTCTGAGGGAAGTCTCTTTTCTACTCCACATACTACGATGGAAAGAAAACTGGACTTGGCCTGGCACAGTGGCTCACGCCTATAATCCCAGCACTTTGGGAGGCCGAGGCAGGCAGATCACTTGAGGTCAAGAGTTCGAGACCAGCCTGGCCAGCATGTTGAGACCCCCGTCTCTACTAAAAATACAAAAATTAGCCAGGCGTGGCAGTGCACACCTGTAATCCCAGCTACTTGGGAGGTTGAGGCAAGAGAATCACTTGACCTCGGGAGACAGAGGTTGCAGTGAACCAAGATTGTGCCACTGCACTCCAGCCTGGGCAACAGAGTAAGACTTCATCTAAAAGAGAGAGAGAGACAGACAAAGAGAGAGAAGGAAGGAAGAGAGGGAGGGAGGGAGAAGAAAGAAAGAAAGAGAGAGAGAAAGAGAAAGAGAGAAAGGAGAGGAGAGGAGAGGAGAAAGACTAAATGTAGGGAAGGGGAAAGGGAGCTGGTCTAAGTTTTAGACCCAGCTGTACTACTGGTTGACTGTGTGGCCTTAGGAAAAATGCCGTGATTCATCTGGGCCTTGGATTTCTGAGAGATTGAGGTCTGTGAAAGATTGAGGTCCATAACTTGAGGCAAGGTCCAAGCCCATCACTTTTTTTGGAGAAATAACATTTATTCTGCCCACTGTTGTAATCTAAACCAACCTGAGAATTTGTCATCCCTCTACATCGGTGCCATTGTGAAGGGGAGCTCACTGGGCATTGGGTCAGGCATAAATTAATATGTAACAGGGAACAAGTGTGTTTGGAAAGAAATGGGCTTTATCGTGCTCATCTCAGCACTGTCCACTAATTTAATTGAAGTATAATTTAAATATTATGAAATGTAGAGATCTTTGTGATTCAAGGGGGTTTGACAATTGTATACACATATGTAAACCACCACCCAAATTAAGTTAAACAACGTTTCAACACCCCAGAAAGTTCCCTCGTGCCCCTTTCCAATGAGTTCTACCAAGAAGGAAACCACTGTTGCGATTTCTGTCACCATCAATTAGTTTTACCTGTTCCAGAACTTCACCTACGTGTAATCGTATCTGTGAATCCATCTTCATTTCTAGAGGAACAGCTATGGTTCCAGGAGGTGGGTGGCAAATTATCTTCCTGTTGACTGTGGAGTCAGGGTTGTGAGGTCCATTCAGTGGCAGAATGAAAGTCAGATGAGATGTTGGTATTTGCTTCTTCACCCCAGGAAGTTCATAGATTTTTTAAAAACGAAATCTGGGACCGGGCACAGTGGCTCACGCCTGTAATCTCAGCACTTTGGGAGGCCGAGGCAGACGGATCACAAGGTGAGGAGTTTGAGACCAGCCTGGCCAACATGGTGAAACCCTGTCTCTACTAAAAAATACAAAAATTAGCCCGGCATGTAATCCCAGCTACTCAGCAGGCTGACGCAGGAGAATCGCTTGAACCCAGGAGGTGGAGATTGCAATGAGCCAAGATCGTGCCACTGCACTCCAGCCTGGGTGACACAGTGAGACTCAGTCTCAAAACAAAAAAAAAAGAAAAAGAATCTGGTTAGGTTATTTTGTAGGGTCTAACAACATAGGTGCACACATTGCTTTTTCAATTCATTAATATTCACTTAATGAGGTGAAAGTTTTACATCCTATGCATTTATTCATTCATTGATACATTTATCCAACAGACAGTTTATTATTGTCCAATTCTGTGCCTGGGGCTGTCTACGTGCTGGTTACAAATAAGATGCACCAAGTTTGTGTCTTCCGGGGGAACAAACGATTAACCTACTACCTGTTGTGAGATGCCAGATTAATATTGCTCTGTTCACTGGACAAACCAGAGTTTGAGTCTTAGCGCCACATTTCATTACTCATCCTGTTATTTATTCAAGACTTGCTATGTATCAGGCATGGTCCAATATTGCAGTAATACAAAAATAAATAAGGCATGGATGTATCCTCAAAGAATTTACCTTTTAGGGGTTATTGATCTCTGGCAAGAAGTCCCTACTTCTGGAAAATTCTCTCTGATTTCTCCAGTGTCATGTGCATAAAAAAAAAAATCGCCGGGTGCAGTGGCTCACACCTGTAATCCCAGCACTTCGGGAGGCCGAGACAGGTGAATCATGAGGTCAAGAGATCAAGACCATCCTGGCCAACATGGTGAAACCCGTCTCTACTGAAAACATAAAAATTAGCCAGGTGTGGTCGTGGGCACCTGTAATCCCAGCTACTCAGGAGGCTGAGACAGGAGAATCGCTTGAACCCGGGAGGCAGAGGTTGCAGTGAGCTGAGATCATGCCACTGCACTCCAGCCTGGGTGACAGAGCGAGACTCTGTCTCAAAAAAAAAAATCAGTGCATCTTTTCCATCTCAAGAGGCTTTGAATGGGAATCCCTGGGCAGCTTTTAGAGAGGTATAAAGAATCTGCTGTGCCAGGAAAAGATGAGAAGACTTCTTTCTTGCAATATTTCAGGAACTTCATGGTATCGGTCAGTTCACTGTCAGCAGAGGCCTAAGAAAATAAACTGGCCGGGCTCAGTGGCTCACGCCTGTAATACCAGCACTTTGGGAGGCCGAGGCGGGTGGATCACAAGGTCAGGAGTTTGAGACCAGTCTGGCCAACATAGTAAAACCCCGTCTCTACTAAAAATACAAAAAAATAGCTGAGTGTGGTAGCACACGCCTATAGTCCCAGCTCCTCAGGAGGCTGAGGCAGGAGAATCACTTGAATCCAGGAGGCGGAGGTTGCAGTGAGCCGAGATCACACCATTGCACTCCAGCCCAGGCGACAGCGGGAGACTCCGTCTCAAAAAAACAAAGAGAGGAAAGAAAGAAAGAAAAGAAGGAAGGAAGGAGAAAGGAAGGAAGGAACGAAGGAACAAAGGAAGGAAGGAAGAGGAAGGAAGGAAGGAAGAAAGAGAGAGAGAGAGAGAAAGAAAGAAAGAAAGAAAGAAAGAAAGAAAGAAAGAAAGAAAGAAAGAAAGAAAGAAAGAAAGGGAAAGAAAACTATACACTAGACAGTACACTTTTGGGATTTTGACAGTTCCTTGAATACACAGCGTAAGTTGTCCTAAGCTAATAAAATCAATGCCTTCCCCTGCCAAAAACCCTCCCCCAACACAACACACATTCTCTGTCTCTCTCTCTCTCTCAAGGTTAACCACTGTAGCCACTAGAGGACAAAAGGTTTCAGATGCGTTCCACAGATGAACGTTTGATATCACGGGACAGGACAGAGCCAGAACAATCGCCTCCTCTTTGGCCAGAACTTTCCCATTAGTGTATCAGAAATGTGCAGGCTCCGATTGCAGAATAAGTAAACAGGACATAATGGGTTTTCAATAAATGCTACGGAGCCAGACTCCAAATCTATTTGGAGAGGTTTATTTGACATGCAGAGCCTACTGGGGGAATTGAGGACAGAGAGGTAAAGGGTGTTGAAGTTTACTAATGAAAACTGGCACAAAGGGTGGGTTGAGATCCACCTGCAAACTGCAGAGAGGTGAGAAGGTTCTGATTGGAGCAACCCGAGAAGCTGGAACACCTTTGACTGAAATATCCAGGATTGTCGGAATAATTAGAACCTTAGAAGGAAATAAGATTTGGAGAGCATTTTGGACTCCTTTTTTTGTGTGTGGTTTTTTGTTTGTTTTTGTGTTTTTGTTTTTGTGGAAAGGGAGAGTTGTTTTAAAAAACCTGAAGCCAAGCCAAGAATAATAGAAGGTCTAAAATCAGACAACTGGTTGAAGCAGATGATGTGGTTGGGCTCTGTGTCCCCACCCAAATCTCATGTTGAATTGTAATCCCCATGTGTCAGGGGAGGGGCCTGGTGGGAGGTGACTGGATCATGAGGGCGGACATCCCCCTTGCTGTTCTCGTGATAGTGAGTTCTCATGAGGTCTGATGGTTTAAAAGTGTGGCACTTCCCCCTTCACTCTCTCTCTTTCTCTCCTGCTGCCGTGATAACACATGCCTTGCTTCCCCTTAGCCTTCTGCCATGATTGTAAGTTTCCTGAGGCCTCCCCAGCCATGTGGAACTGTGAGTCAATTAAACCTCTTTTTTTTAAACATTACCCAGTCTCAGGTAGTATCTTTATAGCAGTGTGAAAACAGACTTATACAGCAGAACTTGATCCTGGGCCTCTCAATTCCCAGTCCTGAGATTTTTCTAACCCACTTTGCCCCTTTATTTATCTGCTATGTATGTAGCCAAAAGGTACAAACAAATCAAAAGCATTTGCCAACAGGAAAAAAAAAAAAAGAAGTTCATGTTCTGATAGATTGAAATTATTTTTTATCAAGATTGAATGTCTTTCTGATTTTAACCAGCAACAAATTAATTTATGCGTACATTATAACTTATTTTAACATAGACTTCTTTAAGATGTAGAAGGCCAAATGACTGGGGAAAAGAGGGAGGCTCCATTCCCAGATGAAACTTGGGGACTCCCCCGCTTCTAAAGCCTGGACTGTCCACAGAACACACTGTCCTTGGAAGCCCTTGGGAGCCTCTCTGCTGCCTGGGTCTTAACTCTCTACTAACAAGTTAATGAAATAATCAGCAAAGAGCTGGCACACTTGGAATACAATCTGAACATTGTTTCCATAGTGCCTTTGTGTCTTTGGTCAAGTTCCCTAGAAGCAGCGTGTGAGACCAGGATCCTGGTGCTTTTGGCTTATTGAAGGAATGCGCTTCAGGAAAAACATGTGAGGGAGTCTGCTAATTTGCTAGGGTTGCCACAGACTAAAAGAGGCTTCAACAGCAGAAGTTAATTTTCTCGGCTGAGCGTGGTGGCTCAAGCCTGTAATCCCAGCACTTTGGGAGGCTGAGGTGGGCGGATCACGAGATCAGGAGATAGAGGCCATCCTGGCTAACACGGTGAAACCCTGTCTCTACAAAAAAAAAAAAAAAAAAATTAGCCGGGAGTGGCGGCAGGCGCCTGTAGTCCCAGCTACTTGGGAGGCTGAGACTGGCATGAACCCAGGAGGCAGAGCTTGCAGTGAGCCGAGATACCGCCACTGCACTCCAGCCTGGGCAACAGAGCAAGACTCTGTCTCTAAATAAATAAATAAATAAATAAAATAAAAAAGGAGTTAATTTTCTCACAGTTCTACAGGGTAGATGTTCAAGATCAGCCTGTCAGTAGGTTTGGTTTCTCCTGAGGCCTCTCTCCTTGGCTTGTAGACAGCCCCCTTCTCACTGCATCCTCACATGGTCTTTCCTCTGTGCGTGAGCATCTCTGGCCTGTGTGTCCACATTTCCTCTTCTTATAGGGACACCAGTCACATTGAGTTATGGCCCATCCTAACAGCCTCATTTTGACTTAGTGACCTCTTAAAAGGTCCCATCTGCTAATACGGTCACATTTTGAGGTACTGGGGGTTAGGCCTTCAGCATATGAACTGGGGGCAGAAGACATAATTCAGCCCCTAAGAGGGAGTGAGAGAAGGGTGACCAGGATGAGGAAGCCGGGAAGCAGGATGTGATCTCTGGGAAAGCCCTGTCATAGCCTGGTCCACGGACAGGGAGGAGGTGACAGTGCAATCAATCAAACCACAGAGCTACCTGGCCTTGAAGTAAGGGATCCCAGTCTTTCTGGCTCCGTATCTGCTAGTTGACTGGCCAGTCCCCAGTGTGTATGTGGTGGGGTAAATGGGGGCATCCTGAGGTACCTACTCAGCTGTCTCCAGGCAGGGGGGCTCCTGTGAGTCAAGAACATTTTTCCAGAAAAGGCCTCTCAAATGACCCAGCAGCTGAGACAGGGGCCCCCAGCAAAGACAGTCTGGGTAAGGCACCAATGGCATCCACGACTCAGGGCTACCTCGGCTCTTCTGTGTTTCACAGACATTTACCAGACTTCTGGCTCCACTGGCTAAAGCCACACTTCCAGGTATAAACACAAGATACAGGAGGGCTGCAGGAAAGGGTGGTGCCATTTGCCAAGGGAAGGAACAGGCCAGAACCCTCTCACTCCCAGCCCAGGAGCCCAGGCCCGAATCCCTGACTTCTGGTTAGTCACTATGTCTATGAGCCCCACTTCTTTACTGACTGTTTTTTGGTTTTTGGTTTTTTTTTGAGACAGAGAGTCACTCTGTTGCCCAGGCTGGAGTACAATGGCGTGACAGCTTACTGCAACCTCTGCCTCCCAGGTTCAAGCAGTTCTCCTGCCTCAGCCTCCCGAGTAGCTGGGATTACAGGTACCCACCACCACGCCCAGCTAATATTTATTTATTTATTTATTTATTTATTTATTTGGAGACGGAGTTTCACTCTGTCACCCAGGCTGGAGTGCAGTGGTGCTATCTCGGCCCACCGCAAGCTCCGTCTCCCGGGTTCACGCCATTCTCCTGCCTCAGCCTCCCAAGTAGCTGGGACTACAGGCATCTGCCACCATGCCCAGCTAATTTTTTGTGTTTTTAGTAGAGACGGGGTTTCACCGTGTTAGCCAGGATGTTCTCGATCTCTTGACCTCGTGATTCACCAGCCTCGGCCTCCCAAAGTGCTGGGATTACAGGCGTGAGCCACCGTGCCCGGCCTAATTTTTGTATTTTTAGTAGAGACAGGGTTTCACCATGTTGGCCAGGCTGGTCTCAAACTCCTGACCTCAGGTGATCCACCGCCTTGGCCTCCCAAAGTGTTTACTCACTTTCAAATCCACCTTCTCTCCATTCTCTTTGCTATCACCTTAGTTCAGGGATCCATCATTCCTCACCCCATTACTAAAGGGTTTCTTCTCGACTCTCTGCCTCTAGTCTAAACCCCATCTGACTGAGTCTCACACCACAGTCAAATATGAGCAACTCCTTTTCTGCTGTGGGGAGGGCAAAGACGGAATCTGTCTTGTTAGGCATCATTTCTCCAATCTCGTGTCTCTTTTGTGCTATTTAACAGAGTGTGACCCTGGGCCATTTTAACCTGTCCATCAGTGTACTCATTTGTAAAATATAAATAATATGACAAAAAGGACCTTAGAGTTTGGAGAATTGCATGACCTGACACGCATTCGGCACTTAGCGCAGTGTCTGGCGCACGGTGAGCACACCGAGGGCTGCTGTGATCATCTCTGTTGCTAGTGGCCACAGTAGGCAGAGCTGTAGGACCAAGCAGAGTGCTGGGGGCATAAGGCGAGGCAAACAGAAGGTGCTAGGAGAGGCCTGGCTGTCCATTGGGATGAATACCCCTATTATTTCTCCTGATATTTCTGCAGATGGTGAAACCAAGAGCATGTGTAACCTCAGTTTCGGTCTTCATCTCTGACTTCACTGGCCTCCAAGGTCAATGTTAATGTTAGTTGATAGTTGACACTGAGTATGTGAATGTTAGATAAGGGCAAGAAAACAAAAATCCTCTCATCAAAAGAGGTGACTGGGTTCCAGTGAGCCACAACGGTTACACCTGATGTTAATAATTTCACAGGGTGAAAAACCAGCATGGGAATATTTGCTAATTGGCATGAAATCCATGCTCCCCTGGTTGTTTAGTTAACTAAAGTGCAGCCAACAAAAGCTTAAGCTATATGACTGCCTCTCTCCGGTGACCCTGGCAGCCTCATCCATCCTGCATCCTGGTCCAGCTACACTCTATTCCTCACCATCCAAGACACTCACACCTGAGGCTGGGCTGTGCCTCACCAGGCCGCTGGCTCTTCTGGAGGGGAGGCTTCCCAGCAGCCCCCACCCCCCCACCGCTTCCTGCCTGGGGCTCCTCTACCCTCCTCTCTTCCCCCTACCTCCTCTTCCACATATCAGACCCCACTGCACAGAGCCTAGGAGATAACCTTTGCCAAGATGTAAGGAACAGACACCAAATGATTTACACGTCTTTCACACAGGACAAGTTTAGGCCCATACGTTCACAGCTAGAGTGTTTGAGAGTTGGACACCAAACCATTTCCTTTCCATCAATTCAAAGGCAGGAATAATCATAACAAGAGTGACTTTTTTTTTTTTCGGGGGGGGGATGGAGGCTCGCTCTGTCACCCAGTCTGGAGTGCAGTGGCGGGATCTCAGCTCACTGCAACCTCCACCTCCCGGGTTCCAGTGATTCTTCTGCCTCAGCCTCCTGAGGAGCTGGGACTACAGGCGCGTGCCACCACACTCAGCTAATTTTTGTATTTTTAGTAGAGATGGGTTTCACCATATTGGCCAGGCTGGTCTCAAAGCCCTGACCTTGTGATCCGCCTGCCTCGGCCTCCCAAAGTGCTGGGATTACAGGCATGAGCCACCACGCCTGGCCTAACAGTGACTTTTTAAATGCCATTCCATACACTTCTCATTTTTCTCAATGTTGTTTCTATGCATTTCTTTTCTTTTCTTTTTTTTTTTTTTTTTGAGATGGAGTCTCACTCTGTCGCCCAGGCTGGAGTGCAGTGGCACTCACCGCAAGCTCCACTTCCTGGGTTCACGCCATTCTCCTGCCTCAGCCTCCCGAGTAGCTGGGACTACAGGTGCCCGCCACCACGCCTGGCTAATTTTTTTGTATTTTCTTTTTTTTTTTTTTTTTTAGTAGAGATGGGGTTTCACTGTGTTAGCCAGGATGGTCTCCATCTGTTGACCTCGTGATCTGCCCGCCTCGGCCTCCCAAAGTGCTGGGATTACAGGCGTGAGCCACCGCGCCTGGCCTAAGAGTGACTTTTAAATGCCATTCCATACACTTCTCATTTTTCTCAATGTTGTTTCGATGCATCTCTTTTCTTTATCTGCCTTTAATCACCCTCTTTCCCCTCTCTATTTTTCTCCTTTTTTTCTTTTCTTTTCTTCCTCCCAAGTCTGGTCTGTCTGCTTGGGCCCCCATCTCATTTCCCGTTTCCTCATGAAGGCTGTGACACTCTATGAACGCCTCACTATAAAAAGCAGAAGGAATCAGACCCCACTGAGTAGTGCTGCAGGCCCTGAGGACGCTGTTCCGGAGAGCTCTGTCATTCTCCCTAACGCTCACAGACACAGGAACATGAGTCATCAATGAGACAGTGTTGCCACCCGCCTTTCTCCCAAGCCTCCCTATAAAAAGAGGAAATGGCCTCTGACACTGCGATGTATGAACAAGAGTTCCACACACAGCACACAGCCTGAGAACTTCTGCCATGGACTTCCGCACTGCTTATAGGATGTTGGTCTCATGTTTGGGTTTTCAACCTCAAATCCAAAGGAAACGTCACTTGAAGTATGATTTGTAGGGAGCAATATAAAGACTGATTCAGAAGGAAAAACAAAGGTCAAATGGTACCACTGTGATATGACTTCTACAATTTAAAAAATAATTCTACCTTTTTAAAAGAGTATTTTGGCAATGGAGAAGATGGACATGAAAAGATCTATAATTAGGCTGGGCGTGGTGGCTTACGCCTGTAATCCCAGCACTTTGGGAGGCCGAGGAGGGTGGATCACCTGAGATCAGGAGTTGAAGACCAGCCTGACCAACATGGAGAAATCCTGTCTTTACTAAAAATACAAAAAATTAGCCAGGTGTAGTAGCGCGTGTTTGTAATCCTAGCTACTTGGGAGGCTGAAGCAGGAGAATCGCTTGAACCTGGGAGGCGGAAGTTGCAGTGAGCGGAGATCGCACCACTGCACTCCAGCCTGGGCGACAGAACAAGACTCTGTCTCCAAAATAAAAAATAAATTAAAAAGAGCTATAATTGTTTTTAAAGTGCATAAAGCAATATTATGGAAGAAAAACGATCAATTAGCGACACCAATCAATAAAGCTGGAATGAGACATAATTAAGCTAGTTCAAAGGAAAGTCTGATGAAAGATTACAAAAAGCTCTCTAATTATGAGAGGAAAGAAGAATCTCAGGCAAGACTGCCAAGGAGGTTACAAATTTGTTAACCCTGCAGCAGAAATGAGAAACTCAACAATTAAAGAGAAAATAAAAATCAATGTCATTCCAACAATGGACAGGCTCCATTCTCCAGTTAAAAGGATCTACCACCAGCTTTAAAGTCATCAGCCAAGTTCTTTCCAGATTTCTCAGAACCACACAAGCAAACACACATGGCAAGAGCAACCCTCAACTCACTCTATTATGAGTACAACTCATCAAGGACTGAGGACCCTGGAGCATTTCTTCTCCAAACTCTGATCTTCCAGATGCCAAACAAAGTAGGCTGATAGACTGGCCTGAAGGTAGTGAGTTATCTCAATTGATTATTCAGTCAGTTACAGATTGAACTCCTGGTTCTACTCTTTCCCTCCTTCTCACTACTGCACTTGACTAGCCCTAAAAAAAAAAAAAAAAAGAGAGAGGCTAATAATTTGCTCGACATCAATAAAGTCATCTGTGAAAAATATAATTTTTTTTTTTTTTTTTGAGATGAAGTCCCGCTCTGTCGCCCAGGCTGGAGTGCAATGGCAAGATCAATCTCAGCTCAGTGCAACCTTCACCTCCCGGGTTCAAGCAATCCTCCTGCCTCAGACTCCCAAGTTGCTGGGATTACAGGTAAGGGCCATCATGCGCAGCTAATTGTTTGTGTTTTTAGTAGAGATGGCGTTTCACCATGTTGGCCAGGTGGTCTTGAACTTCTGACCTCAAGTGATCCACCCGCCTCTGCCTCCCAAAGTGTTGGGACTACAGGCATGAGCCACTACACCCAGCCTGATTTTTCTGTTTTCAATCAGGCAGACTGAAAATAGAAAGGACTAGAAATGATTAGAGAATTAATCTAATACCGTAAAACCTAAGTGAAACACCTTTTCTGCTTTTACTTTTTTTTTTTTTTGACACAGAGTCTCCCTCTGTCTCCCAGGAGGGAGTGCAGTGGCACGATCTCGGCTCACTGCAAGCTCTACCTCCCAGGTTCACGCCATTCTCCTGCCTCAGCCTCCCGAGTAGCTGGGACTACAGGTGCCCACCATAACGCCCGGCTAATTTTTTGTATTTTTAGTAGAGACGGGGTTTCACTGTGTTAGCCAGGATGGTCTCGATCTCCTGACCTCATGATCCACCTGCCTCGGCCTCCCAAAGTGCTGGGATTACAGGCATGAGCCACCATGACCAGCCTCTGCTTTTTCTTATTCCACCAGCAACCCAGACAGAATTCTTTTTTTTTTTTTTTTTGTGACGAAGTCTCGCTCTGTCACCCAGGCTGCAGTGCAGTGGCGTGATCTCGGCTCACTGCAACGTCCACCTCCCAGGTTCAAGCAATTGTTGTGCCTTAGCCTCCTGAGTAGCTGGGATTACAGGCGTGTGCCACCACAATTGGCTAATTTTTTTTTTTTTTTTTGGTTATTTTTAGTAGAGACAGGGTTTTGCCATGTTACCCAAGCTGGTCTTGAACTCCTGAGCTCAGCCAATCCACCTGCCTCAGCCTCCAAAGCACTAGGATTACAAATGTGAGCCACCATGCCCGGCCAGAATTCGTTTTTTATTGATTATTCAGAAAGTGTTAACGTTTAGAATTGACACTCTGAATCCCGTTTCATTTTCTTGTTTTCTCTGCTGAGGTAGAGAGGACACACGACACACCCCAGAAGGAGGACATCTTCACATTTTGAGTCACCGTGCCCAGTTCTGGCCCCAGAACCCACCAGGCACTGGGAGGATCAGAGCAGACGTCAGAGACGTCTCATGCTTCTAGACACTGCCATTCCCATCTCCTTCTTTGCTGCAATAGAGCAGACTTCTGGAATTGGCAGTAAACTGGCATTTGCTCTCCTCGTGTAAAAGAAAATCTGCTTCAGAGAACAAGTAGCAAATTCCCCAAAACAAACACTTATAATTAAGTAGTGTGTGTGTGTGTCTTGGTTATAGGCCACTAACAATGAAAGGGCATATCCCAGTGTGAATTTGCATTTGAATTCTTACCAAGGAGGCAGGCCCAGCAAACCAATTAACTAATTAAATCAGTTAACCAAATATGTAATTAACCTTGAGAACAGAAGTGTCAACAACAGAAGCACAACAAAGAAAGTAGCCTCCTCCTGGAATTGTCTAGTGGTTTTAAGCCTTTTAGTTTTCTGTCTTAAAGGCATAGCTACAGAGGGAAAATATTGCCTGGGCATTAAGACCAGTGGCCACACAATGTCATCCTATGGACTGGATGGAATCAAGCCAAAGGCAGTGTTTCCCACTTGTTCCGGCCCATCGTCTGTAAGTAAATACACAGGAGTTTTGGAGGACATGGTCCATGAAACACTGGCCCATTCATAGTCATTCCTTTTGGGAACACACGTGTCCACTATTAGGAAAAGGGAACTAGCTAGAAATTTCCAAGACAGATCCTCCCTTGGAGATGACAATACCTGGTAATTCAGACAATTGATTCTAAGACAAAAGGGACCAAGAAAGGAATGGCAACCTCTGCTAAACACAGTTATGGCAGGCTGTTGTTTGGACTGAGCTCCGACTCTGGGCCCCAGCAATTAGCCTGAGTGACCAGTATGGAGTCAGTAAGGCTAATTGCCATGAGATCTGAATGAACTCTGGCCAACATGGTAAAACGCTGTCTCTACTAAAAATACAAAAATTAGCAGGTCTGAAACAGGCCTGTTTTCCCAAAACAGAAGCTATACAACAACCAGGCAAAAGGAGCCTAGTGTACCAGAGCCTGAGTGACAAGGAAGTTCCCCTCTGTTTTAACCATCTGTAGGGAAAGTAAATTTGAAATGATCAATCCACTTTTTGTCCCCTATTTTTGCTCTCTTCAGCCTTTTTCTGCCTATAAAGCAAACCTCCTGTGCTCCGCCCATCAGAACACTCACTCTACCGTGTAGAAGGAGGCGCTGCCCCATTCTAGCATCACACATAAAAGGCAGTTCGATCTTTAAAGTGGTTGTAATTTTGTCTTTTGACAGCTTTATTTTATAGAGGTTTGACCTGTACACAGAAATCCCTGGGAAAGAGGAACCTGTGTGGCTGTAGGAATTCTATAGTGCTCTGTGCAATTCTGACACATGGAAATTTATCATTACCAAGACAATACATTAAAGCCTTGATGTAATGACTTTTCAGTAGCTCACCTTATAAAATTTTAGTTTTTCAAGTAGCTTCAGAAATGTTACTTAGAATTAATGATGTGAAAACACTAAGCTAGGTTTGATGCCTTCATGTAGCTTTCACTTAGGGGTGGTGTGAAATTCACTCAGAAAAAAAAATAACCAACAAAGAGTTATATGTTAAACAGCAAAAAGAAAATAATACAGACTAGAGCCAAATATTTATTGACTGAGTAAGGAAGATGATTTAGACCATTATTTACATCATTTCAGAAAAACCTACATCACAAAGGAGAGGTAACACGACCAAATCATTAACAGGGAAGCGAAAGCAACTGCACCAGGAACCTGGAGTCTTATCAGGAGAATAAATATGTATGTGAAATCTCATACTGGATTTTCCTGTTCCTTTCCTATAAAAGACGTGGTTTCCGATGTTGACCTGGGGCAAAATCAAAGCTCACCTGGGCTAAGTCAGCACACAGTTCCTAATCCTTAGGTAAAAAGATACACTTGTGAACAGTAACGCTCAGTCAAGCTCACAGCCTCTCCACATCATCAGGGAGTTAACGTGCAATTTATAAGCAGGCTAGGATGTTTGAAGAATCCCATTCCATTCACTAAAAACCCAGGGATCTCATTCCCACCCTAAGTGCAGGGCAAGCCCTCGGTATTGTTTCAGTTAACATTCCTGGGCCTCAGTTTCCTCGTCTGAAAAAGGAAGGGACTTTGGAATGGGAAATCTCTACGATCCCTCTCATGATTCAGATAGGCTATTTTTCTTTTCCACCAATAGAGGAAGAGACTTTCTGACAGCCAACATTTCCATTCCTACTATTTTGGAACAACCAGAACACTGAAAATTTGGTACGAAAAGCTTTTCTTACGATAAAGAGATAACATTTCCTTAAGAACAGTTGCTGAAACTTCAGCTGGGGAACTTATCAAATAAAGAAACCACCTCATTTCAGACTATGGGCTGAATCCAATAAAGTCAAACCCAACGCCTCCCAGGAATTTAGAATTACACAGTTGTTGATCAAGTGGAGAGAAAAGAATGTGAATTTGTTTTTTCAAGATTCTCTAACACCATATGAACTGTGGCTGCCTTTTCTTTAAATCATATAATGGAAAAAAACAAACTTCTAGAAAAAGATATGTATCATCTCCTCCAAGTGGTGACTGGTCCCTGCTCAATGTGTTGTGGTTTACCTTGCCTTGAACCCAAAACAATCCCTTGTCCTCACAGAGCCCTGGGGATGTCTGGTGGCAGCAGGAGGCTGAATTCCTATTCTAAGTTGCTTCCAACAAATTGTATTCCGTCTACATCTGTGCAAGTTAAGTGTGTTAGTACTGACGTGGCATGGATTTGTTAATCATTTTAATGTTTGATAGACTGATAATACATAATGTTAATGTTAAATATTAAATGTAATGGGTTTTGTTTGTTTTTTGAGACGGAGTTTCACTCTTGTTGCCCAGGCTGGAGTGCAGTGGCGCAATCTCAGCTCGCTGCAACCTCTGCCTCCCGGGTCCAAGCAATTCTCCAGCCTCAGCCTCCCGAGTAGCTAGGATTACAGGTGACTGCCACTACACTCAGCTAATTTTTTTGTATTTTTAGTAAAAACGGGGTTTCACCATGTTGGCCAGGCTGTTTTTGAACTCCTGGCCTCAAGCAATCCACCTGTCTCAGCCTCCCAAAATTCTAGGATAACAGGCGTGAGCCACCATGCCTGGCCTAAATGCAATGTTTAAACTAAGTATACAATGTTAATGTTAAAGTGTTTTCTTAATTGCTTTTTTTTTTTTTTTTTTTTGAGATAGGGTATTTCTCTGTCCCCCAGGCTGGAGTGCAGTAGCAGTAATCACAGCTCACTGCAGTCTTGAAATCCTGGGCTAAAACAATCCTCCCACCTCAGCCTCCAACATGGCTAGAATTACAGGTGTGAACCACCACACTCTGCCAGATACTTTTTCACTGGAAAGAATATAGAAACAAAAACTAGAAACAAAATATTCCAAGCCTTTTGCAAGAGAGGAGTCTCTAGGATGGGACTGTGTCTGGAGCTGGTTCCTTCCAGTGGGTCCGTGGTCTCGCTGATTTCAAGAATGGAGCCACGGACCTTTGCGGTGAGTGTCACAGCTCTTAAATATGGCACGGACCCAAAGAATGAGAAGCAGCAAGATTTATTGTGAAGAGTGAAAGAACAAAGCTTCCACAGTGTGGGAGGGGACCCAAGCAGGTTGCCCTGCTGGCTGGGGTGGCCAGCTTTTATTCCCTTATTTGTCCCCACTCATGTCCTGTTGATTGGTCCATTTTACAGAGTGCTGACTGGTCCATTTTACAGAGCACTGATTGGTGCATTTTACAAACCTCTAGCTAGCTACAGAGTGCTGATTGGTGCATTTTACAAACCTCTAGTTAGCTACAGAGCACTAATTGGTGCGTTTTACAAACCTCTTGTAAGACAGAAAAGTTCTCCAAGTCCCCACTCGACCCAGGAAGTCCAGCTGGCTTCACCTCTCAGGATCTCATTCCAATACTGAGCAGCCAGGCAAAGGTCAAACTACTTCCTCAGAGCAGCCAAGAAGCTTGAGAAAATTTCCAAGATTCCTAAGAAAAATCCCCTGTCCTCTCCCTTCCAGCCTGCACAGCAGCTTTCCTTTCATCCTTTGCTCCCCAAAGCCAACCACTGAGCTGCCTGTGTCTTCCTTGCATGGATTTAACATTATCACACATTGACTTACATAAAATAAACATCTTACACTGAAACATAAAAAGGCTCAAACCTGTAGAATCGAATGAAGCTCCTGCCTCACCTTAAAATTGTTATAGAGCTAATGGCCTTTACACATATGTACTGAGTCCATAGCATTTCGTTCTTACTCCTGTTCTTACTCCTTCTGGGCAAGAACTATGATTACTTATCTTCTTCCCCTTAACACATAGTTTGAATGAATTCGTTATAAGAAATGGAGATTGTAGGTCAGGCGTAGTGGCTCATGCCTGTAATCCCAACACTTTGGGAGGCCGAGGTGGGTGGACCACCTGAGGTCAGGAGTTCGAGACCAGCCTGGCCAACATGGTGAAACCCTGACTCTATTAAAAATACAAAAATCAGCCTGGTTTGGTGGCACATGCCTGTAATCCCAGCTACTCGGGAGACTGAGGCAGGAGACTCGCTTGAACCCAGGAGGCAGAGGTTGCAGTTAGCCAAGATTGCGCCACTGCACTCCAGCCAGGGCGACAGAGGGGGACTCCCTCAAAAAAAAAAAAAAGAAAAAGAAAGAAAGAGGAAGGAAGGAAAGGAGGGAGGGAAGGAGGGGGGAGGGGGAGGGGAGGGGGAGGGGAGGGAAAGGAAAAGGAGATTGTAAAAATTCCTTGTAGACTCTAGGTGAGTTTAGGGATAAAATTAAAGTAGTATGTTAGTAGTTCATCATTATGAAGATACAACATTATGTGGTGGGATTATTATATTTTAGATTTCCAGATTACCTTTCTGAAAGCAAAGGCCTGTTTTCTCCTCAATGATATATAGCCCTCTCCCTGGAACCTGATTCAATATAACACATGGTACATTTAACCTGTATCCCTATTGTCACAGAAACTTCCAGAGAAGCAGACAGTACCACTGTGTATTTGAACATTCACTAAAATAATGTTTTCTATGGTTAGAAAAACACATACAAACACATACACACACTTTGTTAGAGTGTCTTATAACTTAAGCTCTTGTTCCTAAATAAAAATATATTTCTGGAAATTTCTTTCAGAGGAGGACTAACTTCTACACAAGATGCATTGTACACATTGATGAGTTAAACAGTTCACATGAAAATAACCCTTTTTATTTATAGGCTTTGGGAACTAGCTTAAGTAAAAACACTGGTAAACAAGTCTTGAAATAATTTTTCCTCTATATAATCTCTTTTAAATGGACCATTTGATTTATGAATAAAGTGATTATAATGCAAATGCTGTTAAGGAAAGAACATATGTAAATGATTAGAAACTATTGGGGATGTCTTCATGGTGTATTGAGTCTGATGTGTGATATATTCATGGCAGCTACTAAACTGTATGGATATTTCCACTTCAGGGTTGCTATTTTGTGTAAACTCACCCAGCTTACTAAATAGAGCTTAGGCATCTAGAAGTGAAATCCAATGTGCAGTCAGCAAAATGATCTCTCAGCAACAAGCCACCTTGACCAAAGGGTGCAAAAGAACCCAAGGAACACCAGGCCATAATTACTTCCACTGGCAGACCTAATCTGGGGAGAAAATGCTTTTTTAAAAAATTCTTATTTAAAAAAATCCATTCTGCCAGTTTTCAGACAAAAAAAAAAATTTTTGTCGCCAAAATATAAACTTCCCAGAGAGGCTCACACATAAACATACTTAAAACAGCTAGCGCAAATAGCTCTCTTCCAAAGAATGGGTATGTCTTTGTTATAAATTGTATAAATGGTTACATAGTACAGATTATAATTGTTTCCCCACAGAAAAGTAATTAAGACGAAGTTTTTTTCTAATATTAATAAGCAAAAGTGGCCAACTTGTATCATTAAAGTATAACTCCAAATAAGTAAGATATACTGGAACTAATTTGAATTGCTAAAGCATTTTAAGATGTTACAGCTCTTTTTTTTTTTTTTTTTTTTTTTGAGACAGAGTCTCGCTCTGTCCAGTGGCACAATCTCTGCTCACTGCAACCTCCACCTCCCTGTTCAAGCGATTCTCATGCGTCAGCCTTCCGAGTAGCTGGGACTACAGACACACATAAGATGTTACAGCTCTTTGAAGTCATTCCCATAGTCTTCTAATGCAACAAGTCATTGTCACTAATTCAACTGAAAAGGTGAAAAGTTTGCCAAAAGCATAAACTAAGTCTGAGGAAGTACTCCTTCTCTTGTTTGTCTTTTATTTTTTTAACTTAAAGGGGGAAAAATGTACTGATAAATATTTAAACAATAGATATATTATTTCATATTAATGATATTTAAATATAAATACGACTTAATACTATTATTTGATATTGAGATTTTTTAAAGGTACTGATTCTATTTTAAATAATATATTTAATAATATTTGAGGAAATGCTTATGAACAGTAAAAATTAATGATTAGGAAAAATACTACAAAAAAGGGAACTGAAAGAATTTACAGTAAGCTAGGGGAAATCCCCTCTGGAAAGCGTCTCCACACATCTACTCTCATTAAGGAAAAAAAAATAGCATGTGATTGAAGTGTTCCAAAACAGAAAATGTAAAAACAGAGTTTTCAGAAATATCAGGAAGCAGCTGAGCATGGTGGCTCACGCCTGTAATCCCAACACTTTGGGAGGCAAGGAGGGTGGATCACCTGAGGTCAGGAGGTCGAGACCAGACTGGCCAACACGGTGAAACCCTGTCTCTACTAAAAATACAAAAATTAGCCAGGTGTGGTGGCTCACGCCTGTGATCTCAGCTACTCAGGAGGCTGAGGCACGAGAATTGCTTGAATGCGGGAGGCAGAGGTTGCAGTAAGCCAAGATTGTGCCACTGCACTCCAGCCCGGGCAACAGATCGAGACTCTGTCTCCAAAAAAAAAGAAACATCAGGAAGCCAGTATCAGATCCTCAGTTATCAACAAGGCCATGGATAGTGAGAATTACGTTTTGTGCTAGAATGAAAACTGTATCACATGGAATATGGTGCTTCATTCATCTAAACTTAGATTGGTAGTCTACATTAGGAATTAGTCTTCTGGAAATGGGGTTCTAAATTTTTTTTTCTTTTTTTGAGGCAGAGTTTTGTTCTTGTTGCCCAGGCTGGAGTGCAGTGGCATGATCTCAGCTCACTGCAACCTCCACCTCCCAGGTTCAAGCGATTCTCCTCCCTCAGTCTCCCAAGTAGCTGGGATTACAGGCATGAGCCACCATGCCCAGATAATTTTGTATTTTTTAGTAGAGATGGGGTTTCTCCATGTTGGTCAGGCTGGTCTTGAACTCCTGACCTCAGGTGATCCGCCCACCTCAGCCTCCCAAAGTGCTGGAATTACAGGTGTGAGCACTGCACCCAGCCTGGGGTTCTAAATTATTCACTGAATTCACCTTTCTGTCCACTGCCCTTCAGGGCAGAGGGGTGAGTTTGCCAATTCCATAATTCTCCATGGTAACCATTGGCTGTAAATTCCGGACATGCATCTCTCCAAAGTATGGATGAATCAAAATGTGTAGTCAGAATAAAGAACAGAGTGATATCCTTCCATTCCCATCTCTTTCCTTCCCCTGTCAGTTTATTAATAAAATATCATCTGCAGAATATTTAACACTGGAATATCTAGCCATTTTTACGAACCACAAGACTAGGGGAAACATCTCCATGTGGTGAAAGTAACTTTGAGTTATAAACATGATACTTAATGCACAGGGCTTCTTTGCTATGATGTAGCAAGCAAAGGTTTCAGCTGTGGTTAAAAGTTACTTTTTTATTCCTGGTAAAAAATAAAATAAAATAATTTTTACAATAAAAGACTTTCACCAGGAGCGGTGGCTCACATCTATAATCCCAGCACTTTGGGAGGCACAGGCAGGAGGATCACTTGAACCCAGGAGTTTGAGATCAGCCTGGGCAACATAGTGAGACCCTGTCTTTACAAAAAAATACAAAAATTAGTGGGGCGTGATGGCATATGCCCATGGTCCCAGCTACTTGGGAGGCTGAGGTGGGAGAATCACTTGAGCCTGGGAGGTTGAGGCTGCAGTGAGCCAAGATGGCACCACTGCACTCCAGCCTGGGCAACAGAGTGAGACCCTGTCTCAAAAAAATAAATAAATAAGCTGGGTGAAGTGGCTCACACCTGTAATCCCAGCAGTTTGGGAGGCCGAGGTGGGCGGATCACTTGAGGTCGGGAGTTCGAGACCAGCCTGACCAACACAGAGAAACCCCGCATCTACTAAAAATACATAATTAGCCGGGCGTGGTGGTGCATGCCTGTAATCCCATCTACTCAGGAGGCTGAGGCAGGAGAATCGCTTGAACCTGGGAGGCAGAGGTTGTGGTGAGCCGAGATTGCGCCGTTGCACTCCAGCCTGGGCAACAAGAGTGAAACTCCATCTCAAAAAATAAATAGACAAATAAAATAAAATAAAAGATTTTTTTTAAAGTTAGCAACTTGTAAAAATGTTTCAGTAGGAAAGTTCTGTGATGAGACTGTGATGCTTGATGGTCAACATCAGCTTGTTGGCTTTTACCCCAGATAAGCCTTTTGACTTTTTACCCCAGATAACAGCCATTGACTGTCCACGATTGTCATCATGCAGCTATATTTGTCATAAGCATCATGTGCTTGGATACATTATGTCATAAGCATAAATGTCCTAGAGTAAATTGTACACGAGTTGCATTATGTGCTAGATGTCTATCCAAAGGAATACTCTGGCAATTCATTTGGCAAAGTAATAATTTTGTGTGCATGTGCAAGTATATACCAATTTATGCAATAAAAATTTTTGAAGTATGAGTAGGTCCTTCGAATGCCTGTTTTATAAGTCTTTTTTTCTTCTTACCAGGTCTGCTTAACATAAGGTTTGCAGCCAAGCGCGGCCACTCATGCCTGTAATCCCAGCACTTTGGGAGGCCGAGGCGGGCGGATCATGAGATCAGGAGATTGAGACCATCCCGGCTAACACAGTGAAACCCCGTCTCTACTGAAAATAGAAAAAATTAACTGGGTGCGGTGGCGGGTGCCTGTAGTCCCAGTTACTTGGGAGGCTGAGGCAGGAGAATGGCGTGAACCTGGGAGGTGGAGCTTGCAGTGAGCCAGGATCGCGCCACTGCACTCCAGCCTGGGTGACAGAGCGAGACTCCATCTCAAAAAATAATAATAATAAAATAAAATAAGGTTTGCATATTGGTTATAAGCATTTTCTCACATCAGTCTAATACCTTGTGGCTACTGATTTCCTGCACTGGGAGTCAGCAGACCTCATGGCGATGCAAAACGTCTGCCAATGTATATTAAAAGGAAACCAAGTAAGAACAGACTTTGCCGCCATTTGGGCAACTCCTCACGTAGATGCTTGGCAAGTAACAGTCAGAGACAGTGTGCTATTGTTCAAATGCACAGACTGGATTCTGATGAGCTGGATTCTGATGAATCTCAGTTGTGCTACTAACTAACTGGAATTATGCAAGTCTCTAAACTTGTGTTCCCACTTCTAAACATTGTGGGCAATAATAATATCACCTCCCACATTGGGCTGTTGTGAAGGCTTAAATTAGTAAGATAATGAATATGATAAGTTTAACATAGTACCTGGCACATTGTAAATTAATGAATAAGCATCACCTATTATTACCAGCATAAAAACTTACCAATTAAAAAAAAGGGGGAGGGAAGACGGATTTGAGTAATAATAAAATGCTCAGAAATAGCTCCAGTGGGACATTGCCTTATCCAAGCCAGCTTCAGCACCTTCCCTAAGTCCTTTCCCCATTTCCAGCTGCAAAGAAGACTTCAGAGTCAGAAGTTTCCACTAGCTCTGAACAAGGGTTGGCAGCAGTCTCAGGGCCTCCATCCATCCAGCCCTCATTGGCTCCCACCCACATTGTGCCAAGCAGAGTATCCACAGGATATGGAGTCATCTTCCGTGGTCCCAGCTGGATTTGATTGCGCTGTGATGACTTGGCTGTTGCAGAGGCTAGATTGAAAGCATGTCTCAACTTCACCTCTTGAATGCAATGCTGTTTATATTTGCCTAATATTTTTCTCCCCCTTGGGTTATTTGAAGATCATGCCAAACTTTTGTTTCTTTTAACTGGATAGAGTATTCTATAAAGATATTTTAAAGCAGTTATTCTCATCGACATTTTGCAAATCTGGAAGAGAGTTTTTATAGCTATACAGCCGTTCTCTCACCATGGCCTGGCTCCACATACAGCAAAGTGATCCTTCTAACCCAGATCACGCCCCCACTGTACTCCAAACCACTCACTGCCTTCATCTTAGGATGGAAAATAACATCCTCAGATGGTTTACAAGGACTCTGCAATGTCCCCTTGCTCCCATGTCATCTTCCTCCACTCTCCCCCTGCCTTTCTTGCTAGCCCTTGAATAGCCCCAAATATGTTCCTGCCTTGAGGCCTTTGCACTTGCTGTTCCCTCTGCCTGGAATGCTCTTTGCCCTACATATCTGCACAGCTCACTTCCTTCTGTTGTCATTTCAAATGTCACCTTCTCAGGCAAGCTTCTCCTGTCATCCTACCACCTTACATTATATTTTTGTTTATTGATTTATTAGATGGCTCCTGCATTACAATGTAAAGTAGGTAACACGATGGCCTTGGCTGGCAGGGCTCACGCCTGTAATCCCAGCACTTTAGGAAGAAGAGGTGGGCAGATCACCTGAGGTCAGGAGTTCAATACCAGCCTGGCTAACATGGTGAAATCCCGTCTCTACTAAAGATACAAAAATTAGCCAGGGGTTCTGAGGGGGCACCTGTAATCCCAACTACTCGGGAGGCTGAGGCACGAGAATTGCTTGAACCCGGGAAGCAGAGGTTGCAGTGAGATGAAATCGCACCACTGCACTCTAGCCTGGGCGACAGAGCAAGACTCTGTCTCAAAAAAAAAAAAAAAAAATGTCCTTGGCTTTATTCACCACTGAATCACCAGCACCTAGAGCCCTGAAGACACGGGTCTCAATACATATTTATTGAATGTGAAAGGACTGACCTCCAAGAGATTCAACAGCAAGCAGGTCTCTCATTCTGACTGAAGATTTACTCATCCAATTCATTCATTGCTAATGTCTTCTTTATCAGTCTAGTTATCATTTTTTTTAAGCGAAAGCAAGTTTATTAAGAAAATGAAGGAATAAAAGAATGGCTACTCCACAGGCAGAACAGGCAGTCTAGTTATCATTCTTAACTTTCTTGTATACTTAAAAATTTCCTTCTGTGCTTCCCACACATGACTCCAGATTTCTTTCCTCACCAATATTCTGGGATACTTTATATCACCTTCTACTCCCTGACCCATTTTTACAATCGTCTGCAGAACACTACTTAACAAATTGTACAAAGACATCTAGCCTTACAAATGCCTCTATAGATCAAAATGTTTTCCAGGGCCGGGATTAAGAAAAAAAATGTGGGCTGGACGCAATGGCTCACGCCTGTAATCCCAACATTTTGGGAGGCCGAGGCAGGTGGATCACCTGAGGCCAGGAGATCGAGACCATCCTGGCTAACACGGTGAAACCCCGTTCTACTAAAAATACAAAAAATTACCTGGGCGTGGTGGCACGCGCCTGTAGTCCCAGCTACTCAGGAGGCTGAGGCAAGAGAAACGCTTGAACCTGGGAGGTGGAGGTTTCAGCAAGCTGAGATCACGCCACTGCACTCCAGCCTGGGAAACAGAGCAAAACTTAGGAAAAAAAAAAAAGAGGCGAGGGGGAAAGAAGGAAGGAAGGAAGGAGAAAGAAAGAGAGAAAGAAAATGCTTTTGGTTGGGCATGCAGTGACTTGCACCTGTAATTCCAACACTTTGGGAGGGAGGGGTGGGAGGATCACTTGAAGTCAGCAGTTCAAGACCAGCCTGGGAAACAGAGAGCTCCTGTCTCTACAAAAAATTAACAAAATTAGCTGGGCATGGTGACACGCACCTGTGGTCTTAGCTACTCGAGAGGCTGAGGTGGGAGAATCACTTGAGCCAGAGAGGTCAAGGTGGCAGTGAGCCAAGATCAGCCATTGCATTCCAGCCTGGGTGACAGAGCAAGACCCTAAAAAAAAAAAAAAAAAAGAAGAAGAAGAAGAAAAGAAAAAGAAAAAAAAATGCTCCTTAGCAGCACACAACCTCACCTCATAAGGTTTCAGATCACTTCTCCCACCCACACCCCCACCGCCCCCCGCAAAGTGCCCCCACTGTAACAACAGATATATGATTTTGCACTTTCCGTCATCTTGACCCACATAGGTAGCAACCCTTCTTTGGATTCTGCTGCAGCATTGTGGTGGTCCCCTGAAACTAAGGGGTAAAACGTGCTTCCAGCAAGATGCATGATCTCTACACAAACCAACAAATCCTGCTGCTAAAAAGCCAAGAGGTTGGATGTCTGTATCGAGTTGTGGCTTGCTTTTCTGTTCTTTCTTAAAAGTATTGACAAAGCAGAAGGTCAGTGCTATTATGGAATTTACATTTCTATGAGAAAGATAAGGAGGAAGCAGGATGAAAATGCTGACAGGGTTCCATTGTAAAAGGGAAGAACGCTGAGAAAGAGAAGCTTGCCCTGAGACCATTTTCAAATAATAATAATAAACTCATCAGCAAGAAGGATAACAAAGAGAACAAAGAAATCTGGAAGAAATGAAAATAATGGAATTCACTTTGATTTTATGGCTTTAATGCATAATAAACATGCTAGAAAATATCAAGTCTAACCCACACTGGTCCTTGGCTCCCTGTTTCTTCCACTCTTCTTTTCTTTTTTTTTTTTTTAAACAGAGTTTTGCTCTTGTTGCCCAGGCTGGAGTACAATGGAGTGATCTCAGCTCACTGAAACCTCTGCCTCCGGGGTTCAAGCAATTCTCCTGCCTCAGGCTCCGGAGTAGCTGGGATTACAGGTGTGTGCCACCACACCCAGCTAATTTTGTATTTTTAGTAGAGACAGGGTTTCTCCATGTTGGTCAGGCTGGTCTCAAACTCCTGACCTCAGGTGATCCACCCGCCTCGGCCTCCAAAGTGCTGGGATTACAGGCATGCACCACCGCCCCCAGCTCTTCCACTCTTTTCTATTGGCAAGACTGTCTTACTCTTCTGGAATTGTCCCCACTCTAGAAAAGAGATAAAAAAGGAGAAAGAGGCCGGGTGCGGTGGCTCACACCTGTAATCCCAGCACTTTGGGAGGCCAAGGCGGGGGGATCACCTGAGATCAGGAGTTTGAGACCAGCCTGGCCAACATGGTGAAACCCTGTGTCTACTAAAATATAAAAATTAGCCCAGTAAGATGGCAGGTGACTGTAATCCCAGCTAGTCTTGAGGCTGAGATGGGAGAATCACTTGAACCTGGGAGACGGTGGTTGCGCTGAGCCAAGATCACACCAGTACACTCTACCCTGGGCAGCTAAGCAAGACTCCATCTCAAAAAAAAAAAAAAAAATGGAGAAAGATACTAATTCCTTTCAGCCACTCCAGCAGCTCACTAGCACAGGTATGGGGCTTCCTGCCTGGCTTGGAAACCTGACTCTACCTCCTGCTAGCTGTGCGTCCTTAGGCAAGCTACTCAATTTCCCTCTGTCTGAGTTTCTTCATCTGTTAGATGGCAATAATATTAGGTTGGTGCAAAAGTAATCACGGTTTTGCCATTTCTTTCAGTGGCAAAAACCACGATTACTTTCGCACGGAACTAACAATAGTAGTGCCCACTTCTTAGGAGAATTACACGAGTTAGTAAATGCAAAGCCCTTAGAACAATGCTGGGTACCTTGAAAATGATCAGTAATGGTAGCTAATATTCCCAGTAGCTTAGGAATCTCTTCACTTTTTACTCATAAGCTTAAAGTGAAGGATTTGATATCTGTGTTGGCTTTAAAGGAACAAAAGAACTTTCTCTTTTGTTACTAGCTATGTAACCTTCACCCAGAGGGAGAGCCTTAAATCTCAAGGAATCTCTCTTACTTGCACAACCAATTTGTCAGGGGAAGCTTGTCTTACTGCAGATCACATATAGGGTGGCACGCTATTTAGAATTCTGATAATAAGGCAGTGTTTAGAGTGGTTAAACTTGGGCATTTTTCTGGAGTTCACTTACCGATTGGTACGGGTAGTGAAGATTCAGTTATAAAGGTTTCATGCAATGTGTCTCTGTACCTAGAACCTCAGCCATAAAGAAAATACATAAACTTCCAGAAAGACACCGTATAGAGGAAGAGCCTAGCTCAGTTCCTCCACAATATTTTTTCCTCTGACCCACCTGGCCCTGAGTGGAATGAATGAGATGAGGGGCACAGCCCTTTGTTCCTAAAAGATGAGGCAGGACAGGGCCAGCAACCGACAGCTGTGGATGTCGATGCCACATAGTCCAAGTGGTCACAGAATTGTCAGCCATGGCAAGGGTGTGGAAAGCCTCAGCATCAGTCTCACACCTAACGTGATGCTAGGTGATGTGTTTACACAAAGCCTCAGCATCAGTCTCACACCTAACGTGATGCTAGGTGATGTGTTTACACAAAGCCTCAGCATCAGTCTCACACCTAACGTGATGCTAGGTGATGTGTTTACACAAAGCCTCAGCATCAGTCTCACACCTAACGTGATGCTAGGTGATATGTTTACACAAAGCCTCAGCATCAGTCTCACACCTAACGTGATGCTAGGTGATGTGTTTACACAAAGCCTCAGCATCAGTCTCACACCTAACGTGATGCTAGGTGATGTGTTTACACAAAGCCTCAGCATCAGTCTCACACCTAACGTGATGCTAGGTGATGTGTTTACACAAAGCCTCAGCATCAGTCTCACACCTAACGTGATGCTAGGTGATGTGTTTACACAAAGCCTCAGCATCAGTCTCACACCTAACGTGATGCTAGGTGATGTGTTTACACAAAGCCTCAGCATCAGTCTCACACCTAACGTGATGCTAGGTGATGTGTTTACACAAAGCCTCAGCATCAGTCTCACATCTAACGTGATGCTAGGTGATGTGTTTACACAAAGCCTCAGCATCAGTCTCACACCTAACGTGATGCTAGGTGATGTGTTTACACAATTTGTTAAAAAGTGTTGCATAGAATACTATTAAAAAAAAAAAAGTCATGTACCAGGCACGGTGGCTCACACCTGTAATCCCAGCACTCTGGGAGGCCACAGTGGGAGGACAGCTTAAGGCCAGGAGTTTAAGACCAGCCTGGGCAACACAGCGAGACCCCTTCTCTAAAAAAAAAATAATAATAACAATAATAAATAAATAAATAAATAGCTGGGCAGCTGGGCACAGTGGCTCATGTCTATAATCCCAGCGCTTTGGGAGGCTGAGGCAAGCAGACCAGTTGGGCCCAGGAGTTCAAGACCAGCCTAGGCAACACGGTGAAACCCCATCTCTACAAAAAATATAAAAATTAGTTGCACGTTGTGGCATGTGCTGTAGTCCCAGCTACAAGGGAGATTGAGAGGTGGGAGGATCGCTTGAGTCTGGGAGGTCAAGGCTGCAGTGAACCATGATCGCTGCCACTGCACTCTAGCCTGGGCAACAGAGCCAGACCCTGTCTCAAAATAAATAAATAAATAAATAAATAAATAATAAAAATAAAGATGTTCCATACTGTCTTTGAAGATGGAGGACGTGGCCATAAACCAAGGGATTCAGGTGACCTCTAGAAGCTGGAAGAGACAAGGAAGTGCCCTGTCCTAGGCCACCAGGAGTAGCACTGCTGACTGATGCCTGATTTTAGCCCAGTAAGATCCATTGTCAGACTTCTGACTTCTGGAACTGTATGCTAATAAATTTATGTGTTTCAAGCCACTAAGTTAGTGTTAATCTGTTACAGCAGCAGT
Source organism: Homo sapiens (assembly GCF_000001405.40). Taxonomy (NCBI): domain Eukaryota; kingdom Metazoa; phylum Chordata; class Mammalia; order Primates; family Hominidae; genus Homo; species Homo sapiens. The sequence continues at coordinate 17,100,325 of NC_000005.10, read as the reverse complement.
AAGAGATGAATACACCTTTCACTACATCTTAATTTACATCAGGAGTGGGCAGATGTTTTCTACAAAGGGCTGGGTAGTAAATATTTTAGGTTTTGCAGGCCAAGACCACAAATCTGCCATTGCAGTATGAAAGCAGTCATAGATGATACAGCCGTGACTGAGCGTGGCCAGGTTGGTGGGTGGAAGAAAACCGGCCGCTAGGGGCTCTTCTGGCAACTTTGAAGGACTGGCACACCCAGGAGGGAATCTGACCTCTTAAAATTATATCGCATTCCAGCCTGGCCAACATGGTGAAACCCTGTCTCTACTAAAAATACAAAAAATTAGGCGGCCACGGTGGCGTGAGCCTGTAGTCCCAGCTACTTGGGAGGCTGAGGCAGGAGAATCGCTTCAACCCAGGAGGTGAAGGTTGCAGTGAGCCGAGATCAGGCCACTGAACTCCAGCCTGGGTGACAGAGCAAGACTCTGTCTTAAGGAAAAAAAAAAATTACATCGAATTAAATTAGGCCAGGCACAGTGACTCACGCCTGTACTCCTAGCACTTTCAGAGGCTGAGGTGGGTGGATCGCCTGAGGTCAAGAGTTTGAGACCAGCCTGGCCAATATGGTGAAACTCCTTCTTTACTAAAAGTACAAAAAATCAGCCAGGTGTGGTGGTGCGCACCTGTAATCCCAGCTACTCAGGAGGCTGAGGCAGGAGAATCGCTTGAACCCAGGAGGCAGAGGTTGCAGTGAGCCAAGATCACGCCACCATACTCCAGCCTGGGTGACAGAGTGAGACTCTGTCTCAAAATAAATTAATTAACTAATTAATTAATTAAAATTAAACTGCGTTTTAGGGGCATTATTACACTGTCCTGCAGTTGTATGCTGGTTAATGTTAATCTTATCCTTCTGGATTTTGACACCTCTGGGGACGCAGTGTGATAGGATAAAAAAGCTCTCAGCTGGGAGCCAGCCAAGCTGGTTGCAGTTTTCTGTTTCTACCTGTGTGACCATGAGCAGGTCATTTTAACTCTCCAGGCCCCAGGGTTCTCACCTATAATATAGAGCAATAAAGCTACAAGGTGATCTGCTTTCTTGCTTTTTTTTCTTTTTTTTTTTTTGTTTTTTTAGATACAGGGTCTCACTCTGTTGCCCAGGCTGACGCTATCATAGCTCACTGCAGCCTTGAACTTCTGGGCTCAAGTGATCCTCCCATCTTGGCCCCCCAGAATGCTGGGATTACAAGCATGGGCCACTGCACCCAGCCTCGTCCCGTGATTTCTAAGGGTCACTGACTGAGAGAGGAGAAATCCAGGAATGATAGATGGGAAGTTTCAGGGCAGCTCAGGTCCTCCTTCCAAGTGCTATGAGTAGGGCTGTTAACACTGCAGGAATCCAGATGAAGCCAAGCGCATCTCCAAGCTGTTTGACCACAGTTAAGTTGATCGGCCTTGAGATGAAAGAAAGGGTAGGCTAGGCGCGGTGGCTCATGCCTGTAATCCCAGCACTTTGGGAGGCCGAGGCGGGTGGATCACCTAAGGCCAAGAGATCGAGACCAGCCCGGCCAACGTGGTGAGACCCCGTCTCTACTAAAAATACAAAAATTAGCTGTGTATGGTGGCGGGCACTTGTAGTCCCAGCTACTTGGGAGGCTGAGGCAGGAGAATCACTTGAACCCGGGAGGCGGAGGTTGCAGTGAGCCGAGATCGCGCCACTGCATGCGAGCCTGTCGACAGAGGCAGACTCCATCTCAAGAAAAAGGAAGGAAGGAAGGAAGGGAGGGAGGGAGGGAGTCCCATGGGCAGACAAGAGAGCAGCAAGGGGGGCAGAGCCGGAGTGGAGGCTGGGTTTGGTACCCAGGTGTCCACAGAGAGAACATTTGGGGGTGAAGAGCATCTTCTGAATACTTTGCTCTGAGTTTTCTTACAGGTTCCTGAAACAAGTTGGTAACTAGAGAAAGGGGAAGGTTGATCTTAAGAGTCATTCTTCTTCAACCTAGAGAGACATCACCAACATCAAGACAGGAAGGTGAAGGTCGGGCGCAGTGGCTCATGCCTGTTATCCCAACACTTTGGGAGGCCAAAGCGGGAGGAACACTTGAGGCCAGGAGTTCGAGACCAGCCTGGCCAACATGGTGAAACCCCATCTCTACTAAAAATACAAAAATTGGCCGGGTGCGGGGGCTCACGTCTGTAATCCCAACACTTTGGGAAGTCAAGGCAGGCGGATCACCCAAGACCAGCCTGACCAACTTGGAAAAATCCTGTCTCTACTAAAAATACAAAATTAGCCAGGCATGCTAGCGCATGCCTGTAATCCCAGCTACTCAGGAGGCTGAGGCAGGGGAATCACTTGAACCCAGGAGATGGAGGTTGCAGTGAGCCAAGATCGCACCATTGCACTCCAGCCTGGGCAAGAAGAGCAAAACTCCGTCTCAAAAAAAAATTAGCCAGGCTTGGTGGTGCATGCCTGTAATCCCAGCTACTCGGGAGGAGCATGGGAGTCTCTTGAACCCAGTGAGTAGAGGTTGTAGTGAGCCAAGATCATGCCACTGCACTTCAGCCCGGGCAATAGAGCAAAACTCTGTCTCAAAAAAAAAAAAAAAAAAAAGAAAGAAAGAAAATGAGAACAAGTCTTTCCAGAGCAGCAGTCTAGGCTGCCTCCTATACAGATGCCTGTAAACCATGCCACCTAATGTGGCAGCCACTAGCCATGTGCAACTCTGCACATTTTAATTTAAATTCAAAAATACATACATAAATGTAAATTCATTAAAAGTCAATGAAACAAGCCAATTCCTCAGTGGCACTAGCCACATTTCAAGTGCTCAGTAGTAACCTGTGGCTAGTGGCGGCCATCCGGGTCAGTGCAGATATTAAACACGCCCATCATTGCAGAAAATTGCACTGCTACTTAGATACTTTCTAGTATCTAAGATCTGGATCTGCTTCCAGACCATCTGAGTGGGTTTCAGTCAAGTGCCATGACTTTTTCAGAAAAGAGGCATGGTTAGATGATGCTCGCACTATTTACACAGCATTCTCACAGCGGGGTTTCCCCCTCACTGTCTTCTTTGTCCTCTGGGTTATAACAGTCTCTCTCCCAGCAGCAGCAGCGCATGGCAGGCACCTCCTGGCTTAGGTTTCAGATGCAGTTTCCTCCTGAAAGAAGAGTACAGGCACGTCCCTGACGCGCGCCCCACTCTTCCTGCCTATTTATCCACCTTGAGGCACTGAGCCAAAGGAATTTCCCTGGGAAGGGAGTTAAGGGAGGAGCTGGAGTCTGACGAGGGGTGGAAAGATCCATCGGAGATTTATTGTGGCGCTTAGATGAGCCATCGATCATGCATGAGTGCCCTCTTTCATGACCAAAGAAGCAGACTTCACGGGGAGGGGCAGATGCTCAGATATCACTTGCTGCCCCCATCTTCTGTGCACTGTACACATTGACATACAAAACCCATTGTAAGTCCAGAAAGAGAGAGACAGAGACAGAGACAGAGAGACCTTCTGATTCTCCACAAACATCATTCCCTACAGTCATGAAGGTTGCACAAAGCATCGTCCTCCAGAACGCAACTAATTTCAGAGTGGAGTTTATAGAGATATGTGAAATCTTTCAGGAGCTTGCTCTCCTCTCCTGCTTAAGAAATCCCCCAGCAGAATCCTTTGTTTGGGTTAAATCACCAAGCAGGTGCACGGTTTCCAGAAGGGTAAGAATATTCCACTGGAGAAAGCAGGAAAGCCTTAGATTTCACTTCATCGGTTTTCACGTTAGCTCAGATTCATTAATCACATTTACTTAGAATCTCACTGTGAACCAGGGACACACATGGAATGTCAGCCATGTACTTCTTGCATATAAAATGCAGGTCTGTGGAGGCCTGGGGCATGCAATTCACAAAATCTCAAGGTAAATAGTGTTACTGAGTCCAAATTCCCATCAGATATAAGAACCCCTGTGGGCGGCAAACCACCCAGGCGCCGAGGCAAGAGACCGAGGACACGAGCTGTTCCAGTATAATAAAATATAAAACAAGAATAGTTATACCAGATATAGATCTTAGATATGATTATATATGAATATCATTAATCATTAGTTTGTAGCAATTGCTCTTTATTCCAATATTAAAATAATCTTCGCTCTATAACCATAACCTAGGAAAAACCAGGCCATACAGAGATAGGAGCTGAGGGGACATAGTGAGGTGTGAACAGAAGACAAGAATGCGAGCCTTCTGTTATGCCCAGACAGGGCCACCAGAAGGGCTCCTTGGTCTAGCAGTGACGACAGCGTCTGGGAAGATGCCCGTTGCCAGGCGGACCATGGTCTAGCAGTAGCGAAAAGTGTCAAGGAACAACACCCACTACTTAGCAGACCGGGAAAGGGAGTCTCCTTTTCCCCGCGGGAGTTTAGAGAAGACTCTGCTCCTCCACCTTTTGTGGAGGGCCTGACATCAGTCAGGCTCACCAGCAGTTATCCAGAGGCCTAACCGTCTCCCTGTGATGCTGTGCTTCAGTGGTCACGCTCCTAGTCCGCGTTCATGTTCCATCCTATACACCTGGCTCTGCCTTCTAGATAGCAGTAGTAAATTAGTGAAAGTACTAAAAGTCTCTGATATGCAGAAATAATGGCGTAAGCTGTCTTTCTCTTTGTCTCCTCTCTCTCTCTGCCTCAGCTGCCAGGCAGGGAAGGGCCCCCTGTCCAGTGGACACGAGACCCATGTGACCTTACCTATCATTGGAGATGACTCACACTCTTTACCCTGCCCCTTTTGCTTTGTATCCAATAAATAACAGCGCAGCCAGACATTCGGGGCCACTACCGGTCTCCGCGCATTGGTGGTAGTGGTCCCCCGGGCCCAGCTGTCTTTTCTTCTATCTCTTTGTCTTGTGTCTTTATTTCTACACTCTCTCGTCGCCGCACACGGGGAGAGACCCACCGACCCTGTGGGGGCTGGTCCCTACAACCCTCATGTCATTCCCAAAATCACCTTCTTCAGACTCTGCTTGAACACTGCAAAGATTAGTTCCATTTTGTAAATTCAGACCACTAGAAATCAGCACAAATCTGTTCCATCACTATTTCCACTCAAATTCATGTATGCTATGTATGTGGATGAAAACGCATGCCTCTATGTCGGCTACCTCATAATCCCTAGCAGTCAACCGGAGTGGAGTGCGGCCTCGCCCTTCTGTTGGATTTATGCAGTTTGACACTTCCTCAGCCGTTTCCTCCCACAATTACAAGGTAAACTTCTCCTCCTTCTATTGCATGATTCTAAAGAGTAGTTCAAGTTTCCCTCTGCTGCCAATTTTCAAAAGCGTGGGTGGTAGAAGTGAATATAGGCAGCATTTCAATAATAGCAATGACTGGAACTTTTATATTAAAAGCCAACTCTTGTCATTTGATACAGCCTGAAGAGCCAAAATCCTGGCAGAAGTAGAGCTGATGAAAGCAAGTCTAAGACTCTAGTTCTGCCTTATCCATGGACTAGAATAGGATGTTTTTATCTCTTACTAAGTCTGATAAACGTATGCAAGCTGGTTCAGAGTCCCATTACTACCAAGTGGATGACATGCTCATCAAATATATCCTAATGCTGAAAGCACACTTGCTTTTCTTGGTAAAATAACAATGAGAAAACAAGGGATGCATATGATATACAGTACCATAAACATGCTAATTTTTAAATAAAGGAAATAATTCAGGATGTATTAAAATTGTCACTAAATCAGAATTAGAATTCATTCTAAAACTTTAGAATTTTGGAATTTATTAAACTTCTATTTTATTTTTGAGATAGCGTCTTGCTCTGTTGTCCAGGCTGGAGTGCAGTGGCACGATCTCGGCTCACTGCAACCTCCGCCTCCCAGGTTCAAGAGATTCTCCTGCCTCAGCCTCCCGAGTAGCTGGGATTACAGGCGCCCGCCACCATGTCTGGCTAATTTTTGTATTTTTAGTAGAGACAGTTTTCGCCACGTTGGTCAGGCTGGTCTTGAACTGACCTCGTGAACTGCCCGCCTTGGCCTCCCAAGTAGCTGGGATTACAGGCACGTGCCACCATATCCAGCTAATTGTTTGTATTTTTAGTAGAGACGGGGTTTCACCACATTGGCCAGGCTGGTCTCAAACTCCTGACTTCAGGTGATGCACCCACCTCAGCCTCCCAAAGTGCTGGGATCACAGGCGTGAGCCACCGCACTCGGCCTAAACTTCTAAATTGAGTAACAATCTGGACTCCCTGAAAGTCAAAACGTAGCTAGACTAGGACTTAATTTTTCCTTTTTTTCTTTAAATTTTTTTTTTTTTTTTGAGACAGGATGTGGCTCTGTTGCCCAGGCTGGAGTGCAGTAGTGTGATCTCAGCTCACTGTAACCTCTACCTCCTGGGCTTAAGCCATCCTCCCACCTCAAACTCCTGTGTAGCTGGGACTACAGGAGTGTGCCACCATGCCTGGCTAATTTTTGTATTTTTTGTATAGACAGGGTCTTGCCATGTTGCCCCAGCTTGTCTCAAACTGCTGAACTCAATTGATCTGCCTACTTCAGCCTCCCAAATTGCTGGGATTAAAGGCGTGAGTCACCGCACCCAGCCAGGACTTAATTTTTTTTAATGTTTATGGGCATGATCTATTTAGTGACAGTGACTCCTAAGAGAAATAAGTAATCACTCATAAACTGCTCTATGTTCCAACAATCAATGATTATAGAGAAATTTCTGATCCTCTTCTGATTAACGTCTAGAGATTTTTCCTAAGAGGATCTGTCAGCCTTGTATTTCCATGATTTGTTGCAAGCCTATTTTCTTTTTTTTTATTTTTTTATTTTGAGACAGAGTCTCGCTCATCGCCCAGGCTGGAGTACAGTGGCACAATCTCGGCTCACTGCAAGCTCCGCCACCCGGGTTCATGCCATTCTCCTGCCTCAGCCTCCCAAGTAGCTGGGACTACAGGCACCCGCCACCATGCCCGGCTAACTTTTTGTATTTTTAGTAGAAACGGGGTTTCACCGTGTTAGCCAGGATGGTCTTGATCTCCTGACCTCGTGATCCACCCACCTCAGCCTCCCAAAATGCTGGGATTACAGGCGTGAGCCACTATGCCCAGCCTGAAAGCCTATTTTCATACCTTGAAGTTGGAAATTAAAAGAACAAGAATCTTAAGTGAAAGAACAAATATATTGTTTGTAATTCAATACTAGATTTTTTTGACTGCTTTTTGGTTTTGGGTTCTTTTCCAACCTGATGTTGAGGGCAACATATTCCTCATCCGTCTCAAATCCTAAGCTTCTTCCTTCCTTCTCTCCCTCATTCATTCATCTCTCTCTCTCTTCTATTCCTGTCTCTTCCCCCCCACCTCTGATCTTAAGCCTTTCACAATTAAGCACCCTATTACATTCCCAGGTCTATAAAAGTCATAGATGGCCCAACTCCATAAAAAATCAGAGCTATGTTCTGGGCTAGCTCATGGATTTGGGACCCCACTTTGGAAAACCACTAGTGCATGAAACATGTTGATTTAAATCCAGCCCCTGAAAGCCTGGCTGCAAGCTCTCCTAAGCTGAGTGGAGTATGAACTCTCCCTGCGATAACCCAGAAAATGCATTTGCTTCTCACCTTCCACTTTCAAACCTTAGCTCGTCCTTCATGAGGTTTCCACCCAACTGATTTAAATATAAATCTCCTAAGTTTGTTCTTACTTGAAAAGAGGACAAAAACCAGTTTCAGATCCCAGGGGCACCCTCTGCCTCCTGATTGGTTTCCATTTTTAAAATCAGCCTGAAATGCTAGACATTTGATCCAATAAATCAGGTGTTGGAAGTCAAAGGGACTGGTCTCCAGGGGTTGGTTTTCAGGCCACATATTATGCTTACCCTAGAAAATATGAGATGCTGTGCTAACGAATTCACCCTGGGAGTAGGTGTGAGGCCAGAAGACAAGCTCTCCCTTGTAAATTCAGTTGGGATTGAGTCCCCAGCTCCAGCTTCTGGGATGAACAGGACTTCTTATCCCTTAATCACACCAAGGAGAGACCCCACACGCACACACCTTGACATTTCTCCCTCCTGGACCCACCAATGTGGCTGTTTGTTATTTCCCCTGGACAATTTGGAGTTATATAAAGAGTTCACCTTTGGCCAGGCGCGGTGGCTCACGCCTCTAATCTGAGCACTTTGGGAGACTGAGGAGGGCGGATCACCTGAGGTCCAGAGTTCAAGGCCAGCCTGACCAACATGGGGAAACCCCATCTCTACTAAAAATACAAAATTAGCCAGGCATGGTGGTGGGCGCCTGTAATCCCAGCTACACGGGAGGCTGAGGCAGGAGAATCTCTTGAACCCGGGAGGCGGAGGTTGCAGTGAGTGAACATCGCGCCATTGTACTCCAGCCTGGGCAACAAGAGCGAAACTCTGTCTCAAAAAAAAAAAAAAAAAAAAAAGGAGTTCACCTTCAAACCTTACGATCTGCACAGTGTGTCGCAGTTTTCAAAGGGCTTTCACAGATGTGATCTCATTTAGCTTTTATGAGGTCCCGTGGCCTCACAGCAGCAGCAGCAGCAGAGAGAGAAAGAGACAGCTAAACACAAGGTGGTGGTGCCCTCCAAGCCAGAGCATGAGGTCCAGGGTCGGACCGACCTGAATTCAAATCCTGACCGTAAGCTGTGAAGCTTTGGGTAAATTAATATCTCTACGCCTAAGCTTCCTCGTTTTGCAGCTAGAAATAATTAATAACAGTACCTGCTTTACAGTCGGTCCAGGGTTAAGGGTCCCCTTGATCTTGAAGAAGGCACCTGAAGCACTTAACACAATACTTGGCACATGTAACTATTCAGTAAATGTCAGTTACTACTATTAATCAATATGTTTAGACCCGTAAGAGCAATCTGCAAAAGCACACCCAGATGAAAAGTTCATCATGGATATCCATTAACTGGCAGGGATGAAATCCTGAATTGACTCTGGAATCCAAAGATACAGATCTTAACACTGGAAGGTACAGTCATTTTTGAGCAACTGATGCTCTGAAACGGTCCCCAGCGGGGCCCAGCACTATAGATGGCTTTTATCATTCAGTCTAGTAATTAAAACTATGCTTATTATTTACAGATCATTATTTAGAAATAGTTTTGGTGTTGCTAATTCATTTTTAGCTATCCTTTATTCATAAAAACAGATTATTTTTACGGCAACAGTTTCGTTGAGTTCACTATTCTCTGGGTTTCCTGGAGAATCAGCTATTCTGACACTAGTTTGATATGCATACCAGTTCCTCTTTTTTTTTTTTTTTTTTTTTTTGAAACAGGGTTTTACTCTGTCACCCAGGCCAGAGTGCAGTGGTGTGTGATCTCGGTCACTGCAACCTCCACCTCCTGGGCTCAAGGGATCCTCCTGCCTTAGTCACCCCAGTAGCTGGGACTATAGGTGTCCGCCACCATGCCTGGCTAATTTTTGTATTTTTCTAGAGACACGGTCTCACTATGTTACCTAGGCTGGTCTCAAACTCCTGTCCTCAAGTAGTTCGCCCACCTCAGCCTCCCAAAGTGCTGGGATTACAGACATGAGCCACCACACCTGGCCTGTTCATTCTACTTTACTAACTTTCCTTGCTTAGAACTCTGAGCAATCTATAGCAAGCTTTACCTCTTCTTTAAAATGAAACAACTTTATAGACAAAATTAAAAATTGAGAATTATAGGCCAGGTGTGATGGCTCATTCCTATAATCTCAGCATCTTGGGAGGCTGAGGCTGGAGGATCGAGACCAGCCTGGGCCACAAAGTGAGACTCCCATCTCTTAAAAAAACATAATTTGAGAATTATATTTTTCACAGTTTATTCATAAGTTAAAATGTACTCCATGATTTTGATCTATGCCTGCTTAGCTCAGACGTATGGGACCAGAGTGAAATAGCTTCAGTGGGTATACGTGTCTTTGTGTACTAGTCAGCTTTCTTAGATTATGCAGTGGCAGCCAAAAAAAAAATATCTCACAGGCCTCTAAGAACAAAGGTTTAATTCTTATTTATTTTCCAGGTCAGCTGAGAGCTGTGACTCTGCTCTGTGTGTCTTCATTCTGGGATCAAGCTCACCTGGGCCATGTTGATCTTGGGGAAGGAGAAGGCAAATGACAAGAGCACGCAATGGCTCTTCAGTATCCGCTGGGAAGAGGCACACCACATTCCCACTGACATTTTATGGAAGCAGGCTGTGTGGCCATGCTTGAGATCAGTGTGTGGGGAAGTAAATTCACCCACAGGGTAGACAGAGCAACCCCATGGCAGGAGTGGATGTGTTCAACCCTCCACATAGGGCAGCCAATGAGAAGAAAAACACAGTCCACCACACTTCAACATGTTTGAATTTTGGTCCTTTTTCAATGACATTCCTATTTGAGATCTCTTCTGACGGCTTTAGGGCCATTCCTAAGATTCAGAGAGCAGTGTAGCGTGACTCACTGTATGCCCCTGGCAAGGACTGAGTGTGGCCCACAAAGCCTAGAATATTTATTTTCTGACTCTTTCCAAAAGAGTTTGTCAACCCCCAGAATAAAACTAAATTTGGAGGCCAGGTGTGATGGCTCAAACCTATAATCCTAGCACTTTGGGAGTCAAAGGCAAGAGGATCCCTTCAGCCCAGGGGTTCAAGACCAGCCTGGGAGAACTTGTCTCTGAAAAATAATTAATTAATTAATTAATTAATTTAAAAAAAAAAAAAACCTTAAATGTGGGATTGGTCCTGGAAGCTTGGTTTCATTGGCACTGGGAGCAATTATGTCCATCCCAGATGAAATCAGCTTCTACAAGTAACAAATCTCACCTTTAAAGCCAGCGGTTACTAATCAGTGTAGAATTACTCCTCTAGAATCTGGAGTCCAGACGCCACTCCAGTGAATCTGTGTATCCATGTTCCTGGTGTTGCACTTACCACACAGGATTATAATTACAATTTTATGTCCCACAAACAGACTATGGTAACATCCCATACTCAGCCCAGTGCTTGACAAAGGTATTTTTGTAACTGTTTTTGATTGAATTAAACTAAACTATGGGCATGCAGAGAATCTTAAGATAATCTAAGATATCATATTTGTTTCATCATGAATCTCTTACTCTTAAATAAATTCCTTGTCTGAGCTTATCTGAAAAATGGAAATTCAGGAAGGGTGCAGTGATTCACATACCTGTAATCCCAACACTTCAGGAGGTGAGGCAGGAGGATGGCTTGAGCCCAGAGTTCCAGTCCAGCCTGGGTAACATACAGAGATGTCATCTTTGCCAAAAAAAAAAAAAAATTGTAAATTAGCTGGGTATGGTGTTGCACACCTATAGTCTCAGCCTCAGGAGGCTGAGGTGGGAGGATTGCTTGAGGCTGGAAGGTTGAGGCTTCAGTGAGCTGAGATCGCACTATCGATCTCCAGCCTGGGCAACAGAGCCATCTAAGAAAAAATAGAAAAGGAAATTTTTTTTTTTTTTTTTTTGAGACGGAGTTTCTCTCTTGTCGCCCAGGCTGGAGTGCAGTGGCATGATCTCGGCTCACTGCAACCTCCGCCTCTGGGATTCAAGCAATTCTCCTGCCTCAGCCTCCCGAGTAGCTGGGATTACAGGCACCCGCCATCACACCTGGCTAATTTTTTGTATTGTTAGTAAAGACGGAGTTTCACCATGTTGAGTAGGCTGGTCTCGAACTCCTGACCTCAGGTGATCCGCCCACCTCAGCCACCCAAAGTGCTGGGATCAGCCACCACACCCAGCAAAAGGAAATTTAAATGTCACCAAAAGTCTTCTTTAAATGCCTACTTAGAGATGACAGAGGAGAGTCATGTTGACTCCACTGCATTCACCGAAGTCCACCAAAAGCAACAAAAAACAAAAAATATAAGGAAACTCCATTTCAAAAGAAAGTCTTCTGCCTCAAACCAAAAAGTAGAAGAACATCGGCCAGAAAAGATTAAATTTATCAAAATAAGAGACCAGTGAAAAGAGATGACAATTTCCAGGAGATAGGAGAATGGAAATGGTTGACTACAAAGGGACCACACAGGGACATTCGTTGGGTGATGAAATACATAGCATAGTGTATTTCATCACCCAAAGCATACACTGCTGTGTATGCTATGCTAGTGATGGATTCGTGCCACTATGCATTTATCAAAACCCATTGTACTGTACACTTTTGAAAGTGAAGTTTACTCTATGAATTTTTTTTTTAACTCAACCAAGATGATAGGGAATTGAAGGATGAATTTCGGGCTGTGACACTAAATCTAACTGCATTACAAATGTAGGACATAAGCTCAATGACGATGATGGAGAGAAAAATATCTCACCTAGGTTACTGGAAACCTGTGTTTTAACTAAAAGTCATAAGGGGCCAGACGTGGTGGCTCACGCCTGTAATCCCAGCACTTAAGGAAGCCAAGGTGGACAGATCACCTGAGGTCAGGAGTTTGAGACCAGCCTGGCCAATGTGGCGAAACCCCATCTCTACTAAAAATACAAAAAAAAAAAAAAAAATTAGCCAGGCATGGTGGCAAGTGCTTGTAATCCCAGCTAGTCGGGAGACTGAGGGAGGAGAATCACTTGACCCTGGGAGGCGGAGGTTGCAATGAGCCCAGATCGTGCCATTGCACTCCAGCCTGTGCAACAAAAGTGTAACTCCGTCTCAGAAAAAATAAAAATAAAATAAAAGCCATAAGGGCCAAAGAAAAAAAAAACTGTGAAGACAAAAATTAAAACTGTACGTAAACTGTGAAAAACAGAGTTGACATAATTCCCTCAGACCTGGAGCCATACAGAGAAAGCACCATAGTCCTAAGAGCCACCTGATTTGAGACACCATATAGGGACTTGGGAAGAATAGCTGGACAGTTCTTCCAGCAGGAAACAGTGAAGGTGGCACTGAAAGATACCCCAACCCTGAAATGTGTCACATCCCTGCATCAAATCTAGAGCCCTGTCCGAGGGCAAGGGTTAAACATAATGGAGGCAAAGGAGCAAACATCAGAGGGACATACTGTGTCTTCGCCACTCGGGCTGCTGCAACTAAGCACCACAGACTGGGTGGCCTAACCACAGGCATTTATCCTCTCCCAATTTTGGAGGCAAGGAAGACCAAGGTCAAGAAGTCAGGCTGTGAGAGAAAAGACAGCTCAGGCCCCTCTCCATGGCTTGTAGATAGCATCATCCCAGTCTCGGCCTTCATGTTCGCACGACATCATCCCATGTTCGTGTCTCTATCTTCGCTTGAAGTTTTTTGGGTTTTTGTTTTTTTTGGTTTTGTTTTTGTTTTTGTTTTTGTTTTTTCTGAGACAGAGTCTTGCTCTGTCACCAGGCTGGAGTGCAGTGGTGCAATCTTGGCTCACTGCAACCTCCGCCTCCCACATTCAAGCCATTCCCCACCTCAGCCTCCCAAGTAGCAGAGACTACAGGCAAGTGCCACCACGTCCAGCTAATTTTTCGTATTTTAGTAGAGACAGGATTTCACCATGTTGGTCAGGATGGTCTCCATCTCCTGACCTCATGATCTGCTCTCCTCGGCCTCCCAAAGTCTGGAATTACAGGTGTGAGCCACCACTCCCGGCCCACCTGAGGTTCTTTTTTTTTTTTTTTTTTTTTTTTTTTCTGAGATGGAGTCTCGCTCTGTTGCCCAGGCTGGAGTACAGTGGCGCGATCTGGGCTCACTGCAAGCTCCAGGGCCTTCCAGGGTTCACACCATTCTCCTGCCTCAGCCTCCCAAGTAGCTGGGACTACAGGCACCTGCCACCACGTCCGGCTAATTTTTCGTATTTTTAGTAGAGACGGGGTTTCACCGTGTTAGCCAGGATGGTCTCGAACTCCTGACCTCAGGTGATCCACCCTCCTCAGCCTCCCAAAGTGCTAGGATTACCGGCATGAGCCACCACGCCCAGCCTTATTTTTATTTCAATTGAGAAGTTACCAATAGATAAAAGTCAATCTTTCAGAACCTAAGGAAAGTTCAAGTTGTTCTTAAAATTTGCTTCATTTTCATGATTTCCATACTCTTATAACTGTTTTGTTTTTAAAGCATATTAGTCTCCCAAGGCTCCTTCTCTCAACCAGCAATTCTCAGCCCTAGATGTACATTAAAGTCAACTGGGGAGCTTTCCAAATAATGCCAGTGTTGGATCCACCCACTGAAACTCAGCTTTCATCAATAAGGGAAGGGAGAAAGAAACCCAGCATGTGCTTTTTTCATCTCCTTTATTTCTCCTTTATTTTTTTTCAAAGATACCCTTTCCTCAACTTTTATTTTTCTATTTTTCTGGGATTCTTCCTGTGACCATCCCATATACCTCATAATTATATATTTTCTAGTTCTTTGTTCTTTCCTGCTTGTTTTTTTTTCAAAAAGGGTTTCTAAATCTAATTTTAAAATGTACTAATTCATTCGTCTACATAGTGGAATACTAGATCCACTATGTATTCCATCATTTTTGCTTTTGATTGTAAATATTACATATTTCCTATATTTTGCGTAACATATTATGAAAGTTTCAAACATGCATAAAAATAATGTTGCAGTAAAAGCATGTTCACCCTAAACCTATATTCTCCAATTAGCATCTTACAATACTTCTCCTATCACATACCTATTTGTCTAGCCAGCCCTCTAGCTATCCCTCAGCCCTTTTTTTTTTTTTTTTGGAGACAGAGTCTCACTCTGTTGCCTAGGATGGAGTGCAATGGTACAATCTTGGCTCACTGCAGCCTCAACCTCCCAGGCTCAATCAATCCTCCTGCCTTCCAAGTAGCTGGGACTACAGACAGGACACCATCCCTGGCTAATTTTAAAATTTTTTGTAGAGACAGGGTCTTGTCATGTTGCCCAGACTGGTCCCGAACTCCTGGACTCAAGCGATAGCGATCCTCCCACCTCAGCCTCCCCAAAGTGCTGGGATTACAGGCCACTGAACCTGGCCCCATCTTATTTTTTAACACATTTCAAAGTAAGTGATAGGTGTCAGTGTGCCTCCCCTAAATATTTCAGCATCACATCAGTATTCTTTAAAACACTCTGAGTAGTTTTTCAATTCAGCCAGGTTTGAGAACAATTGTGAATTACAACAAACGATGCTCAATTCTAGCTCATGGTTTCCTGGCTTGTGGTACACAAAGGGTTTAAGAAACTTCTTTCTCCACTTGCTCCTGAGAAATCCTTTTAAAGAGCCTTTCTGAAAAATGACATGGGCCAGGCGCAGTGGCTCACACCTGTGATCCCAGCACTGTGGGAGGCCAAGGTAGGAAGACTGCTTGAGTCCAGAAGACCAGCCGAGGCAACATAGTAAGACCCCTGTCTCTACAAAAATGTTAAAAATTACTTAGATGTGGCGGTGTGCACTTGTAGTACCAGGTACTCAGGAGGCTGAAGCTGGAGGACCTGGAGCCCAGGATTTCAAGGCTGCAGTGAGCTATGATTATGATAGAAGCAGGAGATAGCCAAAGGCTGCCCAGGTCATTGTGCACAGGGGGCCTGCATAAGCATGCCCATGGTGAAAAATTCCATCCCTTAACATATGTGTAGTAAGAGAAATAAATCAATGTGGAGTGGCTGAGACTCAGGGCCCACATGCGCACTGGGGAAATGGGGGTAGAGCCACCAGGAATTCGCGCCTTATGCAGGGGGAGGAGCCTGGCCGCCTCAGCTCATGTGGTGGCCTGGTGTTCAATCTGTGAGGTGGGACCCTGTTGGCAGGACCCCTTCTTTCTTTGCTGAGAGCTTTCTTTTCGCCTAATAAATCCACCCTCCTCACCCTTCAATGTGTCTGTATACCTAGTGTTTCCTGGTCGTGAGACAAGAACCCGATTTTAGCTTAACTAAGGAGCAAAAAAATCCTGCATCGATTGCACCGTTGCACTCCAGCCCAGGCGACAGAGTGAGACCCTAACCTTAAAAAAATAGAGAAAAAAGGCCGGGCGCAGTGGCTCACGCATGTAATCCCAGCACTTTGGGAGGCTGAGGTGGGCGGATCACGAGGTCAGGAGATCTAGACTATCCTGGCTAACACGGTGAAACCCCGTCTCTACTAAAAAAAAAAAAAAAAAATTAGCCGGGCGTGGTGGCTGGTCCCTGTAGTCCCAGCTACTCGGGAGGCTGAGGCAGGAGAATGGCGTGAACCCGGGAGGCGGAGCTTGCAGTGAGCCGAGATCGTGCCACCGCACTCCAGCCTGGGAGACAGAACGAGACTCTGTCTCAAAAAAAAAAAAAAAAAAAAAAAAAAAAAAAAAAAAAAAAAAGTCAGACAAATACCTAAGTACCACATAAGTAAATACAAGCTAAGCAGATCAATATGATGGATGTTAAGCTCCAGGAAAAGACCAAACAATTACTTACACGCTGCTTATACTGGTAGTAAAAAGGGAAGGAAATAATCACATAGATTCAATGCAGGATGTCTTTCAACTGAGGGTTTTTCTCTAGGTATTTTCCTGTGGGTAACAAGAGAAAGTTCTTTTCTTCACCTTTTGATTGACTTACTGTACTCCCCACCAATTTTGGTAGTTGCCTTTAAGTATTTGTCAGCTGTCATCCCCACTGCCAATCCCTCTGGTCCTAGCATTTATTTAAACGCTCAGGATTTTGTAAGAGCAGATAAAACAATTGGAGGAACACTTCCCCCTCCCCTCCCCTTCCCCGCGGGAAGGCAGCTAAGGCCCGGCGAGAAATCGAGCACAGCGCCGGTGGGCCAGCACTGCTGGGGGACCCAGTACACCCTCCACAGCCGCTGGCCCGGGTGCTAAGCCCCTCATTGCCCGGGTCCGGCGGGCTGCTCCGAGTGCGGGGCACGCCAAGCCCACGTCCACTCCGAACTCCAGCTGGCCCGCAAGCACCGCGCAGCCCCGGTTCCCGCTCGCGCCTCTCCCTCAACACCTCCCTGCAACCTGAGGGAGCCGGCTCTGGCCTTGGCCAGCCCAGAAAGGGGCTCCCACAGTGCAGCGGTGGGCTGAGGGGCTCCTCAAGTGCCGCCAAAGTGGGAGCCCAGGCAGAAGAGGCGCTGAGAGCGAGCGAGGGCTGTGAGGACTGCCAGCACGCTGTCACCTCACCAAGCTCTTGCCCTTGCCATTGCACTCCAGCCTAGGTGACGGTGAGACTCCGTCTCAAAAAAAAAAAAAAAAAAAGTTCCTGCAGAGTAAAACTGTCTAATGCCTTTATGCACACCCTTTGCTAATTGATCCTAAAAGTTTGCTCTTCTGGTAGGCAGCAAGAGCCCACCTGAGACATACAAACTTACACATTTATTCTACTGACCTCAGCTTCCTGAGAGGTCGTGTACCTCATCTGCAGTCAACGAATTTAAAGTGTCTTGGGTTGCAAATTTTAACTATAGTGCAAATTTGTTATAAGTATTACAATATAATAGAAGGAAGTGCTGTCCTTAATAACTTCAACTTATGCCTAAATGAATGCTCTTACTCTGTTGTTTCCTGCCTTGTACTAGATTATTATTTGTTCCCAATTTTGTTAGATGGGCCAAACAATCAAATCACATATTTAAATAATGAAATAGGCCAGGCATGGTGGCTCACGCCTGTAATGCCAGCACTTTGGGAGGCCTAGGCGGGTGGATCACCTGAGGCGTGGAGTTTAAGACCAGCCTGTCCAACATGGAGAAACCCCATCTGTACTAAAAATACAAAATTAGCCAGGCATGGTGGCACCTGCCTGTAATCCCAGATACTCAGGAGGCTGAGGCAGGACAATCACTTGAACCTGGGAGGCAGAGGTTGCGGTGAGCTGAGATAGTGCCACTGCACTCCAGCCTGAGCAACAAAAGCAAAACTCCATCTCAAAAATATATAAAAAATAATAATTAGTTGAAGTTTGCTAAATAATGACATTTCTGCCACTTTATTTACATATTTTTGTTTTGTTTTTTTTGAGACAGTTTTTGCTCTGTCGCCCAGGCTGGAGTGTAGAGGTGCGATCTCGGCTCACTGCAACCTCCGCCTCCTGGGTTCAAGCGATTATCCTGCTTCACTCTCCTGAGTAGCTGGGATTACAGCCACCCGCCATCATGCCCGGCTAATTTTTTTTGTATTTTTAATAGAAACGAGGTTTCACCATGTTGACCAGAGTGGTCTTGAACTCTTGACCTCAGATGATCCATTCATTTCAGCCTCCCAAAGTGCTAGGATTACAGGCATGAGCCACCACACCTGGCATTATTTTACTTATTTAGAGACAGGTCTCATTCTATTGCCTAGGGGGGAGTTCAGTGGCATACTATCTTGGCTCAAGGTAGCCTTGACCTCCCGGGCTCAAGCAATCCTCCCACCTCAGCCTCCCCAGTAGCTAGGATTACAGGCATGTGCCACCAACCATGCCCTGCTAATTTTTGTAGAGACAGGGTTTTACTATGTTGCCTAGGCTGGTCTTGAACTCCTGGGCTCAAGCGATCCTCCCACCTCAGCCTCCCAAAGTGCTAGGATTACAGGCGTGAGCCACCGCACCTGGCTTCTGCTATTTTAGACATTAGAAAAGCTTCCTTGGCTGGGCTATTCTAATAGGTAGGCAGATCACGAGGTCAGGAGATCGAGACCATCCTGGCTAACACGGTGGAACCCTGTCTCTACTAAAAAATACGAAAAATTAGCCTGGCGTGGTGGCAGGCTCCTGTAGTCCCAGCTACTTGGGAGGCTGAGGCAGGAGAACAGCATGAACCCGGGAGGTGGAGCTTGCAGTGAGCCAAGATCGCGCCACTGCACTCCAGCCTGGGCAACAGAGTGAGACTCCATCTGAAAAAAAATAAAATAAAATAACTGCAGGAAGTTTTTTTAAAAAGTTCATGTGTGTGCCTGCATCTGTTCTCAAATCTGTTCTCAATTACTACACACGAGACAATAAATACTTCTTCTTTTATGTTATAAGCAAACAATGAGGGGGAGAAGTAACTCTGGCTCATGGGCATTATTTTCATTCTCTAGTAATCAGCTCCACAAGTTTCCAAACCAGATTTCTTCCCAATAAGAATATAATGAACCTCGCTCCCCTCTGTAAGAAAGGAGGTTGAGGGAAAGCCCACGTTCTGGTCTGGCCTAACCTTACACTCCATGGAAGAATGTGGTAGAGTGATGGCAGAGTGGGAATTCCTCTTCCTTCTGTTGCTGCCTCCTGGTGTTTTCATCTTTTGAATGTCACGGCCTGGCCAGGCCAGCAGTGGAGGAGAAGTAGGCTCAGGAGCCAAGCTGAGGGACCTGAGAGCTCATTATGGACACTGTCTCCCCAACCCTCGCCTCCCACTGCTGCACCATGAAGGAGCAGGACTCCAAAAAAAAGAGGCCCGGTGTGCAGGAGCTCTCAGTGAGGGGGTGGTACAAAGGAAGAGAAAAAGGCGGAGCGTGGTTGGCTCATGCCTGTAACCCCAGCACTTTGGGAGGCTGAGGCAGGTGGATCCCTTGAGCCCAGGAGTTCCAAGACTATGTTGCCTGGGCAACACAGTGAGACCCCATATCTAGTAAAAATTTAAAAATTAGCCGGGCATGGTGGCACACACCTGCAGTCCCAGCTACTCGGGAGGCTGAGGTGGGAGGACTGCTTGAGCCCAGGAAGTCGAGGCTGTCGCGAGCTGTGATCCTGCCCACTGCACTCCAGCCTGGGTGACAGAGAGACCCTGTCTCAAAAACCAAAACAAGAAAGGGAGAGGAAAAAAAGGAGGAATCAGTGGGAAATATTTGAGGGCCTCATCAGGTAGTAATTATTAATTTGGGCGGCTTCTTGTTTCAAGGAAACACGCTTGCTCTGTCAACACCACTGTTGCAATAGAATTCTATGTGTTTAAGCCTGCAAGATGCAAGCAAGAGCTTGCAAGCCTGCACCTTTTAAGTTTTTCCAATCTTCCAAGGTAACCATTTTATTTTAAAACAAAGCTATCGTCGGTCCCCTGGGTGTTTTTAGATGTCTTGCAATGTGGCATCTTCTGGAAGCTCAAGGTTTTACCAGGAGATGATTCACACCCAGCCAATGTCATCCCATCTTCAATTTACTAATGGATCTCATTTCACAACTGGGGATTTAAAATATGGAAAGACTTCAGACAGCTTGTTTGCACATCAGAATCAGAGACAGCCCCACGCCTCCATCTATACCCTTCTCACATCTTCAGAACCTACCTTTCTGAGGTTTATTGAATGGATCGAATAAAATGTTCTTATTGTCACTAAGCAGGGATATACCAGGGTAACTTTATCTAAAATTATTTCGTTCATCAAAGACAACTCCTGCCCCTCTCAAGCCAACCCACACTGGTTGCCTTGTGAACTATATTTTTAATTTAATGTAAATAATCGTGATAGTGATGGAACAGGCTGAATAAGCACAACCTATGCTGCTTTATCCTTATGATGTAGAGAAGAATGTCTTTTAAGGGACCACATATTAAAATGGAAACACAGTGCTTTGTTTAGTCTAATGCCAAGGGGAATGAAACAGAAAGTGGTTCCTAGGCTAACAGCATCCAGAGCGCTTTGTAAAAGGTAGTTTTGCAGTCCATGGAAGCCAGTTGACCTGGGAAGGAAGCCTTGGTTTCCTCTTTGTGCTGATTAAGAGTCCAGCGCTTCAGAGTGCAGTTCCAGACACGGAAGGAAGATCTTATCGCAGCTTTTGGAAAAGCTCCATTGTTACAGCGGTCTTGTTTCCTTCACACCGAAAAGCAAGAAATAACATTGAAGACTCATTTTGGTTTGTAATCTGTTTGGATCCAAATGTTCATTCCTTACGGAGATTTTCTGAACCTATGAGAATATTTCACAGGATTGATGACTAATGCAGATACTCTAAAGATGAGATCCATCAATAAAATTTTAATCTCTCAATCACCTGGTACTCTTGATTGTACCTGTACTCACAAGCTGTAAATTGATATAAGCTCTAAACCATTTGTTATTCCTTGCCAATAAAATATGACATTAAATTAGGTTCTACTACTAGTTTAAGCGGAGCTTTCTTCAATTTGGTGTATCTATATATACATTGTTGATCTAGTTCTATTGGAATAAGAGTTAAGAATATGGCCTCCAGAACATCCACTTCCGATATTTGGAACGTGTTAATGTTTTCTTTGTGGCCAATTAATGACTGAATCATCTAAATGCCCAAAGTCACAAAAGAACATATATTTTCTGCTGGATATAAAGTCATGTATAATGTTGAGGTTGTTTATTATATTTTTTTCAAACCTTATTTTTCCTTATTTTTATCTGCTTGGCCTAGTAAACTCTGAAAGAGATATATTACAATGTCCTAGAATAATTTGTTTGTTTTTAAGTTATCTTGACATGAGTTTTTGCTTTATGTATTCGGCTTTTTTCCTGCTTTGGCATAAACATGACTGTAATACATTCTTGCGGCTTATACACTTTTATCATTAAATAATCTTTCTCTTTGTCCCATTTAATAGGTATGGATGTTTTCATTGAAGCTCTACAGCTTCAAACCTTGTATCAAACCATTTGGTTAAATGACATGACGGTTAGTTATCAAATGTAAAAAAGCAATATTTTATCTGAATTATTATGGACAAAGACTGGGAAAAAATTGAGTTGTCATGTTAAAGAAGTGGATTATGAGTTAATTATTCCTTTTTTTTTTTTTTTTTTTTTTTTGAGATGGAGTCTTGCTCTGTCGCCCAGGCTGGAGTGCAATAGCGCTATCTCAGGTCAATGCAACCTCTGCTTCCTGGGGTCAAGCGATTCTCCTATCTCAGCCTCCAGAGTAACTGGGTTACAGGCACGCACCACCATGCCCGGGCTAATTTTTGTATTTTTAGTAGAGATGGAGTTTCACCATGCTGGCCAGGCTGGTCTCAAACTCCTGATCTTGTGATCCACCCGCCTCGGCCTCCCAAAGTACTGGAATTACAGGCATGAGCCACCACGCCCGGCCTCCTTAGGTTTATTTTTTATCCTGATTACATTTGTTTAATCAACTGAAGTAATTTCCAAAATAAATGAATAATGTTCTGATTTCTGGTCAACATTGATAGGAATAGGGTAAAACCCATCAACCCAGAAGACAAAACTTACCTATTATTATCTCCACCTTCCCTGCCATCTGTTCCTTATCTGTCTGTCATCAAACAATTTAATTTTGAAAATAAAGTAGGTGTGTCTGGCTACTGCCTGTGGGTGATAGTGAATTTCGTTAGAGTCAGCCGCATTGTTTTTCGGGAGGCGAGGAGCCATCTCAGTTCTAGAGCTGGAGGAAGAAGCAATCCGTGTGATTCTCTGGCTTCCTCTTAGTGACCTCTCTCCTGCTGCAGGGAACAGCAGCACTTCAGTTCAAAAGGCTTGGAACAAACTGATCCTTTTTGTAAATAATAGAAATAAGTTGAGGCTTTACAGACTAGAAGCTACAAGGCGTTCTTTCAGTTGATAAGCTAGTAAGTCAACACTGCTTTACTTTTTACTTGACTTTATGAGAAATGGCATAACCTCAGCTGCACTCTCAAGCAACAGCATTTTGTCAGTAGAAGAATATTGTCAGTACACAGCCATGGCCTCTTCCATCCTTTAGGCAAAGAACATATAAAAGGTTACTATTTCCAATATTCTACTGCCCTAGAAATGGCAGTAAATGCATTTCTACCCATTGTACACTTAGGCAGGGGCAATCAAAGCAACGCTGTCCGTAAATGGCCTTTTATCATTTTTGGTGACAGCTGGAAGGAAGTCTTTAGAAATTTCTCTAAAGGGTGCGGTAGGATGTCAAAGGAATTCTAACTTTTAGCAGGAATCTTGAATGTGCCAAGTTCACACATGGCTGCAATATGTTTAATTCTTAATCAAGTAAATGGAAACAAGATGGTCCGAGGGACTGCAGAGGGTACCCATTCTATTACCCCAGATTAAACTCTTTACGCTTCTCCAAAAGTATTTGGAGATTAGTTGTTTTTTTTTTTTTTTTGAGACGGGGTCTCACTCTGTCGCCCAGGTGCAGTGGGGCAGTGGTGCCATCTCAGCTCACTGCCAACTCAACCCTGCCTCCCAAGCCCAAGGGATCCTCCCACCTCAGCCTCCCAAGTAGCTGGTACTACAGGCACGCTCCTCCACACCCAGCTAATTTTTGAATTTTTAGTAGAGACAGGGTTTCACCATGTTGTCCAGGCTGATCTCAAACTCCTGAGCTCAAATGATCCTTCCGCCTTAGCCTCCCAAAATGCTGGAATTACAGGCATGAGCCTGGCCTACTTTTTATTTTTTTTTAACTACATACCAAATACCAAATAGGAGTTTCTAGATATAGATCACCTGAGGAAAAACGTACAGAAAAAAGTAATTAATGCTAAATAATGATAATAGAATTTTATGTCTCTATCTTCTTACAACCTATAGCAATGAACCTGGAACTCTTAGTGCATCAAGACGTTTTATTTGATTACATGAAACAAATTGTCAGAGGCTGATTTTTCCTCTCTGTCTCCCAGAGTCTCATTCTGTCTCCCAGGCTGGAGTACAGTGGTGCAATCTTGACTCACTGCAACCTCTGCCTCCCAGGATCAAGCAATTCTCATGCCTCAGCCTCCCAAGTAGCAGGGACTGCAAGCGTGCACCACCATGTCCAGCTAATTTTTGTGTATTTTAAATAGAAACGGGATTTCACCATATTGGTCAGGCTGCTCTCGAACTCTCGAGCTCAGGTGATCCTCCTGCCTCAGCCTCCCAAAGTGCTGGGATTACAGGCATCAGCCACGATGCCCGGCCTGTGTTTGCTATTCTATCAGCTTCCAAAAGTGCAAAAAGTTCAATGATCCATTCCTGCTCACAGCAGCACTATTCAGAATAGCCAAAAGATGGAAGTAACACAAGTGTTCATCAACAGATGAATGAATAAGCAAAATGTGTTATCTATATAAAACAGAATGTTATTCATCCTTCAAAGGGAAGTACATTCTGACATATGCTACAACTTGGATGAAACTTAAGGACATTATACTAAGTAAAATGAGCCTTTCACAAAAAGACAAATACTGCATGAATTCACTAACATGAGATATCTAGAGTAGTCAAAATCATAGAAACAGAAAGTGGAATGGTAGTTGCTAGGGCATAGGAGTAAGAGAGAATGAATAGCAATTATTTAATGGGTACAAGAGTTTCAGTTTTACAAGACAGAAAAGAGTTACAGAGGTGGATGGTGGTGATGGTTGTGTAACATTATGGACATTACGGATGTATTTAATGACACTGAACAGTACACTTAAAAATGGTTAAGTTGGGCCTAGGCAGAGGCTCATGCCTCTAATCCTAGCACCTTGGGAGGCCAAGGTGGGTGGATCACGAGGTCAAGAGATCGAGACCATCCTGGCCAACGTGGTGAAACCCCACCTCTACAAAAAATACAAAAGTTAGCTGAACGTGGTGGTGCACGCCTGTAGTCCCAGCTACTCGGGAGGCTGAGGCAGGAGAATCGCTGGAACCCAGGAGGCGGAGGTTGCAGTAAGCTGAGATCATGCCACTGCACTCCAGCCTGGCGACAGAGTGAGACTCGTCTCAAAAAAAAAAAAAAAAAAAAAAAGGTTAAGTTGGTAAACTTTATGTTTTGTGCATTTTACTACAGTAAAAACAAAAATGTGGATAGTTGCTGATTCTGGAGAAGATGTAAATTTTCTCAGTAGAGGTGAAGTGAGTGCAATCTGTGATCAATGTTGTTGGGAGAAAAACAGCTTTTGGTCAACAAGACATACCTCAGAACTGAGGAAGATGGTGAAGAGTCTCCGACGTGTATGTTTTTCATTTAAATTAAAATATGCCTTCCTGGGTCAAGCCAGGACCCAAAGTGTTCAGAGAAAATAGAATTTTATGTGATATTTTGAGTCCAAACAGAAACAGGAAATTCCAGCAACCTCTGGAAAGAGAACAAGTTCCCTTGAGAAGTTCTCACTTAGTTTTCCATATTGAATGAGTTCTGAGTGGTTCAAATGACATCCTGAAACACATGTGAACCATCTCAATCTCCACATATCCTCCGTGCTGGGTAAAGTTCAAACAACTAGGCATTATTTTAAGACTTGGAGTATATCGCCTTGCAAACAGGCTAAGTTAAATTCTACCCTGATAACAGAAGAGATAAAAGTGGCTATTCATATTATTTATGAGATCTTGCCTACCCAAAAATGCAACCACTGAAGTCATTCCATTATGCATAATATCTTGAAGTCCCTTATTAAAGTAAATACACTGTAAGTCACGCAAGGTGGCACATGTTACCACCCAGAACTGTATATCATCTGACTAGGTTAATTACTTATCACTTAACAGAATGGAAATGAGGAAAGGAAAGGAGAAAGAGAAGGAACATTTATTTAGCTCTTCCTATGTGCTTGCATTCAGGTAAGTTCTTTATGTAATTGCTTTTATTGAATCCTTGTAACATTTTGATAAAATAAGTTATTATTGCTTAATTTTTACAGTTAACAGAATTGAGACTTAGAAATATTAAGTAACTTGTCCATAGCTTTGCAGCTAAGAACCTGGTTTTGAGGCTGGGTACAGTGCCTCACACCTGTAATCCCAGCACTTTGGGTGGCCAAGGCGGACGACTCTCTTGAGGCCAGAAGTTTGAGACCAGCCTGGCCAACATGGTGAAATCCCATCTCTACTAAAATACAAAAAAAATGCTGGGTGTGGTGGCACACGCCTGTAATCTCAGCTACTGGGGAGGCTGATGCACGAGAATCACTTGAGCCCAGGAGGCAGAGGTTGTAGTGAGCAGAGATTGCACCAATGCGCTCCAGCCTGGGTGACAGAGCGAGGAATCCAGGTCTGACTGATTCCAAACCCTACCAGGTTAGTATCCACCCAATGTTTGAAGGAGGAAATCAACACAAAAGAATACAGCAGCGCTGCTCAATAGAAATACGATGTGAGGCACTTATGTATAACGCAAGGCACAACTGTAGCCATATTTAAAAAGTATAAAGATTCCATGGCTGGGCACAGTGGCTCATGCCTGTTACCCCAACACATTGGGAGGGTGAGGCAGGAGGATTGCTTGAGTCCAGGAGCTTGACACCAGCCTGGGCAAGATGGCAAGACCCCATTACAGAAACAGTAAAAATTAGCTGAGCACAGTGGTGTGGGCCTGTAGTCCTAGCACTTTGGAAGGATGAGGTGGGAGGATAACTTGAGCCCAGGAAGTTGAGGCTGCAGTGAGCTGTGATCTTGCCACTTCACTCAAGCCTGAGCAACAGAGCAAGAACATGTCTCTCAAAAAATAAAGAAAGAAGTGGTAAAATTAATTTTAATAAGGTATTTTATTTACTTTAATATAGCCAAAATATTATCATCTCAAAGTGTAATTGGCATAAATATTTTTTGTTGAGACAGAGTCTCACTTTCTTGCTCAGGCTAAAATGCAGTGGTGTGATCACAGCTCACTGCAGCCTTGAACTCCTGGGTTCAAGTAATTCTGCCTCAGCCTCCCAAGTAACTGGGACTATAGCCACATACCACCATGCGCAGCTAGTTTCTTAATTTTTTTGTAGAGATGGGGTCTCACTATGTTGCCTAAGCTGGTCTCAAACTCCTGGGTTCATGTAATATTCCCACCTTAGCCTCCCAAAGTGCTGGGACAACAGGCACAAGCTGCCATGCTTGGCTAATTTTTACTTTTTTTGTAGTGATGGTCTCAAGCTCCTGCCCTTGCCCAGGCTGGTCTCAAGGTCCTGCACTCAAGCAATCCTCCCACCTCAGCCTCCCAAAGTGCAGGTGTGAACCATGGTGCCCAGCCAGCTTAAAAATGATTGAGATATTTTACATTACTTTTTATAATAACACCTTGAAATCTAGTACATAGTTTATATTCCTAGCTCATCTTAATTCAGAGTAACCAAACTTCAAGTGCTCAGCAATCATGTGGCTAGTTGCTACCATATTGAACAGTGCCACTCCACAGCACTGACTCCTTGTAGATGTGTACCATTCACAAGTTTGGCCATTATAATGTTGTCTTTATCTACATTACTTATTAAAATATCAGCCAAGACAAGTACCTAGAAAAGTTAAGTTAGAATTATTATCTGACCCAGCAATCCCACTTTTTGGCATATACCCAAGAGAAATGACATGAAATGAAAACATTTTAGGAAGAAATGAAAACATACATCTACACGAAAATTTGTACACAAACGTTCATATCTGCATTATTCAAAATAACCCAAAAGTGGAAACAACCCAAATGATCACCAATTGATGAATGGATAAGTAAAATGTGTTATATCCATGGAAGGGAATCTTATTCAACAACAAGGAAGAATGAAGTCCTGATACATGCTAAATAAAACATGGATGAATCTTGAAAACATTATGCTAAGAGAAGGAAGCCAGTCAAAAAAGAACCACATATTGTATGATTCCATTTATATAAAACATCCAGAATAAGCAAATCTATAAAAAGACTAAAAGTAGATTAGTGGGCTGGGCACAGTGGCTCATACCTATAATCCCAGCACTTTGGGAGGCCAAGGTGGGAGGATCACTTCAGCCCAGGAGTTCGAGACCAACCTAGGCAACATAGCAAGACCCCAACTCTATTTAAAAATTTAAAAAATAAAAAAATAGATTAGTGGTGTGTTTTTTTGTTTTCGTTTTTGTTTTAGCCATGGGTTTTTTGTTTCGTTTTTTGACAGAGTCTCGCTCTGTCACCCAGGATGGAGTGCAGTGGCGTGGGTCTCGGCCCACTGCAACCTCCGCCTCCTGGGTTCAAGCGATTCTTCTGCCTCAGCCTCCCGAGTAGCTGGGACTACAAGCACATGCCACCATGCCTGGCTAATTTTTTGTATTTTTAGTAGAGACAGGGTTTCACCGTGTTAGCCAGGATGGTCTCGATCTCCTGACCTCGTGATCCGCCCGCCTCAGCCTCCCAAAGTGCTGGGATTACAGGCGTGAGCCACCACGCCCGATCAGATGAGTGGTTTTCTAGGGCTGGGAAGGTTGAGGTGATATGGAGTGGAGAGTAATTGCTAATGGTTATGAGATTATTTTGGTGGATTAAATTCTATTGTGATGGTTACCTGCTATAGGTGACAGTTACCTATTAATAGTAAAAACTATTGACTTGTACAATTTAAGTGGGTGATTTATGAATTATATCTCAATGACATTGTAAGATAAAATATATAAACTCATCTGAACCCTCAAAAAATATCGAGCAAGGCAAAAGCTTTAATGTAAGTTTCTAAAGAGATATTTATCTGCTAATTGATCGCTATTAGATATGATGGTTCTAAAACTACTAGATTCCCTGCCTACACCCCTACCTATATCCCTGTCTATACCACTGCCTACACCCCTGCCTAGTCTATATCACTGCAGATCTTTTTTTTTTTTTTTTTTTTGAGACGGAGTCTCACACTGTTGCCCAGGCTGGAGTGCAGTGGCATGATCTCGGCTCACCGCAACCTCTGCCTCCTGGGTTCAAGTGATTCTCCTGCCTCAGCCTCCCGAGTAGCTGGGATTACACGTGCCCGCCACCATGGTCGGCTAATTTTTTGTATTTTTAATAGAGATGGGGTTTCACTATGTTGGCCAGGCTGGTCTCACGCCACTGCAGATCTTATGTTCTTGGTCTTGTCTTCAAAAAGAGCATCTATCTAACAAATGCCTGGAAAAGACAAGCTTGGAGCCAAGCACTCTCAGATGAACAAGAGCCCTGCCCACTTGAGTCTGTGATATGGAAAAGTAGACAAACAAATATAGAAATTTAGAAAAGTAGATAAATACCAGCCATTGTGAGTAGTTCTATAATGGGGAATCTATACAGAGCCTCATAGAATGGTCCATGGAAAGTAAGGCTAATGTAGCACTTCTTGGACCTATCAGTGCAGTGACTGTACCAAAAGGGCTGATTAAAATAATATGTCTTGGCTTATTTTTTGTGACATTACACTAGTTAATGGGAACTTCATTCTTTAAGTGCTGTACTCTTAAGTACAAATCACATCGAATTTTGTTTCAGAATTTTGCCAAGATTCCTCATCATGCCCATTGGTCAACGGATTCCAGATGCCAACTCTTCCCACTTTTTAAAATAGGACAAATGTTTGGCAGCTCCAGTTCTGAGGACTTTTCTCATTTGCTGATGATTCCTCAATGAGAAGAGTCTGGTAAACGAACAGCAGTCCAAATTTAACTTGACACCCGTGCACCAGGAAGCATGTTGACACGTGTTTTTAGTAGTACTCTTCATTAAGGAAATAATTCAAGTTGCCTATCAGCAGTGGAATGATTAAAGGTACCGGTTATCCATACCATGGACTATTACACAGCAGTGAAATGAATAGATCATGTTACACACGCCAGTCTGGCTGAATTTCAAAAAGAATACTGAGCCGAAGAAGCCAATCATAAAGTATGACTTCAAAGACATTTTCAAAACAGGCAAAACTAAACATGTACACTGTTTACTGAAACACATATGCACTAAAAAGCAAAGGTGTGATTCACACGAAATTCAGGACAGTCGTTATCTCTGAGGGGCGTGGGAGGAGGAAGGATATACGATCTGGGTGGAGCACACAGGAAACTTCTGGGGGACTGGTGATGTTCCATTTCTTGGCATAGATGATGGTTTAAAAGCTGTTTATTGTGTTGTTTAAATTATACATGTATATTTTCACATACAGCTTGTATATTTTACAATGTAATAATGGATCCACATTCTGGCTGGTGAGGCAGGCTCTCCTAGGCATCTACCTTTTTATACACATATTATTCTGGTTTACTGGTCTGTAATAGATCCTGCATTAGCTGGATTCTGGAATTCAATGCTACTTAAAATATATAGATTTCTTTGTCTGTGAGGAGTTTTCAAGTTGGCAAGATATTTGCGACAGAGAGAGGATTCCTGGAACCTCAGAAGGGCGGCCAGGGGGCAAACATGAGCCTCTGGCCTCATCCCTCATCTGGCTTTCGGCCCAGTCAGACCACCCCCAATGAAAGCCAGGTCAGAGAAGCGTGCAGAAGATGTGCAGAGAGGCCTCATGCCTTCACGTATTAAATCTTTATCCTTGGACTTCAAAAACTCCCAGAAATGGGGGAGTGGGAGTCATACTAGTCCCTTAGGCAAACAACAATGGAAGAAGCAGCCCCAATCTGCCTACTCATCATGATCGTAAATCACGCTTCCAGACACCTGCCTGGACGGCAGCCCGAGAGAAACTGTGGCATGGGAGTTGCCCTTGCATTGAGTAGGCTGGTTTATCTCTAAGGGCGTGCACAGAGCTACAAGGTTGGAAGGAAAGGGTTATTGTGGCTAGTTCAAGGATTCTTACTCTCCCTCTGGCGAGCCAGCCGGACACACGCTAAGTGCTGATTGTAGTCAGTTCTAAATAGAGCAGCAAGCACACCCTTTCATATCTCCAAGATATTCAAATTCCCACCCAGCAAGAACTAATATTTTTACAAGGTAGAGATCCACTGGCCAAGGAGCGGCAGCTTTTAAACTACTCCACAGTCACTTATTCCCCAGAAAAGACATATTAGAAAAAGATAAACAGAAAGAGATCTTTCAGGGACTCCAATTTTTCTTGTTGATAAAATGAAGTTGTCTTTCCTAAATCCAAGCTTGCACAGGTGTGTGTATCAGCAATTCCAAAAGCTCAGCCATCCTCGATTGGCTGCCCCAAATGACCTGAATCCATCTTATTTTCCTCACACTATTGATTCTCAAGAAAAAGGCCTCAGGGTGGGGATAGGATACCCATACCCATCAGGCGAGATGATTTGTGAGACATGTTCAATTTACAGTTATCCACTCCAGATAGGTGTGGTCTATCCTTCCAACCGAGTGTTCCGGAACAGAAAAGAAATTAGAACTACTAGGTTTAGGGCTGGATAGGTGGCTCACACCTGTAATCCCAGTACTTTGGAAGGCTTAGGCAGAAGGATTGCTTGAGCTCAGGAGTTCAAGACCAGCCTGAGCAACACACTGAGACTCCATCACTATATTAAAAAAAAAAAAAAAAAAAAAAATTCATGGCCTGGCGCAGTGGCTCACACCTGTAATCCCAGCACTTTGGGAGGCAGAGGCAGGTGGATCACAAGGTTAGAAGATCGAGACCATCCTGGCTAACACAGTGAAACTCCGTCTCTACTAAAAATACAAAAAATTAGCCGGGCACGATGGCAGGCGCCTGTAGTCCCAGCTACTCGGGAGGCTGAGGCAGGAGAATTGCGTGAATCAGGGAGGCGGAGCTTCAGTGAGCCAAGATCGAGCCACTACACTCTAGCCTGGGTGACAGAGCGGGACTCCATCTCAAAAAAACAAAAAAAATTAAATTTAAAAAATTATTTTAAAAGAACTATAGCGTCTGTGTCGACGAAGAGAGTCGAACTGTGTAAAATATTTGAAGAGCCAAAAACGAGTGATCCTGCCTGTGACACAGCCCTCAGGATGTCCTGAGAACATGTATCTACCCAAAGTGGCCAGGGTGCAGTTTGGTTTTATCCATTCTAGGGAGGCATGAGACATCAATCAAATGCATTTAAGAAATACATGAAATACATTGGTTTGGTCCAGAAAGGCGGAACAACTCAAAGTGGGGGCTTCCAGGCTATTGGTGAATTTTAACATTTTCTGATTGACAATTGGTTGAGTTTGTCTAGTCCTGGGATAGATAGAAAGGGAATGTTCAGGTTAAGATAAAGATTGTGGAAACCAAAGTTATATTGAAGTCTTACAGTGGCTGCCCTTAGAGATAATAGATGACAAATGTTTCCTATTCAGACCTTAATTAATCTTTTTAGGATTGGGAGGGTCTAGAAGAAAAAGATCTAGCTATGTTAATAGCAATTCTTTACAGACGCAAATTTTCCCCCACAAAGAACAGCTTTGCAGGGTCATTTCAAAATATGACAAAGAAACATGTTTTGGGGTAAAATATTTTTATTTTCTTCTTTGTCTCGTAATGTTATGCCAGAGTCAGGTTGGGAAGCAAATCATGATATATAGGGTCAAATAAAACCCATCTGATGAGAATTTATGTTCGTAGGGCATGACTGGACCCCTTAGATAGGAATTTGGGCAAGAAAAAAAAAATCAGAGTTTAGTCTTCAGTCCCCACTCTTGGCCGAAAAGCATTCCATAGCATGCATATACAGGCCAAACAGCAACAGGTCCCACAGTGCTAGGAAGGCTCATTCCTAGAGTTATCTGATTTGGTCATTTGGCGAGGTCTCTCAGTGCTAGGAAGGCTCATTCCTGGAGTAGTCTGGTTGGTGGTAACAGTTTTAAAATATTAGCGATTTGGATCATGGGGGAGAGGACACGGTCTGACCTGATATAATAGCCAATTGTTTAAGGGGTGAGATGAAGTCAGGCCTAGGGTTTAGTCTGGAAAAAAAAAAAAAAAAAAAAAAATCTGGCAACAGATCCATTTTGTGAGCTATCATGATCTGGGTCTTCAGTTGTGCCTTTTTCCTTTTGCTGTATCTGGCGTAACATTTACAGGAGCTATATAATGCTAATACAGTGACAAATATCATAAAGATAGCAAAGATTAGGCATCCAATAAGATTATGAGTCAGAGAGCAGTAAACAACCTAACCAGCCCAAAAAAGTCACTGCACGCAGCATCATATTCTTTGATTAGACTCACAATGTGTTTACCCTCCTTATAAAGGGTCACTCGAATTTTATGATTAAAAAAAAATTTTTTTTTTTTTTTTTTTGACACGGAGTCTCGCTCTGTCACCAGGCTGGAGTGCAGTGGCACGATCTCGGCTCACTGCAAGCTCTGCCTCCCAGGTTCAAGCGATTCTCCTGCCTCAGCCTCCCAAGTAGCTGGGACTACAGGTGCCTGCCACCACACCCGGCTAATTTTTGTATTTTTAGTAGAGACAGGGTTTCACCATGTTGCCCAGGATGATCTCGATCTCTTGACCTCATGATCCGCCCCCCTCGGCCTCCCAAAGTGCTGGGATTACAGGTGTGAGCCACTGCGCCGGGCCGAACTTTATGATAAATCTTACTTGAAGATTGTAGAACCAACATTAACTCAGAATCCAATAAATTTAATATCTCTCCTAGCCAATTTATCTCCATAGGTATAACATCCTGAGAAGAGTATAAATCACGTGCAAGGAATGCCTGGTCCTAAATGTCTAAATTGTTATAGACTTGTTAACAGTAGACAAATCTATTTTTCCTACCACCTTCGTATTGCACATATACTGGTATTTGGGAAAGGAAAGGAGGTTTTGTCACAGAAGTCATAATTGCGCTCCAGCCAGAGCAACAAGAGCGAAACTCCGTCTCAAAAAAAAAAAAAAAAAAAGAGTCAAAAGGCTTATAGCCAATTAATTGTTCTAGGCCAGATAGGAATGGATGTGGACAAGCATTTGTTACTTCTTAAAATTATTAAGTTAAAAAGCCAACAACAAAACCAAAAGGAAAAGTTACAAGACCGACTTATTTTTAACTTCTATGTGTTGAACTCCTGTGAGCTTGGTTTTTGTTACAGATATATAGCAATTAACTACACAAAATATAAGCATTGTTCTGAAAAATACAGATAGAGAGACAGAGATTTATCTTCACAACTCATAATTGGGAGTGTTATACCTAGGAGGCTTGTTATAAGGGATTTTTTTTTTTTTTTTTTTTTTTTTTGAGATGGAGTCTCACTCTGTCACCCAGGCTGGAGTGCAGTGGCAGGACCTCAGCTCACTGCAAGCTCCGCCTCCCGGGTTCACGCCATTCTCCTGCCTCAGCCTCCCAAGTAGCTGGGACTACAGGTGCCCGCGACCACACCCAGCTAATTTTTTGTATTTTCAGTAGAGACGGGGTTTCACCGTGTTAGCCAGGACGGTCTCAATCTCCTGACCTCGTGATCCGCCCACCTCAGCCTCCCAAAGTGCTGGGATTACAGGCGTGAGCCACTGCGCCCAGCCTGTTACAAGGTATTTTCATCCTGTTAGTAAATAATTGTCTTTAACTCTATAGTAAGTGTCAGGCCTCTGAGCCCAAGCCAAGCCATCGCAACCCCTG
This sequence comes from Homo sapiens, assembly GCF_000001405.40. NCBI lineage: Eukaryota > Metazoa > Chordata > Mammalia > Primates > Hominidae > Homo > Homo sapiens. The sequence goes on along the minus strand of NC_000005.10, from coordinate 17,066,341 downwards.
TGACTTGCATGTATACTTCCAGATGGCCTGAAGTAACTGAAGAATCACAAGAGAAGTGAATATGCCCTGCCCCGCCTTAACTGATAACATTCCACCACAAAATAAGTGTGAATGGCCGGTCCTTGCCTTAACTGATGATATTCCACTACAAAAGTAGTAAAAATGGCCGGTCCTTGCCTTAAGTGATGACATTACCTTGTGAAATTCCTTCTCCTGGCTCATCCTGGCTCAAAAGTCTCCCCCACTGAGCACCTCGTGACCCCCACTCTGCCCACCACAGAACAACTCCCCTTTGACTGTAATTTTCCTTTATCTACCCAAATCCTATAAAACAGCCCCACCCTTATCTCCCTTCGCTGACTCTCTTTTCAGACTCAGCCCACCTGCACCCAGGTGAAATAAACAGCTTTACTGCTCACACAAAGCCTGTTTGGTGGTCTCTTCACACGGACGCGCATGAAAGTAGGCAGAATATTTTTTGGTTGGGGTGGATGTAAAAGCGACACATAATAGTTTAGAAGACAACTAAACTTGCTTTACCAGCTGTTTAGGCATTTTTGTACCTCCTTCTTGATTTGGAGGGTTTGACCTTGACCTAATTTTTTCCCACAAAGCCAGCTCTTACAATCTTACACACCCACCTCTTCAGCAATAGTCCCTGGGCCCAGAGGGAGGCAGCTTGGATAGTTCTGGCAGCAGAGCATTAGCAGCGAAACAGATGTGGGGTCAGTGGGATGCCAAACAACGGAGACTCATATCTCTGGTCTTCAAAATACCATGATTTTGGTTTCCTTGGAAGTAAAACAAGGAGAAATAAATAACATTTACAGTTTGAGAATTACAAGAGTAATTCATATGTCAGAATAGAAAAAGGAACCTATTCCATTAGGGCACCAAATAAAAATATGAAAAAAATTATAATCTGGGTTTTTTTTGTTGTTTTTTTTTTGAGATGGAGTCTTGCTCTGTGCCCCAGGCTGGAGTGCAATGGCACCATCTTGCTCACTGCAACCTCTGCCTCCCAATTTCAAGCGATTCTCCTGCCTCAGCCTCTCGAGTAGCTGGGACTACAGGCACCCACTACCATGCCTGACTAATTTTTGTATTTTTAGTAGAGACAAGGTTTCACCATGTTGACCAGGCTGGTCTCAAACTCCTGAACTCAGGCAATCCGCCCGCCTCGGCCTCCCAAAGTACTGGGATTACAGGCGTGAGCCACCATGCCCCGCCTATAATCTGGCTTTCTAGCCAAGAAATAATGATTTAATCTGCATTCAAAAAGTTAGGGCTGAAATCTAGTATTAAGTGTTATGCTTTATCCTTGAAACAATTTTTTTTAGCCACCTTTTTTATCAAAGAGAAAATTATAGCAAGGCCAATTTGTGTGCAAGATAAGTTTTAGGCTTATTATGCTTATCTGACTATCTGCATAAAATGCAGCAAGAATTGACTGGCCATATAGACTCCTTTTGAGTTGGTTTTGCTGAAACTTTACCTAAAAATAGGCTATTTTAGTTTCAGTCTTGGTAAAATAACCAGTGTCTCCAATCAAAAAAAAAAAAACTATTATTGAACTTATGCAGACAACCATATTGTCATAAAATTACAATCTGAATTTTGGAGGACTCAAAAGTAAATTTGCTTGCAAAAACATACTTTACCCAAATAACGTAAAAGAAAAAAGATTTTCTTGACCCTTCTTTAACCAGAGCAGCAGCTTTTAAAACAAGATGTTTGTTTACCTTGGAAATGCCATTTACAAGCCAAACAGCTCATGAGAGCTATTAGGCCCTGTAGAATTTAGCAGCTCCTCGCAATTAGTCCTAGAAAAGAGGCTCTCTACTTACTAGGTAGCAAGATTTTGTGTAAACCATTTTTATTTTATCATGGACTCTTCTGGGAAACATTATTTCCATTAGCATAGGGGGAGCTTCAGTTAATGTTCCATAGCAAGGCAGTAAATGCCCCAAACAGAAATTCTCTAATTCAGCAGCTATTATTGAAAAAGTACTCAGTTTTTGGCATCGGCCCTGATAAAGGAAAAAAACAAAAACTCCACTTAAAAGGCTATGCAACAGAGGAATTGTCTCGAGTAGTATTCCAGTTTTATCCTATATTTTGTAAGCTTAGACAATTTTACTAGTTCCTACTTAGTGTATTCAAATAACATTTCCTAAAAGAGCAAATTTATGTATCTTCAGTTTTTATAGTACTGGAAAGGGGAAAAGCATCCCCCCATTAAATATGGCACCCATTTTCCTAAGACTTTTAGGTAAAGGGGGTTATAACTACCTTATGTAAAGCTTGCTTAAACATCCTGCATTTTACAATTGGATTAAACTTTTTTTTTTTTTTTGGAGACAGTCTTGCTCTAGCGCCCAGGCTGGAGTGCAGTGGCATGATTTCCGCTCACTGCAACCTCTGCCTCCTGGGTTCAAGTGATTCTCCTGCCTCAGCCCCCCAAGTAGCCGGGATTACAGGTGCCCACCACCATGACTGGCTAATTTTTTGTATTTTTAGTGGAGACGGAGTTTCGCCATGCTGGCCTCAAACTCCTGACCTCATGATCTGCCCCCTCAGCCTCCCAAAGTGCTGCAATTACAGGCATGAACTACCCTACCCAGCCTAAACTGTATGTTTTTATGTTCTGGACTCAGAAACCCTTTTTTTTCTCACAGACCATTTTACCTTTTCTGGTGAAAAGGGTTTGGGTTCCCAGAATTACAGCTGTAAGACCTATTCTGTGCAGAATTGGGGGGTTCTTGGTCTCACTGACTTCAAGAATGAAGCCGTGCACCCTCGAAGTGAGTGTTACAGTTCTTAAAAGCAGTGTGGTCAGACTTGGTTCCTCCTGACATTCGGACGTGTTCAGAGTTTCTTCCTTCTGTGGGGTTCGTGGTCTTACTGGCTCAGGAGTAAAGCTGCAGACCTTCACGGTGAGTATTACAGCTCTTAAAATGGCGCGTCTGGAATTGTTCGTTCTTCCTGGTGAGTTCGTGATCTCACTGGCTTCAAGGAGTGAAGCTACAGACCTTCTCAAAGAGTGTTATAGCTCATAAAAGCAATGTGGACCCAAACAGCAAGCAGCAGCAAGACTTACTGCAAACAGCTAAAACTAAACAAAAAAAAAAAATATAAACCCTCCATGACCCAGAAGCAGATCCAAGCAAATTGCCGCTGGTGAGTCGGGCAGCCTGCTTTTATTCTCTTATCTGGCCCCACCCACATTCTGCTGATTGGTCCATTTTACAGAGAGCCAATTGGTCTGTTTTACAGAGAGCTGATTGGTCCATTTTGACACGCTGCTGATTGGTGCCTTTACAATCCCTGAGCTAGACGCAAAAGTTCTCTGTCCCCACTAGATTAGCTAGATACAGCCTGCCGATTGGTGTATTTACAAACCCTGAGCTAGACACAGAGTGCTGATTGGTGCATTTACAAACCTTGAGCTAGATACAGACTGCCGATTGGTGCATTCACAATCCCTTAGCTAGACATAAAAAGGTTCTCCAAGTCCCCACCAGATTAACTGGATACAGAGTGCTGATTGGTACATTCACAAACCCTGAGCTAGACACAGGGTGCTGATTGGTATGTTTACAAACCTTGAGCTAGATACGAGTGCTGATTGGTGTATTTACAATCCCTTAGCTAGACATAAAGATTCTCCAAGTCCCCACCACACTCAGGAGCCCAGCTGGCTTCACCCGGTGGATCCCATACCAGGGCCGCAGGTGGAGCTGCCTGCCAGTCCTGCGCCATGCACCCGCACTCCTCAGCCCTTGGGTGGTCTATGGGACTGGGCGCCGTGGAGCAGGGGGCGGCGCTCCTCGGGGAGGCTCCCGCAGCGCAGGAGCGGAGCGGGGTGTGGTTGGGGGAGGCTCAGGCATGGCGGGCTGCAGGTTCGGAGCCCTGCCTTGCGGGGAGGCAGCTAAGGCCGGGAGAAGTCGAGCACAGCAGCTACTGGCCCAGTTGCTAAGCTCCTCTCTGCCGCTAGCCGGCGGGCTAGCCGGCCGCTCTGAGTGAGGGCCCACGGAGCCCACGCCCACCTGAACTCGCGCTGGCTCTCAGGCGCCCCGCGGCAGTCCCGGTTCCCGCCCTCGCCTCTCCCTCCGCGCCTCTCCCTCCACACCTCCCCGCTAGCCGAGGGTGCCGGCTCCGGCCTCGGCCGGCCCAGGGAAGGGCTCCCACGGTGCAGCGGCGGGCTGAAGGGCTCCTCAAGTGCGGCCAGAATGGGCACCAAGGCCAAGGAGGCACGCAGAGAGCAAGGGCTGGGAGGGCTGCCAGCAGGCTGTCACCTCTCACTATGAGGGAGAGCAGATTTGTCAAGGCTGCTTAAACAGTCCCATGATTCTGTGGGAGGGGCACCCATGTAAAAGGGGTCCCCTTAGGCCCCGAATTTACCATGGCCTGGGTAATAGGCCTATTTGCTGGGAGAATATAAAGCTAGTCCACCATGGCTTGCATATGAAGCATATTAACTGCTTCATCTGGGGGGCTTCACTTGGTATTTTATAGGGAGAGTTGGGCAGTCCCCTTCTCAGAGCAAACCGACCTTATAATGGCATTCTGCGGTCCACTAGGCTGATTGCTTTCTTAGGAATAACCCCCTGTGCATTTGGAACACGTATACTCAGTGATTGTTCAGTAATGAGCTGTGGGTCCTGCATTAATCCAAACAAGCTCTTAAATTGTGTAGCATTTAGGCCGGTGCGGTGGCTCACACCTGTAATCCCACCACTTTGGGAGACCAAGGCAGGCAGATCACCTGAGGTCAGGAGTTCAAGACCAGCCTCGCCAACATGGAGAAACCCCATCTCTACTAAAAATACAAAATTGGGCATGGTGGCGCATGCCTGTAATCCCAGCTACTTGGGAGGCTGAGGCAGGAGAATCACTTGAACCCAGGAGGCAGAGGTTGCCGTGAGCCGAGATTGCTCCATTGCACTCCAGCCTGGGCAACAAGAGCCAAACTCTGCCTCAAAAAGAAAGAAAGAAAGAAATTTGATCCCACCACTTACTTGGCAGCTGTGCAACCTTAGGCTAAGAAAGAGAAGATGGGAGGTGACGGGGAGCCTCACCCAGTGTCAGTGGAGAGACTTAGGAGAGCCCTCCTCGGCTGACAGCATGGCAGGAAGGGTAAATAATAATTGAGTTTTGGAATCAGCTGGACCTGGGTCCTAATCCGACTTCAGATTCTTTAGCTGCCATGTTCTTGGGTACACTACCTAGTCTCATCTGTAAAACTGGAACCTTGAAGTAGCTATCTCCTAAGGTTGCTATGAGAATAAAATGAGACAATGTATGAAAAGAGATGACAGCCCCAGGCACCTCATAAATGCTCAGTTAATAGTGGCTTATTTGTCCGGATACACTAGAATTCCTGCCCTCCCATCCCACCTTTCTCCTCACTGATAGTGAGACTCCCTGATAGTGAATGAGTGAATGTCAAAATGAAGAGACAATTGGCAAGTAAAATAAAGAGACACTTGGCAAGTAAAATAAATGTTCTTCGCTGTTTAGACACAGGAATTCTATTTATTCATTGACAATATGCAGCCAATGTTTATTGAGCATCCGGCACCACTTTAGGTCTATCCTAAGGGTACCATCATGATGCAAATATTATAATCGCAAGTTTACAGCTGAAGAAGCGGAGCCACCATGCAGGGGGTGACAGACCCCTGAGTGTTCAAGCTGCAACCTGGACCCAAACCTTCTAACTCCAAGGATACACTCCCTTCCTTAGTGAGCTCATCCAGTGGTCTAGCTTTACATGCCGTCAACAATGCTTATAATTACCAAATGTAGAGCCCCTCCAGCTCAGACATCTACCCTGAACTCTCTTTTTTTTCCTTTTTTCTAGAGACAGGGTCTCTTCTGTTGCCCAGGCTGGAGTGCAGTGGCATGATCATGGCTCACTGCAGCTTAAAATTCCTAGGTTCAGGCAATCCTCCTGCCTCAACTTGCTGAGGCGCTAGGACTACAGGTATGCACCACCATGCCCGGCTAATTTATTTAATTTTTTGTAGAGTTAGGGGGTCTCACTACGTGGCCCAGGCTGTTCTTGAACTCCTGGCCTCAAGAGGTCCTCCTGCCTTGGCCTCTCAAAGTGTTGGGATTACAGGTGTGAGCCACCATGCCCAACCTCCCCTGAATTTCAACTCTTTTATCCAATATATATTTTTTGATATTTCTAGTGGGATGTCTAATAATCGTCTCAAATTTAATGTACAAAGCCAAGTTGTTGACAACCATACCCTCCCTCCAGCCAACCAGGTACTCTCACATTTCTCATCAATCTCAGTACATAGCCAGTCCATTCTTATCAGTTGCACAAATAAAAACTTTGGAATCATCTTTGACTCTTCTACACCCATGTAATCTGTGGATAAATCTTTTCAATTCTACTACAAAAAAAATATACAGAATCTGACCACCATCCACCTCCTCCATGCCACCAACCTGGTCCAGGCCACCCCCATCTCTTGCCCGAATAACTCGCTAGAGCCCTTACTGGCTTCCCTGCTCCCACCCTTGTTTACCAACAGGCCAATTTCCAACCTTGAAATCAGTGTGATTTTGTTAAAACATGAATCAGATCACACTGTTTTTTTTGTTTGTTTGTTTGTCTGTTTTTGTGAGACAGAGTCTTGCTCTGCCACCCAGGCAGGAGTGCAGTGGCATGATCTTGGCTCACTGCAATCTCTGCCTTCTGGGCTCAAACGATTCTCCTGCCTCAGCCTCCCAAGTAGCTGGGATTACAGGCACCTGCCACCACGCCCGGCTAACTTTTGTATTTTTAGTAGAGATGGCATTTCACCATGTTGACAAGGCTGGTCTTGATCTCCTGACCTCAGGTGATCCGCCTGCCTTGGCCTCCCAAAGTGCTGGAATTGCAGGCGTGAGCCACCACACCCAGTTGAGACCCTGCCTCTTAAATTTAATTAATTAACTGAATTTTTAAAATTGAAAAACTGTCCAACAGCTTCCCATCTCATGTTCTATGCATAATCTACGATCTGTGCATGATCCATGACCTGTCTGTGAGCTCTGTGTGATCTGTTCATGATCTATGTATGATCTATGATCTGTGCATGATCTTTACATGATCTTTCCATGGTCTACACAGGACCGCCCCATCCTTACCCTCCTGTCTTCACCTCATGATCCTTTCTCACTTTCTCCAGATACATTGAATATGCCAGGGTCTCTCCTGCCTTCTCTCCTTTGCCTTCGTGGCTCATTCCCTCTCTTCTTTTCAGGTCTTCATTCCACTAGGTAGGTCTTTTTACATAGTACCCCACCCTTCCCCCAGCTCAGTTATCACTTCTAAGATGCCATAGATTTCCCTGGTCTATCTCTCTCTTTTTTTTTTTTTTTTTTTTTTTTTTGAGACAGAGTCTTGCTTGTTGCCCAGGCTGGAGTGCAGTGGCACAATCTCAGCTCACTGCAACTTCCACCTCCCGTCCTGGGCTCAAGTGATCCTACCATGTCAGCCTCCCGAGTAGCTGGGACAACAGGAATGCACCACCACGCCCGGCGAGTTTTTGTATTTTTTTGTAGAGATGGGGTTTCACCATGTTGTCCAAGCTATCTATGTCATTTTCCATCTGTCTCCTTGCACTAGAATGTAAGTTCTTCAAAGACAGAGATCTTTGTTGTGCTCACAACTCACCCGTCTCCTTAGCACCTAGAAGATTGCTTAGCACACATGTTTAATAAATATTTGTTGAATGAATGAGTAATTAAATAAACGTAATACTTTCTTCTACAAACTGTGCCTAAGAAGATAGCCATGTGCAAAGGCTAAAACTCTGATGTTAGAGAAAGGATTTTATTTATTTTTTGAGACAGAGTGCAATGGCACAATCTCAGCTCACTGCAACCTCCGCTTCCTGGGTTCAAGCAATTCTCCTGTCTCAGCCTCCTGAGTAGCTGGGATTACAGGCATGCACCACCACATCCATCTAATCTATGTATTTTCAGTAGAGACCGGGATTTTGCCATGTTGGCCAGGCTGGTCTTGAACTCCTGACCTCAGGTGATCCGTCCACCTTGGACTCCCAAAGTGCTGGGATTACAGGTGTGAGCCACCTTGCCGGGCCTAATTTTTGTGTTTTTAGTACAGATGGGGTTTTACCATGTTGGCCAGGCTGGTCTCAAACTTCCAACCTCAAGTGATCCACTGGCCTCAGCCTCCCAAAGTGCTGGGATTACAGGCGTGAGCCACTGCGCTGGCCCCAAATGTTCTTAATCACTGATGCAAGTAGACAAGAGGGCAGAAGTACAGGAAATAATTCAGACCACAGGCCTAGGAGCCAGAAGGGAGATTTCTATTCTTAATTCTCTGCCATTGGGCTTCCAGAGCCTCCTTCCAGAGCCTAATAGTTTGGATTCTATTAGTCAGCATTGATTTGGGTTTACTTCAGTTTAATTTAGTAGGAACCTCCAGCTAAGCTCCAGAGTGGAGAGGAGTACAAATTTTCATTTTCACCAAGGTCTTGTTTATAAAGAAATGAATTTAGTCACATTTTACCTTGGCAGGCAGCCCGTTTGTCCCATACTGCCCCAGAGAAAAGCTACTGTAACAAAGGCAGACACATAGTAGACGTGTTAAAGAGCTTGAGGGTCATCCAGTAGGTTTTGCCAACCTCCAGACAACTCTGCCTGTTACTGAGTCTCAGCTTATCCAGTAAAAGTCCCACCTAGAGCCACAAGATTAAAACTGCTGGATGAGGCTCATCTCGAACAGCCCCACACTGGCAGCCAAGAATCCCAAAAGAAAAAAAAAAGAAAAACTTGCTAAACTGGTTGCCAAGGACACTTTGCTTTGAATGAGACTCTACTTTGAGAGGGAGAAGCAAAGGTGAAGAGAGGAGAGTAAATCTCAGGCTGTGCTTCTCCCCTGAACTTCAACCCCAGGAAAACGGCATAGCTAAATTACAAAAGGACTTCCAAATTGGGGCATGTGTCTAGGCAACTTCCCAGGAGAAGACAATACGAATGTGCAAATTCCATATTGCAGATAATCTCTTCTACCTGAAAAAAAATGCAAAACTGAGAGGAGAGGAGGCAATACTTAGTGCTGTTATGCAGGAAGAACTGTTCTTTTTTTTTTTTTTTTGAGACAGAGTCTCACTCTGTTGCCCAGGCTGGAGTGCAGTGGCACGATCTCAGCTCACTGGATTCAAATGATATTCCTGCCTCAACTTCTCAAGTAGCTGGGATTACAGGCATGAGCCACCATGCCCCACTAATTTTTATATTTTTAGTAGAGATGGGGTTTCACCATCTTGGCCAGGCTGATCTTGAATTCCCGACCTCAAGAGATCCACCCACCTCAGCCTCCCAGAGTGCTGGGATTACAGGCATGAGCCACTGCACTCAGCCAGAACTGTTTTTTTTTTTTTGTTTTTTTTTTTGTTGTTGTTGAGATGGAGCCTTGCTCGTCGCCCAGGCTGGAGTGCAATAGCACGATCTCGGCCCACTGCAACCTCTGCCTCCCAGGTTCAAATGATTCTCCTGCCTCAGCCTCCTGAGTAGCTGGTATTACAGGCATGCACCACCACACTCAGCTCATTTTTTTGTGGAGATGGGGTTTTACCATGTTTAGTAGAGATGGGGTTTCACCATGTTGGGTCAGGCTGGTCTTGAAATCCTGACCTCGTGATCCCCCTGCTTCGGCCTCCCAAAGTGCTGGGACTACAGGCGTGAGCCACTGCATCAGGCCAGAACTGTTGTTTTATAGGAGACGAAGAGATTCACAAACAGCCAGGAGCTAGGTCCTCCCTGCTTTGTATTGAAGCCGGAAAATCGAAGAGATTCACAAACAGCCAGGAGCTAGGTCCTCCCTGCTTTGTACTGAAGCCAGAAAATCGTGGATTCATTGTCTGAGAATGAAGCCAGGTGCCGGGAATTTATGAGCCTTGAGGAAACTGACTGGAGAGAGAGCGCCTTCCCTAAAGTCTGTGTTCTCCCCTCTTTATAAATTGTATTGCAGAAGCATATTTCAAAAATATAAAAGTTGGCATGAATAAGACAACATTTGGGGTGTCCAGAAGGCACTGAGTAGTAGTGGGTGTGGTTGGAAGGCACTCAGGGAACACTGTCTTGGAATTAATCCCTTTCTGGGCAGAGCCCAAGCTTTGGCAGTTGATGGGAATTCCCCTAACAATGGTAGAATGACACTTTGGCCCAAATACATCGTGAGCTTTGTCCTAGACCAAGTTCCATTTTGATTTTCTAATCTTATCCTTTAGTTTAGCTAAGTGACCAAATAATTTTCCAATACGGTCTTTGATATTTATGTATTTTAATGCCTGGTGTGTGAAGACTGTCTTTGCGTATACTTACCGATTCTCACAGAAAATGTGTTATTATCCCCATTTTTGAAGAAACTTGAGGCTCTTTATAAACAAGACCTTGGTAAAAATGAAAATTTGTACTCCTCCCCCTTCTGGAGTTTAGCTGGGGGTTCCTACTAAATTAAACTGAAGTAAACCCAAATCAATGCTGACTGATGGAATCCAAACTATGCAGGAAAATGGTGTCATTTTAAATACAGTAAAATTGTCAATTTTTCTATTTTTTTCTCATCGTTTCAGTCATCTACTTCAAAATTATAGACATTATGAAGAAACTGAAAGAAAGTTGCATTTTTCTGTTTATTTGGGCAATTGCTGGTCATGACTGATATAAAGTTGACTGTTTAAATACTGCATTTGAAAAAAACAAAAAAACACCAAAAAAAAAGAAAAATAAATATTGCATTTGAAACTTCATTTTAATAACTTGCTCAAGTGAGATAAATTATTCCTTTTAAACTATTATTTAAAGAGAGCCACTCCAGCAGCCTGCGCAACATGACAAAACCCCATCTCTACAAAAAGTAGCCAGGAGTGATGGTGCGCACTTACAGTCCCAGCTACTTGAGAGGCTGAGGTGGGAGGATCACTTGTGCCCAAGAGGGCGAGGCTGCAGTCAGCTGAAAATCACGTCACTGCACTCCAGAGTGAGATCCTGTCTCAAAAAAAAAAAGGAGAGCCACTCCAAAATATTTTAATATTATCAGTATTATTTTTATCGACATTATTTTTTAACATTGTCAGCATTAGTCTGCTATTTTTTTAAAATACTCGGTGTATATAGAAACGTTTAATGAGCTCATGACCTTCATGGTTAGGGATAGGATCTTAGAATTCCAGAAGAAACACAAAGTGAAATTCTAGGTCCTTGATACAAGGAGCAGAGAAGTAGATATTGGATTTCAGTGGGAGGATGCCAGGGGTGACTTAGGTCTCTTCCTAGCACAGCAACATTGATGGAATCAAAGTGATCGCGTTTTTCACAGTGGTCTTCCTTACATTGGGAGACCCCAGAGGTTTCTTTTAGAGTGGGAATCACCGCCAACGTGGGAGAAAAACGCTGCTTCCTGGTTGGCCTCCATCTGCCTGCCGTAAAGCAACCAGTGGCCAAGGAGACTTTTCCAAACAGCCGCCGTTCCCAGGATGCTGTGTGTCTGCTTCTCTGGATTCCCAGTGTAATCGCCTCCTCCAATTAACCTTGACTCTGGAGAAACTAAAGACTACAGTGGTCACCTATGAAAACTCAAGCTACTACTTCGCATAATCAGGGAAGCCATTCAGAGGGTTTATCTCACAGAAACATATGCAGACACGGGTGTAGTTCCAAGGATTTTGCATCAACTTCACTAGCTAACATTTCTTTTTTCTTTTTTTTTTTATTGAAACAGGGTCTTTCTCTCTCTGTCACCCAGGCTGGAGTGCAGTGATGCAATCATAGCTCACTGCAGCCTCGATGTCCTTAGTTCAAGCGATTCTCCTGTCTTAGCCTCCCAGGTAGCTGGGACTGCAGGCATGCACCACCACACCCAGATATTTTTTCTATGTTTTGTAGAGACGGAGTCTCACTATGTTGCACAGGCTGGTTTTGAACTCGGGCTCAAGCAATCCTCCTGCCTTGGCCTCCCAAAGCACTAGGATTGCAGGTATGATCTACTACACCCAGCTGATAGCTTTGAATATATAGAAGAATTCCTCAGTAAAGCCTGTTTTTATAAAATTTTCATCTTCTGATAAACACGAGAGAAAATATATCTAAGCAGTTCTCAAGGAAACAAAGATAGAACAATTAAGTTAACATTCCTTTGAAGCAAATATGTAAGTTGCTTATGTGAAGATTTCCTATCTTTGTTTGCATGGATACAAAACAACAAACAATTCAAGGGTCCCAGATAAGGATGACCATAGCTGGGTTTCTTGAGGGAGACAGCCTAATCACATATCAGTTCTGCTTGGAAATCACAGACATCCCTGCAACAGTGTCTGGCTTCTGGTTCTTAAGCTATCTGTCCATCACCGTCCTTATGTTCTTGTTTCGATTTCATCCATATTCATTTGGTGCCAAGGCAGAACTCCAAAGTGATCTGCAAAAGTCTGTGGTTAAGTCCCATTACAGAGGATATGAACAAAAGCACTAACATTTATAGAGCAATTCAGGATGGGCCAAGTTCAGCCAGACTCTATTCAAAGCACGTTGTTTATATTATCAGGGTGATTCCTCAATGGGACCCAAAGAGATAAGTACTGACAATGGCACCCCTATTTTACAGATAAACAAACTGAGACAAATGGGAGTGAAGCATTTTGTCCAAACCCTCGGGGTGTGAATGTCAGAGCCAGGTGGGCCAGTGCTGCAGCCACCTGTTGACACTGCCTTTGCTTGGGCAGCATGCTTAGAAAATCACGACTAATGAAAGAAAAAAGTCTTCATGTCTAATTTTTTTGTTTTAGACGGAGTCTCGCTCTGTCACCCAGGCTGGAGTGCAATGGCATGATCTCGGCTCACTGCAATCTCCATCTCCCGGGTTCAAGTGATTCTTCTGCCTCAGCCTCCCAAGTAGCGCAGGTGTGTGCCACCACGCCTGGCTCATTTTTGTATTTTTAGTAGAGATAGGGTTTCACCTTATTGCCCAGACTGGTCTCGAACTCCTGACCTCGTGATCTGCCTACCTCAGCCTCCCAAAGTGCTGGGATTACAAGCATGAGCCACCGCGCCTGGCCTCATATGTAATTTTTAAATATTTCAGATATTCTATATATTCAATCGTAAATTTAAATGAAAACTTATTAAATTTCTATATTCTGCCAGGTGCAGTGGTTCATGCCTGTAATGGCAGCACTTTGGGAGGCCGAGGCGGGAAGATCACTTGAGCCCAGGGGCTCAAGACCAACCTGGGCAACATGTCAAGACCCAGTCTGTACAAAAAATACAAAAATTAGCCTGGGGTGGTGGTGTGCGCCTGTGGTCCCAGGTACTCAGGAGGCTGAGGCAGGAGGATGGCTTGAGCCCCGGAAGTCAAAGCTGCAGTGAGCCATGATCACACCACTGTGCTCCAGCCTAGGCAACAGAGTGAGGCCCAGTCTCAAAAAATCAAAAACAAACAACAACAAACATATATATATAATAAATGTCTGTATTCTCATGGGTACAAAAACATAGTTGGAAAGAATGAATAAGCTCTTGCATGTGGGTAACCAGAAGAAGAAAGAAGAAGGAGAAGAAAAAAGTAAGGTAAAGAAACAAACAGGCCGGGCACGGTGGCTCACGTCTGTAATCCCAGCACTTTGGGAGGCCAAGGCAGGCAGATCATGAGGTCAGGAGTTTGAGACCAGCCTGACCAACATGGTGAAACCCTGTCCCTACTAAAAATACAAAAAATTAGCTGGGTGTGGTGGCATGCGCCTGTAATCTCAGCTACTCAGAAGGCTGAGGCAGGAGAATCGCTTGAACATGGGAGGCGCAGGTTGTAGTGAGCCGAGAATGTACCACTGCACTCCAGCCTGGGCGACAGAGCAAGACGCCGTTTCAAAAAAAAAAAAAAAAAAAAAAAAATGAAAAGAAGAAACAAACAAGCCAGGCACAGTGGCTGACGCCTATAAATCCAGCACTTTGAGGCGGGCAGATCACCTGAGATTAGGAGCTCGAGACCAGCCTGGCCAACATAATGAAACCCCATCTCTACTAAAAATACAAAACAAAACAAAAAAATTAGCCGGGCATGGTGGCACACACCTGTAGTACCAGCTACTTGGGAGGCTGAGGCAGGAGAATGGCTTGAACCCGGGAGGAGGAGGTCATAGTGAGCCGAGATTGTGCCACTGCACTGTAGCCTGAGTGACAGAGCAAGACTCCATCTCAAAACAAACAAAGAATAAGACCTAGTGTTAGCTAGCACAACAGGGTGACTATAGTTAAAAAAAAAAAAAATATATATATATATACACCTCTCTCTCTATATATACGTATATATATATAAAAAATATATATATACATATATATATATAAAAATATATAAACGTATATATATAAAATATATATACGTATATATATAAAAAATATATATACGTATATATATAAAAAATATACGTATATATATAAAAAATATATATACGTATATATAATATATATACATATATATATAAAATATATATACGTGTATATATATAAAAAATATATATGTGTATATATAAAATATATATATACACGTATATATATTATATATATAAAATATATATATACGTATATATATAATATATATATACCTCTCTATATATATACGTGTGTGTGTGTGTGTGTGTGTATGTGTGTGTATATATATATATATATATAGTGTGTGTGGCAGAGTCTTGCTCTGTCACCCAGGCTGGAGACTGCAGTGGCGTGATCTTGGTTCACTGCAACCTCTGCCTCCCAGGTTCAAGCGATTCTCCTGCCTCAGCCTCCCGAGTAGCTTGGATTACAGGTGCCCACCACCATGCCCAGCTAATTTTTTTTTTTGTATTTTTAGTAGAGATGGGATTTCACCAAGTTGGCCAGGCTAGTATCAAACTCCTAACCTCAGGTGATCTGCCCACCTCGGCCTCCCAAAGTGCTGGGGTTACAGGTATGCGCCACTGTGCCTGGCCGTAAAAAATAATTTAATTGTACATTTAAAATAACTAAAAGAGTTCAACTGGATTGTTTGTAACACAAAAGATAAATGCTTGAGGTGATGGATTTCCCTTTAACCCTGCTGTGAATATTATGCATCGCATGCCCGTATCAAATATCTTACGTGCCCCACAAGTATATAAACTTACTATGCACCCACAAAAATTGAAAATAAACTTGAAAACCTAAAAACAAAACAAAAATCAACATTAAAGAAAAGTTTTCTGTATTTTCTGAGTTGTCTCAGTGGGTAATTTATCATCCCACTTTACTTAAAGCTTTGTCATTTGGGAAAAAAATAATTCCTGCCTTTCCATTGGTAATCTATCCCAGTTAAATGCATTGTTCAGCTCCACATTTGGCTTTTGGGTGCTCAACGTAGGGATATAAAGCATCTATTTCACCCAGACATAGCATTCATTCACTCAAAGTTTATGAAATTCCAGAAATTGAATGTACGACAGCGGCCGGGCAGTTTCTCATGCCTGTAATCCCGACACTTTGGGAGGTCGAGGCAGAAGGATCACTTGAGCCCAGGAGTTTGAGACCAGCCTGAGCAACACGGCAAGACCTTGTCTCCACAATCTCAGCAGTGTCATCAAATGGTGACAAGACTTTGTCATGTCCTAGAGAAAAAGATTCTCAGCACTTTCTACATTAAAAGCCTCTTTGGAAGGACAAATTCTATTTCACACAAATCTATGGAGTTTAACATCTGTATCCCCTCCTGCCAGTAAGCACTAAGCTTAAAAGAGTATTTCATCTATGACCTCTGAAATCTGATCAATGGCGTTGAATTTTCCCACGCCATCACACCAGCTTGTTTTCAGTCGTATTGTTGTACAAATTGCCACAAAAAATATGCAAAAGTTTTTAAACAAAACTTGGCACCATGTTGATAATGTGAACCTGCAATGTGAGGTCATGCTATTGTTGACCATGTTAACTTCCACTAATAGGAATCTGCATCCTGCCTTGTTCTTCAAGCATCAACAAAATGAAGATAGTTTTTTAAAATTTATATTTAATCACACAAATCAGTTAAATTATTTAAAATATCCTATTAATTTATAAGCTCTTTGAGAGCTGGAACAATTTTCATTCTGCCATTCATCTTTGTAACCTTCACAGGACTTAGCCATAGACACTAATTAAAAATGCACACTCACACACACACACCCCTACATACAAACATATACAAATATTTACAGTTGAAATGAAAAAAGCGTGTACAGTACCATCATGGTTCACTGTAGCTTCGACCTCCTGGGCTCAAGCGATCCTTCTGCCTCAGCCTCCTGAGAAGTTGGGACCACAGGTGCATGCCACCACACCCAGCTACTTTTTTAATTTTTATTTATTTATTTTTTTTTGAGACGGAGTCTGGCTCTGTCGCCCAGGCTGGAGTGCAGTGGCGCAATCTCGGCTCACTGCAAGCTCCGCCTCCAGGTTCACGCCATTCTCTTGCCTCAGCCTCCTGAGTAGCTGGGACTATAGGCGCCCACCACCACGCCCAGCTAATTTTTTGTATTTTTAGTAGAGACAGGTTTCACCATATTAGCCAGGATGGTCTCGATCTCCTGACCTCGTGATCTGCCCGCCTCGGCCTCCCAAAGTGCTGGGATTACAGGCGTGAGCCACTGTGCTCGGCCAATTTTTTAATTTTTGCTAGAGATGAGGTCTCACTATATTGCTCAGGCTGGTCTTGAGCTCCTGGCCCCAAGTGATCCTCCTGCTTTGGCCTCCCAAAGTGCTGAGATTACAGGTGTGAGACACTGCACCCAGCTAAAAAAGTTGTATGGTACTTTAAATAAATCACTGTAACGTTAATGAAATAGAAAAGAGCTCAAACAGAAAACACTTAGGAGGGAATTGTACTATTCCAGGCAAATGCTGGAGGAGCCAAGGATTAGAAAAGTAGCCACAGATCGGAAACCAGGATTCAAACCAGATACTCCAGCTCCAGGGCCACCTCATTATACTGCCTTAGCTTCGCCAACATGCCTAGAAAATTACAATTCATAAGAGGAAAAAGTCATCATGCTTAGTTTTCAGATTCTCCAGATATTCTACACAGTATATTAAATTCCAAACTCAGATAAAAGTCTATTAATTTTCTTTTTTTTTTTTTGAGACAGAGTCTCACTCTGTCGCCCAGACTGGAGTGCAGTGGCACAATCTCGGCTCACTGCAACCTCCGCCTCCCAGGTTCATGTCATTCTCCTGCCTCAGCCTCCCAAGTAGCTGGGACTACAGGCGCCTGCTACCATGCCCAGCTAATTTTTTGTATTTGTAGTAGAGACAGGGTTTCACCATGTTAGCCAGGATGGTCTCGATCTCCTAATCTCATGATCCACCCGCCTCGGCCTCCCAAAGTGCTGGGATTACAGGCGTGAGCCACCGCGCCTGGGCTTTTTCTTTTTTTCTTTTTTTTTTTTTTAGATGGAGTTTCACTCTTGTTGCCCAGGCTGGAATGCAATGGCACAATCTTGGCACACCACAACCTCCGCCTCCCCTGTTCAAGTGATTCTCCTGCCTCAGCCTCCCAAGTAGCTGGGATTATAGGCATGCGCCACCACGCCCAGCTAATTTTGTATTTTTACTAGAGGTGGGGTTTCTCTATGTTGGTCAGGCTGGTCTCGAACTTCTGACCTCAGGTGATCCTCCCGCCTCAGCCTCCCAAAGTGCTGGGATTACAGGCATGAGCCACCGTACCCAACCAAAAGCCTATTAAATTTTTATAATCTCTAGTGTATCATTGTGACTAATTTATCATTCTAAATCCCCTAAAGATTATCAGTTTGAAAAAAGTAACACACAAAAAAGTAGTGATTTACCACGTTAGTAGTCTATTCCGGCCACTATCCTAGAAAACTATTTATTTTATTTTATTTATTTATTTTTTTTGAGACGGAGTCTCGCTCTGTCGCCCAGGCTGGAGTGCAGTGGCACGATCTCGGCTCACTGCAAGCTCCGCCTCCCGGGTTCACGCCATTCCCCTACCTCAGCCTCCCGAGTAACTGGGACTACAGGTGCCCGCCACCACGCCCGGCTAATTTTTGTATTTTTAGTAGAGACGGGTTTCACTGTGTTAGCCAGGATGGTCTCAATCTCTTGACCTTGTGATCCGCCTGCCTCAGCCTCCCAAAGTGCTGGGATTACAGGCGTGAGCCACAGCATCCGGCCTAGAAAACTATTTAGAAGGTAAAATGGATGGGAAGTGTAATTGATCAGATGAAGCACACGTGTGTGTGTGTGTGTGTGTGTGTGAGAGAGAGAGAGAGAGAAAGAGAAAGAGAGAGGATGCCACTTTTTCTATTTTGGGA
The DNA here is from genome assembly GCF_000001405.40 of Homo sapiens. Classification (NCBI taxonomy): domain Eukaryota; kingdom Metazoa; phylum Chordata; class Mammalia; order Primates; family Hominidae; genus Homo; species Homo sapiens. Next base: position 17,048,000 of record NC_000005.10, on the reverse strand, counting down.
AACGGGTAGATAGTAGTACAATTTACCAAGATAGGAAAGGCAAGAGAAAATATTTTCCAAATAATCATTACAAGAACCTGTCTTTCCTTTCTCCAATGAAGTTTGCCACGAGTGTTGTGATCAGCTCTTTCACTTCTGCCATTGGCACTCTATTGAATCATTGCTTAGTTACTTTGCTCCAGATATTTTTGCTGTGTTCCTAACAGTCCTGATCAAGCTAAAAAGCATTGTGTGTTACACAGAGAACTGAGATATGTCCTACAGCACAGACTACCTCTTCCAGAGTTGTTTACTTTACAAGCACTGCTAGCTGATACTGTGGATGACCCAACTGATCATCCTACTATATGCTAAAGTCTGTTGACTTCTTCAAACCCCCAAGCTTTGATCCTAACAGGACCCAATTTGAGATGATAAGACACCTTTTCTATCTTAGTGTATCTTTATTCTGAGTGTAGTAAATGTTTAACATTCTCACAGAATTGCAAAGTTACCTAACTAATTAACTACATGTTAAAGATGAAGCAGTGTTCTGGTCTTCAGTAGAAGTTATCAGTAAACCAACTTTGAAATGGCTGCAAGGCAGATCTCCTGGATATCAAGTTCTGCCCAAGTGTTCCTCTGGTTATGTAGACACCAGCATTTACATTTATCTATCACCAAAAGTTTTTCTTTTCTTTTCTTTTCTTTTTTTTCTTTTTTTTTTTTTTTTTTTTGAGACAAGGTCTCACTCCATCACCCAGGCTTCAGTGCAGCGGCAGGATCATGGCTCACTGTAGCTGTGAACTCCTGGTCTCAAGTGATCTTCCCCTCTCAGCCTCCCAGAGTAGCTGGGACTACAGGTGCATGCCACCATTCCCGGCTAACTTTTTGTAGAGATGGGGTTTTGCCATGTTGCCCAGGCTGGTCTCCGCCTCCTAAGCTCAAGCAAATCTGCTCACCTTGGCCTCCCAAAGTGCTGGGATTACAGGTGTGAGCCATCATAGCCAGCCAATTTTGCTCTTTTTCAGACGTTGCTGGTCTTCTTGATTATTGCTTTTTTTCTTTTCATGTTTTCGAAGTATTTACTTATTTTGGCCTTTCTTCAGTTTAAACATTGTCTTAGTTCATTCATGCTGCTATAACAAAGTACTACAGACTGGGTAATTTACAAACAATAGAAATTTATTTCTCACAGATCTGGAGTCTGGGAAGTCCAAGATGAAGGCATTCAGTGTCTGATGAGGGTCTTTACACTGTGTTCTCCCATGTTGGAAGGCAGAGGGCAAAGAAAAGCCTCTGCTAGTTCCCTCTGGCCCTTTTATGAGGCACTAATTCATTCATGAGGGTGAACTCTTCTGACTTGTCAACTTCCTAGAATGCCTCATCTCTTAATATCAACACATGGGGATTAAGTTTCAACATTTTGGAGGGAACACATACAAACCACAGCAAATATACACCATGGTCTTCATCCCATTGTTCTATTGTCTAGAGTTATTGGCAGCTTGACCCAGCTGTTGATTTTACCTGCTGTTGGTTTCACTCAGTTCACATGGAGAGGTCCCCTGTGGGATGTGGAATTTTGGATGGTGAGCTCATTATCAATGGGGATTTGCCTATGAAAATCCAGGGAAGTCTGGGTAGAGGGCATGTTCCTCCTTCAGAGAGTTACAGACTTACTTGCTTCTCTCAAAGGTTCAGGAGTATCACCAGCCTGAGACCACTTCTTTTTCTCTTCTCTTCTCTCTCTCTCTCTCCTTTTTTTTTCTTTTTTGAGACAGGATCTGGCTCTGTCACCCAGGCTGGAGTGCAGTGGTGCAATCTCGGCTCACTACAACCTCTGTCTCCTGGGCTCAAGCTATCCTTTCACTACAGTCACCCAAGTAGCTGAGACTACGGGCGTGCATCTCAATCCCCGGCTAGTTTTTTGTACTTTTTGTAGAGATGGGGTTTTGCCATGTTGCCCAGGCTGGTCTCAAACTCCTGAGCTCAAGTCATCCGCCCACCTCAGCCTCCCAAAGTGCTGTGACTACAGGTGTGAGCCACCATGCCAGTCATTAAGACCACTTCTGATGTTAATTTCTTGGCTTTCAGAATACCTTGACCATGCAGGTTGCATAAATTCAACCCCAAACACACTTGACAGTAGGCCTTTGATAATAATTTCTTAGAAGACTTGGGAAACGGCCAGGCGCAGTGGCTCAGGCCTGTAATCCCAGCACTTTGGGAGGCCAAGGCGGGTGGATCACTTGAGGTCAGGAGTTCGGGACCACCCTGGCCAACATAGCCAAACCCCGTCTCTACTAAAAATACAAAAAAAAATTAGCCGGGCATGGTGGCGAACGCCTGTAATCCCAGCTACTATTAGAGTCATTGTGGTTACATCTAGCCGTAAGATCTTTCTTTTCATCCACATTTAAACTGAGTCCTTTGTAGCCTGCAGCAGCAATAAGGTTATGGGGAATAATGGAAAAAGGAAGAGTGAATGGAAAGAAAAGATTATGTGTCTTCTCTGTGTCTTTTTCCTTCTTTCTTTCTTTCTCTTTCTTTCTTTTCTTTCTTTCTTCTTTCTTTTTTTTTTTTTAGACAGAGTCTCACTCTGTCACCCAGGCTGGACTGCAATAGTGTGATCTTGGCTCACTGCAACCTCCTCCGCCTCCCAGATTCAAGCAATTTTCCTGTCTCAGCCTCCCAAGTAGCTGGGATTACAGGTGCCCGCCACCATGCCCAGCTAATTTTTTTGTATTTTTAGTTAAGAAGGGTTTTCACCATGTTGGCCAGGCTGGTCTCGAACTCTGACCTCAGGTGATCCACCTGCCTTGCCCTCCTGAAGTGCTGGGATTACAGGCGTGAGCCACCGTGCCCAGCAGGGAGAAACTTTTTTAGGTTCTCAGATTCATGTAGCGGTCGTGTTTTCATCTCCCCTCTTTTGCTAGCCCAGAGCCTCATCTTCTATCCATGCTGCTGTTTTGGAAACAAATCATTTTTAATATAAATACTGAGTTCCAAACTCTGCGTAGATATCTGTGGACAAAACTCTTACTCCCATGGAACCTAACTGTTTTAGAAAGAAGGAGGGAAACAATAATAAGTAAATTATATAGTAAGTTAAAGGTGAGGCGTGAATAATGGGAGGAGGAGTAGTAGCAGATGAGGCAGAGGGGTCAGGAGTGGAAGAGGGTGCATGAGTCTAGGAGCTGTATAGGCCATTGCAAGAATCTAGGTTTTTATTCTGAGAAAATGAAAAACACTGGGCCAGGCATGGTGGCTCACGTCTGTAATCCCAGCACTTTGGGAGGCTGAGGCGGGCCAATCACTTGAGGTCAGGAGTTCAAGACCAGCCTGGCCAACATGGAGAAACCCTGTCTCTACTAAAACTGCAAAATTCAGTCGGGCGTGGCGGCAGGCACCTGTAAGCTACTCGGGAAGCTGAGGCAGGAGAATCACTTGAACCCAGGAGGCGGAGGCTGCAGTGAGCTGAGATCACACCACCGCACTCCAGACTGGGTGGCAGAGCAAGACTCCGTCTCAAGAAAAAATGAAAAACATTGGAGGGTTTTGTGTAAAGAGTGACATAATTTGACTTACATTTTAGGAGGATCATTATGGCTGGTAATTGAGATGAGGCTGCAAGGATCAACACAGGGACCTGTGTTCAGAACACTATTCTAATAGCCCCAAGAGAGATGATGGTGGATTGAACCATCGTATCTCGGAATTACCATTCTACTGCTGTAGGGACAGCAGTAGAGTGTTAAGAAGTGGTGGATTTTTAATTTATGTTGACAACTGAGTAGGCAGGGTCTTCTAGCTGATTGGTTATATCATGTGGAAGAGAGTTTTCAAGGATGGTGTAGGAAGCAGAATAATGGTTCCCCAAAGATGTCTATGTCCCAGTCCCCAGAACCTGTGATTACTTGAGGTTACACGGCAAAGGGGAATGAATTAAGGTTGCAGATGGAATTAAGACTTCGAATCAGATGATCTTAACATCGGGAGATTATCCTGGAATATCTAAATGAGCCCAATGTAATCACAAGAGTCCTTCGGAGTAGAAAAGAGAGGCAGAAGAGGGAGAATCAGAGAGATGGCATCTTGAGAAAGACTCAGCTGAGTGTAAAGATGGAGGCATGAGTGTAAAGTTGCTGAGTGTAAAGATGGAGGCATGCAGCCATTAGCTGAGAAATAGAGACGGACTCTAGATGCTGGGAAAAGCCAGGCAGCATCTAATTCCAGGGCCTCCAGAAGGGGCACAGCCCTGATGGTGTCTTGATTTTAATCTGATGAGACCTCATGTTGGACTTCTAATCTAAAAAAAAAAGTGAAATAATAAATTGGTGTTGTTTTAAGCCAATCAGTTTGTGGTGATTTGTTACAGCAGCCACAGAAAATGAACACAGATGGTGCCAAAGCTTTGTCTGGAGCAAGGGGAAGGGTGGAGTTGCTATGATGTGCTATCGGGGAGACGGTAGGTGGGAAAAGCTTGGGGGGAAGAATCAAGAGTTCTGCTCTGAATATGTTCTATTCCTAGAAAAAAATCTGTCATGTGTGTACTGGGAGGCCTGTGCATGCAATTTCATAACTGCCTGAGGGTAAAAAACTCGAAACATCCCAAATGTCCATTGACAGGAGAAGGAATAGGTGGGTTGTGGTTCAGCCACAAAATGGAATATTATATAGCAAGAAATGAATGAACTACGTCTTGCAACAACACGGATGAATCTTGGTCAAATGTTATAATGCGCCACCCAACTCCAGCCTGGGCGGCAGAGCGAGACTCCATCTAAAAAAAAAAAAAAAAAAAAAAAAAAAACCAGAGAGAGAGAGCTTATAGAAAATGTCCAGGCCTTATGCCTTAATCAATAAATTGAGATTTCTAGGGTAGGATCTAAAGTATCTGGTGTAAAGGATAGTATTCTGGGGGTGTATCCAATACTAAATAATTGTAGAAAATAGTCCCGATTGATGGCTAGAAAGGACCCTCTTCCCTTCCTCTCACCACCACCTGTCACCAAGCACAGCTACTTCTCAGCGCGTGTGTTCAACAGCCTGGTTTCCAGTTCCTTCCATGATTTTGGCCCCAGAGGATATTGTCTTGAGAGCTGTCTGAAGACAGCTTTCATTACTATTTTGAGAGCTCAATTATACATTGAAAATGATGTTGCAAAATTTTGTCTGGCATTTCTAGGTATCTAACACTGGGAGAACTTTCTAGTTGTTAACCCTTTCAAGAGCTTATAAAGGCCAGGCACGTTGACTCATGCCTGTAATCCCAGCATCTTGGGAGGTCGAGGTGGGTGGATCACCTGAGGTCAGGAGTTTGAGACCAGCCTGGCTAACATAGCGAAACCACATCTCTACTAAAAATACAAAAATTAGCCAGACGTGGTGGTGCATGCCTGTAGTCCCATCTATCTGAGAGGCTGAGGCAGGAGAATCGCTTGAACCCAGGAGGTGGAGAGTGCTGGGAGCTGAGATTGCATCACTCAACTCCAGCCTGGGCGGCAGAGAGAGACTCCTTCTGAAAAAAAAAAAAAAAAAAGAGAGAGAGAGCTTATAGAAAATGTCCAGGCCTTATGCCTTAATCAATAAATTGAGATTTCTAGGGTAGGACCTAAAGTGTCTGCGTTTTTAAAGCTCTGTGGGTAATTATAAAGCCAAATCACTCTAATAAGCATTTAATGAAGCCCTGATTGACTAGCTGGGAGGAGGCTGTCCTAGCTTGAACCTACACTGTGTCTAATCCGGGGCTTGAAACCTACTAGGGCACATCTGGTGACCTCATGAGACCGACCTACCAGATGTCTGTTTGCACGAAAGATAAAAGGGAGCCAGGGAGATCATACAGCCCAAGAAAAGAAAACCCAGGCACAAGATGAATCCAAAGAAAGGTCTGGTGTCTGTGACTCAGACCTATGTTCGCACCATGAACTCACCTCTGATTCAAGGGAGAAGGACAGGTGTCAGACACACCAAGTTCAAATCCTCGGTGATCATGGCTGTCACTTACCTCTCAAAATCTCAGCTTTCTCACCTGAAAAATGAAGATACGAGAAATCCCTATCTCTTGGTGCTTCTGGAAATATTAAATGAGGGTGTGTTTGTCGAGTTATTAGCAGAGTGCCTGGGTCATATTATGTGCTTAGTAAACGCTAACTTTGTACGTTGAAGTGGAACTAGTGTTTTCTTTTTCTTTCTTTTTTTTTTGAGACGGAGTCTCGCTCTGTCGCCCAGGCCGGAGTGCAGTGGCGCAATCTCAGCTCACTGCAAGCTCTGCCTCCCGGGTTCATGCCATTCTCCTGCCTCAGCCTCCCGAGTAGCTGGGACTACAGGCGCCCGCCACCACGCCTGGCTAATTTTTTTCTATTTTCAGTAGAGACAGGGTTTCACCGTGTTAGCCAGGATGGTCTCGAACTCCTGACCTTGTGATCCACCCGCCTCGGCCTCCCAAAGTGCTGGGATTACAGGCGTGAGCCACCGCGCCCCGCCTTGTTTTTTTTGTTTTTTTTTTTTTGTATTTTTAGTAGAGATGGGGTTTCATCAGGTTGGTCAGGCTGGTCTCCAACTCCTGACCTCAAGTGTTCCGCCCATCTCGGCCTCCCAAAGTGCTGGGATTACAGGCGTGAGCCACTGCACCCAGCCGGAACTAGCTTTTTCACTAAAACCTCTGGTCCCTTGATTGACCTTGGAGCAGACTACAAAAGGAGGAGACAGAGAGGGGGATAGGGGGTCACCGCTGCATGGCTGAGCCCATCAGTTCTGACACTTCCTAGGCCTCCCTCCTGCAGTAGGTGCAGACCTGGCAGGAGACAGGAGTGCCTGATAGATGCCTACAAGGTCCACAGAGGCTGTGTAGAAGGAGCAAGAACAGCAACAATTAAGTTGCACGGACAAATCCTCCAACAGGTTGGTTTTGCATCCCAGTGTGAGTACCATCCCAACAAGCATAAAGATGAGTCTTGATCCTAAAACAGTACTTCCAAAGCCTGCTATTCCGGAGGAGATGAGCTCAGTCAGTAGGCCCTGTCTTGGAGCTCCATACTCTTCTAACTTCAGTGGTGATGTGAGCCAGCTCTCAAAAAATAAAAAAACTTAAGAAGTTCCCACTTATAGTGTTTGCCAGTTTCATGGTGTAAATTCTCCAGGCATGGCCGATGCCAACGTGATGTTTCCAAACACTGAGTTGGGAAGAAATGTTCTGAGCTGGCTTTTACACTGTCCTGAGCAGCACAAGCCAGCCCCAACAGACGACTGCTCATTCTTCCAACGACAGGACCCCTAAAAGCCACATAAAATGACAGACGCTCTGCTGCATTTAGGTGATGATGCCGTCCTGGAGAAGAAATTTTTCTATACCTGACTTAGCTCATGATTGCCAGTCGTACGTGATGTATTCTCTCAGCCCCGTAAGAACATTTACTACCCACTAGTCATATTATTATTCTACTAGTAGTAACATTCTTTTAAATATTGTAAAGAATCTATACATCAGCTGTCTGAAAAGTATTTGATGGTCCTTTGTTCTCTTTTATTAAAACTCTCATGTCTTTGTAAGAAATAGAGCACTTTTATATTTTTTATTTTATTTTATTTGAAGACAGGGTCTCACCATGTTACCTAGGCTGGTCTCGAACACCTCGGCTCAAGTGATCCTCCCGCCTCAGCTTCCCAAAGTGCTGGGATTACAGGTATAAGCCAGCATGCCAGCCCAGAAATAGAGTGTTTTAAGGTGCTATAAGAAAAACAGTACGGGCCGGGCTCCGTGGCTCACACCTGTAATCCCAGCGCTTTGGGAGGCTGAGGCAGGCGGATCACAAGGTCAGGAATTTGAAACCAGCCTGGCCAATATGGTGAAACCCCATCTCTATTAAAAATACAAAAATTAGCCAGGCTTGGTGGCACACGACTGTAGTCCCAGCTACTCAGGAGTCTGAGGCAGAAGAATCACTTGAACCCGGGAGGAGGAGGCTGCAGTGAGCCGAGATTGTGCCATTGCACTCCAGCCTGGGTGACAAGAGCAAAACTCTGAAAAAAAAAAAAAAAAAAAACCAGAAAGAATAAAGAAAGAGAGAGGAGGAGGAGGAGAAGGAGGAGGATGGGGGGGGAAGAGGGAAAGAAAGAAAAAGAAAGAAAGAAAGAAAGAAAGAAAGAAAGAAAGAAAGAAAGAAAGAAAGAGAGAGAGAAAGAGAGAGAGAAAGAAAGGAAGAAAGAAAAACAGTTTATGATCCTATCAAGTTAAAGAGTGATAGCAGTATGAGGTTCTAGTTGTGGAAGTTATACCTGTGGAAGTTATGCCTGAAACTCAAGCTATAGAAAGAAAAAGTTGGTCAGAAGGCTTTTTAACAAGTTTTACATAGAATTAATATACATTAGAATGACATGACTGGAAAATTTGAAATTATGAAAAACATCCATCAGCATGCATCGTAATCCACTGGAGGGCAGTTAAAGTCAATTGCTGGGCCCCAACTCCACAGTTTCAGATTCAGTGAATCTGGGACCCAAGAATGGACATTTCTAACAATTTCCTAGGGGAGCCCACTCAGAGGTCCACTGCCTTATACACATAACACCTTAGAATTGGCTTTTCTCAATGTGCTACATATACACCATGGAATACTATGCAGCCATGAAGAAGAATGAGATCACGTCCTTTGCAGGGTCATGGATGATGCTGGAAACCATCATCCTTAGCAAACTAACACAGGAACAGAAAACCAACCACCACATGTTCTTACTCATAAGTGGGAGCTGAACAATGAGAACACATGGACACAGGGAGGAGAACAACACACACTGGAGTCTATTGGGGGGATGGGGAGGGAGAGCATTAGGATAAATAGCTAACGCATATGGGGCTTAATACCTAGGTGATGGGTTGATAGGTGCAGAAAACCACCATGGTACACATTTACCTATGTAACAAAACTGCTTGTCCTGCACATGTACCCTGGAACTTAAAGTAAAATAAAATTAAAAAAAAAAAAAGAATTGGCATTTCTCTTGAACGAGCTATGGATAACTAGCATGTTTGCATCAGTCATGCACCATCCACGAAAATGGAATGGATGTTTCCTGCTACCCTGGGGACTGTTGACACATTTTTTGGTACCATGTTTTGTTCAACTATCCAGTCTATACTTATTAAACAGACTGCAACAAAAAGTCTAGAAGCTATTCTTGGAATGAAATGAACTTCCAGAAGACTGATAACATTAGCATTAAGTGTTAAATGAAATTTATTTTAGGAGCTTCAAGGGTATGTTTGGTTCATTGGCTGTCTCCTCAGAGAAACCATTTTCTCTTCAGCCTCAGAAAACAAAACAGTTACATAACACGCCTGAGATCGCACAGCACACAGTGGATAGACGTGGTCTCCACAATGGAGCTTTCTGCTTTCTGCCTCTGTTTAGTGCCTAGGACATGGCAGGTGTGCAAGAAATGTATGCAGAACTGTGAAATCATTAGAGGGAGAGAGAGGAGAGGGGGAGACACAACTCTGGTAGAATAAATCTTCAAGGTTGTCCACAGGAGTCAGAGCTGGCTCCTTACATTTCTTTTCATTTCTTTTTCTTTCTTTCTTTCTTTCTCTTTTTTTTTTTTTTTTTTTGAGACAGGATCTCACTGTCACCCGGGCTGGAGTGCAGTGGCACAATCTCAGCCTCAACCTCCTGGGCTCAAGTGATCCTCCCACCTCGGCCTCCCGTGTAGCTGGGACTACAGGTGCACACCACCATGCCCAGCTAATTTTTGTATTTTGTGTAGAGACGGGTCTTGCCATTTTGCCTGGGCTGGTCTCAAACTCCTGGGCTCAAATGATTTGCCCACCTTGGCCTCCGAAATTGCTGGAATTACAGGCGTGAGCCACCAAGCCCAGCCTTGCGTCCTTATGTTTCTGAATTATTTTGCTGCTCTCCAAAATTCCCAACTTCCCTCTTCTTAGGATGAAAGTTGCTCTCTGTACAAAGGTAATTGGTATCATAGCCTATGCCCAGGAGAGACTAAAACAAAAACTCCAAATGCTATTTTTAGCAGTTGGTGTAAGCAGGATGTGCAGGTCATTGTTTTAAAACCACATCACCCAACAAAGAAAAATAATCGAGGTTGTTGTTTTGGATTTTTTTCTCTGACTCACTCCTAATACTATTACCTTGTTTTCTAATTGGCCTAGAAACTATTATTTCATCCTTTGTATTATCTTGGGCTTATTCTTTTAAATAACCTGGAATGGAATTAAGATCTACCACTCGATTTTCAATTTTACCCATATTAGGCATGACTGTCAAACAGTATTTCCCTGTCAGATTTCAGGATCATTTTGCAAATGGCAACCAAGCAGTCCCATCACTCCAACTTGTAGGATCACAACAGACATACCTCGGCACATTGGAGTCAGGGCTGTGTCCCTAAGATGGATATACAGGCCCACTGGACTGCCTCTACATTTTGTGCATTCATTCCTATCTCTATCCTACAAGCTGGCCAGACCTCAAAGCTTTGGCTTGTGTTTGGTTGCATTGTTCGATTTTTTTTTTTTTCCTGCTGGTCTGATGGCTTTTAGGGTCAGTGATAGGTCTTTTAGAAATGAGATATGTTCAGAGGGTTTAGGGGCAAATAAATCATTCAAGGGGACTTAGCCTAGTCGTTTATCACTAACGCATTGCTGGCTGATGGGCCTCAGGGTGGGTGGTCTCTCTGGGGACTAGACAGAGGGAGATGGGACTCAGGTTCTTATTTTATTCTCTGTTCAATGAAAGGAAGGTCTGCTTTATTTGGAAAACAAATTGGTTGTTTCTAGAACTTGGGATTTTATATAATAGCTAATATTGCTAAAGACTACTATTTATTCAGGTTCCCTAATCTGTCAATGTCCTAAGCAATCTACCAACAACTCTGGAAATTATGTATGATAATTTCTATTTTACATAAAGGAAACTACAATGTAGAAAAGCTAGGTGACTTTCTTTTTTTTAGACGAAGTCTCGCTCTTGTCACCCAGGCTGGAGTGCAATGGTGCGATCTTGGCTCACTGCAACCTCCACCTCCCAGGTTCAAGCTATTCTGCCTCAGCCCCCCGAGTAGCTGGGATTACATGCGCCTGCCACCATGACTGGCTAATTTTTGTATTTTTTTTTTTTTAGTAGAAACGGGGTTTCACCATGTTGGCCAGGCTGGTCTCAAACTCCTGACCTCAGGCAATCCGCCCGCCTGGGCCTCCCAAAGTGCTGGGATTATAGGTGTGAGCCACCGCGCCTGGCCGTGACTTTCTTTTTCCTCCCTTTTTTTTTTTGAGACAGTGTGTTGCTCTGTCACCCAGGCTGGAGTGCAGTGGTGCCATCACGGCTCACTGCAGCCCAAACTCCCAGGCTCAAGCAATCCTCCTACCTCAGTCACCTGAGGGGCTGGGACTACAGGTGTAGGATGCCATGTCCAGCTAATTTTTTTTTTTTTTTTGAGAGATGAGACCTCGCTATGTTGCCCAGGCTGGTCTCATACTCCTGAGCTCAAGCGATCCCCCTACCTCGGTCTCCCAAAATGCCAGGATTACAGGTCTGAGCCACTACGCCTGGCCAGCCAGTTCTATTTGTCTCCAAATAATAATAGAGAATGTTTATTGAATTATTTTTTTTTTTTGAGATGGAGTCTGTCTCTGTCGCCCAGCCTGGAGTGCAGTGGTGCTATCTCGGCTCGCTGCAAGCTCTACCTCTTGGGTTCACACCATTCTCCTGCCTCAGCCTCCCGAGTAGCTGGGACTACAGTTGCCCGCCACCATGCCCGGCTAATTTTTTTTTTTTTTTTTTTTTTTTGTATTTTTAGTAGAGACGGGGTTTCACCATGTTAGCCAGGATGGTCTCGATCTCCTAACCTTGTGATCTGCCCGCCTCGGCCTCCCAAAGTGCTGGGATTACAGGCGTGAGCCACTGCGCCCAGCCTATTGAATTCTTTATGTTAATCCCTCTATGTGTATTATTTCTTTTGAAATAAGAAAGATCCAGAAGAGCTATGAGATGTGTCCAAGTCACATAGGGAGATTAGACAGTGCCTCCAGTTCCCAGTCACCTTGTGTCTTTCTCGTCTGTGACACAAATTTTTCCATGGTACTGAAGCTCTGGGGAGAAGTCAGCAAAAACACTGGTCCTTGCTATGAAGGCAAGGTGTGGGGCTCTGGAGGCCAGGTGTGGGCTCTGGAGCTTTCTGGAGCTGGCTGCCTGGGTTTAAGTCCCGGCTCTGCACTCCCCTTGCTGTGTGACCCAGCACGAGTTACTTACCCTCTCTGTACTTCCATCTCATCATCTGTAAATGGAGATGACAACAGTGTCTTCAAAGGGCTGTCGTGAGGATCATTCTAGTAAAAAAAAAGTAAGTGACCTTTTATCAACAATGATTACTTCTGGGAGGAAAAAGGATGTCATAGGAGTGAATGTTCTCATTTTCCTCAGAACTTGATGAGATTTCAGGTCACTAGGATTAGCTCAGGGAACAGGTAAGATACTAACTAAAGAAATTAGGGTAAGTAGCTAATTAAAGTCTTGAAAACACTGCATAGAGATCAAGCCATGTTTGCAAATCCCAACTCCCAGCATCTCTAGGGTTCTGAATTTTCTGGAAACACTGCAAGAAAAGGAAAACAGAGAAGAATTTTAAACTCAAAGGGGAGAGGGGAAGTTTATTTTATTTTGTTTACTTTTGTAGAGATAGGGTCTCACTATGTTGCCCAGGCTGGTCTCAGACTCCTGGGCTCAAGCAATCCTCCCGCCTCAGCCTCCCAAAGTGCTGGGATTACAGGTGTGAGCCGCTGTACCCAGCATTTAATTTAATTTAATTTAATTTAATTTAATTTAATTTATTTTATTTGGAAGTTTAAATTGAAGAAATTAATTAAAGTTGGGTTTGTATGAACTAAAGTATTAATAATTATGCAACAGTACAAATAGTGATTTTAAAAGAATGATTGATATATACATGTGCCCCCTTCAAAGCTGTATAACATAGACTCTTGGAAATAACTTTTAAAACCAAACTAGGGGATAGTGGTGATGGTGGCACAGCATTGCGAATACACTTGATGCTGCTGAACTGTATATTGATAAATAAATGATTTTAAAAATTGAAGCCTATTCTTATCCATTCATGTAGAGCTGTACAAGGGAGTTCACTCTTTTTTTTTTTTTTTTTTTTTTTTTTGAGACAGAGTCTCGCTCTGTCTCCCAGGCTGGAGTGCAGTGGCGCGATCTCGGTTCACTGCAACCTCTGCCTCCCAGGTTCAAGCTATTCTCCTGCCTCAGCCCCCTGAGTAGCTAGGATTACAGGCACATGCCCAGCTAATTTTTTGTATTTTTAGTAGAGACGGGGTTTCACTGTGTTAGCCAGGATGGTCTCCATCTCCTGACCTCACGATCCGCCTGCCTTGGCCTCCCAAAGTGCTGGGATTACAGGCGTGAGCCACTGCGCCTGGCCAGGAGTTCACTTTTAAGCACAGAATCTGCACATTCAAATGTCCAGCAAGAACCAGGTGTATTCGTCCATTCTCACACTGCTATAAAGATACTACCTGAGACTGGGTAATTTATAAAGAAAAAAGATTTGATTGACTGACAGTTCTGTATGGCTGGGGAGGCCTCAGGAAATTTATCATCATGGCAGAAGGCGAAGGGGAAGCAAGGCACGTCTTCCGTGGCGGCAGGAGAGACAAAGATGCTCTGTTGCCCAGGCTGGAGTGCAGTGGCATGATCTCGGCTCACTGCAACCTCCACCCCCCAGGTTCAAGCAATTCTACCTCAGCCTCCAGAGTAGCTGGGATTACAGGCAAGCACCACCACGTCCAGCCAATTTTCATATTTTTAGTGGAGACAGGGCTTCACCATGTTGGCCAGGCTGGTATTGAACTCCTGACCTCAAGTGATTTGCCCACTTCGGCCTCCTAAAGTGTTGGGATTACAAGTGTGAGCCACTGGGCCCAGCTGAAACTAGCGCTTTTTTTTTTTTTTTTTTTGGAGATGGAGTTTCGCTGTGTCACCCAGGCTGGAGTGCAGTGGTGCAATCTCAGCTCACTGCAACCTCTGCCTCCTGGGTTCAAGTGATTCTCCTGCCTCAGCCTCCTGAGTAGCTGGGACTACAGGCATGTGCCACCACACCCAGTTAATTTTTCTATTTTTAGTAGAGATGGGGTTTCACCATATTGGCCAGGCTGGTGTCGAACTCCTGACCTTGAGATCCACCCACCTCAGCCTCCCAAAGTGCTGGGATTACAGGTGTGAGCCACCGCACCCGGCCAGAAACTGCCACTTTTAAAACCATTAGCTCTTGTGAGAACTCCCTCACTATAACAAGAACAGTATGGGGGAACTGCCCCCATGACTCAATCACCTCCCACCAGGTCCCTCCCTGACATGTGAGGATTACAATTCAAGAAAAGATTTAGGTGGGGACCCAGAGCCAAACCATATCACCAGGCTTATAAGTCATACACATTATACAATAATGAGTGAATAACAGATCAGGAAGCTATTATTGGGCCAGACGCGGTAGCTCACATCTGCAATCCCAGCACCTGGGGAGACTGAGGTGGGTGGATCTCAAGGTCAGGAGTTTGAGACCAGCCTGGCCAATATGGTGAAAACCCGTCTCTACTAAAAATACAAAAATTAGCCAGGTGTGGTGGCGGGCACCTGTAGTCCCAACTACTCAGGAGGCTGAGGCAGAAGAATCGCTTGAACCCAGGAGGCGGAGGTTGCAGTGAGCCGAGATCGCGCCACTGCACTCCAGCCTGGGTGACAGAGAGAGACCTGTCTCAAAAAAAAAAAAAAAAAAAAAAGTAGATATTATTGGTTGGGCAGTGGCTCACACTTGTAATCCCAAAACTTTGGGAGGCTAAGGCAGGCAGATCGTTTGAGCCCAGGAGTTCAAGACCTGCCTGGGCAACATAGTAGCACCCCATCTCTACCAAAAAAAAAAAAAAAAATTAGCCAGGTGTAGTGGCATGTGTCTGTAGTCCCAGCTACTCAGGAGGCTGAGGTGGGAGGATCACTCCAGCCTAGGAGGTTGAGGCTGCAATGACCCATTGAGAGGTGACAGCCTACTGGCAGTCCTCGCAGCTCTCGCTGGCTCTCGGCTCCTCCTCTGCCTGTGCTCCCACTTTGGCGGCACTTGAGGAGCCCTTCAGCCCGCTGCTGCACTGTGGGAGTCCCTTTCTGGGCTGCCCAAGGCCGGAGCCGGCTCCCCCAGCTTGCGGGGAGGTGTGGAGGGAGAGGCGCGGGCGGGAACCAGGGCTGCGCGCGGTGCTTGCGGGCCAGCGCGAGTTCCCGGTGGGCGTGGGCTCGGCGGGCCCAGCACTTGGAGCCGCCTGCAGGCCCCGCCGGCCCCTGGAAGTGAGGGGCTTAGCACCTGGGCCAGCAGCTGCTGTGCTCAATTTCTCGCCGGGCCTTAGCTACCTTCCCGCGGGGCAGGGCTCGGTACCTGCAGCCCGCCATGTCTGAGCCGCCCGCCGGCCCACCCCTCCGTGGGCTCCTGTACGGCCCGAGCCTCCGCGACGAGCACCGCCCCCTGCTCCACAGCGCCCAGTGCCATCAACCACCTCCACCTGCGCCCCGGTGCAGGATCCACTGGGTGAAGCCAGCTGGGCTCCTGAGTCTGATGGGGACTTGGAGAACCTTTATGTCTAGCTAAGGGATTGTAATACACCAATCAGCACTCTGTATCTAGCTCAAGGTTTGTAAACACACCAATCAGCACCCTGTGTCTAGCTCAGGGTTTGTGAATGCACCAGTCGACACTCTGTATCTAGCTACTCTGATGGGGAGTTGGAGAACCTTTGTGTGGACACTGTATCTAGCTAATCTAGTGGGGAGGTGGAGAACTTCTGTGTCTAGCTCAGGGATTGTAAACGCACCAATCAGCGCCCTGTCAAAACAGACCACTCTGCTCTCTGTAAAATGGACCAATCAGCAGGATGTGGGTGGGGCCAAATAAGAGAATAAAAGCAGGCTGCGGTAGCAGGCAGTGGCAACCTGTTGGGGTTGTTTTCTACAGTGTGGAAGCTTTGTTTTTTTTCCTCTTTGCAATCAATCTAGCTGCTGCTCACTCTTTGGGTCCGCCATTGCCTTTATGGGCTGTTAACGCTCACCGCGAAGGTCTGCAGCTTCCCTCCTGAAGCCAGCGAAACCACGAACCGACCGGGAGGAGCGAATAACTCCAGACGCGCCACCTTAATAGCTGTAACAGTCACCTCGAAGGTCCGCAACTTCACTCCTAAGCCAGCGAGATCACGAACCCCACCAGAAGGAAGAAATTCCGAACATATCCGCACATCAGAAGGCACAAATTCCGGACACGCCGCCTTTAAGAACTGTAACACTCACAGCGAGGGTCCGCGGCTTCATTCTTGAAGTCAGTGAGACCAAGAACCCGCCAATTCCGGACACACTATGATCATACCACTGCACTCCAGCCTGGAGTACAAGGTGAGACACTGCCTCAAAAAAAAAAAAAAAGAAAAAACCCACAGATATTATTAGTCCTTCCACTATTATACAAACGGTTCCCACTACTCCTTCTGCATCTTTCAGGATGAAGTTTAACTGGAGAGTATCCTGAGATTGCAAGATAAGGTTTTCTTTTAATGTTTATAATTTACTATTAGCTGCATCAATCAGGATTTTTCTCCATTCTGTGCAACCAACGCAAAGAAAAGGTCTAAGTAGACTGCTGAGGCTGAAAAAATACTGCAGACTTAATCCACGACCCCCAAATTTTATGTGTAGCCATTCTCCTTTTATTATTTGCTAGTTTTATTTAAAGTTGCTATACATTTGAAACTTTGTTTTTTTTTTTTAACTTTCAAGTTCAGGGGTACATGTGCAGGTTTATTACATAGGTAAACTTCTGTAATGGGGGGTTTGTTGTATAGATTATTTCATCACCCAGGTATTAAGCTTGATACCCATTAGTTATTTTTCCTAATCCTCTCCTTCCTCCCACCCTCCACCCTCCAATAGGTCCCAGGGTGTCTTGTTTCCCCCATGTGTCCATGTGTTCTCATCATTTAGCTCCCACTTATAAGTGAGAACATGCGGTATTTTTTTCTGTTCCTGCATTAGTTTGCTAAGGATAATGGCTTCCAGCTCCATCCATGTTCCTGCAAAGAACATTATCTCATTCTTCTTCATGGCTGCATTGTATTCCATGGTGTATATGAACCACATTTTCTTTATGCAGTCTACTACTGATGGGCATTTAGGTTGGTTTCATGTCTTTGCCATTGTGGACAGTGCTGCAGTGAACATACATGCATGTGTCTTTATGATAGAACAATGTATCAACATATTCTTTTGGGTTTATACCTAGTAAATGGGATTGCTGGGTCGAATTGTATTTCTGTTTTTAGGTCTTTGAGGAATTGCCACACTGTCTTCCACAATGGTTGAACTAATTTCCACTTCCACCAAAAGTGTATAAGCGTTCCTTTTTCTACACAAACTTGCCAATCTTCGTTGTTTTTTCACGTTTTAATAATAGCCATTCTGACTGGTGTGAGATGGTATCTCATTGTGATTTTGATTTGCATTTCTCTAATGATGAGTGATGTTGACCATTTTTCATATGATGCCCACATGTATGTCTTCTTTTGAAAATTATCTGTTCGGCTGGGCACGGTGGCTCACGCCTGTAATCCCAGCACTTTGGGAGGCCAAGGCGGGTGGATCACGAGGTCAGGAGATAGAGATCATCCTGGCTAACACGATGAAACCCCGTCTCTACTGAAAATACAAAAAATTAGCCGGGTGTGGTCACGGACGCCTGCAGTCCTAGCTACCCGGGAGGCCGAGGCAGGAGAATGGCGTGAACCCAGGAGGCGGAGCTTGCAGTGAGGTGAGATTGCGCCACTGCACTCCAGGCTGGGCAACAGAGCAAGACTCCGTCTCAATGAAAAGAAAAGAAAAGTGTTTGTTCATGTCCTTTGCCCATTTTATTTATTTATTTACTTTTATTTATTTTGAGACAGAGTCTCGCTCTGTCACCACGTTGGAGTGCAGTGGCGTGATCTCGGCTCACTGCAACCTCCACCTCCCAGGTTCAAGCAATTCTCTTGCCTCAGCCTCCTGAGTAGCTGGGACTGCAGGCGCCCGCCACCACGCCCAGCTAATTTTTGTATTTTTTTTTTGAGACCGAGACTCCCTCTGTCACTAATTTTTTTGTATTTTTAGTAGAGATGGGGTTTCACCGTGTTAGCCAGGATGATCTCCATCTCCTGGCCTCATGACCCACCCACCTCGGCCTCCCAAAGTGCTGGGATTACAGGCATGAGCCACCGCGCCCGGCCTAATTTTTGTATTTTTAGTAGAGACGGGGTTTCACCATGTTGACCAGGATGGGCTCAATCTGACCTCGTGATCCACCCGCCTTGGCCTCCCAAAGTGCTGGGATTACAGGCGTGAGCCAGCGCACCCGGCCATTTGCCCACTTTTTAATGGGATTGTTGGGGGTTTTTTTGTTTTAAAGTTGTTTTAAGTTCCCCATAGATGCTGGATATTAGACCTTTGTCAGAGGCATAGTTTGCAAAATTTTCTCCCCTTCTGTAGGCTGTTTGTTCACTCTGTTGATAGTTTCTTTTGCTGTGCAGAGGCTCTTTTGTTCAATTAGATCCCATTTCTCAACTTTTCCTTTTTTTGCAATTGCTTTTGGCATCTTCATCATGAAATCTTTGCCCATTTCTATGCCCAGAATGATATTTCCTAGATTGTCTTCCAGGTTTTTTGTAGATTGGGGTTTTACATTTAAGCCTTTAATTCATCTTGAGTTAATTTTTGTATGTGGTGTAAGGTAGAGGTCCAGTTTCAAATTTCTGCATATGGCTAACCAGTTATCCCAGCACCATTTATTGAATAAGGAATCCTTTCCCCATTGCTTGTTTTTATCAGCTTTTTCGAAGATCAGATAGTTGCAGGTGTGTAGCCTTATTTCTGTATTCTCCATTCTGCTCCACTGGTCTGTGTGTTTGTTTTTGTACCAGTACCATGATGTTTTCATTACTGTATCCCTGTAGTATAGTTTGAAGTCTGTAGCACGATGCCTCCAGCTTTGCTCTTTTTTTTTTTTTTAGGATTTCCTTGGCTATTTGGGCTCTTTTTTGGTACTATATGAATTTCAAAGTAGGTTTTTCTAGTTCTGTGAAGAATGTCATTGGTAGTTTAATAGGAATAGTACTGAATCTATAAATTGCTTTGGGTAGTATGGCCATTTTAATAATATTGGTTCTTCCTATCCATGAGCCTGGGATGTTTTTCCATTTGTTTGTGTCACCTCTGATTTCTTTGAGCAGTGTTTTGTAGTTCTCCTTGTAGAGATCTTTCAACTCCCTGATTAGCTGTATTCCTAAGTATTTTAATTCTTTTTGTAGTAATTGTGAATGGGATTGCATTCCTGATTTGGCTCTTGGCTTGACTGTTGCTGGTGTATAGGAATGATAGTGATTTTTGCACATTGAATTTGTATCCTGGGACGTTGCTGATATTGTTTCAGCTTACGGAGCTTTTGGGCCAAGACTATGGGGTTTTCTAGATACGGGATTATGTCATCTGCAAACATGGATAGCTTGAGTTTCTCTCCTCCTATTTGGATGCCTTTCATTTCTTTCTATGGCCTGATTGCTCTGGCTAAGACTTCCAATACTATGCTGAATAGGAGTGGTGAGAGTGCACCTTGTCTTGTCAGTTTTCAAGGGGGATGCTTCCAGCTTGTGCCCATTCAGTATGATGTTGACTGCCTTTGCCATAGACGGCTCTTATTATTTTGAGGTAGGTTCTTTCAATACCTATTTTATTTACTGAGTTTTTAATATGAAAGGGTGTTGAATTTTAACAAAAGCCTTTCTGCATCTATGAAGATAATCATGTGGGTTTTCTCTTTAGTTCTGTTTATGTGATGAATCACATTTATCGATTTGTTTATGTTGAACCAACCTTGCATCCCAGGGATAAAGACATCTGAAAAAAAATTTTTTTTTTTGGTTTGTTTGTTTTTGAGACAAAGTCTCGCTCTTTTGCCCAGGCTGGAGTGCAATGGTACGATCTCGGCTCACTGCAACCCCCACCTCCCAGGTTCAAGCTATTCTCCTGCCTGAGCCTCCCGAGTAGCTGGGACTACAGGTGTGTGCCACCATGCCTGGCTAATTTTTGTATTTTTAGTAGAGATGAGATTTCGCCACGTTGGCCAGGATGGTCTGGAACTCTTGATCTTAAGTGATCTGCCCACCTCGGCCTCCCAAAGTGCTGGGATTACAGGCATGAGCCACCGTGGCCCACGTGAAATGTTTTTAAAACATTCTTTTACCTGGGAACATAGATTCAAGTTGCCCTGAATATATACTCCTAAATCTGCAACTTTAACATACATTTGTGCTAGTAAAATATCATTTTAATGATTACTTTTATAAAGTCAAAGTAGGACAAATTAGAGAGTAGTTAATTGTCTCTACTATTCATCGAATAATGATTTATATAACTAAAGAAGAACTATGTGTGCTGAAACCCTCCTTTTCACTGATCAGGATAATTGTACACCACAAACTTGAGCCACAGCTGTTACCCAAAACTGCATTGAAAGTGACCAAGAGGAAACAGGCAGCTCCCTGGTCACAGGCTGAGTGAGCTCTCCTGAGATGTCATCCTAACCCTGGAAGCTCGGTCCATTCGGGAAGTCTTCAAAGCCCCATTAATGAATTCTTAAATGGGAATGATAATAGTGCAATTTTAAAAACAAATGAGGCTAGGGCATGGTGGCTCACGCCTGTAATCCCAACACTTCGGGAGGCCAAGACAGGTGGATCACTGGAGGTCAGGAGTTTGAGACCAGCCTGGCCAACCTGGCAAAACCCCATCTCTATTTCAAATACAAAAAGTAGCTGGGGGTGGCGGCAGGTGCCTGTAACCCCAGCTATAATCCCAGCTACTTGGGAGGCTGAGGCAGGAGAATCACTTGAACCCGGGAGGTGGAGGTTACAGTGAGCCAAGATCATGCCACTGCACTCCAGCCTGGGTGAGAGAGTGAGACTCTGTCTCAAAAAACAAGAAAACAAAACAAAACAAACGAACAAACAAATGAGGAGGGAGGGCTTTGGAATTTAATTTCCAAATGGAAAAGAGAAACTGCGTTCCTCCTTTTTTTCCTTTTTCTTTCTCACTTTCTCTTTCTCTTCTTTCTACTGATTTTTAATTTCTCTGTGGCAACAAGATAAAAGCACATTTACTTAGGATTCTTTAATTTCACTGGGGATTAAAGGGGTTCGCTGGGTAATGGGGGATAATTCATATGGCTCTCTTGTTTTTCATTGCCAGTGCTGTATGATTCGGGGTGATTCTATAAACCAACGTTTGTCATTTAATTTCACCTTGTGCTTAAGTTGGACAGATTAAATAAAGGTAATGTAAAATGGAAATGATGTTGGGGGCTTGTTCCTAGTCTAGAATCAAGGGTGTCCTTGGAAAGAACTTGAAGCCCTGCCTTGTCCTATGGTAGAAGCTTCTGGGGAAAGCATCAAAGGGGCATTTGCTGAAGAGGTGGGGGTGAGGAAAACACCAAATCTCATTGCTCTCAGGAGAAACATAAGGCTCTACTTATCTGATATTGCACTGATCTCACCTGCCTATGGAGGTGGGTTCACAGCCTGACTGTTAAGCCTATTGAATAATCAGGAAAAGGAACCAACAGTGTGAGAATACTGACCTATATGGTGAAGAAATTCAAAGCCCCTCTCTGTACTTCCCCCACCCTAAACCTTCTCCTTTAGGTTGAATTGGGAAAAAAGGTAAATGTACTCCACTCCCAAGCACGTGGGCTGATCTGGGATAAGCCAAATGCTAGGAAATTTTATTGGCCCACATCTTTGTGCTGGAATCTTCCAGGGGGATACAGGTAGCAGTGGGTGTGGATTTTTCATTTCCCTGAGGCTACTTTTTAAATTTTTTTTATTTTTATTATTATACTTTAAGTTGTAGGGTACATGTGCACAACGTGCAGGTTTGTTACATAAGTATACATGTGCCATGTTGGTGTACTGCACCCATTAACTCGTCATTTACATTAGGTATATCTCCTAGTGCTATCCCTCTCCCCTCCCCTCCCCCAACCCCATGACAGGCCCCGGCGTGTGATGTTCCCCACCCTGTGTCCAAGTGTTCTCATTGTTCAATTCCCATCTATGAGTGAGAACATGTGGTGTTTGGTTTTCTGTCCTTGAGATAGTTTGCTCAGAATGATGGGTTTCCAGCCTCATCCATGTCCCTACAAAGGACATGAACTCATCTTTTTTTTCTGGCTGCATAGTATTCCATGGTGTATATGTGCCACATTTTCTTAATCCAGTCTATCATTGACGGACATTTGGGTTGGTTCCAAGTCTTTGCTATTGTGAATAGTGCCCTGAGGCCACTTTTTAAGCAAACTCAGCCTTCTTTTCTGTAACTAGAGAAAACGTCTATGGTAGTTATTTAGCATTCACTATGTAGGGCACTGTTCTTCTCCCATGGCATAGATATCATTATTATCATCCCCATTTTATAAGTAAGGGAATTGAGGCACAAAGAAATGGAGTTGCTAAAAGTTACAGAGCAGTAACGCAGAGCCACGTCATCCCGCTCCTAAGTCGGGGACCCGAACCACTGTGCTATATAGCAGGTCACCATACTTTATTGAAATTACTTTTAAAGTGTTTCTCCAGACCCAGGCACAGTGGCTCACAACTGTTAATTCTAGCATTTTGTGAGGCTGAGGCAGAAAGATCGCCTGAGGCTAGGAGTTCAAGACCAGCCTGGTCAACATAGTGAGACCCCATCTCTTTAAAAAAAAAAAAAAAATGAAAAAGAAAGTGTTTCTCCCAGTAAATTATCATGTCAGCGTCTTTGTCTCTCTTTCACTGCTGAGCCCCAGAAGCCATCAACAGTGATGACTCATCATAGAATGAATAAATAAGGCCTAGAACAGAGACTCCAGGCCTGGGGCAGAAAGTTCCCAGGTTCTCTCTCACCAGCTCCTTTCTGAGCTCCTGAGTTTAAGAGAGTGCTCCTCTTCAAATTAACCAGGGAAGACCAAGGACTCAGCATTGGCCTAGGAATGTGAGCAGAGTGAACATCGCAGCCAGCCTGTGCTCAGGCCTTTCGGGGACACTTAAAGGAGCTCTCCCTCCAGGTCCAGCCAAGCTTCAGGCTGGGAGCACCAAGGCTCCCAGCCTTGTAAACACTGTCAGCCTTGTTTGGCTGATAGCCGAACTCCGGTGCACACTAAGTGTTTCTCCGTTTTGCAATTCCTTCTTTATTCTCTGCACACATTGCCCCTTCCAGGATCTCATAGTGCTGCACAGGTGGCTGAATTTAAGTGCTCTCATTTCCAGGCCAAAATACCATCTCTTAAGCCTCTTTTAATATTGCTCTTTGAAAATGTCCAACATAACTTCTTTCAAATAAATTTTTCATACCAGTATATATTCACAATAATGAAAACACTCATCACTCCCCTTCCCTAATTAATTTTTTTTCTATAGCGCTTATCACCATGTAATTTTTTTTTTTTTTTTTGAGACAGAGTCTCGCTCTGTCACCCAGCTGGAGTGCAATGGCACGATCTTGGCTCACTGCAACCTCCGCCTCCCAGGTTCAAGCAATTCTCCTGCCTCAGCCTCCCGAGTAGCTGGGATTACAGGCGCCCGCCACCATGTCTGGCTAATTTTTGTATTTTTAGTAGAGACAGTTTTCGCCACGTTGGTCAGGCTGGTCTTGAACTGACCTCGTGATCTGCCCGCCTTGGCCTCCCAAAGTGCTGGGATTACAAGCCTGAAGCACCATGCCTGGCCTTTTTTTTTTTTTTTTTTTCTTGAGACAGAATCTTGCTCTGTCACCTAGGCTGGAGTGCAGTGGCGTGATCTCGCCTCACTGCATGCTCCGCCTCCCGGGTTCACACCATTCTCCTCAGCCTCCTGAGTAGCTGGGACTACAGGCACCCGCCACCACGCCCAGCTAATTTTTTGTATTTTGTTTAGTAGAGATGGGGTTTCACCGTGTTAGCCAGGATGGTCTCGATCTCCTGATCTCGTGATCCTCCCGCCTCGGCCTCCCAAAGTGCTGGGATTACAGGTGTGAGCCACTGCGCCCAGCCTAATTTTTTTATCTTTATAGAGATGTGGTTTCACCATGTTGGCCAGGCTGGTCTCGAACTCCTGACCTCAAGTGATCCTCCCGCCTCGGCCTCCCAAAGTGCTGGGATTACAGGCATGAGCCACTGTGCCTGGCCACCATGTAACATATTATATGCTGTTATATTTAACTTATGTATTAGCTGTCCCCTCCCCCCTGACTAGAATGTGTGTTCTACAGGGGCAGTAGTTTGTGTCTATTTGGTTCATAGCTATATGCTAAGCCTCAGAACAATGTCTGGCACGTAACAGTCATTCCATTACTATTTGGTAAGTGAATGATCTGTGTAAATTATGTAGCATGGCCCTGTGTTCCCTCACTAGTGTTTACAATGTACTACAATATACTTTGTACACTGTTTACTACGCTTAATAAAAGTAAGTTTAAAAAACTAAGATGTTTGGGGAAAATATTTACAAAGATGAGATAGTCCAAGGCAGGAATGGGAGGTGACTACAAACGGGCACAGGGTTTTTAGGGAAGGGACACAAATGTTCTAGACGTGGATTGTGTTGCTAGCTGCACAGGCCTATGAATATATTAAAAACATGAAACTATACACTTCAAGTAGGTTAATTTTATGATACGTGAATTTTTTCTTTTTTTGAGACGGTCTCACTCTGTCACGTGGGGCAATCACGACTCACTGCAGCCTCAATCTCCCAGGCTCAAGTGATCCTCCCATCTCAGCCTTCCGGGTGAGTAGCTGGGACACACCGCCATGCTGGCTATTTTTGCCTTTTTTTTTTTTTTTTTTTTTTGAGACAGAGTTTTGCTCTGTCACCAGCCAGGCTGGAATGCAGTGGCACAATCTCGGCTCACTGCAATCTCTGCCTCCCAGGTTCAGGCGATTCCCCTGCCTCAGCCTCCCAAGTAGCTGGGACTACACGTGTGCACCACCACGACTGACTAATATTTTGTATTTTAGTAGAGACAGGGTTTCACAGTGTTGGCCAGGATGGTCTTGATCTCCTGACCTCGCGATCTGGCAGCCTCGGCCTCCCAAGGTGTTGGGTTTACAGGCGTGAGCCACTGCAACCGGCCTAATTTTTGTATTTTCTGTAGAGATGAGGTTTCACTGTGTTACCCAGGCTGGTTTTGAACTCCCAGCCTCAAGTGATCTACCCGCCTCAGCCTCCCAAAGTGCTGGGACCAAAGGCGTGAGGCACCACACCCGGCCAAATTATTTCTAATATAAAGCTGTTAAAATATTTAGTAATATGACCTATTCAGTTCTGCTGACTCCAAAAAACTGCTAACTTCTTATCTATGTTAAATTTGTTAACAACTAATGGCTTCTGGGAAATAGATGTGGTATCAGATGGTCATTTCCAGTCCATTACCCAGAAGAGACCACTTCACTGAGCTTGGCCTCCAACTTCAGCAGTTATTTTAATCCACCTTTTTGGAAATTGACAAAAACCCAAAATGACTACATGAGAAACCACTTCCTGTCAAAAAGCAAAGTAAGTTTCTAACTGTCCATGAAGACATCCCTTGGATGGAAAGATGTCCTTCTGAAATCACAAGAAATCATGCAGCTGGCCCAAAGGATCCACTTAATAATATCTGTCACTTAGATATTATACCAGCCCCAAGGTTTGTTATTAAACAAGTTAGTGGAGAGAGACACCCTGGAGAGAAACTACCAGGACTTTTTCTTCTTTGGTAGTATGTTAAGTGCCTATGTAGATTTCTCAAGAATTGCACAGTTTATTTTAACAGCCTCACTTGCAATTTAACCACTGCTGAGATTTGATAAATCATCACATATATTACACACACAGGTACAGCATAGCATATCCCACCACTGATATTTGAGAACCCTCTAAATGTAATATGCTTTTCATTCAATATTTTCTCAAAAGAAAAACTGTAATCTACAATCACTTAGACTATTCCAGACAGCTCTTTGGGATAAGGATGTGTTTGGGTATGTTACAATTTTCTGGGATGTGCTGTGTCAGATCACTGTGTTTTTATCTTATGTTTTATGAAAGTTCTGTTTCATAAAAGCTCTCTGAAAAGAGTGCTATGTCTTGTGATCACAACCACATAGACATTCAGTGCTGCCCTGGAGGCCTGGACAGTCACAGGTCCTGCTCTAAAAGCAACTCATGATGACTTAGGGCCTCAGGCTGTTGCTAATTAAGGATTTCAATTAAAACAGGCAACACTGGCTACAGCTCCAGTGCTGGCCTTTTTCAGGCTATTGATGTTCACAGCTTTTAAGGGCATTGCTGTTGTAGAATCGTGGGAAGAACAAAAATTAATTTACTGGTCATTTTTCTTTCCCTTTCGTGTCACGAAAACAATTGCAGGAATGGGGACTAGACTTCTAGGCTTTCTATTTCATTTTTAGTTTTTAAATTCATACAGGGTTAGCAGCTGCAAACTTTTTGAAGTGTCTCACTATTGTTCTCATGAGAAGTGAGGTAATGTAAGCATAACCATTGAAGGCTGTCTCTGCTATTCTCCAAGGATATTCCACTAGTTTGTATTGAGAGTGAGTCTCATATCAAAGGATATAATTTAAATCACATCACCTTTCCCCCTAGAAGTTAACTACAACCTCCCAATTAAGCATAACAGGAAGATCAATCATGTTTGCTGAATCCCATGATTGAGTGATTGATGGATTATTTTCCCCTCATCTTGAGGCACAAAAATAGGGTCTGGAGGTGGGGAATATAAGGCTGATTCACACTTCAGCTGTAACAGGAAATAATCCTCTCCATAGGGTATACACTGAGTAAATGACTTTGTAACTTTACTTCATCCTCTTCATTTACATAGGGTGTACCCCTAGTAGAGGGCATTTAAACTCACAAAAACTCTGTAACAGGGCCTATGCTATGACTCCCTATGCTCAGACGCACACTGTGGAGTGTACTTTCATTTTCAATAAAACCCTTCATTCCTTCCTTGCTTTGTTTGTGCATTTTGCCGAATTCTTTGTTCTAGATGCCAAGAACCAAGACACCCTCCACCATTAACAGTCTTGTTTGAAACAGGATGTTCCAGGGTCCAAGAGGAATCCATTAAGAGGCAGTTGTTAACGTATGCTAGCTTCCTTACTCGTCACAACGTATAAAACACCAAGTGTGCTTAACCTCTGGTATATGAATAAGACTACATGCCCCAAAATTATGTGCCAAGTGATATGGTTTGGCTGTGTCCCCACCCAAATGTCATCTTGAATTGTAGCTCCCACAATTCCCACATGTCATGGGAGGGACCCAGTGGGAGATAATTGAATCATGGGGGCTGGTCTTTCCCGTGCTGGTCTCATGATAGTAAGTCTCATGAGATCTCTTTTTTTTTTGAGACGGAGTTTCCTCTGTCACCCAGGCTAGAGTGCAGTGGTGCGATCTCAGCTCACTGCAACCTCTGCCTCCTGTGTTCAAGCGATTCTCCTGCCTCAGCCTCTCGAGTAGCTGGGACTAGAGGCCCTGCCACCGCGCCCAGTTTTTTTTTTTTTTTTTTTTTTTTTTGTATTTTTAGTAGAGATGGGGTTTCACTGTGTTGGCCAGGATGGTCTCCATCTCCTGACCTCATGATCCACCCACCTCGGCCTCCCAAAGTGCTGGGATTACAGGCATGAGCCACCACACCCGGCCCTAGATCTGATGGTTTCCTAAAGGGGAGTTCCTCTGCACAAGCGCTCTCTTGCTTGCTGCCATGTAAGACGTCCCTTGCTCTTCCATCATGATTGTGAGGCCTCCCCAGCCATGTGGAACTGGGGGTCAATTAAACCTCTTTCCTTTATAAATTACCCAGTCTCAGGTATGTCTTTATTAGAAGCATTAGCATGGACTAATACACTGAATTTTGTATGTGATAACCTTTTTCTGGGAAATGGAGTCTATGGCTTTTATCAGATAATGAAAAGAGCTTGCAAACCGTTAAAAGTTAGGAACTAGTTTGAGGATAGTGCTACTCACACACAGCCAACAGCAAGGCTGCCTCTTGGAGATTCCTCTGGGACCTCATCACTCCAGACCAAACGGGTAAAGGCTTTCTGAATAAATGATGGTGGGGCCAGACCCTCATCTGTCTCACTGGTTTAGAGCTTCCATACAGCCCTTTTATTCATTGGGCAATGTTTCTCTGCTCAACCAGCCCTTACTCTAAGTCATGGGAAACGCACAGTTCAGGAAAATGAAGCTACTCAAGAGCCCTGATTTGATGAACAACTTCAGATAATACACACCTTATTTCTTGGGTTTTTGTTTTTTGCTCTTTTGGAGACAGGGTCTCGCTCTGTCAACCAGGCTGGAATGCAGTGGCGCAATCACGGCTCACTGCAGCCTCGGCCTTCCAGATGCAAGCAATCCTGCCTCAGCCTCTTGCACAGCTGGGACTACTGGTGTGCTGATATCACCATGCCTGGCTCATTTTTTAATTTTTTTGTGTTGGGATTATAGGCGTGAGCCACTACACCTGACCCATTTAATTATTCTATACCTTTTATTTCTTCATCTGAGAATAGTATATACTTTGTGGAGATGCTACAAAAGATTAAGTGTAACAATGTACATAAACTTCTAGCACACAATGTGGCACTTAGTAAGGGCTCACAAAGGCTAGACATTAATGTTAACTTCCAGCCCATTCCATGTACTGAGCCCTATTCCAATTTAGGTATCATCCTGTTTCTTCCCCTAGAACAGCTCCACCCATCCTTCTTGCCACCTGCTCTTTTCTTGTCTAATCTTGACTCCTTTTCACCTCTGGGCTTACATGTAACTTCCTTGGAAAAGCCTTTCTAGAATTTCCTGTCTAGATCATGTTGCTCATGATGCTAATCTGTGGTCATGTAATATCTTGCCATGTTTCTTCTATAGAACTATAAGCAAAAGTATTTGTTTACTGCTGGCTATGTCCCTATTCCTCTCCTCCACTATAAACTCACTGAGGGCAGAAATGAAGTCTTCCGAATTGTCTCCCCAGCAGTGACTAGGGTGTCCAGCATTTAGTGTTTGCTTAATAATTCCTGGTTGCAAGAATAAGTGAATGAATCAATGAATCCATTCCTATGAAGACTTGGCAGTTGTGTGAGTCTTAGCTTGTATCTTCCAATTGTCCCTTACATTCTCTTCTCCAGGTATTCAGGGAGCATTATTTTCCCATTTGGAGCTAAGACAGTTGATGCTGAACATTCACCAAAAAAATCATCATATTCAACATGAATGTTTGTTTTAAGTCAATCCAGTGTGTTTTATTTTCTTTGTCCTTACGAAGGTTTTGTGGACAATAATAATAAACAGACACAGGTGAGCAACAGGGGACCTTCCTGCCCGCTTGCACAGGCACAAGGACAAGGGTATGCATCTGAGAGCCAGGGGACCCGCCCCCTGGAGAATGCCTGCAGGACGTTATGACCCCCAAGCTTAATGTGCAGTGGGGAGTTTTGTCCACTGCTTCCGAGTCTGTAACCAAATAACCATCTTAGCTTGTGATGAGAGATTTTTTTCACTGGGTTCAACTCCTAGGGCTGTAATCAGGTTAGAGAAATCCTGTAAATGGCCCTAAAGCTAAAACTAAAAATAGATCAGAGCTTTGTGTATGCCATCAGCACATGAACCTGACAAGACAGTCAGTGGCTCTTTGCCCCTTTCCCTAGCTTAACTGTTTCTTTCACTTTTAAGAATGTACTTATTTGGCAGGGCGCGGTGGTTCACGCCTGAAATCCCAGCACTTGGGGAGGCCGAGGCAGGCGGATCACAAGGTCAGGAGATCGAGACCATCCTGGCTAACACGGTGAAACCCCGTCTCTACTAAAAATACAAAAAATTAGCCGGGCGTGGTGGTGGGCGCCTGTAGTCCCAGCTACTCGGGAGGCTGAGGCAGGAGAATGGCATGAACCCAGGAGGCGGAGCTTGCAGTGAGCCGAGATTGTGCCACTGCACTCCAGCCTGGGCGACAGAGCGAGACTCCATCCCCCTCCAAAAAAAAAGAATGTACTTATTTTTGGCTGGGCACAGTGGGTCACACCTGTATTCCCAACACTTTGGGAGGCCGAGGCGGGTGGATTGTTTGAAGTCAAGAGTTCGAGGCCAGCTTGACCAACATGGTGAAACCCCATCTCTACTAAAAATACAGAGAAAAAAAAAAAGCCAGGCTGCAGTGGTGCAGCACCTGTAATCCCAGCTACTCGGGAGGCTGATGCAGGAGAATCACTTGAACCCACGAGGCGGAGGTTGCAGTAAGCTGAGATCGTGTCACTGCACTCCAGCCTGGGCAACAGAGCAAGACTCCATCTCAAAAAAGAAAAAAAAATGTGCTTATTTTTTTCTACATGGAAATGTAGGAGTAACACGCTAAATGAATTACCTGTTTCTTCATCCTTCTAGAAATAGTTCTTTTTGGCCGGGCGCCGTGGCTCACACCTGTAATCCCAGCACTTTGGGAGGCCAAGGCGGGCGGATCACGAGGTCAGGAGATCGAGACCATCCTGGCTAACACAGTGAAACCCCATCTCTACTAAAAAATACAAAAAAATTAGCTGGGCATGGTGGTGGGTACCTGTAGTACCAGCTACACGGGAGGCTGAGGCAGGAGCATGGCCTAAGTAAACCCGGGAGGCGGAGCTTGCAGTGAGCCTAGTTCATGCCACTGCACTCCAGCCTGGGCGACAGAGCGAGACTCCGTCTCAAAAAAAAAAAAAAAAAAAAAAGTCCTTTATTTTTTTTTTTTCAAGATGGGGTCTCACTATGTTACCCAGGCTGGTTTTGAACTCCTGGGCTCAAGCAATCTTCCAGCCTTGGCCTCCCAAAGTGCTGGTATTACAAGCATGAGCCACCACACCAGTCTAGGAATAGTCTTCATCCAAGATCTATCCGCAAACCCCTCAAGAAATAGCTCTCCTCTCACCTACACAAAAAGTTATTTTGAAACTTCGTCAAGTAGTATTTTACTAATTTAGCCTATATAGGAATAATGGATAATGTAGATATAAAAAAATCCATTTGGGCTATAAATTATGCTTGCAATCTCAGCACTTTGGGAGGTCTAGGCATGTAGATCGCCTGAGCCCAGCAGTTTGAGATCAGCCTGGGCAACATGGCAAGACACTGTCTCTGCAAAAAATCAAAAAGTTAACCAGACATGGTGGCAGGCACTTGTGGTCCCAGCTACCTGGGGAGGGTGAAGTGGGAGAATCACCTAAGCCTGGAAAATTGAGGCTGCAGTGAGCTGTGATTGCGCCACTACGTTCCAGACTGGGTGACACAGTGAGACCCTGTCTCAAAAATAAATAAATAAATTGGCCCGACACAGTGACTCACGCCTGTAATCCCAGCACTTTGGGAGGCTGAGGCAGGTGGATTGCCTGAGTCCAAGAGTTTCAGACCAACAAAACCCCGTCTCTACTAAAAATTAAAAAATAAAAAAATAAAATGGCCAGGCGTGGTGGCATATGCTTGTAGTTCCAGCTACCTACCCGGGAGGCTGAGGTGGAGGAATCATCTGAGCCCGGGAGGTCAAAGCTGCAGTGAACCAAGATTGCACCACTGCACTCCACCCTTGGCAACTCTGGCCTGGGGGAGTGAGACCCTATCTCAAAAAAATAAATAATGAAATAAAAAAATAAGGCTAGGTACAGTGGCATGGCCGGGCTTGGTGGCATATGCTTGTAGTCCCAGCTACCCGGGAGGCCGAGGCACAAGAATCACTTGAACCCGGGAGACGGAGGTTGCAGTGAACCAAGATCATGCCACTGTACTCCAGCCTGGGCGACAGAGCCAGACTCTGTCTCAATAAGTAAATAAATAAACAATAAAAATAGAAAATGTCTTTAAAGATGGGATCTTGCTATGCTGCTCAGGCTGACCCTGAACTTCTGGGCTTAAGAGATTTCTGGGCTCGAGATTCCCTCCGCCTCAGCCTCTCAAGTAGCTGGAACTGTAGATGTGCACCATCACACCGATCTCACACGTTGATAAATTTAATCGCTAAGTCCATGATTTATTCTAGATTGTTCTCATGTGCTACTAACATGGTTCTATTCAGATTCAGCATGGGGGAGTATCACAGAGAATAGGATTGGCTGGGTGTGGTGGCTCACGCCTGTAATTACAGCACTTTGGGAGGCCAGAGAGTGGATCACTTGAGGTCAGGAGTTCGAGACCAATCTGGCCAACATGCTGAAACCTCGTGTCTACTAAAAATACAAAAAAATTAGCTGGGTGGGGTGGCAGGAGCCTGTAATCCCAGATATTTGGGAGGCTGAGGCAGGAGAATTGCTTGAACCCAGGAGGAGGAGGTTGCGGTGAGCCGAGATCACACTACTGCACTTTAGCCTGGGTGACAGAATGAAACTCTGTCTCAAAAAAAAAAAAAAAAAAAAAAAAAAGAGAATAGGATTATCTTTGGAAAACTCTACTTTCTGTACTCTTTTTCTTGAAGCTTTTACTCTTCCCAAGGCTCTTCCTGGCAGTGAAACTGATTCAATAAACTGATTCAAAGAAGATACTAATGCTAAATCTAGGTGTTAACAAGTAAAACTATACGTTACAGTCATAATGGATATTACTCCCTCTCCAAGGTTTTGCTTTCCACAGTTTCTGTTGTTTGGGTTTTATTGTATTTTTTGTTTGTTTTGTTTGAGACAGGGTCTCACTCTGTCGCCCAGGCTGGAGTGCAGTGGTGTGATTATGACTCAGTGCAGCCTCCACCTCCTGGGCTCAAGTGATCCTCCTACCTTGGCCTCCCAAATAACTGGGACTAGAGGCACATGCCACCACATCCAGCTAATTTTTGTATTTTTTTTGAAGAGACAGGGTTTTGCCATGTTGTCCAGGCTGGTCTCAAACTCCTGGGCTCAAGAGATGCCCTCGCCTCAGCCTCCCAAAGTGCTGGGATTAGTGAGCCACCACATCCAGCCAGTTTCTGTTACCTTTAGTCAACCAGCATTGTCATGGCTCAGTGATCCTCCTGCTGACACACAGTGAAAAGGTCAATAGCAGTCAATGCTGCGTTACAATACCTAGGTCAATCACCTCACTTCATCTCATCACA
Organism: Homo sapiens; assembly: GCF_000001405.40. Classification (NCBI taxonomy): domain Eukaryota; kingdom Metazoa; phylum Chordata; class Mammalia; order Primates; family Hominidae; genus Homo; species Homo sapiens. The sequence goes on along the minus strand of NC_000005.10, from coordinate 17,014,815 downwards.
TAGACATTGTGTCATCTTACACCATCACAAAAAAGTCGAGCATAGTACAGTAAGATATTTTAAGAGAGACCACATTTATACAACTTTTATTACAATATTTTATTATAGTCAATCTCTCTTTTTTTTTTTTTTTTTTTTTGAGATGGAGTCTTGCTCTGTCGCCCAGGCTGGAGTGCAGTGGCGTGATCTCGGCTCACTGTAACCTGCGCCTCCCAGGTTCAAGTGATTCTCCTGCCTCAGCCTCCTGAGTAGCTGGGACTACAGGCGCCCGCCACCATGCCTGGCTAATTTTTGTATTTTTAGTAGAAATGGGGTTTCACCATGTCAGTCAGGCTGCTCTCGAACTCCTGACCTCAGGTGATCCACCTGCCTTGCCCTTCCAAAGTGCTGGGATTACAGGTGTAAGCCACCGTGACAGGCCTGTTGATCTCTTACTGTAACTAATTTATAAATTAAATTTATTATAAGTATGTATATATAGGGAAACAAAATAGTATAAATAGCACTTGGTACTATCCACAGCTTCAGGCATCCACTGGGGGTCTTGGAGCCTGTCCCCCACAGGTAAACGGAGACTATTTTAATTTAAGAGAGAATGCCTACATAAGGCAATGCTCTGAAATGACAACTATTCAATAGTGGAATTTCATGCACTTTATGTATATCATTGAGGTAGAAATATGGAGCCTAACGGTGTTTTTACCAGAGTAGCTTAAGCTATATAATAAAGCAGTTCTCTTTATGCTGTAGTGATTGTCCAATGACTCCACATTTCAAACCTGGAAGTACACTCAGCTTTGTAAACCATCTGGCAGAGTAGAAGTTCTACCAATGGACCTCCACTTAACCAACTCATTTGGGTTAAGCAACACTCTTCAATTTATCTGTAAAGCAAATCAACTGAGACCCACAACACGCTGAAAGCTTGAAATTAATAGGCTTCCCTCTGGTACACGACAAACATAGGTAACTTTGATAAGCACGGAGTCACCTATCAGACTCAGTTGGTGCTTATCAAAGTCAGTTATTCTCAAATATTTTTATATGGAATAGACTTGTTATTTTAACTAAGAATTTAATTAAACTAATTAACCATTATGAAAACCAATTAAATAAAAGGGCAAAAAGAGAATTGCTTTTTCTAAGAAACTACAGTTGACTGGCCGGGCGCAGTGGCTCATGCCTGTAATCCCAGCACTTTAGGAGGCCGAGGCGGGTGGATCACGAGGTCAGGAGATCGAGACCGTTTTGGCTAACACGGTGAAACCCCATCTCTACTAAAAATACAAAAAAAATTAGCCGGGCATGGTGGCAGGCGCCTGTAGTTCCAGCTACTTGGGAGCTTGCAGTGAGCCAAGATTGTGCCACTGCACTCCAGCCTGGGCGACAGAGCAAGACTCCGTCTCAAAAAAAAAGAAAAAGAAACTACAGTTGACTACTACTTTGCAAAGATGGAATAAAAGTAACTAACAACTGCTGTCAAAGTAAATTTGGGTAAGAACCATATATGACTCAAGGTGGGTTGCGTCATGAAAATCTAGAAGAATTATGTACTTTGATTGCTTCACAAATTCTTTGAGTTCTCCTTTGTAATAAAGAAACGAAAGTTAGAACTCATAGATGGTATACTGGAGGATGTCAGTTATTCAAGAAAGATGATGCTGTATTCCAATCAGTGGGCAAAAACTTTATACGCAAAAAAAAAAAAGAAATCCTTGGCCCTACATCAAAAGATCGACAAAGGAATGTAGGTGTAAATATTTTAAGTCAAATGGGTTTTTTTGTATTGTTTTGTGAAACGGGATCTTGCTCTGTCACCCAGGCTGGAGTGCAGTGGCACAAACACAGCTCACTGCAGCCTCAAACTCCTATGCTTAACAGATCCTCCTGCTTCAGCCTCCTGTGTAGCTGGGACCACATGGGTGTGCCACCATGCCTGGCTAATTTTTTTATTTTTACTTTTGTAAAGACGGGGGTCTAATCATATTGCTTGGGCTGGTCTCGAACTCCTGGGCTCAAGCAATCTTCCGCCTCTGCCTCCCCAAGTACTGGGATTACAGGCATGAGCCACCACACCTAGACTAAGTCAAAATGTTCTAAAATAAATTGCATCACTTTTTAAAAAGAGATTCCCTTCTATGGTCCGCTTCTTAAATTAAGTGAACAGCCTCTGGTTTCAGGTGACAGTCTCAATCTCATCAGAAGAGAGGTCCTATAAACTCGTTAAACCTGTTATCAACCCAGTACCCATGACAGTCATTCTCCTGAGCTGGCTGTAGTCCCTGTCCATTTCCTTTTTACCATTTTTCTCACATTCCCAGTCTCCAAAAAGAGGAAAGGATAGAGACTTTTGATGACTTCATTCCCATAAGGTGTGACTCAGCTACTGTCACGTCATACCAGACAAACAAGGATCCTTTGGAGTGGAGGACCAAGGAAAAGGAAGTAACCAAACCCAATGGATGAGGAAGACAAGCTGATTTGGAAGGGAAGTGAGGAAGAGGATGAATAAAGAAGTTGGAAAAAAGGGGACCCAAGCACACTCAAATGCAAAAGCAGAGATTTATTGAAAAGCATTGAGAGACTGATTGGAAACCGAGAAAGAAAATGGTTATATTTTTTAAGTCTCAGTCCCATTTATCCAATTTGGGTCCTAGTCTGTTTTTTTTTTTTTTTTTTTTTTTTTTGAACAGGGTCTCACTCCTGTCACCGAGGCTGAAGTACAGTGGCGCAATCTCAGCTCACTGCAGCTTGACTTCCCAGGCTTAGGTGATCCTTCCACCTCAGCCTCCCAAGTAGCTGGAACCACAAGCTTACACCACCACACCCAGCCAATTTGTGTATTCTTGTAAAGATGGGGTTTTGCATGTTGCCCAGGCGGGTCTTCAAATCCTTAGCTCAAGCAATTTGTCCATCTCTGCCTCCTAAAGTGCTGGGATTATATGCGTGAGCCACCATGCCCAGCCTGACTTCTAGTCTTGAAGGATCAGATATAAAGGAATCCTAAATTGAAATTACAGGCTTCCTTCAATTTCTTGAAACTCTTCCTTTTACACTCATTCAGACTAATTGATAATTACTATGCTTTTGAAGTGCCACAAACATTAACAAAAAACAACACAGGCCTATTAATGCAATTTAGCATAAGAAATCTACTCTGGTGGGCTTTAAAAAATGGAACTAGGCGGGGCTGGGTATGGTGGCTCAAGTCTATAATCCCAGCACTCTGGGAGGCCGAGGCAGGTGGATCACCTGAGCTTGGAAGTTCAAGACCAGGCTAGTCAACATGGTGAAACCCCGTCTCTACTAAATATACAAAAATTAGCCGGGCATGGTGGCCACTGGCACCTGTAATCCCCGCTACTTGGGAGCCTGAGGCAGAACTGCTTGAACCTGGGAGGTGGAGGTTGCAGTGAGCCGAGATCGCACCACTGCAATGCACTACAGCCTGGGTGACAAAGCAAGACTCCGTCTCAAAAAAAAAAAAAAAAAAAAAAAAAAAATATATATATATATATATATATATATATATATATATATATCTCCAGATAAACAATTCTAAAACCACTACACATGTATAACCAGAATTAAACAAGTATATGATGGCAGATGGCAGAAGCCAGGTTTCCCACTGTTGGAGGGGGTGGTTACAAACAAGCAAGGGAGGGAGGCTAGGATACCCAATGTACTGGATTAGAGAGGGAGACATCAGTATGAACTAGTGTTTAGCTTAATATGAAAACTGACCGGGCATGGTGGCTCACGCCTGTAATCCCAGCACTTTGGGAGGCCGAGGCAGGCAGATCACCTGAGGTCAGGAGATTGAGACCAGCCTGGCCAACATGGCAAAACTAAAAATACAAAAACTAGTTTTGTATTTTTACAAAACTAATGTGTTTAGTTTTTGTATTTTAGTTTTTTACGAACTAAAAATACAAAAAATACTACTTGGGAGGCTGAGGTGGGAGAATCACTTGAACTTGGGAGGTGGAGGTTGCAGTGAGCCGAGATCATGCCACTGCACTTTGGCCTGGGAGACAGAGCAAGACTCATAAAAAAAGAAAAAAGAAGAAAAGCCCGGACGCGGTGGCTCACGCCTGTAATCCTAGCACTTTGGGAGGCCGAGACGGGCGGATCATGAGGTCAGGAGATCGAGACCATCCTTGCTAACAGGGTGAAACCCCGTCTCCACTAAAAATACAAAAAAATTAACCGGGCTTGGTGGTGGGCGCCTGTAGTCCCAGCTACTTGGGAGGCTGAGGCAGGAGAATGGCGTGAACCCGGGAGGCGGAGCTTGCAGTGAGCTGAGATTGTGCCACTGCACTCTAGCCTGGGCTACAGAGCGAGACTCCATCTCAAAAAAAAAAAAAAGGAAAATGGATACATATAGAAATATTTACAGGTATGTGCATATAGAAGAGTTAGAATATGAACATATTTCCTTGCTTTGTTGGCTGAGAGAACCACCTAGAAGCAATGACACTTCAGTAGCAAAAAGCACACCTCACACCCACATTTTTGTTCCTACAATCATTCTTTGACAGAAGATACCACACCTTGGAGAAATGGCTGACCCTAACACTGGTGCAGGAAACAAATAAGATGAAACTGGAACATCTTAACAGTGCCAGAAAATAGGTAGTGCTAAGGAAAAAAAAAAACAGCCAGGCGTAGTGGCTCACGCCTGTAATCCCAGCACTTTGGGAGGCTGAGGTGGGCAGATCATGAGGTCATGAGATCGAGACCATCCTGGCTAACACGGTGAAACCCCGTCTCTACTAAAAATACAAAAAAAAAAAAATTAAGTGTGGTGGTGGGCGCCTGTAGTCCCAGCTACTCGGGAGGCTGAGGCAGGAGAATGGTGTGAACGTGGGAGGCGGAGCTTGCAGTGAGCCGAGATCGCACCACTGCACTCCAGCCTGGGCGACAGAGCAAGACTCCGTCTAAAAAAAAAAGAAAAAAAAGAAACTCACACATACACATGATAAGGATATATCAAAGGGGAACAGAAGTCAACTGAAAGAGCTCCCAATGGCCAAAGCTTAAACAATTTCATTCCCAAGATAAAGTAGTATTGGATTAGAATAGAAAGTATAAAGTAAGTACCCCTGAGTCCTTATGGTTAGATAGGTAGGTAGGTACATAGATGGATGGATGGACAGATGGACCCAATGGACAGACAAATGGCTAGATAGATGATACATACATACATACATGGATGGATGGATGGATACATACATGGATGGATAGATTGATAGATTGAAGGATAGATATATATATACATACATATATACATGGATGGCTGGCTGGATGCATAGATACATAGACGCCAGATGGCTGGATAGAGAGGAGGATTGATTAAAGGATAGATAGGTTGAAGGGTAGATAGATACATACATGGAAGGATGGATGGATGGATGCACAGATACACAGATGATGGATGGATAGATAGATACATAGAAGGAGAGATAGATAATAGTCAAATCTCCCATGCACAGTAATTCTAAATAAAATTTATGCACATATTCCACCCTTAAGGAGGTGGAGCATAACTCCTCATTCTTAAATTAAACTTGCACTTAAAGACTTCTTTCCAGGCCGGGCATGGTGGCTCATGCCTGTAATCCCAGCATTTTGGGAGGCCGAGGTGGGCAGATCACAAGGTCAGAAGTTCAAGACCAGCCTGGCCAACATAATGAAACCCTGTCTCTACTGAAAACACAAAAATTAGCTGGGCATAGTGGCACATGCCTGTAGTCCCAGCTACTCAGGAGGCTGAGGCAGGAGAGAGAGAATTGCTTGAACCCGAGAGGCAGAGGTTGCAGTGAGCCAAGATTGCACCACTACACTCCAGCCTGGGCAACAGAGAGAGACTTCGTCTCAAAAACAAACAAAAAGCCTTCTTTCCAAAGAATATAATATGGAAAGAGAGAATAACTTTCCTTCGTAGAAATCATACACGAAAACCCCTCTGTCCTTCCTGCCTCGTCATTTACGCGTCTCCAGAACATTCTGCTGTACCCTTTATCTAAGAATAAACACTACCTCAGGTAGATGATTAGAGTTAATGTCAACAATGACAAAATCATGTAGATAGTCTGTTTCTTTGATATAATGTGATGAGAATTTCACTTTACCTGTGTGGTCTTCCTCCCAAAAACCCATAAAACCATGAGACAGACATCAGGCAAAGCCCAGTTGAGAGACATTCTACGAAATACGTGACCAGTGCTCAGACAAAGCAAGGAGAGTCTGAGAAACTGTCACAGTGCAGAGGACCCTAAGAAGTCATGATGCCTCCCTAAATATGACGTGTCTCCTGGATGGGATCCTTGAACAGGAAAGGACATTAGGTAAAAATGAAGGAAATGGGAGTAAAGTATGGACTTTAGTTAATAATACTGTATCAAGGTTGGTTAATTTTGGAAAATGTACCACACTAATGTAAGATGTCATTAATAGGGGAAACTGAGCGTGGTGGGCTAGATGAAAACTCTCAGTACTATCTTCAAAACTTCTATGAATCTAAAATCATTGTAAAATAAAAGCTTATTTTTTATTTTTTGAGATGGAGTTTCGCTCTTGTTGCCCAGGCTGGAGTGCAGTGACAAAACCTTGGCTCCCTGCAACCTCCACCTCCTGGGTTCAAGCGATTCTCCTGCCTCAGCCTCCTGAGTAGCTGGGATTACAGGCACGTGCCATCATCCCCAGCTAATTTTTTGTATTTTTAGTAGAGACGGGTTTTCACCATGTTAGCCAGGTGGGTCTCGAACTCCTGACCTCAGGTGATCCACCCACTTCGGCCTCCCAAAGTGCTGGGATTACAGGCATGAGCCACCGTGCCTGGCCAATAAAAACTTATTTAAAAAAAAAAAATCTCAGAATGTAGCATAAAAAAAAAAATCAAGGGAAAGGTATTTTATTTTAAAAGTTAATACAACGATTAACAAAAGGGAAGATTTGTCGTTGGGTCTATTACCCAATGCTAAGATATAATTTAACATTTGCAGTGTGATGAAATACAGAGTCTTCATTTTATAATTCATATAAAAATCCTACAACATATTCAGACAAAGAAGATTATGAGAAAATGACATATACAATTGATGTAGTTTTTAAAGCTAGGCTTTTAACACTAATCTTCAGAGAGAGCATTGTTATTAAGAGCCCAGGAAAATATAAGATAACATCAAATTCTCTGAGCTAAATTAGTGGAGGCACATTTTTAAAAGCTCAGTGCTTGGATTCTAGTTTGTGTGATCCTGGATAAATCACTGGGCCAGAAGTTTCTCCATCTAAATAGTAAGATAATCCTAAACAGTCCCTAATGTCCCTTGACCTTTTTTTTAGATGGAGTCTCACTCCGTCACCCAGGCTAGAGTGCAGTGGTGTAATCTTGGCTCACTGCAACCTCCGCCTCCCGGGTTCCAGCAATTCTGCCTCAGGCTCCTGAGTAGCTGGGATTATAGGCTCACACCACCACACCTGGCTAATTTTTGTATTTTTAGTAGAGACGGGTTTCACCATGTTGGCCAGGCTGGTCTGGAACTCCTGACCTCAGGTGATACACCCGCCTCGGCCTCCCAAAGTGTTGGGATTACAGGCGTGAGCCACCAAACCCGGCCATGTCCCTTGAACTTCTCAGTGCCTATCATTCCATCCAGGGTAGTGTGGAAAACTAAGAAATACCTTGACCTAGTGTGCAAAGGATTTAGGTTAGAGAGTGAAAAATAATCTATCAACAGCAAGCATTAATTGAGAATGCTGGAATGGGTCAATTCTTAAGGATCCTTAATAATAATCTAGTCTTGAGGCTATTGTTCATAGCTAGGCGAGCTATAAGTCCCATGAGGCAAGGGATTGGGTCTGGCTTTTTTTTTTTTTTTGGTATCTCCAGGCCAGGCTGGTATCTCACTCTGTCACCCAGGCTGGAGTGCAATGGCGCGATCTCAGCTCACTGCAAGCTCCACTTCCCGGGTTCACACCATTCTCTTGTCTCAGCCTCCCGAGTAGCTGGAACTACAGGCACCCACCACTGCGCCCAGCTAATTTTTTGTATTTTTAGTAGAGACGGGGTTTCACCGTGTTAGCAAGGATGGTCTCGATCTCCTGACCTCGTGATCTGCTCACCTCGGCCTCCCAAAGTGCTGGGATTACAGGCGTGAGCCACCGTGCCTGGCCATGGCTTTCTTACCAGAAGTTTTTTTTTAATCAGAAAATGACTGCGTCCTTTTTTTTTGTTTTTTTTTTGTTTATTTGTTTTTGCCCCTAAAAGCCCGGGAAGGAAATATATAGCAGAATTGTAAAAGCTATTCAAAGGATATTCCACAAGCCCCACTTCTCAAGCAGTGAGAAAATTTGGTGTTAGTCTAGAAATAGTTCCTACCTTTCAAGGTGTCTTAGGTCTTCAATTAAAAATGAGGTGTAATGAAAGCTCTGAGCCCATTTTGATGTTTAACTGAAGACAGTTAACCATCTAGTTTAAGTCAAGTCCCAATACTCCCTCTTATTTGGCCAAGTTATAAGGAAGCCTAGCTGCTTGCTCTTTTGACGCCAGTGGAAGTTTAAACCACACAAGCTCTGGGACACACATGGAACCCCTCACCCCTGGCCACCTCCTGATCATAGTAAAAGCCAACATGGTAGCCCTTTGCCTGCTCTCGCAAGCCATTCTGAACCTGCTTGGGGGTCTGCCTTGCTCTCCCCAGAAAGTCTCACTAAGTGAGTAATAAAGTTTTTCATACCCTTTTGGTGCTTCTGTCGTGTCGTAGGTAAGGACATTAGCAATTTGTGAGGCCAAGGTGGACGCATCACCTGAGGTCAGCAGTTCGAGACCAGCCTGGCCAACATGGTGAAACCCCATCTCTACTAAAAATACAAAAATTAGCCAGGTGTGATGGCAGATGCCTGTAGTCCCAGCTACTTGGGAGGCTGAGGTGGGAGGATCACTTGGAGGTTGCAGTGAGCTGAGATTGCACCACTGCACTCCAGCCTGGGTGACAGAGCGAAATTCTATCAAATAGATAAATAAATAAAATAAGTACCGACATTAGGAACAAATTTTTGGTGGGGTTCCATCATGCCTCCCCACAAAGACACAACACGAGGAGACTTTTATTTATTTTGTTTTCATGAAACACACAAGAAAACTCAGTTGCTGGTGATTCACACTCATAATTATGGTACCGTCTCACAAATTATCCTGATAGGACTGTGCCTAGAAGTAGAATACAGTAGTAAGTCATGTCCTTTATAAAGAAGAAACCCTTCTGCTTTAAACACCCACTGGGTTTTAGCATAGTTTATTTGCTTAGAACAGGAGTAAGATTGCAAGTCCATTTCTATCTGCTAACGAACAAACACTAGAAAGTTCTTAGAGGCTTACAGACAGCCTGTTAATAACGCAGGCCAGATTCGAGACAAATAAAACATTTTTAAGGGCCTATCATTTCAAAGAAGCTCTAACAAAGAAAGGATTAGATTAGGCTCTAACCCTCAGGATTTCTAAAATAGAAAAGAGCACAGCTGCATTTTAAATCATCCGAGTGCGTGCATTATTTAGTAACTTCTTTTGTAACTGTTAGCACTACCGGTGCAATAAGAGAAAGTTAATTTTAGATGGCAGGGCATTTCCATTTTGTATATGTGTGTGTCATATGATTCATTCTCAAAAGCCTAGCTTGAAAGCCTCAGTTAAGATGTTTCTGTCGAGGTAAAACTGAAGCAAAATACTTTTATTCTAGTCCATCGTGCGGAGTTTACTCTGCCATGTAAAGCGGAGAATTTTCTCATTAATATTTCTGAGCTCTGTAATGCTTCCATTTTCAGCTGGGTTAAAAATAAAAGACATCATCATAGCGCCAACTAAGTATTTCTATCAGGGTAGGAGTAATAAGCGGTTCGTGGCTCCGTGGGGATTATCACATTACATTCATGGAAAACCACCAGTGCAACCCAGGCGACATTCAAGTTTGCCGTTAAAAGTAATATATAGTTGTCTTGTGCTGAGGTCAGACTAATCTGGATAAGAAAGAAAAATGCTCTAAAAAAATAAAATACAGAATGAAAAGAAAGACAATATTCCCCCTTGTTGGCTTGTCCCTGAAATTGGGACCAGGCCAACATGCACACCCCACCGCTTCCTGCTGGCATATTCTGGGGGTGAGAATCAATCCGCTCTTTGTAGGTATTAGAAATTGTGGAGGCATTAAAAAGGCAAACACTGAATAGATCTAATGTAGTTGGAGACAAAGGGTTTAAGTGATGTGGAGGAAGAGGGCAAGAGGAAAGCCGGTCAAGATCTGGGCCAGCCAGTGTCTCATTGGAGGGACTAGGGGGACTCAAGGTCACACCCGAGTCCACCTCACAGCTCAGAGGTGACCCTTATTTCTACTACTATTAATGCTTTATGTCACCAACCAAAAGCAAACAGCTGATTTCCCTTGGGACTAGACTTAAAAGGGACGTTTACAAAATATCCACAGTGCAATGTTTCTTTAATGTTCTATTTTAAGTTAACCTGCGTGTGTGTGGGTGTTTGGGGAGGGGGGTGTTGTGTGTATGTGTATGTAGTTTACACATCCTGTATACAGTGGTGGGAATGTATTCTTTTCTTGTCTTTTTTTTTTTTTTTAAGAGACGAAGTTTCACTCTTGTCGCCCAGGCTGGAGTGCAATGGCGCGACCTCGGCTCACTGCAACCTCTGCCTCCCGGGTTCAAGCGATTCTCTTGCCTCAGCCTCCCAAGTAGCTGGGAATACAGGCACCTGCCACCATGTCCAGCTAATTTTTGTATTTTTAGTAGAGACGGGGTTTCACTATGTTGGCCAGGCTGCTCTCGAACCCCTGACCTCAGGTGATCCACCCAACTAGGCCTCCCAAAGTGCTGGGATTACAGGTGTGAGCCACCACGCCCCGCCTCTTCCCTAGTCTTTTAAGAAACATAAACTCTGTATGCATCATGTCTAATAGGTACTTCTGTTTGAGACTTGAGGTACAAAATTGTTTTAATAATGACTTAACCTTGAACTAATTTTGAGTGTTAAAGGTTTCACTCCATACTAGAGAATAAAGTTGAAAGGGTTTTTTTTCTAAGTGAATGACCAAAGCATTATTTTGCTAAAGCAATAAACCTCAACTGTAAATCGTGCCATGCACTAAGTAGGTCACTGAAAACTAAAATGATATCAGATGTAGTCTAGGATTTCAGTTTAGCAGGATTATCTTTTCTAATTGCTGTTAAAATAAAACAACTACTTTTACTAAAAGCTTGGGGGTATGCTAGAGTGTTTTTAAAGCTATATTACAGCAAAAAAAAAAAAAAATTCTTCCCATGACAAGTTTTTATAAAAATGCTTCCATTCACCTTACTGCCTTAGAAAAATTATACACTGGATAGAATTTTGACTTTAAAGGTTTAGAGCCCTGGGATGCCACATGGGCACTGTGAATAGAATTTTCAATCAAGAACATAGTGAAACTCCATCTCTACTGAAAATGCAAAAATTAGCCAGGCATCGTGGCGCGTGCCTGTAGTCCCAGCTACTCGGGAGGCTGCAGGGGAATTGCTTGAACCTGGGAGGTGGAGGTTGTAGTGAGCATCATGCCACTGCACGCCAGCTTGGGCAACAGAGCGAGACTTCGTCTCAAAAAAAAAAAAAAAAAAAAGAATTTTCAATCAGGAACTGTCATGCCCTTCCTGGAAGTACTAGGAACACCACTGAATAAGCAAAGAATAAGTGAGAGAAGTTTCTTCTTATAGATCCCAGCTAAAGAAATGATAGAATTTGAATAGGACCACTTTATAACCCCAATAAATGGAGGGACCTGCCCATTGAGCATGAAGGGTTGAGAGCATCTCAAAAGTAGAGACAACCAGATATTGCACGTCTCCTGCTGGCAATGCCCCGCACTGTCTACAGAGTAGTCTTGCCCTACCCCACTCCCTCAAAAACAGCTTGAATCTGAACAAGCGTCTAGACCTAAATAGATATTTATAGGAAATATAAGAGAGAAAAATGTTATAGAACACCAAGGAGATGCCATCAGCAAAACTCATTTATGAAAAACTCTGCAAGATAAATAATCCAGTTTCCTCGGCAAATGAGTTACAAGGAATTAAGAAAAAGAAAAAGTGCCAGGCACATTGGCTCATGCTTATAAGGAGGACAAGACAAGAGGATGGCTTGAGCCCAGGAGTTCAAGACCAGCCTGGGAAACATAACGAGACCCTGTCTCTACAAAAAAATTTAAAAATTTAGCCTCATGTTGTGGTGTGTGCCTATAGTCCCCGCTACTTGGGAGACTAAAACAGAAGGATTACTTGAGCCCAGGAGTTCAAGGCTGCAGTGAGCTATGATCATGCCACTGCACTCCAGCCTGGGCAACAGAGTGAAACCCTGATCCTGTCACCCAAAAAAAAAGGAAAACTACATAGGTTAAGAGACAACTACTCATCACAAGGTGACCTTATATACTTCTTGATTCAAACAAACCAACTAAAAGAAAAATTACATAGATGAGGAGATTGAAAACCCCCGGATATTTTTATCATAGTTAAGCAACAATTGTCATTTGTTTTAGAAATAATAATGGTATTTTGATTATGTTGAAAGAGAAAATCCTTATATTTTGAAGACACAGACTGAAACATTTACAGATTTTTAAGAATTAATTTCTTATTTGACAAAGGAGGTATGTTCTGGGATTACTTCCTCAAAGAATTATGACTCTTTCCTCTTCCCCACCCTGAGCTAAAGTTCCCCTCCATCATATTTCAGTACTACCTTGTGTATATCTCCATCTTTGCACCTCCATGTTGCATAATAATCTGTTCATGTGAGTGTTTCTACCACTAGACCGAGCATCATTAGGTCGGTGATCATGCCATAATTGATTTGGTTTCTCCAATTCCTGACACATGGTGAATCAATAAATGAATGAATGCATGAACAATTCATTAACACCAATATTTTATTTTCAGCTCTACATGCTTATAGTAGCCAGGAGTTTCAAACTCCCCAATGCAAATGATGAATGGTTTCTGATTCCCAAGCTATAGAATTACCAAACAGCTTTCAGTCTCACTGTTTTAGCCATGTCTTCCTCCAAAGAATCGATGATTAATAGTCATAATAGCCAACTTTTATAGCCCACTTCCTATACACTGGGCACTGTTCCGAGTACTTATGTTTTAAATAATATTTTCATTACAGTCCTTTGACGTAAGGCCTAGTCTGATCATTCTCATGTTAGAGAAGAGAAACTGAAACACAGAGATGTGGGTCAGTGTCCAAGGTCTCTCATAAGGGGCAGACCTGGGATTCATACCCAGGAAAGCTGCTTCCAGAACATCTTCACTTGACCATGCTCAACAACCTCCCTAAGATAACTAGAGCCTTGCTAACCTAGTAGGTGTGGACTTTGCAGAAAGCTGCGTCTCTGGGCCATTGCAGTTCCAAGCACTTGATTCATAAGTGATCACTTTATTCATGCCAAAAAACACTATGAAATAAAGGCAACCTTAGGAAGATAAATAATCAGTATCAGAATAATGTAAGATAAAATACCATAGCAGAAGACTGTAAGATTGTCTTCAGATGTTTTGGGGGTTTTCTGTTTGTTTGTTTTTTGTTGTTGTTATTTTTTGTTTTGAGACAGAGTCTCTCCCTGAAGCCCAAGCTAGAGTGCAGTGGCACAATCTTGGCTCACTGCAACCTCCAATTCCTGGGTTCAAGTGATTCTCGTGCCTCAGCCTTCCAAGTAGCTGGGACTACAGGAACCTACCACCACACCTGGCTAATTTTTGTATTTTTAGTAGAGATGGAGTTTCGCCATGTTGGCCAGGCTGGTCTTGAACACCTGACCTCAGATGATCCACCTGCCTCGGCCTCTGAAGGTGCTGGGATTACAGGTGTGAGCCACAGCTTTCAGATGTTTAGTCAATCAAATTACTTCCCACTTCAGTACAGACATTTTGCCCAGCTAGTTAAAGAGTATTTTCTCGGGATGAGATCAGATGTGGCATTGACCCCATACATAAGACACCCATCATCTGACTGGGAACAAAAAATGAATTCCCAATTTAGCTCTTTCCTTGTGCCTCCTGCCCCATCTGGATACTGCTTCTTTCTTGGAATAATATCACAGTTAATCAAGGTTACAAAAACACGGAACATTCCTCCCTCATTTGAGGAATTTGGGATTGGTCAAAATCATTGTTGAACAAAATATCTAAGACAGAATGGGATAGAATTTACTTGATCTTTCCTTTTTTTCTTTTTCCAAGGAAGAAAGAGTCTCACTGACTCCAGGATTCTTGGCTTAGCCATTACTCAAGCCACAAATACTTCAGTTATCCAGTGAGTCAGCAGCCTTCAACCACACTTTTAAATAAAGGCCTTCTATCATGATATTTTTCATATGTGTTTTACTCCCTGTTGTATACCCTATAAATGCTAAGCTGTTACGATTTTTTTTTCCTCTCATTTCTTTCTGCGGAGATAGACCTGACATTTCTTTCAAGAAGACTGTTACTTATTTTCTACTAAGACTCAAACGACAAACTTTCTAGTGAATTCAATTGGGAGCTTCTTCTGGCCAATTCTAGCATTATTCTTTTTTTTCTCTTTTTTTTTTTTTTTTTTTTTTTGTTAATTTTTCTTTTTTTTCTTTGCAGACGGAGTCTCACTCTGTCGCCCAGGCTGGAATGCACTGGCACGATCTTGGCTCACTGCAACCTCCACCTCCTGGGTTCAAGCGATTCTCCTGCCTCAGCCTCCCAAGCAGCTGGGATTACAGGCATGCACCACCAGACCCAGCTAATTTTTTTTTTTTTTTCTGAGACGGAGTCCTGCTCTGTCACCCAGCTCCAGGGTTCAAGCAATTCTCTTGCCTCAGCCTCCCAAGTAGCTGAGATTACAGGCTCCCGCCACCATGCCCAGCTACTTTTTCTGTATTTGTAGTAGAGATGGGGTTTTGCCATGTTGGCCAGCCTGGTCTCAAACTCCTGACCTCAGGTGATCCGCCCACCTCAGTCTCCCGAAGTGCTGGGATTACAGGCGTGAGCCATCGTGCCCGGCCTTTTTTTTTTTTTTTCCCTACCTTATTGTGGTACAACATGCATATATAAAATATACAGTTTTAGCCATTTTTAATTATACAACTCAGCAGCATTAAGTACATTCACACTGCTATGCAACCATCACCACCATTTATCTCCAGAACTTGCTTCATCTTCCCAAATTTAAACTGTGTATCTCTTAAATTCAAATTCCTATCCCCCAACCTAGGCCTAGCAACCACCATTATACCTTCTGTCTCTCCTAATTTGTTCTTTGCTATTTCGATGGTTTTAATAAATGTAATTGGCCGGGTGCGGTGGCTCATGCCTGTAATCCCAGCACTTTGGGAGGCCGAGGCCGGTGGATCACGAGGTCAGGAGATCGAGACCACGGTGAAACCGTGTCTCTACTAAAAATACAAAACATTAGCCGGGCGTAGTGGCGGGCGCCTGTAGTCCCAGCTACTCGGGAGGCTGAGGCAGGAGAATGGCGTGAACCCGAGAGGTGGAGCTTGCAGTGAGCCGAGATTGCACCACTGCACTCCAGCCTGGGTAACAGAGTGTGACTCCGTCTCAAATAAATAAATAAATGTATTAATCATGATAAGGGCAGTGGGTTGCTAAAACAAAGAAACCTATACCTTTTTCTCCTTAAATCCATTTTTCAACTTTCAGTTATTAAATTTATAAATGATCCTTCCTTTTACAAGTAAGGCTAGAGTGCAGTGGCGTGATATTGGCTCACTGCAACCTCCACCTCCTGGGTTCAAGCAATTATCCTGCTTCAGCCTGGGATTACAAGTGCTCTCCACCACTCTTGGCTAATTTTTGTATTTTCGATAGAGACAGGGTTTTGCCATGTTGGCCAGCCTTGTCTTGAACTCATGACCTCAGGTGATCCACCTGCCTCAGCCTCCAAAAGTGCTGGGATTACAGGCACGAGCCACCTCACCCGGCCTTTTTTTGTTTTTGAGACCGAGTCTCACTCTGTAGCCTAGGCTGGAGTGCAGTAGTGTGATCTCGGCTCACTGCAACCTCCACCTCCCAGCTTCAAGGGATTCTCCTGCCTAAGCCTCCTGAGTAGCTGAGATCACAGGTGCGTGCCACCACGCCCAGCTAATTTTTGTATTTTTAGCAGAGACGGGGTTTCACCATGTTGGCTAGGGTGGTCTCAATCTCTTCACCTCATGATCCGTCTGCCTCGGCCTCCCAAAGTGCTAGGATTACAGGCATGAGCCACCTCGCCCGACTGATCCTTACTTTTGATGCTCTGTTTTAATCCACTTGTCTGCACACTGCTTTTAGGCACATTTTATGTGGTTCTTAATATAATCAAATATTGGGCAGGAAAAAGAAAGGGTCTCTGATTAAAAACAAGTTTAAGGGCTGGGCGAGGTGGTTCACACCTGTAATCCCAACATTTTGGGAGGCTGAGGTGGGAGGATCACTAGAGGCCACAAGTTTGAGATGAGCCTGGGCAATATAGCAAGACCCCATCTCTACAAAAAAAAAAAAGTAAAAAATTAGTCAGGCATGGTGGCATGTGCCTGTAGTCCCAGCTACTGCAGAGGCTGAGGTGGGAGGATAGTTTGAGCCCAGGAGTTTCAGGCTGAAATGAACTATGATTGCACCATTGCACTCCAGCCTGGGCAACAGAGCAAGAGTCTGCCTCAAAAAAAAAAAAAAAAAAAAAAAAAAAAACTAAATAAATAAATTTAAAGTGTGCTGGAGAAATAAGTTGTACCATTGGTTTTCCAAAGGCTTTAAATTATATGTATTTCAGTGACATCTTTCTTCATGAACACTGTTAACCATGGATAATTAAGAATTTTCTAAGTTTGAGACAGTTGACTGATTTCCCACAAAAAGCTTTGACTCATTTATCAAGTTTGTTTTTTTTTTTTTTTTTAAGACGGAGTCTTGCTCTGTGGCCGAGGCTGGAGTGCAGTGGCGCGATCTCGGCTCACTGCAAGCTCCGCCTCCTGGGTTCACGCCATTCTCCTGCCTCAGCCTCCCAAGTAGCCAGGACTACAGGCGCCCACTACTACGCCCGCCTAATTCTTTTGTATTCCTTAGTAGAGACGGGGTTTCACTGTGTTAGCCAGGATGGTCTCGATCTCCTGACCTCATGATCCGCCCGCCTCGGCCTCCCAGAGTGCTGGGATTACAGGCGTGAGCCACCGCGCCCGGCCTCAAGTTCTTTTAAAAGTAACTTTTCTCTTTCTCAGATATCTTTGAGCTGTCACATCAGAAAACAGAAAAAGAAAGGTAAACCTCAGGAGAGAATTACCAGGGAGAACTAAGTAAGTTAAGGATGAACATCTGATAACGCAACTTCTCAGCACCCGCGGGCAAATGGCAGGGAGAAAAGACTTGGGTTTTAAAAGCTGAGTGGGCAGAACGTACAGCACAGCGGAAAGAGCCCCTGCCTAATTTCTGAGACCTGGATGCCATGAGGAGTCTCCCTGCGGGCAGATGAAAAGGCAGCAGTTCCACACCCAGAGGCAGGGCCTGAGGATCACATTCACACCAACAAGTGGGAAGTAAAACCCACCCCATTCCCAACGCCTCAATATTATTATTCTTTTTTTTTTTTTAATTTCAGTAGGTTTTGAGGGAACAGGTGGTATTTGGTTACATGAATAAGTTCTTCAGTGGTGATTTCTGAGATTTTGGTACACCCACCACCCAAGCAGGGTACACTGAACCCAATGTGTGTAGTCTTTTATCCCTCACCCCCTTCCCACCCTTTCCCGAGTTCCCCAGAGTCCACTGTATGATTCTAATGCCTTCGCATCCTCACAGCTTAGCTCCTACGTATTTATTTTATTTTATTTTTTGAGACAGAGTCTCACTCTGTCACCGAGGCTGGAGTGCAGTGGCACGATCTCGGCTCACTACTAGCTCCGCCACCCGGGTTCACGCCATTCTCCTGCCTCAGCCTCCCGAGTAGCTGGGACTATAGGTGCCCGCCACCACGCCCAGCTAATTTTTTGTATTTTTAGTAGAGATGGGTTTTCACCGTGTTAGCCAGGATAGTCTCCATCTCCTGACCTCGTGATCCGCCCCCGTCGGCCTCCCAAAGTGCTGGGATTACAGGCGTGAGCCACTGCGCCCGGACCTTAGCTCCCACTTATGAGTGAGAACGTATGATATTTGTGTTTCCATTTGTGAGTTACTTCACTTAGAATAATAGTTTCCAGTTCCATCCAGGTTGCTACGAATGCCATTATTTTGTTCCTTTTTATGGCCACAATTTCTTTATCCAGATGTTAATTGACCAATATTGACTCAATATTCTAATAAAGTGGAAATTAAAAATAAAAATTACAGCCTGGGAAATGTGGCAAGACCCCATCTCTACAAAAAAATTTTAAAATGAGCCAGGCATGGTGGTGCATGCCTATAGCCCCAGCTACATGGGAGACTGAGACAGGAGGATTGCCTGAGCCAAGGAGTTTGAGGCTGCAGTGACCCATGATGGCACCACTGCACTCCAGCCTGAGCAACAGAGTGAGACCCTGTCTCAAAAAAATTTTTTTGATTAAAATTAAAAGATCACGTAGGGTTAGTGAGGAAATGTCTCTCCAATGGATTTCCAAGAGCCTCATGTAAAAAAATATAATGTATTATCCCTGACGATAATAACCTTGTTTCTAAAACAAGATTTTAGAAAACTTTAATCTCCAAATCTCATTAGGATGACAGTACAAACACACACTTAAGATCTTTAAGCAACCTTTCTGTGCATTTTGTTTTATTATATAATACACTAAATAGAATGTATATATTATATATGGTATGCATGGAGGGAGAGAGATCTAAAAAGTGAATTAACAAATGGACCACTACTTTTTGGATATTACTCCCTTGGTATGCAAAATATGAGGAAAGGGGACTTTGCCCTTTGTGAAATTCTCCTTGGGACAAAAGGCTCAACGCTGATCATTCAGTGCTCCCACAACCCCTTTAATAAAGGGAAAAATATGTCCTGAGCACATTCCTATTGGGATAATTACAAGGGACTTTCTACGAGAACAGTGTCTGCTTACCTTTCTACACACTAATTATCCTTCCAGGAAGTGGGGTTTTGCCCCGAGATCCCTCCATCCAAACCCCCAATCGCTTCCTCTAAGGAAAACATTCATCATTTCCTTCCAGCCCAGGCCTAAGCTATTTCACATTGTATTGCTCAGGGCTCTTAACAAGTCCAGAAACAATCACATTTGTGCTGTGACGATCCCTTGAAGGCAGAGTGGAAGAGATGTTGTGGAGCTTTCTAACTCCTTTCCAGTAACAACAAAATAAGCCATTGATCTTGAAAAGTGAGTAAAATCCAAATGGTTTAATAGTAAAGACATTACCCAGCAGCACCAAACACTTGCTGAAATCAGGCAGAATCTTGAGGAAAAAAAACTCATCAACCAAACTAAAATTATAAAAGGATGTGATGGTGAGGCAGCCAAAGCCTGGAGCCCTTCATCTATTTAGACAAAACAACTGCAAAGCTCACTTCAAACATGTTGATGTTTCTTCCATGGACTGGACACAACAAGCTGTTTCTGCCTTCTGGAAGTGTTTTTTCCCTTCCTTATCCTAACATCAAAATGAAACCACTAAGAGAACACAACATCTCCAATCCCAAATGGTGTTTCTCTGTAAGATCCAGCTCTCTCCAGCTGAGAAGTTCATCAAATCCTAATTTAGTAGCTATTCTTTTTCAAGTTGCAGTAAACATTAATAATAGACACAAACAGTACAGGTAGTGAGAAAATCACTGCCAAAAATATCACAAGCACCCCTCAGGCAAACTTCCTCTGACTTTCTTCAGTACTTCAAGGACCTGCGCACAGTTGTCTGCCACACAGCAGATCACACTGAGGCCTTTTATGGAAGAGTGTCCCTCTCCCTTTCCTGCTCAAACTACTGTGTGTGTCGCTGGAGGCTGTAAGCCTGTGACCTGGACCAACAACAAGCCCCTGTGGTTCAGGGATCACTGCCCATTAAGAGGAGAGAAGAGGTCACTAGAAAAGGAATTCTGCTCAGTTAAGTGTCTTGCTTAGCAAGATGTAATGAGTATCTGATTCACCACACAGAGATCAATTGTTACAATCGTTTATTGGAGCCCAGGACATTAACAGCTTTAGAAGGGAGGAGAAAATAGCTCCTTTCTCCCTCTCAGCTGTCAGCACATGTTCCGCCTTCTGGTTACAGAGGAGGGGACACGCCCAGTAATTGTCCCCCAAGCCCTGGACACCACCTCAGGAGAGGGATCTCCACAAAGCCCCCCAGCCTGAACTGCAAGACAGAAATGGAATTTATAAGCGACAAGCATAAATTTTAAACATTTTCTGTTTTTTAGTTATCCCACTTACTTGAAGCACTTTCAAAGAGAAGTAAAATATGTTAACTACTTTTTTTTTTTTTTTTTAACAGAGTACTGCTCTGTCCCCCAGGCTGGAGTGCAGCCCTGTGACTTGGCTCACTACAGCTTCAAACTTCTGAGCTCAAGCAATCCTCCTACCTCAGCCTCCCAAGCAGCCGGGACTACAGGCAAGTGCCACCACATCTAGCTAACTTTTTGTATTTTTTGTAGAGACGGAGTCTCGCTATGTTGCCCAGGCTGGTCTTGAACTCCTAGGATCAAGTGATTCTCCCACCTCAGCCTCCCAAAGTGCGTGAGTCACTATGCCTGGCCATTAACTACTCTTTTCTTTTTCTTTTTTTTTTTTTTTGAGACGGAGTCTCGCTCTGTCTCCCAGGCTGGAGTACAGTCATGCAATCTTGGCTCACTGCAACCTCCGCCTCCTGGGTTCAAGCAATTCTCCTGTCTCAGCCTCCTGAGTAGCTGGGGTTACAGGCACACGCCACCATGCCCAGCTAATTTTTGTATTTTTAGTAGAGACAGGGTTTCGCCACATTGGCCAGGCTGGTCTGAAACTCCTGGGCTCAAATGATCCTCCCCTCTCGGCCTCCCAAAGTGCTGGGATTACAGACGTGTCACTGTGCCTGGCCATTAACTACTTTGAAAAGCTCTCTTCATATAAATCTCAGGAAACAAGGGTAGACAAAGACATGTATGTCTTCTCATATTTTTCATCTGATTTCTACTCTTAATTCTAAATTCTTCAAAGATAAAGGCCAAAGCTAATTAATCTATGTGGTCCTTACGGTACTGGCAGAAACAGCTGCACGTGGAGTATTCTGAATCCATCTTATTTTTGTTCATTTTTGAAAATTTAAACCATTTCCTTTTCTTTCTCATTTTTCTTCATTTCCTCTTCCTACAATTTCTTAGCTCTGCCTTCCTGTTTTCTGTCTTCATTTGATCCTCCTTGTTCATATCCACCTTTCTCTCCCCTTTTCCTTCAATTTTTATTTTAAAAGCTGTCTGCCTTCTAGAATTAACTCAAGCTTCCAGAAACTAGCAGGTGCTTATTGAAGGAACTGATGAGTGGATGAAATTGTCGTCCATTCAGACAATCTGGGTCTTCTTCTAGACTCAGAACAGAAGAATGAGGAAAAAAAATGGAATTCTGTCGGGAGAGAAATGGAATTCAGTTGGGAGAGAAGACTGGGCACTTCCCGTCTCCTGCTCTTCTGCACAGGCTTATTGAAATAATGGACAAATCAGCCAGGCGTGGTGGCTCACGCCTGTAATCCCAATACTTTGGGAGGCCAAGGCGGGTGGATCACCTGAGGTCAGGAGTTCAAGACCAGCCTGGCCAACATGGTGAAACCCCATCTCTACTAAAAATATAAAAATTAGCTGGGCTTGGTGGCGGACGCCTGTAATCCCAGCTATTCTGGAGGCTGAGACAGGAGAATCATTTGAACCCGGGAGGCAGAGGTTGCAGTGAGCCAAGATCGCACCATTGCACTCCAGCCTGGACGACAGAACAAGACTCTGTCTCAAAAAAAAAAAAAAAAAAAAAAAAAAAAGGACAAATCATGCCCAGCTGAGGAAATGAGCAAGCACATATGAAAAAGTCCCGAAAATAAAAACGGCAGCAAAAAAATGGTTGTATGCCAAACAACAGTTACCAGCTCTCCAGGAAAAACTCATTCATAAATCGGAAGAAATTGGTGCTCATCTACTGAAGGGAATAGAAAGAGCCTTCTTTGTGCAACCTGTGCTGCAAAGACCACAAGCAACTGCGGTCAGACAAAAGACAAACAAAGAGACGTCTGGGAAATGCCACAACTGAGAATAAAGTCACTTCATACACCCAAGAGGCTGCCACCACACAGATGCCTCCTGTAGATATCCAACTATCAGAACAGATACTATAATATTCTATAATGAGAAGTGTGTTTCACCAAAGCAACACTATTGTATCCTGTCCAATAAAGAAAATGTATTTCCTTTTCTTTCATTATCCCATTTTAACACAACCAATTCCATTATTGCATCTTCATGTCCTGGGCAATTCCACAGTGGACAACATCAAGGTATTAAGCATTGTTTCTGCCAGGCCTCCCTGTACTTCATCACCGCACCCCAAATTAGTCATAAAGCTCATGAAAACACCAGTCTCTCTAGAAGCTGACATGCAAAATTCATTCCAGGCAGCTTGATTTTCCCTCCCACCAACTGTTAGAGTCATTGTGGTTACATCTAGCCATAAGATCTTTCCTTTCATCCACATTTAAACTGTGTCCCATGTAGCATGCAGCACCAATGAGGTTACGGGGAATGATGGAAAAAGGAAGAGTGAATGGAAAGAAAAGATCATGTGTCTTCTCTGTGTTTCTTTTCTTTTTTTTTTTTTTTTTTTAGACAGAGTCTCGGTCTTTTGCCCAGGCTGGAGTGCAATGGTGTGATCTCGGCTCACTGCAACCTCCTCCACCTCCCGGGTTCAAGCAATTCTCCTGCCTCAGCCTCCTGAGTAGCTGGGATTACAGGAACCCAACACCACGCCCAGCTAATTTTTTTGTATTTTTAGTTAAGAAGGCAAGGCTGGTCTCAAACTCCTGACCTCAGGTGATCCACCTGCTTTGGCCACCCAAAGTGCTGGGATTACAGGCGTGAGCCACTGCGCCCAGCTCTTTGTGTCTTTTCCTTTAGGGAAGAAACAAATGAAAAAGCGAATAAAGAACATAAGGTCGCTTTTTGAAATTCATTAATGTAAACCTTTTCTCTTGACAAAGATAAAAATTTAATAACCCTAGGGCAGCACATGCCCCCTACTACCTCTGTTTTTCTTTTTTTGAGATGGAGTTTTGCTCTTGTTGCCCAGGCTGGAGTGCAATTGAGAGGTGACAGATTGCTGGCAGTCCTCACAGCCCTCGCTCGCTCTCCGCTCCTCCTCTGCCTGGGCTCCCACTTTGGCGGCACTTGAGGAGTCCTTCAGCCCGCCGCTGCACTGTGGGAGCCCCTTTCTGGGCTGACCAAGGCCGGAGCCGGTTCCTTCAGCTTGCGGGGAGGTGTGGAAGGAGAGGCGCCGGCGGGAACCGGGGCTGCGCGCGGTGCTAGCGGGCCAGCGCGAGTTCCAGGTAGGCGTGGGCTCGGCTGGCCCCGCACTCCGAGCGGCAGGCCGGCCTCGCCAGCCCCGGGCAGTGAGGGGCTTAGCACCTGGGCCAGCAGCTGCTGTGCTCAATTTCTCGCCGGGCCTTAGCTGCCTTCCCGCGGGGCAGGGCTTAGGACCTGCAGCGCGCCATGCCTGAGCCTCCCTTCTCCTCCGTGGGCTCCTGTGTGGCCGGAGCCTCCCGGAGGAATGCCGCCCCCTGCTCCACCGTGCCCAGTCCCATCGACCACCCAAGGGCTGAGGAGTGCTGGCACAGGGCGCAGGACTGGCAGGCAGCTCCACCTGCGGCCCCAGTGCGGGATCCACTGGGTGAAGCCAGCTGGGCTCCTCAGTCTGGTGGGGACTTGGAGAACCTTTATGTCTAGCTAAGGGATTGTAAATACACCAATCGGCACTCTGTATCTAGCTCAAGGTTTGTAAACACACCAATCAGCACCCTGTGTCTAGCTCAGGGTTTGTGAATGCACCAACCCACACTCTGTATCTAACTACTCTGGTGGGGACTTGGAGAACCTTTGTGTGGACACTCTGTATCTAGCTAATCTAGTGGGGACGTGGAGAACCTTTGTGTCTAGCTCAGGGATTGTAAACGCACCAATCAGCACCCTGTCAAAACAGACCACTCTGCTCTCTGTAAAGTGGACCAATCAGCAGGATGTGGGTGGGGCCAGATAAGAATAAAAGCAGGCTGCCAGAGCCAGCAGTGGCAACCCTCTAGGGTCCTTTTGCACGCTTTGGTAGCTTTGTTCTTTCACGCTTTGCAGTAAGTCTTGCTGCTGCTCACCCTTTGCGTCCACACTGCCTTTATGAGCTGTAACACTCACTGCGAAGATCTGCAGCTTCACTCCTAAAGCCAGCGAGACCAGGAACCCACCAGGAGGAACGGACAACTCCAGGCGCCCCGCCTGAAGAGCTGTAACACTCACTGGGAAGGTCTGCAACTTCATTCCTGAGCCAGCGAGACCACAAACCCACCAGAAGGAACAAACTCCGAACACATCCGAAGATCAGAAGGAACAAACTCTGGACACGCAGCGTTTAAGAACTGTAACATTCACCGCGAGGGTGTACGGCTTCATTTTTGAAGTCAGTGAGACCAAGAACCCACCAATTCCGGACACACAACGGCACAATCTCAGTTCACCTCAACCTCTGCCTCCTGAGTTCAAGCAATTCTCCTGCCTCAGCCTCCCGAGTAGCTGGGATTATAGGCACGTGCCACCACACCCAGCTAATTTTGTATTTTTAGTAGAGACGGGGTTTCTCCATGTTGGTCAGGCTGGTCTCGAACTCCCGACCTCAGGTGATCTACCTGCCTTGGCCTCCCAAAGTGCTGGGATTACAGGCATGAGCCACCACACCCGGCCCCCTCCTTTTTTTTTTTGAACATTTCTGTAATAAAAGACTCAGACTATAGGCTCCACACGATTTCGCAAATGTTTTTTCTTCGAGGCAGAACATGGAATTGATTGCTGCTTTTTAAAAATAAGTCATATCAGGGCCAGGCGCAGTGGCTCACCCCTGTAATCCCAGAACTTTGGGAGGCCGAGGCGGGCAGATCATGAGGTCAGGAAATCAAGACCGTCCTGGCTAACACTCCGTGAAACCCCGTCTCTACTAAAAATACAAAAAAAATAGCAGGGCGTGGTGGCGGGCGTTTGTGAGTAGTCCCAGTTACTAGGGAGGCTGAAGCAGGAGAATGGCGTGAACCCGGGAGGCAAGCTTGAAGTAAGCTGAGATAGCGCCACTGCACTCCAGCCGGGGCGACAGAGCGAGACTCCGTCACACACACACACACACACACAAAGTCATATCAGATTCATATCAGATTCATGGGTTTTCAAATAATGACAATAACTTCCAAAACCAAGCTTTCATGGAAGAAATACACTTTCACCCATTACATCGTACTCCAGGCTAGACTTTTTGCTGATCCTCTGTTTCCTAATGAATTTGCTTTAAGAGAAAACTGAATACTCTCTAGAGGGAACCACAGTCTATAGCGACAGTTAACTCATACTTTCCTAAAAGCCATGTCTCCAAAGAGAAACAAGAGGTATTAATCCCAAACTACGGTGACATTATTTTAAATAATTCCATCTTAGATCAGATTAAGCCTAGATTAAGCCCACACACGGATCACTTTCCTTTTCAAAAAATGAAAGCACTTTATAGAGATGAACAAAGTTAAGCTTCACAAATCTGCTTTTTGAAGGTGAAAATATCACACTTGCTTACAAAAGGGCAAGATTGTGGTTTTTCTCTGCTGTTTTTTTTTTCTTTTCTGTCTAGTAGTAAAAGCAGGGGTGACAGTCCCAGAAATGTGCAATGTGCTGGAAAGAAGGTGGTGGATAAGACCACTCTTCTCTTATTAGGAAATAAGCCAGGCTGGCCCATGCCTTCTCTGTACATAGAGAACAACTCAGAAAGCTTCCCAGGAAAACCACTCTGGCTGGCTGTGAGAGTCTCAGAGACAGTGGATTCCCAGGCTTGTTGAAACTCAGTGCATTGGGTTCCCGCAGGATTTTCTTCATTTTTTAATTGTCCCAACCTCTGTCTATATTTTACAATTCAGAATCTTTCTTGTCGTTGTGATTCTGGCAGATTCTGTATTTTCTTGTAACTGTTAAGTTTGAAGGCATCTCACACTCCCCATTATATGCAATATATCCATAAGCGGGAGAGACTTAATCTTTTAATTTTTTATATTTTATTTTATTTTTTGAGACAGGGCTTTACTCTATGGCCCAGGCTAGAGTGCAGTGCTGTGATCTTGGCTCACTGTAACAACCTTCACCTCCGGGACTCAAGCAATCCTCCCACCTCAGCCTCCCAAGCAACTGGAACCACAGGTATGCACCACCACACCCAGCTAATTTTTTTTTGTATTTTTGGTAGAGATGGGATTTCCCCATGTTGCTCAGGCTAGTCTCAAACTCTTGGACTCAAGTGATCTGCCCACCTCGGTCTCCCAAAGTGCTGGGATTACAGGCATGAGCCACTGCGCCTGGCCAATCTTTTAGAAAATAGAGCAATTGTCTTCTTATATTTTCTCTTTCTCCTATGCCCTGTCCTAAAATAATCTCCTTTATTCTCTCAATATTTTAGTGTCATTTAAAAAATACTCTAAGAAGAGTTAATGTGTTCAAGTGCTTGGGAACCTTGGTTAAGGGGTCTAAGAGAAACAAGAAAGGAAATGCAGGCACATCCCATACATTGTTGCAACATCCATGCTGAGAGATTATGAGCAGGCAGAAAACAAAAGGGCCCTATGAAGGACTTAAGAGAGAAATTGTATCCCAACCTACAACTGTGGAGTTGTTACAAAGGGTTCTTTAAATATTTCTGATGGGAATGAAATGAATTATGGCTAAGGAGGGGGGAAGGGCGTTTAAAGGGCAGATGTCAGGTAAATGAAAATGGTGAATTTCCTAGTTGGCCACACCCACCTCACCTCGTCAATAAATTTTTTCTTTTTTATTTAAGACTTGGAAGTTATCTCTTGCATAATTTGCTTCTGACCTCAATATAATCTAGTTCGGAATTGCTTCTGTTTGGATCACCCCACATTCATTAAAAGACATTTCCAACTTAGGAAGTTTAGAAAAAGCTCTTGCCACTCACCATTTGTAGAAAAGCTTTTACACGGAAACAAATATATGCCAGATCCTTTGCTATGGGCTGGATTTACTAAACATCCCTGGATTACTTTATAATGGGAATCCTTTTTATGGAGACCTGAACCAAATAAAATCTACGCAGACCTGCATTATATCATTTAATCTTCACAGCAATCCTTGGGAAAATGAGCATCTATTATTCTATGCTACAAGAGAGGAAACGGAAATGCTTTGTAGCTAAATAATTTACCTACCGTCACAGAAGAAGCTTTCCCACTGTGTCTGACACACCTGTGCTTTCCTTCCTGGCTACCACCTCTTTGCCAGACCTAGGGGAGAAAGGCCGGATCCAAGATCTTTGGTCCTTCAAGCCAACTTAAATTACAATTTAAAATTTTACACTTCTTTGCCAGAAATAATGGGAAAAGGCCAGATCTTAGATCTTAGTCTTTTAATTCAATTAATTATATATGTTTATAATTATATATAAATATATTATATATATAAACATATATATATTTCCTTTTTAAATCAGTTTCTTGCTCTGTTGTCCAGGCTACAATGCAGTTGTGTGATCACAGCTCGTTGCAGCCTCAATCTCCTGGGCTCAATCAATCCTTCTGCCCCAAACTTCCGAGGAGCTGGGACTACAGACATGCGTCACCACACCCCACTAATTTTTTAAATTTTTTGTAGAGACAGGGTCTCACCATGTTGCCCAGGCTGGTCTGGAACTCCTGGGTTCAAAAGAACCTCCTACCTCAGCCTCCCAAAATGCTAGAATTACAGGCGTGAGCCACCACACCCATCGTAAAATACTTATATAATTTTAAATGTCTGGTCTTAAAATTTTAAATGACCATGTCACTATTTGGCACCAGGCTTTTCTGGGTTTCATTGGTTTATGTTTATTTGGCTTTAGCCTGGAAAAGGAAAAGCAGTTTAAAATGCATAAAGACTTCTCTTTCTTTTCTTCCTCTCTCCCTCTCTTTCACTCGTTTGCCAAAGGCAGAATGTACGTGTAGAAAACCCACTGGACCTGCACACGCATGGCGTCTCCTCTCTGGTCACACCGCTTGCACACTGTTCCAGGAGTCAGAAACCTTTTCTGTAAAGGGCCAGGCAGGAAACAGGTCAGGCTTTGCAGGTCGGAAGGTCTCTGCTATAACTACTCAGCTCTGCATTTAGAGCTCAAAAGCAAGCAGAGGCAATACAGAAATGAACTGGCGTAGTTGTGTTCCAACAACTGTGTTCAAGAAACAGCCCAAGGGCTTGATGTAATCCATCCTGTACCGCAGGCAGTTATAGCGTTATCCCCACGGGATCTCCTCTGATGTCAAAGTTCTTAACATGGGGTCCGCTGGCTTCAGGGAGTCTCTAAACTGCCCCTGAAATAATTTGCAAGATGTTGTCTTTATATCTTTTTGTTCATATGGTCATTTTTTAGGTCATATGGGTCCCATAGCCCTCATCAGGTTCTCAAATGTTTGACTCAGAATAAGGTTAAACCTGAGACCCACAGTTCCAATATTGGCTGGTTTCTTCAGAGTCAAGTTGCACAAGTCAAGCCCTGCTGTATTTTCAGTTACCTTTTCCCTGTGATTCACAAGGCTCACACTGTACTATTACGTGGATTCTAAAATCACCTCACACAATTTTCCCATCTTTGAGCCTCTGCAAATGTTTGCCAAGCTATTTGACGTGAACCTTTCATCTAATCCAGTTCAACTCATGAACAACCAAAGTAGCTCCTGAAAGCCAGGCTGTGTGTCCTGGGAGTAGAGAAACAGATCATGGACTGGGAAGGAAGTCGGATGAGCAAACCACCAGGTCAATGTGGCAGGGAGAGTTAGAGGCTCAAGACGGGTGCCTACCCCAGATTTGGGGTCAGGGATGTTTCCTGGAAGAAATCCTCATGATGCTGGGGTCTTATTTGAGAGGTGAAGCAGGCAGGGCTTCTGGGTCAGGTGGGGAGTTGGAGAACTTTTCTGTCTAGCTAAAGGTTCGTAAAGGCACCAATCAGCACTCTGTAAAAACGCACCAATCAGCACTCTGTGTCTAGTTAAAGGTTTGTAAACGCACCAATCAGTACTCTGTAAAATCGCACCAATCAGCGCTCTGTGTCCAGCTAAAGGTTTGTAAACACACCAATCAGCACTCTGTAAAAATGGACCAATCAGCACTCTGTAAAATGGACCAATCAGCAGGACGTGGGCAGGCCACATAAGGGAATAAAAGCTGGCCACCCAAGCCAGCACTGGCAACCCGCTTGGGTCCCTTTCCAGGATGTGGAAGCTTTGTTCTTTTGCTCTTCACAATAACTCTTGCTGCTGCTCACTCTTTGGGTCCGTACTACCTCTATGAGCTGTAACACTCACCATGAGGGTCTGCAGCTTCATTCCTGAAGTCAGCGAGACCAGAAAACCCACTGAGAGGACCAAACAACTCGGGAAGTGCCACCTTCAAGAGCTGTAACACTTGCTGCGAAGGTCTGCAGCTTCACTTTTGAAGTCAGTGAGACCAAGAACCCACCGGAAAGAAGAAACTCTGGACACGTCTGAACATCTGAAGGAAAAAACTCTGGACACACCATGTTTAAGAACTGTAACACTCACTGCGAGGGTCCGTGGCTTCATTCTTGAAGTCAGTGAGACCAAGAACCCACCAGAAGGAGCCAATTATGGACACATTATGAATGCATGGGAATTTGAATCTCGGACCAGAATTTCTCTCTGCTTGCTGAACAGAGAGAAAGAGGGCAGGTAGAAGAGGAGACACATGCCAGTGTCTTTAGACAAATCACAATTGAGTTTGTCGGAACATAAAGCAGGGTGGAGTGTCGAAAAGACTGGACTGCAGAGGGGAAAGAGGTCGTATCACCAAGGACCTTGTTCAGTACTCTGTGGTAAAGGCAATGAGAAGTCCTCTTTTTTTCTCTTTTTTGAGACAGTCTTATTCTGTTGCCCAGGCTGGAGTACAGTCAGTGGCACGATCTCAGCACACTGCAACCCCCACCTCCCGGACTCAAAATATTCTGCCTCAGCCTCCTGAGTAACGGAGATCACAGGCGCCCGCCACCACACCTGGCTAATTTGTTTATTTTTGGTACAGATGGGGTTTTCACCATGTTGGCCAGGTTGGTCTCAGACTCCTGACCTCAAGTGATCCACACGCCTTGGCCTCCCAAAGTACTGGGATTACAGGGTGAGCCACGGTGCCTGGTCAAGAAGTCATAGAGATAAAAGCCTGCTGCTCAGTGTGGCTGGTTGGCCAGCTGATTTGACAGAACTGGGAGCCTGTTAGAAATGAAATCCTGGACCCAACCTAGACTTACTGAATCCAAATCTGCATTTTAACACATCCCAGGGTGATTCATATACTCAGAGGTGATACATATACACAGAAGCACTTATCTATCCTGAGTAAACCCTGCCCCCGATTTCAGGTGGCAAACTCCTACCTACTCAAGTTTCCCAAATGGCCCCCAGGGCACTTGTTAAGTATAGGGATTTCTGGCCTCTCCCTTGGACCTTCTTCAGTAAGTCAAGGTTGGGGCTAAGGAATTTGTTCTTCCAGCAAGTATTCAGGAAAGACTCTTAAGAAAGTTTGGGACAATGCATTTCCTGATCCCCAACTCAGCAGAATGAATTCCTTCTATGTCCCCATAGCACTTTATCCTCACTTGTATCATGGTATTAGTGGGTTGCTCTATTATTATTTTTTTTTTTTTTTTGAGACAGAGTTTCACTCTTGTTGCTCAGACTGGCGTGCAGTGGTGTGATCTCAGCTCACTGCAACCTCTGCCTCCTGGGTTCAAGCAATTCTCCTGCCTCAGCCTCCTGAGTAGCTGGGACTACAGGTGTGCGCCACCACCCCCAGCTAATTTTTGTATTTTTTTTTTTAGCAGAGACGGGGTTTCACCATGTTGGCCAGGATGGTCTCGATTTCTTGACCTCGTGATCCACCCGCCTCAGCCTCCCAAAGTGCTGGGATTACAGGTGTAAGTTATTATTATTTTTTAAATGTACCTGTTTTCCTTGGTAGACCTTGAGCCCTTCTGTGTTGCCAGGGCCTGGCCCAGGACCTTAAATTCAATAAAAGATCCAGTGTGTACATGAATAACAGTGACTACCACATGGCCACCAATTAGTGTGAGTCCATTGGCCTGACCAAAGGTCAAATGTGGCATTAAAACGAAAGTAGCTTCAGTTTGAATGAGCCATTCATCAGCAGGATTTTGTTCCGAATATCCAAATCAAGGTCGAGAGTATGTTCCTGTTACCAGTTCAAGCTGAAACTTTTCTTTGCACTAAAACTGGACATCTTGTTCCCTCTAGCAACGGCCAATTAGGGCAGCTCCGGCTTGCCTCCCAAGGCGATGCTCCCCTCCTCCAGCAATTACTACCTGAAGACGGCTTTATTTCCCTGGCCTTGCAAACCACCCAAGGACTGCGTTTGACCGGTTGACCTTCTTTGACAGCAAATTCCTCTAGCTGACCACAAGTCACATGAAGAAGTTATTTCCTTTTATTTGTTCTAAATTTCCTTTTTAAACTGTTGGCCTCCTTCAAGGGTATAACTTTTAAAGGAGAAATTAATACAATTGTTGTTTTGTTGTGAGCAGGAATAGTTAGGGAATATAAATATTTTTAAAATCCCTTGCAGAATCTGTGATTTAATTATATATATATATTATATATATATATTATATATATATATTATATATATATATTATATATATATATTATATATATATATTATATATATATATTATATATATATATATTATATATATATATATATATATTTTTTTTTCTGGACATAAATGTGTTCATTTTTCAAATTTTGCAAAATAAAGAAAAATGTAAAGAATATACATCCAGGCTGGGTGCAATGGCTTACGCCTGTAATCCCAGCACTTTGGGAGCCAAAGGCAGGCAGGCAGATCACTTTGAGCCCAGGAGTTTGAGACCAGCCTGGGCAACATGGTGAAACCTCATCTCTACAAAAAATACAGAAAATTAGCTGGGCATGATGGTGTGTGCCTGTAGTCCCAGCTACTCAGTAGGCTGAGATGGGAGGATCACCAGAGCCCATGAGGTCGAGGTTGCAGTGAGTGGAGATCGTGCCACTGCACTCCAGCCTGGGAAACAGAGCCAGACCTTGTCTCAAAAAATTAAAAAAAATTAATACACACACACACACACACACACACACACACACACACACACACACACCCTACCATCTAGAATGTTATGATTATATTCTCTATTAAATAAGAATTAGTCTTAAACATTAGTCATATTAGCATTTTCTCGTATGTAAATGTGCTTTTGTCATCTAAGCTTCATGAAACCAGCATCAAATACACGTCTGCACAATGCTTTTCTTTTTTTTTTCTTTTTTGAAACTGAGTCTGGCTCTGTTGCCAAGGCTGGAGTGCAGTGGCACGATCTCGGCTCACTGCAACCTCCACCTCCCAGGTTCAAGAGATTCTCCTGCCTCACCCTCCCAAGCAGCTGGGACTAAAGGCACCCGCCACTGTGCCTGGCTAATTTCTGTATTTTTAGTAGAGACAGGGTTTCGCCATGTTGGTCAGGCTGGTCTGGAACTCCTGACTCAGGTGATCCGCCCGCGTTGGCCTCCCAATGTGCTGGGATTACAGGCATGAGCCTCTGCGCCCGGCCACGATGCTTTTCATGCCTGAGGAATCCACTGCCTCCCAGGCAGAAAAGTGATGTGAGGGACTGGACAGAGCCAAGACCAGCTGAGGCTCCAAGTGAAAGGAAAGAAAGGGGTTAAACTCCCCTACAAAACTCTTACTTTACAATGAAACTGCAGGATTTGTCACTCCAGGAAGAAATTGAAACATAGTTACAACAGTATGAAAAGTGTTTTTTTTTTTTTTTGAGACGGAGTCTCGCTCTGTTGCCCAGGCTGGATGGAGTGCAGTGGCGCAATCTCGGCTCACTGCAAGCTCCACGTCCTGGGTTCACGCCATTCTCCTGCCTCAGCCTCCCCAGTAGCTGGGACTACAGACGCCCACCACCATGCCCGGCTAATTTTTTGTATTTTTAGTAGAGACGGGGTTTCACCGTGTTAGCCAGGATGGTCTCGATCTCCTGACCTCGTGATCCGCCCGCCTCGGCCTCCCAAAGTGCTGGGATTACAGGCGTGAGCCACCGCGCCCAGCCAGTATGAAAAATTTAGCTCACTTCCGAGATGTTCTTGTACTTTCAAAAATCTGTGTGCTTCTTACTCTCATTAACTAGTTCTCACTCCCAGCCTCTCAAGTCTCTGAAAAAGGTATTCCGTTAGTTAGACAAAGGATAGCATCTCTGTGTTTACTCTTTGACAGGGAAGAAAGCTTGCATGGTGATGAGTCACTTTAATTAGTCTATGGGAGAGCTAGATGTTTTGTTTTTCTTCCTTTTTTTTTTTTTTTTTTTTTTTTTTTTTTAAATTATGGCCCCTGACACAGCCCTCTGGAGATGCTGAGAACACGTGCCCAAGAGCCAGATTTTGATGGCAGGCTGGGATCCTAAGGGATAGCTGGAAAATCCAGAAAGGACTTTCTCGAGATTGGACTTATATGGACTTGTTTCTTTCTCTTAAATAAGAGTGACTTTATTGTTTTATTCTTTTGTTGTTGTTGTTCCTTGAGACAGAGTCTGGTTCTGTTGCCCAGGCTGAAGTGCAGTGGTGCCATCACAGCTCACTGCAACCTCCTAACTCCCAGGCTCATGTGATCTTCCCGCCTCAGCCTCCCCAGTAGCTGGTACTACAGGCACACACTACCATGCCCAGCTATATTTTGTATTTTTTGTAGAGACAGAGTTCTGTCATGTTGCCCTGACTGGTCTGGAACTCCTGGACTCAAGCCATCTGCCTGCCTTAGCCTCCTTAAGTGCTGGGATTACAGGCGTGAGCCACCATGCCTAGCCTCATTGTTTTATTCTTTAAAAGCACACACACATTATAAAACACTAAGTGATGAAGAAAAATGCAAAGGGCAAAATATAAAATCATTTAATACCAGCTGGGCGCAGTGGCTCACGTCTGTGATCCCAGCACTTTGGGAGGCCGAGGCGGGTGGATCACGAGGTCAGGAGATCGAGACCATCCTGGCTAACACGGTGAAACTCCATCTCTACTAAAAATACACACAGAAAAAATTAGCCGGGTTTGGTGGTGGGCGCCTGTAGTCCCAGCTACTTGAGAGGCTGAGGCCGGAGAATGGCGTGAACCTGGGAGGCAGAGCTTGCAGTGAGCCAAGACTGTGCCACTGCACTCCAGCCTAGGCAACAGAGCGAGACTCCGTCTCAAAAAAAAAAAAATCATTTAATACCCCCAACACCACCCAGAAATAACTCCTGAGATATTAAGGCGGCCCTCAATCCAGAAAACCGTAGACTCACAAATTCATTCATTGAAATATCAAATAAATATTGAAAAGGGTATGTAAATTAAAATGGTTATTCAAATTAGATTATAATAGTAATACAGTCTTTTTACAGGATTTTAATAGAAGAGAAAGCAGTTCACATGAAACCAAAGGAAATGTTAACTGCAACCTCCTCTTCCAAGGTTGATAGTTATACAATTATATTTTGTTTTGTTAAGGCTTAAAATACATATGCCTTTGTAAGCATAATTCCCATAATTCTTTTTTTTTTTTTTCCCAAAAAAAAAGATCTCCCTCTGTCTCCCAGGCTGGAGTGCAGCAGCATGATCTTGGTTCACTGCAACCTCCACCTCCCAGGTTCAAGTGATTCGCCTGCCTCAGCCTCCTGAGTAGCTGGGGTTACAGATGCACGCCACCACAGCGTGGCTAATTTTTGTATTTTTTTTTTTTTTTTGAGACGGAGTCTCGCTCTGTTGCCAAGGCTGGAGTGCAGTGGCACAATCTCGGCTCACTGCAAGCTCCGCCTCCTGGGTTCACGCCATTCTCCTGCCTCAGCCTCCCCAGTAGCTGGGACTACAGCCGCCCACCACCATGCCCAGCTAATTTTTTGTATTTTTAGTAGAGACGGGGTTTCATCGTGTTAGCCAGGATGGTCTCGATCTCCTGACCTTGTGATCCGCCCGCCTTGGCCTCCCAAAGTGCTGGGATTACAGGCGTGAGCCACTGCACCCGGCCTAACTTTTGTATTTTTAGTACAGCCTGTCTACTGAAGGTTTACCATATTGGTCAGGCTGGTCTCAAACTCCCGACCTCAGGTGATCCACCCACCTCAGCCTCCCAAAGTGCTGGGATTACAGGTCACCACACCTGGCCAGTTCCCATAATTCTTTAGTATTAGTCCTATATTTATATGCATTCAATGCTAATCATAGGATATTATCCATATTTGAGAAAGACTACTGCTTTTAGACTTGAATAACAACTTGGCATAAAACATCTGTGTCCATCTTTTCTTTCCTCAGAACCTAGCAGACATTTCTCCTTTGTCTTCTGCCATTACATTTGTTGTCAAGAAATATAATGTGAGTGGCCGGGCGCGGTGGCTCATGCCTGTAATCCCAGCACTTTGGGAGGCCGAGGCGGGCGGATCACAGGGTCAGGAGACTGAAACCATCCTGGCTAACACGGTGAAACCGTGTCTCTACTAAAAATACAAACATTAGCCAGGTGTTGCGGTGGGCACCTGTAGTCCCAGCTACTCGGGAGGCTGAGGCAGGAGAATCACTTGAACCTGGGAGGTGGAGGTTGCAGTGAGCCGAGATCACGCCACAGCACTCCAGCCTGGGCAACGAGAGCGAGACTCCATCTCGAAAAAAAAAAAAAGAAAAGAAAGAAATACAACGTCATTAGCTGGGTATGGTGGCGGGTACCTATAGTCCCAGCTACTCAGGAGGCTGAGGCAGGAGGATTGCTCAGCAAGCCTGGGAGGTCAAGGTTGCAGTGAGCCCAGATCATGTCCTTGCACTTCAGCCTGAGCAACAGAGCAAGACCCTGTCAGAAAGAAGGAAAGAAAGAAAAGAAAGAGAGAGAGAGAGAAAGAAAAAGAAAGAAAGAAAGAGGGAGGGAGGGGGAAAGAAAGAGAGGGAGAGAGGGAAGGAAGGAGAGAGGGAGGGACAGAGGGAAAGAGAGAGGGAGAGAGAGAAGGAAGGAAGGAGAGAAAGAAAGGAAAAAGAGAAGGAAAGGAAAGGAAAAAGGGAAGGAAGGGAAGGGAAGGGATCATATTTCCCTTTTATAGGGGACTCCTTAAAATGCAATGATTTCATCAAGACATGGTTTAGAGTTAGTTGTTGTACAGGAAAATTTCCTAAAGAACAGAGTAATTTTTCTAGCTCAGATTCAGTTTTTCCTTTATTTCAGGAATATTATCTTTCATTAAGTCATTGAATACTTTTTCTGTAACACTTTTCAGTTCTCTGCCACTATTCTTACTATGCACCATGTCTGTCCTCTGTATAACTTACCTCCTCTTTAATCATTTTCAAGGTGTGTCTTCTCCCTCTCCATTCAATTTGATAATCATAAAACTTTATGTAAGTAATTTTGTTTTCCATCTGGTCTCTTCATTCACTCCTATTTTATTCATCAATGTGGAAATTGTGATTATTTGATCCTCAATTTGTCTTATCAGCGGTTTAGTCTCTTTTATTTTATTCAGCTGTTTATTATTGCATTTTGGACCAACTTGTTCAACTACTTATATTCTAAATCATCACAGTAAAGATGCCCAAAACCAGGTCTCTGAAGTTGGACTACATAGGTTAACTGGCCACCTGCTATCCATAAGTAATTTAACCTCAGTTCATCTATAAAATTAAGACAATAAAAATACATACTTCACAGCATGTGCAAAGAAATAATGTGTTGGCCGGGCGCGGTGGCTCATGCCTGTAATCCCAGCACTTTGGGAGGCCGAGGCAGGTGGATCACGAGGTCAGGAGATAGAGACCATCCTGGCTAACACAGTGAAACCCCATCTCTACTAAAAATACAAATAATTAGCTGGGCGTGGTGGCGGGCGCCTGTAGTCCCAGCTACTGGGGAGGCTGAGGCAAGAGAATGGCATGAACCTGGGAGGTGGAGGTTGCACTTAGCCGAGATCACGCCACTGCACTCCAGCCTGGGTGACAGAGTGAGACTCCATCTCAAAAAAAAAATTAAATAAATAAAAATTAAAAATTAAAAATCAAAAAAAAAAAAGAAAGAAGGCCAGGCGCCGTGGCTCACACCTGTAATCCCAGCACTTTCGGAGGCCGAGGTGGGCAGATCACGAGGTCAGGAGATTGAGACCATCCTGGCTAACACAGTGAAACCCTGTCTCTACTAAAAAAAATACCAAAAATCATCTGGGCGTGGTGGTGGGCGCCTGTAGTCCCAGCTACTCGGGAGGCTGAGGCAGGAGAATGGCGTGAACCCGGGAGGCGGAGCTTGCAGTGAGCGGAGATCGCACCACTGCACTCCAACCTGGGGGACAGAGCAAGACTCCATCTCAACAAAAAAAAAGAAAGAAAAGAAATAATGTGTAAAGAACCTGAAACAGTGCCTGAAATGTATTAGACACTCAGTTAGTGTAGGCTATAATTATAGCTCAAACATACTATTTCCTTGCTTCTTGGGTGGCTTTTCTTCTCAAACAAGGCTCATCTATCTTTTTCATGCTATGCTTTTTTTTTTTTTTCCCATAGCACATTTGCATAGTCACCTTTTCATGGTCACTTGTTAATGATCAATGTAGGCATCTCTGTTCAGAGCTTTCATTTTTCTGATATGATGAGAGTCAAGTCTCTATGACTGCCTTCCTGCCTTTTCTGAGACTTACCACGTTTCCTTGAAGCTACTATCTGAGGTCTCAATATTACTAGAGCAGAAGGGAGAGCTTGGCTGGAACTGATCAGCCTGGGCTCTGTTCTCCTGAGTTCAGGTTAAGTGTTCCATGTCAAGGCTCACTCCACCCATTTGGAGGTGTAGCCTATGTTCATGGAGGCTAGCTCAGGCCCCATATTCAGTGATAAACCC
Organism: Homo sapiens; assembly: GCF_000001405.40. NCBI lineage: Eukaryota > Metazoa > Chordata > Mammalia > Primates > Hominidae > Homo > Homo sapiens. Next base: position 16,976,629 of record NC_000005.10, on the reverse strand, counting down.
TGGAAAATGAAAAAAAAAACCTGAACAGATTCTTAGCTCTCTGCTAAAATCTGGAGTGGTAAGATAGGACCTTGGTTCCTACAATGTCTCCCTTATTTTTTCTCTGGACCTACCCTTGTCTCCATATCTCCAAACTGGGGAAGATTGATGAGCATTCTTAGAGGTTAACCAAAACCACAGCAGAATCTTCTGTTCCTCTTCTTGGCCTCCAACCCCATTGTGAAGATGATATATGAGGCTGTACCTCTTTCCTTTTTTGGCTGCTGGCAGTAAATGATTTTTTTCTGCTTTTTAGGATTTTTCCTCCATTCCTTGAGAAAATAAATAAGAGAAAGAGTCTGTGGTTTGAATTCACTACTCCATCTTTTCTAAGTCCAGGTTCTTGTTTTGTTTTTTGAGACTGGGTTTCACTCTGTGGTCCACGCTGGAGAGCTATGGCTCAGTCATGGCTCACTGCAGCCTTGACCAGCTGGGTTCAAGCAATCCTTCTGCCCCAGCCTTCTGAGTAGCTGGGACCACAGGTGCATGCCACCACGCCTGGCTAATTTTTTTTTTTAATTATTTGTAGAGATGCAGTCTTGCTTTGTTGCCCAGGCTGCTGTTTAACCCCTGGGCTCAAGGGAATCTCCTGCCTTGGCTTCCCAAACTGCTGGGATTACAGGTGTGAGCCATGCCTGGCCAGTCCAGGTTCTTAAGCCACTGCTAGACTGGTTGTAGGACTCTGTAGTACTGAGTAGAAGATTCTCTTCCTTTGATTTCTGCCATCAGCAGCCATTTTCTTAGTCAATTCAGGCCATTTTGTTTTTTTGTTTTTTTGTTTGTTTGTTTGAGACCGAGCCTTGCTCTGTTGCCCAGGCTTGAGTGCAGTGGCATGGTCTTGGCTCACTGCAACCTCTGCCTCCTAAGTTCAAACGATTCTCTTTTCTCAGCCTCCTGAGTAGCTGGGACTACAAGTGCACACCACCGCACCCGGCTAATTTTTGCATTTTTAGTAGAGATGGGGTTTCACCATGTTGGCCAGACTGGTCTCGAACTCCCGACCTCTGGTGATCCACGCACCTCAGCCTCCCAAAATGCTGGGATTACAGGTGTGAGCCACCACGCTCAGCCTAGTTCAGGCTGTTTAACAGAATACCATAGACTGGGTGACTTACAAACACCAGAAATTTATTTCTCAGCGTTCTGGAGGCTGAAAGCCAGAGATCAGGGTGTCAGTCTGGTTGGGTTCTGAGTAATTAGGTCATGGGCTCCACCCTCACGACCCAATTACCTCCCTCCTAAGTCCTCACCTCCTAATGTCATCACATTTGGGGTTAGGATTTCAACATATGAATTTTGAGGAGACACATTGAGCCCACAGCAGCCATAATCTTTCCAATGGGCACCGAGATGGTCATGATTAAATGGAGTGTGAGTTCCAGGAAATGCCTCTCAGAATAGGGAGAAAGTTTAGGCAATTGCTTTCCCCATGGAAAACTGGCAATCTAAACACATACTGAATCTAGTCACATTGAATTGTTTACTGAATAAGCACTTTTCATCATCCACTGTAATACTTCAAAGTTTTGTGTACTGTTGCTATACTAAACTCTCTCTAAGGGTAATATTTTAAAATTTGGGAGACCAAGGCAGGTGGATCACTTGAGGTCAGGAGTTCGAGACCAGCCTGGCCCATATGGCAAAACCCCGTCTTTACTAAAAATACAAAATTAGTTGGGCATGGTGCCACACACCTGTAGTCCTAGCTACTTGGTAGGCTGATGCAGAAGAATCGCTGAATCCTGGGAGGCGGAGGTTGCAGTGAGCTGAGATCATGCCACTGTACTCCAGCCTGGGTGACAGAGTGAGACACAGTATTAAAAAAAAAAAAGAGAGAGAGAGAGCTTGGTAGCTGAAGAATTCACTGTGGGGCTCTTGCAGTTTTCCTGGAAACAAAAGATACAGATTTGCTAGTTGTATATAGGAAATTTGGTATTTGTATTTGGTAGTTGTAGTAGAGAATGAAGGATGAGGGACGGAATCAGAAGATACTGCAATAATACAAATCTGGGGTTCATGAGTACCCCAATGGGAATGGGGTTGAGTAAAAGAAGACCTCACATATTTTTCCTCAAAACACAGGGTAGATGGTGACCATGCTAATTAAGAGGAAAAATTAAAGAAGGAATGAATTTGCAAGTATGAAAAGGATTTTACAGGAAAGATAACAAACTCAGTTTTACATAACGTTTTTAAGTTTGGAATACCTGTTGTATAATTGGCAGCTGAGAATTTAGTCTGAGGCTCAGCAGAGACGTGGCCTAGAGATATAATTTAGAGAGTCCTCATCAACACATAGGCAATACCTGAAACTATAGCTTTGGATGAAATTATTCAATATTTTCAGAAATATTTTTTCTGGCCAGGTGCGGTGGCTCGCGCCTATAATTCTAGCACTTTGGAAGGCCAAGATGGGAGGACTGCTTGAGCCCAGGAGTTTGAGACTAGCCTGGGCAAGATGGTGAGACCCAGCTCTACAAAAATAGAAAACATAAAAAAATCAGCCAGGCGCAGTGGTGTGCGCCTGAGGTCCCAGCTACCGGGGCTGAGGTGGGAGGATGGCTTGAACCCAGGAGTTCAAGGCTGCAGTGAGCTATGATCACACCATTAGACTCCAGCCTGAGTGACAGAGAGAGACCCCAAAACAATATATATATAATTTTTCTCTCTGCTACTTGCCAGATGGTGTGCCAGTGAAAGTGTAAAAGAATAAGTAAGAGAACATAAGGAGAGAATTTTGAAGAAGGTTAGTATTTAAAGTATTAATTGTTAAACTCTAAAGAGCAAAGAAATGAACTAGGGAGCTGGCTAAAAATCAAGGTTCTCAGGCCACAGCTCTGCGACCTTGGCTTTATTAACCAGCACTCCAAGTGATTCTGATGCAGGCAATGCTCAAAGAAACATGATCTCGAAAGGAGATCAGAGGAGGAATCAGTAAAGAGACCGAGAAGGAATAAGAGGGAGGAAGAAAGCCAGATTGTCAGGTTGCTGAGCTTTAAGCTACACAGATGATGAGAGGATTTAAAAATACAGCCAGGCGCGGTGGCTCACGCCTGTAATCCCAGCACTTTGAGAGGCCGAGGGGGGCAGATCACAAGGTCAGGAGTTTGAGACCGGCCTGGCCAATATGGTGAAACCCTGTCTCTATTAAAAATACAAAAATTAGCTGGGTGTGGTGGCACGTGCCTGTAGTCCCAGCTACTGTATTCTACTGAGGCAGAAGAATCACTTGAACCCGGGAGGTGGAGGTTGCAGTAAGCCAAGATCGCACCACTGCATTCCAGCTTAGGCAACAGAGCGAGACTCTGTCTTAAAAAAAAATGTGTGTGTGTGTGTGTGTGTGTGTGTGTGTGTGTGTGTGTGTGTGTGTGTGTTGTGTCCGGACTGGGCACCATGGCTCATGCCTGTAATCCCAGCACTTTGGGAGGCAGAGGCAGGTGGATCACTTTAGGTCAGGAGTTTGAGACCAGCCTGGGCAACATGGTGAAACCCCATCTCTACTAAAAATACAAAAATTAGCCGGGCTTGGTGATGGCTGCCTGTACTCCCAGCTACTTGGGAGGCTGAGGCACGATAATCGCTTGAACCTGGGAAGCGGAGGTTGCTTTCTGTTGTGCTGTTGTTGTGCTGGTCTCACCTGCAATGGTCATGAGAGCTGTTCTTTCTCCTTCTGGATACACGGGAGGAGTTGCAGTGAGCCAAGATCATGCCATATAGATATATGCTGTGTCCTGGTGGCTTGAAGCCACATGGAGGATGGTTCATTAAATTCTAACAAGTGCTTTTTGGCCTAGCACAGTGTTGTGCCCCTGTAACCCCAGCACTTTGGGAGGCTGAGGTGGGGGGATTGCTTGAGCATAGGAGTTTGAGACCAGCCTGAGAAACATAGGGGACCCTGTCTCTATTTATTTACAAAACAAAGAAAAAAAATGCTAACAATTGCTTAAAAAAATAAAACTTCTGGCCGGGCGCGGTGGCTCACGCCTGTAATCCCAGCACTTTGGGAGGCCGAGGCGGGCGGATCACGAGGTCAGGAGATCGAGACCATCCTGGCTAACACGGTGAAACCCCGTCTCTACTAAAAATACAAAAAATTAGCCGGGCGTGGTAGCGGGCGCCTGTAGTCCCAGCTACTCGGGAGGCTGAGGCAGGAGAATGGCGTGAACCCAGGAGGCGGAGCTTGCAGTGAGCCGAGATCGCGCCACTGCACTCCAGCCTGGGCGACAGAGCGAGACTCCGTCTCAAAAAAAAAAAATAAATAAATAAATAAATAAAACTTCTGTGAGTTTCATAGGGTTGATTCAGAGCTCTCTGTCCCTCACTTTGACAGTTGCACCTCAGTTCATCTGTGGGCAAAGTCTTACATCATCTCTAGGTCTTCTACCAAGCCACCCCTTCTCTAGGTTCTACCTGGGCACCTTTCCTCCTCCAGGCCTTTGCATTGGGTCCTTCTAACTTTAATGACATCTGTTCCCTTTAACAGGCACCTTTACCAATTGGTTGACCAATCATGAGCACCTTTTTAATATAGCCCGAGGCCCTCCCACACCTGTGAACTGTCAGGTGGGCTCCTTATTAAGGTAACTGTTAGGACCAGATACAGGTGGGGAAAAAAACTGTGGAAGGGACTTGAGTAGTTATGTATCCAAATCCCCTCCCCAGCGCAGCATTCTCTCTAGCAACATCCTCGACCGCTGCTCACCCAGCGTCTGCGCCTATATCCAGTGCTACCAGGGTAGCCTGTCCTGGCACTCAGCGGGCTTAGTTCTTATTGTAAGCCAGACCCTGTAACAGTGCTACTCACTGACAAAGTTTTGGCTGCTGTGTCTACGCAGAGCAAGCCTTGCCTGTGTCACAAGACAACCCTCATATATGAAACCCCTTGTTGTTTTCTCTTTTCCAAGTTAAACATCCTTAACAGCCTCAGTGGCTCTGTATATTATGTGCTACTGAGCCTGTTTATTATTATTCTGCTTGTTTCACTTGGAAACAAAATAATTCTTTTTTTTTTTTTGAGACGGAGTTTCGCTCTTGCCCAGGCTGGAGTGCAATGATGCGATCTCGGCTCACTGCACCCTCCGCCTCCTGGGTTCAAGCAATTCTCCTGCCTCAGCCTCCCGAATAGCTGGGGTTACAGGCATGTGCCACCACGCATGGCTAATTTTATATTTTCAGTACAGACAGGGTTTCTCCGTGTTGGTCAGGCTGGTCTCAAAATCCTGATCTCGGGTGATCTGCCCGCCTCAGTCTCCCAAAGTGCTGGGATTACAGACGTGAGCCACCGCGGCCAGCCAATTCTTGCTTTATATAGTGTCTCAGTTTTGGCCAGGTGTGGTGGCTCACGCCTGTAATCTTAGCACTTTGGTAGGCCAAGATGGTAGGATTGCTTGAGCCCAGGAGTTCGAGACCAGCCTGGGCAATATAGCGAAATCATGTCTCTACAAAAAAAATTTTAAAAAGCCAGTTGTGCTTGCCTGCAGTCCCAGCAAGTCAGGAGGCTGAAGTGGTAGGATCACTTGAGCCCAGGAGTTTGTGGCTACAGTGAGCCATGATTGTATCATTGCATTCCAGCCTGGGCAACAGAGTGACTCTCAAAACAAAAAGACAGTGTTTTAGCTTTCTATTGCTGCTGTAACAAATTACCACAAATTTAATGGCTTAAAACAACAAAAAGTCATTATTTTCCAGCTCTGGAGGTAAGAAATGTGAAATGAGTCTTACAAGGCTAAAATCAAGGTATCAGCGGGGCTGGTTCTTTATTTCATCTTCAAAACCTATCACTCCAATTTCCCTTTGTCTCCCTCTTATGCAAGGATACTTGTGATTACATTCAAGGCCCACCCAGATAATTCAGGATAGTCTTCCCACCCCAAATCCTTAAGGTAATCACAGGTACAAAATACCTTTTACCACAGAAGATAGCATTTATAGGTTCCAGGGACTAGGACCTGGATATCTTCGGAGGCCATTATCAGTCTGCCACAGATCCCTCAATCAACTGTGTTAGCGTTTTCATCAACCAAGGCCTTCTTGTCTTATGGTGCTTTTGCCATCAACTAAAACCCTCAGGCAATTTTCCACATGAACAGCTGTTGTGCTGGTCTAACTTGCGATGGTCATGAGAGCTGTTCTTTCTCCTTCTGGATACATGGGAGGAGTGTACTTACCTGCTCCCTCTGGAGTTAGGTGTGATCACGTGACTGGCTTGACTAAGGTGATGCGAAATTTGCTATGTGGCTATTTCCCTCTGTCACTGTGAGCAGCAATGTTCAGATGATTGCTTTCCAGCAGGCTGAATCCAGCAGGCTAAATGCATCAGCTTGGATCCCAGAGTGAGGAAAATGTCGCACAAAGGTGTCAGAGGACCTCGATTCATCTGGGATGTGTTAGGTGAATGAGAAACAAAACTTTCTTACTTACGTCACTGGAATTTTGGGAGTTGTTACCACTGCATAATCTAGCCTATTCTGACTGATACAAACTCTTCCTACAGATAAGTCAATTTTTTTTGAGACGGAGTCTTGCTCTGTCACCAGGCTGGAGTGCTGTGGTGCGATCTTGGCTTGCTGCAACCTCCAGCTCCCTGGTTCAAGCGATTCCCCTGCCTCAGCCTCTCGAGTAGCTGGGATTACACGCACATGCCACCACGCCCAGCTAATTTTTGCATTTTTAGTAGAGACAGCGTTTCATCATGTTGGCCAGGATGGTCTCAATCTCTTGACCTCATGAACCGAGGCCTCCAAAAGTGTTAGGATTACAGGCGTGAGCCACCGCCCAGCCTAAATGAGTCCATTTTTTTTTTTTTTGAGACGGAGTTTCACTCTTGTCACCCAGGCTGGAGTGCAATGGTGCAATCTCAGCTCACCGCAACCTCTGCCTCCCGGTTCAAGCGATTCTCCTGCCTCAGCCTCTTGAGTAGCTGGGATTACAGGCACGCGCCACAACACCTGGCTAATTTTTTTTTTTTTTTTGTATTTTTAGTAGAGATGGGGTTTCATCATGTTGGTCAGGCTGATCTCAAACTCCTGACCTCAGGTGATCTGCCTGCCTCGGCCTCCCAAAGTGCTGGGATTACAGGCATGAGCCACCGTGCCCGGCCAAATGAGTAAATTTTTAAAGTCTAAACAGAGAACTTCCAATTTAATCCTTCCAAAGTGCTGGGATTACAGGCGTGAGCCACTGCGCCTGGCCTAGATGAGTCAATTTCTAAAGTCTAAACAGATAACTTCCCATTTAATCTCACTACATTTCATCTCTTCTGCAGTGACCAAGTCTTCAAGGCTTTTACAACATCTAGGAAATGCGATCCAATCATGCTATATACAATGGATACCTTATCATTTTAAACTGTTAAACATGTTTTTGTGTTTTGTTTTGAGATGGACTCTTGCTCTGTCACCCAAGTTGAAGTGCAGTGGCGCAATCTCGGCTCACTGCAACCTCCACCTCCCCAGTTCAAGCGATTCTCCCACCTCAGCCTCCAGAGTAGCTGGGATTATAGGTGCCCGCCACCACACTCAGCTAATTTTTGTATTTTTAGTACAGACAGGGGTTTCACCATCTTGGCCAGGCTGGTCTCGAACTCCTGACCTCGTGATCTGCCCACCTTGGCCTCCCTAAGTGTTGAGATTACAGGTGTGAGCCACCACGCCTGGCCCGATTTTCAAAGTACTTAGTTAAGTTTGGCAGAATATTTCCATTATTATTCTAGTAGCCCTTTACAAAATTAGTTTAGTATGGCAATTTTGCTCATTAGGAATGCAGTCCAACTCACAGTGATCAATACATTTTGTATATTAAGTGCTCCTGGGTCATCTGATTAAATAATCATTCTAAAATTATACAGGGGTTCATATAAATATTACTAATTTGTATTTTCTGAAACTACCAAAACCCTCAGGTGTTATAAGACATTTCCAGGCAAGGTGCAGTAGCTGACACCTACAATCCCAGCACTTTGGGAGGCCGAGATGGGCGGCTCGCATGAGGCCATGAGTTCCGGACTAACTGGGGCAACATGGTGAAACCCAGTCTCTGCTAAAAATACAAAAATTAGATGGGCATGGTGTTGCACACCCATAATCCCAGCCACACAGGTAACTGAGACATGAGAATTACTTGAACCTGGAAGGCAGAGGTGGCAATGAGCTAAGATCGTGCCACTACACACCAGCGCTGGGGTGACAGAGGAAGACCCTGTCTCAAAAAAAAGAAAGACCATTTTTTTTTTTGAGACGTAATCTCACTCTGTCACCCAGGCTGGAGTGCAGTGGCACGATCTCAGTTTACTGCAAGCTCCGCCTCCTGGGTTCACGCCATTCTCCTGCCTCAGCCTCCGGAGTAGCTGGGACTACAGGAGCCACCACGCCTGGCTGATTTTTTTTTTTTTTTTTTGTATTTTTAGTAGAGACGGGGTTTCACTGTGTTAGCCAGGATGGTCCTGATCTCCTGACCTCATGATCCACCCGCCTTGGCCTCCCAAAGTGCTGGGATTACAAGCGTGAGCCATCGCGCCTGGCCAAGAAAGACCATTTCATAAGACTTAAGGCAGCAAAGTGAAATTACGTTCTCTTCTAGTTCTTTCCGATGGTTTTGGCTTGAGTTAAAAAAAAATCCTGGCCGGGCGCGGTGGCTCACGCCTGTAATCCCAGCACTTTGGGAGGCCGAGACGGGCGGATCACGAGGTCAGGAGATCGAGACCATCCTGGCTAACACGGTGAAACCCCGTCTCTACTAAAAATACAAAAATTAGCCGGGCATGGTGGCGCGCGCCTGTAGTCCCAGCTACGCGGGAGGCTGAGGCAGGAGAATGGCGTGAACCCGGGAGGCGGAGCTTGCAGTGAGCCGAGATTGCGCCACTGCACTCCAGCCTGGGCGACAGAGCGAAACTCCGTCTCAAAAAAAAAAAATAAAAAAAAATAAATCCTGAGCAGAGGCAAATGACATTGGATTTATCAGACCTTACTATATTTCCCTTCTACTACACTGCCTTTCAAAATAATAACATAGAAAGTACCCAAGCATGGCCGAGTGCGGTGGCTCATGGCTGTAATCCTAACACTTTTGGAGGCCGAGGCGAGTAGATCACTTGAGGTCGGGAGTTCAAGACCAGCCTGACCAACATGGTGAAAACCCGTCTCTACTAAAAATACTAGATTAGCTGGGACTGGTGGTGTGCGCCTGTAATCCCAGCTACTTGAGAGGCTGAGGCCAGAGAATCACTGGAACCCGAGAGGCAGAGGTTATGGTGAGCCGCAATCCTGCCATTGCACTCCAGTCTGGGCAACAAAAAAAAAAAAGAAAGAAAAGAAAAAGAAAAAGAAAAAAAAGAAAGTACTCAAGCATAATCGTCCTTGAGGAGAGAAGTGTTGATGCAAAAGACTCTTTATAGAGATGGGGTCTTGCCCTGTTGCCCAGCCTGGTCTCCAACTCCTCAGCTCAGGCAATCCTCCACCTCAGCCTCCCAAAGCACTGGGGTTACAGGTGTGAGCCACTGCACCTAGCCAGAAGCCTCTTTTTCTAATCTTTATATAGTAGCTAAGAGAATTATTATTTTAGTACACTCTGAGGAGCAAGTGTGGCATAGTAATTAAGTTCAATGAATTCTAGAACCAACGTACCAAAATTTAAATTCTGACTTTTTTTTTAAGCCAATTAAATTTAGCAGAGGGGAGTTGTATACTAAATTCTGTCTTTATCACTTACAAGTTTTGTGAGCTTAGACAAATTGCCCAAAGTCTAACACTTGGATTTCTTATGGAATAACAATAGGACCTCCCTCATAGTGTTTTGAGGAGGATTAAAGTAGATAATCTAGGTAAATTGTAGCCGGGCTCGGTGGCTCACGCCTGTAATCCCAGCGCTTTAGGATGCCAAAGCGGGTGGATCACGAGGTCAGGCGTTTGAGACCAGCCTGGCCAACACGGCGAAACCCCATCTCTACTAAAAATACAAAAAAAATTAGCCGGGCATGGTGGTGGTTGCCTGTATTCCCAGCTACTCAGGAGTCTGAGGCAGAAGAATCGCTTGAACCCGGGAGGCAGAGGTTGCAGTGAGCCGAGATTGAGCCATTGCACTCCAGCCTGGGCAACAGAGCGAGACTCTGTCTCAAAAAAAAAAAAAAAAAAATTGCCAGGCGCGGTGGCTCACACCTGTAATCCCAGCACTTTGGGAGGCTGAGGTGGGTGGATCACGAGGTCAAGAGTTCGAGACCAGCCTGGCCAACATGGTCAAACCCCATCTCTACTAAAAATACAAGAATTAGCTATATGTGGTGGTGAGCGCCTGTAATCCCAGCTACTAGGGAGGCTGAGACAGGAGAATCACTTGAACCTGGAAGGCAGAGGTTGCAGTAAGCAGAGATCACACCACTGCACTCTATCTTGGGCGACAGAGCAAGACTCTGTCTCAAAAAAAAAAAAAAAAGATAATCCAGGTAAATTGCACAAAATGAAGTAAGTGTTCAGCAAACGTCTTTAATGTTATGTAAGATTTTCGATTTTCCCTTGTATTGTAGAGTATGGAGCTAGATAATCAATAAATTATTTTGGTGGTCAAGAGTACATTAAAAAGGATCATCTATCTCTTGTCAAACTTTTACATGAGATAAACGAAATGATGAAGAGCTCAGTATACTCCAGATGTTGCTTAGTGCTTGGAGACTTTGGCTACAAATTCCTTTAAAATGTGAGTTTGCATGCCTTTGCAATTTTCTCCCTAACAAATGGCATTGATTCAACATGACTTAGGTTGCAAATACCAGACACTTTTTGATTACTTTCTTTAGTGTCACCTGGCTATCTTAATTGATAGATTAGGAGCAGCAGATCATCAGAGAAGCCCAGGAAATCTCACCATTTCTTTTTGTTTTCTCTGTCTAGGGATTCCAAGTCTTCTGTGTAAGGACATATTTAGAATTCCAAAAGGAAGAGGGGAAAAGAAAAAAACCCTTCAAAGTCACTAATCCAAGATCTTCTGATATTACTTTTAGAGTACTTTAGAGTACCTTTAAAGAAAACAAACTTTTAAAATTCCCCAAAGGACAGCAAGACTATTATTTCTGATAGTTGTAGACTTACTTAAACTTTCATAAAATATTTACGTTAAAAAATCTAAAAGGATGGGGTATGATAATCGAGTTTATTTTTATTTTATTGATCAGTTAATCAAAATAAAGTCCTCTTCAATATCCTTCAGACTAAAGTTTATGCTGACTTTTTGGATGAAAAAAATATATATAATCTTTCCTATCTAACAATATCAATGATATAAAATCATTATTGTTTTCATCTCTAATTCTTTAATTGTACTTATGTGACATATTATATTTACTGAAGAAGTCATCCAACATGGCCTACACATCTATCTTTTAGAGTTTTTTGGTAGAGGATATCTGTCATTCATTTGGGTGGCAGAATGAGGAGTCAGGGCATAATGAAAGGCTGAGTGCCCCGGCACTTTCATCTTTGCACTCATTTTCTGAAGTGCATTCCTTCACGAAATCTCAGTCGGCTCCTCCCTTCCTAAAATAACACTGTGACACTTCAAAATCTACCTCAGCCCTCCCCCACTACCCTAATTGCACATAAAACCACTAAGGGCGCTGTCAGGGCTGGCTACATAATTTATGGGACCTGGTGCAAAATGAAGATGCCTGACCTCTTGTTCCATATGCAGTGGGGGAAGTACCATTAAAAGAACTCAAGAAAAAGCTTTTTCCTTTCTTCTGTACTCTGTCCCTTCACTTGTCATAATGTTTTTTATTTGCTCTTTAATGTCATTCCAAGCTAAACAAAAAATTAAAATTTTAAATTAGGGAGGCTGAGGCAGGAGAATGGCATGAACCCAGGAGGCGGAGCTTGCAGTGAGCCGAGATCATGCCACTGCACTCCAGCCTGTGCGACAGAGCGAGACTCCATCTCATTAAAAAAAAAAATTAATTTCACCATTTTATTTATTTATTTAGAGACAGTGTGAGTCTTGCTCTGTCACCAGGCTGGAGTGCAATGGCGCGATCTTGGCTCACTGCAACCTCCACCACGCTCGGCCTCAACATTCATATTATATCGCACAATGCCCATTTTAAATGAAAATGTCGTGGCTCACGCCTGTAATCCCAACACTTCGGGAGGCCAAGGTGGCCAGATCACCTGAGGTCAGGAGTTCGAGACCAGCCTGGCCAACGTGGTGAAAGCCTGTCTCTAGTAAAAATACAAAAATTAGCTGGGCGTGGTGGTGGGCCCCTATAATCCTAGCTACTCGGGAGGCAGAGGCAGGAGAATCGCTTGAACCTGGAAGGTGGAGAAAGTGAAGGGGAGGGGAGGGGAGGGGAGGGGAGGGGAGGGGAGGGGAGGGAAGGGAAGGGAAGGGAGGGGAAGGGAAATGTTAGAGCATTTAACTCACGCAGAATCACCAAATTACACGGGAAGGGAAATGTTAGAGCATTTAACTCACGCAGAATCACCAAATTACACACTTCATTGTGCACGGATCATGTGTATTTTGTTCTGTCCTTACAAGAACTATGAAGGGCTCGGGGCGGTGGCTCACCCTTGTAATCTCACGGCTTTGGGAGGCTGAGGTGGAAAGATTGCTTGAGGCCAGGAGTTTAAAACTTGCCTGAGCAAGAACACAGGGAAATTTTATCTCTACAAAAAATTTAAAAATTAACCAGGCATAGTGGTGTCTGCCTGTAGTCCCAGCTACCAGGGAGGCTGAGGCAGGAAGATCATTTATGTCCAGGAATTCAAGGCTGCAGTGAGCTATGAGCATACCACTGCACTCCAGCCTGGGTGACAGTGAGATGCTATTTCTAAAAAGTAATTAAAAATTTTTTTTAATGAAAAGCATATTAGTTTGTTTCCATGCTACTGATAAAGACATCCCTGAGACTGGGTAATTTATAAGGAAAAAGAGGTTTAATGGACTCATAGTTCCACGTGGCTGGGGAGGCCTCGAAATCATGGCAGAAGGTGAAAAGGACGTCTTACGTGGCAGCAGACAAGAGAGAATGAGAGCCAAGCAAACGGGTTTCCCCTGTTATAAAATTAAATCTCTTGAGACTTATTCACTACCACAAGAACAGTATGGGGGAAACAGCCCCCATGATTCAATTATCTCCCACCAGGTCCCTCCCACAACACATGGGAATTATGGGAGCTACAATTCAATATGAGATTTGGGTGGGGACGCAGCCAAACCATATCAAAACGGAGCAGTAGAAGTGCGGTACAAAACTCACTCAACCCTTTTAATTTCATGTGTTGATGCAGGAAGATTTTACCACAACTCCATACCTTCCTAATGAGGAAAGAAGGACCTGAAGGAAAAAGAATCCTGCACTGCCCCATCTTTCCCTTTCTTTCTACATCCTCATTTTCAGCACAGGTACTGTGGTTGGCTCATACAGAGCGGTAACATGAATAAGAAAGGCTAGATAGAGCTCCTTGGTTTGTCCTGTTTCCAACATGGAATGACATTTCTTTAGGCATTTGAAGCAGCCTTGATTTGAATGGAAGTGTGGCCTCTTGAGGCCATCAGCAGACCCCCGCACCCCTTAGCTGTAGGCATAATACATTAACCTTGTATTCACTTTGAGTCTCACTGAACTTGTCCACCAGAATTCTGTGCTCAGCAGGCATCATGAACGCTACGTGCAAGGATGGCTGAATACACACAAATCATGCATTTCTTCTCTGCTCACATGCTCCATCGTCCTATCGGACTTCACTTGCAAAATCCAGGTTCAAAGATAAAATTCTGAAGAAATTCAAGCGTGAGGCCCTTGTGAACCGGGCCTGTGCACAGGCAACATGGCCAGGGAGCTGGCCCTGGATGCTGTTCTGTTGTCATTCAGTGGCGGCTCACGCCCAGTATCACAACCACCAGTTAGGCTATAAGAAGTGAGTTGAGAATTAGGGCAACACCACCTAGCCTGTTGGGTCACATCTTTTGGTCACAATCACTTTACTTCAGGGCCTCATCGGCAATTCGCTCTAATCTACTACCTCATTCTGCTTGGGAGGCAAAAGGAGCCACAAGTTAAACATTTCATTGTTTTGGTTATAGAGTGTATGTGGCCAGGTGTGGTGGCTCATGCCTATAATCCCAGCACTTTGAGAGGCCGAGGCGGAAGGCTTGCTTGAGGCCAGGAGTTTGAGGCCAGTCTGGGCAACATACTGGGCAACAATAGAGACAGGGAAGACCCTGTCTCTACTTTTTTTTTTTTTTTCAAGACAGGGTCTTGCTCTGTCATCCAGGCAGGAGTGCAGTGGCACAATCTCAGCTTACTGCAACCCCACCTCCTGGGTTCAAGCGATTCTCCTGCCTCAGTCTCCCGAGTAGCTGGGATTACAGGTGTCCGCCACCACGCCTGCCTAATTTTTGTATTTTTAGTAGAGACAGGGTGTCACCACGTTGGCCAGGCTGGTCTCGAACTCCTGACCTGCCTCCGCCTCCCAAAGGCTGGGATTACAGGTATGAGCCACTGCTCCTGGACCTCTATTTTTTTTTAATAAAAAAATAAAAAATAAAGTATATGCAACAGTTTTTGGACATGAATTCAAAATAAATATGGAGAGATCAGTTTTGATAGTTCACAGGATTCTTTTTGAACAGTGACTTAAGTGCCTAAAATAACACTTTCTCAAGCCTAGAGCAAGTTCACTTACTTTAACGTGCATACAAATTACCTGAGTTACTTGCTGGAAGATATTTTTAAGAAACTCCCTGCCAGGCGCAGTGGTTCATGCCTGTAATCCTAGCACTTTGGGAGGCCGAGGCGGTGGATCACAAGGTCAGGGGCTCGAGACCAGCCTGACCAACATGGTGAAACCCCGTCTCTACTAAAAATACAAAAATTAGCTGGGCGTGGTGGCGGGCGCCTGTAATCCCAGCTACTCAGGAGGCTGAGGCAGGAGAATTGCTTGAACCCGGGAGGCGAAGCTTGCAATGAGCCGAGATCGCGCCACTACACTCCAGCCTGGGCGACAGAGCAAGACTCTGTCTCAAAAAAAAAAAAAAAAGAAACTCCCAGGTACCATTGCCAGATTTGATACTAATATTGCATAAGACATACTTATCCTAAAATGTTATTCGTTGTGTATCTGAAATTCAAATTTAACTGGACGTTCTAAATCTTTATTTGCTAAATCTGGCAACTCCATCCCTAGTGATATTGATGCAGATGGACTGCATATAAAATCCTAAGTTTTCATGAGCTGGAGCTGTTTATAACTCCCTGAAAGCGCTCCCTCAAAGCAGATTTGAGATTTTGGCAGCACTGTCTGTGAGGAGAGTGGATCTGAAGGGTTTCGTATAAAGTTCCATCACGTGGTCAAGTGCAGTGCCTGATGCCTATAATCCTAGCACTTTGGGAGGCCGAGGCTGGTGGATTGCTTCAGTCCAGGAGTTCGAGACCAGTGTGGGCAACATGGTGAAACCCTGTCTCTACAAAAAATACAAAAATTAGCCGGGCGTGGTGGCACGTACCTGTAGTTCCAGCTACTCAGGAGGCTGAGGTAGGAGGATTACCTGAGCCTGGGAAGTTGAGGCTGCAGTGAGCTGTGATTGTGCCACTGCACTCAAGCCTGGGTGACAGAGTAAGACAAAAATAAAAAAATGAAAAATGAAAAATTAAAGTCCCAGCACATTCCCTTCAGCCAGAGATACTATTATCCCTTGAAATATCCCTCTCTCTCGCTTCCATGACTCCTGCTAGTTTCTCTCCTTCTGCATTGGAGTCTTCCCACCAGCCCAATGCAGGGTGCATCCCGGTTTTGTGGGGCCCACAATCCCCCATGCAATTTGGGGGACTCTATGGAAAGTCATACACAATTACAAATACAAAATTAGATAAAGATGAGTATCATGTACAATGAATAAAGAAATCACAAATTACGAATTTTAAAAAGCTTGCTGTTAATGAACACTCATCTATAATAATGTTTTCCTACATTTTTGGGGCTGCATACTCCTTAATCATTTCTTCGAAAGATAGCTTGTTCTGTGATAAATAACATCTTCTGCAGAGAGAATAGAATGATAATTCAGTCTTTCCTCTAGCATGATGAAAAGACATTTGATTTTTATTATTGATAGTGTAAAAGCGTTTCTCTCTACTTCACAAAGTATAAATGGTAATGTCATGTGCATTTTTAAGATCGTTAGCAAATTTGGGCAGACTTCATTTAAATTTCTTTTATATATGAACTGCCAGATTTGGAAGAACTTTATTTTGCTTTATTTCAAACCTAGTTTCTCCTCTGTTGCCAGTGCTGGGCAGCACAGGTCACAGACATTTCTTTTTATTATTTTTTTCTTTTATTTATTATCTTTTTTTTTTTTTTTTTTTGAGACGGAGTCTCGCTCTGTCACCCAGGCTGGAGTGCAGTGGCGCGATCTCGGCTCACTGCAAGCTCTGCCTTCTGGGTTTACGCCATTCTCCTGCCTCAGCCTCCCAAGTAGCTGGGACTACAGGGGCCCGCCACCACGCCCGGCTAATTTTTTTATTTTTTATTTTTTAGTAGAGATGGGGTTTCACTGTGTTAGCCAGGATGGTCTCGATCTCCTGACCTCGTGATCTGCCCGCCTCGGCCTCTCAAAGTGCTGGGATTACAGGCGTGAGCCACCGCACCCGGCCTAATTTACCTATTTATTTGCCTGCTTCATTTTTCCCTCTTATCAGACATTTCTTTTTACTTTTTCTTTACTTTTTTTTTTTGAGACAGAGTCTCACTCTGTTCCCTGGCTGGAGTGCAGTGGCACGATCTTGGCTCACTGCAACCTCTGCCTCCTGGGTTCAAGCAATTCTCCTGCCTCAGCCTCCCCAGTAGCTGGGATACAGGCACCCGCCACCATGCCCAGCTAATTTCTGTATTTTTAGTAGAGATGAGGTTTCACCATGTTGGCCAGGATGGTCTCGATCTCTTGACCTCATGATCAGTCCACCTCTGCCTCCCAAAGTGCTGGGATTACAGGTGTGAGCCACCGCACCGGCCTTCTTTTCTTTTTGAGACAAGGTCTCACTCTGTCGCCCAAGCTAGAGTTCAGTGGCGCAATCAGGGCTCACTGCAGCTTCAACCTCTCGGGCTCATATAATAGATATTTTGTAATAAGATCTCTGGCCATGTGTCTCCAGGTCTCCTTCCTGGTAGAGTCAGCCATGCACTAGGCAGGAATGTTCACTGCAGCACTACCCCCAGACAGCTAGCATTCATTTAAACACAAATGGCTTGGTGCAGTGGCTCATGTTTGCAATCCTAGCCCTTTGGGAGGCCAAGGCAGGAGGATCACTTGAGCCCAGGAGTTCGTGGCCAGCCTAGGCAACATAGGGAGACCTCATTTCTATACATAATTTAAAAATTAACTGGGCATGGTGGCATGTACCTGAGGTCTCAGCTACTCAGGAAGCTGAGGCAGGAGGATTGTCTGAGCCTGGGAGGTTCAGGCTGAAGTGAGCCATGATCATGCCACTGCACTTCAGCCTGCGTGACAGGCCAAGACTCTGTTTCAAAAAAAATACATGGCCGGGTGCGGTGGCTCACACCTGTAATCCCAGCACTTTGGGAGGCCGAGGCAGGTGGATCACGAGGTCAGGAGTTTGAGACCAGCCTGGCCAATATGGTAAAACCCTGTCTCTACTACAAATTAAAAAAAAAAAAAATTAGCCAGGCGTGGTGGTGCGCACCTGTAATCCCAGCTACTCCAGAGGCTGAGGCAGAAGAATCCCTTGAATCCGGGAGGCAGAGGTTGCAGTAAGCCGAGATTGCGCCATTGCACTCCAGCTTGGGTGACAGAGCAAGACTCTGTCTCAAATAAATAAATAAATAAATAAATAAATAAATACAAAAACAAAACACTCCAAAGCACAAAAATATATCCTATGAATGATGGCTAATTTTTTTTTTTGAGACAGGGTCTTACTCTGCTGCCCAGGCTGAGTGTAGTGGAGTGATCACGACTCACTGCAGCCTGGACCTCCCAGGCTCCAGTGATCCTCCTGCCTCAGCCTCCTGAGTAGCTAAGACTACAGATGCACACCATGACACTCAGCTAATTTTTTATTTTTTGTAAAGACAGAGTCTCACTATGTTGCCAGGCTGGTCTCAAACTCCTAGATGCAAGTGATCCAACGGCCTTGGTCTCCCAAAGTGCTGGGATTACAGGCGTGAGCCACCACGCCTGGCCTTGATGGCTAATTTTATATGTCACTTGGCTGGGCCACCAGATATTTGGTCAAACATTATTCTGGATGTGCCTATGAGGGTGTCTTTGGATGAGATTTGCATTTAAATTAGTGGACTTTGGCAAATCAGATTGCCTTCCATAATGGAAAAGGGCCTCATCCAATCAGTTGAAGGCCTTACTAGAACAAAAACTGACTTCCCTTTAAGAGGAAGGAATTCTGCCAGCATTTGAACTACAACTCTTCCCTGGTCTCCAGCCTGCTGGCCTACCCTGCAGATTTTGGACTAAGCAAGCCTCCGCAATTGTGTGAGCCAATTCCTTAAACCAAATCTCTTTCTATATATACACATCCTGTTGGTTCTGTATCTCTGGAAAACCCTGACTAATATACCACTAAACTTCCCCTTACTCAGGTCTCAAGAATCCTCCCGCCTACTCCAATGCCCCCAGAATGCAGGGGGGAGCGTAACACAGCTAACATTGGAAAGCTGAATCTTAAGGTGCATCTATTACAATGAAAACAGCTCATGAAACACTTTCAAAACCATAGGAACACATTGCTAAGGCCCCGCCTAGGCCCTCGAAGCAACTGTACCAGGGAGAGGGCCTCAGACTTAAGTCAGGAGAGCTCCTTGTTCAATTTCCACCCAGTGCCACTGTGTCTGGAGTTTCTTCCTTCTGGTGGGTTGGTGGTCTCGCTGACTTCAAGAGTGAAGCCGACCTCCTCAGCACGTGTTACAACTTTTAAAGGTGCTGTGGACCCAAAGAGTGAACAGCAGCAAGACTTACTGTGAGGAGTGAAAGACTAAAGCTTCCACAGTGTGGAAAAGGAACCTGAACCGCTTGCGGGTGCTGGCGCTGGTGGCCAACTTTTATTCCCTCATTTGGCCCCGCCCACATCCTCCTGATTGGTCCATTTTACAGAGTACTGATTGGGCCATTTTACAGAGCACTGACTGGTCCATTTTACAGAGTGCTGATTGGTGCATTTACAATCCTTTAGCTAGACACAGAGTGCTGATTGGTGCATTTACAATCCTTTAGCTGGACAGAAAAGTTCTCCAAGCCCCCACTAGACCCGGGAAGTCCAGCTGGCTTCACCTCTCACCACCTCCAAAGCTAGGGGTGCTCTTTGCCTCTCTGAGGTCCTCTAACACAGTCAGGTCACACACTGCAATCTGGATACCAAATCTCCCCTTCTTGACAACTCAAAGGCATCCCTCTGGCCATGCTTTTCTCCTCTCTACCAACTTTCGCCTTTCAACTAGTCCATTCCCATAAGCACCCAAGCATGGATGGGTTCTCCTTCTTTGAAATAATAAAATTGTATTTTATTTTATTTTTGAGACAGAGTCTCACTCTGTTGCCCAGACTGGAGTGCAGTGGCGTGATCTCAGCTCACTGCAACCTCCACCTCCCAGTTCTATTGATTCTCGTGCCTCAGCCTCCCAAGTAGCTGGGACTACAGGTGCGCATCAACACGCCCGGCTAATTTTTGTATTTTTTAGTAGAGATGGGGTTTCACCACGTTGGCCAGGCTTGTCTTGAACTCCTGACCTCAACTTATCCTCCTGCCTCAGCCTCCCAAAGTGCTGGGATTACAGGCGTGAGACCCTGCACCCAGCCTCTCCTTCTTAAAATAGAACCTTTCTTTTGTCTTTACTTTTCTCTCCAGGTATTTCCCCATTTCACTAGTTTCCTTTCTAACCAACTCCTAGCAAGTCTGCGCTTAATGCCCTTCAGTCCTCTTCTCCCGATGTCTCTTAAACCCATTCCAATAAGCTTCATAGAAAATAAAGGACCCAGAAATCCCAAGAGCTGTGAAGCCCCTGCACCCACCCTTGCTGGCTCAGTACCTTACTTTAATGAGAGAAGAATAAGCTTCTGCTATTTAAGCCCCGATGTTAGGGTTTTCTGTTTTATTGTGTGTTCATGCCTCTCAGAATCCCCAGGCCATTGGGATGAGGGTGAATTCTTCCCCAGAGAGTTTGCCCTAAAAGGGCTCTACGTATGGGTATGTGCTTAAAATTATTGTTTTTTTTTTTTTTTTGCATGGGTTTTCCTGGGACATTTGACATTTGGGCAGTATATTTAGTTTGCTGGGACTGTCATGACAAAATACCACAGACTGGATGGCATAAACAATAGACATTTATTTTCTCATAGTTGTGGAGGTTGGAAGTCCAAGATCAAGCAGTTGGTGGGGTTAGTTTCTCCTGCGGCCTCTCTCAGGGGCTTGCACTCTCACTGTGCACCTTCTCACTACATCCTTATATGGCCTCTGGTGTGTGAGTATCTGTCATGTCTCTTTGTGTGTCCGAATCCCCCCCCCCTCTTTTTTTTTCCCTGAGATGGAGTCTCTCTCTGTCACCCAGACTGGAGTGCAATGGTGCGATCTCAGCTCACAGCAGCCTCTACCTCCCGGGTTCAAGGAATTCTCCTGCATCAGCCTCCTCAGTAGCTGGGATTACAGGTGCACGCTACTACACCTGGCTAATTTTTGCATTTTTAGTAGAGACAGGATTTCACTGTGTTGGTCAGGCTGGTCTCAAACTCCTGACCTCGTGATCTGCCCCCCTCAGCCTCCCAAAGTGCTGGGATTACAGGCGTGAGCCATCGCGGCTGGCCAAATCTGCTCTTTTTATAGGGACAGCAGTCAGATTGGATTGGGGCCCACCCTAACAGCCTCATTGTAACCTCAACCTCATTATCTCTTTGAAGACCCTGTCTGTAAATCCAGTCACATTTTGAGGTACTGGGTGTTAAGGATTCGACATATGAATTTGGAGGAGGGACATAATTCAGGCCACAACAGATACTATAAATTAAAGTTCTAAATCAGGATTTTTTAAACAGGCTGTTGCCTGTAATCCCAGCAGTTTGGGAGGCTAAGGTAGGAAGATTGCTTGAGACCAGGATTTTGAAGCCAGTCTGGGCAACAAAGGGAGACCCTGTCTCTACAAAAAATTAAAAAATAAATCCAGCTGTGGTGGTACATGCCTGTGGTCTCAGCTACTTGGGAGGCTGACATGGGAGGATCACTTGAGCCCAGGAGGTCAATGCTGCAGTAAGCAGTGATTGCACTACTGCACTCCAGCCTGGACAACAGAGTGAGACCCTGTCTCAAAACAAAACAAAAACAATACAATAAACTCTGCTCGTGTTTATGAGTTTAAGAATTCTCAGGGGAGATTCCATTTTTTACACCAAATCAAAGCCTAAATTGACAAGTTTTTTTTGTCAGGACCTTTGACAAGACTTGGGAATTTTCAGTGCTGTGAATTTCTGAGGGTATAGGCCCTTGAGGGTTCCTGCTTTAGGCAAGAATCTTAGCAGTAACTCAGACCTGGGCTCCTGTTCCTCATTCGCTGGGGAATCACTTGCTATTTGGGGTTTTGCCTTGACTTCCTTTGGGGCTTTTGTGGATTTCCCTTACCTTCTTGTGAGCAGATTTATAAAATTTTTAAGGACACTCTTTGGAGGAATAATTTTAGATTTACAGAAAAGTGGCAAAGATAGTACAGAGAGTTCCGTGTATTGTGTTGACATCTTGGACCATTTGTCAAAACTGAGAAACCAACATGGGTACATCACCATGAGCTAATCCCCAGACTGCATTCAGATTCCACTAGTTTTTCCACAAATGTCCTTTTTCTGTTCCAAGATCCCACCATACATTTAGTCATCAGGTCTCCTTACTTTCCCTAGTCTGTGACAGTTTCTCGAAACTTCCTTATTTTCTTTTTCTTTTTTTTTGAGACAGAGTCTCACTCTGTCACCAGGCTGGAGTGCAACAGTGCCATCTCAGCAACCTCCGCCTCCCAGGTTCAAGCAATTCTCCTGCCTCAGCCTCCTGAGTAGCTGGGACTACAAGCACACGCTACCACGACCAGCTAATTTTTTATTTTTAGTAGAGATGGGGTTTCACCATGTTGGCCAGGATGGTCTTGATCTCCTGACCTCGTGATCCACCCACCTCGGCCTCCCAAAGTGCTGGGATTACAGGTGTGAGCCACTGTGCCCAGCCCCTTCCTTATTTTCAATGACCTTGACAATATGAGGAATACTAGTCAGGCATTTTGTAGAATGTCCCTTAATTTGGACATATGTGCACGTATATGAATTTTATTTTTATTTTTATGTATTTTTTTGAGACAAAGTCTCACTCTGTCGCCAGGCTGTAGTGCAATGGCACTATCTCAGCTCACTGCAACCTCCGCTTCTGGGTTCAAGAGATTCTCCTGCCTCAGCCTCCCGAGTAGCTGGGATTACAGGTGCCCACCGCCATGCCTGGCTAAATTTTGTATTTTTAGTAGGAACGGGGTTTCACCATATTGGCCAGGCTGGTCTCGAATTCCTGACCTAAAGTAATCCACCCGCCACAGCCTCCTAAAGTGCCATATATGAATTTTAAAAGATGCCTAGCGGTCATACTGAGCCTATCGAGGTGCATGTGGGAAGAAATGCTACCTAGTAATGCCATGTGGTGCTGGAAGAGGAAGTTTCTACTCTTGGATTCTACAAGTTACCCAATATGCCGCACATAAATTCATTTCCCCTTGAGTCTCACTTGGCTAAATAAAATAATAATAAATTTTTAAAAGTAAATTCATTTTCCCTCTTACGTTTGCCAGGGTTGGTTTTTCTTGCTTAATTCAAAGAACCGGATGACTAATTCGGAACCTCTAACATATTACCCAGTTACTTTTCCCACAACCCCCGGCCCCGCCCCGTGTCCCCCCAAACCCCCTACCTCCCCTACCCTACTCTTGTCTGTTTTCTGGCAACATCAAATTTATTACATTCTTAACATTTTAAGATTCCTGCAAAACTCATCAGGACTTTTCCCATTTACATCATTCTCTGCGCTTACTCGAATGCCAGTGCCAAGACCACAGGTAGTTTTATGGTTTGCTGGGCATTGCTTTCTGTTCAAATTTCTCTGTTTGTTCTGGGGCAGTGTCTGGAACTAGGGAGCTTGGAATGGGAGGGTGGAGGCAGAATGAGTCTCAGCAGAACTCTATGGCTCAAGGGTAAAGCAGTTGAAGAGGCATGGGGTTGTTTCCAACCAAGGTAAGTGGACAGGGTCAAAAAGAGAAAGCTGTGGGGGGAAAAGGTCACGAAAGTTTTCCAGCCCAGGTGAGAGTGCTCCCAACTGCAAAGACACAAACACACCTGCTTCCCCAGGCAAGAGGGCTGCCTCAGTGCACCCTGCCCCCAGCAGGCAGAAAGGAAACCTTGGACCCAGTGAAACTTGTCCTAGTCATTGTCCTAACAAAGAGCAAAGGCAGCTGACTCTTTTTTTTTTTTTTTTTTTTTTGAGATTAGGTCTTGCTCTGTAGCCCAGGCTGGAGTGCAATGGCGCTATCATGACTTACTGCAGCCAGAACTCCTGGGCTCAAGCAATTCTTCCATCTCTGCCGCCTCGCTAATTTTATTTTTTATTTTTTTATTTTTTTGGTAGAGACAGGGTCTTGCTTTGTTGCCTGGCTGGTGTTGAACTCCTAGCCTCAAGTGATCTGCCCGACTCAGCTTCCCAAAGTGCTGGGATTACAGGCATCAGCCACTGCTCCCAGCTGGGAACTGACATTTTTGAGCATCCACTATGTGGCAGGCACTTCTGTGAAGAGTTTACCTGTCTGATCTAATCCTCAAGACGCTGAGAAATAGGTGGAGGTTATTTCCCAGCTTTACAGTAAACAAAGTGCCAAGGACTGAGTTGCAGAGCCAGGAAGTCTGATTTTGAACCCAGTTCTGTCTGACACCGAAGTTTATGTCCTTTCCGGGCAAGATGGGGCAGAAGAAAGAGGGTAGCTTGAGAAACTTCCTGGAGCTGGAGGCCATAGGTCAATGGTGGGATCTTGGAAAATGAACTTGAATTCTGTGAGTGGAGGTTTCCACATGTATAAAATGGGTAGAATGAAACCTCCCTCACTGGGCTGACATGAACATTAAAGAATGTGATACAAGGCCGGGCACGGTGGCTCACGCCTGTAATCCCAGCACTTTGGGAGGCCGAGGCAGGTGGATCACGAGGTCAGGAGATCGCGACCATCCTGGCTAACACGGTGAAACCCCGTCTCTACTAAAAATACAAAAGAAGTAGTGGGGCGTGGTGGCGGGCGCCTATAGTCCCAGCTACTCAGGAGGCTGAAGCAGGAGAAAGGCATGAACCCGGGAGGCGGAGCTTGCAGTGAGCCGAGATCGCGCCACGGCACTCCAGCCTGGGTGACAGAGCGAGACTCCATCTCAAAAAAAAAAAAAAAAAAAAAAAAGAATGCAATACAAGAGAAGCATGCAGAACAGCGCCCAGCATAATGCTAGCTCTCCTTAACATACTGTAGCGTTGGCCAGGCGTGGTGGCTCACATCTGTCATCCCAGCACTTTGGGAGGCCGAGGTGGGTGGATTACTGTAGGTCAGGAGTTTGAGACCAGACTGGCCAATACGGTGAAACCCTGTCTCTACTAAAAATACAAAAAATTACCTGGGTGTGGTGGCACATGCCTGTAATCCCAGCTACTCGGGAGGCTGAGGCAGAAGAATTGCTTGAACCCAGGAGGCGGCAGTTGCAGTGAGCTGGGATTGTGCCACTGCACTCCAGCCTGGGCAACAAAGTGAGAAAAAAATGTATATATACACACACACACACACACACACACACATATATATACACACACACACACACACACACACATATATATATATATATATATATACTCACACACACACGTATATATACTGCAGCCTTTATAATTAATGGTAATACTAGGAGCAGGAGTAGTATTCAGGTTTGTATTCAAGTCTTTTAGTTAACAATGCTATCATCTCTTCGTTCCCACTCTTTTTTTTTGTTTGTTTGTTTTTGAGACGAAGTCTCGCTCTGTCGCCCCGGCTAGAGTGCAGTGGCGCTATCTCGGCTCACTGCAAGCTCTGCCTCCCGGGTTCACGCCATTCTCCTGCCTCAGCCTCCCGAGTAGCTGGGACTACAGGTACCCGCCACCACGCCCCGCTAATTTTTTTGTATTTTTAGTAGAGACGGGGTTTCACCGTGTTAGCCAGGATGATCTCGATCTCCTGACCTCGTGATCCACCCACCTCGGCCTCCCAAAGTGCTGGGATTACAGGCGTGAGCCACCACACCCAGCCCGTTCCTGTTCTTTTATTTATACAATAACAACAGGCATTATGGGTGCCGAGCACACAGCAGGGAATAAAACAGACAAATCTTCTGCTCTCAAGGAGCTGACTTCCTAACTTTTCCCTGTTATATTTTCCTGACAATAAACACAGTGTATTTGTCTGTTCTTGCACTGCTATAAAGAAATACCTGAGACTGGGTAATTTATAAAGAAAGAGTTTATTTTATTTATTGTTTTTTTTGGAGATGGAGTCTCACTCTTATCACCCAGGCTGGAGTGCAATGGTGTGATCTCGGCTCACTGCAACCTCTGCCTCTTGGGTTCAAGCCATTCTCCTGCCTCAGCCTCCCAAGTAGCTGGGACTACAGGCGTGTGCCACCACGCCCAGCTAATTTTTGTATTTTTTAGTAGAGATGGGGTTTCACTATGTTGGCTAGGCTGGTCTCGAACTCCTGACCTCGGGTGATCTGCCTGCTTCGGCCTCCCAAAGTGCTGGGATTACAGGCATGAGCCACCACACCTGGCCAAGAAAAGAGGTTTAATTGGCTCAGGGTTCTGCAGGCTGTACAGGAAGCATGGCAGCATCTGCTTCTGGGGATGCCTTAGGGAGCTTTTACCCCGGAAGGCAAAGCAGAAGCAGGTGTCTTACATGGCAGGAAGAGGACCATGGGCGGGGACATGACATACCACACACTTTTTTTTTTTTTTTGAGACAGAGTCTTGCTCTCTTGCCCAGGCTGGAGTGCAGTGGGTGCAATCTCCGCTCACTCCAACCTCTGCCTCCCGGGTTCAAGCAATTCTCCTGCCTCAGCCTCCTGTGTAGCTGGGATTACAGGCATGTGCCACCATATCTGGCTAATTTTTGTATTTTTAGTAGACGTGGGGTTTCACCATGTTGGCCAGGTTGGTTTTGAACTCCTGACCTCAAGTGATCGGCCTGCCTCGGCCTCCCAAAGTGCTGGGATTACAGACATGAGCCACCGCACCCGGCCTGTGTCACATACTCTTTTTGTCCCCCCTGAGATGGAGTCTAGCTATGCCACCCAGGCTGGAGTGCAGTGGCACGATCTTGGCTCACTGCAACATCCACCGCCCAGGTTCAAGCAATTCTTCTGCCTCAGCCTCCTGAGTAGCTGGGATTACAGGCACCTGCCACCACACCAACCTAATTTTTGTATTTTTAG
This sequence comes from Homo sapiens, assembly GCF_000001405.40. Taxonomy (NCBI): domain Eukaryota; kingdom Metazoa; phylum Chordata; class Mammalia; order Primates; family Hominidae; genus Homo; species Homo sapiens. The sequence continues at coordinate 16,950,079 of NC_000005.10, read as the reverse complement.
TAGAGATGGGGTTTCACTGTGTCGGCCAGGCTGGTCTCGAACTCCTGACCTTGTGATCTGCCCACCTCGGCCTCCCAAAGTGCTGTGATTATAAGAGTGAGCCACCGCACCCAGCCTTTACCACATACTTTTAAACAACCAGATATCACAAGACTTCACTCACTATCTCAACACAGTACCAGGAGAAAATCTGTCCCTATGATCCAAACACCCCACCAGGCCTCACCTCCAACATTGGAGATTACAATTCGACATAAGATTTGGGTGGAGACACAGCTTCAAACCATATCACATGAAAACACTGTAAACAAGTAACCAGGGATCAGCACATCTCTTCTTAAAGGAAGGGATAATAAATATTTTTTAGACTTTGAAGGTCATATGGTCTCTGTTGCAATTACTCAACTCTGCCATCAGAGTGAAAAACAGTCTTGAACGATGTGGAAATGAATGGAAGTGTTTTAATAAAACTTCATTTCTGCAACAGGCTTTGTGCCAAATCGGCCCCTTGAGCTTCAGTTTGCTGACCCCTGGGGGAAAAAGAAAAAAAGCATACATAATATCATTTCATCGAGTGATGAATGCTGTGAGGAACATCAGGTGGGGTGGGGGTAGGTAGGACTGATGTGTCAGTGCAGAATTAGATAGGCTGATGGGATAACATGTGAGCTGAGTCCTCAGTGAAGAGACAAGGCAGTCATGCAGAGTGAGTGGGGGTAAGTGGAGGGTGAGGAAACACTGCAGGTGATAGAAACACAAGTGCAAAGGCCCTGAGATAGGATCAAGCTGCATGGCTGCTGTGCTCTGGGCACAGGGAGGCCGATGTGGTTATGGGGTGGGGATTGGAGGAGACAGAGGCAGGAGGCAGGTCCCAAAGTGCTTTATCAGCCTCAAAAGGATCTGGTAGGTGGGGCGCAGTGGCTCACGCCTGTAATCCCAGCACTCTGGGAGGCCGAGGCTGCTGGATCACCTGAGGTCAAGAGTTCGAGACCAGCCTGACCAACATGGCAAAACACCATCTCTACTAAAAAGGCTGAGGCAGGAGAATTGCTTGAACCCGGGAGGCAGAGGTTGCACTGAGCCGAGATCATGCCACTGTACTCCAGCCTGGGCGACAGAATGAGAATCCATCTCAAAAAAAACCCAAAACAAAACAAAAACCAACCTAGGCTACATGGTGAAACCCCCACAGCTACAAAAAAAAGAAAAAAAAATTAGCCAGGTATGGTGGTGCAAACCTGTAGTCCCAGCTACTCAGGAGTCCAAGACAGGAGGATTGCTTGAGCCAGGGGGTGGAAGTTGCAGTGAACCAAGACTATGCCGCTGCACTAGAGCCTGGGCAACAGAGCCAGATCCTGTCTCAAAAATAAAATTAAAAAAAGAAACAGAAAACTCCCTCATTCAAACCCCTCTCCATCTCACAGTCTTCTCTCTCCCTACCTCTCTGGAGCTCTACACCTTTTTATCTTCTTCTGAATGCCCAAAATTACCCTTCCTTTTCTTCCTGAAGGCTCAGGTTCATCTCTCCCGCCCTGTGATGGTTGAAACTACCACTGCCACCATGGAGATGCCTTCTCCTCTGAGGCCCAAAATCTCTTATCTTCTTCAGCAATCACCTCAAGCTCCTTTTGTCTGTGCATGCATTTGTGTGATCTCTTCGGCTAGATGAAAAATTGGTTATGCATTACTTCATTTGTTGAGTCTAAACCTGCCAAGGGCAAGTACAGTAACCTACGAAATAGCAGATGTAGGCCAGGCGCGGTGGCTCATGCCTATAATCCCAGCGCTTTGGGAGGCCGAGGTGGGTGGATCATGAGGTCAGGAGATCGAGACCATCCTGGCTAACACGGCGAAACCCTGTCTCTACTAAAAATACAAAAAAAAAAATTAGCCGGGTGTGGTGGCGGGCGCCTGTAGTCCCAGCTACTCGGGAGGCTGAGGCAGGAGAATTGCTTGAACCTGGGAGGCAGAGGTTGCAGTGAGCTGAGATTGCACCATGGCACTCCAGCCTGGATGACAGAGAGAGACTCTGTCTCAAAAAAAATAATAAAAATAAAAAAACAAACAAAAATCAGCCATGGTGAGAGTATTTACACCAGAGAAACTGGTAAGTGTTGCAGATCACAGCTAACCTCTCCAAAGAGTCAATTCTCCAATGTTAACCAGCATACTACTAATTTTAAACCAGTTGAATGGGAGTTTAAAGCAAACTTTCCAGTTTGTCTTTTATGACTCCACCCACACACTCTCTGCCCTAAGCGCTCTGAACTTGGTACCCTTTGCTAAAAATGCTTCTCATACCTCTGGGTCCTTCCATATGCCATGTGCCTAGAATGTGCTTTCCTGTCTTCGCCATTTGGTGGACTCTGACTCGTCCATGGAGCCCTGGTTCAAGTACAGCTTTCTTTGGGAATTTTCTTCTGACTCCCTGTATGAGTTTGCTAGGGATGTCATAACAAAATAACACAGACTGGGTGGGTTAAACAACAGAAATTCATTTTCTCACAATGCTGGAGGCTGGAAGTCCAAGATCAAGGTCTCAGCAGGGTTGATTTCTCCTGCAGCCTCTCTCCTTAGCTTGCAGACAGCTGCCTTCTCACTGCATCCTCATGTGGTCTTTCCTCTGTGAGTGAGCATCCCTGGTGTTTCTCTGTATGTCCAAGTCTCCTCTTCTAAGGATAGCAGTCAGAATGGATTAGGGCCCTATATTAGTCCATTTTCACACTGTTGATGAAGACATATTGAGACTGGGCAATTTACAAAAGAAAGAGGTTTTGAAATTGTCCCTAAAAGAGCAGGCAGGTTCATTTTTCCTCCTTCCTTATTCCTGCCATGCCCTGCTGCCGAGGAAGCAAGGTTGCCTTCCTGATGGGTGAGGCTGAGGGCCACACCAGAATACTGGTGAGAGAACTGCAAGGAGCTGGTGTCCTGAGTACCTTAAGGAACATCCCTGTCCTCCAGCCTTTTAAAAAAATTATTGTATTAGTCCATTCTCATACTGTTATAAAGAGCTACCTGCAACTGGGTAATTTATGAAAAAAAGAGGTTTATTTGACTCACAGTTCCACAGGTTGTACAGGAGGCATGGCTGGGGAGGCCTCAGGAAACTTACAATCATGGTGAAAGGTGAAGGGGAAGCAACTACATCTTCACATGACCAGCAGGAGAGAGAGAGTGAAGACAGAAGTCCTCCACACTTTTAAACAACCAGATCTTATGAGAAGTCACTCCCCATCACAAGAACAGCAAAGGGGGAAGTCCACCCCCATCATCTAATCACCTCCCACCAGGCCCCTCCTCCAGCACTAGAGGTCACAATTCAACACGAGATTTGGGTGGGGACACAGAGCCAAACCATATCCATTATTAATTTTTAATTTATATAAATAGAGACGAGGTCTCACTGTGTTGCCCAGGCTGGTCTTGAACTCCTGGGCTCAGGTGATCTGCCTACCTTGGCCTCCCAAAGTACTGGGATTTACAGGTATGAGCCACCATGCCCAGCACTCCACCCTTCATGAGAGAAAAATAAGCATATTTGCTTTAAGTCACTGTTTTTGTTTTGTTTTGTGTTGTTTTTTTTTTTAAGACAGAGTCTTGCTCTGTTGCCCAGGCTGGAGTGCAGTGGCTCACTACAACCTCCACCTCCCAGGTTCAAGCGATTCTCCTGCCTCAGCCTCCCGAGAAGCTGGGATTACAGGCATGCACCACCACACCTGGATAATTTTTGTATTTTTATTTTTATTTTGAGACAGAGTCTCACTCTGTTGCCCAGGCTGGAGGGCAGTGGTGCGATCTCAGCTCACTGCAACCTCCACCTCCCAGGTTCAAGTGATTCTCCCGCCTCAGCCTCCCGAGTAGCTGGGATTACAGGCACCCGCCACCACGCCCAGCTAATTTTTGTTATTTTTAGTAGAGATGGGGTTTTGCCATGTTGACCAGGGTGGTTTTGACCTCTGACCTCAGGTTATTCACCCACCTTGGCCTCCCAGAGTGCTGGGATTACAGGTGTGAGCCAGTGTGACTGGCCTAATTTTTGTATTTTTACAAATACAAAAAAAAAAAGTAGAGACGGGGTTTCACCATGTTGGCCAGGCTGGTTGAAGTCACTGTTTTTTAAACATTTCTATAAGGTACCAATGAAACATGTCATTCTGTAACTTTTCTTTTACATATTCATACCTCCACATTAATACCGATATATTAATCATTTTTGCTGTTTGATAGTATATTGAATTAAAAATGGCCACAATGGAAAACAGTCTGGCAGTTCTTCAAAAAGTTAAACATAGAATTACCATGTGATTCAGCAATTCCACTCCTAGGTATATTCCCCACATAACTGAAAACAGGTACATGAATGTTCGTAGTAGCACTATTCACAGTAGCCCCAATGTGAAAACAACCCAAATGTCCATCAACGGATGAATGGATTGTAAAAATGAGGTATATTCATATAATGCAAGGGTGTCCAATCTTTTGGCTTCCCTGGGCTGCAATGGAAGAAAAATTGTCTTGGGCCATACATAAAACACACTAATGATATAGCTAATGAGTTTTTTAAAATTGCAAAAAAGAAATCATAATGTTTTAGGAAAGTTTACAAATTTTTGTTGGGTGGCATTCAAAGTCATAGGTTGGACAAGCTTGATATAATGGAATATTACTCAGGTGATAAAAAGGAATGAATTCACAACATGGATGAACCTTGCAAACACTATGCTGAATGAAAGAAGCCAGTCTAAAAGGTCACCTATTGCATGATTCCATTCACATGAAATATCCAGAATAGGCAAATCCACAAAGACAGAAAACAAATGAGTGGTTAATGGAGGCTAGGGGTTGACAGGAATCAGAGAAGTAATGAGTATTGGTTTAGTTTTGGAGGGATGAAAATATTCTGGAACTAGAGAGTGGTGATGCTCGTACAACACTGTGAATGTACCAAATGCCACTGAATTGTACACTTGAGAATGCTAAATTTGGAGTTATGTGAATTTTACCCTTCCCTCTCCCACCAGTGGCCACAGATTCCTTGCAATTCCTTCCATCAAGACAGTCTGGGATCTGGGCCAAGCTCCGTGGCTCACGCCTGAAATCTTAGCACTTTGGAAGGCCAAGGCAGGCAGATTGCTTGAGTCTGGAGTTCGAGACCAGCCTGGCCAACATGGTGCAACGCTGTCTTTACTAAAAATGTAAAACAAATTAGCCAGGCATGGTGGGCTAAGGCAGGAGAATCTCTTGAACTCGGAAGGAGGAGGTTGCAGTAAGCTGAGATCATGCCACTGCACTCCAGCCTGGGTGACAGGGTAAGAACCTGTCTCAAAAAACAACAACAAAAAAAGAGTCTGGGGTCTGAGGTCTGGGGTCTGGGCTGGCTTTATGTCAGGCTTCGACCAATTAAATATGGCAGAAGCAACTGCACAAGGTCTTGCAGCTTTTGCTGTCATCCTAATGCATTCCTGAGACTGTCGTAGTGTAAAGGCCACGTGGAGAGAGTGAACCAGCTATCCAAGCCATCCCCATGAGCTCCTGTCCTGTGCGGGAGGCCATCCTAGATCACAAGACACAGCTGAGCAGCTAACTGACTGCAGTCACCCGAGAGAGCCCAGATAACAGCACAGAGGTCAAGCCCCATCAAGAAATAACAAGTCATTGTCTTCAGCCACTTAGTTTTAGGTGGCTTGTTATACAAAACAGACAACTAACACAAAGAGTATGTCACTATGCACATTTACCATAGTTTGCTTAACCTATCTCCTTCTGAGAGGCTTTTAGGTTGTGTCCAGGTTTTTAACCAACTTTCTTTCTCTTTCTTTCTCTTTGTTTCTTTGTTTCTTTCTTTCTTTCTCTCCTTCCTTCCTTCCTTCCTTCCTTCCTTCCTTCCTTCCTTCCTTCCTTCCTTCCTTCCTTCCTTCCTTCCTTCCTTCCTTCCTTCCTTCCTTCCTTCCTTCCTTCCTTCCTTCCTTCCTTCCTTCCTTCCTTTCTGACGGAGTTTTCACTTGTTGCCCAAGCTAGAGTGCAACGGCACGATCTCGGCTCACTGTAACCGCGCCTCCTGGGTTCAAGCGATTCTCCTGCCTCAGCCTCCCGGGTAGCTGGGATTACAGGCGCGCCACCAGGCCCAGCAAATTTTTTTGGTATTTTTAGTAGAGACAGGGTTTTACTATGTTGGCTAGGCTGGTCTCCAACTCCTGACCCTCAGGTGATCTGCCTGTCCCGGCCTCCCAAAGTGCTGGGATTACAGGCATCAGCTACCTCTCCCAGCCAGGTTTTTAACTTTTCTAAACAATTTTGTCCGGATATTCTTATATAAACAACTCTGTGCACTTAATTGATTTTTCCTAATACTTCAGCAGCACACACTTGCATTTGATGGAAGCTCTGGAAATAAAAAATCCAAAAATATTCTCAACTCATTCCAGAAGCAAAATTAATAGTGGTGATATCAGGCAATTTTCGGTGGGGAAAACAAAGCCTCACTAATAAGAGTTTACATAAAATTGGCCCTGTGATGAACCCCATGAATCTTAGTCTCAACTTTCTTGGGCGGCCAGCCTCTTGTTGTTTTGTATTGCTCTCCATTTTATATTGTTTTGTTTTGTTTTGTATTGCTTCCCTTTGGGTGGGTGGGATCCCTGGAGATGTACATAATTTGATTTTAAAAATTATGAAAACATTACCTCTGCCATGACCTGAACCACTGAAATTGATGCTCTGAGTCTCCCTGGTCTCCTCATAGTTTGTTTCCTAGATTAAACCCACAAATGAGGGTATCGATTAATAAAACCGAAGTCACATATGTAAAGCAAGGGAGGCTTTGATGGGGATAGACCTGCATGTGTGTAAGATCATCAGAAGATTTAGGGCAGCTCTGAAAGACAGATACCCTCTCATTACAGTGACTGAATTATGACTATTACATTAATAGATATAGGGAAGTTGATAGAAGTTGATGGGAGAGTGAAGAAGGTTTTGAAGTGTGAGAAGAACCTCACTAGGAACAATTCAACGAATGGTTGGAAATGTAGTTGGGATTTCTTCTTCTTCTTCTGCTTTTTTTTTTTTTTTTTTTTTTTTTTTGAGACAGGGTCTGGCTCTGTGGCACAGGCTAGAATGCAGTGGTGCTATCTCCACTCACTGCAGTCTCCAACTCCCAGGCTCAAGTGATCCTCCCAAGTCGCTGGGACTAACAGGCATGCGCCCCCACACCTGGCTAATTTTGTTGCTGTTGTTTTTGTTGCAGTAGAGATGGCGTTTTTCTATGTTGCCCAAGCTAGTCTCAAACTACTAAGCTCAAGCAATCCACCTGCCTCAGTCTCCCAAAGTGCTAGGATTACAGGCATGAGCCACGGTACCTGGCCTGTGGCTGGGACTTCTTATAGCTTGAATTATAGATTTGGGGATCATTTATGAAGACATGGCAGGTGAAGTACAGAGAATTAATGGTGAGAACATAAGAATAGGGGGAAGAACATGTGCTCGGGATCCACCATACTTTGGAGGGAGAAGGAGAAGGGGAGCCTACAAGGGGAAGAAAGTGGTCAAAGAGATGGGAGAGCCAGACAAACAGAGGGTCACAAAAGCTAAAAATAACCAGCTTCATGATTTGTAGCACCCTATGCAAAATGAAAAGGCAGAGCCGTTTGTTCAACAATTATTAAGAATATTGGCCGGGCATAGTGGCTCATGCCGGTAATCCCAGCACTTTGGGAGGCCGAGGCAAGTGGATCACTTGAGGTCAGGAGTTCGAGACCAGCCTGGCCAACATGGTAAAACCCCATCTCTAGTAAAAATACAAAAATTAGCTGGGCGTAGTGGCCCGAGCCTGTAATCCTAGCTACTTGGGAGGCTGAGGCTCGAGAATCGCTTGAACCCAGGAGGTGGAGGTGGTTGCAGTGAGCGGAGATCATGCTGCTGCATTCCAGCCTGGGTGACAGAGTGAGACTCTGTCACAAAAAAAAAAAAAAAAAAAAAAAGAATATTAATGGCCATTGCAGTGGCTCACATCTGTAACCCCAGTGTTTTGGGAGGCCAAGGTGGGAGGATCTCTTGAGGCCAGGAGTTCAAGGCTGCAGTGAGCTATGATTGTGCCACTGTACCCTCTGTCTAAAATGAAAATTCTTTTGTGCTTACTTCGGCAGCACAAATACTAAAATTAAAGCAAGACAGAGAGAAGATTAGCATGGCCCCTGTTCAAGGATGACATACAAATTCATGAAGCAGTTTATATTTAAAAAATATATATGTTGAAAACTTTTCAGGCCAGTCACGGTGGCTCACGCCTGTAATCCCAGCACTCTGGGAGGTCGAGGCGGGTGGATTACCTGAGGTCAGGAGCTTGAGACCAGCCTGGCTAACATGGTGAAACCCTGTCTCTACTAAAAATTCAAAAAATTAGCTGGGCATGGTGGCGGGCACCTGTAGTCCCAGCTGCTCAGCAGTCTGAGGCAGGAGAATCACTTGAACCTAGGAAGCCGAGGTTGCAGTGAGCGGAGATCACGCCATTGCACTCCAGCTTGGGCGACAAGAGTGAAACTCGGTCTCAAGAAAATAAAATAAAATAAATTATTTTTGGCTGGGCGCGGTGGCTTACGCCTGTAATCCCAGCACTTTGGGAGGCGGAGGCGGGCAGATCACCAGGTCAGAAGATGGAGACCATCGTGGCTAACATGGTGAAATCCCGTCTCTACTAAAAAAATACAAAAAAATTAGCTGGGTGTGGTGGCAGGGGCCTGTAGTCCCAGCTACTCCAGAGGCTGAGGCAGGAGAATGGCGTGAACCCGGGAGGCGGAGCTTGCAGTGAGCTGAGATCGCGCCACTGCACTCCAGCCTGGGCAACAGAGCGAGACTCTGTCTCAAGACTCCCAGCCTCCTCAGTAGCTGGGACAACAGGCGCCTGGCTAATTTTTTGTATTTTTAGTAGAGATGGGGTTTCACTGGGTTAGCCAGGATGGTCTCGATCTCCTGACCTCGTGATCCGCCCGACTCGGCCTCCCAAAGTGCTGGGATTACAGGTGTGAGCCACCACGCCCGGCAATTATTTTCATTTTTAATTATTATCAATACATAGTGTATATATTTATGGGGTACATGTAATGTGTGGATACAGGCATACAATGTGTAATAATTGCATTATTTGTAATTGTGATTAGGGTATTCATCGCCTCAAGAATTTATCATTTCTTTGTGTTATGAACATTACAATTCCACCCTTTTAATTAATTAAAAATATGCAATAAATTATTGTTGCTGTAGTCACCCTGTTGTGCTATCAAATACTAGTTCTTCATTCATCCTATTAAGAAAAAGTTGTATTTGCTGTTATCTGATGCCTAACAAAAAAAATAAGTACATAAATACGTAAAATAATTTTAAGATAGGAACAACAGAATATTAAACCAAGCGTGAGGAGCTTAGGGCTCTATACAATTAACTATATGGGTTGCACACCTATGAAGCTTGCCCTGAAGCTAAGAAGTTAAAGAATTTTTAAAGAGGGGAATGTCAAGGAGAGTGAAATTGGAAAACAGGCTGTTGAATTTGATGATTTGAGGTTACAGAGACTTTCAAGAGAGTGGGGTGGGGGACAAAAATCAGATCATGAGGGGTTTAAGGGTTGATTGCTTGGAGGATGAAGTACAGCAGTGAGAAGTTGGGCATTTGAAGAGAGATGGTCCAGTAGTTCAGAGAGCAATTGGGTTAACGAGCAGCTGTTTTCAAATAGAGCCGACACGATCTTGTTTATTGGCTTGGATACTGAGTGGGAAAGGCTGAAGATGCAAGCAAGAGGAATAAGTGAGGACACAAGGTTTGGAAGTGGCAAACATGTTGTGATTAACAATAATGGTAGAGAGATGATAAACTTTGCAGTCAGTCTCTGAGCCACCCTGGAGTAATGGAAGAGAGAGGGTCATAAAGACACAAAAACATCAAGAGAGAAAGCGAGATGTCAAACATAGCTCCGAGCGGGCTTAATCATTAGGCAGCTTTTCAGGGTTTCAGGGATTTTTGTACTTTTTCTTTATTATACGCAACAGGACCAGCCCCAAACATGAAAACTGATTAATTTGTGAAACTAACACTCCATGATTTTTGTAGGCTATCAGCTGTAGGAGGCATTCTTGCTGTAGTTTGAAGTGATGGGGATTTAGTTAGAATTAACTGTCCATCACATGCTCTCTAATGAGGTGAATGACATCCTTGCCCTAGCTCATCTTGTAGAGAAATACAACCGCTGGCAGAAATGAGTTCTTCCAGTGTCTTCTCCCCATTTTAGTTCTATGTTTATTCTTCTGTACTTACTTCTATTACAATGTGAAACATTTCAGGTATTTTCTCCCAAATTTATTCTATTGAAACCACCTACAATTGTTTTCAGTTTCAGCAGAAAAAAATTCCCTTGAGGATTTCTGAATGCTAAGGTATGAGAAATAAAAGAAACACTTGTGTAAAAATTTAAATCACATTAAAAAAATTCCCTTTTGTTTGAGAAGGTAAAAACATTTGATGTTTTAAACATCCAAGAGGGTAAGTGAGCCCAAAGGATGGACTGCTGTTTAGTTAAGCATGAAAGGACTTTAGAATTGTCAGTTATTAACTTCTAATTTGTGTGAAAGAAACTTTGAGAACTTTCCCTTTCTATAACTAGTAATTAAGCCATTATTCTAACAGGGGCAATTAAGGGGTGAGTGTTTAATAAAAAAAAAAGATAATGGAAAAGACTCTACGCCCCAAGACACATCAAGACAAGGAATGGCAGCAGCAGCAACAACAAAAGGAACTCAGTTTGAATTCACAAAGGAAATGAGACAACCCGTTTCAACTAAAAACGAACAAACTGTTGGTGGAGAACAAAAACAGAAGATTGTTATTACTTAACTCACAAATATACATATGCAACTCTCTCTTTCAGTGGGGAAATGATCCAATCAGTATTAAAATTTTGTTGATTGTAGATTAATGTATGCCACTAAATAAGATAACTTAACTTGAGCTTTTGGGGGTGTTTTATTTTGAAAATGTCATACTCTGTTAGCCTGGTTTATTTGAAAGACAGGTAGGACAGAGAGTTGAGACAGACCTTTGCCTCATGGAAACACACTCATCCTTCTATTATTACCATTCTTGTGCCTCTGTCGCTTCTCAGAGGGCAGGGTTTAATAGATTTGGTCTAAACTGCTTTGTCCAGTGGTTAGCACAACTCTCTCAGAGGAAGCACTCAAATTTTAAGAAATGGTAATAAGACTAGATATTCTTAGAAATCTATTGATTTAAAATGCTTCCCAGTCTCTGTCCAATCCTGTCAAAGCCCTTATAAATTTAACACGCTGCTTTTTAACAACTGATTCAACCCCAGATACTTGAGGGTTAGATATCTTATTTAGAACATGCATTTTGCTGTTCAGCAAGTAAGAGTTTCGCTGCCACAGCTTATCTTACACCTTTTTGAGAATATGGGGATATATAGAAAAGCTGATGAATTCTGATAAAGTGGCGATTCCCAAGCTCTGAACTGGTTATCGGGGTGCTTATTAAAATGCAAATTCTTTCAATATAATCCACAGGTAAAGAAATAAAAAATGCAAATTCTTAGGAAATCAATTTGCCACAGAGATTTGGAGTCAGTTTTTTTTTCTTTTTAGCAACTGATAAGGTGATCTAGGGATCAACATTGATAAAACATTGATGTAAGTTTTTTTTTTTAACTTTCTTACCCTGTTAACTGATGATGTAAGCTTTTTGAAGAAATAAAATGATTCAGTAAAATCTAAACTTTATATATTGGATCTGGCTCACCATTCTTTACGTGAGTCAAATTGGGGGCAATTATTAACGATATCTTCATAATTGGCAGGAAAATCACCTTTAAAAGATTAGTAGACTTTAAAAAAACAGTTTTAGGCTTACATAAAAATTGGCCAGAAAGTACAGAGAGTGTCCATAGACCCCTCCCAGCCCCTCACCCTCACTTGCCCCTATTATTAACATGTTGCATTAGTGTGGTACATTTGTTATAACTGATGAGCCGATATGGAAAGTGACTTTTGAAATGACATGGCGAGGTTGCCCAACGTATCAGTGGCTGGGCTGATGCTGGGAACCACGTCACACCCACACACTCACTTCAACAATCTCCCTGGTAATTTCTCTGGCAGAGATGTTGTGTGCAGATTAATACCATAATGACTGTAATTGTTCTGCTCCAGTATCTGAACACCAGTGGTTGCAGGACCCATTTGACTAAGCACTGGGATTGTTGGTATTTATCCTGACTCCATCTTCACTTTCCTTGCGACCTTGGACACAAGCTTTAATGGCTCAGCGCCTTAAGCGTGTAAACCTGTGAAACAGAACAACATTGCACAATATCATTAACTAATTTACACCTTGACTCTTTCTAAAGGGAAGTGAGGTGGGAGCAATGATATTAATGGTGAAGAACTGGACTGGGATAAGTTACAAACATGCTTGACTTTCCCCATAAGGATTACAGAAGGATGTTTCATTCATTCATTCATGCTGTGAGACAGCCTGGGGATACTCATCTTAAAGCACAGTCCTTCCCCAACAGTCTTAGGAATAAATCCTAGAGTGGGCATCTAGCCCAGTGGTTACGGGGAGCTTGGGTGGGGTGAGTGGAGTAGCATCTTTGGGAAGGGTTCCTTCCCCTGGAAGGTGTGACTTTGTGAGCTGAGTTTTAAAGGTTGAGTAGCAGTTGGCAAATTCCCTGGAGAGAGCATCTCAAATCTTTTGTGCTGAAGAACCAGCCATTTTTGTTCCCAGTCGGCCAGGTACCAATACACTGCGGCGCCAGGTGTGACTCACCACGTGAGTCTGACAACACCCAAACTGGTTTATACTCGGTTCAAAGAGTCCACTGATCATGTGCTTGGATGTCGTGGCATTATTAAATTGCTACAAACGTTTACTCTTAATTTCTCTACTTGTTACAAGCTTTCGTTCAGCACAGGACCAGGTAGCACCTGAGGGGCACCTGGAAAGCAGATTGTTCCAGCCTGCGTTCTAACAAGGTTCCCAGGTGACCCTCGCACAGCATAAAGTTAAAAGAACTGCCCTAGGGGAAACGGGACTCAGTGCCAGGTGGGTTTGATCATTCGTCCATCTCAGTGCCATCTGCCATCTCTGCTTCCTTGAGGTCTAGAAAAGGGTTACATTTTTAAAGGTGATATTGGCCACGTCCCCTTCCAGTTTCAAAACTACATTTCCCCGCTGTTACGCAAACGTCTTAAGCAAACCCGACTGCAGGACAGAAAGTCAACACGGGAATGCAGCTTCCAGAAATTCTGATTAGCCTCCGTCTTCCGCTTTGATCTGGCCCCGCAGCCCCGGCAGCTCCGCTGACCGCGCTTCCTTCCCGAGATTGCTAGTCTACCGGGCTGCATTAATGAGATCCGTGTTGAGCCGGTTCCCGGGTCTGCTAAACATGAAAGGCACAGAAGCCCCCAGTCCCTTCTCCTCCCCTCTAAGTGATTGTTTAGTCTCTCTCTGCAGAGGGAAGAGTTAAATCCCCTCCCCACGCCTACGTGGGAAGACCTGGGGAAACACGCGGCCCCCTCCCGGGTCCGCTAACGAGCCTGCGGCTGCTTCGGGCTTAGAGTGGGCGGGGCCTGGTCGGGAAGGGGGCGGGGCGCTCCGCCCGGGCGGGGCCAGACGGTGTGGTTGGCGGAGGGCCAAGCTCCTGGGGGCGGGGCCGCGAGCGGGAGGGCGGGGCCGGCTGCGGGAGGGCGGGGCCGGCTGCGGGAGGGCGGGGCGAGGTCGCTGGGCTGTAGTCCCGCGGGCGAGAGCTGGCTGAGCCGCGGCGCGGGACTGCTCACCTCCAAGCGCTCGCGCGGGGATCGCGGCTCCTGCTCACTTTGCGGCCCGCTGTCCTCCTGCCCGCCCCGAGGGCCCCCGGCCGGAGCGCAGAGGGAGGGGGCCGCGCTCGCCAGCACCCCGCCGCCTTCCCCCGCCTGGGGGAAGAATGTGCCACCAGCTGTTCTCCGCTTGCGAGCGCTGCGCCCAGTAGTGAGGAACTTGGAGGAAGAAGAGACAAAGGCTGCCGTCGGGACGGGCGAGTTAGGGACTTGGGTTTGGGCGAACAAAAGGTGAGAAGGACAAGAAGGGACCGGGCGATGGCAGCAGGGGAGCCCCGCGGGCGCGCGTCCTCGGGAGTGGCGCCGTGACACGCATGGTTTCCCCGGACCCGCGGCGGCGCTGACTTCCGCGAGTCGGAGCGGCACTCGGCGAGTCCGGGACTGCGCTGGAACAATGGATAACTTCTTCACCGAGGTAAGTGCGCTCCCAGTCCGACCTGGCCTCCGGAGCCCAGGGAGAGAGGCGTCTGCCCACCACGCCGCGCGCCCTGGGTACTTTTTCCTAAGCCCTGGAAGGCGCAACTTTCTGGGAGTCTCCTGAAATCACCCCCCATCCCCCCGCGGAGTCTCTGATGAGTAAGCCCGGGCAGGTTTTGTTTCGTCCTGTCCCGCGCTCGCATTTTGCTCCGGGAGGTAGCGAAGGTGCGTTTCCGTTTGCGTGGGTGGCTGGCTCTCGGGGCGCCCTGGGACACCCGCGCCAGGTGAGGCGGCGCGCGCCGGGGCGCGGGCGGGGCGATCCGCCCGCTCGACTGCCCGGGTGCAGGAAGCCCAATAAAATGTTCAGCGGGGACCTGCCTTTCTCCAAGAAAGGTCTTGTCTGGTATTTCCTTTGCAAAACGTGCGGGCTTCCTGTGCAGGGGTTCAAACACTTCCAGAGGAGACGGCTTAATGAAGTGTGAGAAGGAGAGGCAAGGGTTTAATCGGTTACTTTGCTCGCCGAGAAGTGCTCTTTTAAGGCTTGGGATAACTCCAGACCCTGGGATCAAATGATCATGTATTTGTGTAGAGTGTCCATGCAGATTTTGAATTCGAATGTAAAGAAAATTCGTTTAGGGCAAACAGTGGCTATTTTAATAGATGAAACGGATGCCCTCTTTAGGGTCGTTGAGGGTGGGACACTGAAACTTAACTTGAGAACCCTTTTTCCCCCTTTGGGATCGAGACTTACTGTGGTTTCTTGGCTCCCTTTCCTTTCTTGGTTGTGTTTATTTAATAAATTCTGTTTAAGTTTGAGGTTTGAAGTGGCTCAAAGTAAACTTAGTTGACTTGAGAGAGTCTGATGTGATTTTCGTTGAAAGCCAGGGAATGTTTTCTGAGTGCAGAACCGCTTTGGAGTCTTCCAGCAAATCAGATTGATGAGGGCTTGCCTCTGTGTTAGCCGACTTGGTTTATCTGATTTAATTGGATATAATATTTCAAGTCATTCTGCTTTCTGCATGCTCACTGACTGTATTCTCAGACAGCTATTCATACTGGCCAAAGTGATAAATGCATTCTTGTTTAGTAGTCATATCTAGTTTTTAAAAGTGGTGTTTCAGATGTGATACCCACATTCATTGTGGAAGGAAGACTAGAAAGGAATTATCCATCAATACATATTTTTCCTTTTCTTAAAAAAAGTGAAATATATATAATTGTGAGACGCTCGCATTTTCTAGTCCATAGACTTTTGTTTTCATGCTTGTCGAAAGGCACCAGAACTTTCTGCAAGAGTTGCACGTTGTCCAGTGGTAAAGGACCCTCGGGCTACAGTGAGTTCCGGTGTTTAATTGCTTGCATCTGTAAGAAAACGGAGGCCCTGCCCCTAGGGCAATGATTCTTAACTTTGTTGTTTTTGTGTTCTGGGTCCCTTAGAAAATCTGATGAAAATATAGAAATTTGTATTCAGTTTGCACGGATCTCACTCCTCCTGTAGCCTGTCTGAGCACCACAGGGGTCCGTGGCTCCCCCTTGGGGAGAACTCTGCCCCCTAGTGCAAGTGGGGGGAACATCAGGATAACGCGCTACAGCGTCCTGATCTCCTGTTACCCGGTGAGACTTTGACTTTTCAAAGTACTCTTTTCATCTTGCACTGGATACCTTAGTTCAGTGTAAGGGGCCTGGTTGTTGGATTTTATTTCTGTGATCAATATTATTTTGCAGTTGGCCATTAGTGATCTTCTACTTTCTCCTCTTCATTTTGTAGACAGAATCTTAACCCAAAGATATGAGTAAGTCCCTTGCCCAGCTTTGAAGAGCTTGTTCACGAATCCAGAGCCTTTTTCCTTTGCTGCTGGTGACTTTGGTATTTCTGGGAACTTTTCGCTTATTTTAAGGTTATACTTTTAATCTTGTGATGTATGTGTATTACAATATTAACTTCTAATCAGCCGTGAAAGTTCCACCCTTAAATCTAATCACTTTGAGTGGGAAGGAAGCAGGGCCAGTCAGAGAGGTTAAATAGTGAGGTATTAATTGTAGACATACTCTTAACATAGATCCCAGCTCCCCTTTCTCTCTCTCATGTCTTGTAATGGAGCATCCTTTTGTTAAATTGTCCAGTGAAGAAAATGCTGTAATTAATGTCCTGTTAGAATAGAAACAGCGAGTGTGGAAGTGATATATTCCCCAAGGACAGCTAAATTGTTTGGCCTCCTTATCACTAAGTAGAATTCTGTCTTTGCTAACTTTTCCCATTGTGGCTTAGGGGTAAATGACTTGTTGCTTGTTGGACAACAGTTTAAAGCCAGTGCTAACAATTGGGGAAAAATTACTGAATGAGATGTTGCCTGTTTAGCTTTGTGTATGAATGGCCAAATAATAAGGAAATGGGAGCTGCTTGTGATTCGCAACTGCTATTTCTAGCTAGACCAGGGTTTCTCAAACCTGGTACCATTGCTGAGTAATTCTTTGTTGTTGGAGGCCGTCCTGTGTGTTGTAGGAGGTTAAACGCATCCCTGGACTCTACTCAGTAATTGTTAACCCTATCCCCCAAGTTGTGACAACCCGAAAGGTCTGCAGACATTGCTGAATGACAGGGGAGCAAAATCACTCCCAGTTGAGATCCACTGAGCTAGACCTGTGAAGCAGTTGTTTGGCGGTATTAATTCCTATTTGTGTTGCAGGCACAGCCTTGTCTGCGCTTCCCTGTTTTAAATAGGATTTGGCCGGGTGCGGTGGCTCAAGCCTGTAATCCCAGCACTTTGGGAGGCTGAGGTGGGAGGACTGCTTGAGCCCAGGAGTTCAAGACCAGCCGGGGCAACATGGTGAAACCTCATCTCTACAAAACTTAGCTGAGTGTGGTGGTATGCACCTGTAGTTCCAGCCATTCTGGAGGCTGAGGTGAGCCCAGGAGGTCCAGGCTGCAGTGAACCATGATTGCACCGCTGCGCTCCAGAGCAACAGACCCTGTGTCACAAAATAGATAGACTCTTACTGCCTGCTAGATTGATTGATTAATTAGATAGATAGTGTCTTACTGCGCGCCAGGGGGAAGCTTGCAAAGCTTGTGCCAGTCAGCTGACAGCTGCTGACTTCAAAATGTTCTCCAGGATTAGAGAAACTGAGCATGCCACATTCCTCAGTTTCAGTTTCTTCATGGCCTTCATTAGAATTTTATGGCTCCCCTCGAGTTAATTGTGTGTATGCTTTGGGGAAGCTTGTTTTTTCAGCATTTCTAAGTAAGTTGTTAAGTTTACTTCAGCCAGAAACTAAGTTTAGATGTGTCTGTAACCAGAAGCAATAATAATAAAAAAAGCAAACAGAAAAGGCTCAACCAGGAAAGGGGCAAGGCTACTGTGCAAACTTGTGTTGATGTGCTGAAGTGGACACTGTTTTCATGTCTTCAGGGCCAAGTACAGTGCCTGGAATATAGTAGGGGCCAGTAAGTACCAAATGAAATTGACCTTTCTGTTTCCCTGTTAGGCAGAGGTGTGATGTGTCTGTTCAAATACAAGATCTCGGAGGATTATTAGTGAGACTAATCAAACACCTTGATTTTCAGAATAAATATGTAAAATGTACACAAGTAAGATACTCACAAATACAAATACAGAAAGCAGGTATTAATGTTTAAGGGATAAATTGTTAGTGGAAAATATTCCAGACATACCTGTTTCTTCCAGTCTGGTTCACTCTGGATTAGAGCAGACTTCATTCTAAAGACGTTAAGTGGAAACACCAACCTCTTCTACTTAACTTGACAAGGGACTGTGGTTGTGGTTGGTTATCTGGAGTTGTTCAAATAGCTTTTTAAGTGAGTAGAGTTCCCAAGCCAATTTTCTCCCCATTTGGTTGTATATTTTTTTTGTTTGTGATCTATTGACATCTTTTCTTGTTAGAGAAAAATGTGGACATTGTTATTTTTGGCAGCTTTCTCTCCTCACCCTCGATATGTCTCCATGTGTAAAGGGGAACTGCTGAGGACTTCTTGTATCACCAATTCCTGAAGGCAACCCCTTTGATGACTATAAAATCATATCAGGAGATTAGCTGGGTCCCTTTCCCTTTTCTCACAATGGAGATATAGCGTGTTGCCTCTTCTCTGTAGTTTGAAAACATTTCTATTGTCAAGTACTCATTTTTTTTTTCCCCCTGCTATGTTGGGGACAGCAAAGCCAGGGGGAGCAGCTGCAGTGGGACAGTTGTTGCAGCAGGAGCAATAAGCTGTCTGGCTGGGGCGGGCAGGGTAGGACTGCTTCCTCACTCCATATCATGTGGCCGGCTGTTCCTGCAAAATCAAGCACAAACCAGGAACAAGCTGGCATGGGCAGGTCCCTCACTGTTTAACCAGAGTGGTGGAGGGAGAGAGCAGAGTGTTTGCTTTTCCAGTTCAGCTGGCTTTAAGTGGGCTCACATTTGAGGATGTAAACCTTGAATGTGCTCTCCTGCTGTTGTGATTGGTAGGACATGGAGTATCTTATTATTATTACTATTATTATTATTATTGTTTTGAGATGGAATTTTGCTCTTGTTGCCCAGGCTGGAGAGCAATGGTGCGATCTCGGCTCACCACAACCTCCGCCTCCCGGGTTCAAGCGATTCTCCTGCCTCAGCCTCCCGAGTAGCTGGGATTACAAACATGCACCACCACACCCAGCTAATTTTGTATTTTTAGGAGAGATGGGGTTTCTCCATGTTGGTCAGGCTGGTCTCGAACTCCCGACCTCAGGTGATCCGCCTGCCTTGGCTTCCCAAAGTGCTGGGATTACAGGCATGAGCCACCATGCCCAGCCGGGAGTACCTTATTATTCATGAGTTTCAACAGTTTGGACTTAGAGTAACTGCTACGTAACATTTTCATGTCACTAGCTAGTAGGGGACGTTCAAGAATGAGCCTCCGGTGAAGTCTGGATTAAGCGTTTCCCCTTGCCTAACTGCCCCCAGGCTGAGTGCAGAGCATCCTATCTTAGCAGTAGCGCTTGGCTCCCTCCGATGGGATCTCAGCCAGATGCTCTAAATCCTGAACTTGAGCTCTCTGGTCTGTAAATGGGCGTAATAGTTCCTAGTTTGCATGGTTATCAGCCGAATTTGAGAGAGGACTTACAGAGCCCTTGGCACATAGTAGGTGAGTAATAACAAAGGCTTGGTCACAGTAACTGTACTTTGAAATTAAGAACCAGTGGCCCTTGGTGAATGGAATGTCAGTACTCCTGGTGCAGGGAAATCTCGACCTTAGAGCTTTTTGTTCTGAGGTAGCTTCCTGTGGTGCGTTGCATTTATTTGTTTTCTCTTTTTCAGCCTGTACATTTCTGGCAGATTTTGTATTTCCAGAACTCTGTCTAAAGCATGTTCTTATTGCTTATAAAATTAAGTCCACATTCCTCAGTCTGGTTTTCAAGGTTTTCTGATCTTGTAACTCTCTCTTTATTCTTTTCTCGCACGTGATCCTACACCAGAGGATCTGTTACCCAGTTCCACTCCATCCTTTGTGCAGGCAGGCCTCTCTGTCTATCGAATGTCCCACCTGTCTGGCTCCTTTTTGAAACCGTCTCTAACAGGTCTAGTTCACGGTGACCTCTATTCTCTTACCTCTAAACCTGGCTCTCTTTCTGTCTTGGTCTTGTTAGGAGGGATTTACTGCTGTTAGCTAGAGGCTTTACATGCTTTACAAACCCTCTCCCCTTTTCAAATGAGTAAACAGCCTTGCGAGGTTAAATATCTTATTTGTAAGTAAGTTTCATCACTTCCTTGGCATTGAAATGTCCTCATGGTTGAGATTCAATCCTTGCATAATGGTTATTTTCAGATTATTTTATGGCGGGAAGGGGAGATGCTTCTAACTTTTTCCCTTGATTATGAAGTATCTTACAGTTCTTTGAAGACAATAATAAATATGGCTAGTGTTTCTTGAGTACAGTCAGCCCTGTACTCAGTATCTGTGGGTTCTGCATCTCTGGATTCAACCAACCTCTGATTGAAAATATTCAAGAAAAAAATTGCATCTGTACTGAACATGTAGACTTTTCCCCATGGATTTTGGTATCTGGGGAAGGTCTTGGAACCAGTTCCCTATAGATACATAGGGACAACTGTACTTACCATGTGCCAGGCATGTTGCTGGCACTTCACATTTAGTGACTCATTTAATCCCTTGAACAACCCTATGGGAAAGGCTCTATAATTATACCCAATCCATAGATGAAGAAAGTGAGGCACAGAGAGGTTAAGTAACTGACTCAGTGTCACACAGCTAGAAAACGATAGCCAGGATTTGAACCCAGACAGGCTGTGTCCAGAGCCACAGAGAGTTCTTCACTGCCATGCTTTTCTGTCCTGTTGATGTCCTTTGCCTTAAACTTGCGTCATCTTCTCTAGGCTCTCTGATGAAATGCCCTAAAAGTGGGCAGTTATTAAATGATTTTCAAGTGGAAAACTGCATGGGAGTTTAGGAAAACAAGTAGTCCACACCCTAGAAATGTTGAAAACTCCGCAGGAAAATGTTCATCAGCTTTTGAACATGCCACTGATTTGGCCGGGTGCAGTGGCTCATGCCTGTAATCCCAGCACTTTGGGAGGCCGAGGTGGGCGGATCACGAGGTCAGGAGATGGAGACCATCCTGGCTAACACGGTGAAACCCCCATCTCTACTAAAAATACAAAAAATGAGCCGGGCATGGTGGCGGGCACCTGTAGTCCCAGCTACTCGGGAGGCTGAGGCAGGAGAAGGGCGTGAACCCAGGAGGCGGAGCTTGCAGTGAGCTGAGATCGCGCCACTGCACTCCAGCCTGGGCGACAGAGCAAGACTCCGTCTCAAAAAAAAACCAAAAAAAAAACATGCCACTAATTTTTATTTGATTTGCTTTTTTTGGGAAAGCCAAGCGCCTTCTGTTTCCTTCTAAAAATGTGTGTGTGTGTTTTTGTTGTTGTTGTTGTTTTTTGAGATGGAGTCTTGCTCTGTCGCCCAGGCTGGAGTGCAATGGTGTGATCTCGGCTCACTGCAACCTCCACCTCCCAGGTTCAAGCGATTCTCCTGCCTTAGCCTCCCAAGTAGCTGGGACTACAGGCGCCTGCCACCACACCCGGCTAATTTTTGATATTTTTAGTAGAGATGGGGTTTCACCTTGTTGGCCAGAATGGTCTCGATTTCCAGACCTTGTGATCCACCCGTCACAGCCTCCCAAAGTGCTGGGATTACAGGTGTGAGCCGTCATGCCCGGCCCATAAAGTGTGGTTTCTAAAGCTGGTTGTCCCAACTTCATGAGGATAGTAGGAAGGTTTACATACTAAAGCACTTAGGGCCATGTGCTCATGCCTGTAATCCCAGCACTTTGGGAGGCCGAGGCAGGTGGATACCTGAGGTCAGGAGTTCGAGACCAGCCTGGGCAACATAGTGAAACCCTGTCTCTAATAAAATCCAAAAATTAGCTGGGCGTGGTGACATGGGCCTGTAATCGCAACTACTTGGAAGGCTGAGGCAGGAGAATCGGTTGAATCCGGGAGGTGAAGATTACGGTGAGCCACTGCACTCCAGCCTGGGTGACAGAGGGAGACTGTCTCCAAAATTGTAATAGTAATAATAAAAATATTAAAACAAAATAAAGCACTTAGAAAACAAGATGATTTGAGAAGTGTTTATTAAAAGAAAATGTGGGACTCATTTGTTTCCCTAATTCCAGCTGTCAATTAATTAGTGAAGTGTTACTTGAGGTTTTTTGATAGAATCTTCTTTTTCAGTTAAAGATTCTGAGTGCTTTGTTGGAGTTTCTTCATATCACCTATCATTTGCTTGTTAGCTTATCGATACCCATGGAACAGTTATTGACAGGACATTGGGTCGTTTTCCCAAGAGCATTCCTTGAATAAAACATTTTGCTGCCTTGCTAAGAGGTGTTCAGAAAATATTTCCACCAGGCCTAAAGTAAATCTAGCACCTCATGTCACATGACATCATGTCATCTAATGCTGCCAGTTACAGGAAAAGACATTAGAGTTTTGGGGACAAAGCCACAACACATCTGTTGAAATACAGCTAGAACAAGGGAGAAACATATGGGAATTGTCCAACTAATAGCTCTACCTTCACCCAGTCCGACTCCCTGCCTGCTCTTAAGGATTAAAATTGCCTCCGTATAAAAGCATTTTAAATTACGGCAGTTAAAGGCCGGGCGCGGTGGCTCAAGCCTGTAATCTCAGCACTTTGGGAGGCCGAGGCAGGAGGATCACGAGGTCAGGAGATCCAGACCATCCTGGCTAACATGGTGAAACCCCGTCTCTACTAAAAATACAAAAAACTAGCTGGGCGTGGTGGCTGGCACCTGTAGTCCCAGCTACTCGGGAGGATGAGGCAGGAGAATGGCATGAACCTGGGAGGCGGAGCTTCCAGTGAGCCGAGATTGTGCCACTGCACTCCAGCCTGGGCAACAGAGCAAGACTCCATCTCAATAAATAAATAAATAAACAAACAAACAAAAGAAAATACCATAAGCAGAAGACACAAAGAAGCTCCCATGGTGTGGCTCTTCATGTTTGTGGTAGATGCATTGAGACTTTTTTTTTATGCCTTCATATATATGTTTCTGATAAAACACACCTGTAATGTTTTTCACTGAAGAGTTGATTGAGAAAAGCTTTAAATATCATTTGTGGGGCCAGAGGCAAGAGTACAAATTCAGTTCCCATATCACATACCTAAACATTTAAAAGTTATAAACCATGCTTACAAATTGGTAAATAAAATGGCTTCTACTCTGCCTGGACAAATACATCTGTCATTAGGGCAGAATCAACAAACATGTTTAAAGCTATGGGTTTTATTGCTGAAAGTCAGCAAAATATCAAACATGAGTGAATTTAATTACAGTTGCCTATGTCTGGGTGTTCTGTTGATGTTTCATGAGTAATAAATACGTATACTCCATAGTATATTTTTCATAAATCTATTTTTTTGTCCATATTTTAGCAAACTCACTTGTTATGTGGTTAGAGTCAAGATTGTCACAATAGTTTGTTTTACGGACAGTAATACCAAGGTGGAGAACCTTTCTTTGTGGTTCTTAGATTGTTCTTTTTTTTTTTTTTGCTGGGACAGAGTCTTCCTCTTTCGCCCAGGCTGGAGTGTAGTGGCGCAATTTTGGCTCACTGCAACCTCCACCTCCCGAGTTCAAGCAATCCTTCTGCCTCAGCCTCCCACGTAGCTGGGATTACAAGTGTGTGCCACCATGCCTGGCTAATTTTTGTATTTACAGTAGAGACGGGGTTTCATCATGTTGGCCAGGCTGATCTGAAGCTTGTGACCTCAATTGATCCACTAGCCTTGGCCTCCGGAAGTTCTGGGATTACAGGCGTGAGCCACCCCACCTGGCCAGATTGTTCTTTTCTTAATCTAAGTCTAGAGATGGCCTGCTTTGCTGAGGCAGGACAGTAGTTACTGACATTGTCAGCGAAATTCATACAGCACTATTTAGATTAAAAAAAGAATGAGATTGCATATGATAGATTATTGATTTTAAGAAGTACTACAAAGTATTTTAATTTCATTATCCAGGTTGAATATCCGTAATCTGAAAATCCAAAATTTGAAATTCTCCCAAATTGGAAACTTTGAAAAAAATATTTATTGTTAATTTTTCATATTAGATTTACGTTTTCCAGGTACATGTGATCATTTGATGCTTTCATATAATCACATCAGGGTCATTGGGATATCCATTACCTTAAATTGTTATCTTTATGCTAGGGATATTCAAATTATCCTCTTTTAGGTATTTTGAAATGTACAATCAGTTAATGTTAACCATAGCCACTCTACTGAGTGCCGAAATGACACTCAAAGAAAATGCTGTTTGGAGCATTTTGGAGTTTGGATTTTTTATTAGGGATGCTGAACTGGTGTCTTGCAAATATTCCAAATTCTGAAACACTTTTGGCAGCAAGACTTCTGGATAAGAGATAACCAGGCAGTCTATGTGAGTCATTATTGCTGATATTGTGATTTATCACCATTTCTTAAATCAGGTATTTCTGAGGTTCTTTATAACTTTTCAATGCTGTGTATGTTATAAAGAAAACTGAGGCCGGACACGGTGGCTCATGCCTGTTACCTCAGCACTTTGGGATGCCGAGGCGGGTGGATCACCTGAGGTCAGGAGTTCGAGACCAGCCTGGCCAACAAGGTGAAACCTCATCTCTACTAAAAATACAAAAGTTAGCCAGATGTGGTAGCAGGCGCCTGTAATCCCAGCTACTTGGGAAGGCTGAGGCAGGAGAATTGCTTGAACCCAGGAGGCAGAGGTTGCAGTGAGCCGAGATTGCACCACCTACTCTTACTTACTCTGTTGCCTGGGCAACCCAGGAGTATACCGTAATGCGTGTACCATAATGCATATTGGCCAGAAAATGGTCTATGTGAAATGTTTGGGGATTAGGTCTATGTGAATCTTTTCCTTCTCAGTCATGCAGATGTTTTATTTCATTCTGATTTTTAAATATTTTCTTCAATTATTACTTTTGTTGCATGTTTCACATCCAGGTCCTTTCTGATTGAGGAAAAGTTTTCTCTAAAATTATTCAAAACATTTGTTAAGTGTAATGGCCAAATTATTTCTGTTTGGGTTTTGGGAAACTTTTGCTAATATTATTAATAGTAAGTGATAGGCCGGGTGCAGTGGCTCATGCCTGTAATCCCAGCACTTTGGGAGGCCGAGGCAGGCGGATCACGAGGTCAGGAGATCGAGACCATCCTGACTAACACGGTGAAAACCTGTCTCTACTAAAAAATACAAAAAATTAGTCAGGTGTGGTGGTGGGCACCTGTAGTCCCAGCTATTTGGGAGGCTGAGGCAGGAGAATGGCGTGAACCTGGGAGGCGGAGCTTGCAGTGAGCAGAGATCGTGCCACTGCACTCCAGCCTGGGTGACAAAGTGAGACTCTGTCTCAAAAAAAAAAAAAAAAAAGTGATAAAGTGATAGTTGATACCAAATAACTCCTGCCAATAGAAATTCAAAGTTAATATCACTTTCCACCCACGACCATGATTTGTACTTTATTTGAGGAGTTTCTGCATATTTACTTATTTTTTTGCCATTTTGATGTGCAGGGGTGTGAGGGTCCAAGAGTAGTCTGCCCATTCTTCCTGTGGCTGTATCATCAATTATATGACAATTTTAGGTTGTTTCTAGAAAACAGCGCATGAACGCTTTTGTACCTAAGTCATTGCGTGCCTATTTGATTATTTCCTGAGGAGTAAAATTTCCCGGGAGTGGAAATGTTGGATCACAAAGTTTGCAGATTCTTATTTGGATTATTTGGCAGTGGAAGTTTCATGAGAGGTGTCAGTGCAGCTGGCAGCTGCGCAGCTGAGAGACCCTGTCATGATGTATTTATGACCCCGGGGATTTTGTAACTCCTTACTAGAAGCTTAAGGAAATACATTGATTAGCGGAGGAAGTTAGCTCATGATACTAGATTTTCATTTCCATTTTTAGGTCTTCTGTGAACCAGGAGAAGGCCATCTTTTCTGTTAATTGCAAACAAGGCTCTTGATTCACATGCTCCATTCATCTCACCCCCCAGCGTGGTTGTTGATGTTCGTTTAAGGCCAAAGCACACTCAAGGGACTAGGCTGTACATTGCCTGGGGAGCCAGTGGACATTCATTTGGAGAATTATTTGTATGGAGTTTTACTTTAGTTTTTTGAGACAGCGTCTCACTCCGTCATTTAGGCTGGAGTGCAGTGGTGCTATCATGGCTCACTGCAGCCTTGATCTCTTTGGCTCAGGCGATCCTCCCACCTCAGCCTCCTGAGTAGCTGGGACCACAGGCCTGTGCCACCTTGCCTGGCTAATTTTTACATTTTTTGTAGAGATGAGGTCTCCTTGTTTTGCCCAGGCTGGTCTCGAACTCCTGAGCTCAAGGGATTCTTCCCCTTTGGCCTCCTAAAGTGCTGGGATTATAAGTGCAAGCCATCGCACTTGGCCAATTTTTTGATTTTTATTTCTTTGCATTTTAGTATCCTTGTGAGTTAACCCTAGGCAACAACAGTTACTATGTCGTGGTGGTTCACATGTTAGGTGGCCAGGATGTTAGGGAGTGTGTGTGTGTGTGTGTGTGTGTGTGTGTGTATGGGCGTGTTTAAGGCTTATTATTTATTAACCTAGGAAATCTTTCTGGACTTTGAAATAAGAGTTTAGTGCCAGGTGGCCGGGTGTGGTGGCTCATGCCTGTGATCCCAGCACTTTGGGAGGCCGAGACGGGTGGATCACGAGGTCAGGAGATCGAGACCATCCTGGCTAACACAGTGAAACCCCATCTCTACTAAAAATACAAAAAAATTAGCCGGGCGTGGTGGTGGGCACCTGTAGTCCCAGCTACTTGGGAGGCTGAGGCAGGAGAATGGCATGAACCCAGGAGGCGGAGCTTGCAGTGAGCTGAGATCGTGCCACTGCACTCCACCTGGGCGACGGAGCGAGATTCCGCCTCAAAAAAAAAAAAGAAGAGTTTAGTGCCAGGTGAAAATACACTACATCTCTGACAATGTATATACCATTGTCATTTAAATTGTCATTTAATACAGGTTTACTTCTGTTTATTTCTACCCATGTTTTGTTCTTCTCATGATGTGACCCAGGGGGATTTAGCAGTTGAAGGCTGAAGAAACTAGAACTCTCGTTGAAACTGGACAACTTACTATTGCAGGAAAAAGCACTAGTTCACCCTCCCCTCCCCTCTTCTCTTTTTCCTTTTCTTTCTTTTTTGAGATAGAGTCTTGCTCTGTCTCTGAAGCTGGAGTGCAGTGGCACTATCACAGCTCACTGCAGCCTCCACCTCCCAGGCTCAAGGGATCCTCTTGCCTCAGCCTCCCCAGTAGCTAGGACCACAGGCATGTGCCACCTCGCCCGGCTAATTTTCAAATTTTTTATAGAGATAAGGTCTCACTATGTTGCCCAGGCTGGTCTTGAACTCCTGGGCCCAAGCTATCCTCCCTCCTCAGCGTCCCAGAGTGCTGGAATTACAGGTGTAAGCCATCACACATGGCTGAGCACAAGTTTGTAAAACCCACCTGTCCAGATGGCTGAGCTAACCATTCTCAGAAACGAAACTACAACCCTAGAGTAGATACATGAACACTTTGCCTTGGCCCAGGATCCTGAAGACGGTGACCATGGACCTGCTGGCTAGCCTTGCCTCCTCTGCTGCCTGCTGCAGCTCACACTCTCCTCTCCTGACCCTAGAGGTTGCTGAATGGGTCACACACTCCTTTTAGACCAGTAACATACTGAGCTGTTTCAGCCTTCCCTTACACTTCATTTTCTAGAGAGCCAGTCATCTATTTGGATCTTACTTATATCTCCCCAAATTTGTTACTGTTGTTGTTTTATCTCTCTGAAACTTTGCTATCACAAGCTGGATTCTCTTAACATCTGATTATCTGATCATTGCAGGCGGCTTGGAGCTAAGGGCCAAGGTGTGCAGCCCTCTGGAAGTTTTCCCCCTCGGATTCTCAGATGTGGGCCCATGTGCCCTTTTTTCAGATCTTCTGAACCCTGGCACCCTTGATTTTTTTTTTTTTTTGAGACGGAGTCTTGCTCTGTCACCCAGGCTGGAGTGCAGTGGTGGGATCTTGGCTCACTGCAGCCTCTGCCTCCCGGGTTCCAGTGATTTGCCTGCCTCAGCCTCCCGAGTAGCTGGGATTACAGGCACGCACCACCACGCCTGGCTAATTTTTGTATTTTTAGTAGAGATGGGGTTTACCATGTTGGCCAGGGTGGTCTCGAACTCCTGACCTCAGGTGATCCACCTGCCTCAGCCTCCCAAAATGCTAGGATTACAGGTGGGAGCTGCTGTGCCCGGCCCCCTTTACGTTTTTGGCTAGATCAGTCTTTGTTGCAGTGGTGGGTGAGGGCGGTGGTGGCCGTCCTGCATATGGTAGGATTCTGAGCAGCCTCCCTGGCCTTGAATCACTAGATGCCAGGATCATACCCTCACCTCCTGGTTGTGACAACCAACTGTCTTCAGACATCACTAGGAGGCAAAATTGCTCCCAGTTGAGAACAACTGTATCATGTCTATACTCTTAAGGCCACAGATGAAACTTGATAGTATTTTTTCGATCTTCCTCATCTCCACTGTTTTCGTTTTTTTTTTTTTTCTTTTTCCTTTTCTTTTTTCCAGACCCTGAATTCCACCAGATCTACTGTTTCCTAATGGCCTTTCACAGTAGTAAATGTGTGGGAGACCACACATTTATCAGTGTGGAAATTTTATTCTTTGGGATCCAAACTCTCCCCATAAGGTTTGGGCATTTACAATCATTATTTACTGTCTGAGTCATGTGTTCAGTTGTTCAGCCTAGTTAGAATATTCCTGGCCAGCTGGAACCACTGCGCTAAGGCTTTCATTGGTCCCCGTTCTCAGACCCCTCACCCCCTAAGTGCTTTTTTAGTTCCTTTCCCTAGAGTGTTAGAGAAATATTTATTATACTGAGTAATTAAACTGACAGTTGTTCTCCACTAGGAAAAAGGTCGTATTCTCTCGCAAAGCTTTGAGGGCATGTCAAGTTATGTCAAGGTAAATTACATCTGCTGCCTTCTCCCACATATATCTTGGATGGTGTTATTCTGGTATACGTTTATTTTATTTTATTTTATTTTATCTTATGTTATTTTTTGAGATGGAGTATCGCTCTGTCACCTAGGCTGGAGTGCAGTGGTGCGATCTTGGCTCACTGCAACTTCCACCTCTCAGGTTCAAGCAATTCTCCTGCCTCAGCCTGCCGAGTAGCTGGGATTACAGGCGCCCACCACCACGCCCCAACTAATTTTTGTATTTTAGTAGAGATGGGCTTTCACCATGTTGGTCAGGCTGGTCTGGAACTCCTGACTTCAAGTGATTCGCCCACCTCAGCCTCCCAAAGTGCTGGGATTACAGGCGTGAGCCACCGCACCCGGCCTATTCTGGTATCCATTTTAAAAAGAAGTCTAGATTCAGAAGTCACCCAAATAGTACAGAGAGGCCCTTTCTGTGTACCTGCCATTCCCTGGTGGTGGCATCTTACATAACAAAATACAGTGTCAAAATCAGGAAATTGACATTCCTGCAGTCTACAGGCCTTATTCATGTTTCACCAGTTTTGCATACATGCATTTTTTATGTGTGTGTGATTCTGAACAGTGTTATCACATGTGTAGACTTGTACAACCACCAGCAGTCACAATATAGAACTGTTCCATGACAGTCCCTTGGGCTCACCTTTGGTGGCACCCCAGCCTCCCTCCCTCTAACCCCCAGCACCTACTTCTTTTTTCTCCTTCTCTATAGTTTTGTTATTTGAGAGTATTGTATAAATGGAATCGATCAGTACATATTCTTTTGAGACGGACTTTCTTCACTCAGTGCCTTTGCCGCCCATCCATGTTGGTACACGTGCCGGTTTTGTTCCTTTTTTATTATTAAGTAATATTGCATTGTTCAGGAACACTTTTATTTATTTTGTTTATCTTATTTGCTTTTTTGAGATGGAGTCATGCTCTGTCACTCAGGCTGGAGTGCAGTGGCGCAATGTCGGTTCACTGCAGTCTCTGCCTCCCGGGTTCAAGTGATTCTCCTGCCTCAGACTCCCAAGCAGCTGGGTTTACAGGCATGTGCCACCAAGCCCAGCTAATTTTTTTTCTTTTTTGAGACTGAATGTCGCTCTGTTGCCAGGCTGGAGTGCAGTGGCACAATGTCAGCTTACCGCAGTCTCCGCCTCCTGGGTTCAAGTGATTCTCCTGCCTCAGCCTCCCGAGTAGCTGGGACTACAGGCATGTGTCACCATGTCCAGATAATTTTTGTATTTTTAGTAGAGACGGGGTTTCACCATGTTGGCCAGGATGGTCTTGATCTCTTGACCTCGTGATCCACCCACCTTAGCCACCCAAAGTGCTGGGATTACAGGTGTGAGCCACCACACCCGGCCTAATTTTTGTGTTTTTAGTAGAGATAGGGTTTCTCCATGTTGGCCAGGCTGGTCTCAAACTCCTGACCTCAGGTGATCCACCTGCCTTGGCCTCCCAAAGTGCTGAGATTACAGGCGTGAACCACTGCGCCCGGCCTGTGTGTTTATTTATTCCATTATTTAACTTGTGAAGGTTTATTGGACACTTACCATGGGCTAGGACTGTGCTGAGCTTTTTACATGTATTAATTCATTTAATCTGCTTGGTAGTCCTAAGTGATTGTATTGTTTACATCTTTATTTTATGTATGAGAACACAGAGTCTTAGAGAAGGGAGGTAGTCTGCTCAAGTTCACACAGCTGGGAAATGATAGAGCCAGGATAGGAGGCCAGAGAGCTCTAGCTCCATGAACTCATTTGGAGGGGAAGGCAGTTGTTCTGGTAGATTTTTGTTTATTTGTTTGTTTTGTTTTTGAGATGGAGTCTTGTTCCGTTGCCCAGGCTGGAGTGCAGTGGCATGATCTCTGCTCACTGCAACCTCCGTCTCCTGGGTTCAAGAGATTCTCATGCCTCAGCCTCCTGAATAGCTCGAATTACAGGCGCCTGCCACCACGACCAGCTAATTTTTGTGTTTTTAGTAGAGACAGGGTTTCACCATGTTGGCCAGTCTGGTCTTGAACTCCTGACCTCAAGTGATCCCGCCTGCCTTGGCCTCTCAAAGTGCTGGGATTACAGGTGTGAGCTATCACTCCTGGCCGTTCTGGTAGGCTTTTGAAGTCGGAAGAATAGAGACTGTGTGGAAATCTTCAGGAATGCATATTTGCTTCTCCATACAGAGCAGAACAGTCAGGTAATACAAGTCCAAAAGGAATTAGCTGATTTCTGCCAGTGACTGGAACAAGGAATAGAAATTTTCCTATAGCCAAGCAAAAGCAGAAACATAGACCTTCTGCTTCTTTTTGTGATGACAGCAACTGCACACTCATCCCGAGTGATTGGCGTAAGTAAGTGATCCCTGTTCCGAGTGAGGGCTCGAAAAATACTTTCAGTGGGCCAGGCGCGGTGGCTCACGCATGTAATCCCAGTACTTTGGGAGGCTGAGGCAGGCGGATCACCTGAGGTCGGGAGTTTGAGACCAGCCTGACCAACATGGAGAAACCCTGTCTCTACTTAAAATACAAAAATTAGCCAGGCGTGATGGTGCATGCCTGTGATCCCATATTCGGGAGGCTGAGGCAGGAGAATCGCTTGAACCCAGGAGGCGGAGTTTGCAGTGAGCTGAGATTGTGCCATTACATTCCAGTCTGGGCAACAAGAGCGAAACTCTGTCTCAAAAAAAAAAAAAAAAAAAGAAAAGAAAAATAGTTTCAGTGAAATTTTGTGTTTCCAGGGAGCATCCGTGTGGAATGCCAAGGCCACACTGAATTTCATCAGTTATTTTTTTGGAGTTTCGTCTATTTCTGGTAAACTCTAGCTTCCATGAAGCAATATTGAGGGAAAGTGTATTTGCTTTGGAATCCATATGCAGTTTGTAAATCTTGCTTGTAATCTGCTGAGCTGCTGAGCTGATGCTTCTATCTGCCTTGTAGATGGAAGTGACACGCAGCTGTCTAGTCACAGCTTTGGGCTTTTGGACTCTTCACATCTTCCTTACCCATTAAACTTGAAACTGTTTCTTTCAAGTTTAATGATAACAATTTTAAGAAACTATTTTGGAAATTGACTCTCCTAGTAGTGTGAGACTTTAAAAGGTAATGGATGGTTTACATTTAAACCAGCTTTTGAAGGCTGTGATTTAGTTAAGGTGGTGCTACTTGGCAGCTGCTAATATTTTTTATTCCTATGGAATACGTATTCTGTAGTTTAAAAAGAAAGTGGCTAGCATGGTTAGATCAGCAGAAATATTCTTTGTTGTAAAGTATGTAGCCTGGAAGTTATCAAGGGATGGATACATAGGTTAGAATTACTTTTTTTTTGGACCCAGGGTCTTGCTTTTTTGCCTAGGCCGGAGTGCAGTGATGCAATCACAGCTCACTATACCCCGGACCTCCTGGGCTCAAGAGATTCTCCCCCGTTCGGCCTTTTGAGTAGCTGGGACTACAGATGTGTGCCACCATGCCCATCTGATTTTTTCTTTTTTTTTTCCTTTTTTTTTTTGTAGAGATGGGTCTCCCTGTGTTGCCCTGGCTGGTCTTGAGCTTCTGGGTTCCAGTGATCCTCTCCTCCCCTCTCAGCCTCCCAAAGTGCTGGGAATACAGGCATGACCCACCATGTCCTGCTAGAGTTACTGGTTTGCATAGAATGGTAGTTCTCAACTGGAGGCACTTTTGCCTCACCGGGGATATTTAGAAGTATCAGGAGACATTTCTGGTTGTTAACACTGATGGGAGGTGACTACTGGTGTCTAGTGGGTAGAAGCTGAGGATGCTGCTAAACATCCTCAATTGCAGAGGGCAGCCCCCACAATGAAGATTGATCCAGTCTAATAGGTCAATAGTGTTAAGGGTAAGAAAACCTGATATAAAAGATTGACTTACAAGAATCTTCCCTCTTGTATTTTATTTTAATATGCTGCATTTTCTAAATAAAATCATTATTCCTAAAGTAATTTCCATAGTGTACTCTTCGGGGTGTGTGTGAATGATGCATTAATCTGATTTTTATTAATTTTAATACCGGCATTATATTTAGTACAACTTGGTTATATTAAATATCTAGATCTATAGTTATATGTTTGTTTTATTTATTCCAACATTGATTTCTGCAGCATTGGTTAATAGTTGGGATATTAAGCCATTTTTATTTCTAGGCCTTCTCAACTTTGAGTTTCCACTGATCCTAAGAAGCGAAGGAACAGACAATACGGACCTGATTTGTATATTTCTGAGATGAAAGAAAGATTGAAGGGGCTGACGTTAGCAATCTACACTATATTCTTTGGACCTCTTCGTGTCATCTAATTATTTTAGTTAATTACCAACATTTTTGTTACCAACCCTGATAATGCAAGAGGCAGCCTCTTTGAATGGGGTACGTGAACCTTTACCAGTGAATTCATATCTTTTTTCTTTTCCGTTTCTCCCAATTTTGATGAGTAAGTGTGTGGTTTTTCTTCTTAATTTTCATCAAGCCTATTGTTTTCTTGCCAGCCACAGTGATGAATCACTCTAAAAGCTTGGTGAGGGCAGTTGAATCAGCAGGCAAAACTTTTTTATTTGCTGAAAATAAATGGAAGGCTGCTTATAGGTTCACACCCTTGCTGCTCTCATCAAATCTTCAGGCAGGAGGGAAATGAAATTGGATCATCTTAAACTTCCTGGATTTAATCTGTGATTTAGGAGTGAGTTCTTTCCATGCTTCTCCTCTCCTCTTTTCCCTTCCTAGCAAGAGGAGAAAAAAAGCAAGTAATTTAATGTAATCTGATTTTTTTTTTTTTTTTTTTTTTTACTTCATGGCTTTTTGACATTGGAAGAGAAATGAGCCATCTTTCTAGAGGAGCTTTAGTGTCATGTGTGCTTTTCTTATTGATTGGGAATAACTTAAAAAGACTCCTCAGAACTCCGAATGGGATATTTAATTTGTTAGAACACGAGTCTGCACCACTATCTGTTGACGGTGAAATGAATTTACTAAGTGGATAATTTGCTGAGCATTAGCTGACCCTGACGTGGCGGAACGAAGGTCTCTGGAGATGGTTCATGGTGGAAATCTGGGCTTGATGGGTCGGTAATGAGACTTCAGCGATGACATCTTTACCAAGGCTGAGGCTTAACACTCGGGACCAAGCGATTCAACTGGTAAGCGACATGCTTTGAATATTTACTCACCAGCTCTGTTAATTCAGATTCAGGATAAGAAATGTATGGTGAGTGATTTTTTTTTTTTTTTTCTTTTTGACGTAGAGTCTCGCTCTGTCGCCCAGGCTGGAGTGCAGTGGCGCAATTTCAGCTCACTGCAACCTCTGCCTCCTGGGTTCAAGCAATTCTCGTGCCTCAGCCTCCTGAGTAGCTGGGACTACAGGTGCATGCCACCACACCCGGCTAATTTTTTATATTTTTATTGGAGACTGGGTTTTGCCATGTTGGCCAGGCTGGTCTCGAACTCCTGACCTTAGGTGATCCGCCCGCCTTGGCCTACCAAAGTGCTGGGATTGTAGGCGTGAGCCACTGCGCCCAGCCAATGGTGAGTGATTTCTTTGCATCAGAGATGACTGCTTGTTGAAGACCACTGTTGATGGAATTCAGCGTGCCTTCACCTCTGCCACTTGACCTCTGATTGGCCTGCCATTGCTGTGGTTGTACTGGTAGCTAGGAGGGTTCCCATCCCCTGCCATTACTGAGACCATGATGCTGTGGAGGGGGATGCGGAGGACACCAAGGAAGTACGACTGATTGACTGATGCACCTTGGAGGGTCCCTCAGATTTATCTATAAACCCTTAAAAATAACGATAATCATAGAGGACATCTGTGAGGAACTTATTTGGTGCCATTTGCTGTGCTGAGCCATTTATATACAGATATCCTGGATCTCATTGAATCCTCTGCATCTTAGGAACTGTTGTTAATCTCATGTAGAGATGAACTACCTATGGCTTGGAACCCAGTTGTGTTCCCTGGTGGGACTCTGACTTCAGAAAGTACTCTTTTTGTCTTGCACTATATACCTTAGTTCAGTGTAAAGGGCCTGGTTGTTGGATTTTATTTGTGTGATCAATATTATTTTGCAGTTGGCCATTAGCGATCATCTATTCTCACCTCTTCATTTTGTAGACAGAATCTTCACCCCAAGATGTAAGTCCCTTGCCCAGCTTTGAAGAGCTTGTTCATGAATCCAGAGCCTTTTTCTTTGCTGCTGGTGACTTTGGCATTTCTGGGAAATTTCCGTTTATTTAAGGTTATACTTTTAATCTTGTGATGTATGTATATTACAATATTAATTTCTAATCAGCTGCGAAAGTTCCACCCTTGCAAAGTCCCACAGCCAGATGGGATCCCAAGTTTCTTGGCTCCCCCAGAGCTTGTGTGTTCATTTCTTCTCTTACAAGTTGATGTCTCAAGAGCTTATCACTGCTCTCACGGCCAGGTGGCTTGCCGGTTCCAAGGACTGGCAGTGACCTTATAAAATATTTGGACTTTTTCTAGTGCGATACGATCCCATACTAGGCAGTGATTAAATCTCAAGGTTATTTTCATGTCTGGGGTACCCAGTGGAAGGCATGTTTTGTCTAGGACTCCCTTAAATGTAGGAAAGACATATCTGGGGCTAGAAAAATTAGTATTTACAAATAGGCAAAACAAAAGTAGTAGACTCAGCAGAAAGAACAGGTCTGCAGAATTAACAGTGGCATAGGTGGGCCACGTAGGTTCTGTCAGATATCACTGATCCCAGTGAGGTCATGGGGCATATTGATCTGTTCTGCTGACCGCTATCTGATACTGATAACGCATGTTAGGTTCTTATAAGAATGGGCTTGCAGGCTTCTTAGTGTATTCCAGCAGAAGCTCCTGAAGGTCCTTGGGAAGTTTGTCACAGGCAGGAATCATGTGGAATGGCAGCGAAGGAAGGCGGCATGGCCAGCTGTTGGGATCGGCAGAGCTGGCTCTGGCAGTGGGCACTCAGCCAAGCCGCCCGCACTTCCTATAAAACACCCTGGTCTCTACCCAGCTTCCCGTAGGTACTGTAGGAAGAAATGCCACCTTGAACCCTTGGCCCAGCTTGCAGTACCATGCTGGAACATTAAGGTCTTTATCATTTGGTCAGGATCGGACAGACTTGCTCATGTTCCTTTGCTTTTCCTGCCCCACCACTGAAGTTGGTATCTTCAGGTGTGTTTCCAGGGAGGAGCCCAGGTTAGCTGTGTTGTATTGTTTCTTGTCTTAACTGAAATCCCATAAAAGGGGCTGAGTGTAGTATCCCACGTGATCCAGGTCATTCCTCCTCCTGGTGCCTCTTGGCTCCCTCTCCTTCTTGTCTTTTTGTCTCGAGCAACTGTATCCTAACCTCCTCCCTCTCTTGCCACATGGTGGTCTAGTCTTTGCCTGGCCTGTTGTTCTTGGAGCTCAGAATTTTGCTGGCCTTATTTCTGAACTTCAGCTCATACTTACGTATCCTGGTTCTCACTTGTCTCTCTTGTTCTGACTCAAGATGTTGCAGGCTCCTAGCCACACCCAAACCCCACATTGCACACCTACGCTTGCTTTGTCCACTGCCTGGGGTTGGCTGTGTTTCTGTAAGCAGGCAGGTCAGTAGCCTGTCTTCCACTGCCAGCCTTCCCTGGCACTCTGGGCACTGGCCACCTCCACAGTGGCAGATGCAGTTTTGCAAAAGTGACTTCATTCACAAACTTGAGAAGAAGGAAATTCTGCGATACCAGGGTGAAAACCAAAATTAATCATTCAGTCTTGAGCTTTAGACAGCCATACACGTATATACAAGGAGAAGCAGAAGATTGTAGTTTGAAATGTTCATATGCAATTCATACCCTAAAGGCTTGGATTCCTTCTAGCATTACCAACTATGCATCTCTGTGCTTTATTGCTAGAGGAGACTTGACTATTACTCAAGATTTGATTTTTTAAAATGACCTGACAGGAGTGTTAAGAGAATTTTGGCAGTGGCTTGTATCTTTGTCTTTGAGTTTTTAGCACCTTTAAATGCCAAGCATGATTTTTTTTTCCTCTATAACCTAATCTTGGAAGTGAGAAAAGAGTTTGTTTTATAACTGGGGAGAAAGAAATGGTTTATTTTTGTGTTTGATGTCAGTCACAAAAGAAGGGAGGCACTGAGAGAAATGTAAGCTCCTTTTTTGGTGAACTTTACTAAAACCAAAGGGAAGATAGAATTGGCTTTTTTTTTTTTTTTGGGAATAAACAATATCCTTGCGTTCTGGTGTTCAATTGGCAGGTGGCCAGAAAGCATGCCTGTAGCTTAGGAATCATCCCAAACTAAGAGAAAAAGCCTGACTTGCTGGAGGCTGAAATTCAATCTTGGAGGTACCATGGTGTGTGTGTGTGTGTGTGTGTGTGTGTGTGTGTGTGTGTGTGTGTGCAGGGTGGTAGGTGAAGGAAGTCTGGAAGTTGTACCCTTGGCAGCTATAAACAGAATACTCAACCCACTTGGGTGGCTGAAATACAGACTGTTTAAAAGGGTTTTAGTCTGCCATTTGGTCAGAATTAAGGTATGATTCAATATATTATATCCAACGCTGGCCTAAAAACATACTCATTTTTCTTTTGATTAGAGCCAGGTTTAATTAAAATCACTGCTTGACAAGCCCATTAAATAACTGAAACTTCCCTTCCAAAGCTTACCCTGAATGGAGGCATTATGTACCAAATAATGCATTTTTCAAAACCAGTATTGAGACCCAGACTATGTAAGGCACGGTGTACAAAGGCTACAAATATGGGGCCTCAGGTAAGGAAAGTGCGTGCACTGAGTTAGGTCGTGTGCCATAGGGAGTGGTGGGGACTGTGGCTCACCGGAGCTCACTGACCTGGAAGAATTAGGGCTCAGTGTTGCCAGGCCTTCTAGTTGTTAAAGAGAGATCAGAAACCTAGATTTCTGTGAAATGTTGCAATTTGCAAAATGTTGACAAGTAACATAAAATGTTTTGGTTTTTACCTAGTGGGCCGAACAAAACTTGGCTGTGGCTTAAAGTCTTTAGATCAGGGTGTCCAATCTTTTGGCTTCCCTGGGCCACATTGGAAGAAGAGTTGTCTTGAGCCACACATAAAATATACTAACACTAACAATAAGACGACTGATGAGCTTAAAAACAAACAAACAAACAAACAACCTAATTTTTTTTTTTGGAGACGGAATTTCGTTCTTGTTGCCCAGGCTGAAGTGCAATGGCATGATCTTGGCTCACTGCAACCTCCGCCTCCCAGGTTAAAGCAATTCTGCCTCAGCCTCCCAAGTAGCTGGGATTACAGGTGCCCACCACCACACCCGGCTAATTTTTGTATTTTTAGTAGAGATGGGGTTTCACCATGTTGGCCAGGCTGGTCTCGAACTCCTGACCTCAGGTGATCCACCCACCTCGGCCTCCTAAACTGCTGGGATTACAGGCATGAGCCACCGCGGCTGGCCAATTTTTGTTGTTGTTGTTGGTCTAAGACAGGATCTCACTCAGTTACCCAGGATGGAGTGCAGTGGTGCGATCTCGGCATACTGCAACCTTGATTTCCCAGGTTCAAGCGATCCTCCTGCCTCAGTTACCCAAGTAGCTGGGACTACAGGCGTGCACCACAATACCCAGCTAATTTTTGTATTTTTTGTAGAGACGAGGTTTCAGCATGTTGGCCAGCCTAGTCTTGAACTCCTGAGCTCAAGGGATCCCCCCGCCTCAGCCTCCCGAGGTGCTGGGATTAGAGGTGTGAGCCCAGTGCCCAGCAGAAATCTCATAATGTTTTAAGAAAATGTACAAATTTGTGTTGGGCTGCATTCAAAGCCGTCCTTGGCTGCAGGTTGGACAAGTTTGTTTTAGATGGTGAAGAAGTGCTGCTGTGTAACTTTGGAGCAAAGGAAGGGAATGGAATGGCTTATGTTTTCCTTTGGGTTGGTTTAGGTTAGTTTTAGCTT
Source organism: Homo sapiens (assembly GCF_000001405.40). Lineage (NCBI taxonomy): Eukaryota > Metazoa > Chordata > Mammalia > Primates > Hominidae > Homo > Homo sapiens. Next base: position 16,911,263 of record NC_000005.10, on the reverse strand, counting down.
GCTTCCAAAAAATATTTATTGTGAAGTAGTTTTGAGAGGGTGGTATCTAGGTTAGATTTATGTATTTTCTGAATGGATCCTCATAGATCTCTGTTAGTCTTTTTAAATTAAGTTAAATTTTGTTTTAGAGATGGAGTATTGCCATGTTGCCCAGGCTGGTCTCACACTCCTGGCCTCAAGTGATCCTCTTGGCCTGGCCCATTCTTTATGGATCATGCAGGGGTAGAAATTGGATAATCTTGTCTCTTGAAGGGGAGAAAAGCTTTTATTTTTCTATTTTAAACGTTTACTTAATGTCTTTTTTTTTATTTAAGAGCTGTGAGGTTTGGAGGACTAGATGTCATACTAAGATACTTGTTCATAAAACCTGGCATTTGTTTAATGACTGAGTCCCTTTCCCCATAGACTACCTCAGACAGAGTGTAGCATAAATGGGAAGGTTCTAGAAACACAGTATCTGGGTTTGAACACTGCTCTGATGCTTGCTGGGGATATGACCTTGGGGAAGCCACACCCCCATGCTGTGCCTCAGGCTCCCTTTTGTAATATGGGTTTAATCTTAACTGTACCCATCCCGCAGGGTCGCTAGGGAATGAAATGGTGAATGCATTAAAAATGCTTAGAGGAGTGATGGATGCCTAGTGAGCACTGAAAAAGCATTAGGTAGTTTAGTTTCTATTACTAGTTTTTACTAATTATAATAAAATATCTGAGAGCCCCTTTAGTGTAGGACATTGTTATAGGTATTTTCACATCATTTTCACGTGGTCCTTCCAACTCTATGAAGAACAAATTATGATTCCCATTTTATAGATGTCACACTATGGAATAAAGGGCAGAAGACCTGGGTGGATCTCTGACCTGGTCATTTGTCAGCTGTGCAAACTTGGGCAAGTCAGTCTTTCTGGACTCAACTCAAATTTCCTGGATGTAAACAGGGAAAAAAGAAACAAAAACAAAGACAAACTGGATTGTTTCAGGATTTTCAGCTCTGATTTTTAAAAATTTTATTTTTTAAGGTGAGATTCATATAACAAAATTAACCTTTTCTAAATGTACAATTCAGTAGCAGCCAGTGCATCTACATTGTTGTGAAACTATCACCTCTAGTTTCAGAACAATTTCAATACCCCTAAATAAAACCCATACCTGTTATCTTAGTCCATTTTTGTTGCTATAAAGGAATACCTGAGGCTGAGTAATTTATAAGAAAAAGAAGTTTATTTGGCTCATGGTTCTGCGGCTGTATAAGAAGCATGGCACCAGTATCTGCTTCTGGTGAGGCCTCAGGAAGCTTCCACTCAGAGCAAAAGCCAAAGAGGAGTCTCCGTATGCAGATCACACGGTGAGAGAGGAAGCAATAGAGAGGGGAGAGTGCCAGGCTCTTTTCAACAACCAGTTCTCATAGGAACTAAGAGTGAGAATTCACTCTTCCCTGTAAGAATGAGTTCCTGCAAGCTATTCATGAGGGATCTGCCCCCACGATCATGAACACTTCCCACCAGGCCCGCCTCCATCACTGGGGATCAGATGTCAACATGCGACTTGGTAGGGCTAAACAAATCATGTCTGATGTGGTTTGGCTGTGTCCCAACCCAAATCTCATCTTGAATTGTAGCTCCCATAATCCCCATGTGTCGTTGGAGGGACCCAGTGGAAGGTAATTGAATCACGGGGGCAGGGTTTTTCTGTGCTATTCTCGCAATAGTGATGGTAAATAAGTCTCACAAGGTCTGATGGTTTTTTTTTTTTTTTTTTGAGTTGGAGTTTCGCTCTGTTGGCTGGGCTGGAGTGCAGTGGTGTGATCTCAGCTCACTGCAACTTCCGTCTCCTGGGTTCAAGCGATTCTGCTGCCTCAGCCTCCTGATTTCTGGGATTACAGGCGTGCACCACCACAGCTGGCTAATTTTTTGTATTTTTAGTAGAGGCAAGGTTTCACCATGTGGTCAGGCTGGTCTCGAACTCCTGACCTCGTGATCCGCCCACCTCGGCCTCCCAAAGTTCTGGGATTACGGGCGTGAGCCACCGCACCTGGCCAATTTGATGGTTTTATAAAGGGCAGTTCCCCTGGACATGCCCTCTTACCTGCCACCATGTAAGACATGCCCTTTGCACCTCCTTCACCTTCTGCCGTGATTGTGAGGCCTCTCCACCCATGTGGAACTGTGAGTCCATTAAACCTCTTTTTCTTTATAAATTACCCAGTCTCAGGTATTTCTTCATAGCAGTATGAAAATGGACTAATACAATGTCCAAGACATAGCACCTGTTCAGCAGTCACTCCTTATTCTCCCTTCTTCCCAGCCCCTGACAACCTCCAAGTTGCTTTCTGTCTCTATGGAATTATCTGTTCTGGATATTTCATGTAAATGTAGTCACACAATAGGTGACCTTTTGTGTTTGGCTGCTTTCACTGGGCATAATGTCTTCAAGATTCATCTATGTTGTAGCATGCATCAGTACATTCCGATATTCCAGTGTTGGCTCTGTTTTATATGAGTAAATGTGTGTAAAATGCATTGTAACAAATATGGTTATATACTTATCATATCTATATCTATCTATATATAATGTGTATGTTTCAATATTTATGTTGATTTCTATTGGCAAGAAGGCCCATATTTAAAGAGATTGGATTGGATCTGTTTTTATTAGTGTCATGGCATATTTCCCAAAGGCTCCACTTTGTACCTCTGTTTTTAATTGGTTTACCTAACAAATTTATTTTATTTTATTTCATTTTTTCGAGACAGAGTCTTGCTGGCTGGAGTGCAGTGGCATGATCTCAGCCCACTGTAACCTTCACCTCCTGGGTTCAAGCGATTCTCCTGCCTCAGCCTCCTGAGTAGCTGGGATTACAGGTGTGTGCCATCACACCCAGCTAATTTTTGTATTTTTAGTAGAGACCAGGTTTCACCATATTGGCCAGGCTGCTCTCGAACTCCTGACCTCAAGTGATCCATCCACCTCGGCCTCCCAAAGTGCTGGGATTACAGGTGTGAGCCACTGTGCCCAGCCTATTATATTTTGAGCAAGAGTCTCACTCTGTCACCCAGGCTGGATGGAGTGCAGTGGCACAATCTTGGCTCACTGCAACCTTTGTCTCTGGGTTCAAGGGATTCTCTGCCTCAGCCTCCCGAGTAGCTGGAATTAGAGGCATATGCCACCACACCCAGCTGATGTTTGTATTTTTAGTAGAGACAGGGTTTTGCCATGTTGGCCAGGCTGGTCCCAAACTCCTTACCTCAAGTGATCCACCTGCCTTGGCCTCCCAAAGTGTTGGGATTACAGGCGTGAGCCACCGAGCCTGGCCATGTTTGCCTTAGTTTTAAGTGATCATCAAATGTTTTGCTTTTTTAATAAAAGAGAGGTAAAGATAAATTTTTATATTACATTTTCCAGTAAAGTTGAAAGCTCAGAAAAAGGAAACCATGTGAATGTATCCTTTACCCACCCTCATTGCCTTCTCAGCAGCTGCTCTCTGGAAATGCCAAAGCATAGATTTCTTATGTTTTCTATGATAGTTACATTTAAAAACCAAACCATAAATACACTTTGCTTGCCCTTTTCCCACAGTGAGTTGTGTATTCTGTGGGTAGTTTCTTAAAGAGGAAGCATATGTCTCCTTATGTAAATCCTGTAATGAAAAATATTTTTTAATATTGTCTGCATAATCCTTTCGGACATTGTTAGTGCCCGGGCTCATTTCAGGATGGATGAAATTGTCCTTTTGTGTAACCTTTTTTTTCTTTTTTTCAATAAATCACTCTAAAGGGAAATGCAATCTCCCGTGACCTGTTGATCAGCAGACTTGGTGATCAGTGGGGACTTTTATTCTTTTCCATAGTGTTGGATGCCTTCTCCTTGGGTCTTCTGAGTCTGTTGTGCTGAAACCATTATTTTTGGTTTCCTTTGTTGGCTCATTCTCTGCCTCCCATTTGAGAGGCAGTGTAGTATAATTACAAGAGCGTGTGCCCTGGAATTACTTCAGTTTTGAATCCTGGCTCCAACATTTAATAAATAAAAGTTAACAAAGAGGCAAGTAAAGAAACAGGATATAAAATGTTTCAAGTGGCTACCAGAAATGGCGATGTTCTTGTGGGTTCCTGAATATAGATGCTTTTCTTTCTTTCTTTCTTTTCTTTTTTTTGAGATGGAGTCTCATTCTGTCGCCCAGGCTGGAGTGCAGTGGCATGTTCTTGGCTCACTGCAACCTCCACCTTCCGGGTTCAAGTGATTCTCCTGCCTCAGCTTCCCGAGTAGCTGGGACTATAGGCGTGTGCCATCATGCCTGGCTAATTTTTTTGTATTTTTAGTAGAGACGGGGTTTCATCGTGTTAGCCAGGATGGTCTCGATCTCCTGACCTCAGGTGATCCACCCGCCTCGGCCTCCCAAAGTGCTCGGATTACAGGCGTGAGCCACCGTGCCTGGCCAGATACTTTTCTTTCTTCTCCACATCAGCCAAGGGGCTTGAGAGGCAAGGGGATGGGTCAGGAGACATTACTGCAGAAGGGTAACTTCTGGCACTTCTTGGATGTGGGGGATGAAAGTGTTGAGACTGTCCTTTTTGGCCAACCTAGTGATTGCAGTGACCTTCGAGATAGGCATAGAGAAGGAGGAAGTTGGAGAGATGATGATGCTAAAGTGGTTTTGGCCATGCTGGCTTCTGACATCCAGCCCTTGGTAGTTAATGATTTAAAGTTGTTTCCAGGTGGGATGTTCCTGGGCCTGAAGAAGCAGTAGCTCTCTTCTCTCTAGAGTGGTGGTTTCTCAACAGTGCGATTTTGCCTCCAGGGGACATTTGGCAATATTTAGAGCTATTTTTGCTTGTGACACCTAGGGGCAGGGTTATCTAGGGAGTAGAAGCCAGGAATGGTGCTAAACTTCCTACCGTCCTCAGGATATGGTTATGCAGCCCCAAGTGTCAGTGGTGTTGCTGCTGAGAAAAGTGCTTTAGACCCTCGAGCTGAAGGACTCAAATTCTTTTCATCCTAGGAGCGCCCCATTGGCTCCTCATTCCAGGGTGTGGTGTTGAGGAATGGGGGGGTCCATTCTGGACCCTACCCCTGGCACCTACCAGGTGCACCCTAAAGTCTGCCAGTGGCATGGGGACTGGGATAGCAGCCGTCCTGCCAGGCAGGAGTTGCCTTCAAGGCCTGTTAAGGGATATGGGGTATGTGTGACACTGTTGTCACTTTTTTTGTGGAAATGCCAAGTGTAAGAAATCTCTGTTGCATTTGACAGGTGTTGCAGTTGAGGATGTATCCATTCTAATCTATGAGTGCTTTTCTTTCTCTTTTTCTTTTTTTCAACTTGCCATGGAAGATAGGGAACAGGAAATTGGACTTAGCAATTACTGAGTGGTTGTCCCTACTCAGATGTCACCTTGTTAACAAGCTGCTCTAACTCCTTAAGTTCTCACCCTTGACACACACATTGTTCATGTGTGAAGACGCTACCCACCCACTCCTGATCTTTGCAATCAGGAGTTAAATTTCTTACTTTTACTGGTGGCAGGGAATTTATTTGTTAAAGCAAACAAAAGAAGATCGCTTGGTGTCACTGGGTCGTTGAGAGCCACAACATGTATTTGGAAGTGAGTTGCATCCAAGGTACCCATCTTTTTCTTTGGCAGACTCTGGAATGGAACTTTCTTGTTTTGCAGCACTCATCGGTCAGTGGAGGTCTGAGATGGACTCATTGCCCTGGCTGGCTGGCTGGCTGGTGGCTGTTCCTGCAGGACGGGAGGGTGAGTGTCAGGGAGGTGGCTCTGATTGCAGGGAGACCTACTAGCCTTAGGGTTGGGAGAATATTCCTTTTGTTGCTCCTTCCCTCCAGCTGTCCCCCTGCCCTCTCTTCTGTTGAGAGCAGTGGACTCTGGGTGTAAGGGCACACTCAGACACAGTAAGGGCTCAAGGTCGGTGAGGGAGATTGTTGTCCTCCGAAGATATTAGTAACAGTGAGCTTTGCTGAATGAGCCCAGACAAGGATGGGAGGTTGAGTCTTTGTGGAATACCGAGTCCATTCTTGGAGGTGCTTTCCTTCAGAAGCTTGGGAAGCCACCTGTGTGCTGGGTAGCTTACAGTTCGCCATACCATCTCTAGAACAAGGGATGCAGCGTGCCCTCCGCATCAAGCGAGATTTGCTGCCTGATGTTCGGTGTGTTACATATGCAAGACTCACTGAGTAGAGGCACTGGGTTGTTCTGATATAGTTTGTGCTTTGGGTGATTTAGTCCCAGTATTAAACTCAGCAATCTGAGCTCTGAGGAGGTAGAGGAATAAGTAAACTGAGTTTCTTCTACTAAACTTTCACAACACACTTCTTTTTTTTTGAGATGGAGTCTTGCTCTGTCGCCCAGCCTGGAGTGCAGTGGTGTGATCTCGGCTCACTGCAAGCTCCGCCTCCTGGGTTCACGCCATTCTCTTGCCTCAGGCTCCCGAGTAGCTGGGACTGCAGGTGCCCGCTACCACGCCCGGCTAATTTTTTGAATTTTTAGTAGAGACGGGGTTTCACCGTGTTAGCCAGGATGGTCTCGATCTCCTGACTTCTTGATCTGCCCGCCTCGGCCTCCCAAAGTGCTGGGATTACAGGCGTGAGCCACCGCGCCCAGCCTCACAACACACTGCTGACACCAGATGTTGTGGGGTGAGGGGTTCCCCAGACACCAGGCAAGCAATCAGTTCTGCAGCAGACACCAGCTGGGCGTCCCCTCATTCAGTTCAGTTCTGACACTGTCTACCCGGCGTCAGACCCCACAGGTTGAGGGCTCAGTCCTGTAAGTCTGCTCCCCATTTTTGATGATAGTCACAAGCCGCAGGTTGCTGCACCTGTGCTTCTGATCAGCAGCCTGTACATCAGGGTTCCCTTGATCTTCTCCTGGGTTTCAGTTAATTTGCTGGAGCAGCTCACAGAACTCAAGGGAACACTGGCTTACGTTTACTGGCTAGTGGTAAAGGATATCACAAAGGTTACCCAGACTACTAGATGAAGAGGCGCATAGGGCTAGGTGTGTGGGAAGGGTCTGGGAGCTTCTGTGCTCTCCCTAGGTGTGCCACCCTCCAGAAACCCCCATGTGTCCAGCTGTCCGGAAGCTCTGTCCTTTTGGGTTTTTATAGAAGCTTTATGACGCAACCATGACTGATTTCTTTCACTGGTTACTGGTCAACCTTCAGCCCCTTTCCTTTCCCTGCCTTGGTCTTTCCTGTGAGCAGCCCCCATCCTGAAACCACCTAGGGGCTACCAGCCACCAGTCAACTCATGGCATACAAGACACTTACACTTTGAAGATTGCAAGGATCTTAGAGTTGGATGTCAGAGGACAATGACGCTGACCAAATCTGTATTTCACAATACCCCACAACCCAGCCTGTCATTTTCAAATACTTCAGCTCATGGAACGCAGGTCCTCACTCCCATCTAAGCCCATAATCTCCCTTTGTATTTTATGTGCACTTCTTATGTCATTCCTCTCTGCACTTTATTATGGCCACTTTCTGTTATTTACAAGGTTTTTCTCTGATTAAACTGTTTGAGAGCAGGCTGGCTTCTATTCCTTTTTCAGGCTGTTGAGCAGTTCTCTATGCCAGGTGCTAGGCTGGACTATTTTCTAATATTTGTTCCCTTATTTAACCTCTTAGCTGCTTTGTGGACTGATGCTTATTATCTGCATTTGTAAAATATTAATAGGAAAGTGGCTTATGAAAGCCAATCAGTAAAGCTATTTCAAAAAGAGGAGAAAAACTGAACCCGTTTACCACCTGTTAGCTCTGGGACCGTGGGCAAGTTCTTTATCTGCTCCATGCCTCGTTTCCCATGTCTGTAAGATGGGAGCATTATTATTATTATTATTTTTGAAATGGAGTCTTGCTCTGTCGCCAGGCTGGAGTGCAATGGCACGATCTCAGCTCGCTGCATGCAACCTCCGCCTCCCAGGTTCAAGTGATTCTCCTGCCTCAGCCTCCCGAGTTGCTAGGATTACAGGCATGCGCTACCACGCCCAGCTAATTTATGTATTTTTAGTAGAGACAGGGTTTCACCATGTTGGTCAGGCTGGTCTTCAACTCCTGACCTCATGATCCGCCCGCCTTGGCCTCCCAAGTGCTGGGATTACAGGCGTGAGCCATCGCGCCTGGTAGGGAGTGTTATTAGTTACTCACTCACAGGGTGTTTTAAGAATTAAGCAAGTTAGTGCGTGTGAAGCGTTTAGGACAGAGGCCTGCACATGGTCAATGTGTCAGCTGTTAGGATTATTCTCCAAGGTTACGAGGCATTGGGAGATCAGAGCCTGGTCTGGATTCAGAAGCCCATGTCCTTGCCATTGAATTCCATGTCCTTCTGGGCCTGGCACTGTGCCTTGTCAGCCACGAGGGCTAAATAAATATTTGTAGCATGAATAAATGCATTTGAAATTTTTGATGGTGGTTGTTCTCCAGGTGAAATGAATTTACTTAAAAGATGGCCCTGGGCACGGTGGCTTACGCCTGTAATCCCGGCACTTTGGGACGCCAAGGCGGGTGGATCACCTGAGGTCAGGAGTTTGAGACAAGCTTGACTGAAACCCCATCTCCACTAAAAATACAAAAAATTAGCCGGGCCTCTCTCCGGTCCATGCTTCCAAGATGACAAAGAAAAGAAGGAACAATGGTCGTGCCAAAAAGGGCCGCGGCCACGTGCAGCCTATTCGCTGCACTAACTGTGCCCGATGCGTGCCCAAGGACAAGGCCATCAAGAAATTCGTCATTCGAAACATAGTGGAGGCCGCAGCAGTCAGGGACATGTCTGAAGCGAGCGTCTTCGATGCCTATGTGCTTCCCAAGCTGTATGTGAAGTTACATTACTGTCTGAGTTGTGCAGTTCTCAGCAAAGTAGTCAGGAATCGATCTCGTGAAGCCCGCAAGGACCGAACACCCCCACCCTGATTTAGAACTGCGGGTGCTGCCCCATGTCCCCTACCAAAGCCCATGTAAGGAGCTGAGTTCTTAAAGACTGAAGACAGACTATTCTCTGGAGAAAAATAAAATGGAAATTGTACTTTAAAAAAAAAAAAATTAGCCGGGCCTGGTGGTGGGCACCTGTAATCCCAACTACTTGGGAGGCTGAGGCAGGAGAATCACTTGAATCTGAGAGGTGGAGGTTGCAGTGAGCCCATATTGCGCCTCTGCATTCCACCCTGGAAAATCTGTCTCAAAACAAATTTAAAAAAATAAAAAATAAAGAAAATAAAAGGTAAGAACATAACTTGGGGTGCATGAAAGAAGCAGAACGCTGTGTTAGACTTCTGGAAAATACTTTTGTGTACCTTAGCCTGGGCTGAAAAAGCAAACAGCTTCTCAAAATCAGACATTTTAAATGAACTCATTTCTGTGTGGAAAATATGGCTTCATGATGGTCTGGCTCTAGAACGTGCCAGGGAACCAAGCAGTTAGGGGTGGGAATGGGAATTCCTATTGCCCTCTCTGCATCTAGAAAACGACAGGCCGCTCTGCACTGGGGTAGCACAGAGGGCAAGGCTGTGAGTGAATCAGGTGCCTGGTACTCATTGTAGGGAAGTCTAAAAGATGGCGGGTGTCAGTAGGTAATTTAGGATTTTGATGTATTTTTAGGGTGTGGGTATCACTTTTATTATTGGTTTCTATAAATGGGAACTGTAGAATCTGTAAAAGGAGTCTTCTCACCTATTTAAATGCCGTAGAGGTAAGCTTGGGGAAGTGAGTTGGACGCGAAAGGTGAAGGTCATTGTTAATAGGGCAGGGCTGGTAAGAGACAAATACGCTCTTCTGGCAAAGTTTCCAGATGGGTGGAGTTTATACTGAAGTTCACCAGGTTCTTGGGTTGTTGGAAATCCTCCTTCCTGCCTTCTTTGCTGGGCACCACCTTGTGTGCTGGGATGGAGAGTAGAACCAGCACGGGTGGTCTGGCAGGGAGGGCTGGCACCTGGGGACAAAGGTACATGCAGCAAGCTGACTGACGGAGGAGGGGCGCCCAGCAGGCCAGCGAGGGCCTCTGAGAGGAGGTAATGTATGTGAATGCCGAAGCCAGAGGATGCATTGGTGTTGCTGGCAAAGCAACAGGCTGGGGTGAGAATGAGCTCAGCCTGGGTGAGAGCTGAGAAGAGTCTCGGGAGAGGGGGGCTGAGACAACGCTGGAGGGGCAGGCAGGAGCCAGATCATGCACAGTCTACAGGCTGCTCCGGAGGAATTTTGTTAGAATAAAAAAGATTTTAAGCAAGGGGCCAGGCGTGGTGGCTCATGCCAACACTTTGGGAGGCCGAGGTGGGTGAATCACCTCAGGTCAGGAGTTTGAGACCAGCCTGGCCAACATGGTGAAACTTCGTCTCTACTAAAAATATAAAAATTAGCTAGGTGTGATGGTGGGTGCCTGTAATCCCAGCTACTCGGGAGGCTGAGGCAGGAGAATTGTTTGAACCCACGAGGAGAAGGTTGCAATGAGCCGAGGTGGCACCATTGCACTCCAGCCTGGGCGACAGAGCAAGACTCTGTCTCAAAAAAAAAAAAACAAGATTTAGGGAGGTGTGTACTTTTGGGAGGATCATGCTGGTTGCTAGTTGGCATAGAATGAAGAGGGATGGGGTGGGTTTGGGGGACTAGGGAGAGGAATTGGACCTGGGAGGTGGTGAGAACAGATGGCCTGGCTGCTCTATCCAATTGTCACCGGATGGATCGGTCCCCCGTCTTTTGAAAAGCTAATTTGCCTCTTGAAAGCTGCTCACCTCCCTGCTGGGAGGTGGTGGGAATTTACACGTTTTTCTGCAGTCAGTCTTCAGACCTGTCACATTCTAGGTTCCAGGGTAGTTTTTTTCTCTGTTCAGGCACACTACAGTGTCTAACCTGTAGCCCCTGCAAACTCTAATTAAAAACACATTTGCCTTAGACCGCTGTTTCTACATCTGCAAAACTCCTCTCTTTCCATGATCATGTTGAAATTATCTGAGCATGGTTGGGAGGCAGAGAGGGCAGTTTTTAGGTGAAAGCACATATTTTTCTGCTATTTGGCATATAATTAATTGTCTAGTTTTATTTGTCTTAACTCTGAACGACCAATAACTTAAATAAGGAACCGACCTGTGCAATTCAGTGTTCAAGAATTTAGAAAACATTGCTGTTGAAATTGCTGTGAGTTTTGTACTTTAGGAAACAGATGTGTTTTTCCTCCTTCTCTTGATGAAAGATATCACAGGGCAATTTTTATACTAAGTTTCCCAGAGCTGTTTAAATCTTTTTTTTTTTTTTTTTTTTTTTTTTTGAGACAGCATCTTGCTGTGTTGCCCAGGCTGGAGCGCAGTGCTGCGATCTCTGCTCACTGCAACCTCTGCCTCCTGGGTTCAAGCAATTCTCCTGCCTCAGCCTCCCAAGTAGCTGGGATTACAGGCACCCACCACCTCTCTTGGCTAATTTTTGTATTTTTAGTAGAGTTGGGGTTTCACCATGTTGGCCAGGTTGGCCCTGAACTCTTGACATCAGGTGATCCACCTGCCTCGACCTCCCAGAGTGCTGGGATTACAGGCGAGAGCCACTGCACCTGGCTTAAATTATTTTATACACTGGACCTGTACAATTTACATTCTTGTAGCAATTCTGATTTATCACATTGTTTTTTGTTTTTTTTTTTTTTGAAACTGAGTTTTGCTCTTGTTGCCCAGGCCTGCTGTGGCATGATCTCGGCTTAAGCTCTGCCTCCCAGGTTCACGCGATTCTCCTGCCTTAGCCTCCTGAGTAGCTGGGATTACAGGCACACGCCACAACGCTCTGCTAATTTTTTGTATGTTTAGTAGAGACGGGGGTTTCACCATGTTGGGCAAGCTGGTCTCGAACTTCTGACCTCAGGTGATCTGCCCGCCTCCACCTCCCGAAGTGCCGGGATTACAGGCGTGAGTCATCGCGCCCAGCCACATTCTTTTATTATTTCAGAAGTAGGGAAAAATATTTTTCTGCTTGTCTCCTCAGGTGAATGTTGAAGTAAAGTAGATTAGGATGAGGCAGGTTGGTTGTCACTGGGGAATTTTGTACATTGTTTCCTAAAATGAGGAAAAGCAAACATAATGAAAACATTGCATTTGTGTCTGTTATCTTTGCTCACACGCTAGCACTTTTTTTTTTTTTTTTTTTGAGACAGAGTCTGGTTCTGTCACCCAGGCTGGAGTGCAGCGGCATGATCTCGGCTCACTGCAACCTCTGCCTCCCGGGCGCAAGTGATTCTCCTGCCTCAGCCTCCCAAGTAGCTGGGATTACAGGCACCCACCGCCATGCCCAGCTAATTTTTGTATTTTTAGTAGAGACGGGGTTTCACCATGTTGGCCAGGTGGCCAGGCTCAGGTGATCTGCCCGCCTCAGCCTCCCAAAGTGCTGGGATTACAGACGTGAGCCACCATGTACTTTTGCCTACTGAATTACATCTCTAGATTTTAGCATCTAGAACTGGTCTGTCCAGTGCTTTAGCCACTATGACTTTGTGATATTTGGGCACTTGAAATATGGCTGTTCCAAGTTGAGATGTGCAGGGAACATGCAACACACATCAGAATTTGACAATGGGGCCAGGCATGGTGGCTCACACCTGTAATCCCAGCACTTTGAGAGGCTGAGGTGGGTGGATCACCTGAGGTCAGGAGTTCGAGACCAGCCTGGCCAACATGGTGAAACCCCGTTTCTACTAAAGATACAAAATTAACCGGGTGTGGCGGGCCCCTGTAATCCCATCTATTCGGGATGCTGAGGCAGGAGAATCGCTTGAACCCTGGAGGCGGAGGTTGCAGTGAACTGAGATCACGCCACTGCACTCCAGCCTGGGCAATAAGAGTGAAACTCTGTCTCAAAAAAAAAAAAAAAAGAGAAAGAAATTTGAGAATGGGTATGGAAAAAAGAATGCCAGTTAGCTCATTGATGTGTTTTTTTATGATGACATTTTGAAACGGTAATACTTTGGATCTCTGGGTTAAAAAACAGAATATTAAAAGTAATCTTACCTGTTTCTTTGTAGTTTTTTTTAATGTGATTATTAGAAAATTTAAAATTACATATGTGGCTTGCCTTATTTCTGCCCAGCAACTCTGGTTGAAAGACGCTGACCTGGGGGCTCCCGAAAGCTTTATCCCTGGGGCCCTGTGAGCTGCTTGTGGTCATTCTCGCTGCTTTTCCCCAAGTAGAACTGTCCATACTTGGTCCAGCTGCTGGGACCCTCCTACCTGCCAGCAGTGCTTATCTCCCAGCCTGGGGTTGATGACAGCAAGAGGGCACGCAGGCCTGCAGACCAGCTCTTTCTTAGAACAAAAGAGTTCAAGGGGTTCTTGAGATGATTAGGGTCCGCAGAGTTTGAGTAACACTCTTGAAATGCTCAAAAGCAGTTGGTTGGCGAGAATGGTTCTGAATTCTGCTAGCCACTTAGGCATTGTTTGCTGTTGCTACTTTTTCTAGGATACTCTTGCATTTTAAACAAACCTCTTGGAGGGGTTTCAACCCTTTTGGCTCTGCCCCCCTACAATCACGCTAGATCTTGTAGCCCATGACGGCACACCCGCAGGGAGAGCTGTCAGGGTAGCCTGTAAATGGAGGCCGTGGAGATAAGTGGATGTTGCACTAGATTTTCATTGTCTGTTGACAAACCTCTGTGGCATTTGCACAGAGAACAAAGAGTTTAGACCGTGGGACTCAGGAGGCCTTCCAGTTTGCTGGTGTTGGTGAGAGAGAGCAGCACATCTGCATTCTGTAGAAGTCTGCAAGGAAGATTTATTGCCCTTTGAAAAGCCAAGGTATGCACTTCAACACAGATTTTTACGTGGGTTCATCTAGGGATGCTTGTTTCAAACACCAGTAGGGCGTACGTCTTTGCATAGGTCTTGGATGTCTTGGACTAGGATGCTGTGGTATTTTATTGGAGTATCTGTGGTGGCGTTGCAGAGTTTCTGAATCATGCTGATAAAGGACTTTTTTTTTTTTTTTTTACGAAGTGTAAATTTCAGGCGATATTTACTTAGCAAGCCAGTTTTGTTATGTATACTTCTGTGGGAACTTCTAAAATAATTTTTAAATGGTATCTTTTAAAATGACTGGTCTTTCAACTAAACAGTTTCAAAACAAATACTTGAATTGCAGTGAGCATTAATTATTGGAATAAATCATAGCCACAGAGGTGTATATACCAGCATTTTGTAGTAGATTACTCAGGAGCAATGCGTTGTTTCCTTGACAGAAAATTTATATGATTTCCTTCTTTCCTTCCTTCCTGCCTGCCTGCCTTCTTCCTTCTGCCTTCCCGTCCTCCCTCTCTCCTTTCTTTTCCTTCTCTCTCTCTCCCTTCTCCCTTCCTTCCTTCCTTTGTTCGGAGCTAATGCAAGATTGTTTTGGAGGCAGACCAGGTTTGAGAATCACCGAATTGATGAATCCACAGACAAGAGGTGGGGAAGGCACCCTTGTGTTTTTGGTAACCACCCAGAAGGCCCTGACCTCACCCTCTGGAGCACTGGCTCAGTGCAGGAGTGCCCTGCCACCCCACTGCACCCCAGAATCCTGGGGGGGCTGCTAAGATCCAGCTCCTGTCATTCCACTTCTGCACAGCTGGATTGGTGCCTGGGTACTGTCTGATTCTGCTGTAAAGACAGGGGTGAGAGCCTCCTTTCTAGACCATTTCTTTCCTTTTTCTTTTCTTTTTTTTGAGATGGAGCCTTGCTTTGTTGCCCAGGCTGGAGCGCAGTGGCACGATCTCGGCTCACTGCAGCCTCTGCCTCCTGGGTTCAAGCAGTTCTGCCTCAGCCTCCTGTGTAGGTGTGATTACAGGCATGTGCTACCATGCCCAGCTAATTTTTGTATTTTTAGTAGAGACAGGGTTTCACCGTGTTGGCCAGGCTGGTCTCCAACTCCTGACCTCCGTTGATCCACCCACCTAGGCCTCCCAAAGTGCTGGGATTACAGGCATGAGCCACCGTGCCTGGCCAAGACCATTTCTTTAAATATAGAGATAAGGTCTCACAGTATTGTCCAGGCTGGTCTTGAATTCCTGGGTTTAAGCAATCCTCCCACCCCTGCCTCCCAAACTGCTGGGATTACAGGCTTGAGCCATATCACCTAAACACCTGAGAGCTTATTGGGAGCTTGCCTGGCTACTGCTGATTGTGCCTTCTGAGTCCTGAGATTACTCTGCTTGTAGTTTCCTTCCTTCCATGAGGCTTAAGAAGGAGAGAAGGACTCCATTTTTCAGAGAGCAGAAGCGAGGCCAGGAGTGTTGAGGCGGAGAGGGCAGGAGCTGGGGCTGTCGTCTGCAGTCCGGTTGAGGAGCAGCATGCTGGCTTCC
This sequence comes from Homo sapiens, assembly GCF_000001405.40. Taxonomy (NCBI): domain Eukaryota; kingdom Metazoa; phylum Chordata; class Mammalia; order Primates; family Hominidae; genus Homo; species Homo sapiens. The sequence continues at coordinate 16,895,956 of NC_000005.10, read as the reverse complement.
CAGGGGAGCTCCTGCCCTGCTCCTCCCTGCCCCCGCCCTGCTGTGCGGCAGGGCCCCCCTTGCATTAAGGCTTTACCACTGGGGGTTTTGCAAGTTTATTGCACGCATGTCCTTGCTTCTAGCCAGGAGTTTGGCTTTTTACCAGGTGGCAGAGTGTGTGTGTGTGTGTGTGTGTGTGTGTGTGTGTGTGTGTGTGTGTGTGTTGTGGTGTTGGGGAGGGGGCGGCTTACATCATGGCCAGAGTATTTGGGAAGGATGGATGGGGTGGGAGGGAGATGGATGGATGGGGATGCTGGAATCCACCCCTAGGAAATTCCTTTGGGTGTCTCAGTGTCCTGCTGGGGAAGGAGCTCTTGTTGGGTTGAGCCTGTTGGGTGTTCTTACCATTGGTCCTCAGGAGGTGAGAGGCTTCCTGGGAACGAGATAGGGGAAGCAGAGGGCCTTTGTTCTGGTCTAGATGGGGCGTGTCATCCAGGGGTAGTGGAGAAGCTGATGAGGAGCCAGTAGGAACTAGGAGGAACTTTCCTTCCTTGGCTTCGGGCCTCAGAGCCTCCGGTGAGCTGCCTCACCAGGACATGGCTGTATTTGATGGACAGACCTCAGACGTCAGCCTCCTGGGCTCGGCCCATTCTCCATTCACTGCAGCAGGGTCTTCACTGCAGCCCCCCTGCCACTGCTTTGTCCCACCCCTTGATTCCCCTGAGGGAGATCTTGGGAATTTCCAAATTTTGAGTGACTGAAGGCCTTTCAAACTGAGAAAGAATTAAAAATGGATCCTTCAAAATGACTTGTCTACTGTGTGGTTCTTTTAAAACATAATTTGAAAAGAGTATACTGCATTGTAAAACAGTAATTTTGCCCACATTTTATTGGTAAGGGTGGAGGTGATTTTAGTCCTTAGTGGTTTGTAGAGCTTGGCGGGTTAGTCTGAGACTGTTTTTTCTTGTGCTGGACAAAGGTGAATGTCTTCATTGTTTCATTGTGTAGAGCTGTTAATAGTTTATGGAGGGTGATTAAGTAGCGCTGCATAAGCCAATTTACAGTGTGTCTTAGTCTACACTGGCACTTGGCTAATTTGCAGAAAATTGGACCTTTCAACATGGGGCTTCCTCCCTCTACTCCGTGGGGGCTTCTCCTATTCATCCCTCAGCAGTCTGGCTTCCCCTCCAACACCGCAGGCTCCAGTCCTCTGTGTATCCCCACATTAGTCCTCCTGGTGTCAAGTTTCAATGATCTGTTTGCACTTCATCCCCATTGGACTGCAGGCATCTGGGAATGAGGCGTGTCCCTTACTAATCTTTGCGCTGGATCTCTGGCACAGTATCTGTGTTGTTAAATGCGTCAGTGGCCACCTCTGCTTTCCATGAAGCATTTCTGATTATCCACTCACCTTCTTTCTCAGAGTTAGCCTCTTTAATCCCCACAGTTCCTGGGAGGTAGATTGTATTTGCTTTTCCTCTACATTCGATGAGGAAATGAAGGCCCGTGGAGGTTCATTTGTCCAAGGCCACATGGCTAAGATGTGGTAAAGCCAGGGTTCCTGTCCAGGCGGTTTGGCCCCCTGGATAGAGCCATTATCAAAAACCACTATCCTTCGGTCTAGCCAGGAAAAAAAACTTCAGACAGCCCACAGAGGAGGGATGTTTCACAGAATACCTGACCAGCATTTCTCAAAACCGTCAAGGCTATCAAAGAAGGAGCATGACGATTACATCCAATGTCCCAGAAGGGGTCCTGGGACGGAAAAAGGACATTAGGTGGAAACTGGAGAACTCTGAATGAAGTGTGGCATTGAGTTCATGGTAAGGTGCCAGTGTCGGTTCCTTAGTGTGATAAATGTCCACATTATGTAAGATATAAGAACAGGAACCAGAGTGAGAGGTGTACAGGGACTCCCTGTATTATCTTTGCAACTTGTCTGGAAAATCTAAAACTATTCTAAAATGAAAAGTTTACTTAACAACTTAATGACAATGCCACCACTAAGCCCACTGCACTCCACTGCCTGGCTGGCTTGTCACACACTCTGGGTACCCTCACTCCTCGCTGCCTGGTGCCCACCCACTGCTGGGGAGAGGCTGTGTCCTCGGAGAAGAGTCCCCTCCAATTTCAGCACGTAACAGTGACGGAGGGATATAACTAGGGCTAGTCACAGGGCCATCAGAAGTGCTGCCCCCACTTATTTATTTATTTATTTATGTTTTTAGCAGTGTAGTCTGTTCCAAAGTCTCTGTTGAACCCAACAGGAGGTGTAATATGGAGAGAAATGAAAATGAATTTTGCTGTAGGAGGGAAATAATTTTCTTTTTTTTTTTTTTTTTTTGAGACAGAGTCTCACTCCCTCACCCAGGCTGGAGTGTGGTGGCACGATCTCAGCTCACCGCAACCTCTGCCTCCCGAGTTCAAGCGATTCTCCCACCTCAGCCTGCTGAGTAGCTGGGACTACAGGCATGCACCACCACACCTGGCTAATTTTTGTATTCTTAGTAGAGATGGAGTCTTGCCATGTTGGCCAGGCTGGTCTCAAACTCCTGATCTCAGGTGATCTGCCTGCTCAGCCTCTCAAAAGTGCTGGGATTACAGGCGTGAGCCATGGTGCCCAGCAGGAGAGAAATAATTTTCTATAGACAAAATCTTAGTGTCAAGAGGACCAAAGAGGCATTTATGTCATTTAAATGTTTCTCATCCTCTTCAGCCTCCTTATCGCTTTTCTGTTGGGGGTAGCTTGTAATTGTAAGTTCTTTTTTTTTTTTTTTTTTTGAGACAGAGTCTCACTGTGTCACCCAGGCTGGAGTGCAGTGGCGCAATCTCGGCTCACTGCAAACTCCGCCTCCCAGGTTCAAGCCATTCTCCTGCCTCAGCCTCCCGAGTAGCTGGGACTACAGGCGCCCGCCACCACGCCCGGCTAATTTTTTTTGTATTTTTAGTAGAGATGGGGCTTCACCGTGTTAGCCAGGATGGTCTTGATCTCCTGACCTCGTGATCTGCCCGCCTCGGCCTCCCAAAGTGGTGGGATTACAGGTGTGAGCCACCGTGCCTGGCCTGTAAGTTCTTTTTCAATGTTTTGTGTCTGGAAAGTAGCTGGGCTGGTAATGTTGTTGGTTTGGAGAAACTGTGGTGCGTTGGTTGAACGAGGCCTGTGCATTCTTTGGTTCTGTAGCAAGGCCTTGAGAGGAGAGTTAAATTAAAGCAATATGAGGGCTGAAAGCCATCTGGATGTGACCCAGTAAGGTGCCAGCAGCAAGACCCCAAATACAGGTACTGCTTTGTTGGGTTGAAGACCTATGGCATCTTTTGTTTGTTTGTTTGTGTTTGAGATAGGCTCTCGCTCTGTCACCCAGGCTGGAGTGCAGTGGCGCAGTCTTGGCTCACTGTAACTTCCGCCTCCTTGGTTCAGGAGACTCTCTCACCTCAACCTTCCAAGTAGCTTGGACTATAGGCGCATGCCACCATGCCCAGCTAATTTTTGAATTTTTTTGTAGTGACGGGGGTCTCACCATGTTGCCCAGGCTGATCCTGAACTCCTGAGTTCAAGTGACCTGCCTTCCTTAGCCTCCCACAATGCTGGGATTACAGTCGTGAGCCACCGTGCCCGGCAACCCCATGGCTTGAAGCATTTTGGTTAGCCGTCTCATGTGATCTTTTTGTGTTATGTATCAGATAAGCTAGGTGTCAACTCATTTTGTGCAGAGAGATCTCAAGTAATGAATAACTGTGCTGAGCTATGGGTAGAAGAGCTGGAGCTTGAGTCCCTGTCTTCTAGGGGAGCACCCAGTGCCATTTCTGTAACCTCATACTGAAACCTTCCAGCAGCCCTGCCTCTCTCTCTTGGTAGCATGGTTTCTGTAGATGCATTTACCATTCAACGGAGCAATAAGTCTGGCCCTGTTCTAGGTGCTGAGGATTCCACAGCAAGTAAAATCCATTTCTGCCTCCCATAATACAAATGATATAAATATGATGTAAATACTAGTCAAAGCACTGAAATAACTTGTTTTGGTGTTCTAGAGAAAGTATATAAAAATTAGAGACATTTGTACAGGTCTCGCTTGTGAACTGCTTTCTAGATGTTTTCTGAAACCTGTAACATTTGTGTGTGATGAAAATGAGAGCTGATATTCCTTTACTTGCAAATAATGGAAACTCCACAAAAACTAGTGCAAACTGAAAAGAGGACCTTCTTGCATATGTAATAAGGAGGGTCAAGAATGAAGATGGTGGTTGGGATAACGGATTCCAGGGAGTGAATGAGGTCAGGTGTGAGTCTACCTATTTGTCTGCATAGTTGTCTCTCCCTCCCTGTCTCTTTTAATTTGTGATATAATTCACACATCATGACATTCACCCATTTAAAGTATATAATTCAGTGGTTTTTAGTATCTTCACAAGATTGTACAACCATCATCACTATCTAATTTTATCACATTTTCCTACTCCAGAAAACCCCCCACAAAACTCCGTACCTGTTAGCAGCCACTCTCCATTCTCCCCTCCTCCCAGCCCCGGGCAACCACCAGTGAGCTTTCTTTTCTCCTCTCCCCTCCGCCTGCCCCTCCTTCCTCCTTCCTCTCTCTCTCCTTCCTTCCTTCCTTCCTTCCTTCCTTCCTTCCTTCCTTCCTTCCTTCCTTCCTTCCTTTTCTCTTCTCCTTTTCTCTCTCTTTCAAGACGGAGTCTCACTCTGTCATCCAGGCTGGAGTGCAATGGCACAATCTTGACTTCCTGCAACCTCTGCCTCCTGAGTTCAAGAGTTCAAGCAATTCTCCTGCCTCAGCCTCAAGTAGCTGGGATTACAGGCACCTGCTACCGCGCCTGGCTAATTTTCTAATGTTATGTTTTAGTGGAGACTGGGTTTCACCACGTTAGTCAGGCCGGTCTCTAACACCTGACCTCATGTGATCCGCCTGTATCGGCCTCCCAAAGTACTGGGATTACAGATGTGAGCCACCGTGCCTGACCAACTTTCTGTCTCTATGGATTTAACTTCTTCATATAAATGGAGTCATACAACATGTGGTCCTTTGTGACTGCCTTCTTCTACTTAGCATAGTGTTTTCTAGGCTCATCCATGTTATAGCATGTATCAGTTCTCTGTTCATTTTTATTTTATTTTATTTTTTGAGACAGAGTCTTGCTCTGCCGCCCAGGCTGGAATGCAGTGGCATGATCTTGGCTCCCTGCAACCTCTGCTTCTCGGGTTCAAGTGATTCTCCTGTCTCAGCCTCCAGAGTAGCTGGGGTTACAGGCATGTGCCACCACACCTGGCTAATTTTTGTATTTTTAGTGGAGATAGGGTTTCTCCGTGTTGGCCAGGCTGGTCTCGAACTCCTGACCTCAGGTGATCTGCCTGCCCCGGCCTCCCAAAGTTCTGGGATTACAAGCGTGAGCCACCACGTCAACCTTATAGTTGAATAATATTCCATTGTATGAATAGACCACATTAAAAAAAAATCCATTCACTAGTTGATGAACATGAGGGTTGTTTCTGCTTTCAGGCTATTGCACATAATGCTGCTATGAACATTTGTGTACAAGTTTTCGTGTGGACATATGTTTTCACGTCTCTGGGGTATTTACCTAGCAGTGGAATTTCTGGGTCATATGGTTAACTCTATATTTTACTTTTTGAGGAACTGCCAAACTGTTTTCCACAGCAGCTGCATCATTTCACATTCTTAGCAGCAGTGCACGAGGGTTCTAGTTTCTCCACATTCTTGCCAACACATTATGTGTCATTTTGATTGGACTAGGTTATCTTTTATGTACCTTTTAATCCAGGAAGTATGATTTTGTGAAAAAAAATTTGTTTTCGATATGTGATAGAAATCTGCAAAGGAATTAATTAATATGTATGAAACAGAAATGACAAATGGCTGTTTTAAGTTTATTTTCTTCCCACTGTGTTCTTGGGTCGTTCATTTTTATGAAGTAACAACAAACTCCTGTTCTGAGCATACTTGTGTATTTTTTCTGAAAACAGATGGTAGCCAGAACACAACTGGGATTCCATTAAGAAAATCTTATCAGTTTGTTTATTTGTAGGCATTTCTCTCCCCCTCTCCCCACAAAAATGATTCTTATCAAGAGGAGGAAAGGACAATAAACTGGGAAATGGGAGGTAAGGATGTCTGGTATCAGATTTCACGCAGAGTGCAAACATCTTGTGCTGGTCTTTTATTGCCCTTTCTGTCCTGTACCTCCTACTGCTTCCACCAAGAGGAGTGGAATGCAGTTCTTAAACCAGCTGTTTTGTTTTGTGTGCTTTAAAAACAGGATTTCCCACTAGTTTTTGAGAGTTCTTAGTGGGACAGTTTTATACATTTTATAAAATCTGTGTCTCCTAGCTCCATTTACTTACTTGTCTTTCTTGGCTTGTTCTGCTGTTTTCTTTCTTTCTTTCCTTCCTTTCCTTCCTTTCGTCCGCCCTTCCTTCCTTCCTTCCTTCCTTCCTTCCTTCCTTCCTTCCTTCCTTCCTTCCTTCTTTCTTTTCTTCCCTTCCCCTTCCTTCTTTCCTTTCCTTTCCTTCCTTCTTTCTGTCAGTCTTTCTGTCTTTCTTGATGGAGTCTTGCTGTGTTGCCCAGGCTGGAGTATAGTGGCGTGATCTCGGCTCACCGCAACCTCCGCCTCCTGGGTTCAAGCAATTCTCCTGCCTCAGCCTCCCGACTGCCTGGGATTACAGGCACCCACCACCATGCTTAGCTAATTTTTGTATTTTTAATAGAGATGGGGTTTCACCATGTTGGCCAGGCTGATTTTTTTTTTTTTTTTTTAAATTTTTTTAAATTTTGAGGCAGGGTCTTGCCCTGTCACCCAGGCTGGAGTGCAGAGGCACAATCACACCTCACTGCAACCTCCGCCTCTTGGGCTTAAGCCATCCTCCCACCTCAGCCTGCTGAGTAGTTGGGACTACAGGCATGTGCCACCATGCCCAGCTAATTTTTATGTTTTTTGCAGAAACAGGGTTTTGCCATATTGCCCAGGCTAGTCTCAAACTTCTGAGCTCAAACGATCCTCCCACCTCAGCCTCTCAAAAGTGCTGGGATTCCAGGCATGAGTCACCATTGCCTGGCCTGGCCTATTGTTTATATTATGTAATTATTCCCTATGGAACAGAGAGAACAGATAGGAAGGGCATTAGAGTGGGCATAGTTTACCTCTGTGCTTTTTAGAGCCAGAACTATTTTATTTAATTCAAATTTTACTTTTTTTTTTTAAGAGATGGGGGTCTTGGCTTATCTTGTTCAGGCTGGAGTGCAGTAGCACGATCAGAGCTCACTGTATCCTCGAACATCTGGGCTCAAGGGATCCTCCTGCCTTAGCCTCCCAACTATGGGAGTATCTCTGGCTATTTTTTTTTTCCTTTTGAGACGGAGTCTCGCTCTTGTTGTTCAGGCTGGAGTGCAGTGGCGCAATTTCGGCTCACCACAACCTCTCCCTCCTGGGTTCAAGTAGTTCTCCTGCCTCAGCCTCCTGAGTAGCTGGGATTACAGGCATGCACCACCACACCCAGCTAATTTTGTATTTTTAGTAGAGATGGGGTTTCTCCATGTTTGTCAGGCTGGTCTTGAGTAATTTTTTAATTAAAAAAAATGTTGTAGAGATGAAGTCTCACCATCTTGCCTAGGGTGGTCTTGAACTCTGAGGCTCAAGTAATCCTCCCACCTTGGACTCCCAAAGTGTTGAGATTACAGGTGTGAGTCACTATGCCCAGCCTAGAGCTAGAATTATTTTACATGCCGTCCACTCTTTCCTAGTGCCTGGTATATGATTGGGGAGGGGGTGTTAGGAGATATTTGGTGGAAGGATGGACTTGTGGAAGTATGAGGGATGGAAGAATGGGTGAGTGGGTGGAACGATTTACAGATGGATGAATTATTTTAGGCATGTTGGCTGATTCTTTAGGTCCACTTTCTAATAAACATATATGTGTTGGCTACATAATGATGGTTAACTAATAGATGGAAAAATTTGACTTTTATTTGTTGTATCGTCACATTCCTACAATGTTTGAGGTACTCTCAGCAATTTGGAGATGTCTCATTTCTTTTAGTGTTAAAAATTGTTTCTGGGACTATTTCTGGTCACTGTAGTTTAAAAGATTAACTGAAAAGGTGTTTTAAGGAATTGTGAGGAAGGTGGGGGAAATCAGATTATAAAACTCAGGACTGAGGCCAGACATGGTGGCTCACGTCTGTAATCCCAGCACTTTGGGAGGCTGAGGTGGGTGGATCACCTGAGGTCAGTCGTTTGATACCAGCCTGGCCAACATGGTGAAACCCAGTCTCTACTAAAAATACAAAAATTAGCCCAGTGTGGTGGTGCGCACCTGTAGCCCCAGCTACTTGGGAGGCTGAGGTAGGAGAATCACTTGAACCCAGAAGGCAGAGATTTCAGTAAGCCGAGATCATGCCACTGCATTCCAGCCTGGGCGGCGGAGCTAGACTCCATCTAAAAATAATAATAATAATAAAACTCAGGACTCAATCAGTTGGCAAGTTGGAACCCATAACTATGGGAATAAACTCTTTACAGAATCACACATTTATAATTGAGGCATCCTGCCATTTAGCATAGTTCATTTTGGTTTTGATTTTGATTGGAAGTGTGGGATGGCGGTGAATCTTTGTATCTTTTCCTTTGGAACATTGACCAAAGATTAGTGTATTGTTGGTGATACCTTTTACCGCTTTCTTTTCCTCTCCACCTCTTACTATCGTAAACTTTTCATGTTATCCTCTGGATGAAAGCTGCTATTCCTAGTGGTGACAGAGTTTGACACTGTGGGCAGGATAAGGGGAAGGAATGTGGGTGCTATTCGATCCTTCCCATCCGGTGCACTAGAGAGCTGGGAAGGACCAAAAACATGGGACAAATTGGTCTGTGAACTTTATGGTAATGAGCACAGGCAGGCCTCAGTTTACAACCCTACTGTGTTTTTTTTAGGTGTGTTTATTAGTATTTGGAACACTGTGGTCTTCAGTGGCAATAGTGTTTTTTTGTTTTTGCTTTGTTTTTTTTTTTTTTTTTGGAGATGGAGTCTCGCTCTGGCACCCATGCTGGAGTGCAGTGGCACGATCTTGGCTCACTGGAACCTCTGCCTCCCTGGTTCAAGCGATTCTCATGCTTCAGACTCCCAAGTAGCTGAGATTACAAGCCCGTGCCACCACATCCAGCTAATTTTGGTATTTTTAGTAGAGGCGGGGTTTCACCATGTTGACCAGGATGGTGTCAAACTCCTGATCTCAAGTGATCCGCCTTCCTCAGCCTCCCAGAGTGCTGGGATTACAGTCAGGAGCCACTGTGCCCAGCCGCAGTAGTGTTACAAATGATCTTTTAGCCCATAGGCAAGCTTGAGAAATGATGATGACGATGATGATGTAGCTGAAAGCTATAAATAGCTGAAATATATTCCTTCAAAAAATGTAGAGCATTTCAGCAATAGGCCAGTCTGGGGAGTTACCCAACACTTCTGGCAGCGCCTTTGAGAAGAAATTATGTCGGAATTCTGAAGCACAATGTCAGGAACACATTTTCCCCTGGGATTAGCTCTCTGATGGGCACGGGACAGTTGTTCTTGCGGTTGCCTATATAGAGAACAAACGTCTATAATTGTTCTCCAGCCCAAAGAAAAATATTACAAACTCGGGACTCTCAAACCACACATTTCCAACTTTATCAACTATGTGCTCACCAAGTTTCTCTCTTGAGACTCACTTTATTACTTTTCCTTCCTCTGTAGTTGGTCAGGGTGGAGCTTTGACTTGCCATCTCCTTCAGCTCCGCATCCTTTGACCTGAGCCTAAAAACCGCCTGTGTTCCTTTCAGGGCCTACATGGCCGTGGCTGAACTGAAGCTTTCCTCTGTAGAATTGGATGCAGTTCTTCAGAAATGATTGCCAGCTTCGGGTTTAAAACCCTGTAGTCTCAAGACAAGGAATTGAGTCAGAGGGACTCATTTAGCTGTCGTGGGTGCCCTACTCTGTTTGAGTACTCTATGGCAAGGACCTATGAAGGCCACCGACTGCTATGGGGGATGCCTGGGTGTCCAGGGATGCTTGGGGACTGGCTGCTACCACTTCAGGTCCCCTGCTGAGGGTGGCTGTCTCTGCAGGGGAGAAGTCTTAGATTTCACCTTCCCCTTCATTTCTGAATCTTAGGGTTGTGCCCCAGCTCACAGTGCTCCCTCATCCTTGTGGCTCGCGTTAGCGCTGCATTTGTCATACTCATTTTATACCTGTGATGATGCCACCACCCCCCAACCCCCGCCGTTTTTTTTTGTTGTTTTTGTTGAGACAGAGTCTTGCCCTGTTGCCTGGGCTGGAGTGCAGTGGTATGATCTTGGCTCACTGCAACCTCTGTCCTCCGGGTTCAAGTGATTCTCCTGCCCAGCCTCCCAAGTAGCTGGGATTACAGGCACCCACCACTGCGCCCAGCTAATTTTTTGCATTTTTAGTAGAGACGGAGTTTCATCATGTTGGCCAGGCTGGTCTTGAACTCCTGACCTCAGGTGATCCGCCTGCCTTGGCCTCCCAAAGTGCAGGGATTACAGGCATGAGCCACTGTGCCCGGCCGATGAGCACCTTGCTTTGCTCTTCTCTCCATTCTTATCTGCACATGGCTAAGTTTTCTGACAAGCTTTGCACTGGGGTTTGCAAGCATTTGGGAGTTGAGACAGCATCTGAGGTTAAAGAGCACAGTGGACAGGCTGTGTCTGCATGGTTCCAATAATCTGCATTAAAAGTCGGCTCTCCCTTAAAAAAAAAAAAAAGCAGAGTGGACAGAGAGGAGGAAGAGTGTTCTTCTAGCACCACTGCCCACCTGTCGGCCTCTGCTCCTCTTTTCCTTATGTTTGTCAAAGGATTTGAATTAGACTGCAGAGGCTGCTTTCTCTATTCTCTGTGTACCCGGTTTTAATGATACCAGAAATTAGGTCTGCCCCAGCGATACTTTATCTGTTGGGATTTTTGAAGTTCATGGGATTTAGACAACAGAGTCTGCTTTCAATTAACTAGGTCACTGACAGTGAATGGTTTTGTAAACACCTTCAGTTTGGCCATGGCTCTAGAACACTGTATTACTCTAGAATAGTGATTCTCAACTAGAATGATCCTGCAGTCCCCAACAAAGAATCATCTAGTCCACAATGTCAATAGCACCGAGGTGGAGAAACTTGTATTACAACTTCATGTTATAAAAGCCACGTGTGCTTTGATGTGTCTTTGAGTAATAAGAATCAGAAAAAAAAAGCATCTGGTAAGTTGGAAAGATAACTCCTACTTCCAACAGAAGGAAAAAAAAAAAAAGACGAAAACAGGAGAAAAAGTGCTGCTTAAGTCCTTGGTGCTCACAACCCGTTTCTGCAGTTCATCAAGAACCAATATCCCCACTCCCTAGGCCCTACATTAGAGATCTCCTAAACCAGGTGACTTCTTCACTGAGTCATTGCAGGCAAAAAGAGGAAAACTTTCTTTTGGCTGTTGAATTTACTGCAGATTTAAATAGCCATATTAATTTATCTTATGCATTACAAAGTTATTTGACCTCTGTGTCTTTTTATTTTTTATTTTTATTTTTTGGAGACAGAGTCTCCCAGGCTGGAGTGAGGTGGTGCAATCATGGCTCACAGTACCCTTTACTTCCCAGCCTCAGGTGATCCTCCCACCTCAGCCTCCCAAGTAGCTGAGACCACAGGCATGCACCACCACGCCTGGCTTATTTTTTGCATTTTTAAAATAAGAGACAGGGTCTCTCCAGGATGCCCAGGCTGGTCTCAAACTTTTGGGCTCGGGTAATCCGCCTGCCTCGGTCTCCCAGAGTGCTGGGATTACAGGCATGAGGCACTGTGCCAGCCCTCTGCATCTTTAAAAAGGAAAAAGCAGATCACATTTCAAGAGCAAATTTTGAGTTTGTCATGTAGGTGGCCAGAGAATCCTGAACTGAGGTACTTAACATAGGCGAGAGAAACAGCTGTGGGAGATGAGCAGGCACAGTGCCCTGTTCCGGGGCTGAGACTAAGTTGTATGTTTGGCTAAAGAATGTTCTCTTTTTCGTGAACCTGTAATTAGAACATGCTGTACAGAATGGTATTTAAAGTCCACTGTCATCTCTTTTTAGGGTTGTTTCTCTAACTTATTTTTAAACTTATTTTTTCAATCAGAGTTCAGGAAAGAAAATCATTTTTGAAATCAGAAGAGAAATGTAATAGTTTTTAAAAGGGCAACAGGAGGTTAAAATTTGTGATGGTGATACTATCCTCTTTATCTTAAAGCAGAGGTCAGCAACTTTGTGTGTCAATATTTTAGGCCTTGTGCAGCAGCTTCACTTTGCCATTGGAGTGGGAAGGAGTCATAGATAATAGGTGATGAATGGGCCAGATGGGGAGGTATCACCAAGCAGGAGGCCGTTGGCCAGGGTTTTATGATTTTCTTCCAGGGAAGGGGATAATTGTCCACAATGACACCATGGTACAATCCATCACAACCTCATCCTTAGATTAGCTTGGGCAAGTCTCCTGCGTGGTCTGTTAGCCCCTCTAGTCTATGTTACTGGAGAGCAGAGACTTAATGAATTCAACATGGCCCTTGAATTTCATCATTATGGGGTTGTGGTGGTTTTGATATGTTTCTCAACACCTCTGTTGCTCAGTTACAGAAATGTGATTGGGCTTTCCTACTCTGGAATGGTTAAGAATGTTCATGTGCATTTGAGAAATACGTAGGCTGGGAAAACAATTTTTTAAAAATGATGGCCGGGCGCGGTGGCTCACACCTGTAATCCCAGCACTTTGGGAGGCCGAGGCGGGTGGATCACAAGGTCAGGAGATCAAGACCATCCTGGCTAACACGGTGAAACCTCGTCTCTACTAAAAATACAAAAAATTAGCCAGGCGTGGTGGTGGGCACCTGTAGTCCCAGCTACTCAGGAGGCTGAGGCAGGAGAATGGCGTGAACCTGGGAGGCAGAGCTTGCAGTGAGCCGAGATTGCACTACTGCATTCCAGCCTGGGTGACAGAGTGAGACTCCGTCTCAAAAAAAAAATAAATAAATAAAAATGATTTGATATTATTGAGTTATAATTCCATAGAGAGAAATTCACCCATTATAGGTGCCCAGTAGAATGATTTTCAGCACATGTATATAATTGTGCAGCCATCACCACAGGGCAGTGTTAGGACAGATTTCCACCTTTTTCACTCAGTCACTGTCCCTCCCGCACCCAGCTCTGGGTAGCCATTCATCTATTGTCTGTGTCTATGGATTTGCCTTTTCCAGAAACTTCATATAAACGGAACCACACAATATGTAGCCTTTTGTATCTGGCTTCTTTCACTTACCATGATGTGTATGGTCCATCTTTGTTGGTGAATGTATCAGTGATTTTTTTTTTTAATTTAAATAACTGAGGAGTCTCATTGTATGGATTTATTCTGAGTATCTCTATACCAGTTACTAGACCTTTGAATTGTTTCCAGTATTTTTGCTGGTAAGAATATTGCTGCTATGAATATTTGCACACAAGACTTAAAAAAATTTTTTTTTGAGTAAACAACTAGGAGTTAAATTGTTGGGACATATATGATAAGATTATGTTTAGCTTTTTAAGAAATTGCCAAACCATTTTCCAAAGCAGATGTACCATTTTACATTCTCAGTTTCTCTACATCCTCACCAACATTTGATAAAGTCAGCCCCTTTTATTATATCCAGGAAATCATTGTTGGCAGTAGAAAATGGAACCTCTGTGAACCTTACGTTTGAAGAAAGGGACGGTATTGCCTCTCTGTCTTATAGGATTGCTTTAAAGTTCAAAGGGGGATAGGAATTTATGCATAAGTGCTTTATATTGCAGAAACATTTCTGGTGATTATGTACAGAAAAATTTTTAGCCATTATATTAACACTCACATATTTGTCTCAGAAATTAAGATGCAAACTTGTCCACGTTTTAATAAAATGTGTATGTTATGATCAAACTTGTTCCACCTGCTTATAAAGGCAATTTTTTAATCAAATTGTGAGCCTTTTCCATATGCTAGGTTGCCTATATAATGTATTAAATTATCAGCCTTATTTAACAATGACTGAATGTAATAGTTTGCATACGGTGGGCAAATTTTTCTTTCCCACTCCAACTTAGATGGTCTGGTAAATGTCTGCCTGTGACTTTGTTTTCAAATGCTTGTGGGTGGCCTCTTTCGGACCTGGGCACATGTGTTCTAATAGAGTGGAAGTAGAAAGATTGGGGTCTCAGAGAAAGCACCAGGAACAATCTATGTAAAAAATACCTATTTCAGCAGTTTAACTTTGCAATTCCGATTCTATGAAAATTGCCAGTTAATACTTTTTCAAAGAACAAAGGGGGTGTTTTGAATGCATTTCCCTTCCCACCTGTGGAAGACAGCTGTTTGTGATAGACCTAGGAAAACTGGCCAATGGGCTGTGGATTTGAAATCTGGGCTGGATTTTGTAAAAGTTGCTTATCAGCAGTTCTTCACACCTGTTGGAGAAGACCTTTGGACTGCAGGAGCTGAACTGTGTATTTGATCATAAAGCACTGTGTCAACAAAGGGCTTTTGTAGTACTTTCAAACGAAAGGGTAAAGAGACCCACAGTGAGATGCTAAGTCAAAGAAACTGCACGCTGGAGTGAAAAAATATGTTCTGGATGGCCTGTGGAAGCCAAAAGGGTACATATTAATCCTGCTGACAGTTTATATTAATTTGATAATGTTGCATAATCTCAATTTCATTCTTACTAAATAGACAATTTTGATTGGGAAACAGGTGTGTGAAATCCTTTTTAATGAAAACAATGCTAGTGATGGTCACAATACACAGAAAGCTTTGGACTAGGGGTTCTGGGTTGGAGTTACACTGGGAGTTATTGTTTCCTGATTTTAACCTAATGAGTAAAAGTTCTTGCCTTATATCACTTTGAACATTTTCATTGCTGCGAGCATGGGCGTGTATGTGTGTTGGGAGGTGTATATTTAAAAGCTTTCAAATATTGCAGTCCCTGACATGTGAATTAAAGAGAGGCCGAAAAAAGTCATCAGGCACTTGAAATCTTTTTCTAGAATGTTACAAATAATGTGGCTTGGGTATGGAGTGATATTTGAGAGACCAGCGTCGTAGCAGATGCCTGAAGTCAGTGTTCTTTTTGGAAGCAGCTGTTTGCTAATAAAGAAATCAGGACTGACAGGCAGTTGTTAAGTCTCATTCTTCATGTGTGTTATCAGTGTCTCAGGCTGAAGCAAGAGTAGGGGGTGAGGGACTTGTGTGCAAATAGGTACTGGCCCCTGTTGGTGCTGTGTGTTCTTTACATAGGCAGGCCTCAGGATTTATATAGGAGCACTTAATATTCATTTTTGATGCTATTTTCCATCTTTATAGCAGAGGATTTAAACTCCTGTTTGGAGCATCTTTGAAGATCTATGAATGGAGTAAACAACTTAGAATCTCCATAGCATGTACCAGGGAAATGAGTGCCTATGGGGAGGGCCTCTTATAGATAAGGTCACAATAGGGGATACTAGGAGAGTCGTATAACTCTCCGGGGAACTCTGTGAGTTGGTCAGTGGGGAAAGGAGTCTGTTCCACCTCAATATTGGGATCTCCAGCCACTGTGATTTTAGAAATGTTTGTAGAACCTCCTTCTGGGGATTCCTGTTGGCCCGCCCCAGATTCATTCATCAAACAAAGAGTGACAACTATGGATCCCGAGTAACAGTTAACATTTGAGGTCCTGGCTTGTGGATTTTATTTACTTATTTATTTATTTTTTGAGATAGAGTTTACTCTGTCACCCAGGCTGGAGCGTAGTGGCACGATCTCAATTCAGTGTAACCTCTGCCTCCTGGTTTCAAGCAATTCTCCTGCCTCAGCCTCCTGAGAAGCTGGGATTACAGGCATGCGCCACCATGTCTGGCTAAGTTTTGTACTTTTTTGGTAGACACGCGGTTTTACCACGTTGGCCAGGCTGGTCTCAAACTCCTGACCTCAAGTGATCTACCCATCTCGGCCTTCGAAAGTGCTGGGATTATAGGCGTGAGCCACCACGTCCGGCCTCTGGCTCGTGGATTTTAAACAGTGTTATCATGGGCACTGAGGGAATGGAGTAACCTTTACGTCAGATTTTGTGTCGTCTTAAATGTTCCTTCCTAGGAAGATGAGAGAGAACAAATAGTTACGTGTGATAACAGGCCATTTAAGGTGACTCTGTGTTGTTAGATTTTAATTGCTGGCTGATTTATGAGTGCCTTTGATTTATTTATGAATTATTTTCAGGAGACAAGTGGAGTCAGTGTGATGTGTGGGAAGAGCATGGGGTTAGGAATTTGGAGAGACCTGCCTAGGTCACTAGCTGTGTGGCACTGGGCAAAGTCTTAAGCTCCAAGCTGCAATTTCCTCTTGGAATTGAGAGGATTCCTAGTTTACAGAAGGTTAGTATTCAATATAATGTCATTGAGACTTCTTAGCACATGACCCTGATATATCTGGGGCACTCCTTTACTGGAGGTGACTATGTTTGCTATTGATTGGCACCATTTAAAGTAGCGTAAAATGAGGAGTTTACTGGTGTGTCATTTATCCCCTGCCAACTCTGTGTTTAAAGAGCAGTACTACCTCCTTGAACTAGAAGTGGAACATACCATAACCAGCATATTTCAAATATTTAACAAAACAGAAATAAATGAAATGAGGTAGAAAATTCTAGAAAAGGAGTTGTTCAGTTAAAGTGCTATTTTAGGAAGGGAGGGAGGGAGAAAAAAATCAAGTGCTATGTCAAGTGATAATTTTGTTCTATTTCCACTTGAATACATTGATTCATAAGGATGTGCTTGGTGTCATTTTTGTTGGAATTGAAATTGTTGAGCAGAGTAGAAAAAGTTTAATGAGATACTGAAGCTCAGTGTTGCATTCCATCATATGGGTAAACGTCATAAAAGTAATTCTTTTTTTTTCTTTTTTTTTTTTAAATTTCATTAGTTTTTGGGGGGACAGGTGGTGTTTAGTTACATGGATATGTTATTCAGTGGTGATTTCTGAGATTCTGGCGCACCCATCACCCGAACAGTGTCCACTGTACCTGTTGTGTAGTCTTTTATCCTTCGCCACCCTCCCACCCTTCTCCCTGAGTCCCCAAAGTCCATCATGTCATTCTTATGCCTTTGCATCCTCATAGCTTAGCTCCCACTTATAAGCGAGAACGTATGTTGTTTGGTTTTCCATTCTTGAGTGACTTCACTAGAATCATGGTCTCCAGCTCCATCCACGTTGTTGTGAATGCCATTATTTCATTCCTTTTTATGGCTGAGTAGTATTCATGAAGGTAATTCTTTGACCAGTGAACACCCAGTAATTCCTCCAAACTTTATCACTTGTGTTTGAAAAAGTTTCATGTGATTAAATCAAAGGAAGATGAAATTGAGCCTTGAAAAAGCTCAATATGATATTTCATTTGTCCAGTGGGGAAATAAATAAGTGGAAATGAGATCAATGCCAAAAAATGTGCCCAAGATTTAAAACGTGGGATCTGGAAGTTGCCATCTTTTAAGATACAATCCTGAACTTTGAAGTTCATTAGGTGTCTCATGTAATCCTAACAAAATTTGTGCTGGTGGACTGAGTTCTGATAAATATTAGAAACTTCAGTTCCTCTTTTGGAGAGTCCAGTTTACACATGGATTTTGGTATAAGTAGGAGTCAAGGGAGTGGTCTAATGTCCTCCAAGTGGGCAAGTGTACCGGACTTTGACCTAAGAGAATGGGAGCCATTAGTTTCTGAAGAGTTCTCAAAGAGGGTGAAGGCTTGTTGAGACCTAGTTAAACTTCTGGTTTCTGGAGCCCAACTGCCTGTCATGCACTCGCTCAGTCTTTGTGATGCTGGGCAAGTTAGTTTACCTCTAGGCCTCTGGTTCTCCATCTGTAAAATGGGAATGGTCATAGTGCCTGCTTCATCATCTCAAATGACGTAATCCACCTAAATCAGTTGCATGGTGAGAACACAGGGGCTAGCTACTATTTTCTTAGTCCCTCTTTGCCTTCTATGTCTGATGGGACTCTCAGTCACACTTGTGGATAGTAAAGCCTGTGGATGATGCTTTGCGAAGATTTGTTCTTTGCTTGAGAAAGACATTTACTTTTCAAGAAGATTTTTTTTAAAGGAATATAGGAGTTAGGGTAATTTCGACAGTACAGTTTCGCCACAAAATGCAATCCAAACTCAGTTCAGTCTTGTTTGTTTTGTTTACAGGGAACACGGGTCTGGCTGAGAGAAAATGGCCAGCATTTTCCAAGTACTGTAAATTCCTGTGCAGAAGGCATCGTCGTCTTCCGGACAGACTATGGTCAGGTGAGAACAAGTCCCTGCAGCTTCCCAACATCCATGGTCTGCTTTGTAGCTATTCGTGCCCAGGGCATGTGTGCTTGGCCCCCCTACACATACACACGCTTTACATTTTTTTCCTAAGTGATAATTCAAAATCCCAGTGGGAATGTAGAATGTAAACCATGTGTGTGTAATAGATACAATACAGTTCTCTCAAATGGAACACAGCAAATATTCCAACTAGTGTGGGGACAGAAGGGCATGGCACTGGCCTGGTTTCCCTCCTGGGTATCTTTTCTGCCTTCTTTCATCTTTTTCAGCTATCAGAAGTAGAGGATGCAAGTAATTTGAGCAAAAGTTCAAGTATATGATATTTGCTGACTGATTAACTTGTTACTTTCTCTTAAAATTCTTAAACTTTCGTAGTGTCTTAGTCAGTTTGGGCTGCCATGACAGAATACCATAGACTGAGTGATTTATGAAGAGCAAATATCGATGTCACAGTTCTGGAGCCTGGAGAGTCCAAGGCCATCAAGATGCTGGCAGTTGTGTGTCTTGTGAGGCCTCTGCTCACTGGTTCATAGCCAGCCAGCTTCTTGCTGGGCCTCACATTGTAGAAGGGGGAGTTCTCTTGGGCCTCTTTTATAAGGGCACTAATCCCATTCATGAAGGCTGCACCTTCATGACCAAGTCACCTGCCAAAGACCCTAACAGCACTGCATGGGAGATTAGGAATTCAACATATTAATTTGGGGGGAGAATACAAACATTCAGTTCAGGCTGGGCACAGTGGCTCACGCCGGTAATCCCAGCACTTTGGGAGGCCGAGTCGGACAGATCACTTGAGGTCCTTAGTTCAAGACCAGCCTGGCCAACATGGTGAAACCCCGTCTCTACTAAAAATACAAAAATTAACCAGCTGTGGTGGCAGGCACCTGTAATCCCAGCTAATTGGGGGGCTGAGGCAGAAGAATTGCTTCAACCTGCGAGGCGGAGGTTGCAGTGAGCCGAGATTGCACCACTGCACTCAGGTCTGGGTGACAGAGCAAGACTCCTTCTCAGAAAACAAACCAGTTAATCACAAATAGAGTGTTGAAAATACTAGGATCCCACTGAGAATTTAGGGTAATGTTGTCCTGATCACTGTAAGAAGAAGACTGACTAAATCACTGAAGCTGAGCCTATTTATCTACCTTGTTAAGCAACTGAAGAAGTTTCTCCTGTTTATAGGAGCACCACTGTTCCTGATTTTGTTTCTTTAGTGTAAAATGAATGAAAAGTCCTATCACTAAAATTAAATATGTAAATCCAAAAACTGGTTTGCTTGATTATATTCTGATGATTATAAGAGAAACCTGGCACGTCCATTTTACTAAGGAAACTAATTTAATGTTATAAATTGGCCTCTACCTCAGAGGTACATATTAAAATTTAAGACTTAAGGAAATAAAAGATAGTCAAATGCAAGGATCTAAAACACATAGTTTATGTTTTTATTTTTATTTATTTTTTTATTTTCTGAGATGGATTCTTGCTCTGTTGCCCAGCCTGGAGTGCAGTGGTACCATCTTGGTTCACTGTAACCTTCGCCTCCTGGGTTCAAGTGAGTCTCCTGCCTCAGCCTCCTGAGTAGCTGACATTACAGGTGCCTGCCACCACACCCAACTAATTTTTGTATTTTTAGTAGAGATGGGGTTTCATTTCACCATGTTGGCCAGGCTGGTCTTGAACTCCTGACCTCGAGTGATCTGCCCACCTTGGCCTCCCAAAGTGAGCCACCATCCCTGGCCAAAACCACATAGTTTATGAATTGAGTTTGTAAGTTGTTGTGTTGAGAATAAAAGCTTCAGGGCCAGTTTCCATAATTTGAGGCAGACGGGCTACTTGGTTATCAAAACTTCTTAGCAGGGGCGGTCTACTTGGTGGAACCATTCTTAGTTCTTGATTTGATAAGCTGTAGTTAATACTGTGTTTGTAACTCCTTCATTTCTTTTTCTTCTGAGAGTCTTGAATGGATTTTCAGTATATAGATATAACTGTGCTTTGTGGATATAGATTTCAGGGTATGGGGAGAGAGGGGGAACAAAGAGACAGCATGTCTAATGGTCACTGACAGTGTGGACACTTCACCAACACCCAGTCTAGTTCCTTCTCCATCAGAGTCTCGGGTAGTATAGTATGATCTGTAGTCTAGGGAGTAAATAAGTGAATTTTGCTCAACTTTAGTATCAGGCACTGCTTAAATGTTTAAGTTTCCCTGTAGGATAGGACTGGCCACATTTTTCTGTCACTCCGCCTGTCTTCTGTCTCAGTTTCCCCAGATGAGAATTTGGTTTCTTTCAGGACCTGTACATACTTCTCAAGATGATGTGAAAAGGGAAAACAATATCTAAACAGTGTCATTCGTTTAACAAAACTGTGTTCCTGAAAGCGTTGTAAAATAGGTTTTTCATGGCACTTGATATGGTTTGGCTGTGTCCCCACCCAAATATCAACTTGAATTGTATCTCTCAGAATTCCCATGTGTTGTGGGAGGGACCCAGGGGGAGGTAATTGAATCACGGGGGCTAGTCTTTCCCATGCTATTCTTGTGATAGCAAATAAGTCTCATGAGATCTGATGGGTTTATCAGGGGTTTCCGCTTTTGCTTCTTCCTCATTTGCCGCCTCCACGTAAGAAGTTCCTTTTGCCTCCCGCCATGATTCTGAGGCCTCCCAAGCCATGTGGAACTGTAAGTCCAATTAAACCTCATTTTCTTCCCAGTTGTGAAAATGGACTAATACAGTAAATTGGTACCAGGCATGGATACTTGCTGGAAAGATACCCGAAAATGTGGAAGCAACTTTGGAACTGGGTAACAGGCAGAGGTTGGAACAGTTTGGAGGTCTCAGAAGAAGACAGGAAAATGTGGGGAAGTTTTGAACTTCCTCAAGACCTGTTGAATAGCATTGACAGAAATACTGATAAAAATATGGATGATGAAATCCAGGCTGAGATAGTCTCAGATGGAGATGAGGAGCTTGTTGGGAACTGGAGCAGAGGTGACTCTTGTTATATTTTAGCAAAGAGACTGTTGGCATTTTGCACCTGCCTTAGAGATTTCTGGAACTTCAAACTTGAGAGAGATGATTTAGGGCATCTGGTGGAAGAAATTTCTAAGCAGCAAAGCATTCAAGAGGTGATGTGGGGGCTGTTAAAGGCATTCAGTTTTATAAGGGAAGCGAGCATAACGGTTTGGAAATTTTGCAGCCTGACTATGTGATAGAAAAGAAACCCCCCCCCCCCCCCGCTTTTTTTTTTAGATGGAGTCTTGCTCTGTCGCCCAGGCTGGAGTGCAGTGGCGCGATCTCGGCTCACTGCAAGCTCTACGTCCCGGGTTCACACCATTCTCCTGCCTCAGCCTCCTGAGTAGCTGGGACTACAGGCGCCTGCCACCATGCCCAGCTAATTTTTTGTGTTTTTAGTAGAGATGGGGTTTCACCGTGTTAGCCAGGATGGTCTCGATCTGCTGACCTTGTGATCCACCCACGTTGGCCTCCCAAAGTGTTGGGATTACAGGCGTGAGCCACCATGCCCAGTCGAAAATCCCATTTTCTGGGGAGAAATTCAAGCTGGCTGCAGAAATTTGCATAAGTAGCAAGGAGCCTAATGTTAATCCCTAAGACCATGGGGAAAATGTCTCCAGGCCATATCAGAGACCTTCACGGCAGCCCCTCCCATCACAGTCCCAGAGGCCCAGGAGGAAAAATGGTTTAGTGGGCCGGGCCCAGGTCCCTGTGCTGTGTGCAGCCTAGGGACTTGGTGCCCTGTCTCCCAGCCACTCCACACTCCAGCCGTGGCTGAAAGAGGCCAATGTACAGCTCAGGCTGTGGCTTCAGAGGGTAGAATCCCCAAGCCTTGGCAGCTTCCACGTGTTGTTGAGTCTGCAGGTGCACAGAAGAATTGAGGTTTGGGAACCTCTGCCTAGATTTCAGAAGATGTGTGGAAATGCCTGAATGCCCAGGCAGAAGTTTGCTGCAGGGGTGGGGCCCTCATGGAGAACCTTTGCTAGGGCAGTGTGGAAGGGAAATGTTGGTTGGAACCCCCACACAGAGTCGCTACTGGGGTACCGCCTAGTGGAGCTGTGAGAAGAGGGCCACTGTCCTCCAGTCCGCAGAATGGTAGATCCACTGACAGCTTGCACTGTGCACCTGGAAAAGCTGCAGACACTCAACGCCAGCCCATGAAAGCAGCTGGGAGAGAGGCAGTACCCTGCAAAGCCACAGGGGTGGAGCTACCCAAGACCATGGGAACCCACTTCTTACAGCAGTGTGACCTGGATGTGAGACCTGGAGTCAAAGGAGATAATTGTGGAGCTTTAAAATTTGCCCCACTGGATTTCAGACTTGTCTGTGCCCTGTAACCTCTTTGTTTTGGCCAATTTCTCCTATTTGGAATGGCTTTATTTACCCAATACCTGTACCCTCATTATATCTAGGAAGTAATTAGCTTGCTTTTGAATTTACAGGCTCATAGGTGGAAGGGACTTGCCTTGTCTCAGATGAGACTTTGGACTGTGGACTTCTGGGTTAATGCTGAAATGAGTTAAGACTTTGGGGGACCATTGGGAAGGCATGATTGGTTTTGAAATGTGAGGACATGAGATTTGGAGGGGTCAGGGATGAAATGATATGGTTTGCCTGTGTCCCTACCCAAATCTCAACTTGGATTGTATCTCCCAGAATTCCCATATGCTGTGGAAGGGACCCAGAGGGGAGGTAATTGAATCATGGGGGCCAGTCTTTCCTGTACTATTCTTGTGATAGTGAAAAAGTCTCACAAGATCTGATGAGTTTATCAGGGGTTTCTGCTTTTGCTTCCTCATTTTCTCTTGCCACCACCATGTAAGAAGTGCCTTTCGCTTCCTGCCATGATTCTGAGGAGCCATGTGGAACTGTAAGTCCAATTAAACCTCTTTTTCTTCCCAGTCTTGGGTATGTCTTTATCAGCAGCATGAAAACAGACTAATATAGCATTCTTTCCCTTTCTTATTGAATTATATTTTAATCCCAAAGATGTTTTCCTTTTAGTCTTTTAACTTTTTTCTTTTTTAAAAAAATTATGGTAAGAATCACATAACATTAACTTTACCATCTTAACTATTTTTAAGGGTACTAGGGTTAAGTTTATTCACATTGTTGTGTGGCAGATCTCAAGAATGTTTTCATCTTGCAGCACTGAAACTCTATGCCCACTAATCACTAATTCCTCTAGCCCTTGGTAACTGCTCTTCTTTCTGTTCCTATGACTTTGATTACTTTAAATACTTCAGTGAGTGGACTCATACAGTATATGTGCTTTTGTGGCTGGTTTATTTCACTTAGCATGATGTCCCTAAGGCTCTCAAGATACTTTTTATTCCTATTCTAACTAAGCTTTCTGACAAAGGCTCCTAGCTCAACAGCTCTACCAGTCTCTGGGTGCCACTGCCCTTGACTTGTGGTCGGCAGTCTGGGCCATGTGAAGCCCTTGCCAGCTGTTGTCCATGGGCAGCTCTTAGTGAGGTGGGAGTGGAATGGATTGGTTGGGTCAGTAGTTCTGATCATTTTCAACAGTATTTATGGGTTGTGGGTTTGGAAGGAACTGAACTATGATAATGTGTACTTAAATGTGAAAACAACGCTGAGCCTTGACCTCTAATCTTCATTTGGTCATCGAATGCTTAGTTTTATGTTGTCCACTCTGTCATTCCCAAATATAACAAGTATAATTAGCTTGGTGACTCATGTAGGAATTGCGGGGTTATGAGAAAAGTGAGGCAAGATTTTTAAAATTGGATTCAGGCTTGGATCAAGAACTGTCAGTGGCCCAAAGACTCTAGTTTGTTTTTCTACTGACCTACATAGTCTTCCCCTCTTTACGTTACAAGTTCACTGTGGAACATGCAGGAATCGTCGCCAAGCATTAGGAGAAGTTCTTTAACTGGTTCTGGTGCCTAGGACAGGAACACTGCACTTAACTGGCCAGGGATAGATTTTTTTTTTTTCGAGACAGGATTTTGCTCAGTTACCCAGTCTTGAATGCAGTGGCATGACCATGGCTCACTGTAGCCTCCACTTCCTGGGCTCAAGTGATCCTCCCACCTCAGCTTCCCTAGTAGCTGGGACCACGGGCACATGCCACCACTCCTGACTCATTTTTTGTAGAGATGGGGTTTTGCCATGTTGTTCAGACTGGTCTCCAGCTCCTGAGCTCAAGCGATCTGCCTGCCTTGGCCTCCCAAAGTGCTGGGATTACAGGCATGAGCCACTGTGCTGGGCCAGGCATAGATTCTTGAAGGAGTCAGAGTCAAAAGTTTAGAGCATGGTCTTGTCCTTGATCAAGCCTGTCCTTGGTTACTTTAAAGGAAATTGGTTAATTTTGACCCAGCTTGGTATGTTAAGATATTGGTATTTCTGAGAGGAGGGGAGATTTGGACATTACTGTTTAATGGGGATATTGTTTCAGTTTTGGAAGATGAAACGTTTGGAAGATGGATGCTGGTGATGGTTGCACAACACTGTAATTGTACTTCATGCCACTAGACTGTGCACTAAAACATGCTTAAGCTGAAACATTTTATGTTAGCATATATGTAAACACACACACAACAGAGGAAATACCATGTTTGAGGTCAGATGGTGGGTAAATGGTAGAAATTGTCAAATGACAATTTGTCTATATCTTTAAAAACAATTTCAGAGAATTTTTTTTGTGTGTGTGTGACTGAGTTTTGCTCTTGTTGTCCAGGCTGGAGTGCAATGGCGCGATCTCGGCTTACTGCAGCCTCCGCCTCCTGGGTTCAAGTGATTCTCCTGCCTCAGCCTCCTGAGTAGCTGGGATTACAGGCGCATGCCACCATGCCCGGCTAATTTTGTATTTTTAGTAGAGATGGGCTTTCTCCATGTTGGTCGGGCTGGTCTCCAACTCCCAACCTCAGATGATTCACCCGCCTTGGCCACCCAAAGTGCTGGGATTACAGGTGTGAGTCACCGTGCCTGCTGCGAAATTTTTATTTTACCCAAAGGTGACCTCTTAGAATCCACAAAGAGTTTACAAAACTATTAGTGTAATTTTCCTTTGATTTAGAGTGGTGCATACGAATCACCTGTGGATCTTGTTAAAATGCAGATTCTGACAGGCAGGTTGGGGTGGGGCTGGAGAGCGGGCTGAATTTTTCACAAGCTCCTTGGTGATATTATGTTGCTGGACCAACCACATTGGAGTAGTAAGGATTTTGAAGACGTTCCTGAAAAATGCCTTAGGGTCATAATTACTTAAAATGAAGAGCAAGAAGCACTCAAGCCCTTCCGTATTCCACCAGTATTAGTGTTTTGGAGGAAGCAAAGATAAAGCAAAGAAGGAGGGCTTTGGGTAAAGTTAGAAGGTTTTTTTCTTGCACTTCGAAGCTTTTCCTTTCCTTTTTATTCTCTGAGCCCTCCCCTCCAGCGGCCAGGAGTTGGGCTGACTGCGGCATCATAATTCTCAGGTGAATTAAAAAGCAATTTTAAAATCCTGTTTAGTGTTGGAGAAAAAGCAGAGCCATGTGTGTCTAAAATCCTAAAATGGAACCTCAGAAACACGGGGTGTCAGGAGATCACAGTGTATTGTTTCGTGTGAGATCACTAAAGGGCACACCTGCCTGCTTCCTTTCCTTTTCTTTTTTCCCCTCCCCCTCCCCCTCCCCCTTCCCCTTCCCTTCCTTTCTCCTTCTGTTTTTATTAAGTTATTATTATTATTATAGTTTTTTGAAATGGAGTCTTGCTCTTTTGCCCCAGCTGGAGTGCAGTGGTGTAATCTCAGCTCACTGCAACCTTTGTCTCCTGCGTTCAAGCGATTCTTCTGCCTCAGCCTCCTACGTAGCTGGGATTAGAGGCATGCGTCAGCACGCCCGGCTAATTTTTGTATTTTTAGTAGAGATGCGCTTTTGCCATGTTGGCTAGGCTGGCCTTGAACTCCTGACCTCAGGTGATCCACCTGCCTTGGCTTCCCAAAGTGCTGGGATTACAGGCGTGAACTACCACGTCCGGCCACCTTCTGTTTTTAGCGACAGGGTCTTGCTCTGTCATCTAGGCTGGGGTGCAGTGGTCCAGTCGTAGCTCATTGTAACTCCTGGGCTTGAGTGATCCTTCTGTCTCAGTCTCCTGAGTAGCTAGGACTACAGGGGTGCACCATGCCTGAAAAATTTTTTCTGGAGGTGGCGTCTTACTGTGTTACCCAGGCTGGTCTGGAACTCCTGGCCTCAGGTGACCTGACTCAGTCTTTGAAAGCAATAGGCCTGGGCACGGTGGTGCACGCCTGTAATCCCAGCACTTTGGGAGGCCGAGGTGGGTGGATCATGAGGTCAGGAGATCGAGACCATCCTGGCTAACATGCTGAAACCTTGTCTCTACTAAAAATACAAAAAAAAAAAAAAAAAAAAATTAGCCGGGTGTGGTGGTGGGTGCCTGTAGTCCCAGCTACTCAGGAGGCTGAGGCAGGAGAATGGCGTGAACCTGGGAGACGGAGCTTGCAGTGAGCCGCAATGGCGCCACTGCACTCCACGCTGGGCGACAGAGCGAGACTCTGTCTGAAAACAAAAAACAAAAAACAAAGCAGTAGGATTACAGGTGTGAGCCACTGCCCAACCCATGCTTTCTTATTTCATTCAGTCTTTAAGGAATTTTGTTTTTTTGTTGTTTGTTTTTGCCAAGGAGATCGTTCTAATGTTAATTTAAAATTTCATTCCACTCTAAAATTTAAACTACTATAGGTTGATACTAGGAATACAGAGAACCAAAGTATTCCATTTGACTTGTAACTTATACTTGCTGTGAAGTATTTACAGATGGAAAAAGAAATGAGCAAATGACACTCTTTCACACTTTATTGAAAAATATGTAACTGTGGCCTCTGAAGGCCCCAGCACACAGGCGGGTCAGCACATATCCTGCAAGTTAGAAATCAGTTGTCTTCTTGGACCACAGGCTTTGGACAGAGTTTCAGAAAAGCAGAATTTTTTTTTTTTTTTGAGACGGAGTCTTGCTCTGTCACCCAGGCTGCAGTGCAGTGGCGCGATCTTGGCTTGCTGCAAACCTCCGCCTCCCGGGTTCAAGCGATTCTCCTGCCTCAGCCTCCCGAGTGGCTGGGACTACAGGCAGGTGCCACCACGCCTGGCTAATTTTATGTATTTTTAGTAGAGGCGGGGTTTCACCGTGTTAGCCAGGATGGTCTTGATCTCCTGACCTTGTGATCTGCCTGCCTTGGCCTCCCAAAGTGCTGGGATTACAGACATGAGCCACCGTGCCCAGCTGAAGAGCAGATTTTTAAAAGCACCATGGTTCTGCAGGTGATCAACTCATGTAAAAGGGTAAGAAGGAAGACAGCACTAAACGTTTGTCTTTTCTGGAACATCCAGGAGGTGCACGAGCAGTCACTGTAGCACTCTTTAGGAACATTGTAAAATTGATTAATAAGTTTTAAATTAGATTTTTCACCTTGGTGATTAGAACTATTTTATTATCTTTTTCTGGAAAGAGTCTAATTTGATTGCTCTGAAATAGTTTAGAGTGATATCAGTTTATCTAATTGTATTTTAAGGGGTAGTTATTCAGTTTACTGCAGCCCATTTCATCAAGGCGATTACTCTGTGCAGGGATTCCGTTTGGTATTCTGTTTGAATTGTCTCTCTATAGGGTCTTCCAAAATATTCACTAGTTGAGGATTTAATCATCCAAATCTGCAAGTAGACAACCTCCTCCATGTCCTTCTCTCTATTTGCAACAAGGATAACTAAGCTTGGTTGAAAAAATTCTTCTCATTTTATTAATCCACTAAAAGATCATGGGATTGCATGGGACTTTCAAGTCATTCCCACCTGCTAAGAGAGTCAGACTTCTTCAAGCCACACTGGGAACACAGCACTAATTATTTATAATCACAGCTCCCACTTAAAGCAATCGCAGCTCCCACTTAAAGCCGTCTCTGACTTTTTGGTTTGACTCTCTGGTTTTGGTTTGTTGGAGTTAATGCCATCGGCCCAATTTTGTGAAACTTGGTAAGAGGTGAGTTAATGTAGTGACTTCTCATTGCATTTTTGGTTGTTTTCACACACTTTCCACCCTGTCCAGCTGGTTTTCTTTTGCTCCCCCCTCCCCTTCCCTTTGCCCCTATTGGTGTCGTTTTTATGTCCCTTGAATGCCTTGTGGATGTAGGCGACCTTTTGACCTTTTCACACCCTCCTGTTCAGTACACCATCTGCACACACTCCTGTCTCCCAGAAAAATCTTCCGCAAGCCTGTTGAATGCAGGAAAATGGTCAGTAGGGGACAGCCTGGCGGGTCTGTCCTTTGGAGCTGACCCCAGGAATTATTAGGAAGAATTGGGCAACTAGAACCCAGTGACTTCAACTTGAGGAGGACCGATCTGAGTGCTGAAGGGAAGTGGCAGATCTAGACATCTGAGCCAAGGGAAAAATCTTATCTGAGAGCCCAGGAAGGCCCACACGTTCCAGCAGCTAGGGAAGCTGCATTCCAGGCTTCTCACGCAAAGCCAGCTGCTGTGCCAAGGCAGCTGCCCGGGTGCGCAGGAGCACGGTCCCACTGCTCACTGTGAACTCTTTCCTTGTATGTGGAGCCCGAGGGAGACTGAGTGAGTGGCAGCTGGCCCGCTCTCCAGGTCGGGCAGCTGGCAGGAGGGGACCACCTGGGGTCCGGGAGGGCAGCTCCAGGTTCCCGGGAAGAGCGGCTGTGGGTGGAGACCAGCAGGGAGGCAGTAAATGCGTGAGGTTGGAGGAAAAGGCAGTTGGGGGCCACATTTATAATGCAAACATAGTGTGGTTAGGATCTAATGACTCTCAAAACCAAACTCAGGGACAGATAGGGTTAGATTCTTTTCAGTCAGCTGGCCTGGACATAATTCCCTTGCTTTTTTGTCTTTTTTTTTTAAATGTATATTTTTATCTTCATCATAAAGTGGAGACATCTTACCCCTTTTTCTCTCAAGAGGAAAGAAACAGGAGGTCATTTGCATCATGGCTGTAGCCCCTGAGTCTTACATGTCTCTTGTATTGCAACTGCTGCCTCCAACCCAATTAACCTCTGGGTTCCTGTGAACCATATGAAATTGCCGTTTCTAGAGGCCATAAAGGGTTAGAGATCGGCAATCACATATGGTTCAGCCTAATAGCAAGTTAATGGCCCTCCATTTTAATGTGGTATCTTTTAGCTTATCATTGATCTGTTGTTCATGGCTCAAAGATAGGATTTTTCTGGTGACTCTTCTGTCTGATGACAGTATGGCTCAACAAAATACAAATGTTTTTCCGCAGTCCAGTTGAGAGGCAAAGCGTATCCCTAAAATAGTCTGCCAGCTTTAACGCTGGTGCCGTTGCGTATGTGCATTTGCTCACAGCTGTAACATTTGTATTCCTTTTGGGGTTTTCACTTTTTCTGCTGGGTGTCTGAAGGATTTGCTATTACTAGTTTCTTCGGCAAATACCCACGTTTGAATTGAAAGGAAAATGAATAAATACACAATTTTTTTTGGACTAGAGCTTGGGTTTTCCTCTATTGTTTTGTGTGTGTGTGTGTGTGTGTGTGTGTGTGTGTGTGTGTGTGTGTTTGGGTAAATAAATATGACATAAAACTTACCATTTAATTTTAACAATTTTAAATGTATTAGTGGCAGTAATCACATTTATAATGTCGTGTTATCACACCATTTCCAAAACTTTTTCATCACTCCAAACAAAAACTCCGAGCCTGTTAAGCAATAACTCCGTTTGTTATTTATTTTTTACTATTATTATTATTATTATTATTATCGAGACGGAGTCTAACTCTGTCACCCAGGCTAGAGTGTAGTGGTGCGATCTTGGCTCACTGCAACCTCCACCTCCTGGGTTCAAGCAAGTCTCCTGTCTAAGCCTCCCGAGTAGCTGGGACTACAGACGCCTGCCACCACGCCCGGCTAATTTTTGTATTTTTAGGAGAGACGGGGTTTCACCATATTGGTCACGCTGGTCTTGAACTCCTGACCTCAGGTGATCCACCCACCTCGGCCTCCCAAAGTGCTGGGATTACAGGCATTGTAATTTATTTTTAAACTGCTTTCCTCTTGGATACCTTTTTTGTACTGTTTTACAAAATAATAGCACATTCGAAAGTATGGTTTGTATCTTTTCTTAAGAAATAGACAACGTCAAGAAAGATTTGTTGAGACTCAGCCCCAGATTCTAGGAATGGAGAATCCGATAGCCCAGCTTAGATCTGCTGAGGATGCCAGACCGCTGAGCCCTGGCCACGTGCTATGAATATCGGGGTGGGTGGGCTATCCCTGCATGCGGGTGAAGGGTCCTTCTCTGGAGGAAGGTGGGTTGCACAGCCACCCTAAAAGTAAAGGGAAAGAGGACTGTGCTAGTGATAAGTGACAGATAATTTTTTAAAATCCGATGTATAGTTTTTGGCTTCTTTTTTTTTTGAAACTTTAATAGTGCTCCATCTGTTATTCTTGGAATTCACTTCAATCAAAACAGTTGCAGCTGTATGAAAAAGACAGCATTGAGCTGGGAAGCTCTTCAATTCTCTGTGCTTTTCCCACATTTTGCTGTTGCTCCTGGAAATACCCACCTCTGAGATGGACACTAAACACCAGCCTACAGAGTTCCTTAAAATCAGCGGTCTATACTCCAGAGATTGAACACCACTGGGACTTTCATTCTTGCTTTCAAGACCAAGGAAAATGCAACTTGTCCAGCTTAACTTGGTTTTGAGTTTAAGAATCTTTTCTGCTCTGGAAGCCACGTGGTTCTGACTCCCTAGACCTCTTCCAAGAATTTGCTTTGGCATTTTGTGGCTCAAAGATGGAAAGTCAGATGTTTCCATTAATTTTCACTCTGGGATTATAGAAAGAAAAAAAACTCGTCTGCTTGTTTATTAGCGCACTTAGCTCCAGGCTAAACATGTGCATGTTTACAAATCTGCACAGAAAGCTCATTTATTGTAATCTGGGAGACTCTCACTCAAGCAGGCCACGCTCTTGTCCTTTCTCCTGGGAACCTGGTTCCTACAGAGATGTCTGTCTCTTCTGCCTTCCTTCAGGGATAAATGCACGAACGCAAATATGCAGGCTCTAGCTGAATACACAAGGCTCTGAATACAAGGTGTGTATTCACACACCTATTCAGGCCCCCTTTCAAAGAGCCACCACCTGTATCATGTGTGTGTGTTAGATTTTTTTCTGTCTCTCCTCACCAAGGTCTCTTAGAATGGGGACTTGTCATCAGCACCTCGGAGCCGAGCCTGGCCCAGAGAGGCCCCTTATAATGAACACTGAATGGATGAATGAAGCTCCATTTGTAATCAGCATGAAGCCAAATAAGTCATCAGAATGGCGCATGCTTCATTAAGACTGTGATCATATGGCATTTTCATAAGGAAGTTACAAGTCTTAAAAGGACCACAAGTGACAAAAAAAAAAAAAAAAAATAGCCACATAGCAGAAGAATCATGGTGGGAGTTTTTGTTTGTTTGGTTTTGGAGACAGGTTCTCACTTTGTCACCCAGGCTAGAGTGCAGTGGTACAATCTTGGCTCGCTGCAACCTCCGCCTCCCAGGCTAAAGCAATCCCCCCACCTCAGTCTGCCAAGTAGCTGGGACTGCAGGTGTGTGCCACCAAGCCTGGCTAATTTTTGTATATTTTGTAGTGATGAAGTTTTGCCTTGTTGCCCAGGCTGGTCACGAACTCCTGAGCTGCAATGATCCTCCTGTCTTGGCCTCCCAAAGTAATGGGATTACAGGCATGAGCCACCGCACCTGGCCCGGAGTTTCACTGTTGTTTCTACTCTGGTAGTGTGTAAACCACTCAGGCCCTAGGGCCAGAATGAAATGAAGAGGGTAGAAGAGAGGCTTTTTCAAGGGAATTCTTTGACTTAGTAACTCTAGAAACATATTCTGTTTTCATCTCTCGGGGTGAGTGTTGAGTTTGGCTCAGAATCTTATTTTAAAGTATGGCATTGTAAACCCTGAGATTGTTGTTTGTATATTTCAACAGTCATATTGAAACCATTTACAGTGGCAAACATTATGAGCTACGTTTGTGTTATAGGAATGTGGGCTATGTGAGGTGTTGTAGACCTTAGCTTGCCAAAGGTACACAGCATTTCTGTTCTGTTACCCACCTTGTTCCCAGCACCACTGAAAAATCCATGGGTGAGACCAGGAGGTCTCTGGGGCCTGGCCCCTTTAAGTGAATCCAGCTTATTTCTGACCCTTTTTCCTAGAACATGGCTTTTGCCTTCCCACCCCAGCCCCTTTGGACTGAACAGCTGGGCTTCTCCCCAGTGGGTGGGTGGATGGGTGGGGAGGGGATCAGATCTGTTAGGACTATTTACTGGCCCAGCGAGGTTCTAGCCGAATGCACATGCATTAAATATTTTGCAAGGGAGAGCAAATGGCCTGTGCCCTGGGTCGTGACCTTCTTTGGTTTCCTGTTCTCCTTTGGGTCCATTTGTTGATTTTCTTCTTAGTGGATCTTCCTAGACTTTGGCCTCCTTTTTCCTCCCTGGGTCTGTAGACTACACCTCTTCTTCCCAACCCTTAGAATCTGTCTGTTTATCTGGACTCAAGCATGCCTCTGACCGGCCTATCCTTCCAGTCTTTGTTTGACTTCCAGATTCCAGACTCAGCTTCTAGGTAGCTCAGCCCCCTTAGTCCTGTGTAAGCCTGTTGTATGTCCAGATTTTTCCCATGACTGGCAAGCCTCCTGGTCTTGCAGTGCTGGTGTTGGGCACAAAGAAAAGGGCTCATGTTTGGTGCTATTGACCCCTGTGGTTGCTTTCGATTTTGTGGTTAGCTTTGAAAATTTAAATTGAAGGTAAGTGGGCTACTGTCTTGTATTTTTGGTCCCTGTGAATACTGAAAATAATCCGCTAATTAATACTGGATGCTAAGCTCCGACCAGGCAGTAATTTGTGACTGGAATAAAATAGAAAACGGACGGAATCAAACGTAATTCTTTTATTTGAATGCTTAAATAAATACTATGCTTTTGTTGTATAATAAAATTATATTTATTTTAACAAAGTCATATTTTGTGAAAAATGCGAAGGCCTTGTTTGGGAACAAAAAACAGTTCAGAAATTATCCCTGGGAATCAGACAGCATCATTTAATGCCGGTGTGATTTCAGAAGAGAAATCAGAGGCAGTTTGTTCAATACAGGCAATTGTCTGTCTGTGAATGAGTTGCATTCCGTTTCAAAAATGCATTTTTTAGGCCTGTTATTTGGAACAAGTCTTTCCAAATAGTAATATACATGGTGAATTGATCATCCAGCTGGTCTGCAAAGACCTATCCAGGCATCCACAGTGCACTGAGGGCAGGGATGATGCTGAAGCCCTCTTGTTGCCTCATTCCAACTTTAAACGTGTGTTTGGAGTTCCAACCCAGGGTGCCACAGTTCTGACATTAGGGAATCCCATTCTTCCCGTGGTCCCCTTTCTGCTGAGTGGTGGGAAGAGGGGCACCCAGTTCTAAGCCATGACCTCCTCATAGTTGGTGAGGATGAGGGCCTTATCAGGGTTGGCATTTCGGATGGGTAAAGGGGAGAGATTGAGATTTGCTGGGTGACATCTCTCCAGCAGGCACCATGCTGGTACATGCCAATCTGTTTGTCCTGTTTAATTCCTGTAAGTATCCCATGAGGAAGGCAATATTAACCAGCCATATTTTAATGAGATGGCAATTGAGCCTAGGTGTAATAACACGTCCAGGAGTCCACACCTGGCTAGTGGGGAGTGATAGTATTGGGGTTTGCATCCAGAGTTTATCATCTTTCCACTTTTTCACCTTAGTTCTCCAAGACGGAGTGAGACTGGTAATGGGAGTTGGTGTCTTTGCTGTGTTCACTTCTTTTCTCTGCAGGCCCCAGGGATTAAGTGTACCTGTCCTCCGCTTTCTTGCAATGACATTTATGCTTTCTCTTGAAGTTACTTTTTAAGATTGGAAGGTTCTCATGCCACTTCTCACTTACCCCTACTTTGCAATAGCTTTTTTTCTTTTTTTGAGATGGAGTTTCACTCTTGTTGCCCAGGCTGGAGTGCCATGGCGCGATCTCAGCTCACTGCAACCTCCGCCTCCTGGGTTCAAGTGATTCTCCTGCCTCAGCCTCCCAGGTAGCTGGGATTACAGGTGCCTGCCCACCATGCCTTGCTAATTTTTTTATTTTTATTTTTGTAGAGACAGGATTTCACTACGTTGGCCAGGCTGGTCTCGAACCCCTGACCTCAGGTAATCCACTTGCCTCGGCCTCCCAAAGTGCTGGGATTACAGGCATGAGCCACTGCGCCTGGCTGCTTTTTTTCTTCACTTTTTTTTTTTTTATTGCTGTAGGGAAATGGAAGGGCCAATTTAAAGAAAAAAAAAAATGTTCCCTAGTCTTGTATTCACAATCTCAGCTTCCACGCTGCGCCCTTGACAGGGTGGTTCTCAACCCTGACTGCACGTAATAATTCACTGGGAAGCTTCTACCAAGGGCCTTGGCTCTGCCTCAGAATAATGAAATCAGAATCTCAGGTGAGACTCAGGCCATGGTATGTTTTTTAAAAGCCTCCTGGGTGCTGTTTAATGAGCAACCAGGTTCAGAACTATTTCATAGATGAAATGGCCATCGTATCAAAATAATTGCCTTAAAAAATTGTTGTGAAAGCACACTTTTGCAAGCTGGGCTTAGAAAGTGCTAACGAGGCCTTTGTTTTTCCTAGGTAGTAATCAGCTCCTTTTTGGCCATCCTTTCTTAGCTGGTTCTGTAGAATGTCTTCGGTGCTTGCGTTGATTTGGAATAGCTCCCTCTCTCCATCCGTCCATCCACCCCTCCACCCACCCATCGTTCATCACGGGCCCTCATCTGTCAGAGGCCCTGGAGTTCATCCGTTGACTCTCTTAAGAGCCTCTGCTTACTCTTGATTTTCCCATCTCTTCCTTCCTTCTCCCATCCTCTCAAGTTGAACACTCTGTTAGAGGAGGACATTTGGGTTTAAGTGTCCCAGATACTAACGGAGTGTCTCTGCAAGTGCGTTTCTCTGACCAGCTGCTTCATAACCACTGGGGCCTTTGTTAAAAATGCAGGGTTTTTTGACTCATTTCAAAATTGCCTGAATCCATTTCTCAGTAAATATGGGCCTGGGATCTGCATTTAACGAGTTGCCCGAATGATTTTATTCACACTGAAATTAGAGAACCACTGACTCAGTGGGTACTTTGATCTGAGATCAATTGGAAAGTCTTTCTTCTTCCTCTTCTCACTGTGTCCCCTACCCCAAACTTTCCACTTATTTGCTATTTACTTCCAGTCGAGCTACTTCCTGCCCTGTGGGTGTAGGGGCTATGGGAGGAGGGGCTGGCCTTTCTGATGGTATAAATCTCCAGAGACATTTGTTTCTCTCATTTTTCTCCCCCTTTCTTATGGCCCTGCCCTCTTTTCTTTTTGTGTCTAAAACAGAACCCAGTGATTGGCCGCTTCTTCCACGTTGTGAGTTAATAGTGTGCAGGTTTTTCTAATTTGTAGAGAAATCCCACTGATAAAGCAGCTTCCTGAAATATCTTCTTTCCCCTCCATTGAGCTACATACATGGTGGCCATCAAGGGTGGTCTTTGGGTTCAGATAACTCAGTTAAGTTATATTTATGTTTCTGAGGAAATTTCCCTTACCTGTTTCTATCTTGAGAGAGAGAGAATTGGGGCCTGAAGGAAGGGCACGGCCCTGGGTGGGGGTGGGCCAGGGATGCTCAGGGAGTGAACAGCTCTGGGGGTGGGTGAAGGTGACATCTTGTGGAAGGGCCTTGCCATGGTCTGAATGTTTGTATTTCTCCAAAATTATTATTATTATTATTTTGAGTTAGTGTCACCCTGTCACCCAGGCTGGAGTACAGTGGCATGATCATGGCTCACTACAGCCTCAGATTCCTGGGTTTCAGTGATCCTCCTGTCTCAGCCTCCCAAGTAACTGGGATTACAGGCATGTGCCACCATGGCCAGGTAATTTTTCAACTTTTTTGTAGAGATGGGATCTCACTGTGTTGCCCAGGCTGGTCTCAAACTTTTGGCCTCAAATGATCCTCCTGCCTCAGCCTCCCAAAGCACTGGGATTATAAGGTGCCTGCACCTGGCCCCAAACTTCCTATGTTGAAATCCTAGCCCCCAATGTGATGGTATTGGGAGGTAAGACCTTTAGGAGGTGATTAGGTCATGAGGGTGGGCCCCTCATGAATGGAGTTAGTGCCCATATAAAAGAGGCCTAAGGGAGCTTGTTTGTCCCTTCCACCACATGAGGGCACAGCTACAAGGTCCCATCTATGAACCAGAAAGCAACACTCACCAGATGCAGAATATCCTTGCTCTTGGACTTCCCAGCCTCTAGAACCAGGAGAAATAGATTTCTATTGTTAATTAGCCATCCAGTCTGTGGTAGTTTGTTACAGCAGCCCAAATGGACTAAAGCCAGCTTGTTCCACTCTACTCCAGGGGTACCCCTGCCCTCCTTGGCTTAAAAGACCCCACTGTGGGCTGGATGAGAACACAGGATAAAGAGCAGGCGGGTAAATCCCAAACAGGAGCCCCATGTTGGAGAGAGACCAGAGCTTATGCCAAGTGGTGTATGTTACTTATTTTTTTTTTCCCCTGAGATGGAGTCTTGCTCTGTTGTCCATGCTGGAGTACAGTGGCATACTCTCGGCTCACTGCCACCTCCACCTCCCGGGTTCAAGTGATTCTTCTGTCTCAGCCTCCTGAGTAGCTGGGATTACGGGCACATGCCACCATACCTGGCTAATTTTTATATTTTTAGTAGAGATGGGGTTTCACCGTGTTGGCCAGGCAGGTCTCAAACTCCTGACCTCGTTACCCGCCCACCTCGGCCTCCCAGAGTGTTGAGATTACAGGCATGAGCCACTGCACCCGGCCCTGTGTGTTACGTAGAACTGCAATGGAAGCCTGAACTTTCAGCTTTTATTTCAAACCATATGATTGTGCTGCCATTTTAAAGATAACAGACATCTAAAAAATCAGACTAAATGGTTACCTCGGAGGATTGAATTTTCAAAGGTAACAGAAATGCTCAATATATTGTTCTGCGTGATTCATCAAAGCTGTGTATTTTATTGCATGCAAATTAAACCTCGATTTTTTTTTTTTTTTTTACAAAAGTAGCATCTAGCTTTTTTGAAAGCAGCTGTGTGTGTATGTTGAAGTGACAGATGTTATCAACACAGCATTCCTGTGTAAAGCTTATGTGACGACTCCAGTGTGCGACTGAACAGGGGCAGCAAACTGCAGCCCTTGCCTACAGCCTGAATTGTATGGTCTACAAGCTGAGATTGTTTCTTACATTTCTAAATGTCTGGAAAAACTCACGAGAAGCATATTTTGACACGTGAAAATCATGTGAAATTCAAATTTAATAAAGTTATATTGGAACACAGCCATGCCCATTCATCGGCCTCTTATCTGTGACTGCGTTCACAGCAGGTAGCGTCTTGTGGAAAGGCCTTGCTATGGTCTTTGTCCCTGCAGATGCTTTTGTGGCACAGCTGAGGAGTTGCAAAGCTTCACGTATGGACCGTCAGTCCTTTAGCAGAAAAAGTTTGCCAAGCCTGATCTAAAGGCTCATTTACCCCAATTACTTCTGATATGATATTTAGTGCTTCAGGGGATCTTCCAGGGTTCCCAGTTCTGGTTACACATTGGAATGACTTGAGGAGCTACTTAATGAGATTCCTGGGCCACTATGCCACACCAAATGGTACAGCCTCCCTGGAGGTGAGCCCAGGACTCTTTGCAACCAGTGCGACCAGCCAGGATGAGTCTGTTGTTAAGCCCAATTGCTTTGTTTTCCCAGTGAGAGGAGGTTCCTTGCTCAAGAGGTTAAAGTAGCCCGTGGCAAAACTCATGTTTCTTGCTACCTGTGGGGCAGTGGCTCTCAAAATTGAGTAGGCTCAATTGATGAGGACCTCCTGGAAGACCTGTGAAACCACTGAATTCTAGGTCTCAATCCAGAGCTTCTGATTCAGCAGGTGTTTTAGGAGCCTGCAAATGTGCATTTCTAACAAGTCCCCAGGTGCTGCTGATGCTGCTAGTCTAGAAGCCATACTTTGAAAATGGGTCTGCAGGGGTTGGCAGGCTATGTGTGGGGATTTGTTTTTTGAAATCCATGCTCTAAATAAAAGCATCTCATACACCGTCTTCCTCCCAAAGCATGTTCTTTAAAAATACAGGTGGTCACTTTCACAGCCTGAGTACCTTTTTCAACTGCTGCTGCCGTAAAGGAATCCTTATTGAGCAGTATTGTGTCAGAAACCATATGTAGTCTTGAGTGCTTAGTTTTAAATACTAACACCTGCCAGTGGCTTAGTCTGTAACCCAGTGTTGTTTTCTGGGTTGGCTTAAGGGAGAGCTGCTTTCAGGGACAGCAAAATGAGGACAAGCCTGTGTGTTGTGTGTTCATCAGAGCCCAGCACATTTCCAAGGAAGCTCTCCTCCTCGAAGTATTTCAGAAAGCGAGTTGATTGTGCATATACTAACCTAATTGACACATATAATGCCTATTTTTAACATGGAAGATCAGTTAAATCGTTAACTTATCATTTGCCATGATAGGCTGATACATATTGCTTGTTTTCTAAGCTCGATTCCTATTTAAATGCTTCTGTTGGAACTCCCAAAGTTTCCATAGATTTCTAATATGGTCTTTTATCCCATTGTCCATGCCACCTGGCATGAAGGAACCAGAAAGATGGCCAGAAGAAGGCTGAGGCAAGGGGAGGCCCTTGGGTGGAAACTTTTAAGAACCACTCACTCAGGGTCATGCATGACTGCAGCGTTGGACTCATCCCTAAATCATGCATGCTGGCACCTGCTTCCTTACCCTCGTCCCTGCCCCCATCAGATCCCGGAAGCTTGAGCAAGACTCTCTAAGACAAGAGGCCCCATCTGTAGACTCCACCTCCCTTCTTCCACTTACTTTGCTTGAATGATTCATTGATACCTTTAAAATACTCCAAGGAAAGAAACGGCTCGCTCTTTTTTTTTTTTTGAGACACAGTCTCACTCTGTCACCCAGGCTGGAGTGCAGTGGTGCGATCTCGGCTCACTGCAACCTCCGCCTCCCAGGTTCAAGCGATTCTCCTGCCTTGGCCTCCTGAGTAGCTGGGATTACAGGTGTACACCACCACGCCCAGCTAGTTTTTGTATTTTTAGTAGAGATGGGGTTTTGCCATGTTGGCCAGGCTGGTCTTGAATTCCTGGCCTCAAATGATGCAGCCTCCTGAAATGCTGGGATTACAGGCGTGAGCCACAGTGCCTGGTCTTGAACAGGTCTTTCTTTAGAATTTGCAAATATCTGTGTTGACACATTTTCCTGAACTTGTTAAAGATGAGACGGCTGCAGTACAAGCTGTGATGTGTCATACGATTGATTATTCTAATGAATTTTTAAGGGAAAAGAAATCCCCAGAGGGTTTCCTAGATGAAGACTTGAATGCAGGCGTGTGCAATCTCACAGAAAACAATACTGTTCCATTTGTAAATTCAGCTCGTGGCCTGTGTTAGAAGTTTCAAATGCAGTTGCTTCGTTTCAGACGTTAAAGTCCGTCGTTCATCTGGCTGCTGTTTGGATGTTACAGATGGTTCTGGGAATCATTTTGGGATAATTAATAATAGCGTAGGTCTTCCAGTGAGGGTAACAGGTAGCTAACCCTTGAGAATTCAGTGAGCATTTCAGTCTCCTGGAATGATCTGCTGTTCTAAAATGCATCCATCTCCCCGCCACGTCAGAGTTCACAGTGCCTTGTTCCAAGCATCTGCTTTTGCTCCTGCAAACAGAGCTAATGACAGATGTTAACTGGCTGAGCTGAGAGACAGTCACTCTTATGACAATGGGTTGGAGCATATGCTGTCCCGAGTTTCAGGAAGCTTTTGTAACAAAGGACTCAAAAGAGATCAGGCCTCCAGGGAATGTTGCCAACATGCCTTTGTAAAGGGCAAATCCTGTCCGATTAACCTAATTTCCTTCCCCGAGCAGTGATAAACCAGGGAGATTAAAATTTGCAGCTATTTCAACTTTAGCATTTATTTTTTTCTGATATAAGATGTATTTATAATTAACATCTGAAGATAGTTTATTTAAAACATGTATCTCGCTTTATTTTTTTTCCCTCCACCAAAAGGTCATAACTTGCCTTGGAAAGTAATACATGGGCCTCATGGATGTTTGGAGGTAGCACCAGCGAGTGTAGACTTCAGCATCCACTCCCTGAATTTTGGATGTTCCCTGTTCGGGACATTATCTGCAATGGTTAAGATGAAGTAAATACCATAGAGAAAAAATAATTCCTGCCATTTGAGGAAAGCCATACTCTTGAGTATTCATTATTGGCTCATTGCTATCTTTGATGGAGATTTTAAAATAGTTTGCAGATGTTACTTTTAGCTACAAGAGGAAAAGCAGCTAAAGCCACATTTTAGCACCTAGGATTTGATTCGTTAACAACTTGCATTAGCTTGAGTGATGGTCTGAAATACAAAGCAACAGTTTTTTTGGTTTTTTTTTTTGAGATGGAGTCTCACTGTTGTCGTCTGGGCTGAGTGCAATGGCGCAATCTCGGCTCACTGCAACCTCCGCCTCCCAGGTTCTGGCAGTTCTCCTGCCTCAGCCTCCCGAGTAGCTGAGATTACAGGTGCCCGCCACGCACGCCCGGCTAATTTTTGTATTTTTAGTAGAGATAGAGTTTCACCATGTTAGCCAGGCTGGTCTCGAACTCCTGACCTCAGGGAGTCTACCTGCCTCAGCCTTCCAAAGTGCTGGGATTACAGATGTGAGCCACCATGCCCGGCCAATAGTTTTGTTTTGTTTTGTTTTGTTTTAATTGAACAGTTTGATTGTGATATAATTCACCCACTTAAACTGCCAATTCAGTGGCTTTTAGTATAGTCACAGAATTGTGAAATTATCACTACAATAGATGTTGAAACATTTTCATTATTTAAAATAGAAACGCTGTAACCCTGAGCTGTCATTCCCAAGCTCTCCCTCCACCCTCACTCCTCCCCCAGCCTTGGGCAGCTGCTTTCTGTCTCTATAGCTCTGCCTGTTATGGACATTTCTTACAAATGGAATCAAACAATACGTGGTCCTTTGTGTCTGGCTTCTTTCACTTAGCATAATGTTTTCAGGGGTCACCCATGGTGCAGCATGTACCAGCACTTCACTCTTTTTTATTGCAGAGTAATAGTCCATTATATGAATATGCTACATTTTATTTAAAAGGAATAGTCTTTTAAACCTAAGAAGAAAAGAAAAAGATAAAACCTAGAAGAAATATAGCTAGCCATGTGTGACTAATTCTTACAGCATTAATATTGGGCCATGCATTTCATATTTCTAAAAGTAAGAGTGATATTATATATACTTAAGATCAGAAATATAGTTAAGAGCAGTGAGATAATTCTTACATGCTGTTAGAAAAAATCAGTTTAGATTGTCTGTCTTAGGACTATGTTTCCCATCCGAGTATTAACCAGGCCCAATACCCTGCTTAGCTTCACGAGATCAGACGAGATCACGAACCTTCAGGATAGTAAGGCCGTAGACTCTTAGGCACTATTTCTAGTTATAGTCTCATATCTGAAAATGAGCACAGCTTTTTTTTTTTAATAGTCCTGAGAAGATTGAAAGATAAGGAAGGCTTAGAAAACGGGCTCTGTGACAGGAGCTCAGGGAAAGGGTTCTGTAGCCAGGAGGAGGATAGGAGGTTGAAAGCAGAGGTTTGATGAACACACTTACGTAGACAGTGTGGACCCGCTCTTCTCTCCCACTGTGAAGAATGGATGTCATCCTGGACGGGAGAGATGATAGCACACAGGGCAAAGTGACACTGAGGCCCCCTAAGTATAGGATGGCACAACAGCAGATGGGGTGACAGCCTTTGACAATAAATAGCTGGCCTCTTGGCTGTCTGGGAAAAGAGTAATGCCAGAGATTTTACACCTGGGTATTACCAGGGATCATTTTCCTCATGCCTCTTCTGTTGAAGTAGGTGAGAGGCTGTCATGAATATTTCCTTGCATTCAAAAGGAGAGACAGTGACCACTGCAGGTGGCTTTGACATTTTGGCAATGTTGTAGAAGTGTAGGAATCTTTAAAGATGGAAGATAAAACTTTTTAAGAAGAGAACTGACATAACATATGATCATGAATTTTTTTTTTTTTTTGAGACGGAGTCTCACTCTGTCGCCCAGGCTGGAGTGCAGTGGCGCGATCTCAGCTCACTGCAAGCTCCGCCTCTCGGGTTCATGCCATTCTCCTGCCTCAGCCTCCCGAGTAGCTGGGACTACAGGCGCCCACCACTATGCCTGGCTAATTTTTTTTTTGTATTTTCAGTAGAGATGGAATTTCACTGTGTTAGCCAGGATGGTCTCGATCTCCTGACTGTGTGATCCGCCCACCTCAGCCTCCCAAAGTGCTGGGATTACAGGCGTGAGCCGCCGCGCCCGGCCAACATATGATCATGATTTTTTTTTATAATGGATTTCGAGGCTCTCTTTTTAGGTAGTGACTAATATTGGCTTATGTCAGCTCTAGGGTGAGAACCATTCCCATTTCATTCCTAGTTCTACCCTCACTAGTCCTGACGTGGACAGTTTACTGTTGTTATTCTTCAATTTCTCTGTGCCTTCTTGGCAAAGGCTTTTGAGGAATTCCTGGAAGAAATTCCCATGAGGTTTATGTGGGGCATTTTAATTCAAGCATTTATTGGGTGTCTGTTAAACTCAGGGAATTTGGGGGCAGGAAAGGACTTTCCAGATCATTTAGTTTTGCTGTGTCATTTACGTGTGACCAGGCTTAGTCCAGAGCGCTTTGATCAAAGTCACATGAGAAAACAGAAGAATAGGGAGAAAAGAGGGCTTCTCATGTATGGATCAGGCCTCATTCAATTTTTGCGGGCTATCTTCTGCTTGAAGGTAATGAGGTCCAGCTAGTCTGGGCCTGGAAAATAATACAGACGAACCCTTGAGTAGTCAGCCAGCAGGTTAGGGAATCATGACAGGAATTCACAAAACCGTTAAGAAATTTGATTAGTGTCTAAAAGCCAGAGGCAAAAAAAAGGTCAGTTAATTTGTTTATATCTGCTGGCCAAAAAACTCTTCTGAATGAATGCATTTAGGATAAAAACTGAAAATAAGACCCTAACTGATGACTGAGTTAATTTACATATGCATGGGGAGAAGAACTTTTTCTATACATCTACGATTAAGCCCCTTTGCACATTCAGTGACAGCAATAATAAATGTCACTGGTGACCTAGAATCTATACTTTTTGTTTCTTTGTGCCTGTTTTTTTTTTTTTTTAGCCTGTACTCTCAATTGTATATTGTCCTTTTAATGTACCTAAAGTTATACACAGTCTTTTTACTGGGCTTGTTCAGTTAACCAAC
The DNA here is from genome assembly GCF_000001405.40 of Homo sapiens. Classification (NCBI taxonomy): domain Eukaryota; kingdom Metazoa; phylum Chordata; class Mammalia; order Primates; family Hominidae; genus Homo; species Homo sapiens. The sequence continues at coordinate 16,852,149 of NC_000005.10, read as the reverse complement.
CAACCACCCTCCCTCCCTCCTTCCCTCCCTTCCTTCCTTCCTTCTTTCCTTCCCAGTGATCAGTAAGTCTTCTTTTTTTTTTTTTTTTTTTTTTTTTTTGAGATGGAGTCTTGCTTTGTCACCCAGGCTGGAGTGCAGTGGCACGATCTTGGCTCACTGCAACCTCCAACTCCCAGGTTCAAGCGATTCTTCCGTCTCAGCCTCCTGAGTAGCTGGGATTACAGGCACTTGCCACCATGCCCAGCTAATTTTTGTATTTTTAGTACGGACAGGGTTTCATCATGTTGGCCAGGCTGGTCTCTAACTCCTGACCTCGTGATCTGCCCGCCTTGGCCTCCCAAAGTGCTGGGATTACAGGCATGAGCCACCACGCCCGGCCATTAAGTCTTTCTTCAATTAAATTAACAAGTGATATCCTAATTTATATATTAATTGACATCATTTTAAGTTTGCATTATTTGGTTTGATCTTCGCAGAGGACTTAGCATGGCAAATAAATGTGAAACCATGATGAAGGTTTCACATCCTTCATCCTCAAAAGGACAGTGAGCTCACATTATGACCTGGGCACTAAAGAGATCACCTGTGTGGAGGTGCTTTCTGGGCCTTACATTTATACAATTCTCTAACGTTCATAAGATATTTTCATTTGAGTGCTCTGATATTGATCCTAATAACAAACATGTGACCCAAGTTTCCGAGTTTTAAAGTGTCATTTGTAAAGATGTGTTGATTGCTACTTCTCTGTTGCATATACTGAAGCAATTCCAGGATCAGTCAGTACTGGAGACCTTACTTTCCAGTATAAAACCAAGCTAACTAGCATAGCTGGGATGTGATTACTAAGGCCACTGCTCTGGGTTGAAGTATAACTTTTTCTTAAAAAAATGTGAAATCATGAAGGGAACAAATAACAGAGTCTCCGGAACATAATGTCTTCTTTTTCATTCTTTCCCTGAAGGACTTCAAGTTCAGAAATGTATAATTGAGCTCATGGTAGAAATAAAGTCTTACGCTGTCTATTATTTTGGTTAAAAGGCATTTGAAGCCAGGTGTGGTGGCTCACACCTGTAATCCCAGCACTTTGGGAGCCTGAAAGCGGGTGGATCACCTGAGGTCAGGAGTTCAAGAGCAGCCTGGCCAACAAGGCAAAACCCTGTCTCTACTAAAAAAGAAAAAATACAAAAATGAGCTGGGCATGGTGGTGCATGCCTGTAGTCCCAGCTACTTGGAGGCAGGAGAATTGCTTGAACCCGGGAGGCAGAGATAGCAGTGAGCTGAGATCATGCAACTGCACTCCAGCCTGGACGACAGAGCAAGACTCCATGTCCCACCCCCCCGCCCGTAACCCCCTCCAAAAAGCCATTTTACTCTGCAGGAAAAACCTAGACCAGCCCCCTTCCCCAAACTTTTTAGAGCGATCACATTAAGGCATCAGAATTGATACTAGGTTGAGCTTACCTATATGTGGTCTTTTCCTCCTCCTCCTTCCTGCCAACAGACATTTGAGTCATATACTATTTAACTGAGGATATATTTCATTTTTCTTTCTAAAATTATTTAAAAAAATAAGCAGCCAGGTATGGTGGCTCACACCTGTAATCCCAGCACTTTGGGAGGCCGAGGCAGCTGGATCACGAGGTCAGAAGTTGGAGACCAGCCTGGCCAACATGGTGAAACCCCATCTCTACTAAAAATACAAAAATTAGCTGAGTGTGGTGGTGCGCGCCTGTAGTCCCAGGTACTCGGGAGGCTGAGGCAGAAGAATCAATCGCTTGAACCCAGGAGGTGGAGGTTGCAGTGAGCTGCGATCGTGCCACTGCACTCCAGCCTGACAACAGAGTGAGACTCCATCTCAAAATAAATAAAAATAAATAAATAAATAAGCAACTGGAGGTTGGAGTGTCAGATTTAATAAGTTAAGGCATTGTAAATAAAGAATAGCAGAATGAATCGATGGTGCCATTTGATGAAGACATTTTCCCTAATATCTCCAGGCACAGTGGACAAATACGAATACACTGAAGGATATCAGTGTAGACCAATAAATTTTTTACTTGCCTAAAAGCATTCCTCTTTGTCTTATAGAAATTCCGGGTCTAAAGTTGCCATTAGGATCAGACTTGCTGAATAGATAGTTTAGATGTCAGTCCTCTCAGTTACTTTGTGTAAAGAAAAATCTAAGCCATCTGGGCTTTTGTGCTTTCATTATGCTGGCTCTAAAGACAGCGCAAAATGGCTTTTTGTTTTTGGGTCAAAGCAGATGTATGCAGCCTGCCATCTTAATTTCTTTTGTATGGGTTGGCGGATATTTTAGCTGCTTTGAAATGTTGAAAAGATTTCAAACCAAGTTGGGAAAGAACAAAATACATTGATTTTTGTTTCCCCCACAACTAAGTTTACTAGTTCAAGTATTTTGCGAACAAGTATCTCCTGAAATAAGTACATTAATTTAACATCATTTAGATGTTTCTCCAAATTTGTTGTTAATCTGTTTCTTTGGCCCGATGTTTAACTTTCATCTGAATCATGCAGCTAGGATTTGGTTTCAGCATATGCAAGGAAAGAATATCGGATCCTGAAATATATTGGTAACATATTAACATAATATGGGAAAATGTTGTGGAATAACATTTGCTCTCTGAACCACAAAATCTTATAAGAATCTCTGGATATATCCACTTAATTCCCTTCTATCTCTCTTTGCTAACTTGTGCTTTTATACATACAAACTTGATTCTAGTGGCACAAACTCTACCATTAGTAAACATTTACTCATAACTGACTTATGTGACTTTGCCACTTTGAAGAGTATGCCTAGAAGCCAGCTTTTGAATTTATTTTCGGTTACCTGTGGAAAAACCATTATATTACCGAAAAAGAGAGAGGGATACAATCTCTAATGTTTTCTAATAGCAGATGAGGTTGCAGAAATCAGTAAATGTATGTTATGTGCAGATTATAGACTGAAGCTATTTTTCAGTTATCAAATAGGAAGGGCAAAAGTACTTTAAAAATACCTAATTAATTGCCAGGCGCCGTGGCTCATACCTGTAGTCCCAGCTACTTGGGAGGCTGACGGGCGAGGATCACTTGAGCCTGGGAATTCGAGGCTACAGTGAGCTATGATTGCGCCACTGCACTCCAGCCTGGGCAACAGAGGGAAACCCTGTTTCAAGAAGAAGTAATAATTAATTCAAATACATAATATTTGGTGTTTTCCTGGTTGCCGTTATTTTAACCTTCCTGAGTAGTATTTATATTTACAAATGTAGTTGGAAAAACTTATGTGCCTACAGGTTATGTAGGTGCTGTGAAGAGCTGAAGATGGTCTCTATCCTCAGGACTTAACACCCTAAGGCAGTGTTTCCAATTATAGCCACTGAGACCAGCAGTGTTGGTGATGGTGCCGCTGTAGACAAACTAGCCTCTTGAATTGTTGAGCAGAGACTAGCCCTTCTGCCGTCCATCCGTAGCGGGGAGGTATCGCCAGGTGTTTACTAATGGCAGCCATAACGACGAGCGTTTCCCAAAGACTCTTGGAGGGAACACAAACCCCACGTGATGTTGGGAGAAGTGGGTGGTGGGGGGTGGATTAAATTAAGTTTGAGAAAGGCGACATCATCATTATTATTTTTAGAAAATCAGAGCAGCATTTGATCTTAATTTCTGCAGTAAAGAAATGTGTTTAGCCAGGTGCGATGGCTCATGGCTATAATCCCAGCCCTTTGGGAGGCCGAAGCAGGCGGATCACCTCAAGTCAGGAGTTCAAGATCAGCCTGGCCAACATGGTGAAACCCTGTCTCTACTAAAAATAACAAAAATTAGCTGGGCGTAGTGGCGCATGTCTGTAATCTCAGCTACTTGGGAGACTGAGGCAGGAGAATTGCTTGAACCCAGGAGGTGGAGGTTGCAGTGAGCCAAGATTGTGCCACTGCACTCTAGCATGGGCGACAAGAGCAAAACTCTCTCTCACAAAAAAAAAAAAAAAAAAGAAATGTGTAGTTCTTTGCTTAATCATGCTTCCCAAACTGCCAGAGAAGCTGTTCATAAAATCAGTGCCCATTCACCTTAATTCACTTTGGGAACTGCTGGCTAGGTGATGCTTCCTTTTTTGTGGTTGCTGTTTTCATTTGGGTTCTTATTACCAATGTTAATCAGTTAATATCAACCTTGTCTTCTCTAGGCTATCACTTGCATGTGAGTACCATTTGGATGTTCTAGTATTTTAAAGTAACTTTATTATTTTTTTAGAGACAGGGTCTTGCTATGTTGCCCAGACTGGAGCGCAGTGGCTATTCACAGGTGCAATTATAAAGCACTACAGCCTCAAACTCCTGGGCTCAAGCAGTCCTCCTGCATCAGCCTCTTGAGTAGCTGAGACTTCAGTTGTGCACCACAGTGCCCAGCAATTTTTTTTGAGACAGGGTCTCACTGTGTCACCCAGGTTGGAGGGCAGTGGCACAATCACGACTCACTCCAGTCTCAACCTCCTAAGCTCAAGCGATCCTCCCACCTCAGCCTCCCAAGAAGCTGGGACTACAGTTGTGCACCACCATGCCTGGCTAATTTTTGTATTTTTTGTAAATAGGTTTTGCCATGTTGCCTAGACTGATCTCCAGTGCCTGGGGCCTAGCGATCCTCTCGCCTCAGCCTCCCAAAGTGCTGGGACTGCAGGTGTGAGTGATTGCACCTGGCCCTGCCTAGCAATTTTTTTTTTTTTTTTGAGGTGGAGTCTCGCTCTGTTGCCCAGGCTGGAGTACAGTGGCACCATCTCGGCTCACTGCAAGCTCTGCCTCCCGAGTTCACACCATTCTCCTGCCTCAGCCTCCTGAGTAGCTGGAACTACAGGCACCTGCCACCATGCCCAGCTAATTTTTTGTATTTTAATAGAGACGGGGTTTCACTGTGTTAGCCAGGATGGTCTGCTAACCTCGTGATCTACCTGCCTCGGCCTCCTAAAGTGCTGGGATTACAGGCATGAGCCACTGTGCCCGGCCAGCAATTTTTAAATACTTTTTTTTTTCCTTTGGAGACAGAGTCTCACTCTATTGCCCAGGCTGGAGTGCAGTGGTGCAATCTCGGCTTACTGCAATCTCTGTCTTCTGGGTTCAAGTGATTCTTGTGCCGTAACCTCCCGCATAGCTGGGATTACAGGTGTGTGCCACCACACCCAGCTAATTTTTGTATTTTTAGTAAAGATGGGGTTTCACCATGTTGGCCAGGCTGGTCTCAAACTCCTGACCTCAGGTAATCCGCCTGCCTCAGCCTCCCAAAGTGCTGGGATTACAGGCGTGAGCCACCGCACGTGGCCTTAAATAACTTTTAATGCCCTGTTTACACATTAGCAAAATGTTGATGGCAATACTTACCTTTCTAGGTTGGTTTGCAGAATAGGGAGGGAATGTATGAGCCTGCTTAGGGATGTGTCCGATGTTGTAAATACTTAACACTTGTCACATATTATGACTTGTCATCCCAAAGGCAGTCCCTGCACAACGATGATGATGACCTTTCCCACCTTTTGCTACCAAACATGCTAATTATGGACCTGTTTGTGGCCACCCTCCTTCTCAACCGGTTTCAACTATTTTTGACAGCAAAGAATCAAGATAATATAGCCTTTGAAAGTGAATCAGTGAAGCCTGCGCTCTTTCATGGTGACCAAAATCTGGGAGAATTTCTTTTTATGATTGTAGACTTTGCGGGCCCAGGTGTTAGCCTTTATGCTTGGGTGTGGGAAGGAGGAAGAAAACAGGCTTGGCAGGTCCATTCTAGAACATTTTGTCTCACACACAGAAGTGACTGTCATCCTTGAGTGACTTCAAGGTGGTTTTTAATGTTGCAGAAAGTTTGGCAGGCAGGAAACTTCATCCAAATCCTGTTTAGTCTCATGGTACTTAGAGACGGTAGTGTTATAATTAGTCTGCCAATAGCTTGTCTTTCTGTTTGGCTTCATTTCACTTTGAAAACAAAGTCAGTATGTAGCCCATGCAAACAAGTTTGCCAAGATCTGTGAGCACTTGATACACCTTAACACCTGGACACTGTATTCTGTGGCTCCCAGAACTTTGGATTTGAGCATCTGGGAATTATAGGAGACCAACATAGAGTTGTCCCATTTTTTATTTTATCAAGTAAGGGCATCTAATAACTCTTGCCATTCTTTTCCTTTTCTTTTTTTTTTGAGACAGAGTCTCGCTCTGTCACCAGGCTGCAATGCAGTGGTGTGATCTCGGCTCACTGCAACCTCTGCCTCCTGGTTTCAAGTGATTCTCCTGCCTCAGCCTCCCGAGTAGCTGGGACTACAGGTGCGTGCCACCACGCCCAGCTAATTTTTGTATTTTTAGTAGAGATGGGGTTTCACCATGTTAGCCAGGATGGTCTCAATATCTTGACCTTGTGATCCACCCGCCTCGGCCTCCCAAAGTACTGAGATTACAGGTGTGAGCCACCGTGCCCAGCTTATTTTCATCTTTAAAGATGTGTTTTGTTTTTCAAGAGACAGGGTCTCACCATGTCATCCAGTCTGGAGTACAGTGGTGCCATGAGAGCTCCTGGGCTCAAGCAATCCTCCTGCCTCAACTCTGGAGTAGCTGGGACTCTAAGTGTGGACCATTACGCCGGCTAAGTTTTACATTTTTTTAAGAGGCGTGAGTCTCGCTTTGTTGCCCAGGCTGGTGCGGAACTCCTTCTTTCAAGCAGTCCTCTTGCTTCAGCCTCCCAAAATATTGGGATTACAGGTGAGAGCCCACTGCACCCAGCCTAAAAGACATTTTTTTAACACGCCGAAAATGGGAAGGACATAATCGTGGGACAGCTCTTTAAAATGGAAGGAGTTAAACTTTATGAGAAATTATCTCTGTGGTCTTATATTTCTCATTTGGCTATTGAGAATTAGTCTCAGTTAAGGGTTTGGAAATTTCTGCTACAGATAATTCAGCAGTAAGGATCTGTTACCTTTCAGGAAAAAATGTACTGCCACCTGCAGGTATAATCTCTGGGCCGTGTCTCAGGAAGAGGTTCAGTTCTGTATAGCACTTTTAAATTGTTCTCATTCCCTTTGCTTAAAGGTAAGGTTTTTGAGCATTTTAATACATCAAGTTAAAGTGTCAATTGTAGGCTTTGGTAAGATAATATAGATCAGTCATATTTGAAAAGGGAAATACACTGTGTGTGTGTGTGTGTGTGTGTGCGTGTGTGTGTGTGTGTATCTGGAATTACTTTGTTGGAATAAAATCTTGTTGGAGAGTTTAACAAATTTTACTGGCAATGTAAGAAGGGGTGGACAGCAGCCTCCCACCCCCCACCCCATTTCTTAGCAGTGGTTTCTGTGAAACTTTTAGAGTTCTGCAGATCTTGATTTAAAATCTATTGATTGAGCATAATCTAGTCTACAATGGTATTTGTTTTTAATATTGCTGTAACTTTCAGCTAATTCTATAGTTGGTTTTGCATAGCTTTAAGGGCAAAACCTAATATACAAGGTGAAATTTAGAATTAGTAGTTGAGTATAGATTAGGCACTAGAATCCTGTTTATGCCAATTTTACATCATAATATGCACCAACACCACCTTTGCTTTTCAAAAAGCAACCATTCAGTTCTGGTAGATTAACTAGCAAAGAGTTAAATTGAGTAAGTTTTCTTGCTTCGTACTTTAGATATTCCTCTTTTCTTACCATAATTACTTTCATGACTATTTGCCCTTTCACTTTGTGACACTAAAAAAAAAATGAAAAGAGAAGAGCCAGTTAGATAAATCGTTGGAGAAAGCGGATAAATATTGACATCATTAAAGATCTGTGTTAATGCGTGATGTGGACCTGATAGTGAAATATTTGTTTCTCCTGTGATTTATGCAAAATCCTCAGAGTCCGATCCTGAATTCGATAAATAATTATTCAAAGAAAAAAAAGGAGTGGATAAAAATAGTTTGGAAGAAAATTATTATCTAGTAATATGATTTGAGAGAATCAGTTTAAGGATACTTGGGGAACAATGAATGGAAAAATGAAACAGAGTCTCCCAATTTTATTGGGGTGAAGGAGAAAAAGCAAATGGATTGTGATTTGTTGCTAGTCAGCAGCTGATTCATGAGTGACGGGACAACCCACTTATCTGCTGTCTGTTTTCCCCCACTTGCAGCGTGTCAATCTTTGTGCTTGTTGGGAGAAATTATAATAAAATAATATGAGTTAAGTATTTGAAGTTCTTGTATAACCATGTAATTATTATTTAGTAGTGTCTTCACTTAACCTTTTCAGGTTAACTTGTGCAGATTGGTTTTGATGCTGTTAATGAACTTCAGAAGACCTAGAAGCTTTTTTGTAGTTAAGGGATATTTTTCCATTTCCTGTGCCTGTTCCATTCCTTCAAAAAAATTTTTTTTTCTGTAATTTACCCATCACTATATATTTGATGTGCTCTACTAAAGTCCAAATACTTAATGCCATTTAAAAATACTGTTTCATTTTAACTTGATTTTTAGCAATGGGCAGTCAAGAGTGCTTGCTGATAGAAAGTTAGACAAGGGAGTCCAGGACCTTATGGAGACAAATAAGACATATTTTGAAACATAGTGATGGTGCCCAGTAGCTGACCTGTTCCAACACTTGGATGCTAGACTCCTAGCCCTGCCTGCTGCTTACTAACTGTGGGACCCTGGGCAAGATTTTTAAGCTCTGTGGGCTTCAGTCTTTTGGGATAAGAATATCACCTTGCCAGAGGGCTGATTGCTGGATACAGCAGAGGCATTTGCCAGGTTATACAGGTAAGAATGGCCATAATTATATGTATGTATGTGTGTATGTATATATGAATGCATATATGGGTATATAGACATTTGCATACACATGCAAGTTGCAAAAATGTTAGATTAGGTCATTGCCATAGAAAATTAGAAGGGGAGAATGGGGCGTGGAGCATACTTGAAGCTGGAGCACGTGGAAGCTTCTATGACGTGTGGAAGTCAGTGCTGGACCGGGCTAGCTCAGTGTGGTTTCAGCTGGCTCGAGGCCTGTCAGGGAATGGGCTGGTGCATGTGTGGTCGGGGGCCGAGTACAAGGGGAACAGGAGGAATGAAGCAGAACCAGAAACCATAGCAGGGTTTCCAAGGAAATGAGTCCTGACAGTTTCATGATTGAGCCAACGGGTGTCAAGTAGGAGCAGGCATCTTATCTTGGCAGCAGCCTGTATTTCAAAGTTCCTTTTTTTTTTTTTTTCCTTTTTCTTTTTTCTCTCTCTTTTTTTTAGTAGAGACGGGGTCTCACTGCGTCATCCAGGCTGGAGTGCAGTGGTGCAATCATAGCTTGCTCTAACCTCAAACTCCAGGCTCAAGCAATCTACCCATCTCAGCCTCCCGACTAGCTGGGACTATTAATTTTTTGTAGAGATGGGGTTTTTGCTAAGTTGCTTTGGCTGGTGTCAAACTCCTGGTCTCAAGCGATCCTCCCATCTTGGCCTTCCAGAGTGCTGGGATGACAGGCGTGAACCTTCCAAGTTCCTTAGTCTTATGCATTGTAATCAGTTGTGTTGATGCTTACAGCAGCTTTGTGAGCGAGGGAAGGGGGAAGTATTCTTACCTCCTTTGGACAGATTAGGAAGACAGAAAGGGAGGTTTCTGAGAAGAGGTATGACATGTGTCAGGCCACATCTCGTAGTGATGAGGCTGCCGCTGAAGCCCAGGGCTGGTGAGGATATGACTTCCCTGGTGGAGCTGGGCTCCCTCTGCCTGGAGCCCCTACGCTTTGATTGCAGCATCTTCTAAAGGCACTTTTGGGGATCAGTTTCCCCTTCTGCTCTTCACTTGACTGGCTCTCAGTACCTCTTCTCCTTTGTCTCTCTTTCTGTAGCTTCTTGTGCAGTGGTGGGCTGGAATCAGTACATTTTAAACAGTGGAGCTTTTAGCAAAGGTCAGGCAAGCATACAACTTCTACCTCCATCACCAGAGTCAGAAATTACACATATCTAAACTGCGATAGGTCTGGGGGCACATGATCTAAATGTGCTTATACATATAAAGGGTTCTATAAGATGCTTCTTTTTAAAGTTTTACTTTATACTATGAAACCAAGAATATCTGTGCCACCTGCTTTTCTGCCTATTATGTGGAACTGCCCCCACCCCCACCAAGCCCCCCCACCCCAAAGTCAAGTGTCATGCCTTCTATGATTGAGTCCTCTTTGTCTAGTTATCAGATATTGTGCTAATCTCAGCAGGAAATATTATGGCTTTGCCTGGGTGTTTGAAACATAACCGTAATATGTTCAGAAAAACTCCAAGCCCTCGAGCCCTCCAGAGTCCGGAATAATGAAGCCAGGACAAAGAGATCATGAGCTTTATTATTAGACGCACTTACAAAAAAGCCATATTAATGAAAAACAGTTTGCGAGAAGAGTTGGCAAACAAGTCAGCTTCCATTGTTAAAAGTTCAAATAGAACTTGGCTTTGTTGAAGGAGAGCCTGAATTAGTTATTAGTGTCTCAGACCACAAAGGCTGCCGCGTTGTGATGGTCTGTGGAGCTCATGGAACCTAACCATCCTTCTCTCTCAGAGAAATGGGAAAAATTTAAAGTTTTCAAATGAACATTAATCTCCAGCTTTGCCGTTTCATGCTTGCTCGTGCATAATAAAAAGGGTATTAAGTTCGCAGAGATAAATTTTGGTGTCAGGATTAACTTAAAGACATTTTAAGCCCTTTTTCTAAAAATCTGGAAAATCCTTCTGACTATTGGAGTTTCAGCCTGCTTAACACAGTTGTTTGTGTTGTTAGTAATAAGTACTGACCTTTTGTACAGAACTTTTAATGGGCGTAGTTCAACTCACAAAATAATTGTCTTTAATATCTCAGTTCTTCTAGCACACCATGAAAAGACCTAAATGACTTTAAAACTGATTCATTTGAAAATGTGCATTGTTTCTGAATAATAACTGTTTCTGAATCTGTCTTCAGGGTTATGTAAGCAGCTCCTAAACATTCGAAATCTCCTTTTTTTTTTTTTTTGAGATGCATTTCCGCTCTTGTTGCCCAGGCTGGAGTGCAATGGCGAGATCTCGGCTCACTGCAATCTCCGCTTTCCAGGTTCTAGCGATTTTCTGGCCTCAGCCTCCCAAGTACTTGGGATTACAGGCACCTGCCACCACGCCCGGCTAATTTTTTTTTGTATTTTTAGTAGAGATGGGGTTTCACCATCTTGGCCAGTCTGGTCTCGAACTCCTGACCTCAGGTGATCCGCCTGCCTTGGCCTCCCAAAGTGCTGGGATTACAGGTGTGAGGCACTGCACTCGGCCTGAAATCTCCTTTTTTAAAAAAAATTTTAAAGATAACTCTCCCTATGTTGGATCTCCTTTTTTCTCTCATGTATTGGTTTTAACTTTATTAGTAGGAACTAGTCATTTTAAATATGGGCTTGCATATTTTTGTTGTGCATATTGCACAACAAAAATGCATATTGCATTTTTTTATTGTGTTTTCTTGTCAATTATAACACCCACTGTGAAGACACATATGCATTTATGTGTATGATTTGGTGTACAGTGTGCTTGTAGTGGCTCTGTTCCTGGTAGTCATAAGAGTCATAAGTGCCAGGACCAGAGTATTTTCCACAAGGGCTTCTTAGAATGGAAAGGATCGTGTTTTGCTAGTGACATGTGCAAAGGATTTCACAGGACAGGTATGCTTAAGCTCTTCTGTTTCTTTCTTTCATTCATTCATTCATTCATTCATTCATTCATTCAGAGATGGAGTGTCGCTCTGTCGCCCAGGCTGGAGTGCAGTGGCACAATCTTGGCTCACTGCAACCTCTGCCTCCCAGGTTCAAACGATTCTCCTGCCTCAGCCTCGCAAGTAGCTGGGATTACAGGTGTGCACCACCATGCCTGGCTAATTTTGTATTTGTCATAGAGACAAGTTTTCACCATGTTGTTCAGGCTGGTCTCGAACCTCTGACCTCAAGTGATCCACCCACCTAAGCCTCCGAAAGTGCTGGGATTATAGGCGTGAGCCACCATGCCCGGCCTGTTCTTTCTTTTAAATTGCCGTGTTACTGTCTACTTGTAGGAAACCTGGCAGAGCTCTGCTTAACCTTGTACCTTCTCACCTTCTCACATATACAGGTCAGCCCATCTTTCACTGCAATCTAGACTCTCACTTTCTTCCTTACTTTTCCACTGAGCTTGGAATTAAAGTACAGACGCCCCTCGACTTACAATGAGGCTCTATCCTGACAAACCCATTATAAGTCTAAAATATCTCAAGTCAAAGATGCATTTAATCCACCTAACCTACTGAACGCCATAGCCTAGCCTAGCCTACCTTAAACATCCTCAGAACACTTACATTAGCCTACGGTTTGGCAAAATCATCTCACACAAAGCCTATTAATTAAATTAATTAATTTATTTTTTTTGAGACAGAGTTTCACTCTGTCACCCAGGTGGGAGTGCAGTAGTGCGATCTCGGCTCACTGCAGCCTTGACTTCCTGGCCTCAGGTGATCTTCCCCTTAGCCTCTTGAGTAGCTGGGACTGCAGGCATACGCCACCGTGCCTGGCTAATTTTTGTATTTTTTGTAGAGATGGGGTTTTGCCATGTTGCCCAGGCTGGTCTCGAACTCCTGGCTCAAGTAGTCCTCCTACCTTGGCCCCCCAAAGTGCTGGAATTGCAGGTGTGAGCCACTGCACCTGGCTTGTGTGTCCCAATTTGATCATGAGATTGCAGCAAATCAGTTCCATCTTCAGGCTCCACTTCTAATTCTAGTGCCCTTGCTATTCCCACCACATCTGCAATGACTTCCTCCACTGAAGTCTTGAACCCCTCAATGTCATACATGAGGGTTGGAATAATCTTCCAGACTCCTCCTAATCTTGATATTTTGACCTCCTTTCATGAATCACAGATGTTCTTGATGGCATCTAGAATGGTGAATCCTTTCCAGAAGGTTTTCAATGTATTTTGCCTGGCTCCATCAGAGCAATCACCATCTACTATGGCACTAGGTATATAGGCTTATGAAATGCATTCCTTAAATAATAAGACTTGAGAGTCAAAGTTACTCCTTGATCCGTGGGCTGCAGAATGGGTGTTGTCTTAGCAGGCATGAAAACATGAATCTCCTTGTACATCTTTATCAGAGCTCTTGGGTGACCAGGTGCATTGTCAGTGAGCAGTAATATTTTGAAAGAAATCTTTTTTTCTGAGCAGTAGGTTTCAACAGTGGACTTAACATATCACTAAAACCATGCTGTAAACAGATGTACTGGCATCTCAGTTCTGTTATTCCGTTTATAGAGATGAGTAGATTTAGCATAATTCTTAAGAGCTCTAACGTTTTCAGAATGGTAAATGAGCACTGGCTTCAACTTAAAGTCCTCATTTGCATTAACCCCTAACAAGAGAGTCTGTGTGTCCTTTGAAGCCAGGCCTTGAGTTCTCCTCTTTAATTGTGGAAGTTCTAGATGGCAGCTTCTAGTAGGAGGCTGTTTTGTCCACACTGAAAACCTTTTTAGTGTAGCCACCTTCATCAATGATCTTATTTAGATCTTCTGAATAACTTGCTGCAGCTTCTTTGTCAACATGTCCTGCTTCCCCTTGCTCTTTTGTGTTGTGGAGACGGCTTCTTTTCTTAAATCTCATCAACGAATCTGTGCTGGCTCCAGACTTTTCTTCTGCAGCTTACTGACCTCTCAGCCTTGATAGAATTGAAGAGAATGAGGGCCTTGCTCTGGATTAAGCTTTGGCTGAAGGGATTGTTGTGGCTGGTTTGATCTATCCAGACCACTCAAACTTCCTCTATGTCAGCAACAAGACTGTTTTACCTTCTTTTCATTCATTTGTTCACTGTAGTGGCACTTTTAATTTCCTTCAAGAAATTTTCCTTCAAGAATTTTACCTTTGCAACTTGGCTGTTTGGCTTCCAGCTTGTCTTAACTTTCGCCATGCCTTCCTCACTCAGCTGCGTCATTTGTAGCTTTTGATTTAAAGTGAGAGATGCGTGACTCTTTTTTACTTGAACATTTAGTGGCCATTGTGGGGTTATTTCATTGGCCCAATTTCAATATTGTTGTGTCTCAGAGGATATGAAGGCCCCAGGAGAGGGAGAGAGACAGGGAACAGCTGGTCGGTGGAGCAGTCAGAACACACATTAGGTTCACTGTCTTGTATGGGTGTGGTTTGTGGCGCCCCCAAACAATTACAATAGGAGCATCAAAGATCAAATATTATAATAATGGAAAAGTTTGAATTATTGTGAGAATTACCAAAATATGACACGGATGTGAAGTGAGCACCTGCTGTTGTAAAAACAGCAGCAGTAGACTTGCACAGGGTTGCCACAAACCCTCGATTTGTAAGAAAATGCAGTGTCTGTGAATTAAACGAGGTGTGCCTGTATTTGAGGTGGGCTCAGTTTGCCAGTGAGGGAAAGGCACCAGCATATATCAGACACCTTGCATTCCCTGGGTTCTGTGCTAAGTGCCTAACTCATGTGTATTAAAAAAGAATAACAGTTTTATTGAGATGTAACCCACAAACCATAGACTTTACTCAAAGTGTACCATTCAGCAACTTCTTTAGTGTATTTACAGAGTTGTGCAGTCATCACCACAGTCAAATTTAGAACACTTTCATCACCCCGAAAGAAAACCTTGTACCTGTTAGCAGCCAGTCCCTATAACCCTCCTCCTAACCCCTGGCAACCACTAATCTACTTTCTGTCTCTATGAATTTGCTTATTCTGGACATATTATGTAAATGGAAACATAATAATATATAGCCTTTTGTGTCTGGACTCTTTCACTTAGCATATTTACAAGGTTCGTCAGTATGTTTTTTTTTCTTTTGAGACGGAATTTTGCTCTTGTTGCCTAGGCTGAAGTGCAATGGTGTGATCTTGGCTCACCGCAACCTGTGCCTCCCGGGTTTCAGCAATTCTCCTGCTTCAGCCTCCCAAGTAGCTGGGATTACAGGCCTCTGCCACCACGCCCTGCTAATTTTGTATTTTTAGTAGAGATGGGGTTTCTCCATGTTGGTCAGGCTGGTCTCGAACTCCTGACCTCAGGTGATCTGCCCGCCTCGGCCTCCCAAAGTACTGGGATTACAGGTGTGAGCCACCTCTCCCTGCCTATCAGTACATCATTTTTATTGCCAAATAATACTCCCTGGTATAGTCACACCACATTATGTCTATCTATCATCTGTTACAACCATTTGGGTTGTTTCCACTTTTGGCTAATAGGAAAAATGCTGGTACGAACATTCATGGTAACCTTTTCGTGTGGACATACGTTTTTATTTTTCTTGGGTATATATCTAGGAGTGAATTGCTGGATCATATGGTAACTGTATTTAGCCTTTCAAAGAATGACCAGACTGTTTTCCAAAGCGTCTGCACCATTTTACATTCCCACCAGCCATGAGTTAACTCATATATATTTAAAAGGCATAAATACAACTATCAAGTGAGCAGAGAACAATTTTAAGTTTTAAAAAAATCCTGATCCAAATCTCAAAGTCTCTGAAGGACGTGACTGCTCTGAATGAGATACAGCTTTTCCCAGTTTTCAGATATCCGCAAGGTGGGGGCTGTATACCCCTTGGTGCATGTCCGTCATATTTTCATCAGTTTCCATCTGCCCATCTTCTTGGGCACATGTGTAGTCATTGAGTTTTTGCTGTTGGCCTTCTTCATTATCTTTGACTCTGGAATGTAGAAAATGAGGTGGAGTTGATGGATGAAGATGCAAACCACTGGAGGTGGGTTATAACCAAAGTAGGAATAGGGGTTAAATTTTTACTATTTTTGTCTGTAACAGTGGAGGAGGAGCTGTTCTCTCATATGAATAGTGACCATTTGTTATCTACTGAAAGAGTGTAAGAGCCCCTTTGTCCTTACACTGTGTTTTGATTCCATCGCATTCTAAAATGCAAATTTGAATAGATAAGATTACAAGGATATCACCAGAAAGAAAGAATCTCCAGACACTCTTTTTGGGAGGGGGATGAGAAGTTAGGCAAGGAGTGAGGATACTGACGATAGTATGCCCCTATCTCTCCTAAACTTTGTTCTTAGGAGGTTTCACCCTGATTCCCATCAGTTTCCCTAACCCTCAGATCCTCTGGCTCTTAGATATTCAGACCAGATTTCTGGTACAAGCTGTGCAGGGCTTTTACATCCTTTGCTTTCATAGACACTTACAAAGACACAGCAATTTCTTGTTGACACATTTGAGAGGAGTAGGGGGAACAAGTGACCTTATTTTTATTATGATCCATGTACTGGGAAAACTCTCCCAGAGCATGATATTAATGTTTTTGTTATCAAAAATGTCTTTTTTTTTTTTAAAGACTTTTGCCCTCCTTAATTAGTAACCTACTTTTTTTTGGGGTCTTTCTTCTTTCTGGCCTTCTGCCTTTCCCTAATCTTTCCATTAATTCAGAGAGTGTTTTCCTGATATTTCTACAGATTTCCTTGATAGTGGGGATGGGGTTGGTGGACAGGAAGAGTGTGGGGAGATAATTATGTCATATTCTGAGCTGATGTGGCTTGTTATCTTCTGGATGTTGTGAGTTCTCCTAGTTTTTGTACCATAAGTTTGAGCCAAGCTGACATCTTGCTGTCTTTGTACATATCTCACCAAAAAAAAAAAAAAAAAAAAAAACAGCCAAAAATGACTTTGGTGTGATCTCGGCTCACTGGAACCTCAGCTTCTTGTGCCTCAGCTTCCCGAGTAGCTGGGATTACAGGCATGCTCCACAACGCCCGGCTAATTTTGTATTTTTTAGTAGAGATGGGGTTTCATCATGTTGGCCAGGCTGATCTCGAACTCCTGACCTCAGGTGATCTGCCCACCCTATCTCAAAGTGCTGGGATTACAGGCATGAGCCACCACGCCAGGCCCTGATTCTGTTTTTGTTTACTGGATTAATAAATACCTTGTGTGTTATCTCTAAATTCTTCCCCACCCCTCTACCCACCCGAGACAGTCTCACTCTGTCGCCCATGCTGGAGTACAGTGACGCAATCTCGACTTACTGCAACCTCCACCTCCTGGGTTCAAGCAATTCTCTTGCCTCAGCCTCTCGAGTAGCTGGGGTACAGGCGTGTGCCACCACGGTGGCCCGCCTAATTTTTGTATTGTTAGTAGAGATGGGGTTTCACCATGTTGTCCAGGCTAGTCTTTAACTCCTGACCTCATGATCCGCCTGCCTCGGCCTCCCAAAGTGTTGGGATTACAGGTGTGAGCCACTGCGCCCAACTGTTATCTCTAAATTCTCAATGGGCACTTGGAAATGTGCCCATCTGCCAAAAATGGCTTGGAAAACACATAATGTTTAAAGCTAGGACTCATTCCATTGATTTTTGTTTAAAACTAAGAGGTGTATTCATATTTGGTTTGAATATGTCCTTTTCATTTCACTTAAGGGCAGCCAAGGAATTACTGTCCTATTATTTAGTTTAAGAAAATTTCAAGGTGACCTGTAAATGAAAAGTGTTGATTTGTGACCCAGTCTTTGGAGTTGGTTTTAGATGACAAACGTAAAGTCCTCATCATGTAATCTTAGTACCACACGTGGTAGCTGCTGTTCATCCCTTTAGCAGAAAATTATTAAGCAGCCATTAGTTCCAGGAATTTGATGAGACAGTGAGAACCCAGAAGTTTTTGTGAGACAAGTCCTGGTCCCCACAGATTGATCCATACGAGGGTGGTGAGAGGGGGTCCTCAGCACCCCCTGCTATTGTAGACACCAGGATTTGCTCTTGCCCTCCTTCCCATCTACCCACATGCAGTTCCACGTCCTCATCACGGTGCACCAGGAAATCAGCCACTTCGGCATATGAGCTGGAAGTTTCTCTCCTTGATTGATGATTACTAGGCAGGGGTAAGAAAACCGAGGTTACAATAGAATGTAAGTGACCTGAGAGGTTTCTGTCCAAGGTGCTGTGGGAGAGAAGGCCAGCCCGCTCAGACTAGATGTGGTGGGGAAACTCAAAAGAGGGGTGACTGGGAGGGTGTGCTGAGCCAAGGAAGGAAAGACAGACAGACCCCAGGAGAGTTAACCCTTACAGGGACTCAAAGTTAATCTAATGCGTATGGAGTCAGCTTGGCAGGTGAAACAATGGGGCGTTCGGGGGGGCCTGGCAGAGAAACCACATTAAATAATTGATATTTTGTCCTCGAAGTGATTGGGAAACAACTGTCAGAGAATTCCAATCAGGGTATGGCCAGATTACATCACTGATAACAGTAATATGACTAACTGAAATATCAGAGTTGCTTACACAGTACCAAGAACTGTGCTAAATGTGTACAATACTTATGTGCATGATCTCACTCTGTTTGCACTAAGAAACATAGCCATTTGGATTATTCTTATATTATAGATGAGGAAACTAAGGATTGGAGAGCAGAGTAACTGGAACAAGTTAAGATTGCTCAGCCAGTGAGGTGCAGAGTGGAGTTC
Source organism: Homo sapiens (assembly GCF_000001405.40). Lineage (NCBI taxonomy): Eukaryota > Metazoa > Chordata > Mammalia > Primates > Hominidae > Homo > Homo sapiens. The sequence continues at coordinate 16,833,688 of NC_000005.10, read as the reverse complement.
AGCACTGCCAAATCTCATGTTCTGCAAACTTGAGCAGTTTCCCTTGAAGGAGGAAAGATTCTAGTCAATCCTGTTTTGGGAAACAGCAGCCAAAGAAACCAAAATCTTATCTCTGAAAATACCTTTCAATTCTATATTATCAAGGCCAAGAAAAATTGTCATTAAAACTAGTAAAATGGCCGGGCACAGTGGCTCACACCTATAATCCCAGCACTTTGGGAGGCTGAGGTGGGCAAATCACGAGGTCAGGAGTTCGAGACCAGCCTGGCCAACATGGTGAAACCTCGTCTCTACTAATAATACAAAAATTATCCAGGTGTGGTGGTGGACACCTGTACTCCCAGCTACTCAGGAGGCTGAGGCAGGAGAATCATTTGAGCCTGGGAGGCGGAGGTTGCAGTGAGCCGAGATCATGCCACTGCACTCCAGCCTGGGCGACAGAGTAAGACTCAATCTCAAAAAAAAAAAAAACAAACCTAGTAAAATATATTTTAAAACATCATTAAAATTAAAGTTCAAAATTTAAAGAAACATATCTTGGACTCTAATTTGAGAAACGTTGGCTTTATGCCACAGGATGCTAGAGGCAGAGAGATGAATTTGGAGGCAGTTGTAGAGGTCTGGGTTGAAAGATGTTAGTACTGGAGCCCCAGTAGAGGCAGGAGGAGGTGGAGTAGAGGGGAGGCAGTAGAGGGGAGAGAAGGTGGATTCTAGATTGTGTTATTATCTGATCCCAAGGACTTGCAATGTGGCTGCAGTGGTTGGCAATGGAGGGATTTTAGGTTGACTCTGGTTTCTGACTTGGGTAGCTGATAGCAAAGGTGTCATTCCCTGAGGAAGGGGTAAGGAAGTAGCCACAAGGTGAACAGGAGGAGATGCCGAGGTCAGTTTTTGTTTTGAGATGCTTGTGAAACATCAAGGTGTTTTGGAGTCGTAGGAATGGAGGTTTACAGCAGAGTTTAAGTTCATGTGATAGCCATGTTACCTGAAGGGATCTGGGCTTATGACTGAGAAGACAGGGCTCCAAAAGGGGTTCTAAAATTAAGACCGGGACATGAGGTCAGGAGTAAAGGGCCCTCAGAGGTGAGAGCTCATCCACCAGTAGTTGAGGAGCAAGCAGCCAAGAATTGGGGGTTCCATCCATGCCTCTTGAATTTCTCTAGACTGAAACTTACTATGTTTAAAACCAGAGGGTTAGAGGAGAAGCCCTTTTTTCCTTCTGAGAGCTTGTGACTCCTTGGGTAGATCTTTTGTTTTGTTTTTGTTGTTTTTTGAAAGCTGTTCTACAATGCTCATTTTATAAAAATGTATTAAACCCCTTATATTTATCCAGATACATTCACTGATAGTGATTTTGATTGGACTGATTTCCTTTTTAAGCCTAGAAATGTATACAAGCTTTAGAAAACAGGGAAAGAGTCATAGAAAAGTATTAAAAACACCTACAAAGCCAGGTGCAGTGGGGAACACCTGTAATCCTAGCACTGTGGGAGGCTGAAGTGGTCAGATTGTTTTGAGCTCAGGAGTTTGACACCAGCCTGGACAACGTGGCAAAACCCTGTCTCTACACAAAAATTAGCAGGGCGTGGTGGCATGCGCCTGTAGTCCCAGCTACCTGGTTGGGGGCTAAGGCGGGGAGCATCACTTGAACCCAAGAGGTGGAGGCCGCGGTGAGCTGAGATTGCTCCACTGCACTCCAGGCTGGGTGACAAAGTGAGACCTGTCTCAAAAATAAATAAATAAACACACACACACCCAAAAACCTATAAACTTGCCACACATTATTGGAGTTCTGATATATATAAATTTTTTTATTTCCATAGGTTATTGGGGGAACAGTTGGTGTTTGGTTATATGAATAAGTTCTTTAGTGGTGATTAGAGAGATTTTGGTGCACCCATCACCTGAGTAGTATACACTGCACCCAATTTGTAGTCTTTTATCCCTCACCCCCTTCCCACCCTTTCCCATTGATTCCCCAAAGTCCATTGTGTCATTCTTACGCCTTTGCATCCTCATAGCTTTGCTCCCACATATGAATGAGAACATACGATGTTTGTTTTTCCATTCCTGAGTTACTTCACTTAGAATAATAGTCTCCAGTCTCATCCAGGTTGCTGTGAATACCATTAATTCATTCCTTTTTATGGCTGAGTAGTATTCCATTGTATATATATATACCACAGTTTCTTTATCCACTCATTGATTAACGGGCATTTGGGCTGGTTCCACATTGTTGCAATTGCGAATTGTGCTGCTATAAACGTGCGTGCGCAAGTATCTTTTTTGTATAATGACTTCTTTTCCTCTGGGTAGATACCCAGTAGTGGGATTGCTGGATCAAATGGTAGTTCTACTTTTAGTTCTTTAAGGAATCTCCACACCGTTTTCCATGGTGGTTGTACTTGTTTGCATTCCCACCAGCAGTGTAGAAGTGTTCCCTGTTCACCGCATCCATGACAACATTGATTCTTTTTTAATTTTTTGACTGTGGCCGTTCCTGCAGGAGTAAGGTGGTGTCACATGGTGGTTTTGATTTGCATTTCCTGATCATTAGGGGTGTTGAACATGTTTTCATATGTTTCTTGGCCATTTGTGTATCATCTTTTGGTCCCATGTCTCCTTTACTCAGCTTCCCTCAGTGACATCTTGCAAAACCAGAGCGTAACATCCCAGCCAGGATATTGACATTGACGCAGTGGATACAGATCATTTCCATCAGCACAGGACCCTCCTGTTGCCCTTCACAGCCATCCTCATTACCCTCCTGCCCAGTTCCCTCCTTAGCCTCTGGCAACCACCAGTCTGTTCTTCATCCTCTGTAATTTTGTCATTTCAAGAATATTCTATGAATAGAATCACATAGCATGTAACCAGGAATTGGCTTTTTCAGCTTTTGCCTATTGTAAATGTGCTATAAATATTTGTGTGCAAGTTTTTTTGCAAATGTAAGTTTTTAGAATGAAGGCCCAAGAGTACAGTCGCCCTGTGTGTGTGTGTGTGTGTGTGCCTATTAAAAAAATAACGTTAGGATTATACTACATATATGCATAGTAGAATTTTATTACAAATTCATTTTAGTATAACTCCACAATGAAAAAACCATTTTTATACAGTGATTGTTTTCTGCACACTAAATTCCTAAATGTGGAAAGACTGGCTCGAAGAGTTTGAACATCTTTTTTTTTTTCTTGATAGACTTGGCCTGCATAGTGGGTATAAGCAACAAGAAAGCGTTCTAATTACACATCTTAGCATAACGAAAACAACAAGGATGCTTTTCTTTGTGCAGTAGATGTCCCTTAAAAATTATACAGAAAGTTTTCTTTTGTGAATAAACAAAGTACTGTAGTTGAGGATTTAAAGGAAATCTGTACCTGAGTCTATAAAATCACAGTTCCTGACCTTACATATAAATACAAATTTGAGGTCTGGTTTTCCCTTTTTTTTTTTGAGATGGAGTCTCCCTCTGTCGCCCAGGCTGGAGTGCAGTGGCACAATCTCAGCTCACTGCAACCTCTGCCTCCTGGGTTCAAGTAATTCGTCAACCTCAGCCTCCCAAGTAGCTGGGACTAAAGGCGCGCACCATGACGCCCGGCTAATTTTTGTGATTTTTAGTAGGGGTTTCACCACGTTGGCCAGGCTGGTCCCGAACTCCTCACCTCACGTGGTCCGCCTGCCTCGGCCTCTCAAAGTGCTGGGATGAGAGGTGTGAGCCACCGCACCTGGCTGGTTTTCCTTAATGTACAACTATCCTAGTATATTCTTGTGTGCGTGTGCGTGTGCGTGTGTGTGTGTGTGTATTAGCCGTTCCTTCCAACTGAGCTAACTTTGTGTGGCATTTAACTTTTTCCTCTTAAGTTACCAAGAGTGCTCAGGGCCTGGGTATCACCGAGGCCTTTCTGGTTGCTGAGTAGTTACTGTGAAAGTGTGTTCGTTGCGTCTGCACTGCTTGTTGTGTGGCATCTCCACTGGCAGATGTGCTGCTGGCACACTAGCCCCTGGATGTTTCAGACTTCTTGACTTATCCTGTTAGCCTGCCTGCAGCCCTGCGGCGCTGTCAGAAAGGTTTGAGCTGGATGGTTAGTATTTACCGCTCAGTGACTGGTCTGCCAGCAGCTTTATGATGTTGTGTGCACCATCCCTGATACTTTTGGGGGTGCGCGATTTGTGTACATGACGGCAGGAAGAAACCTTCCATTTTGGGAACAGCAGTGTTTGTGGCGATTGCTCCTCAAGAGGATTCAGAAGATTGCTTTCCTGTGGAGTTTCTGTTGAATTGCATCTTGCAGTGAGATTTATTCTTTATCTCTTGTCTCTAGAAAGTCTCGGTGCTGTGTTTGATGTTAGTGTTGCCCATGATGATGAGCAGGTAGAGAAGATTCTGTGCCCTCCCTAACCACTTATGTGCCTTTCATGTCCTTCAGGTCAGAAGCCAGGCAGCACCCAGGGCACAGGGGGCCCTTCCCAAGTCAGCCCCTGCTGCAGCCACGCTCAACCACAGATGCCCCGTGCCACATCACCCTTGCATCTGTGTCCCTCCTGGCCATTACCTGTCCCACATGGATCATCTCTATTGTGCCCTGGGCATTTCTACCATAACAGCCCCTACTGCACTGTCAGGATTGCCTATTTTTCAGAACCCTCAGTGGACTGTAAACTCTTCGCAGGGAGGGGCTGTTTAATTAATCATTGTATCCCCAGGGTCCAGCTAACAGGCCACCATGAGTGATTGAGGAAACTTAAAAGAGAGTAAATAAATGAAAAGTAATGGAATAAATGAGTGAGATTAAACCTAGTACACTGGGGCTGGGCATGGTGGTGTGCACCTGTAGTCCCAGTTAACTCTGTAGGCTGAGGCGGGAGGACTGCTTGAGCCCGGGAGTTCCAGGCTGTAGTTCACTCCAGCCTGGGTGACAGAGTGAGACCCTGTCTCAAAACAAAACAAAACAAAACAAACTTAGTGTACCAGGAAAGTGATGCAAAATCAGCTTGTCCTTCCTCCTCTCTACCCTGCCCTCTCCTTTGAAGGGTCACTGGGATTCTTTGCTTTTTTTTTTTTTTTTTTGGAGACAGAGTCTCTCTCTGTCATCCAGGCTGGAGTGCAGTGGCGCAATCTCAGCTCACTGCAACCTGCACCTCCTCGGTTTAAGTGATTCCCCTGCCTCAGCCTCCCAAGTAACTGGGATTACAGGCATGTGACACTGTGCCCTGCTAACTTTTGTTATTTTTAGTAGAGACGGGGGGTGGTGGTTTCACCATGTTGGCCAAGCTGGTCTTGAACTCCTGACCTCAGGTGATCCAAAATGCTGACCTCGTCTTCCCAAAGTGCTGGGATTATACCTTCTTTGCTTTTGACTCCATTCCCAGGGCATCCACCCTCAGCGATCTCTTTGCCTTCATCTTCATGATGTAATCACACCACGTTCTCTTTGTCAATTTAAAAGAGGAGCAACTCAAGCAAAGTGGAGGGCTAAGGGGACAGTAGCACCAGCAGTGGGCCAGGCAGGGGTGAGCTGTGTGCTGCCCTCACCAATCTAAGCCTCAGCATCTCTGCCGCGGAGATACTAATGCCTTTACCGTATACATTCGAACATCAATTCAGGGTGAGGAATGTGCCCAGGGACTCATAGCCAGTAAGGAAGTGGCGGAGCTGGAATTCAAAAGGCCATCTCTGAACACGTGGCCCTCTAAGGTCTGACTCTACCACGCATGCTTCCCCATGATACCAAGAAATTGAACTCTCCCTGTGCTGTGTGCTGTTGGGGAAGTTTCCTGACTTCTCTGATCCTCTGTGAATTCATCCTTTTAAAAATGAGCATCAGTATTACCTCCCCATCTGAGGATCAAATGAGGTAACATTAGCAATGTCTGATGCATGCAGCTGGCACTTAATAAACCCGTTCCCTCTGCTTGGCCCTCTTATTTTGTTTTGGCACCTAAAGGATACACTGGGCATTGAAAACCTGATGACAGTTTAAAGGACTTAATTTCACAAACTAGTTTGAGTCTTTGAAAAAGAAACTAACAATCTTTGTGTTATCTATACTTCATAGTTATCTAACAAAGTAGCAGAAGAGTTACGTATATAAAGATAACATTGGCTGGGCGCAGTGGCTCACGCCTGTAATCCCAACACTTTGGGAAGCCAGGGTGGGCGGATCACTTGAGTACGGGAGTTCGAGACCAGCCTGGCCATCATGGTGAAACCGCATCTCTACTAAAAATACAAAAATTAGCCAGGCTTGGTGGTGCTTGCCTGTAATTCCAGCTATCCGGGAGGCTGAGCCAGGAGAATTGCTTGAACCCAGGAGGCGGAGGAGGTTGCAGTGAGTCGAGACTGTGCCACTGCATTCCAGCCTGGGTGACAGTGAGACTCCGTCTCCAAAAAAACAAAAAAAGATAATGTTAACCCCTAGGCTATAGTAACTAGAGTGCCAAATCTCTGACAAGTTTGAGCTGAAAACAGGGCAGTATTGCTATTTTTTCCTCCGCACGCTAGCAGAGTAGACCTGTGTGAATTTCCTTTTGATTAGATTCCAATGAAATTCTCTAGGGGACTTGACGTTTTCTTGCCCCCAAATAATTTCTCCAGTCTTGTGAGGAAGCAGCAAAAACAATAGGAAAAGGCAGATTTGCAGTTAGGTGGATTGTTTTCTTCTTAGACTCTTCTTGGTTGCAAAGGAACGCCATAAAAGTATAAATTACTCAGTACAAAATAATCATGGAGCTTAAGCACGCATACACCAGTCATTGAAAGCACAGGGTCAGTGAAGCTGAACATAAGCTCGTTTTTGTTTACATGATTGCTAATTTCAGCCATATGTCAGGAGGCAGATATCTTAACAACCTTTGTTATTGATCACTACTTTGATTCATGAATTAAAGAGCCAATACACGAAAGGAGGAAAATAAGAGCGACATCCCCAGAAACAACGTGGAATTCCAGGAAAAATCTAAACGAGGCCAGCCAACTTCGTGCAAAGGGATTAAAATAGGAGAAGAGAGTGTTATGACAAATAGATTTTCATCAGAGAGCTTACAGGCAAGGTTGTCATAAAACATGGAGAACGCACACGCAGCCTCCCTTTGCCCGCTCCTTCCTCCCGCACAGGAGCTGTTCCGGAGAGTGTGTTCTCTCTCATCTTCAGAGCCTGGGCTCCTCCTGCCGCACTCCCTGAGACTCTTGCTTTTTCCTCATAGAATGCTCTGTGTTGTTCTTTGTATTCTGTTCCCCTGATAGGAATTGCTACCTTTTATTGTGTTCTTGTTGTATGCCAGTCACTGTGACTTTTACCTAGATTATTTTCCTTAGTTTTTATGGTAATTCTATGAGTTGTCTCTGATCATCATCCTTATTTTACAGACGGAGAAAATACTGGGCCAGAGAAATGAAAATCTTGTTTGTTGTCCTTAAGTTATAGGTAGCATAGATCTAGGAGAGGTCAATCCAGCTAGAAATGATTCTAAGGCCATGTTTGCCTCTTATTCCACTCTTTTTTGTTGTGTTTTTTTTTTTATTACTATGTTTTGTTTTTCGAGACTGAGTCTCATTCTATATCACCCAGGCTGGAGTGCAGTGGTGCAGTCTTGGCTCACTGTAACCTCCGCCTCCCGGGTTCAAGCGATTCTTTTGCCTCTGCCTCCCAAATAGCTGGGATTACAGGCACCCACCACCATGCCCGGCTAATTATTGTATTTTTAGTAGAGACAGGGTTTCACCGTGTTGACCAGGCTGGTCTCGATCTCCTGACCTGCCACCTTGATCTGCCCACCTTGGCTTCCGAAAGTGCTGGAATTACAGGCATGAGCCACCGTGCCCGGCCTGGTTTTGTTTTTTGAGACAGGGTCTCGCTGTCTTGTCCAGGCTGGAGTGCAATGACGTGATCTCAGCAAATTGCAATGTCCGCCTCCTGGGCTCAAGTAATTCTCATGCCTCAGCCTCCTGAATAGCTGGGATTACCGGCATATGCCACTGCATCCGGCTGTCCACTCTGCCTTTCTGTATGTATAATACCCATTTTGAGGGCCAGGACCATTCCTTCAGTATTTGTTGAGTCTGCCAGGGCTGGGCACTGGGGACAAGATGGGCTGGGTTCCTGCCTCAGAGTAGTGAAACGTGAAGTCAACTGAGAGGGTCATAGCTGGCATTTAAAAGAAATGAAATAGGATATAAAATATAGGGAGGCATCAAACGTTGTGATGCTGAGTGTTGTGTTAGGAAACTTTTGTTAAACTACAGTAGTTCACAGGGAAAAACATTTCTCACTGTGGGTCGTGGTCAGAAGAGTGTGAAAGATCCTGACCAAGAGGTTCCAGGGTGGGCGTGTGATGGCTTTTAAACAAGATAATGGATAAGTGATTATAATGTGTCATAAGGAGCAATGAGGACACACACGTGATAGAATAAGGAAGAGAGTGGCAGGGGTGCCTCTGGGCAAGACCACTGGTGTCTTCCGAGAGGATAGCATTTGAGCTGAGACCCCAAGGAGGAGAGTAGCAGGAAGACAGTTGCCCAGACATGGGAAGAGGTGCAAGATCCAGGGCCAGGAAGGAGCAAAGGAATATTCTCAGAAACAGAGATAGTGTGGACCATATTGTTTGACCATAATTAATGCAGTACAATTAGAAAATCTCAAAAATGTAAACAGTCTCCAATTCCTAGAAATCCTCCTCCTCCTCCTTAACTTGGGTCAAATAAAAACGAATGAATATAATATGACATAATATTGTCATGCTGATTTTGATTTACCTCTGTTCAGTGTTTTTATTTCTTCGATTGTTTTTGAAAGTTTTTTTGTTTTGTTTTGTTTTGTTTCTTTGAGACAGAGTCTTGCTCTGTTGCCCAGTCTGGTGTGTAGTGGTGTGATCTTGGCTCACTGCAACCTCCGCCTCCCGGGTTCAAGCGATTCTCCTGCCTCAGCCTCCTGAGTAGCTGGGACTACAGGTGCGTGCCACCACGCCCAGCTAATTTTTGTATTTTTAGTAGAGACAGGGTTTCACCATGTTGGCCAAGTTGGTCTCAATCTCTTGACCTCGTGATTCGCCTGCCTTGACCTCCCAAAGTGCTGGGATTACAAGCGTGAGCCACCGCGCCCGGCTGAAAGATGTTTTTATGATTTATGAAAAGTTTTACTTACAGGCATTGGCTTATTGTCATCATTTTTACTTAGTGTCTGGGTAGACATCTGGTTGTTTGGCATCTCAGGACATTTCTAGACCGTACTATTGTCATTTTGGGTAGTATTGGGTATCACTTTGATGTTTGGCAGCATTCCTGGTCTGTGCCCATTTAATGCCAGGTAGCACCCTTCTCCTCTCCCCCAAATTCTAACAACCAAAAATCTTTCCAGGTGTTGTCGAGTGTCCCCAGCAGTGGCGGGGGCGGGAAGGAGATTGAGAACCTCTACTCTAGGAGAAAAGCCAAGCTAGTGTGAGAGGAAGATGCTGTGCTTGAGAATACTCTGTATGTCATCTAGCGATTAGGGTTTTTATTTTTTCATTTTAATTTCCCTTCAGTTGGAAAAGTTAGGTTTTAAGACTGGGGGCTCCTAATGACTTGTAATAAAAGAAATCTGTGTATAAGCCCCTTCTCCAAGTTATGTTTTCAGTCGTATTGATCAGTTTCCTTTGTTCTGCCCCCACGCCAATCCAGTTCACCATGTTACCAGCGGTTTGTACTTCTAGAACAGAACAGTTTGTTCTCAGGTATCATTTTATCCAAGTGGATTTCTTGTCTGTTAATCCTCCATGTTTTGCTCATTCCTTCCCTCCTTTTCCATAGTTTATGCTCCATTAAAGTAACTCAGTTTATTCCAACTTGTGATTTTTAGAAAAACATCTTGTTACAGTATTGTGGCCCTTGTTTCCTTCAGGAAAAGTTCCATAAAAATAACCGCCCCCCGCCCCCCGCCCCCAGCCAGGCGCAGTGGCTCACGCCTGTAATCCCAACATTTTGGGAGGCCAAGGCGGGCAGATCACGAGGTCAGGAGTTCGAGACCATCCTGGCTAACACGGTGAAACCTGTCTCTACTAAAAATACAAAAAAAATGAGCTGGGCGTGGTGGCGGGCGCCTGTAGTCCCAGCTACTCGGGAGGCTGAGGCAGGAGAATGGCATGAACCCTGGAGGCGGAGTTTGCAGTGAGCCGAGATTGTGCCACTGCACTCTAGCCTGGGCGACAGAGTGAGACTCTGTCTCACAAAAAAAAAAAAAAAAAAATCCCCACTCCCCCCCCCCCCGCGCAAGATGGAGTCTTGCCCTGTCATCCAGACTGGAGTGCAGTGGTGCCATCTCGGCTCACTACAACATCTGCCCCCCGGGTTCAAGTGATTCTCATGCCTCAGCCTCTTGATTAGCTGGGATTACCGTCACGTGCCACCATGCCTGGCTAATTTTTGTGTTTTTAGTAGTGACGGGATTTCACCACGTTGGCCAGGCTGGTCTTGAACTCCTGGCCTCAAGTGATCTGCTGACTGCCTCAGCCTCCCAAAGTGCTGGGATTACAGGCGTGAGCTACTGAGCCCAGCCAGTAATGCCATTCTTTAAACTTAGAGTTTTCTTTCCTGCTGTATACCTTGCACGACTAATACCCTGCTAATTGTTGCACATAGAGGTGACTTTTGATAGTTCAAGAATCTCTCTTAAGAAATTCTTCAGTAAGATTGTGGGTCTCTTTAATCCTTTGAAATCTTTCCAAATTAGGCCGGGTGCGGTGGCTCACGCCTGTAATCCCAGCACTTTGGGAGGCCGAGGCGGGCGGATCACGAGGTCAGGAGATCGAGACCGTCCTGGCTAACACAGTGAAACCCCGTCTCTACTAAAAATACAAAAAATTAGCCGGGCGTGGTTGCGGGCGCCTGTAGTCCCAGCTACGCGGGAGGCTGAGGCAGGAGAATGGCCTGAACCTGGGAGGCGGAGCTTGCGGTGAGCCGAGATTGTGCCACTGCACTCCAGCCTGGGCGACAGAGGGAGACTCCGTCTCAAAAAAAAAAAAAAATAAAAATAAATAAAAAAGAAAAAAAAATATTTCCAAATTAAATCAGGTGTTCACTCACCCAATAATGTATTAAGATACTAGAACGCAGGGCGCTGGTTCTGTTTCTCACCTCCTTAGGGTTTCTCCTTTAATATTAATCCATCAGGCTGCCCCTGAATACCTGATGTAATTATAACCCCCAGGTACTCCTTAGTCCACCCTGACCTTCATTACGTTTCATAGACTCCATCACCACCTGCGATACTGTCTATTCACTTGTATATTTGTTTTTTATTTTCTTCCCTTGAATTGGAATGTAAGCTCGATCCCCAGTGCCTAGAACACACCAGCCAAACAATGTTTAAAAATTTGCTTGAATGAGTGATTTTCTAAATTTCTAAAATTTTTTCCTCATAGGAATTATTTGCTTGACTCGTTTTTTTTTTCCAACTTTTATTTTAAGTTTAGTTTGTCACGTAGGTAAACGTGTGCCGTGGTGGCTTGCCGCACACGCCATCCCATCACCTAGGTCTTAAGCCCAGCATCCATTAGCTATTCTTCCTGATGCTCTCCCCAAATTTCTAAATGTATCTGATCCTTATTTAGCACCTTCTGAATGCCAGACAATGTTCTAAGGTCTTTACCAACTGGAGCCCACCTCTGAATGGATGGTTTATCCTTGCTTTTCCTCCACAAATACATTTTTCTCTACTATTCTTTTTTTTTTTTGAAATACACATTGTTTTGAGCAGCTGCAATCCTGTATCTTGAAATAATGCTTTTTTTTTTCCCCCTCTTCCTAGCCTTCTGTTTTATTCATGTAGCGATTGTCTCCCGTCATGATTCTGTCTTCCTGTGGTCCTGAGAAGGAATGGTTCTAGTTCTCTTGATTTTTCCACCCCTGGAATGGGCATGCGTAATGTGCTCCTGAAAATAGGAGGAAAGGGGCCGGGCGCGGTGGCTCACGCCTGTAATCCCAGCACTTTGGGAGGCCGAGGCAGGTGGATCACGAGGTCAGGAGATCAAGACCATCCTGGCTAACACAGTGAAACCCCATCTCTGCTAAAAATACAAAAAATTAGCTGGGCGTGGTGGTGGGCGCCTGTAGTCCCAGCTACTCGGGAGGCTGATGCAGGAGAATGGCATAAACCTGGGAGGTGGAGGTTGCAGTGAGCCAAGATCGCGCCACTGCACTCCAGCCTGGGTGACAGAGCGAGACTCCGTCTCAAAAAAAAAAAAAAAAAAAAAAAAAAAAAAAAAAAAAAAAAGAAAATAGGAGGAAAGGAAGTCAAATGTATGAAGGTGGGGAACTCTAGTTTACAGGTTATAGCCCTATTTTTCAGTGATGGTTTCCAGCTCTGAACTGTTCACTTGGGCTATACATGATTTTGCTATTCCTGGTGCATCAAAAAAGACAATGAAATGTGTACATAGGATGTACACATAGGAGGTACACATAGGATGTACACATTTCATTGTCTTTTTTGATGCACCAGGAACAGCAAGATAATTACATAGGATGTAAACATTAAGTCATTTTATATATATACCTTATATAGATATTTTATACATACATATACATACATATACAAAACATTTTATATATTATATATTATACATTATATGTATATAAAACATCTTATATATTATATATTATACATATATGTATATAAACATCTTACATAATATATTAGGATATAAGGTATCTTAAGATATAAGATCTTATATAATATATATAAGATGTTTTATATGTATAGATGTATAATATATAATATATAAGATGTTTTATATATGTAAAATACATATAAGATATATGTATTACATATAAGATGTTTTATATGTGTGAAATATATACCATACACATTATATGTAATAAGTATGTGTATATTACATATATGTAAAATATAATTAGTGTCTGTGTTTTGTAGTGTCTTAAGTATTATGTATGATTATTTCCAGAAAGCAGAATATGTATCTATAAATACAAGTAAAAATTATAATATTCTAAATCTTCAAAATCTGGATTTCTCAGTATACCTAGAGTGACAGTTAGTAGAAGCTGTTTGTTTTCACGTTGAGAAGGACTTGCTGTTGGTGAGTTTGCAGGGGCTGGAGAGGGAGATAGTTGTGCTGGCTTCAGTGCCCTGTCTTCTTGCTTAGAAGAAAATTTGGGAAGGGAACTCGAGTTGCGCTGGCAGGAGCCTTGAGTCAGCAGAGTGAGATGAGACCTCAGGTGTGTGCCGGGAGCTGGCAGGTGGCATGGGCCCTACTTTATACTACTTGGTTGGCCGAGAGTTGACCAGCAGGCAAGTTCTGTTTCTGCCCCACCCTGGTCGGCACTTTTCTTTGGAAGACGCAAGTACCTGTCTGGTTGTAGCTCTTCTGAAAATGTGCCTGGATTGGCATCATGGGGATGTGGCGTGCTAGGGGAAGGCAGGGCATTCTAGCTATTTAACTTCTGGGAATTTCTAGGTTGCCCCAAGGCTGCTTTGACTCTGGCCTAAGTTTCTGTTTCTTAACTTTCTTCCATGGTGTTGATGACTTAAAATGAAGGGTCTACATGTTTCTTCACTCTTGAATGTCCTTGTGCCTTCTGGGTGCGAAGCACTTCTACCCTGCTCCCTAGGTGGCCCCAGGCCTCTGCCAGCCCTGTGGGGCTCATGTGGCAGGGTTGGCCACCTTACCATGAGATGGGGCCACTAGGACTGTCTCCTCTCCTGGTGGATGTCTGAGCCCAGGAAGCAGCTGGGGACAGTGGCTTTTCTTCATAAGAGACGGGTGGGTCCCTATCTTGGCCTCGAGCAGTTTCTCAGGACTGGCTTGACCAACTCTAGTGGTTCATGTGGCAGAAATGCTACTGCTGAAGTTGTAATTTTTCTCTAGAAAAATGAAACATGCCATTTGTCATGGCTCATGAAAAAAAACCATTGGATTGGTACTTTTGCATTTCTTAGTGTGTCATTCTCCTTTGCAATAACATACCATTTGTTGCCATGTAGGCAGCCAGTCAGTATCTAAAAATAGCCTCTCCAATAAAAACATTCCACACATATGATTGCAGAAAATTGTTTTGTGTGCACACATGCACATGCCAGTTTGTGCGTGTCTGAAGGCTGAGCACTTTTCATGTTATTTAACATCCTTTTTTTTTTAAATCTCTTGATGTTTTTATTTTACTTAAAGGAGGATTGTAATCCAAGTATTTAAAAACTACCAACTCTAGTAAATGAGTAAATACAGAGTGGAACTCCGCAATCAAATGATTTTGTTATTGCTTGAGTTTGTAAAGCTGGTCAAGCTTTGGTCAACAGATGGAGCTTAATGTGATGTGGTTAATCCTGAACCAAATCACTTAGGACGAAGAGCACTGAGTAGACATTAGAAATCCATGCAAATTCAGCAATCTGACGGTACCAGAGTCACCTTATGTACATGCTATAACATGTCTGTAGCGCTCATTGCTGTTTTTGGAATTTTAAAGAAGATAGGTTCTTGAGCAAACAAAAAAACCAATTTTATTTTAAATCAGAATGCATTTGTTCTGCCGAGAGAGTACACAAATGCTATATATCCTGGTTGAAAGGGAATATTGTCCAAGGAGATTTTCTAAACATTCCTGTGATGATGCGTTCCAGTCTTTGAAAAGATATATAGACTATTTAATCAATATGAACGTATACCATATTTAAAGTACTTAAATTAATAATTAAATGGAATAACTATTATAAAGCTTTGAAATTATGTGATTCAATATGAAACATTATATAGGGAAACCAAATTACTTTCTAAAACTTAGAAAGTTTCTTAATTGTTACTGATTTATATCAAATGGAGAAATAATGCAGAGAAGTGAACTATAAGTTTATAATTTCTGTGATTCCCAAAAGATGGTTCATACTTGAACTAATATCTTTTAGGAACATCTAATAGCAATGGTCAAAATAATTGCTTCTTTTAGAAATATATAGGTGACAGCTGGGCTCTGTGGCTCATGCCTGTAATCCCAGCACTTCTGGGGGGCCAAGACAGGTGGATTGCTTGAGCCCAGGGGTTTGAGACCAGCCTGGGCAACATGACAAAACCCTGTATCTAAAAAAAAAAAAAATGCAAAAATTAGCTGGCTGGTGGCACATGCCTGTAGTCCCAGCTCGGGAGGCTGAGGTGGGAGGATCACTTGAGTCTCAGAGGTGGAGGCTGCGGTGAGCTGTAATCATGCCACTGCACTCCAGCCTGAGTAACAGAGTGAAATCATGCCTCAAAACAACAACAACAACAAAGATATGTGTATATATATATATATACACACACACACACACACACACACACACACGCACACACACACACACACATACATACACACACAGAGAGAGAGAGAGAGATAGGTGACATAAAATGAAAGAGATTTTTGCGATATATTTTTGATTGTCCAATTTAGAATCTTTTTCCTGAAATTATACTGAGATTGTATTGTCAGTTTGGGAAACTTGTGTGAAAAATCACTTACTGCTGATAATGAAATAATTGAATTCCTCTCCCTCCCTCAGGTATTCACTTACAAGCAGAGCACAATTACCCACCAGAAGGTGACTGCTATGCACCCCACGAACGAGGAGGGCGTGGATGACATGGCGTCCTTGACAGAGCTCCATGGCGGCTCCATCATGTATAACTTATTCCAGCGGTATAAGAGAAATCAAATATATGTAAGTTCCACTTGTAATTCCTTTAAAAAGATCCTCACGTTTGAGTGAATGCTTATTTTTGTTTTCAGAGAGTATTTCTTGCCTTTTGAGAATTCTTGTTAATCTAAGTAAAATTATGTTTTCAAGGGATTTGCCACATTAGAAACTTGGGTCAAAAATCATGTTTTCCTAGAGTTTATTGCCTAGGTTTTATTAGTGGGGATTTACTTTCTGTGGAAGGGCCTTCTGCACATCGAGGTAGTTTGACCTTGCTGCTTGTGAATACGCTGTGTTGTGTTCAGTTTCTAAGTGTTCTGCCACGGAAAGAAGTCATGGAGTTGTAGACTGACCGAGGGAAAATGTTGACTTGTGGACATGAGTACTTGAGCTTAAGCTGTCTTTTCTGGATTTTTCTCTTTCTGTGGATTTTCAGTCATTTTTCTGGCTCTGAAGCCCACCCTAGGGTGATAACTTGCATTCAAGGGAACCCATCTTTCTAAGTTGTGGGATTCCTGTTTGCTATTTTGAATGGAGAAATACATAAAAAGTGGTCATGCACATTTTTCTCTCAACTTCTATGAAATGTGACTATACCTGTATTATAAAGTGATATTTAAGAATCACTTGTTATAAATTTTTGACGTGAAAGTACAGATACTGCATTATCTGTCAAGATCAGTTGACCTGCAGATTTTCTCCCCTTTTCCATCTGCCTGTTTGCAAGTCTTTATAGGAAACTAAAGGCAACTGGTTATGTATGTTTATTTCTCTTGTCCAGCTCAAATTTATATAGTTTTTAAGCCAAAATTATAATACTTTAAAAACTCTTGATCTTTTAGTCATTTTTATTCTTTAGGAGTTACATTTCTTTGCCAATATGTTTGTGATTATGATTAATAATAAATTAGCCTTTGCCAGGTGCTGTGGCTCACACCTGTAATCCCAGCACTTTGTGAGGCCGAGGTGGGCGGATCACGAGGTCTGGAGTTTGAGACAAGCCTGACGAACATGGTGAAATCCCATCTCTACTAAAAATACAAAAACTAGCTGGGCATGGTGGCACATGCCTGTAATCCCGGCTACTCAGGAGGCTGAGGCAGGAGAATTGCTTGAACCCGGGAGGCAGAGGTTGCAGTGAGCCAAGATCGCGCCACTGCACTCCGGCCTGGGTGACAGAGCGAAACTCTGTCTCAGAAAAAAAAGGCCAGGTGCGGTGGCTCACGCCTGTAATCCCAGCACTTTGGGAGGCTGAGACGGGCGGATCACGAGATCAAGAGATCGGACCATCCTGGCCAACATGGTGAATCCCCGTCTCTACTAAAAATACAAAAATTAGCTGGGCGTGGTGGCGTGTGCCTGTAATCCCAGCTACTCGGGAGCCTGAGGCAGGAGAATCGCTTGAACCTGGGAGGCGGAGTTTGCAGTGAGCTAAGATCGCACCACTGCACTCCAACCAGGCGACAGCAAGACTCCATCTCAAAAAAAAAAAAAAGAAAAATCAGCCTTAAAATGGATAGTAGGTGCTAATTGAAACTCAAGGCATGCTTAATATTCAGGTTCTTCCAATTTATCTACCCTTAGACTGAGAAAGGAGCTGGGAAAGAGAAAGAATTATATATTTATGGGTTTAAACTGCTAAATTTTCCTCAGTTAAAAAAAAAAAGAGTGTATTTGCCTTTTTTTTTTTTTTTTGAGACAGAGTCTCACTCTGTCACCAGGCTGGAGTGCACTGGCACTATCTTGGCTCACTGCAGGCTCCGCCTCCTGGGTTCAAGTGATTCTCCTGCCTCAGCCTCCCGAGTAGCTGGGACTACAGGCGTGTGCTACCACGCCCAGCTAATTTTTGTATTTTCAGTAGAGACAAGGTCACCATGTTGGTCAGGATGGTCTCGATCTCCTGACCTTGTGATCCGCCCGCCTCGGCCTCCCAAAGTGCTGGGATTACAGGCATGAGCCACTGTGCCCCGCCCTTTTTTTTTTTTTTTTTTTACACTGTGAAAGTGTCATTTTTGTCAAATCGACCTAATGTTTGCCAAATGTTTTCAAACAGCCCTGTCCAGAGAAATTCAATCATGCTGTCTTCCTCTGACTTGCTGAGCTAGCTTGTCCTGTCTTTAGATTAAAATATTTTCCATATGTTCAGAAAAGGTAATGTTTATACCTGTTGGTGTGAAAGTGGCGATGCATTCTGTGTTTTGCATGAGCTGGCATAATGTGCATTTATTTCTCTGTTCTCATCTCAAAGATCCCCTTGTAGATGACCAGTGAACCACCTCTTTCCCATAGAATACCACTGCATAGGTATCCACATGACCGCTGCACTGTGCGTGTGTTGTTATTATTAAATATTTGACACTGTCGTGTAACTATTTGTTTACATAGCAGTTTCTTTGCTAGGTTTGTCAAGGACTTATTTTGTCTTCCTGGAACCAAGGACACTGCCAGGCACCTGGTAGTTGTGCAATAAATGTTTATAAAATAAATGCCATTCATATTACAAAGTCTTGTAGTTGATAAAATGTGAACCTGGATTTTAAAATTTTTTATTGGTGTATGTCTCTTGTAGGTGCAGATAGGTTGAATATACCTAATCCAAAAACTCCAAATCCACAATGCTTCAAAATCCAAGACATTTTGCATGCTGATGTGTTGCTGAAAGGAAATGCTCATTGGGAATATTTTGGATTTTGAATTTAACTTAAATTATGCTTAACCAGTACATAGTATGCAAATATTCCAAAATCCAAAAAATATTGAAATCCACAACACTTTGTGTCCCAGGCATTTCACACAAGGGATGCTCAATCTATATTTTGAAACTCATACTTTGCTGTCATTAGAGAAAAAACACAAGTTTGTTTTTTTTTGTAATAGTGTCTTGCTATGTTGCCCAGGCTAGACTCAAACTCCTGAGCTAAAGTGATCCTCCTGCCTTAGCCTCCTGAGTACCTGGGATTACAGGCACGTGCCAGCATGCCCACCTAGACACAAGTTGTTATTGTACATTTTCAATAGTCAAGAAAAAGTAAGTAAATTAGAAGGAAAAAAAAACTACACAAGGGTTTAAAAGGCAGACCCTTTTAAAAAGTTTTTTATTTATTTTCCTCTTTTCATGATAATAATGTTAAACCTGACAGCTAAATTGCCAATACATACTATGAATAAGATCTTGGTCTTGGAATAAGGTCATATTCTTCCTTTCTAAGGGGAAACCCGTAGGATTTTTGTGCATCCAATTTGCAGTTCAGTTCAGTTAATTATGCCATTGTAGACCTTCCGTTTGAGGCTTGCAAAATTGTATATTATCCATAAAGCAGCCACCATGATTTTTTAAAATTATCATTGAAGCCATTCACCGGAGATGTCAGCGTCTGTTGGACTCCGCTCACATCGAGACAAGACCGCCACCTGTCAGAACAGCCACTGCTTCTCCACATTTGATCCTGGCTCGGAGCAATGCCTGTCTATATCTTTAAAAGAGAAAAAAAATAAAATGACTTGAATTGTTCCAGAGATGTTGCATTAGTTTTCTTTTGCTGGATAACCAGTTACCATAAGTGTACCAACTTAAAAAAACAAAACGGCCAGGCACAGTGGCTCACGCCTGTAATCCCAGCACTTTGGGAGGCCGAGGCGGGCGGATCACGAGGTCAGGAGATCGAGACCATCCTGGCTAACATGGTGAAACCCCGTCTCCACTAAAAAAAAAAGTACAAAAAAATTAGCCGGGTGTGGTGGCGGGCGCCTGTAGTCCTAGGTACTCGGGAGGCTGAGGCAGGAAAATGGCGTGAACCCGGGAGGCGGAGCTTGCAGTGAGCCGAGATCGCGCACTGCCCTCCAGCCTGGGTGACAGAGCGAGACTCCGTCTCAGGAAAAAATAAATAAATGAAGATTACAGTTCTGTAGGTTGAAAGTCCCATAAGTCTCACCAGCAGAAATCAAAGGGTCAGCAGGGCTGCGTCTGTTTCCAGATGCTCTAGAGGAGGATCCGTTTCCTGCTCATTGTGTCGTTGGCTGAATTCAGTTACTTGCAGTTGGAGGACTGAGGTCCTTGTTTTCTTGCTGACTGTCACCTGAGGGCTGTTCCCAGCTTCTAGAGGCCGCTCACATTCCCTGGTCTCCTGATCTGTGGCTCCCTTTCTTCATCTTCAGTGCCAGTAACCATGTATTGTTTCCCTCTCATGGCTTCAAATCTTTCCTCCTTCTCCTCCACTGTCTTCTTTCTCTCTCTCTGACTGCAGCCAAGAAAGGCTGTCTGCTTTTAAGGCCTCACATGATTAGATTGGGCCTCCCTGGATGATCTCCCCATCTCAGGCTTCATAACCATAATCACCTGTGCAGAGCCCCTTTGCCATGTGACATTATCTAGTCACAGGCTCTGGGATGAGTGTGGATGGATGTCTTTGCGGGAGGAGCCATTATTCTGCCCACCATACGTGTCCTCCTTTTTTTGTTGTTGTTGGTTTTTTTTTTTTTTTAGAGCCAGGGTCTCACTTTGTCTCCTGGGCTGGAATGCAGTGACATGATCGCTGTTCCCTGCAGCCTCTAACTCACTCCTGGGCTCCAGTGATCCTCTCGCCTGAGTATATATATAGTACTACAGTATATAATATATAGGACTATAGGTGTGAGCCACTGCACTTGGTTAATTTTTAAGTTTTTTTAATTTTTTTAAATTTATAAAACATTGCTATGTTGCACAGGCTGGTCTTGAACTCCTGGGCTCAAGTGATCCTCCCTCCTGGGCCTTCCAACGTGTTGGGATGACAGGCATGAGCCTCCGCATCCAGCCAGGTACTCTCCTTTGAGTCATATCATTGAGGAGGGACTCCTGTGGCATTTTCCCCCTGCTGGCGTCTGGATGTTTCATTATTTGTTGACTTTCTGTTCTGAGCTGTCAGGTTCCATGGGTTGCTGGCAAGTGGCTCATCGCCAGGTAGAGAGGCTGCCATTCTTTGCTAAGGAGTAATGTTAGCTTTTTCTCCTTGGGGACTGGTCTTTTTATCTGAGAACTTTGTCAGAAACCAGGAAAATATTTTTTTATTGTAGCTTTTGGCATCTTCTATTGAAATGGGGTAGAAAGTGATAAAAAAAAAAAAAAAATAAAAGCACCCAGAATAGTCAAGTTAGAGTTGATCTTCCCTTTTCTTCACTAACCTCCTCTTTGGCTCCGTATTGATAATTGAATCTTTCTGAACACCAGTTTTTAAAATAAACGTGTTTTCAAAGGTCAGATATCATAATCCCTCTTAACAGGGATGTTTTAAAGTAAAAGAAGTGAAAGCTCTGGGAACTTTAACCTTTGTACCTTTGTCTCCATCTTAGCCATCTCATAGCAACAAGTGTTTATTTAGAAAGTTCCTGCCTCGAACTTGGCTCCATTTTAAGGGGGATTTGGAAGAAGTTTACAGCATCATCCCTAGCCTCAAAGCTTGCAATTTAGTGGGGAGATAACACCAAGGCCAGCTCACAGCACATGGCCTTGGATAGCTGAAGTCCTGTCATTGAGGGTTATGTGATGATGACACAGGCTTGGGTTTGAGTGTGCTTATGAAGCCCCTGAACCTTACCGCTGGGCCCTTTAGCTATTCCTGTGGGTGCATTCCTGTCCCAGGCTTGTCGCTGAGGGGACAGAGGCCGTACCGAGTTTGATGCCAGTGTCCATAGGTCTGGACTGCGTGGTTTAAGCTGCAGTGCCTGGGTTAGAGCCCCTCTGCGCTGGCTGTAACTGCCTGTGCAGAAGCCCGGCCTTCTATGCCCCTGTTAGATTCTCTTCCTGGAACCCCAGGCTCTTCCTGCCTGAGACTTCCCCTCATCAATCTTATCCTTCCTCTGGCCACTTCAAGACTAGAGCCCTGCTCTGCTCCCAGTTCCCAGCCAGGGGCCCCAGGTTTCCACCCTGAACCTCTTGGCTATGGGTTTGCTGCCTTGAGGAGAGGGGGTTGGCTCTCTCCTGATTGTCCCCTTCCTTGGAATGGGTCTGATGAGGGCCTAGACTTCTTCATCTCCTGTCACCGCCTGCTAAGACCTGGCAAGGGCAAATACCCGCTAAGGAGAGGAGGAGCAGGGTATGTGTTTGTGGTACAGAGACATAACCTATGTGTGGCTCAGGAAGCCCTATGGAGGTGGTGGTGGTGGTGACGCTACAAAGGCATGAGATCAATCAGGGTTGAGTAGAAAGCCTGGCATGGTGGCTCATGCTTGTAATCCCAGCTCTTTGGGAGGCTGAGGCGGGAGGATCGCTTGAGCCCATGAGTTCAAGACAAGCCTGGGCAATTTGGCGAAGTCCCATCTCTACAAAAGATTGCAAAAATTAGCCAGCCGTGGTGGCGTGCCCCTGTAGTCCCTTCTACTCAGGAAGCTGGGGTGGGAGGATTGCCTGAGCCGGGGAGGTTGAGGCAGCAGTGAGCCGAGATTGTGTCACTGTACTCCAGCCTGGGCAACAGAGCAAGACCCTGTCTCAACAAAAGAGAAAAAGAAAAGAACTGATGAGAAGGAAAGGCCAGTGAACACCATACATGAAGATGGAGAGCTGAGAGTGAGCTTGATGCGGCCTCATCGCAGCGGGAGAAGGCTGTCTTTGCTCATGGAATCAGATGCTGGCTGGGGAATGTGCAGAAATTAGGTGGGATGGGCAGCCTGAGGTTAGAAGCCTTAAACCATTGGTTCCCCACCTAGGATGATTCTGCCGTGGGGACATTTTGTAATATCTAAAAGACATTTTTGGTCTCATAGCTACGGTCAAGCGACGCTACTGGCATTTACTGAGTAGAGGCCAGGGATGCTGAGAAACATCCCGGAGTGCCTGGGGCAGCCCCAGAGTCATCTGGCCTAAGATGTCAGTGGTGCCAGAACATCCCCCCCCCACTTACCATCAGCTCACCTGGAAAGTTTGGGGCTGATGGTACACAGACCCCACTATATTTGTTAAAGTTTTCTTTTTGTTTTTTTTTTTTTTTTTGAGACAGAGTCTTGCTCTTTCGCCCAGGCTGGAGTGCAGTGGTGCCATGTCGGCTCACTGCAACCTCTGCCTCCTGGGTTCAAGCAATTCTTCTGCCTCAGTCTCCTGAGTAGCTGGGATTACAGGCATCCGCCACCACACCCGGCTAATTTTTGTATTTTTTTGTAGATACAGGGTTTCACCACGTTGGCCAGGCTGGTCTCGAACTGACCTCGGGAGATCCACCCGCCTTGGCCTCTCAAAGTGTTGGGATTACAGACGTGAGCCACTGCACCTGGCCTTTATTTTGTTTTAGAGACAGGATCCCGCTCTGTCACCCAGGCTGGAGTGCAATGGTGTGATCATAGTTCTTTGCAGCCTTGACCTCCCAGGTCAGCCTCTAGAGCAGCTGGGACTACAGGCACGCACCACCACGCCTGGCTAATTTTTAAATTTTTGTCAAGACTGGGATCTTGCTATGTTGTCCAGGATGATCTTGAACTCTTGACCTCAAGCCATCCTCCCACCTTGACCTCCCAAAGTGCTGGGATTTATAGGCATGAGCCACTGCACCCAGTCTGTTTAAAGGTTTCTGAAAGGAGAATTTCTCTAAGAAAAATTTCAGAAGATTTAAGAGGGAAGTGATATGGCTGAGATGAGAAAGGACAGATGGGCTGAGGGCGTGTTGCAGTAATTCAGTAGGGGAGGGCTGAGGGTTTTAGACCAGGGTAGAGATGGGAGAAAAGTCATGGGGACTGTAGGGAGGGAGGTGATGGAAGAGGCTCCATGTCACTGTCTCCCGGTCTTGTCAAGTGCTGTGGCTGTGAAAACGTGGCACCGTCCTGGAAGCTCCTGAGCAGAGTGAGAACAAGTGTTTTTTAGGTGCCTGTTTTCTGTCTTCCTGTGCTCTCTGGCCCTGGATCATCTCAAATTATTATGTACCCAGCATCTAAGCACAGTGTTGACAAGAGCAGGAGAGGTTTCTGTTGCACCGAAGGCAAGCTCAGTGGCCAGAGTGGAAGGGCTGCCAGGTTCCGAGGCGTGGCAGTTTTGTTTCCTGCTGAATGGAAGAGAAGCACATTCTCTTCATTACAGGGATTGTGGAGCTCTGGGTCAGTTGCGCAGAGGAGACTCCTCTCCCAGTCTCTAAGGAATGGCTCAAAACCACATCACGGGGAGAGCTGCAGGGAACTTCAGCGGTCGCCTGCAATTATGGTGTTGAGGCTGGCTCCAGAGGAAGCTCTTCCCTGTTCCACCCAGCCTTTTGGTTAGTTTGTTTGTCTTGCCGAACAAACAGCACAGAGATCAGAATCAAAGGAGCCAATTTTAAGAAATGGGGCTGTTTCTAAAGATAAATGCTTCAGTAAGCACGAACTATGCTTCACAGCTAATGTATTTTTAGATGTTTCAAAAATATCCTCCTTTGGTTAGGTGGCATTCCAGCCCAAATCTGCAAATGTGTTTGATGTTGCTTCTGAATTAACTTTGAAGCCTGCATCTGTCAGGCAAAATGTGTTAGCAGGCATCAGCCAGAGAAAGGCCTATTGATTTTAGCAGCCGGTTGAACAGAGTTCACCTGCAGGGAAGTCACGGCCTGCTTGCCATGTGAAGGCTGGGCATACCCTGCCGTGGACTGGACTGTTTGGGAATCTTGCAAATTGAAATCTGTGTTTCATTTTCTTGAGTTGAGTCTTCCCAAGGTAGACTTGGTTGGCTTGTTTACATCCCTTTCCAAGGCTCGAGTCAAGTCACAGCGCGCCTCTCACGGAGGCAGCGTGGCCTGAAGGCCGCGTGGTTGGTTGGTTAGCACTGCCTTGGCATTGGGGTGCCCTTGGGACAGATGAACGCAGTGCAGTTTGAACACACTTGGGGCAGATGAACACAGTCAGGACTTTCTGGGTTTTTTTGGCTTTTTTTTTTTTCCACATGAAATCAAGACTCGTAGCCAAAAGATGATTGTAACCATCTGTCTGACTATATGTATTTTAAAACTTTACCAAACATTTATGCTCCGGAGTGGCCGCTTCCACATCAGCACATGAGAGTGGCAATTTGAAACTTGTTTTTTTGTGATTTTTTTTTTTCTTCCTTGTCTCTCTTTGGGTTTAGATTCCTTTCAAGGCTGGGCGTGGTGGCTCATGCCTGTAATCCCAGCACTTTGGGAGGCCGAGGCAGGCTGATCACAAGGTCAGGAGTTTGAGACCAGCCTGGCCAACATGGTGAAACCCCATCTCTACTAAAAATACAAAAATTAGCCAGGCGTGGTGGCGGGTGCCTGTAGTCCCAGCTACTTGGGAGGCTGAGGCAGGAGAATCGCTTGAACCTGGGAGGAGAAGGTTGCAGTGAGCCGAGATTGTGCCACTGCACTCCAGCCTATGCAATAGAGTGAGACTGTCTCAAAAATAATAATAATAAAAAAGATACATTCCTTTCAATCAGGAGAGAATTTTAGTCAGAAAGTCACTCAGGTGAAATGGAAATGCCAGCCTCTACCTTGAAGACCTTGACTTCAGTTAACAGCTTGTCTCTTGAGATGGTTTAATTTTCAACAAACTTGAATGCTTCACGATTTTTAAAAAATTGTTTCTAAGTGTTTATTTTTTATTTTTATTTATTATTATTTAGACCTCACTCTTTTGCCCAGGCTGGAGTGTAGTGGTGCGATCATAGCTCACCACAGCCTCCAACTCCTGGGCTCAAGCAGTCCTCCTACCTCAGCTTCCCAAGTAGCTGCGACTATGGGTGCGTGCCACCACAGCCAGCTAATTTTTTGTATTTTTAAAATTTTTTGTAGAGATGGAGGCTTGTCGTGTTGCTCAGGTTGGTCTCAAATTTCTGGCCTCAAGCGATCCTCCCACCTGGGCTTCCTAAAGTGCTGGGATTACAGGCATGAGTCACTACACGTGGCTGAAATGTTTCTAATTGTTTAATTGGACAACATCAGACAATTGGGTTATGTAGAAGATAGTGGGCATAAAGCACTAGAAGACAGTTAAAACATGAATTTATTTGGTGGATTGGTGGTGAAATCATGTGTCCTCAGCATATCGATGCTGATGCCGCCCTGCCTGGGTACCAGGCTCTGTGTTAGGCTCCAGGGATGCAGAATGACTCTGGCTTACAGGAATGGCTTGTTGAAAGACTGAGTAAATGAAAGGTCCCTAATTGATTAGTGAAGACAGACACAGGCAAACGATGAACAATAGCTCAGGGTGACAATGGGTGTGATAAAAATACATGGGAACACAAAGAAGGAGCGTCACAATGAGGAGGGGATGAGAGGGTCAGAAAATGATTCCTCACTGAGGTGCTATTAATAGTTGGCCTGAGTTTTGAGCATATGTAGAGGAATTTGGCCAAGAAGGAGGATAGCTGTCCTGGCAGCAGATCATCATGTGGAAAGACGGAAATATTGTGATGCATTGTTATTTAATATCCAACGCAGGACATTCTAGATGCCAGAACAAAGGTTGCATGCTGCTGGCTGGCAAGGCGGTCGAGAGCAATGGAGGAAGGAATGGCTCTGTGCAACTCAGTGAGCTTGAACGGACTCATGAAAGCTGTAGGGGATAACTTTAAGCATGCGTTTTGGGGAAGCGTCACTTGGTCACAGGGTGGTGGATGAGAAAGGAGGGGCTTCCAGTTAGGAGGGGTTACTGTGTGAGATACCGAGAGGTAGATGCTAAGTGTTTAACTGGGTTTGGGGGCCAAGTAAGCTGAATTTCTGTAGGATTACTGGATTACTCATTTGGGTAGGCTGTGGTGCCATTTGTCAAGTTGTCACTATGTGTGAAGTAACAGGTGTTTGGGGGAGGTTAGCCATGTCTGTTGAGCTTGAGCCAGTGGACCACTGAACATATGGATCTGTAACTTACAGCTGAAGTTGCACTCAAGATAAAGATTTAGGAAGTAAGTCACTGCCGTATTTAGCCGAGGTGTTTGAGAGAGAAGGAAACGGGGGGATGGTGAGTACGAAATAAATCTGGATAATGGATCTCACTTCTTAACAACTCTTCCCTTTAGCTGCCATAGCACAGACTTTAAATAACCCATTTCCCCAGTGCATTTCAAATTGTATCTTCTACATCCAGCTTTTCAGGACTACATGACGAAAAGCATTGTGGTTTTATTTTCATTAACAATAGCGATGATACATACCTCTGATTTCTGTAGCACATAGCGGTCATGTGGGGTAACAGAGGATCCCTTGTTGTTACTGATCAGAATCTTAGTCCCGGGGGAGTGAAGCAGTGCCAGGGGAGGTTCTTCAGGGCTGTGGACTTGGTGTCTTCTGACTTGACCAAACCATGCTGTTTAGATGAGTTATTTCTGCATTGGGATTGTGATATCCAACCTGGGTCCCTTGGTCTCTATAAGCATCCTGTATGAGGCCACTGAGTCACTTTAAGTTTTCTCAGTTATACTTGATTTTTTTTTTTTTTGAGACGGAGTCTTGCTCTGTCGCCCAGGTTGGAGTGCAGTGGCACTATCTTGGCTCACTGCAAGCTCCTCCTCCTGGGTTCATGCCATTCTCCTGCCTCAGCCTCCTGAGTAGCTGGGACTACGTAGTAGGCGCCCGCCACCACGCCCAGCTAATTTTTTTATATTTTTAGTAGAGATGGGGTTTCACCGTGTTAACGTGGTCTCGATCTCCTGACCTCGTGATCCGCCCGCCTCTGCCTCCCAAAGTGCTGGGATCACAGGTGTGAGCCGTCGCACCCGGCCTTTTTTTGGAGGTAGAGTCTTACTCTGTGGCCCAGGCTGGAGTGCAGTGGCGTGATCTCGGTTCACTGCAACCTCTGGCTCACTGCAACCTCCACCTCCCGATTCTTCTACCTCAGCATCCCCAGTAGCTGGGATTACAGGTGCCCGCCACCATGCCCAGCTAATTTTTTTTTTTAAATTGTAATAGAGATGGGGTTTTGCCATGTTGGCCAGGCTGGTCTCAAACTCCTGACCTCAAATGACCCACCTGCCTCAGCCTCCCAAAGTGCTGGGATTATAGGCGTGATCCACTGCACCCGGCCAGTTACACTTGATTAAAAAAAAATTATTGGCTGTATTTAAGATACACAACATGATATTTTGATATACATATGCATGCTGAAGTCAAATGATACTTGATTTTTTGGGGGTGTGAAATTTGACACTAGGTGTTATACCCTTAGGCCTTTTGAAAACCTTGACTTGGTAGATTTTAGATTGAAGAGATGAAGTGAGCTTCTCCAACATTTTTAAGCAATTTGTGCTGCAGCTGTTCCAAATTATTAAAATGGGCAAGGGAATGTATTTTGGGGGTGAGTTATGTGGAACTTTTCTGACAAGAAAATGTTTTTATGTGCTTCAAAATAGAATGTACTTCCTATTTCTGAAAAGCCATTAAACCGACCAGCTTATTTATTCTTGTGGAATTTGAAATCCAACATGAGGAAACCGGTACGTGGCCCCACCTCGTGTTTGGGAGCTGCATGTGTCCACAGTCTTAAACTGCATGGCATCATCATGGCCGTTTGTGGAGCGGTAACAATATCTTTTCATAGAGTGAGAAATGACGTGAGCCCATGGCAAATGTTGTCTCATAGACCTTAGGATTTCTTTTTTTTCTTTTCTTTTTTTTTTTTTTTTTTTTTTGAGATGGAGTCTCACTGTGTTGCCCGGGCTAGAGTGCAGTGCCATGATGGTTCACTGCAATCTCTGCTTCCTGGGTTCAAGCGATTCTCCTGCCTCAGCCTCCCGAGTAGCTGGGATTACAGGCATCCGCCACCACGCCTGGCTAATTTTGTATTTTTAGTAGAGACGGGGTTTCACCATGTTGGCCAGGCTGGTCTTGAACTCCTGACTTCAAGTAATCTGCTGGCCTTGGCCTCCCAAAGTGCTGGGATTACAGGTGTGAGCCACTGCACCCAGCCAGAATTTCTTACCACACTTTATCTTTGCTTCACTTGACACTTAACAAGCTAGCTCTTTCCCCACCTCCAGCTGCCATTTTTACTCACGTTACATGTTGAACTTTTCTTATTACTCAGTGAACCTCTTACACATGTAGCCTATACTTCAGTGACAAAGTCATCCATGCAAATTGAAGAGTGGGGTGGTAAGTTTAAGATGGGGGAGATAAGATGTCCTTGACTGTAATTATTTTTGCCAAAGAATGCTTGACATTTCAAATAATTTTTTTTGAGGTGGGGTCTCACTGTATTACCCAGGCTGGAGTGCAGTGGTCATGGCTCACTACAGCCTTGACCTCCCCAGGCTCAGGTGATCCTCCCACCTCAGCCTGCCGAGTAGCTGGGACTACAGGCATGCACTACCACACCCAGCTAATTTTCGTATTTTTAGTAGAGATGGGGTTTCGCCACATTGCCCAGGCTGGTCTCAAACTCCTGGGCTCAAGCCATCCTCCTGCCTTGGCTGGTCTCGAACTCCTGACCTCAGGTGATCCTCCTGCCTCAGCTTCCCAAAGTGCTGGGATTACAGGCCGGAGCCTCTGCGCGCGACCATAATTTGTCTTTCTTGAAATAAACGATTGGGAACTATGACTATGGTTGCCGGTGTTATTTTACATCCCTGTTTTAGCAGGTTCAGAAGTGCCATTTGTCATGTGCATGGACACAAACAGTAAAAACCCAGTAGTAAGTGAAGTCCTTCTGTGAGCTGAAGCCCTTCCCCCACTCCC
The DNA here is from genome assembly GCF_000001405.40 of Homo sapiens. Classification (NCBI taxonomy): domain Eukaryota; kingdom Metazoa; phylum Chordata; class Mammalia; order Primates; family Hominidae; genus Homo; species Homo sapiens. The sequence goes on along the minus strand of NC_000005.10, from coordinate 16,804,413 downwards.
TTTGGTGACCTGTTACGAAAATACTTCATTAGGGCTTGGGCTGCTGTATCACCTTTTGGTGATTGGATTAAGGGGGTAAAGACCCCGAGGGAAATCTCAGAGGAAGGAGCCTTTGTGGAAGTTAGTCAATGCAAGGTGAGGCCCTGAGCAGACCAGGACAGCACAGATGAAGGGAGTGGGTGGGTCGCCCTGGAGTTAATGAAAAGTGGAACACACGGGACAAGGAGACGTCAGCCATGGTGATGAGGTGATGAGGTGATGAGGCTGACAGAGCCCTGTGGGTGGATGGGTGATGGAGAAGGCATTCGCTGTAGATCCACAGTGTGGCACATTCTCAAAAATCCAGGGTTCCTGCCTTCACTCTGACTCACGGGCTCCGTGACCGTAGGGACAATATCTTATTGTCCCCTTGCCGGTTCCATTACCTGTCAGAAGAGGCAGGAGCAGTGACCTCTGCTGCCCATCACAGGGTTATGGAAGAGCAAATGAGTGGGTGTGCGAATGTGTAAACAATCCTTTTGGCCATAGGTACTAAATGGAGGTAGGTAGTCTAAGGGAGGCCTTTGAATTATTAATAAGTAAGTAATATTGGGCTGTTGTCTACTGAGTAATTTTTATACAATGAGGCAAAATTTTCTATAATCTTAAGAAATCAGGTTCTTTCTTTGTACCAGCCAGACACACATTTTACATATTCTTTCCTTTTTTGCTTTTCAAGGAAGAGATTTCAGATTATTGAGTTTTGGTTCCAATTAAATCTGGTCGTTTGATGTTCCTGTTGGTTTGTGGGAGTTCATTTGCTGAATTTACCGCCAGCCACAACATAATATCTTTATTAATTATTTAAACTCTGACATTACTGTCTCCCTGAAAATATCAGTGCCTTTTGTTCTCTCTTCCTGAATAGTCTATAGCTTGTCACCAGAACATTTTTATTTAATTTGGGTTCAAATTTGAAGGTGTGTATGCTGAAACTTTTTTTTTTCTTTTGAGATAGGGTCTCACTCTGTCAGGCTGGAGTGCGGTGGCACAATCTTGGTTCAATGCAACCTCTGCCTCCTGGGCTCAGGTGATCCTCCCACCTCAGCCTCCTGAGTAGCTGAGACCACATGTGTGCACCATCATACCTGGCTAACTTTTTAATGTATTTTTTGTAGAGACAGGGTTTTGACATTAGTGCCCAGGCTGGTTAACTCCTGGACTCAAGTGATCCTCCCGCCTCGGCCTCCCAAACTGCTGGGATTACGGGCATGAGCCATCAGGCCTGGCCTTTTTTTAAATTTAATTTTTTTTTTAAATTTTTTTAAAGAGACAAGGTTTCCACTTTGTTACCAAGGCTGGAGTGCAGTGATGCAATCACGGCTCACTGAAGCCTTGACCTCCTGGGCTCAAGCCATCCTCCCACCTCAGCCTCCCTAGTGGCTGGGAATACAGGCATGTGCTACCACACATGGGTAAATTTTTTTTTTTTTTTGAGAGAGAGGATCTCACTGTGTTGCCCAGGCCGGTCTTGAACTCCTGGGCTCAAGTGATCCTCCCAAAGTGTTGGGATAACAGGCGTGAGCCACCACACCCAACCTCTAAAACTTTTTATTTAAAGTTAAGGAGCATAATGTTTCTTGTTATTTCCTCTCAAGTCTGTGCTTGTTTTTAATCTCTCTTTATACTTAGAGATTAATGTATTCTATACAACACCATAATTCCCAGCATTACTTATTTTTTTTAATTTTTCTTTCTTTCTTTTTTTTTTTTTTTTTTAGAGACAGTCTCGCTCTGTCCCCCAGGCTGGAGTGCAGTGGCGTGATCTCAGCTCACTGCAAGCTCTGCCTCCCGGGTTCATGCCAATCTCCTGCCTCAGCCTCCTGAGTAGCTGGGACTACAGGCGCCTGCCACTACGCCCGGCTAATTTTTGTATTTTTAGTAGAGACGGGGTTTCACCCTGTTAGCCAGGATGGTCTCAATCTCCTGACCTCATGATCCACCCGCCTCAGCATCCCAGAGTGTTGGGATTACAGGCATGAGCCACTGCACCCGGCTCCTATTTTTTTCTTTATTAAACTAAAAAAAAAATTTTATTTTGGTAAAATGCATGAACAAAATGTATCACAGCCGTTGTTAATGCACAGTTCGATAGCGTTAAGTATATTTACGTTACCCTGCAGCAATCTCCAGAACTCTTCTCCTCTTGCAGAACTGAATCCATACTCATTAAACAACAGCTCCCCATTTCCCCCATCTCCAGCCCCTGGCAACCACCCTTCCACTTTCTGTCAATTTGATTATTCTGGATCCTCATATAAGTGGAATTGTACATTTCCACTTTCTCTATCAATTTGAGTATTCTGGATACCTCATACAAGTGGACTCGCACAGTGTTTATCTTTTTGTGACTGTCATAATTCACTTAGCATAATGTCTTAAGGGTTCATCCATGTTGTAGCAAGGGTCTGAATTTCCATCCCTTTCAGGGCTGAATAATTCCGTTGTATGGATGTGCCACATTTTTTGTATCTGTTCATTTATTGGCAGACACATGGGTTGCTTCTACCTTTTGGCTGTTGTTTACTGAATATTTTTTATACATGGTATAAAAAGTTTGAAAAAACATCCTTGAGTTAGTGGCAATATGCAAAAAAGAATAAGAAAGTGCTTGGAGGATGTGGGTTTAAGGAAAATCTTGAAAACAGCAGATGCCGGACATGTTATGAACATATGTATCTTAGTTTTCTCTTGTTTAGAGTACGAAATATGGTCTAAACCATAGGTTTAGAAATTTTTGTAGAGTATGAATTTTTTCTTTTCAGAATATGAATCACAAAACGAGAAGGACCACAGCAGTAGCACCTACATTCTTACAGAGTCATGTTGGAATATAGCCATGTACCATTAAATGTATGATCTTAGCCAGGCATGGTGGCTCATGCCTGTAATGCCAGCACTTTGGGAGGCTGATGCAAGCAGGCCAGATGAAGCCAGGAGTTTGAGAGCAGCCTGGCTAATGTGGTGAAACCCCATTCGTCTCTACTAAAAATACAAAAATTAGCCAGGTGTGGTTGTGGGCGCCTGTAATCCCAGCTACTCGGGAGGCTGAGGCAGGAGAATTGCTTTAACCCGGGAGGCGGAGGCTGCAGTAAGCTGAGATTGCACCACTGCACGGCAGCCTGGGCAACGGAGCGAGACTCTGTCTCAAAAATAAATAAATGCATGATTGATCTTTAAAAATCAGGAGCAGCTGTTTAAGTGCTCTTTCTCTACCCAACAAGCAGAAAGGGTCCTGACCATTTTTTGAGGAATTTGGGGAGTTCAACTCATGGTTCAGTTTAAAGCTATAAAGTAGATCATGGGGCATGAAAGATCGTCACACATCTGAGGCAGGCAGCTTCTAGGGTGCACGTAACTTTTATTTATTACTTACCTTAAAAGGTGAAAGGTTTTAAACATACTGAAATACAAATCTTTTTGGAAAAGAATTTTTTTTTTTCACTTGATGTGATATATGGTGTGTAAAATGAAAAGCAAAATAAAAGCCTGGCTTGGTATCTTCTGTTACGTTAACCACGCATTCAGACGACCTTTTACCTGAAAACACTTTTCAATACCCCCTGACATAGTGGCCCTTGGAGGAAAAGCCTTTCATTCCACAGGAGATTTGGCGCTTCCTTCCAACACAGCCACGGGGGTGGCGCATGGCAAGGCTGAGAAAGAACCAGTGTAGTGAGGCCAAGCAGATTGGAGAACAGCGGAAGCTTAGGAGCCTGGGGTGGTTTCATTGTAGATTAGAAGATAGAGTCTTCCTCACTTGCTGTGGGCATCGCTTTTATGGGCGGAGAGCCTGAATGAGTCCCAGAATCCTCAAGAAAAGATGAAATCAGGTTCCTAACCTGGGTAAAGAACCCACGAGCACATGCTGTACCCTTCAGAAGCTTCTCATCAAAACGGGAACAATCAAGGCTTTCTTGCCTAAAGCAGCAACAGTCTGTTATTAATATTTATGCAGAATTTTAAAAATATATTTTTAAGTAGAGATGGGGTCTTCCTATATTGCCCAGGCTGGTCTTGAACTCCTTGGCTCAGGCAGTTCTCCCACCTTGGCCTCCAAAAGTGCTGGGATTATAGTCATGACCCACCGTAGCTGGCCGGGATTTTAAATTTATTGACAATGTGTAGTAATGAGGGACCATATTTTTTTCATGGTAACTCACTAGGCTGACTGACAGATGAAGCATGCATTTTATTGTAAGAGTCAGATACAAAGATCAATATTATTGTAGGAAAAGTGTGCAACCACCAGAGCTGTGCTGGTCATTGGCCATGATTAACATCTTCTATAACTAAACCAGCTGGATGGTTTTGGTCTTTCACTCTCGAACCGTGTGCTTTTTGAGGCCATCTGGTAAAGTGTTCTGTTTCACAGCATGCCCGATTATCTTTTCTTCTGAAAGATGGTGACTCAGAATTGATTGGTGGCAGTAGTGTGGGGTGGCAGGGACTCGGCTTAGCAGAGGAGAGTATCCCGATGCCTTTTGTGAGCTGCGTGACCATCAGCAAGGATGCCACATAATTCTGCAGAGTCTGTGGGCTGCCTCCCCAGGGAGCGTCCGCTGTTAAGAGTCCTTTCTCAGCCGGGCACAGTGGTTCATATCTGTAATCCCAGCACTTTGGGAGGCTGAGGTGGGTGGATCACCTGAGGTCAGGAGTTTGAGGCCAGCCTGGCCAAAATATATGAAATCCCGTCTCTAGTAGAAATGCAAAAATTAGGTGGGCGTAGGGGCACACACCTGTTATCCCAGCTACTTGGGAAGCTGAGACAGGAGAATCGCTTGAACACGGGAGGCGAAGGTTGCAGTGAGCCGAGATTGTGCCACTGTTCTCCAGCCTGGATGACAGAGCGAGACTCAGTCTCAAAAAAAAAAAAAAGTATTTCTCTTCTAAAGCACTGCTGATTCTGGTGGAAGAGGACCTGTGGACATTGATTTCTGGGTTGCATATGTTGTCTCTAGTTGCCACAGCTACTACATTGTCATTCTGAAACATTTAAAAACTATTTCACTGGACAAGGTGTGGTGTGAATTACTGTAAAAAGTCAAGCATGAGACCATTTTGGATGTTGCGTCTTCACCTTTGCTAACAGGCTTAATGCCACTTTGTCTTCTACCTTCATTCAAAGCCCATGTCATCCACACTGTCAGAACGAGCAGTATCTTAAAAGGATGCTCTATGGCTAGTGAGGTTCCCCAACCAGGAGGAGGAATATGGTTTAAAAAACATGATCATTCTTTTGAAGAAAGCTGTGTAAGAAGTTTTAATAATGGTTTTATAAGTAAATCAGTGCCTTAAGAAAGAAAGGCTCATCTTAGAATTTTACAGCAACCATACAAACGTGTCATGAATGGGGCATGCAAAATGATATGGGCATATCATTTTTTAAAAGGTGTGTTAATGATGGGTGAATATCCTAATAATAAATTAATTAAATTTAATAATAAGCTTAATGCCCATGACTGTGGCTTTCACCCTCTGCTTGCAACTGAGGAAGAGGATTGGTGTGTGCTCAGTTGAGCCCGCCGTGTTGATGGTTGGCAGTGTTGACTGTTGCTTGTCAGCTTCCTCTGACCTACCTGGCTGCATAAAGAGTGACAGTCCTGTCACAGTAGGGAAAAAAATAAGAATGTATTTCACAGTAAAAATGAACATTTTTGATACTTAGCAGAAAAAAGAAAATAATGTAAACAACTATCAAAAAGGTAGAAAACAAACATGGCATTTTAAACAAAGTAGTGGAAGGGGCCAGGCACTCACAGCCTCAAGTATTGTCTGCCTGCTCCCTCACCTCTGCAGATGTTAGATAGAAGGAGGCACTGGAGTGTCTGTGGTCCAGGCACTGATGGAGGATGGAGGCATCCCAAGGAGTAGGACACTTTTTTTTTTCCAACTTCCATCTTTTTTTTTCTGGCCAAATCTTCCCCATAGTGCTCCGACAGGACAAAATGGGTTTTCTAGAGAGTTGATGTTTCCAAGGACCTGAACATTTACTCATAAAAGCACCAGATCTTTTTTTTCTAATTAAGGTGAAATTCATTTAACATAAAATTAACCATTTTGAAGTGTACAACTCAGTGGCATTTAGTACATTCACAATGCTGTACAACCAACAACTCTGTTTCAGTATGCTTTCTGCTGCCAAAACAGGATACCACACACTGGGTAATTTATAAGGAGCAAAAGTTTACTTGGCTTATGGTTCTGGAGACTGGCCAGTCCAAGAGCATGGCGCTGGCATCTGGTGGGACCCTCTTGCTGTGTCATGGCCTGAGGCATCACATGATGAGAAAGCTTGAGTGTGAGACAGAGAGAATGCATGTCGAACTTACTCTTTTATTAAGAGCCCACTCTGCAATAACTAACTCACTCCTGCAATAATGGCATTAATCCATTATGAGAGCAGAGCCCCATGACATAATCAGCTCTTACCTTTGTAATCACCTTCCTAATACTGTTACAATGGCAATTAAATTTCAACACAAGTTTAGGAGGGGACAAACATTCAAACCATACAACCTGTATCTTAGTTCTACAATATTTTTATCACCTTAGGTGGAAACCCTGTACCAGTGAAGCAGTCATTCCCCTCTCCTGCCACTGTCTGCTTTTAGCAACCACCCATCTTGCTGTTTCTATGGACTTAACCTATTCTGGATATGTGAACTTTTGTGTCTGGCTTAATATGTCTCCAAGGCTCATTCACATTGTAGCATGGATCAGCACTTTATTCCTTTTTGTGGCTAAGTAATATTACATGGTGTGGGTATGCCACATCCATTCATCTGATGATGGGCCCTTGGCATTGTTTCCACCTTTGGCTGTTGTGAATGGTGCTTCTGTGAACATGTGTGTACAAGTGTTTGAGTATTTTCTTTCGCTTCTTTTTGATATGTATCTAGGAGTGGAATCGCTGGGTCATATGGTAATATCTTTTATGTTTTTAACCTTTTTTTAAATCTTTTGCTTCATATTATTTCCAAAACACATTCCAGGTTGAGTAACCCTTATCCAGAATGCTTGGGACCTGAAGTGTTTTGGACTTCTGATATTTTCTCTGATTTAGAAGTATCTGCATTATACTTACCAGTTGGGCATCCCTCATCAGAAAATCTGAAATCTGAAATGCCCCCATGAACATTTCTTTTCAGCATCATGTTGGTGCTCAAAAAGCTTCAGATTTTACAGCATTTCAGATTTTGGTTTTCGGATTAGTGATACTCAACCTGTATGGACTTATTTGCATTTGAAAAGTTATACTGAACAAAACAATACTTTGCTTGATGTTCCTGGCTGATACTATGAATATAAAATATTACAAATTGCTATAATATGGTATAGATGCTCTCAGGATGTTTGGACTTTCTGTCTAGTTTTCTTGTTTTTTGTTACCCTCCGCCAACCCCCCTGGGTGTATGCATCCCTGGTGTCTTTTTGTGTGTTCAAATTTCCTCTTCTAACAAAGACACCAGTCAGATTGGATTAGGGCCCACCCTAATGGCCTCATTTTAAGTTAGTCACTTATTTAAAGCCCCTATCTCCAAGCATAGTAACATTCTTAAGTACTTGGGATTAGGGCTTCAGCATGTGAATTTGGGGAGAAGGCATGAATCAGCCCTTAACAGCCCATAAAGCCCTAGACACACTGTACGAGCTTTGTAAAAGTTGGTTGGTGGTTAGTGGTTGATGGTGGTTGCAGGACTCTCTGCTCCCACCCCTGTCTGACTGACTTCCCTAGTTGTGTCTGAGCCTGGAAGCCAGGTAATCAGAGTTAGTATTTCCTGTAAAAGTAGAAGTGAATAGTTATGTCCACATGGAGAGGCCTAAGGCATTAAGCTTTGGTAACTCTGTAGCCTCTATTTATTTATTTATTTTCCTTCTTTCTTTCTTTCTTTTCTTTTCTTTTCTTTCTTTCTTTCTTTCTTTCTTTCTGTCTTTCTTTTCTTTCTTTTTCCTTTCTTTCCTTTCTTTTTCTTTTGTGTTGTGTTCTGTTCTTTTCTTTTTCTTCCCTTTCTTTCCTTTCTTCCTCTCTTTCCCTTTCTTTCCTTTCTTCCTCTCTTTCCCTTTCTTTCCTTCTTTCTTTTCTTCTTTCTTTCTTTCCTTCTTTCTTTCTCTCTCTCTCTCTCTCGCACGCTCGCTCTTTCTCTTTCTCGCTCTCTCTCTGTTCTTTCTTTTTTTTTTTTTTTTTGACAGAGTCTCGCTCTGTCGCCCAGGTTGGAGTGCAGTGGCGCAATCTTGGCTCACTGCAACCTCCACCTCCCAGGTTCAAGAGATTCTCCTGCCTCAGCCTCCCGAGTAGCTGGGATTACAGGTGTGTGCCACCGGGCCTGGCTAATTTTTTGTATTTTTAGTAGAGACGGGGTTTCACTCTGTTAGCCAGGGTGGTCTTGGTCTCCTGATCTTGAGATCCTCGCACCTCGGCCCCCCAAAATGCTGGGATTACAGTCGTGAGCCACTGCGCTCGGTCTGATACCTAGCATTTTCGAAATGGTCACGTTATCTTTTAAAAGCTGTAGCTAACTCTGCATAGCATAAAATTTGCCATTTTGACTATTTTGAAGTGTACAATTCAGTCATATTAGGTACATTCACAGACCTAGCACTTTGGGAGGCCAAGGAGGGAGGATCACTCAAAACCAGGAGTTCGAGACTAGCCTGGGTAACAAAGCAAGACCATGTCTCTACAAAAAAAATTAAAAATAAAAATAAATAATAATAAGGACATTCACAATGTTCTGCATCCACAAGTACCAACCACTTCCATAACTTTTTTTGAGATGGAATCTCACTCTGTCGCCCAGGCTGGAGTGCAGTAGCACTATCTCGGGTCACTGCAACCTCTGGCTCCTGGGTTCAAGTGATTCTCCTTTCCCAGCCTCCTGTGTAGGGATTACAGGCAGGCATCACCATGCCTGGCTAATTTTTGTATTTTTAGTAGAGATGGGGTTTCACCATGTTGGCCAGGCTGGCCTTGAACTCCTGACCTCAGGTGATCTGCCCGCCTCAGCCTCTGGAAGTGCTGGGATTACAGGCATGAGCCACCAGGCCCGGCCCACTTCCAGAACTTCCCCATCACCCTAAATAGAAACTCTGCACCCATTAAATTGTAAATGTCCTTCTCCCCCAACCCCTGGCTACCTCTCTTCTCCTTTCTGTCCCGTCACTTTTTAACCATGCTGTTTCACAGTAGCCATTTAATGAGACAGGAGACTGGACCTGGCCAGTCCTTTGCCCATGGGAAGGGATTAAGATTGGTGAGGTCAGCGGGGAGCAGGGATCTGGGCCTGGGGAGCAGGGACTGGGCCTGGGCCGCCTCACCATCTTCCTTCTCTTGTTTCCCTTTCACTGCCATCCCTCTTTGAAATGGCTTCATTCATTTGTCCAGAATATCAAGATTTGGTACCCAGAAAGGCAGGGACAGTGTGCACCCGGGAGACAGAAGACGTCTTTCCCCCTGGCGCACACTCGGTGGGTTTTGTTGGAGCTCATCCAGTGGCCTGGGTTAGAAGTGACGCATCCCTGTCTCACTCTGTGCTTGCAGACCTACATCGGCTCCATCCTGGCCTCCGTGAACCCCTACCAGCCCATCGCCGGGCTGTACGAGCCTGCCACCATGGAGCAGTACAGCCGGCGCCACCTGGGCGAGCTGCCCCCGCACATCTTCGCCATCGCCAACGAGTGCTACCGCTGCCTGTGGAAGCGCCACGACAACCAGTGCATCCTCATCAGGTAACGGGGCTCACAGCCAGTCGGACTTTCCCATGGCCCAGGAGTCCCTCCGCGCACCCCCAACCCCAGCCTCCTTAGGGCATTAACCAGAGGAAGCTTTTACAACCGCCTGAGTTTCTCCGACAGAGTTTTCTGTTTTGAATGGCATGGTAACTTCAGCTTTCAGAAGGAGCTTACTTAGCAAAGCAGATGGACCATGTTGCTTGGCTCTTGTCCTCAGAATAATTATTCCATTCTGTTCCTTTTTTTTTTTTTTTTTTTTAAAGCAACATTTATTTGCCTTAATTATTCTTTGATTTATTTCAATGATGAGGCATGGTCCTTCTATCTGTTTAAGGAAATCTTGCATAGTTCTTTCAAATTTAAATGTTTTATATAGCCTACAGTGCTACTCACAAGGCTTATGTATGTGAACAAGGTTTCTTTTTTCTCTACTGCAATAAAATAACTCTAGATAGAATCTCCCAAATTTAGGAATTTTTAATAATAGGGTGCTCTTAAAGTTAATTAGCCACAGAAGAGGGGCTTACTGTGTGTATGTTAAGGGCATGTTTATTTCAATATTTTTTTTTAGTGGGTGAGAAGGCACTTGGCATGTCTATTTTAGCTGAGTCGTACTCGCTTTTACAAAGAAACTATTAGGAGCCCCAATATCAGCTCCTTTATTACTAGAAACTGTCTAAAAAAGTAGTAGAATTTCTTTTTTTTTTTTTTGAGTTGGAGTTTCGCTCTTGTTGCCCAGGCTGGAGTGCAATGGTGCGATCTCAGCTCACTGCAACCTCCGCCTCCTGGGTTCAAGTGATTCTCCTGCCTCAGCCTCCCGAGTAGCTGGGATTACAGGCATGCGTCGCCACCACCCCAGCTAATTTTGCATTTTTAGTAGAGACGGAGTTTCTCTGTGTTGGTCAGGCTGGTCTTAAACTCCCGACCTCAGGTGATCCGCCTGCCTCAGCATCCCAAAGTGCTGGGATTACAGGCGTGAGCCACCGCTCCCGGCGAGTATTTTTAAAATAAATATTTATTGGCTGGGCACAATGGCTCACACTTGTACTCCCAGCACTTTAGGAGGCCAAGGAGGGTGGTTCACTTGAGTTCAGGAGTTGGAGACCAGCCTGGCCAACATGATGAAACCCCATTTCTACTAAAAATGCAAAATCAGCCAGGCGCGGTGGCTCATGCCTATAGTTCCAGCTACTTGCGAGGCTGAGATGGGAGGATCACTTTAACCCGGAGGTGGAGGTTGCAGTGAGCTGAGATCACACCACTGCACTCCAGCCTGGGTGACAGAGTGAGACTCCTTCTCAATAAATAAATAAATAAAATTTCTTAATTTTTATTATTAACATTCAAATTGACCTCATCACATGTATGCTATTGACATCCTGTTGGAGTTTGTTAATTATTTCTATTGGACCTGTGCTCTAGTGATGATCCTCACACCCCTGGGTGATACTCAGAGCAGACGGGATGCATGTCAGTCTCTTCTAGTGAGGTTTCCGTGGAGGCGCCAAGCATTTCTTCATTCATTTCTCCTCGCAGGAGTTCACTCACGGGGTATAGTTGTTACTGAGGAGCCACAGTCTTGTAAAGCTGCCAGTGTGAACGAAGATTCCGACATCTGCTTCAGATGGCTTTCTAGTCCCAACTTGTGGCAACTTGGCTCTCGTCCTCAGAATAATTATATTATTTCCTCAGAATAGTTATTATGTTATTTCAGGAGGAATGGGAAAGGGAGAGGAAAGGGTGGTTTGGATTTGGCGGGTGATGTCGGGGGAGGGGGGGACACTAAAAAGACCCCTCTCTCCGGATTTCCGATTCAGTGGAAGTAAGACCACAGGAGACATATGGAGAGCCATATGTCAGCCTAAGACTCCCAGCCAAGTGGGCCTGTGAGCACTGCAGCCCCGAATCACACAGACAGACCCACCTGGTCATGGGTATAGCCAGGTAACTGGTGGCCATGATGACTGTGGGAAACTGATTCCCAGATGGTGGAGAAAAGCAGGCAGGTGCTGCCTTTCTCCTTTCACCCCAGAGCACTTAGAGCAGCCCCCCGCCCCCCGCTCCTGTGGGGAGGGACTGGGGTTGGGGGAGGACAGAGGTGCCAGAGGAGGCCCCTCTGAAACCCTGGGGCAGGGAAATGGATGGAGAATGTTAGCATTATCCCATGTGAGAGCTGATTGAGGATGGATAAGAAATAATGGCTCATGGTTTCTGAAGGATTCTGCGTGTTGGACTCTGTGCCAAGAGCTTGCCAGGCATCGGCACATTGAAACCCCTGACAGCCCTTTGATTTGGGTGCTCTATGATGATATCTGCAGGTGCCACACACGGAAAGCCATTTGCAGGGGTTGTGTTCTTCTCACTGGCAGTTTTTACCCGTTATCTTTTTTGTAGTTCCTTTTTTTTTTAAACAAATGGGGATTACATGTATATGAACAGCTGAATTCTGTCTCTGTCTCTGTCTGTCTCTGTCTCTCCCTCTCTCTCTCTCTCTCTCTCTCTCTCTCTCTGTGTGTGTGTGTGTGTGTGTGTATGTATGTGTGTGTCTAACAGGAGGGGAGCATATGGGCAGAGGTACTGTCTTCTCGTTACCTAAAGTCTAACAGGACTAATAATGTGTTGGGCCATAGAAACAACTTGGATAGAGGGACTGTCAGTGTATTCAGTTAAACAGATAGGGATCATAACGGCTTGCAGTTAATCGAAATGAAGCGGCTGCTTAATATAGAAACAGCTTTTAAGATTCACATACCCAATAAAACAATTTAATCTGTGACTAGAACCACTATTTGTGGGCTCTTCTAAATGACTTCATAAAAGTTCTGGAGTTAGAATTTAAAGATCATTATTTCAGCATACAGAATATAATTTAAGAAGATTAACAGAAGGGAAGAAAACAATCTATTTTAACAGATCAAGTTGGTGTCCACACTTAGATCCTTAAATAATTGCCATTGATAATTGCTTGTATTTATTACATTCAGTGGAAAAAATGAGAGCATGACTAATATATCATTTGCTAGACAGAGCCGCTAAAGAAGAAAGCGAAACATCAAATGAGATCATTGTGCATATGTGTATGTGTGTGTGTGTGTGTATGTATGTATTAAAACGGAAGGAGGTTGGCATTTTCATGGTATTTAAAAATAAGGGGGAGAGGGGGGTGGATCCCAAACAGAAAGCTCCAATTATGCAATGCTGATGTGAACAGAGTAACTGTATTTATCTAAATTAATTCAGGAAACAGAGACTTTAAGAATAGATTTCTCATTAAAATGTGTTTTAGTTTTAATAGCTCTCTTCAGCAGTTTTTTAAAGTGGGGGTTGAAGCTGTGGGAATTAAGAGAAAATGGAATATAGAAATAGGAGTTGCTGGACGTAGGAGCCCTGTTTAGATTTCCTTGGGCATGATCTGCCCCCTGCTGGCTAAAATGTGTTTTACTACTTTAAAAACATTCTCATGCTTGAGAAAATAAGCCTGTTTGAATTATATAGGACTTCATAGATCAATTTTTCTCTCGCTTTATAAGTGAACATCGATTGGATAGGCTCCTCTGCTACTTGGTGGCAATGCCAGGTCCCTGGGCTTCTAGTCCAAGCCTCTTCCTTTGATTTCATTTTCAAGGTTGTTGCCTCTCTTAAGGTCTAGTTTTAATTTTGCCATTTTTGTGTACATTTAAATGAATGCTCATGCTATTACAGTTTTGAATATATGTGTGTGTGTGTGTGTATATATATATATATATAAATTTAAAACTTACTTGAATTTTCCATCTCATAAGGTCAGTGTTTGACTTTGGTTGATCTCTAGTACATTTGACATTGACTCTAGTTTTTCATACACCGTATAGGCCAGACAGGGTTTAGTTTATTATGGTGTATTAGTCCGTTTTCACACTGTTGATAAAGATATGCTCGAGACTGGGCAATTTACAAAAGAAAGAGGTTTAATTGGAGTTACAGGTCCACGTGGCTGGGGAAGCCTCACAATCATGGTGGAAGGCAAGGAGAAGCAAGTCACGTCTTACATGGATGGAAGCAGGCAAAGAGACAGTGAAGAAGATGCAAAGGCAGAAACCCCTGATAAAACCATTAGATCTCATGAAACCCACTCACTACTGCGAGAACAGCATGGGGAAACCACCCTCATGATTCAGTCGTCTCCCACCAGGTCCCTCCCACAACATGGCGGGAACCATGGGAGTACAATTCAAGATGAGATCTGGGTGGGGACACAGCCAAACCATATCATGTGGTCTTTGCAGTACATATGACTTCTTAAGGTGTATAATACAGACAAGGCCTGTGGCTAATTCATCTTTGCAGCCTGGTACCCAGCACAGTGTCTGGGAGAGGACCAGCATTCAACAGCTGCCAATCAAAGGATGAATATACAGAATGACTGTTGGTTCAGGATCTTTGCTTGCTTTGTGTGTTTTGGTTTTTCAAAACTTGAGTGATTTCTACTTAACCATGTCCTGGACTGGTAATTGAGTGTTTGGTCTTTTTCTATTTCTAGAAATACATTTAGAGGTGATAGTGTTGGAATGCGGAACAAAACTTGCATCCTCGATTAGAAAGGCACCAAGCAGAATAAGGCATGGGGGCGTGCTCTTGTAATATAGCAGATGAAAGAGGTGGAGTGGGAAACACAAAGAAAAAGGAACTGAAATTCATCGAGAAGACTTATTCTTGTGTATTCCTCAGAGGGGCCCAAGAGGCATTTTCTGTAGGGAAGCCGAGGCCCAGAACTGTTTGGTTGGCTTGCTGAAGAAACTTTAGCTATTGGCAACAAACATAGGATTTGAACTTCAGTCTCTCTGCCTGTGAAGTCTGTATTTCTGTTTTTTGTTTGTTTTTTGAGATAGAGTCTTGCTCTGTTGCCCATGCTGGAGTGCGGTGGCACAATCTCGGCTCCTCCTCCCAAGTTCAAGCAATTCTCCTGCTTCAGCCTCCCAGGTAGCTGGGGTTACAGGCGTGCACCATCATGGCTGGCTAACTTTTTTTTATCGTATTTTTACGATATGAGGTTTCACCATGTTGGTCAGGCTGGTCTCCAACTCCTGACCTCAAATGATCTGCCTGCCTCAGCCTCCCAAAGTGCTAAGATTACAGGCATGAGTGAAGTCTGTATTTCCAGAACAGAATCCTACTTTCTGGTACAGCTTCCAAACAAAAGGGCTTTGTTTGGCTTGCTAAGACCTTTGGAGTTAATCTTTTAGGCAGTAGAGAAGTTTCCCAAGTTCATCTAACAATTGAAGGAATGATCCGATTTATATTTTGAGAAAATCATGTGGATCAAGGGAATTGATTTCTAAGTAGTGTTATAGATGGCAGCAAAAAGTTTTGTGTAAAGAGCCAAAGAGTGTATATTTTAGGCTTTGTGGGCGAAAGCACCTCTGTTGCAACTAATCAACTCTGCCCTTGTAGTGTGAAAGCACTCAGTATGCAACGCACAGCCTGCACTGTGTTCCAATAAAACTTTATTTATAAAAACAGGCAGCAGGTCAGAGTTGAGGACCATTGTTTGCTGACACATGGGCTGGATCTAGAAAACTGCCAGCCTTGATGTGTGCTGCTGGGAGGCTAGCGTGTCCTGTGCACCAAAGGCCCTGCTCGTATCAGATTCCTTTTCCTTCAGGTGTGTCATGGATCCCTCCTCTCTGCTCACCCGAGGACATTGCTGCATCTCTGAGCCTCCTTGCCCTGGATTCTTTGACCTCTCTCTCAACTGGATTGTTGACGTTATTCAAAATCTTTTAGTATGTTCCATCTTGGAAAAAAATACAAAAGATGCTCGTTTGGTTCCACAGCCTCATTCAACTACTCCTTCGTCTCAGCAAGCTGCCCCCACGCCCCCCACCATGGCGCCCCATCCTATATTTCTTCCTGGCTCTCCACGGCCACTCCTCAGCTTCTCAGTCATTTTTCATCTGCTGTCTTCTCACCCACCTGCGTTTTCTTCTCTGAGTCTGCAGGACTCTCCAAGTTTATACACCCTCAACTTCTCATTTGAGTCCCAGACTTAAGTCCCAGTGCCCCTTAGGTGTCATCACTGAGATGTCTCAGGGGTGGCATGTTCTAAAGTCAGTATCATCTTCTCCCAGAAACTTGTCCCTCCTCTTGTGCCTCCTATTCTCAGCCAGTAGCCTCTCCATCCTACCCTGTCCCAAGCCTGAGATCTGGAAGTGATTCTTCCCCGCCGCCACCAAATTAAGGTAAACTTACACACGGTAAAGTATGCCAGTCATAAGCATCCAGTTTGATGAGTTTTGACAAATGCACAAACCTGGTGGTACCAATTCCTGAATCATCACGCCAGCAAACACTCAGGGGCCCCAGGAGTCATCCCTGATGCCTCCCTGTCACTTGCTGCCCACCCCCTGGCCAGGCCCCTCAGCAATCCTGTCCCTTTCCCTCCAGTCTTTCTTGGGCCTCTCACTTCATCTCTGCTGCCCCCGCGGCCCTTCCCGCATCACCTTTTTGGTCTCCCTGATTCTTCTCTTGCCTCCTTTCTGTCCATTCTCCACGCAACAGTCAGAATGATTCTTTGGGGCCTGGTGGCTCATGCCTGTAATGCCAGCACTTTGGGAGGCCGAGGCGGGTAGATCACCTGAGGTCAGAAGTTCGAGACCAGCCTGGCCAACATGGTGAAACTCCGTCTCTACTAAAAATTACAAAAATTAGCTGGGCGTGGTGGCAGGCGCCTGTAATCCCAGCTACTCGGGAGGCAGGAGAATCGCTTGAACCTGGGGAGGTGGTGGTTGCAGTGAGCCAAGATTGCGCCACTGCACTCCAGCCTGGGAGACAGAGCGAAACTCACACACACACACACAAAAGAACGATCCTTTAGAAGCTTAAATCTGATCATGACACTCTCCTGCTTAGGAACTGTCTTGTGACTTTCCATTGTGCTTACAAAAAATTCTCACAATTTTTAATACAGCCTGTGGCCCCCCATCAGTGCTTTGGGTTTGTTTTCACATTTTCATTATTATAGTTAGAAAGTTTTTTTTTTTTTTTTTTTTTTTTTAAAGCAAAACAAAACAATATAAGCTCCTTTTGGTTAATCTGAATGCACACATTTTTGCCAAAGCCTGTGTTTGTGTTGGCTGGCCTGCTGGCACAAGGCATAGAACTGTAATTGCCTTGGGCTAATGAGGACCAAGTGGAACTGCAGGCTGGAGGAGGAGGAGACGGGTTAGACAGAAATGTACTACCTGCAGAGTCTGTGACCTTGACATTAGTATCTCGGGACATCTGGCATATTTCTGGGTTTTAGCAGTTTGTGAGTTATTTAATTATATTTCTTCTTTGCCCTGTTGTTTGTAAAACACTTCCACAGCCCAATATATGAGTAGACACCACTTACCTCCTGGTAGAGTCCTATCTGAATTATGTGAGGCTGCTTTCCAGAGTAGCAGTTCTTCAACCTGGCTTCATAGTAGAATCATTCAAAAAAAAAGAGAGACAGGGTCTTGGGTCTCGCTCTGTCACCCAGGCTAGAGTGCAGTGATGCAATCTCTGCTCACTGCAACCTCCGCCTCCCGGATTCAAGTGATTCTCCTGCCTCAGCCTCCTGAGTAGCTGGAACTACAGGCACCCGCTACCATGCCTGGCTAATTTTTGTATTTTTAGTAGAGACGGGGTTTCACCATGTTCGCCAGGCTGGCCTCGAACTCCTGACCTTAAGTGATCTCCCTGTCTTGGCCTCCCAAAGTGGTAGGATTACAGATGTGAGCTACTGCCCCCGGCCAAAAATTTTTTTTTTTAAATAAAAATGACAGAGTTCTACACCCACAGGTTTGGACGAGGGACCTATTAGGTGATTCTAATATGCAGCCAGGGTTGAGAGCCACCACCGTAGAGCTCTGTGCAAATCTGAGGGTTTTTCCAAGTTTTACTTGCACAGCTTGAGTATCCCTTATCCAAAATGCTTTGGGCTAGGCATATTTCAGCTTTCAGGTTTTTTCCAATGTTTTTGGATTTTGGAATCTTTGCATTATACTGGTCGAGCATCCCTCATGTGAAAATTTGCCCCAAAGAACCCCAAAGAACATTTCTATTGAATGTCATGTTGGCACTAAAAAAAAGTTTCAGATTCTTGACCATTTCAGATTTCATATTTTCAGATTTAGGGTTACTCAGTTGGTGTAATGCAGATATTCTCAAAATCCAGAATCTGAAATCAGAAACACTTCTCGTCCCCAGCATTTCAGATAGGAGATCTTCCACCTGTATAAGAGATTGACAGAGATTGATATCCATGACTTGGTCCATTTCCAGCCGTATTTTTTCTCAATGTGTCATACACTCTTGAAGCATCTTTATGACGACGAGAATCCTGGGTTTTCTTTCTTTGACCAAGCCTCTGCTGTAGAGTTTGAAGAGTATCGTATCTTCTCCATAATTGTATTTTTGCCATATTCGGTGAGCCAAGGTAGGCTGGCTGCTATGACAGACAGCCATCAAATCTTAGGGGTGTAACACAGGGATGGTCTATTTCTTGCTCCTCTCCGGCCCCTGGTGGGTAGGGGAGGGACTCGAGTCTACTCTGTAGGCTTCTTTGCTTGGGAGATGTACCATCTCTGAGGACACTTAGGTGGCAAGCGGAAGGTGGAGCCCAGAGGACTGTGAAGGGGGTTTTTAGCTACCAGGCATAGAAGTGGCTGATAGCCCCATGGCTCAGTTGTTCAACTGGCTACACTTGGTCCCCTTGTTACTGCCTGCCTGCCGGGTTTTTTGTTTTTTTGTTTTTTTTAATTATTTTTTTGAGATGGAGTCTGGCTCTGTTGCCCAGGCTGGAATGCAGTGGTGTGATCTCCATTCACTGCAACCTCCACCTCCCAGGTTCAAGTGATTCTTCTGCCTCAGCCTCCCATGTAGCTGGGATTACAGACGTGCGCCACCACGCCCGGCTAATTTTTGTATTTTGAGTAGAGACAGGGTTTCACCATGTTAGCCAGGCTGGTCTCAAACTTCTGACCTCAAGTAATCCACCCGCCTCAGCCTCCCATGGTGCTGGGATTACAGGCGCAAGCCACAGTGCCCGGCCTCTGCCTGCTGTTTTTACTGCAAGGGAGTCTAAATGTTTTCGGCTTCTGTGTGCCCGAGGATAAAGAGGTAGGTTGAGGAACACATAACATTGTTTCGGCCTCACCATTTTCACTAGACAACTTAACCTTCTAGTTTTTGTTTTAATAACTCAGCCACCAACAGCTGTCGCGTCAATATAGATATGTTTTAAATATGGAAGATGATTTAAATCGTTCCTTGAAACTGTCTCTCTTGGTTTCTGTGAGTCATTCTGTGCACTGTTGTTGAATGCCTCCCCCGTGCCAGGCACTGGGCCGAGCAGATGCCAGTTATTCAATGTATGCTAAGCTCTGTACTGGGAAGATTCTGGTGGCTGGTAAGGGAAACCCCAACTAAAGGTGGCCTAATTTATGCTGCCTTTTACTATTTCAGACTACATGAGGCAGGGCAGTTTCAGGGATGTGGATTCAGCCCCCGCCCCGGCTGGGCTTGCCTCTGATTTTCTTGGCTTTTGCTTTATGATTTCAAGACAGGTTTAGATCGTCAGATCTTTGTTGTCTGCCGCAAAAGGGACATTTCCGCCCAGTGTCGTGTGTGTGCGCGCAAACCTCCCCTAGGAGCCCACAGTACCCTTGACATTACGACATTATGTCTTTGTGGAATCGTGACACTGGCCCCTGCCCAGGCCTGTCGCTAGCAGAGCAGGTGAAAGGACTGTGGTTGTCTAGACCAGTGGAGATCCCTGGGACCCCTGCACCCAGCCCGGCATGTTGGCGTCATCTCTGAGTCATTTCTTCTCTTTTATTACATGCAATTGATTCACATTTTTAGCAAAATTCCTCTTTCTTGATAACGTCCCAGCTCTTGGTACTCCACAGGACTTCTCTTTAGAACGCAAAAGGGGCTCATCTGCCCATCCCACCATTCAGCGGTTGTCAGCGTGCTGCCTCGTGATGGCGTTTGTATGGCTGTGCTCTTGCTTATCCCTTCAGTTTACCTTTCTTGTAAGTTTCCAGCCTCTTTGCTACTTCTGTTCTCTGCACAACACCAAGCATGGTGCCATATGCCAGATGGATGGGGTTTCTCCGTTCAAGTCTCTCTCATGTCCGTATCTTCCTCTCCGTCTCCAGCCTTGTTAACTGTGTTTGGGACCTGGCCACCGCGGGCCTAAACAACGGCAGCAGCTGGTCTCCCGAGGGACCCTTCGGTCCTTCTAGAGCTTTTCCTCCAGAGCTGCGTTTCCTACAGGTGGCCTTGATGAGGTCATCACCACCCTCCAGCTCCTGCACTTGCCTCTGAAGCATCCAGCTGAACCTCAGCTCATCTTCTCTGCCGCCTTTCGTCTCAGCCCAGCTGACCTAACCAGACCTGGATCTCATTCTCCCATAAGAATCTTTCCCAGCTTCTGTGGTTTCTGTGCTTTCTTGGCCTGACTCATGTTTGCTGGTCTTTTAAGGCATAACTCATCCCTTATTTACTTCTGTCCTTTGCCTCCCTTCCCTCTGGATTTTTTGTTCACTTGTCCTTAACTATCACTAACACGTGACCTTGGCAGGACTTTGGATCAGGCCGAGCTGGCATTAAGAGTCCAACTCGGACACTCAGCCATGCTTCCCTCATGGGATTATTGTGGGAATAACATGAGTTAGTGTGGGTTGTGTACCCGCAGGTTCATTGCCTTGTCCCCTCAGTATTACTCATGAATGATTGCATTTTTATTCATGTGTACCTGCTTTAAGTTTCTCAGAAAGATCATGTTAGTGAGCTCATGCATTTAACCAAACGTTTACACAGTGGAGGTGTTTGGGATGAACTAGTGAACAAAATGAAGATCCCTCTTTCCCAGAGCTTACCTTCCCTGTGAGGCACCATACATCTTATGACCTTTCCTTAGGAAAAGGTAGTTCTATTTGCCTCATTTGCCAAAAGAGGCGAGTAAGGCCAGACACAATGTGGCCAGCAGGAGAAAGGACTTTTGCTTTCTTTTAACTCAGCTCTTTGGAAACAGGCATTTTGATCTCCCTCTTCCCACCTTTCTACCATTGTTCTGTTGAGTAATTATAGTGCCATTGACCAAAGCTGATTTTTTTTTAAAAATTATAGTTAGAAGCACAAACTTTTCCGTTTTGTCTTTCAGTGGTGAAAGTGGGGCAGGTAAAACCGAAAGCACTAAATTGATCCTCAAGTTTCTGTCAGTCATCAGTCAACAGTCTTTGGAATTGTCCTTAAAGGAGAAGACATCCTGTGTTGAACGAGCTATTCTTGAAAGCAGGTATTTATTGATTTTCTTGTTTCCAACTAATAGGATTCACTTTCCTTATGGTATGGCTTATTTAAAGAAGAGTTAAAATTAGTTGGTCGCGTTTCTCTTTTTCTTGACTTCTCTTTTACAATTCCTTAAGAAAAGGTCTTGCCATGCACATAGTAATATCTCATGAACCCAGCAACAACTCCTTCTGCCTCCTGCCCCTTCATCGTCAGGCCAGGTCTGAGATGGGGACTGAGTGGCGCGCAATGGCTGTCTGCAGAGCCTTTGACTCCAGCTTCATGTGTTTTTGAAGCACCTGCATCAGATAAGGCACTTGTATTGGAGTTTATGGAGAAGAATAAACTTGACTAGTTTTCTGGAGGCCTTGTTAGCAGCAGAAATGTCAGCCCCCAGCCACTGTGTAAAAGGGGGCTTAGCGTGGAGACGAGCAGGGTTCAGGTCAGCATCCACCGCTTGGAGGCTTAACATGAGCAGAACGGGCCTCTCGTGTGTGGAAGATGAGTGATGCATTCTATATAACAGGGAGCCTCAAAACTTAGAAAGAGGGCTAGGTGTCACCCGAGTTGTTGTATAAACTATGTCATTGCCTGATAGATGGTTTGTGCCTTATAAGACTTTAGAACCGGTAGGGACTTTATACACCCTATTATTTAGAGATTTGTCCAGGGGTCGGCAAACCACAGCCTCGTGCCCATATCTTGCAGCCTGTTTTTGTTTTTTGTTTTTTAGCATGTAAACACACCATTTAAAATCGTGGTAAAATATACCTAGCACTAAATGTGTGTTAACTGTTTTTCAGTGTACGGCGCAGTGGCGTTGGCATTAAGTACATTCATGTTTGTTATGCAACCATTGCTGCCATCTGTCTCCAAAACTTCATCTTCCTCCTGTAATCTGTTTTTATAAATAAAGTTTTATTGGAACCCAGCCACACTCATGAGTAGTGTTTACAGCTGCTTTTAGGCTATAGTGGCAGAGCTGAGTAGTTGCAACCGAGATCCCGTGGTCTGCAAAGCCTAAAATACTTACTGTCTGGTCCTTTCCAGAAAAAGTTTGCCGGCCCCTGATCTAGTCAGACTCCATCTTACACTTGGAAAAGACCCAAAGAAATTAAATGAGTTGCCCCCGGGACATACAACAAATAGGTGAAATTTCCAGGACTGGAACTTCTTCAGTTTCTAGAATTGGGGTGGGCTTTTTCTGTGCAGTCCCTGGATTGTGCATGTAAGGCCACACTCACTGGTGCAGGAACGAGCCATTGCGGTCCCCTTAACTGTGTGGCATCCCTTGGCAGCACAGCTACGCTCACTAAGATGGATATGCAGATAAGCCCATTTCAACAAGCATTTTGAAAATCTGGCTCTTCCGGAAATAAACATTGCCACCCTCAGTCCTTTTGGTTTCAGATTTTTCTTGCAGTTGTATATTTTGACATTTGTGAGAAGTGCTATTGCTGTCTTCAGACCCACCCTTATTAATGCTGTCTGCTGCCCTCACTGTCTTCACAGCCCCATCATGGAAGCTTTCGGCAATGCGAAGACCGTGTACAACAACAACTCTAGTCGCTTTGGGAAGTTTGTTCAGCTGAACATCTGTCAGAAAGGAAATATTCAGGGCGGGAGAATTGTAGATTGTATCCTCTTTCATTTATTTTTATCTATAGTAATTGATTCTCTAAGTGGAAACTGTTCTCACTAATTATAAGGATTGAAAAAGAATGTGAAACATTTCTTTCTCTGGTTCTTTAACGAATTAGACAGTTAGTTATTGCTCTAATGTTAGTATACCTGTTAATTTTTTCTATGAGATGGACATGGTACATGTGCCTATAGTTACAGCTACTTGGGAGGCTGAGGCAGGAGGATTGCTTGAGCTCAAGAGTTAGAGGCCAGCCTGAGCAACATAGCAAGACCCTGTCTCTTAAAAAAATAAAATAATTTTTAAAAATTATTCTGTGCGGCCAGGCGCAGTGGCTCATGCCTGTAATCCCAGCACTGTGGGAGGCCAAGGTGGTCAGATCACTTGAGGTCAGGAGTTTGAGACCAGCCCGGCCAACATGGTGAAACCCCACCGATACTAAAAATACAAAAATTAGCCAGGCTTGGTGGCGTGTGCCTGTATTCCCAGCTACTTGGGAGGCTGAGACAGGAGAATCGCTTGAACCCAGGTAGCAGAGGTTGCAGTGAGCCGAGATCGTGCCACTGCACTCCAGCCTGGGCGAGAGAGCGAGACACTGTGTTAAAAAAAAAAAAAAAAAATTCTGTGAAATAAAGAACCGTATTTGTTTTATAAATCTCTGATATAATTTCCATAATCTGAAACATTGACTTCATCATTAAACTTCAGGTATTTGTTTGAAATCAACTGTGTCAGTTAGTTTGGTACCTGACAGGGTACCATGTGTCAGGCCTGGAATTAGATTTAGATGAAATAGTCTATACTTTGTTTGCTTGTCTGTTGGCACTGGAAGCTTCTATGTCAAAGGAACAGGGAACTGTAATTATTTGAGCACCAAAGAATAGAAAATGAAAGACTAGTTGAGCATGGCACATAGCTTTGTTTTTTTCCTTGACTTGCCATTGCTTTTCACATGAAGATTTATTAGAAAAAGTAAGTAAACGTGATTTAATCCACATTTTCTTCCATAATAACAATTTTCAGAAATTATTGGTTTGTGTGAATTAAGCACAGGACACATCTCTGAATATAAATCTGATTTATCTTCCCAGAACCGAGTAGTAAGGCAAAATCCCGGGGAAAGGAATTATCACATATTTTATGCACTGCTGGCAGGGCTGGAACATGAAGAAAGAGGTGAGTGGGACGACAGCTGGATAATGTGGACTAGCAACTCATTTTCCATTTAAATAGATGTCAGTAAATGAGAGAACATCTGTTTTAATGTTGACATTTCACCGATAGCAATGAAATGTACACTATGCGAACACCAAAAAGATGCTGAATTTACAGTAGGGAGAAATAATAGGGAGAAAATTATCAGTAGAGAAACCTTAGATTTTTTTTTTTGAGTCTTGGTACATTTTTAATGTAAAGGATGTTTATTAAAAATACATATTACAGCTGGTTTCACTTTTCAGCCACCCTGAATAAAGTTAATTTCTAAATATTTGATTTTTGGCTGGGTGCAGTGGCACACACCTGTAATCCCAGTACTCTGGGAGGCCAAGCAGACGGATCACTGGAGATCAGGAGTTCAAGACCAGCCAGGCCAATATGGTGAAACTCCGTCTCTACTAAAAACACAAAAATTAGCCAGGCATGGTGGTTCGTGCCTGTAATTCCAGCTACTCAGGAGGCTGAGGCAGGAGAATCGCTTGAACCCGGGAGGCAGAAGTTGCGGTGAGCTGAGATTGTGCCACTGCACTCCAGCCTGGGTGACAGAGCTAGACTCTGTTTCATTAAAAAGAAAAAAGAAAGATTTTTTAAGAGAAAACAAACAGGATCCTCATCAGTTGTTCTTTCAGTAACATTTTTTAAATAATCTCATTTAGTTTCAGTAATTGTTTTCTATTTTCCCTAGATGGTAACTAAGAGGGAACTTTATTATCTTTATGGGAGACTGTTAAGAGCACAGAATTATATATATATACTTTAAAAAGTCAGAGTGAAAACTCTGAATTTCATCTTGTCCTGGAGAACTGTGACATCATGTTTTTGTCTTTCTGTAGAAGAATTTTATTTATCTACGCCAGAAAACTACCACTACTTGAATCAGTCTGGATGTGTAGAAGACAAGACAATCAGTGACCAGGAATCCTTTAGGGAAGTTATTGTAAGTTACTTTTAAATGTTTTCCCTATTAAGATATCAGATACCTTATTAAGAGTAACAGATTTCATTTTCGGTTTCAAAAGATTTTTTTAAATAGAAATAGAAGTAATTCCATTTGGACCAGTGGGTGAGAACAGGTATTTCCTTCTTGTTCCAAGTCATGAACTTGTTCCAAGTTCTAGGCTGAAAGGGGTTTGAGGACTCTTCTTTCCTTAGAAGATGAGCGAATGTGTCATTCAGGGCAGATGGGCAGTTTACTTGGGACAGTGTGTTCAGAAAGTGTACCTTCCACCCCCAAAAAACCCCCCAAATCATGGGCTTCACTCTGGAACCAGCAGATCCTCCATTTTGGGGCTTACAAGTAAGATTTCTTTGAAAAACAAATTCTATAGCTAATAACAAATCTGCCAGCCATTGGCCCAGGTGACTGTTGTTGCAGAATTTTGCTCCTTTGTTCAGCTAAAACCTGGGGTCTTGTCACACGATCAGGAAAACTTAGGCACAGGGACACGTTGAAGGGTGAGTAGAGCAGGGTTTTATTGGGTGAAAGGAAGATGGCCAGGCGCGGTGGCTCATGCCTATAATCCCAGCACTTTGGGAGGCCAAGGCGGGCAGATCACGAGGTCAGGAGATTGAGACCATCCTGGCTAACACGGTGAAACCCCGTCTCCACTAAAAATACAAACAATTAGCCGGGCGTGGTGGCGGGCGCCTATAGTCCCAGCTACTCGGGAGGCTGAGGCAGGAGAATGGCGTGAACCCGGGAGGCGGAGCTTGCAGTGAGCCGAGATCGCGCAACTGCACTCCAGCCTGGGAGACAGCGAGACTCCGTCTCAAAAAAAAAAAAAAAAAAAAAACCTCAGCAAAGCGAGAGGTGTTCCTGCTAACAGGCCCCCACCTCACATGTTGATTTCCAGGTCACTACAGGAGCGGAAGAGAGCAGGCTTCTCTTCCCCGTGGAAGAATTCCCCGTGGCCCCACCCACTTCCCCCAGTGCGTACGTCAGGCTCCAGTTCACTGTGGGATGCCCAGACAAGCCCTGGGCAGGTTCCCTCATCGACCCAAAAGCATCTAATGTAAACATTCTTGGGACGCTTGGAGATTCTCCAGGGACCCCATTTTATCTGCCTAAGCATTTGGCTGTCTCATGTTAAGGTATCATCCAGCCCTCGTGGCTTGTGATGGCCATTTCTGGTTGCGTGAGCATTAGTCATCCTGTCTCTGCATTGTGGCATGCCATGGTCTCTTGCAAGGGCTTTGTTACAAGGTATCTGCATTTAAGATAGCCCAGTCATCGAGCGTTGCGAACAGCCCCACCCAATCGGGCCTGGCCAGGAGATTTCATCACTGTGATCTTAAGTTCTTTACCAGAGCCCTTATTAGAACAGTTAGATGCAGCCGGGCACGGTGGCTCATGCCTGTAATCCCAGCACTTTGGGAGGGTGAGGCAGGCGGATCACGAGGTCAGGAGTTCAAGACCAGCCTGGCCAACATAGTGAAACCCCGTCACTGCTAAAAACACACAAAAAATTAGCTGGATATGGTGGCGGGCGACTGCAGTCCCAGCTACTTAGGAGCCTGAGGCAGGAGAATCGCTTGAACCTGGGAGGCGGAGGTTGCAGTGAGCTGAGATCACGCCTTTGCACTCCAGCCTTGTGACAGTGCAAGACTCCGTCTCAAAAAAAAAAAAAAAAAAAAAAAAAAAAGTTAGATGCAATGCACCTAGGGTGGCGTCATTATCATTCTAATCATCACAAATGCAGCTGACATTTAGTGAGCACTTACTGTTATGAACTTCACATGGAGTTTACTTTCCAATCACTCTCATCAACCCTCTGATGGTAGGAAGTATGGTTGTCTCCATTCTAAGACTCAGAGAAGTTAGTGACCAGCCTAACCTTACCCAGTACCTGGTGCAGCCCATATCCATACACAGTCTAACTCTGGATCCCACACTCTAAACCGCGATGCAGTAATACCTGGTTTCAGTGCACCTCAGATTCGTCCTCCTAGGCTGCCGCTGGAAGACTAGCAGCTCTTCATTCTGTTTTCCTTTTCATTGTCATAGATTATTTGTTACAACTGTCTGTGGAATGAAATCAGAATATTTTTAACAAATGGATATAAATCATGCATCATTTCTCTATGGCTAACATGTGTCTCCTTAAGTTGAAAATGAAATTCCAAACGGACTAGGCTATATACATGATTGTTTTCCACTCTGCCTCCCTTTTAAAGATGTCACAACCTGCCATTTATAATGCAGAGCGGTTTCTCGCTCCATCTCTCCTATTTTCTAACCTGTTAACAAAAACCCTCCTGCAGACAGCACCTTTTGGCATCTGCCTGCGGAGGTGTGGGATTTGGCCTTGCACGTTGGGTTTTATGCAGTGTTTTTCTAAGTATTTTAATTATCTTTTCCAATTTTATATTGGCCCTTTAGACCTCTCACTACTCAAACCTTCCATCACGGTTCATTTATTACTGTCTGCTGAAAAGATGATGTGTTAGAATAAATTCTCATTCTCGTTTTTGAGGAGCAGGGCAAAAAAAAAAGACTTGTCTCTGGCTTTTTTCCTATTTTATTTCTTGTTTCTTTCTTGAAGTAACGAACAATAATTTGTGATAAAAGAATACAGACAAGACACCTGATTATCCACATGGCAGTGTCACTGCAGGTCCCATCACCTGCGAGCTCGCTTGTTGGCCGCTAGGGAGCACTTGGCAGTGGCAGCTCCCTTGTCCTGGGAAGGCCCTGAGAAATCAGATACTCCGTTGGTACTCTGTGTTCTCTCGGGACATCATTTTCCACTTCAGAACTGTCTGTTCTTTTTGTCAGCTACAAGTAAACTTTTGGAACTTGGCTTCCCTTCAGTGATTGCTAGCTTTTATTGCTACATTGAAATAATAGGTCTTGGCATTTGAAATTTGATTTTATGACAAAAGGATATGTCAATCACCTAGAAAGGAAGAGAAATTTATACATGAAATTGACATAATGAGCATACCTAACAAATTTATTCTAGTTAATACATTCTACTTATAAAAGATATTTATAGATCCTTAAATATCTAATTTGCAATTACTTTTTAGTGTTAGTCTAGCAGGTGTATCAATGAAAACTTAGCTGATGTTTATTAATATCACAAACATGACATTTTTGCTATAATAATAGCAAAATTTAACCCGTTACTCTTTAACCTTGTACTGGAAATTCTAAGCAGTGCAGCAAAAAGAAAAAGAAAAAAAAAAGTGTAACTTTTGGGAAAGAGGGAGGAAAATATATTCCTTTCTATATACAATAAGATTTTCTTCTCCCAAACCTATGAGAATCAAGAATTGGGGGATAGGCGGGGTACAGTGGCTCATGTCTGTAATGTCAGCACTTTGGGAGGCTGAGGTGGGCAGATCACTTGAGCACAGGAGTTCAAGACCAGCCTGGGCAACATGGCAAAAACCCATCTCTACAAAAAAATACAAAAATTAGCCGGGTGTAGTGGCACACACGTGTAAACCCAGCTACTTGGGAGGCTGAGGTGGGAGGATGGCTTGAGTCTGGGAGATGGAGGTTACAGTGAGCCGAGATTATGTCACTGCACTCCAGCCTGGGCGACAGGGCCAGGCCCCATCTCAAAAATAAAAAAATTAGAAAAAGAATTGGGTCATG
This sequence comes from Homo sapiens, assembly GCF_000001405.40. Taxonomy (NCBI): domain Eukaryota; kingdom Metazoa; phylum Chordata; class Mammalia; order Primates; family Hominidae; genus Homo; species Homo sapiens. The sequence continues at coordinate 16,775,878 of NC_000005.10, read as the reverse complement.
CCTATAATTCCAGCACTTTGGGAGGCTGAGGCTATGGATCACGAGGTCTGGAGTTCAAGACCAGCCTGGCCAACATAGTGAAACCCCATCTGTACTAAAAATACAAAAATTAGCTGGGCGTGGTGGCACGTGCCTGTAGTCCCAGCTACTCAGGAGGCTGAGACAGGAGAATTGCTTGAACCTGGGAGGTGGAGGTTGCAGTGAGCTGAGATCGCGCCACTGCACTCCAGCCTGGGCGACAGAGCAAGACTCTGTCTCGAGAAAACAAACAAACAAACAAACAAACAAAATTGGCCAGGCATTGTGGTGTACCTGTAGTCCTAGCTACCTTGGAGGTGTGAGGATTACCTGAGCCCAGGGAGTTCGAGGCTGTAGTGAGCCATGATCATGCCATTGCACTGCAGCCTGGATGACAGAGTAAGACCCTGTCTCAAAAACAAAAAACATGATTCTTTTTATCAACTTTAATGTTAGTGTATTCTGGCAATAGGACCTTTTAAGAATTTTGCTTATTTCATTGAGAATTTGCCTTAATGTATTTTTAAAATTTATCATTGGTCGCAATAAACATTAATATAAAAAAGTACCTATGAGGTATTCTGAACAGTTTTAGGAGCGTCTTGGTTTTTCCTGGGGCAGAGGCAATGAACCTATGCTAAATTTCATAGGCATTTCTTATACAGCCCTTCAAATTGCCCCTTAAAGTGTTAGGTCAGGATGAAAAGCTATTTCAAGTCAGTAGTAACAACTGGTTTATTTTATTGCTTGCATTTGGCCCACCAGGTTGGTGGCTGATGAAATGTGTATGAAGTAACAGGAGTCTTTGCTGAGTGATCATCTGTTTATTCTTTTACTCCACAAATATCGAATGTTTACAGCGTGCCTGGCACTGAGCAGGGCTGGGGTTTCCTGACCATATGGACCTTCCTGGGTATATCTGTGGGGCTTGAATGGTGTGTGACCTTGTGTACGCATGCGTGAATTCATTTGTCATGAGTCAGATTTTATTAAAATTTAAAGGACCAACTTTTTACTTTCATGTTGTGAAACTTGGAAATGTCAGTCTCTTTCAGTGTTGGAAAACTTGGGTGGTCAGCCAATTTTATATTATAAAGTATTTTTAAAATAATATAATATTACTTGATAAAACATAACATTGGCCGGGCACGGTGGCTCACGCCTGTAATCCCAGCACTTTGGGAGGCCGAGGCAGGCAGATCATGAGGTCAGGAGATCGAGACCATCCTGGCTAACACAGTGAAACCCCGTCTCTACTAAAAATACACAAAATTAGCCGGGTGTGGTGGTGGGCGCCTGTAGTCCCAGCTACTCGGGAGCCTGAGGCAGGAGAATGGCGTGAACCCAGGAGGCAGAGCTTGCATTGAGCTGAGATTGCACCGTTGCACTCCAGCCTGGGCAACAGAGTGAGACTCCGTCTCAAAAAAATAAATTAAAAAAATAAATAAATAAGTAACATGATGTAATAAATTATTACTGAGTTACTTACTTGTAATTTACTGTGCCCAAAATAGCCTCCCCTGTCACCCTTTCAGACACACCATTTGTTGACTTCTTCTGGAGGTACCTTCTCTGAGGGTGACACTCCTCCCTTTGTTTCCAGGGTGACAAGCTGAGCTCCTTTTGTGCATGATGATTGGGACTCTGCCGTGTATTCGCCACCATCCCCCAACACACATTCACGTTCACAAGCATCTGTTTTTTATGTGCTGAATCATAGAATTTCCCATGGTTTTTTCAGTCTTGAAGCCTAGTGTTGAAATACTAATTATAATAAGCCTTGAAGTGGCTACTCTTGTCAAAGGGGTGGAGATTGCTTATTAACAAAGATTGTAAATAGGAGAGTAAGAAACAATAAATAGAGACTCTTGCTGGAGTTTTAGCATACATGTCTGCATTGGCGAGAACTGGTTTTAGACATTAAATTATTCCATGTTATGATTAATGCAGTTGCCGCTTATCACAACACTACTAACTACTTGCCCAATCACTTAGAGTTAGACTAGAAAGCAAAGAAGTCCACAAATTTATTAATATAGTAAACACATTTGTTCATTTGCTTACATATCTTCTTATACAACCTTTGTATTTTTTTTTAGAACTTAACCAAAAATTTTTATTTATGGGATATGTGTCAATATTTTTTATTTGGCAGTTAGAAATTTTCTACTACTTATTTCACTTTTTTTTTTTTTTTTTGAGACAAGGTCTCACTCTGTTGCCCAGGCTGGAGCACAGTGGTGTGATAATGGCTCTCTGCACCCTTGAACTCCTGGGATCAGATGATCCTCCTGCCCTAGCCTCCCAAGTAGCTGGGAGTACAGGTGTATGCCAGCACACTAGGCGAATTTTTAATTTTTTTTAGAAATGGGGTTCTTGCTATGTTGCCAGGCTAAAAAATGATTATATATTAGTTATGAATATATCTTGTCATAGATGAAGAAAACTTTAATCATAGAAAGGGAAAAATTTAACTTTTGCACAGTGTAGGTGCATTATAATTATTTTGCTGATATCTGATATGGTCTTTAACACAGTTTAAAAAGTCTTGAGAATAACAAATTATTTGTATTTCTTAACCGTATTTCTTTGCTTTTACCTTTTAGAAGAAATCACTGATAAATATCTTTAAATTTGAATAATTATTTTCTCATAGGCTTTTTAAAATTGATAAGCACTTGGCAAATAGTTCTTATTCTTTGTTTCTGTTTGTATGCATGAAATGATAGCCTTCCCACCTTCAAGTAATTTATGGTATTTTAATTTTTATAATCAACTTTATTGAGATATAATGAACACATAATTAAATACGTCCATTTAAAGTATACATTTCAGTGAATTTTGAATTTACACACCCATTTATCCACAACTGTGATCAAGATAAAAGGGAATCCTCTGCCCCAAAAGTTTCTCTGTGCCCCTTCCCAGGCAATCCCAACCCCCCCACACCTGGCCCTAGGAAACTACTGATCTAATTTAGTCCCTCTGGTATACGGTTATCTTCTTTAGAGTTCCATGTAACTAAAATATGCACTATGTAGTGTCCTGTATCCAGCTTCCTCCAGCCATCCATGTGGCACGTATCACTATTCACTGCTTTTTTTGGTATTCCGTTGAATAGACAGCAGTTTGTTTATCCATTCACCCATTGATTGTCTCATTTTTTGTTGTAAAAGTATTTATTGCCAGCAACATTAAAAGACATGATAGAATAGAATGTTCATGAGCTTGCCAGCACTGTTAACTCACAGTTAACCCTTAACAGTAACTATTGGAACTAGTTTCAAATTTGTAAATTTTCTTCCCAGACTGCATTTTAAAAATAATATAGGTACAAAATAGCTTTTTTGCTTTTTTACAAAAAGCTACTGTAAATATAACTGTGCCTCTATATCATGTGCATAATTTTCTTTAAAAAGTATACCATAGGCTGGGCGCCGTGGCTCACGCCTATAATCCCAGCACTTTGGGAGGCCAAGGCGGGTGGATCACCTGAGGTCGGGAGTTCGAGACCAGCCTGACCAACATGGAGAACCCCCTGTCTCTACTAAATATACAAAATTAGCCAGGTGTGGTGGTGCATGCCTATAATCCCAGCTACTCGGGAGGCTGAGGCAGGAGAATCACTTGAACCCGGAAGGCGGAGGTTGTAGTGAGCCGAGATCATGCCATTGCACTCCAGCCTGGGCAACAAGAGTGAAACTCCATCTCAAAAAAAAAAAAAAGTATGCAATATTCATATAACTTACTATATTTGACTTGTATAATTGTAGAATAATTAGAATTATTTTTTCTGTGAAAGTGTTAATTAAGGTAACTCTGTAGTGAATGTTTTCTAAAGGTTTTTTTTCTTTTCTTGAAATTTTCCTTGAAACAAATTTTCAGCATTGAAATTATTGGAGATTATATAGATTTCTTTTTTATGTCTTTATAAAGTAACAGAGTTGGGTCAATAATAATAATAATAATGATAAGTTCCTGGCTGGGCACGGTGGCTCATGCCTGTAATTCCAGCACTTTGGGAGACCTAGGTGGGCAGATTGCTTGAGCGCAGGAGTTTGAGACTGGCTTGGGCAACACCGCAAAACTCCATCTCTCCTAAAAATACAAAAATTTAGCCAGGTGTGTTGGTGTGCACCTGTTGTCCCAGCTACTCAGGAGGCTGAGGTGGGAGAATCACCTGAGCCTGGGAAGTCGAGGCTGCAGTGAGCCTTGATCACACCACTGCCCGCCAGTGCAGGTGACAGGAGTGAGACCCTGTATCAAAATAATAATAATAATAATAATAATAATAATAATAATAATAATAATAAATCATAATAGTAAGTTCCTAGATTTGGGTCAGTTGGGCCAGAGTTTGAATTTTGGTTGTGCGACCCTGAGAAAGTTATTTTTCTTCTCTGAACCTTTGTTGTTGGTTTTTCTCTCAGATATGAAAATTCTAGTATTATATACATATTATATACCTAGGACAATTCTGTCAGATAATCATGTTGTTTTCCAAAAAGATTATACTAATTTATAGTACTAACAACCATTGTATAAATGTCTCTTTTCTACTAATCTTTGTCATTCTGAAATTTTTTGCTAATTTGACAGAACTGATCTCATATTTACCTTAATTTGTACATGTTCGATTTCTAGGAAGGAAAAAAACAGTACTCTGGATTTGCATTTCTCCCTATTTTTATCGCTCATGTATATGTCAGTGGATCTTTTAATTCTTTCCCTCTCCATTGTTTGCCTTTTCTTTCCTGCCATTATTGCTTTTTCTTTATAAAGAAATTAATCTTGGCCTGGCGTGGTGGTTCACACCTGTAATCCTGGCACTTTGGGAAGCCAAGGTGGGCATATCACTTGAGGTTGGGAGTTCGAGACCAGCCTGACCAACATGGAGAAACCTCGTATCTACTGAAAATACAAAATTAGCCAGGCGTGGTGGCGCATGCCTGTAATCCCTGCTACTTAGGAGGCTAAAGCAGGAGAATCGCTTGAACCTGGGAGGCACGGGGTGCGGTGAGCCGAGATCGTGCCACTGCACCCCAGGCTGGGCGAAACAGCGAAACTCCATCTCAGAAAGAAAACAAAAAAAAGGGAAAGAAATTGAACTTTTCGCAGTGTTAAATCTCCAGTTGTTTCCTTTTGCAATTTATGTTGCTTCAGAGCGGTGCGTGGTTTCCTTCTTCCCACTCTCCTATGGTCCTTGTGTGAGTCCAAGTTCTTTTTGTAGGTCATTTTCATCGATATTGCCAACAAGTCTGCCCCCAAGTTTGTGTGTACGTGTCTGGTTTTCTTTTCTTTTTTAATAGCTTTTTTTGGTCACAAGAATGCAGCTCCTCAGTCACAGTAGAAAATCAGCAAATCTTAGATATGATTCAGAAAACACCTGGCTTCAGTTGTTTAGATACTGTTGGTAACAGATTCCTGTAAGTGCCTGTTTATTTTTATTTTTCCTCAAACAGCATTATGTTAACTTCCACTTAGTATCCTCAGGCCAAGATAAGACCATAAAAAATCCTTTGGAGAAATTAAAAATAGAGATGTGATGAGTGCCTAAGGAAGATAGGTCCAGATCTATTTAGATTTTCCATCAGCATTTATTTAATTTTTTTCTTTTTTTAAGAGACAGGGTCTTAACTGTGTCACCCAGGCTCCCAGGCTGGAGTACACATGCGATCATAGCTCACCGTAACCTTGAACTCCTGGGTTCATGCGATACTCCTGCCTCAGCCAAGCCAGGAGCTGGGACTGCAGGTGTGCACCAACACACCTGGCTAATTTTTTAAAATTCTTGGCTTGGCATGGTGGCTCACGCCTGTAATCCCAGCACTTTGGAAGGCCAAGCTGGAAGGATTGCTTGAGGCCAGGAGTTTGAGACCAGCCTGGCCAACATGAGACCCCCATCTCTACAAACAAAACAAAACAAAACAAAACAAAAATACACCCCCTCTCCAAGTACTCCCTCTCCACATTTTTACATCTAAAGAAAATAATAAATATTTCATTACACTCTGATAGCTGTACAGAAAACTGTTTCTTTATTGTTGTCATGACTGTGACTCCCTGAGGTAATTCTTTTGTAGCATATATAGGAGGCTTGTATGTAAGGGGGACACTATGTTTATTTCATTGATTATCTCTGAGCATGCTATAGTTCTTTATCTTCCTCCTCTTATGTGCACTATGTAATGTCCTCATCATTTTAAAAGTGAGTTGCTATTGGGCGGGCGCGGTGGCTCACGCCTGTAATCCCAGAACTTTGGGAGGCCAAGGTTGGTGGCTCACTTGAGGTCAGGAGTTCAAGACCAGCCTGGTCAACATGGTGAAACCCAGTCTCTACAAAAAACACACACAAAAAATTAGCTAGGCATGGTGGCACACACCTGTAATCCCAGCTACTCGGGAGGCTGAGGCACGAGAATTGCTTGAACCCAGGAGGCGGAGGTTGCAGTGAGCCAAGATCGTGCCACTGCACTCCAGCTTGGGTGACAGAACGAGACTGTCTCAAAACAAAAAAACAAGTGAGTGGTTATGCATCTATTTTTTGTTTCTTTGCCTTTTCAATAACACCTAGTAATTTTATATTATCAGGGATATTCTACATTTTCTTCAGTGTGAAAAAACGACATAAAATTAAATACATTTATTTTCTTCTAGACGGCAATGGACGTGATGCAGTTCAGCAAGGAGGAAGTTCGGGAAGTGTCGAGGCTGCTTGCTGGTATACTGCATCTTGGGAACATAGAATTTATCACTGCTGGTGGGGCACAGGTTTCCTTCAAAACAGGTAAGATTATGCCTGCCTGCCCTCCTCGCTCCCTTTGTTCCCCGTGGGAAACTTAAACCTAAATTATTGACTGTCTAGCCTTTCAGAAAGAAAATTCTGGCCAGGTGCGGTGGCTCTTGCCTGTAACCCCAGCACTTTGGGAGGTGGAGGCGGGCAGATTGCTTGAGCCCAGGAGTTCGAGACCAGCCTGGGCAATGTGGCCAAACCCCATCTCTACTAAAAATACAAAAATTAGCCAGGCATGATGGTGTGCCCCTGTAGTCCCAGCTGCTTGGGAGGAGAGGGTGGGAGGATCACCTGAGCCTCTGCGGGTTGAAGGTGCAGTGAGCTGAGATGATGCCACTGCACTCCAGTCTGGGCAACAGAGTGAGATCTTGTATCACCAAAAAAAAAAAAAAAAAAAAAAAAAGAAAAGAGAAAATGTTCTGACTCCTTGAATAGAGAGCTACAGAATGTTAGTTGTGTCAGATATGAAGCGTCGGTTAGGAAAGGCTCAGAGTATATGAAAAGTTACTAGTCAATTGGGATAGCAGCCATTTTCTCTTTTTAAAAAGAAGGAAAATGAGTCAAGTACGTGGAAATATGAGCAACCAGGAATCGACATAGGAAAATGTTGAGAGTCAGGTGGCATTGTCCTGTTGAGTGCCAGCATGGTAGAATGGTTAATTAAGTCCCTTTGTTTTGCAAGCCAGTATGCTGGCTTCATAGCCCTCCCCTGCTTCATACTGTTTCCTGTGTTCTTTATCCCCTGAATACTCATGACTTCTCACCTGTACAGTGTCTCAGAGATTTGCTGTCAAGATAAAATGAGTTACCATATAGCTACGTCAGTTGTCATTTTGCTTGAGTGATTTATGTATTAATTTTTAAAACTTTTCTGATGGAAGCAAGAGATGAGGTCATGGAAGCTGGAAATTGGATGAGTTCAAGTTCAGAGTGGTTCTAGAGGAGACCAGAACTGTAGGCCAGTAATTCTCAAATGTCTGGTTCTACCCAGCACCTCTTAATATTCTCAAAAATCATAGAACCCCCGAGAGCTTTTGTTTATGTGGGTTGTATCTGTTGATGTTTACCACATTAAAAGTTAAAACTTTTTGGCTGGGCACAGTGGCCCATGCCTGTAATCCTAGCACTTTGGGAGGATGAGGCAGGTGGATCACTTGAGGTCAGGAGTTCGAGACCAACCTGGCCAACATGGTGAAACCCCGTCTCTACTAAAAATACAAAAATTAGCCAGGCGTGGTGGTGTGCGCCTGTAATTCCAGCTACTTGGGAGACTGAGGCACGAGAATCTCTTGAACCTGGGAGGTGGAGGTTGCAGTGAGCCAAGATCATGCCAGTGCACTATAGCCTGGGTGACAAAGTGAGACTCTATCTCAAAAAAAAAGTGAAAACTTCTAATCAAAAGTTAAAATGAGATGTTTAAAAAATATTCTTTATTAATTTAAAAAGAACAATAATAAACCCATTGCATACTAAAATAAATGTTCTATTTTTATTTAAAAGACTGTTTTCCAAATCAGAAAACAGGAAGGATAGTCACATTGTCTTATCTTTTTGCAAATTTCTTTAATGTCTGGCATATTGAAAGACAGTTGGGGGCTGGGCGCAGTGGCTTCTACCTGTAATCCCAGAACTTTCTTTAGGAGGCCAAGGTAGGTGGATCACGTGAGGTCAGGAGTTGGAGACCAGCCAGGCCGATACGGTGAAACCCGTCGCTACTAAAAATACAAAAATTAGCCGGGCTTGGTGGCGGGCACCTGTAATCCTAGCTACTTGGGAAGCTGAGGCAAGAGAATCGCTTGAACCCAGGACGCGGAGGTTGCAGTGAGCCGAGATCATGCCACTGCACTCCAGCCTGGGAGACAAAGCAAGACTCTGTCTCAAAAAAAAAAAAAAAAAAAAAGACAGTTGGGTTGTCATATCTCTTCTGCCTTTAATTTGTTGAGGTACCTCATGTGTAGCCTTTGGAATACTCTTCTGTATACTGGTGAGAGAATTAGAGTGAAAAAAGCAGATAACATCTTAGTGTTATTAATGAAAGTAGTAGGCCGGGCATGGTGGCTCATGCTTGTAATCCCAACATTTTGGGAGGCCAAGGCAGGGAGATCACTTGAGGTCAGGAGTTCAAGACCAACCTAGCCAACATGGTGAAACCCTGTCTCTACTAAAAATACTCAGGAGGCTGAGGCAGGAGAATCATCTGAACCAGGGAGGCGGAGGTTGCAGTGAGCTGAGATCATGCCACCGTACTCCAGCCTGGGCTACAGAGTGAGACTCCATCTCAAAAAAAAAAAAAAAAAGAAAGTAGGTGGGCATGGTGGCTCATGCCTGTAATCCCAGCACTTTGGGAGGCCAAGGCGGGTAGATCATGAGGTCAAGAGATCAAGACCGTCCTGGCCAACGTGGAGGTCAACAGATTGAGACCATCCTGGCCAACATGATGAAACCCCATCTCTACTAAATATGCAAAAAAATTAGCCAGGCGTGGTAGCGGGTGCCTATAGTCCCAGCTGCTTGGGAGGCTGAGGCAGGAGAATGGCGTGAACCCGGGAGGCAGAACTTGCAGTGAACCGAGATCATTGCACTCCAGCCTGGGCGACAGAGCGAGACTCCGTCTCAAAAAAAAGGAGTTGCAAATCTCTGACAGGATCTTGGGGACACCCATAGGATTCCCAGACCACACTTCGTCCAAGCACGAGGCTCTATGCTACTAATCTAGGATTCACTAAGGGAATGAGTAACTTAGCAATAACATGCAATCTCTAAACTCTGCGTGAGGGATTCAGGTGTGTTCTCTGCGTTAAGGTATCGCTAAGCCTGGTTAGCTTCTTGGGGGCGGTGGGTTCATTCACCTTTGTCTTATTCTCTGCAGCTTTGGGCAGATCTGCGGAGTTACTTGGGCTGGACCCAACACAGCTCACAGATGCTTTGACCCAGAGATCAATGTTCCTCAGGGGAGAAGAGATCCTCACGCCTCTCAATGTTCAACAGGTACACACGCTTTGCCATCTGATCTTGCGTTACTAGACACTCCTGGGTTTTCAGATCCATAGGTTTGATTGAAATATGTAATTATAATAACAGTTGTAACTGTAATATATTAATAACTGTTCAAATGACTGGTTCATGATAAAAATAAAGAAGATACCAAAGGATTGGGAATAGACAAAGCTATTGAATTGCTGTCTAATTGTCTAAAATAACATCGAATTGTTGTTTAAGAGGATGGGTCGAATGCAGATTGCCTGACTTTGAACTTGACCCTTCTACTTACTACTGTCTGCTCTTGGGAAATTTAGTCACTATGCCTCAGTTTCCTCCACTATAAGACAAGCATAATTATACCTAATTCATAGGACTCTTATAAGAAAAATAACAAATATATGCTGAGCATTTAATGTCTGGTACAGAGTAAGTGCTAAATAAACATTACTTACGACAATAATGTGTTGTTATAATGAAAACAATATAATAATATGTTTTATTTATATTTGCCTCTGCTACTGCGCTGAGCCAATGTATATGTGCTAGCTCTTTGTATTAGGGTTTTCTTAGAGGGACAGAATATGATAGATAGATTGATAGATATAAAGGGGAGTTTATTAAGTATTAACTTACATGATCAGAAGGTCCCACAATAGGCTGTGTGCAAGCTAAGGAGCAAGGAGAGCCAGTCTGAGTCCCAAAACTGAAGAACTTGGAGTCCGATGTTCTAGGGCAGGAAGCATCCGGCATGGGAGAAAGATGTAGGCTGGGAGGCTGTGCCAGTCTCGCCTTTTCGCATTTTTCTGCCTGCTTTATTTTCACTAGGAGCTTGTGCCCACCAGATTAAGGATGGATGTGCCTTCCCTAGCCCACTGACTCAGATGTCACCCACACAGACACACCCAGGATTAATACTTTGTATCCTTCAATCAAGTTGACACTCAGTATTAACCATCACACTCCTCTAATATGTTTTTAATTGGATAAATGAAAATGCTGACCATATTATGAAGAAAAACTTTGTAAATACAAAGTATAATAGAAAATCAGAAAAATTTTAAAAAGAGCTCACATCTTAATTATTGTTTTAAACCTGGTGCCAGGTGCGGTGGCTCACACCTGTAATCCCAGCACTTTGAGAGGCTGAGGCGGGCAGATCACCTGAGGTCAGGAGTTTGAGACCAGCCTGACCAACATGGAGAAACCCCATCTCTACTAAAAATAGAAAAATTAACCAGGTGTGGTGGCACATGCCTGTAATCCCAGCTACTCAGGGGGCTGAAGCAGGAGAATCGCTTGAACCTGGGAGGTGGAGGTTGCTGTGAGCCGAGATCACGCCATTGCACTCCAGCCTGGGTGACAGAGCTAGACTCCGTCTCAAAAAAACAAAAAACAAAAAAAACCTGGTAACATTTGTACCTGTATATATGGTTTAGATTCTTTTGTATAACAGCATAGCAAGTTGAGTTTGGAATCCTGGTATTTAATCTTAACAGAAGAGAAATATGTGAATTCCAGTTTATCTTTTCTTTAGATATCTGTCCTTTCCTAGATGAGATCGATTGACTTCACACTGGAGGGCCAGATGCTATGCTAGTCTTGTGTGTGTCTCTCAAGTGGGGAATGGATGGCCTTGCCTGTCTGGGGTGCCCGGGGTCAGCTGAGTCTGTGCTGGTTTCTCTCCCACAGGCAGTAGACAGCAGGGACTCCCTGGCCATGGCTCTGTATGCGTGCTGCTTTGAGTGGGTAATCAAGAAGATCAACAGCAGGATCAAAGGCAATGAGGACTTCAAGTCTATTGGCATCCTCGACATCTTTGGATTTGAAAACTTTGAGGTAGGTTTCCTAACAGTGCAGCACGTGAATTCTCTTCTGTCCATGATTAGCTGCTATTGAACAAATCTCTGTGAGCAAACTCTTTTTTTTTCTTTTTTTTTTTGAGAAGGAGTCTCACTCTGTATCCCAGGCTGGAGTGCAGTGGCGTGATCACAGCTCACTGCAACTTCCACATCCTGGTTCAAGTGATTCTCCCACCTCAGCCTCCCAAGAAGCTGAGATTACAGGTGCCTGCCACCACAGCCGGCTAATTTTTCTTGTATTTTCAATAGAGACGGGGTTGCACCATGCTGGTCAGGCTGGTCTTGGACTCCCGACCTCAGGTGATCTGCCCACCTCGGCCTCCCAAAGTGCTGGGATAACAGGTGTGAGCCACTGTGCCAGACAACAGGCATTGATATTTTTCTCTGCAGATCTTTTCTTTGTCTTTTCTTCACCTTTCTATATAATCGTGAGTACACTAAAGATACTTATTGAATGCTTTCCCCCCTTAGGTTAATCACTTTGAACAGTTCAATATAAACTATGCAAACGAGAAACTTCAGGAGTACTTCAACAAGCATATTTTTTCTTTAGAACAACTAGAATATAGCCGGTAAGCACTCATAGAATTCCATTTCAATTTTTTTTTTTAAAGCAGCAACTAGATTCGTTTTGAAGCTATGTTTTCATTTAACTTGGCTGTTTAAAATCTTTCTACAGGGAAGGATTAGTGTGGGAAGATATTGACTGGATAGACAATGGAGAATGCCTGGACTTGATTGAGAAGGTAATGTATTTTTGAAGAATGGTTACAGTCCCAAGGGGGTCCAGCTGGACTGATTCATATTTATGGGAACAAAATAACGTGCACGAACACGCACATCAACGATGTGAATGTTTAGAACACAATGGACCATTTGGAAACATAAATGTAAATGTGCAAGGTTGAATTTAAATACTTGGCTGCTTCAAACCTATTGTCTCATTGAACTCAGTATTTTAGAATCAACAGTGTGTGAATTGGCTTCCCTTAGATTTTAAGTCAGAAGCAAAGCCTTGCCAGTACCAATATAGATTTGCCAGTTGTAAAAGTTTTATCCCCAAAATTGCAACGGGTTCAATTTTTTTTTAAGATTTATATAAGAACTTAATTGGTTTTCTCTATAGTGTATCATTATGGATTTTCCAATCGAGAAATTACCATGCCTTTTCTTTTAACCACTCATTTGTTAGAGAGTAGAGAAGAGCTCTCAAATAGTTTGGGACGCACACATTCAACTTTTTTTTTTTTTTTTTTTTCCCCTGAGACGGAGTCTCACTCTGTCGCCCAGGCTGGAGTATAGTGACACAGACTTGGCTCACTGCAACCTCCGTCTCCCAGGTTCAAGTGATTCTCCTGCCTCAGCCTCCCCAGTAGCTGGGATTACAGGTGTATGCCACCACGCCCAGTTAATTTTTTTGTATATTTAGTAGAAACAGGGTTTCACTGTTGGCCAGGCTGGTCTGGAACTCCTGACCTCAAATGATCTGCCCATCTTGGCTTCCCAAAGTGCTGGAATTACAGGCATGAGCTACCCATGCACCCAGCCACATTCAACTTTTAATTCATTTTTTCTTTTTCTTCTTCTAGAAACTTGGCCTCCTAGCCCTTATCAATGAAGAAAGCCATTTTCCTCAAGCCACAGACAGCACCTTATTGGAGAAGCTACACAGTCAGCATGCGGTATGTCAAAACCTGCAATTCTTCATCACATTGGAGTAGCACGTCTGTGGGTTGGGATTACACACCAGACATGTCAGTCCGCTGGCCCAACTGTGCCTCCCACATTGAACATTTATTCTCAAACCAAAGCTGTTCTTCTATTACTAGAACTAAATTGAAATAAGCAAAAGGGTTAGATTTGGAGCTACTTGTTAGAATGCCCAAGCTTATTTAGAGAACGTAAAATTGTTAATCTATTATAATGACACAATCGAGAGTTAACATGGTTTTTATAAAGTGCACCATATGCCGTGTCCTGAAACGCAGATCCATGGCAAGTTTGGAAATGATTTTCACTGTCTTTTGTATTTAGTGTTCTCTGGAAGTCAAAGGAAATCAGTGAGTGAAATAAGGCATTGTATTTTTTTTTTTTTTTTTTTTTTTTTTTTTAGAATAACCACTTTTATGTGAAGCCCAGAGTTGCAGTTAACAATTTTGGAGTGAAGCACTATGCTGGAGAGGTAACTTTTTATTAAGATACCTATTGATATTTGCCTGTTTGGTATTCAGAGAAAACAGTGGTTTCAGAAGCCAATCATGAATTTATTGGGCTGGGCATGGTGGCTCACATGAGCCTACAGTCCCAGTACTTTGGGAGGCTGAGGCAGGAGGATCACTTGAGGACAGGAGTTTGAGACCAGCCTGGGCAACATAGATATAAAAAACATCTTACAAGATATTTTTTAAAAAGTTAGCCTGGCATGGTGACACATCTGTTGTCCTAGCTGTTCTGGAGGCCGAGGTGGGAGGATTGCTTGGGCATAGGAATTTGAGGCTGCATGAGCTATGATCACGTCACTGCACTTCAGCCTGGGAAATAGAGCAAGACCCTGTCTCTTAAAAAATAAATAAATAAATTTCTTGGAATGATTTCTTTTTGTGGCTCTTTCAGGGAAGTTGCTTATGACCTGAAACTATTCTTTCAATCAGTTTTCTCCTCTCTTATTTATTAAAACTAGGTGCAATATGATGTCCGAGGTATCTTGGAGAAGAACAGAGATACATTTCGAGATGACCTTCTCAATTTGCTAAGAGAAAGCCGGTATGTCAGTCTTCTCACCGAGAAGTACTTAGCAAGCAAATGAATATTTGTGCAAATGCTTTTAATTCACAAATATAGAACAAATTGCTGTTATGTAAGAAACTTAGTATTGTTTTTCCCAGGTAATACTTCATCAATGAAGTAACTCAAAAGTATAACAATAATACAAGCAAGGTCGGGCATGGTGGCTCACGCCTGTAATCCCAGCACTTTGGGATGCCAAGGTGGGCAAATCACGTGAGGTCAGGAGTTTGAGACCAGCCTGGCCAACATAGTGAAACCCCATCTCTACTGAAAATACAAAAATTAGCCAAGCATGGTGGCAGGCACCTGTAATCCCAGCTACTTGGGAGGCTGAAACAGGAGAATCGCTTTAACCTGGGAGGTGGAGGTTGCAGTGACCCAAGATTGCGCCATTGCAGTCCAGCCTGGGTGACAAGAGTGAAACTCTGTCTCAAAATAAATAAATAAATAAATAAATTAATAATAATAATAATAATATAAGCAATGACTGCCATTTAGTGAGGTACTGAAATAAACCAACCACAGAGGTATAAGTAACATACTGTTATTAATCCTCTTATGCAGATGAGGAAACCGAGCCTTGAAGCAGTTAAAGCTGTTAAGTGACTTCCCCAAGACCTCTCAACTGGTAACCAGTGAGCCATCGAGTCCAGTTTTGATCTGGTCTGGTTGGCTTGAGAACCTTAATATCTTAAGCAGTGTGGTCTGCTGTCTTCACAGGGAGCTTAGAGCTGCGTGGTTAAGCTGATTTCAGCCTTGGTTTTATAGGACTCCTGTGTCTCTAGTTAGTAAAATAAATGCCTTAATTCAGCTATAATTATAAATTTATTACATATTCATTTATTCGTTCATGAATTATAAATTTACACCATTAAATCAATAAAGAAAACACACAGAAACTTGCAGTGATAAGTTATTTGTATGTATTAGACCAGGAAGTGTCCTTTTTGGTTTTTTTTTGGTTTGTTTTTTTTTTTTGGAGACAGGGTCTCGTTCTGTCACCCAGACTGGAGTGCAGTGGCGCAATCTCGGCTCACTGCAACCTCCACCTCCCAGGTTCACGCCATTCTCCTGCCTCAGCCTCCCGAGTAGCTGGGACTACAGGTGCCCGCCACCACGCCTGGCTATTTTTTTTTTTTTTTTTGTATCTTTAGTAGAGACAGGGTTTCGCCATGTCAGCCAGGATGGTCTCCATCTCCTGACCTCATGATCCGCCCACCTCGGCCTCCCAAAGTGCTGGGATTACAGGCATGAGCCACCATGCCCGGCGGAAGTGTACTATTTTTAGGAGGCTTTGTAAGAGAGAAAGAGTTTAGGGAAAAAACCCTTTCCTGAAAGCTTTCAGCACCTGTGTTGGATCTGGTGGGAATCTGTAACAAAAACACATGTTTATATCTAAGGAAGGAAAGTAGCAAAAAAGTTTAAAAGCTGTAATACTTTTAGAAATGTAAATACTAGATGGCCACCTGTCACTTAGATAGGAATGAATTGGGACAAAGGGAGCCCATATAAGGTAGTATCAGCCTAGAAACTCAGAATTTGAAACATTTGATCTTCAAACTTATTTTAACTCTTCTATGTGAGGGTTCACTATATACAACATTGTTAGCTATTTTATTTTTAGGTGAGTTTTCAGACCTGTAAAAATGATGGGTGTTTAAAAAACACCATAGCATGCTGTCAAAGCAATTTCTTAGTTTAATGCGATACGTTTAAATAAAAGCCCTGTATTGATGTTAAGTAGAGGCAGTTTGTCGTAGTGAAAAGATTGCAGGCCTGGAGACCAGCGAGGTGGAGTTTCGCCAGCTGCCTCTGTGCCAGCGTGAAGCAGTTTTGTGAGTGGTGTAAAGAACTTCCTGTCTCAACCCCAGGTTTCCCCTTGCAAACCGAGGAGCTGGGGCTGTTCACTTGCTTCACTCTCTTTCACCTTTGACATCTGTGACATTTTAATGGAACCAAAGCTTCTCTCCAAAGAGCTCAAAGCACAGTTAGAGAACTTAAGAGAGTGAGCATTAAAGAGCACCCGAGAACAAAAATGAAAAAGGTTGGGGCAAAGCAAGAAGCGACCAGGGAAAGCTCTAATATTGCCGCTTGTGGGGAGGCAGATGCTCAGAAGTCTTCCCTGACTGTCCTGGTGACAGTGAAGCCACCAACCCCACCAGCTCCATAGCCCATGATACCTTCCATGCAAGGAAGATTTAAAAATCATTGAAGGCTGGGCGGGCGCGGTGGCTCACGCCTATAATCCTAACACTTTGGGAGGCCGAGGCGGGTGGATCACCTGAAGTCAGGAGTTCAAGACCAGCCTGGCCAACATGGTGAAACCCTGTCTCTACTACAAAATATAAAAATTAGCCAGGCGTGATGGCAGGCGCCTATAATCCCAGCTACTCAGAAGGCTGAAGCAGGAGAATCGCTTGAACCCGGGAGGCAGAGGTTGCAGTGAGCCGAGATCGCACCACTGCACTCCAGCCTGGGTGAAAGAGCGAAACTCTGTCTAAAAAAAAAAAATTATTGGGAAGCTTTTCACTTTTACCTTGTTAATAGTAGCAATGGATTTTACAGAACTTTTTAAATAATAACTAATATCAATATATATGATATGCCAGGTAGCATGCTTTCTGCCTTTTACATGCATGTTCTCCTTTCATTCTCACCTGGCATTAGGGGATAAATTAAAAAATTATCTCCATTTTCCAGATGAAAAAACTGAGGCTTAGAGAGAGATGAAACATCTTGCCCAAGCAACACAGCTGGGAAGTGGGGAGACAGGATTTGAACCATCGCCTGCCTCACCCTGTAATTAGTGTTCCCCAGGAGCACCTTTCCATCCGTTAACTGCTTCAATCTTTGCAACACTGCAAGATGGCAAAACTAATAACTCACTTTTGCAAGTGAGGAGACCGAGGCTACAGAGGCTTAGATGGCATTCCAGAAAGCACAGAGCTCCTAAGTGGGATTCCACCCTTTGTCACTGTCATGCCAGTCCCCTTCTCTGCAAGACTCTGGTCTCTGACACTGCCACGTGTTTTCAGTGCCTAAAGCTCTTTGGCAGTGTTTGGTTTGAAATCTTTGGAAGCTGTCTTAGTTCTTCCAGGCCTAGGGTGTATTACTTTGAATTATCATTGAGAAAGGGCACCATTAATTACAATAATCTTGCACCTAATAATGGGTGTGTGTGCCTCACTGACCTCCTGCTCTTGCCTCACACAGATTTGACTTTATCTACGATCTTTTTGAACATGTTTCAAGCCGCAACAACCAGGATACCTTGAAATGTGGAAGCAAACATCGGCGGCCTACAGTCAGCTCACAGTTCAAGGTTCGTTTTCACTGCTGGCTTAGAGGAATCCGTCGTTACTGTATTTTTAAGAACTGAAAAGAGGATTTGGGTGTATGTGAAGTCTATGAGAATATTTGTTTATTTTTGTTTCCTTTTATATCATGCTTTTAAACCAGATAGTGCTTTAGAAATAAAATAGAGTTTTGGCTCACGCCTGTATTCTCAGCACTTTGGGAGGCCGAGGTGGGCAGATCACCTGAGCTCAGGGGTTCAAAACCAGCCGGGGCAACATGGTGAAATCCTGTCTCTACAAAAAATACAGAAATTATCTGGGTGCGGTGGCGCATGCCTGTAGTCCCAGCTACTCAGGAGGCTGAGGTGGGAGGATTGCCTGAGCCTGGGAGATCAAGATTGCAGAGAGCTGTGATTGCACCACTGCACTCCAGCCTGGGTGACAGCGTAAGACCTAGACTCTGTCTAAAAAAAGAGAGAAAAGAAATAAAATAGACTTTTTCTCTGAGTCAGATGAAAACATGTAGATCCTTTTTAAAAAAATAAATGGCTATTTCTTCTAAGCTTTTGAAATAGCAAACTCCTTAAGGCCATTTGGGACCACTCTGATTTGTATTTAGAGACTCATGTGGAAATGGGATATATTTCTTCTCATATCTGGATGTTTTTTCCCCCTGGTTAGATGAGACTGATGTCAGTTACCTTGTCCTAGGCTCTTAATCTTCCAGCAGAGGTTTTCAGTTTTCTTTTTCTAGAAGGTCGGTTTGCCAGGACTTCTCTGAGAAAGCTTTTTTTTTTTCCGTGTGTGTGTGTGTGTGTGTGTGTGTGCGTGTGTGTGTGTGTTTGTGTGTGTGTGAGACAGGGTCTTGTTCTGTCACCCAGACTGGAGTGCAGTGGTGTAATCACGCCTCACTGCAGCCTCAAACTCCCAGGCGCAAGTGATTCTCCCCCCTCAGCCTCCTGAGTAGCTGGCACTACAGGTGTAAGCCACTACACCCGACTTTTTTTTTTTTTTTTTTTTTTTTAAAGGCAGAGTCTCGCTCTGTCACCCAGGCTGGAATGCAATGGCACGATCTCAGCTCACTGCAACCTCTACCTCCCAGATTCAAGAGATTCTTCTGCCTCAGCCTCCCAAGTAGCTGGGACTAGAGGCATGCGCCATTACGCATGGCTAATTTTTCATACCCGGCTAATTTTTAGATGTTTTACTGAGATGGGGTCTTATTATGTTGCCCAGGCTGATCTCAAAATTCTGGCCTCCAGCGATCCTCCTGCCTCAGCCTCCCAAAGTGCTGGAATTACAGACGTGAGCCACTGCACCCACCCTTGGGTTTTTGAAATGTTTGAGACTTTAAACTGGACTAGCAGTGAAGGAAATGGAAAAGGGTGGGTGAGCTTTCCAGGTGCAGGCGAAGGCAGGAGAAGAGCCCAGACACAGAGATGCAAGTCCTGTCTCTGAGGACTGTCAACAGACAGTAGAACACCAGCCGGACAGGACACCTCGTGAGAATTTAAGATGGTATCAAAATATGAAGGGCCGTGAATGTCAGGATGTTTTGTCTTGTGAGAAATTTTAAAGTTTTCTGAGCTGGAGAAGTAATTAATCCATGTAGTGTTCAGACAGTTCAGTTTTCTTCAACAAGATTATGAGAAGAAAAAAGAGACAGATGGAGGGAAAGCCAGTGGATTAAAAGAGACTGAAAAGATGCATCCACCAATTACAATGAATGGACCATATTTGCATTTTGATGCAAAAGAACAAACCCTTTAAAATTTATGGGCTGGGCATGGTGACACATGCCTGTAATCCCAGCACTTTAGGAGGCCTAGGTGGAAAGATTGCTTGAGTCGAGGAGTTCGAGACCAGCCTGGGCAACATAGCGAGGCCTCATCTCTACAAAAAAAATTAAAAAGTTATTCGGCATGCCCTTGTATTCCCAGCTACTCAGGAGGCTGAGGTAGGAGGATCACTTGAGTCTGGAAGGTTGAAGCTGCCGTGAGCTGTGATCACACCACTGTACTCCAGCCTGGGTGGCAGAATGAGACCCTGTCTCAAATAAATAAATAAATAATAAAATTTTTAAAAATCATAAAATTTGAAGCAGTTGAGCATTTTAATATGAAATGTGAGACCATTGCACATTTTAATATTAGTTTAAGGAATTAATGTCATCTTTTCAGGTGTGATGATGCTGTGGTTACACAGTGCTTTAAAGTGTTTAGCCTTTAATCCTACATACTGAAATGCTGCTGGAGGAAATCACATCATGTCTGGGATTTGCTTTTCCACAGGGGTGGGTATAGTATGTGTGGATCAGGCGAAATGAGATTAGCCCTGAGCTGAAGCTGGTAATGAGAACTCATTGTATGCTTTTGTCTGCTTTGGTAAATGTTAAAAACTCTAAAAAAAAAAAAAAAAAAAAAGTTGGAAAAGAAAGTAGTATTAAAGATTGATCTGGAGTCTGTAAGTCTGGCGATTTGAAGGTAAGAGTGAGAGATTGTGGCTCAGAGACCAGTGAAGTGCTGGCATAGACTGTCATTTCGATGGAACTAATGAATTGGGAAGAATAATGACAGTGGAAGAGTGGCTATTTCTCAGTTTTTCTGTACTAAACGTTGAAATATCCTAGGATGATTTTTGTTTGTTGACAGAATGGTTTATTAAAATTGTACTATTTCAGGCCGGGCGCGGTGGCTCACGCCTGTAATCCCAGCACTTTGGGAGGCTGAGGCCGGTGGATCACGAAGTCAGGAGATCGAGACCATCCTGGCTAACACGGTGAAACCGCATCTCCACTAAAAATACAAAAAATTCTCCGGGCATGGTGGCGGGCGCCTGTAGTCCCAGCTACTCTGGAGGCTGAGGCAGGAGAAGGGCATGAGCCCGGGAGGCGGAGCTTGCAGTGAGCCGAGATCACGCCACTGCACTCCAGCCTGGGTGATAGAGCGAGACTCCGTCTCAAATAAATAAATAAATAAATAAAATAGAATTTTACTATTTCAAAGGAAGTGATAAATGAGTTTGGTGTATTATCGAATAATTTCAATTATTAATACATTGACTCAGTATGTTTATTTTATATTAGAATGACAATTAAAAAATGAAAACCTCTAAGTTATTAGTCCTATGATTTATATTGTGTTTTTTAAATTATTGTTTCTAAGTGCCTAGAGTACTGAGAAATTTAAAGAATGACATAATAAGAGACTAAATCAACATATACTTTTTCTAATAGGACTCACTGCATTCCTTAATGGCAACGCTAAGCTCCTCTAATCCTTTCTTTGTTCGCTGTATCAAGCCAAACATGCAGAAGGTAAGATTGATGACAGTCCTAGGCTGGGATCTGTCTCGAGGGACACAGCCTCCTGGGGTGGTTACTCACAGATTTGGTTTCTCCAAAGTCCTTTCATTGTAGATGGTTGGAAATGGATATGACATTATTATAACTTGACATGAAATGAAAAAGTTCCCTTTGTCCCTTGGGCCTGTTAGTCTGCTTTTGAGTGATGTTATTAAGCTTTAGGGACATCTATTTGAAAAGGAAACATTGTGAAGCCTTTACTTTTTTTTTTTTTTAGCGTTTGGTTTAAAATTCTTGGGAAAAGTTTCAGAGTGTGATACATCATTTTACAGGAAATATTTGATGTGTGGTGGCTGATTTTTTTTTTAAAGTTTTTATTTGTCTTTCTTTCCTTCTTTTTTTTGCTTTATTGTTATTTTAAACACGATGAAGAGGCTTTAAGTAGTAATGCTAGATTTTAAGTACTTTAAATAGTTGTTTATAACTAATTAGAAAGCACTCTAAAGGTTGTCATAAGTATTAATGTCTTGGCTCTTTGATTTTAGCTTTCTAATTTCATAATCCGATTACAAGGAATGTGAGCTTAAAAAGGAAAAGCTACCTAAACAAAGAAACTATAGTGTTAGATATATGCAGTCGCTGAATCCACAGCTAATTAGGTAGCTTGTCTTAAAGTATTGTTAATACATTTAAATTATTTTGATTCAGCAAACAGCCTCTTAGGAATGCTTCTTATGTGAGAAAACCCCTACAAATTTTAATTGTAATGTAATTTTTATGTAATTTAATTGTAATGTAATTTTTATGTAATTTAATTGTAATGTAATTAAATTGTAAAATTTAATTGTAATTTTAAGAGCTAATGTTAAAGAACTAGATGCCATCCTCATAAGGTTTAAGGTAAAAAATCTGATCTGAACTGTTTCCCATGAGACTTGGTTTATTATATTCTGGTAATTTGACTGATGCTGGATCTTATCTTTTATAATGCCAACCAGTTGCCTTTGGCTTAATATTGCATGGATTCCTCATTTATAGTTTAAAGATGTATGCTTATAAGAACCACAGTAGCCGGGCATGGTGGCTCACGCCTGTAATCCCAGCACTTTGGGAGGTCGAGGTGGGCGGGTCACATGAGGTCAGGAATTTGAGACCAGCCTGGCCAACATGGTGAAACCCTATCTCTACTAAAAATACAGAAATTTGCTAGGCATGGTGTCACGTGCCTGTAATCCCAGCCACTCAGGAGGCTGAGGCACGAGAATCACTTGAACCCAGGAGGTGGAGGTTGCAGTGAGCCAAGATCTGCCACTGCACTCCAGCCTGGGAGATAGAGCCAGACTCTGTCTCCCAAAAAAAAAAAAAAAAAAAAAGGCCGGGCACGGTGGCTCACGCCTGTAATCCCAGCACTTTGGGAGGCCGAGGCGGGTGGATCACAAGGTCAGGAGATGGAGACCATCCTGGTTAACATGATGAAACCACGTCTCTACTAAAAATATTAAAAAACTAGCTGGGTGTGGTGGCAGGTGCCTGTAGTCCCACCTACTTGGGAGGCTGAGGCAGGAGAATTGCCTGAACCCGGGAGGCGGAGCTTGCAGTGAGCTGAGGTCATGCCACTGCACTCCATCCTGGGCGACAGAGCTAGACTGTCTCAAAACAAACAAACAAAAACAACAACAACAAAAAACCAGAACCACAATGTTGAATTATCTGTCTTCTAGAGAGGCAAAATTGGACATCTCTTTAAGAGAAAATAACCTGTTCAGTTTGTTACCTTACTGTGAGATATGATGGTGAGAATTTGGTGTTTGTGTGACCTGAAGTGACAAAGTGGTTTTCTGTTGAAGATCTGTGCTGACTTTATGTGCATGATTCTGGTAGTTTAAAAAGTAACCCATCTTTCCGTTTTTCAAAAGTATGTCAAAATATTTAAGGTTATCACCAAAAAAATGGTAACATAAAAAAATGCATAGCTTTTTTGGGGACATAGTGTAGGAAATTAATAGTTGGAACATCTCTCCATAGATAACACTATGTCACGTAGCTGGTTTATGTTCCACTTGGTTTGCTTTGTACACTCTGGTGGGCAGTATTTACCAGACAATAGAAGTGGGCTTTGGTGCTTGATGTAGACTCCCAGGAGTTGCTCAGTATCCGATGGCGTTCTCTCCTCTTTCTACAATAAGGATGATAGTGCCATATTTAATCTTTCAAACGTGCAAGGTCTTTTGTCAATTTAAAGTCCTGGGTGTTTGGCTAGGCGTGGTGGCTCACGCCTGTAATCCCAGCACTTTGGGAGGCTGAGAGATAGGTTGGATGACTTGACGTCAGAAATTCGAAACCAGCCTGGCCAACATGATGAAACCCTGTCTCTCCTAAAAATACAAAAATTAGCCAGGCGTGGTGGCACACGTCTGTAGTCCCAGCTACTTGGGAGGCTGAGGCAGGAGAATTGCTTGAACCCGGGAGGCGGAGGCTGCAGTGAGCCGAGATCACGCCACTGCACTCCAGCCTGTGGAATACAGCAAGACTCTGTTTCAAAAAATACAAATTAAAAAAATAAAGTCTCGGTTGCTGGGATGCATCTCACAGTTTCTGGTGAGCCATAGTCTAATTGGAAGCTTTTTTCCCATTCTTCGTGGTGTGAAACAGTTTTACAATCGTAGGCATCTTAAATTCCTGCCCTGGCAGTGCTATAATAAAGTAGAAACTTTAATTTGAAATACTCAGTCCCCAGTGTTTCTGTTTTCTCTCTTGGATGGCACAGAGTTAGTTTTTCCTATAAATTGTACTAGCTTTTGAAATTAGGCCTGCTTGGAAGCAGTTCAGCAGCCAGACTATTGCAGAACCGACCTTATTTTTCCATGCTGAGATTTGATAGTACCTAATTGCTTTGAATTTTGCATTTAGAAAATGAACTAACTCAACCTCACGTTTGCATTTGTATTGGCTCACTTTACATGTCCTGAAGTATGGCAGACACTAATTAATAACGCACCAGTGATAGGCTATAGAAACCTTTCCAAGAATGTCTTGGTGCCCTTTTAAAGGCACTCAGAAGGCTGGGAGCGGTGGGGGCGGTGGCTCACGCCTGTAATCCCAGCACTTTGGGAGACCAAGATGGGCGGAATTGGAGACCAGCCTGGCCAACATGGTGAAACCTCGTCTCTACTAAAAAAAAAAAAAAAAAATTAGCCAGGTTTGGTGGCGCGTGCCTGTAATCCCAGCTACTTGGGAGGCTAAGGCAGGAGAATTACCTGAACCTGGGAGGTGGTGGTTGCCATGAGCTGAGATCACGACATTGCACTCCAGCCTGGGCGACAGAGTGAGACTCTGTCTCAAAAAAATGAAAAAATAAAGGCACTCAGCAAGTGAAGGCAGAGGCACAAGAGCTGACTTGTCTGAGGCCTAAAATGCAGGTGTGATGGTAGATGGAGATGCTAATTTGATTATGGCAAGATAGCTATGGCTCGATTAGCATTCATTTGGTTCCACTGGAAATATCGGACTGTCACCACCTATTATGTTCTGTGAAATGTGTGCAAATGACCTTTATTTAGACTTCCTTATATATTTTTTTTAATCCAAAGATAGATTCTTATAGAAATTTCGCAGGAAAAATCTTGCCTTCTTCCTCTCCAGAGATGGGGAATGTGTATTTTCAGCGTGGAGGGATGAGACGGTTTCTCCTCACCTCATTTTCCTCTCCAGTCGCAGTCCACCGAAGGACTTGGGAGATCGTATTCAAATATGTGTGTATTTAGGTATTTTGTGTATTATTCAGAAGCAAGGAGCATGGGTTTTAGAAAATATAGAAGTTTTTTGTTTGTTTGTTTGTTTGTTTGAGACAGAGTTTTGCTCTTGTTACCCAGGCTGGAGTGCAATGGTGCAATCTCAGCTCACCACAACCTCCGTCTCCCGAGTTCAAGCGATTCTCCTGCCTCAGCCTCCTGAGTAGCTGGGATTACAGGCATGCACCACCACGCCCTGCTAATTTTGTATTTTTAGTAGAGATGGGGTTTCTCCATGTTGGTCAGGCTGGTCTCAAACTCTTGACCTCAGGTGATCTCCTTGCCTCGGCCTCCCAAAGTGCTGGGATTACATGTGTGAGCCACTGAGCCTGGTCAGAAGTATCTTTTTGTGTGTGTTATATGATCTTAAAGACATAAGAATGGCAGCTGTAAAGTCCATAACCTAGAGACCTGTAGCATTGGAACAACAGAAACACCTGTAGCTGCTTTTGTGCCTTCAGGCATAAAGACTCACACACTCGCCGGGCTAGTGGGAGCACACCCCCTTTACCCGCCCTGGCTGCTACGGCAGGCTGCCTCTCCTCCTTGCCAAGTGTTTGAACCCCAGAACGCGCATCTGGGGTTGAAGAATCTAGAAATCCTTTGTGAGCTTTTGTTTGGGTTGTTAATTTTTTTTTTTTTAATTTGGGTTTTCTATGTATTGTTTTGAAAAACAGGTGCAAAGGAGGAGTGTATAATTGAAATGCTGAACGCATATGTCAATTCGGCTGTCACAATATGTGGGCTTTTTTCTTTTTCTATAAACAGCCTTTTACTAATCTTGGGTATTGTATAGAAGGCAGTTTGCTAGCCTCACTGGCGCTCAGCGAGGAAGCACCTAGAAAAGCCTGCTTCCCGAGAGACGCCAGTCTGCAGTGGGCCTTGTCCTTGGATGTTACCCTCCTCTGAACTTAGAGTTTTCAGAGTTCACAAAGGGTAGACTTCTCCATTCCACGAGTTTTCGTTGGTAATGAGGACTTCTAGCTTTTTTGATTGTGATTTGCTTGGGCGGTGGCGGTGGTACCCAAAAGTGCTCCAGCCAACCACAGATTTCTCTAAGATAGAAAACCTGCTTTTCCTCATCAGAACCTCCCCAAGGGTGTCCCTGCCTGGTGTTTTAGCAAGTAAGTTCCAGGCAGAAAAGTCTCTCATTAACATTCTTCAGAAAAGCCCCGAGGAGGTTCAGGGCAGAATTAAAGAAGGGAACAGACTGATACACATCAGGAACACCTTCTGGGGTTTGAGAACCAGTTGCCCGCAGTTGCCTGCAGATTCAGCCTGGGCTGCCTCTTGGAACACGTCTGGCTGGCTCTCCTCCCTGTTTGGTCTTTAGGTTTGCTGTGTCCAGGATGCAGATTCTAGGAAGGAAACGTCATGGGTTCCAGCAGCATCATCTTTAAATCTTTGACTTGACAGAACAATACCCTCAAAGATTCAGTCCAGCCTTCTCCAGAAAGGCAGGGGCCTAATCACCTAATGTTTCTGGGACTGGTTTCTGGTGGAAGAAGGCCTCTAGCACAAGCAGCCTCTTGGGATAGGGTTTATCTTTTTTTTTTTTTTTTTTGAGGTGGAGTCTCTCTGTCACCCAGGCTGGAGTGCAGTGGCGCAATCTCAGTTCACTGCAACCTCCACCTCCCGGGTTCAAGCGATTCTCCTGCCTCAGCCTTCCAAGTAGCGAAGATTACAGGCATGTGCAACCACGCCCAGCTGATTTTTGTATTTTTAGTAGAGATGGCTTTTCACCATGTTGGCCAGGCTGGTCTCAAACTCCTGACCTCAAGTGGTCCACCTGCCTCAGCCTCCCAAAGTGCTGGGAGCCACTGCGTGCAGCATGGAGTAAGGTTTACGGAAGGGAAGAAGGGAAAGATGCCTGTGCTGGGGGAGGCTGAAGACCAGGCCTCAGGGGAGGGAAACCAGCAGGGCTAGAGTTTCCATGCAGCCAAATTTGCTGGAAAATGGAATATCAAGTGAGAGAAGGAAGCTGGAGACGTGGAGTGGAGTTAGGGAGGTCACGTGAGCCTTGTGGGCTGTCGATCTTGGAGCCCCATCTGTCTCTACCCCGAGACACAAGGATGAAGATGAGGATGTGTAAACCATCTCACACAGGGGTCTTCTGTAAAGGACTTTGGGGGGATGTCAGCTCCTTTCACATAAATGAGTCCTGATGACCTGTATTCCTCTCTTCCACGGGGCTTCCTTCTTAGGTCAGACTCAGCCCCTCAGGTTGACAACATCCTAGACAACTCATGACCACACACATGCAGTGAGAGCTCTGTGCAGACATTATGGAAGCATGAGCCTTTTGTTTCCAGAGGTGTAATAATTTGATGAATGAATTTAATGAATCTAGCACATTTCCTCCCGGGGATTTATATTTATGTAATCCAGGTGCTGCCTGCTATTTCTCCCTCCCTCCCTCCCTCCCTCTCTCCCTCTCTCCCTCTTTTTCTTTTCTTTCTTCCTTTCTTCATTTCCTTTCTTTATTTCAGACCTGACCAGGAGCAATGGCTCACACCTGTAATCCCAGCGCTTTGGGAGGCTGATGGGGGGCGGGGGGGCGCGGATCACTTGAGGCCAGGAGTTCGAGACCAGCCTGGCCAACGTGGTGAAACCCCATCTCTACCAAAAAAACAAAAATTTGCTGGGCGTGGTGGTGTACACCTGTAACCCCAGCTACTTGGGAGGCTGAGGCACGAGAGTTGTTTGAACCCAGGAGGTGTAGGTTGCAGTGAGCTGAGATCACACCACTGCACTCCCGCCTGGGTGAGAGTGAGACTCTGTCTCAGAAAAAAAAACTTCAAAAAGACAAAAAGTAGCCAGGAGTGGTAGTGTACACCTGTAGTCCCGGCTACCTGAGAGGCTGAGGTGGGAGGATCATCCGAGCCTGGGAGGTCAAGGCTGCAGTGAGCCGAGATCGCACCAGTGCACTTCGGCCTGTGCAACACAGTGAGACCTGTCTCAAAGAAAAAAACAAAGACAAAATATTTCTTTAAAAAGTTCGGATGATAATGTGACACATTTCTTGCCTTGAATTTTGGGTCCCATGTTATTCTTCCTCTATCTTTTTCTCTTTTTTTTTCTTCCTGTATCTTTTTTTTTTTCTTTTTTTTTTTTTTTTTTTTTTTTTTTTGAGACGGAGTTTCGCTCTGTCGCCCAGTCTAGAGTGCAGTGGCACGATCTCGGCTCACTGCAAGCTCCGCCTCCAGGGTTCAAGTGATTCTCCTGCCTCAGCCTCCCAAGTAGCTGGGACTACAGGCACCTGCCACCCCGCACGGCTAATTTTTTGTATTTTTAGTAGAGACGGGGGTTTCTCTGTGTTAGCCAGACTGGTCTCAATCTCCTGACCTCGTGATCCACCCGCCTCGGCCTCCCGAAGTGCTGGGATTACAGGTGTGAGCCACCGCGTCCAGCCTCTATCTTCTTTTATGCATCTGGTTTCTCTTTAGCTTTACTAAGCTTTTGACTTTGGTCTCTTTGCCCTAATGCTAGTTTGTGAATAAAGTGTTCAGTGAATATAGAAGACCAAGTGCAGCTCTGCAGGGCCTGTCTCAGCCTTTGCACCCTGCTGCACACCTCAGGGTCCAGACTATTTATAGGTGCTCAGTAACGTTGAGTTACTCATCATGGTACATTGTAGAAATTGCTCATGGTGTGTGAGTGCTCAACTGTGCGAAAGATAAAAACGTAACTATTGCCATAGATTCTGTTTTAGTTGATTTATTTTATTTTTGGCATGCTTTTCTCTTCTGATCATCTTTGATTTGTGTAGCTGGAGGATACCCGGGCATCGCCAGTAGGTCAGTATTGGGGTGGTGTCTTTAATGTGTATCAATCTTTTTATGCTGACATGCTCCTTCGCCCTGTCTACCTCCCTCAGCTGACCCCTTCTAGACATAGCCCCACCTCAGGTTCAGGGCCCTTTAGGAACAGCCAAGCACAGCACCAGGGGCTCATTCACAAATACTTCTTGATCTGAGGGCTGATGCTTCATATACAAATATCCCCATCTCCAAATGGGTATTCACCCACAGGCCTTTGTTATCTGCCACAATTGGGCAGGGAGTCTGGGTGTGAGGGTCTGCCACATGACAAGGTTTAAACTGAAAGGTTAATTAAACATTAGATTTTAACATTGAGATGGAACTTTCTGGAATTATAGACTATTCACTCTGTCCAAACATTATTTATTGCCATGTTTCACAGAATCTAAATTCCAAGAGTGTAAAATGCATCCTTGTTTCCTGTCACTGTGGAAGCAAAGGCACCACCGATTACAGCAGAGCACAATGATTTCTTATCGCTTAGCTCTTGCTCGTTGCTTTGCAGAAAGTATGAAATGGAGGTCATTCATCCACCACAAATAGGCACCTTGCTTTTCTGTTTCCAGGCCTTTTTGCAGATAAAATAACTTTCTGTTTCACTGGTAAATCTGTAGTGTGATATTTCAACTCCGCTTAAAAGACAGCTGGACTTGATGTGAGGAGTGGCAGTAGTGTCCATAATTTGCAAAGATAGTACAAAAATTATGATGAAATTCACTCACATCCAGGCACTGGTCGCAGCATGGTGGCTGCTTGGGTGGTAGTGTCAGAGATGTTTGAACCAGAGCAACTCCATCTTGAATAGGAGCTGGGGAAAATGAGGCTGAAACCTACTAGGCTGCATTCTCAGACGCAGCCATTCTAAGTCACAGGATGAGATAGGAGGTCAGCACAAAATACAGGTCATAAAGACCTTGCTGATAAAACAGGTTGCCGTAAAGAAGGTGGCCAAAACTGACCAAAACCAAGATGGCCACGAGAGTGACCTCTGGTTGTCCTCACTGTGACACTCGCATCAGCACCGTGACAGTTTACAAATGCCACGGCAGCCTCAGGAAGTTACCCTATATCGTCTAAAAAGGGGAGGCATGAATAATGCACCCCTTGTTTAGCATATCATCAAGAAATAAACATAAAAATGGACAACCAGCAGCCCTTGGGACTGCTGTGTCTATGGAGTAGCCATTCTTTTATTCCTTTACTTTCTTAATAAACTTGCTTTCACTTTACCCTATGGACTCACCCTAAATTCTTTCTTACATGAGATCCAAGAACCCTCTCTTGGGGTCTGGACGGGGACCTCTTTCTTAGAACAACAGCATGTCTGAGACACATCCCAGTTTCAGCATGTCCACATGGGAGCATGTATGCATTAAGAATTGAGGAAATATGATCTAGTTCTCTCTTTTAAATGTTACATAAAGGGATCATCCTCCCTTTTCCTAAGGAACCCTCAGAAACAGAGAATTTAATCTTTCCTAACACTTAAAGGTAGCCAGGTGCTTTTTTAATTTTTTAATTTTAATTTTTTCATTTTTGAGAGACAAGGTCTTATTCTGTTGCCCAGGCGGGAGCGTAGTGGCACTATCATAACTCGCAGAAGCCTTGAACTCCTGGGCTCAAGCAATCTCCTGCCCCAGCCTCCCAAATAGCTGGGAGTACAGGCATACACCACCACTGGGCCTGGCTAATTTTTTAATTTTTCATAGAGACGAGGTCTTACTGTGTTGCCCAGGCTGGTCTCAAACTTTTGGCCTCAAGCGATTCTCCTGCTTTGGCCTCCCAAAGTGCTGGGATTACAGATGTGACTCACCGTGCCTGGTCTGCTTTTGAATTTTTGTTTTTTAAGCCCTTAGTGTTCATGGGAAAGGTTTTTATTTTTGTTTTGAGATGGAGTCTCGCTTTTGGTCCAGGCTGGAGTGCAGTGGCACGATCTTGGCTCACTGCAACCTCCACCTCCCCCGGGTTCAAGCAATTCTCTTGCCTCAGCCTCCAGAGTAGCTGGGATTACAGATACCCGCCACCACTCCCAGCTAATTTTTGTATTTTTAGTAGAGACGGGGTTTCACCATGTTGGCCAGGATAGTCTCAAACTCCTGACCTCAGGTGATCCACACGCCTCTGCCTCCCAAAGTGCTGGGATTACCGGCGTGAGCTACCGCGCCCGGCCTGGGAAAGGTCTTAATTGTAATGAATGAAATCTGCATTTCTGCATCTTCCATTCGCTGCTCTTCTTCTGGCCATTTGAGATTAATGTGAAAATGTCAGATATTCGTTCATAGGAGCGTGTCAAATATTTTTAAGCTCTTAATAAGAATACATTTTCCTGCTCCAGTAAACAGCCTCTGAGCATAATTTTATCTCGGAATTTTTGTTTAAACATCAACACATTATGCAATACCATCTCAAAGCTCTTGTGGGCGATTAGGATTTTTTTTTTTTAGAGCTTTGCTTACCTTTTTACTGCCTGTGTTTGCTTTCATGTTGTTTGTTTTTATTTTCTGTTTCATCTTTTGTGACTGTTTTCCCACAGCTGCATTGACCACTACCCCACCTGTTCCCCAGCCCCAGCCACCGCTCCCTCTGCAAGCCTGCTTAGTTACCCGCAGGGCCTGGGTGACTCAGTCCTTCATGTCCTGCACCAAGGGCACAGGAAGCCCTGCGCCGCGCCTGCTGAGACCCAGGGTGTCGGGGTGCTCTGGGTCTAGCACATTATGATACACCATAATCCCGTTGGCATGGGAAGGGTATCGCACAGCCACCCAGGTGCAGAGGAGCCATGAAGCCACCGATACAATAGATCAAAGGTGTGCACCCAGGTTTCGCCCAGGCCTCATCACTACACCTTGTGTGGCCGGGCGTCCTTTCCCTGTGTTTAACGTGTGTGTATTGACAGTACCTACTGAGGGAGGGTGGTTATGTGTATTAAGTGAGGTCATGGGGACATGATACAGCTACATGTTATTGTGTATGTAAAATAACACATACTTACATTATATGTTTATATTTTTACCACTTATTTTGTCCTAACAAATTTAATCCCAAATTTAAGCTGAGTCACAGGAAAATCTAACTGTTTTAAGACCTTTTCTCTCTTAAGTTTTAAATCACTTCTGACAGATTGTCATAAGGAGCCTTAAAAAAGTTTTTCCTTTAGTCTTTGGCATTGTCACGGGATGGACATTTTTATCTTGATTTTTAACATTAATAGACTTTTTTAAAGAACATTAAAAAATTTACAGAAAATGTGAGCATATACTACAGACTGTTTCCACACTGCCCCCCTCCACCACCATTTTCCCTTTCATTAATATCTTGTACTAATGTGGTACATTTGTTATAATAAAGCAGTATTGCTACATTATTATTAAAGTCCAAAGTTGATATTAGGAGTCCACTGTCTGTGTTGTATGGTTCTTTGACTTTTGACAAATAAGTACTGTCATGTGTCAAAATGCCAGATGTTTATTATCAGTTCATAATGTAACAAACATTTTTTTCCAAGTCATTTTCTATAAGAATGGGAGGTTTCTGATTCCCTGGTCAAAGGGTGAAGCATTGAGAATGAAGTTTCTTTTTTTTTTTGCAATGGAGTCTCACTCTTTCACTCAGGCTAGAGTGCAGTGGTGCAATCTCGGCTCACTGCAACCACTGCCTCCCGAGTTCAAGCAATTCTCCTGCCTCAGCCTCCCGAGTAGCTGGGACTACAGGTGTGCACTGCCACGCCTGGCCGATTTTTGTATTTTTAATAGAGATGGGATTTCATCATGTTGGCCAGGGTGGTCTCAAGCTCCTGACCTCAGGTGATCCACTCACCTCGGCCTCCCAAAGTGCTGGGATTACAGACGTAAGCCACCGTGTCCAGCTGAGAATGAAGTTTCTGTTGCTCACTATAGAACTGGTGAATGATATGGACAAGATTAATGGAAGGATAGAGAGGGCAGAAGCATCAACTTGCGAGTTAGGACTTCTTAGAATTATCCAGGTTGTCAGCCCCTTTCACTCCTCTGTGCATTTGGTTAGTCTTTGGGAATGGCTCATTTCCTCTGTGTACTTACTGGAAAGCACCTCGTTGACATTCCATAATCCTTCCTGGTGTTTTGTTTTGTGGTGGAGTTTTGTTCTTGTTGCCCAGGCTAGAGTACAGTGACACAGTATCTGCTCACTGCAACCTCCGTCTCCCGGGTTCAAGAGATTCTCCTGCTTCAGCATCTCAAGTAGCTGGAATTACAGGCATGCACCACCATGCCCGGCTAATTTTGTATTTTTAGTAGAGATGGGGTTTCTCCATGCTCTCCAGGCTAGTCTCGAACTCCCGACCTCAGGCAGTCCACCCGCTTCAGCCTCCCAAAGTGCTGGGATTACAGGCGTGAGCCATCACGCCTGGCCTTTTTATGTATGTATTTTTTTTTTTTTGAGACCGAGTCTTGCTCTGTGTCACCCAGGCTGGAGTGCAGTGGTGTGATCTCAGCCACTGCAATGTCCGCTTCCTGTTTTCAAGCAATTCTCCTGCCTCAGCCTCCCGAGTAGCTGGAATTAGAGGCACCCACCACCATGCCTGGCTAATTTTTGTGTTGATGAGATTTCACCATGTTGGCCAGGCTGGTCTCGAACTCCTGACCTCAAATGATCCACCCACCTAGGCCTCCCGAAGTGCTGGGATTATAGGCGTGAGCCACCATGCGGGCCCTTCTGGTTTTTGATTGCCACTCATGTCCCCTGTTGTTTTGACTGTCTCCTGCACCTGGAGCACCCATTGCCAGCATCTTTGACTTTTGAAAACATTTCATATAGAAGACCTGTAAAAAGCTGCCTTTTTACCTTTGGAGGAAATTTTAGTAAAGGAAGCATTTAAAGCAACCATTCTTCTCCCTAAACAAAACAATCCCAGTAAAGCCCTCAGTGGTCACTTCCATCCTGTTTACCAAGTTGTCATGGAAACTATTCATCAGAGCTCTGTAGAGATCAGGATAAATTGCAGCGAGTGAAGCTCAGCACCAGCAAAGAGTGCTGTTCTTGTTCTCTGGGTGGATTTTCCAAGATCACAACTAAACTGCTTGATTTTGTCCTGGGACTTTTTTTAAAAAAAAATTATTGATTGGCTTTTAAAATCAAGAATCTTTGGGCCCTGAAATGTAATTACACATTTGTTGATGCGTGCATGATGGTTAGTTTGCCCCTGCAGTCAAAAGTGTCTTCAGCAGTTCCTATCACGTCAGCCTCGCCAGGCTGGACTTCCTTTGAGTAGAATCAGGAATGAATTAAGCAGCACAGCCCGAGACGCACCACATAAAAGGCTGGGAACACCAGCCAGCCGAAGAAAGCCCATTTTTGTGTCTGTCAGCTTAGATGCCCTTGCCCGGACTGCTAAAGATGCAGCTATTTACAGTGGACAGAAACTGAAGGGGTGAAAGAAAACCCAAGGTAGGGATTTTTCTCTTTCTTGTTCTGCTTAAAAGTTTCATGTAACTTGCCATGATGATGGTATTGTAAAACTGCAGAGATCATACACGGGGAACAGATTTTGCTGTTTCTCCAGGCACGGAAGTGTTTACAAGTGGGTTAGTGCTGATTTTGATTGCATGTACAAGTTTGAACTACAAATTTTTTTTTGTAAAAATGAAGGACACAATTCACTGATCAGTTAAGGCGTTGATAATGCAATATATTTTCATATGGAATTCACCTTTTATAGGAAAACTTCTTTTTTAATATTAGGTTGAAGGGGGAAATTGGTGGTTTCTTTTGTTTGAATTTTTTCCAAAGTATTTTTCTTTAAGAGTTTATACACTGCAGTCATCCAGCTTTTCCCTGCCTCGTGCTTTATAGGAACCTTTAAAGAAATCTGCACAAGAATAATCTCTTTTTTAATCGCATTATAAACCTGTTCATACGCAAGTATGGAAATGTGAGATGTTATCGGAGTTGAATGGTCATCTGTTGAATATCATGTGCTTGTTTCACACAAGCATACACATGTTGGAATTTTGCAATCGGCCTGGAAAAACCTGATGAGGCATATTCTGTTGGGATTCCCTTTACTCCCCGAAGTAGAGGTCCCCAAAGAAAGAACAAAATAAAGAGTGACTGAAATGCTAATCTCTGCCTCCCCCCGATGGAGGAATGGTGTTCAGTTGATGTCTATTCAGTTGCTAAATGTGCCCTGGAAGGGAGGTGTTTTCATTGTGAAAGTGGTCTTTCATATTAAATCGAGTTACATTTAAAAGAAATGAATAAGCACTTGGCTGACTGCTACTAGGCTAAATCTGCTTTCGTCGCGTAGATAAGATTTCTGGTGCTAAGCGAAAACCAAGTATGAGAATGTTGGGTTTTTTTTTTTTTGCCATCAATTTTAGAGAGTAATTAATCTGACACACACTTATTACCCTCATAAGAAAGAGGCAAAGGTAAGTTGTCTATGGGAAAATGCCACATATTTTCTACCTCTCTTACAACGTTAAACTGGTTTTCTCATACCTCGCTTCTGTTTAGTTTACAAATGTGGGTCCTCAGGTCCGGAACCGCATTGCTGCTTGCGAGAGGGCTGGAATGATGGAATACAGAAGTGCTTCCCTCTCTCTGCTGAATGCCTCGGTGGCTGAAGGATATGTACGGGAAGGTGGTGCAATTAGAGAGGCGACCCCAGTCGGTCGGCTTCCCTCCCGGGAGGTGCCAGCTGCTAAAATGGGGTGTACATAATTGCAGCTTCCACCACTGCATTTTTACTTTGGCTTATCCTGATGAACTTACTGAATCATGTCCAATCTGAATGGCACTCCTGCTCCCACTGTGAGCAAATCCCTTCCCTCCCCTACCTGCACCCCCAACTCCCACCCCTGTCCGTCTAGCTCATGCAGACTGAGATATTTTTTTTTCCCCTCTAAGCATTAGCCGCCCTGAATTAACGTTTTCACGGGCAGCCCCCTCAATGTGTGCTTTCTGGTAGTGACTTTGTTCTAAAGCTCACTTTGCTCCCCCAGCGGCTACAAAGGACCAATTCCCAAATCCCCATCAGCCTCCCTCCCAGCTGTCACTCCCTCAGAAGACTCTGGAGCAAAGGGCCAGGTTTGAGACTGGAGACCAGAGGTTAGGGGTGGACTGCGGTTCTCAAGATCAGGGTCTGAAACTCCCCTGGGTCTTCTCTCATCTGTGCAGATGGTCCACTCTGCTTCATTAGCTCTTCAGCACTTCACTCTGTTCTTCTTCATCCTAGGGGTACTTTCCTTGTTTTTTTCTCCGGCAAGTTCTTTCTATGACCCTCAAAAATATGCGACAAAGAATAGTGACAATAATAAAAACACCACCGCATTAGATGCTGGGGTTTGCGTTCACCCCTCCTCAATATAAAGACGATTCTTACTGATTATAAAATATTAGGGAAATATGTGAAATGTTTTAAAAATTAGTTACCCATAATTTTACCAGCCAGAGACAACCCTCTTTATATTTGTTGTGTATATACTTTTCTTCCCTTTAAATTGGGATCATAGTTTACCTTAATTTTGTAACCTACTTTTTTTTTTAACTTAATAAATCTTGAAACATTCTTTCGCATTTTTTCATGACTATAAAATTCTGTCAGTGGCTATACTTTCAAGTCAGATTTCTATTACTGGATTGTTTATTTGTTGTTGCAAATAATAGTACTGTATTTTTCATGTGCACAAATACTTTCTCCTTAAGGTAAATTCTTGAAAGTGTATTTGCCAATCAGAATATGCACGTTGTTATGACTTTGATGTATATATAGCCAAACTGCCCTCATTAAAGCCAACAGCAAACAAGATATATATATCCAATGTGTATAACAATGGATGTATAGCTTTAATATATAAAGAGCCTTCACAAATCAATAAGAACATGTTTTAGTAGAAAAACGAGTAAAAAACAGAAACAAGAAATTTGCAAAAGGTGAAATATAAAATTACTTGAAGTTCTCAATAGTGTAATCAAATAAATGAAGTTTAAAATGAGATACTTTTGCTAGTGTGAGGATTGAATGGTTTAATGGTTTTATGCTTTTTTTTTTTTTTTTTGGGACATGATTATGTTGCCCAGGCTGGAGTGCAGGGGCTATTTACAAGCACAATCATAGCACACTACAGTCTCAAACTCCTGGCTGCAAGAGATCCTCCTGCCTCGGCACTGGAGTAGCTGGGGCTATAGGGGCACACCACTGCTCCTGGCTCTGTGTTGCTTTTTAATAACACTTCTTGGTTTCTGTGACTATTTGAAGAAACTGCCATTAATGGATTCTGCTATTCTGCTGCTGGGAGTATAAATTGTTGCAACCTTTTCTGAAGAACAGTTGTGTACTTTTTTTTTTTTTTTTTTTTTGAGATGGAGTCTCCCTTTGTTGCCCAGGCTGGAGTGCAGTGGTGCAAACCTGGCCCACTGCAATCTCTGCCTCCTAGGTTCATGCAATTCTCCTGCCTCAGCCTCCTGAGTAGCTGGGATTACAGGCGTGCACCACCACGCCCAGCTAATTTTTGCATTTTTAGTAGAGACAGGGTTTCACCATGTTGGCCAGGCTGGTTTCAAACTCCTGACCTCATGATCCACCCGCCTTGACATACCAAAGTTCTGGGATTACAGCCCTGAGTCACCATGCTCGGCCTCTTTTTTTGTTGTTGTTGTTTTTTTAACTTTGTCTTGCCTCCCCTGGGAGCTGAATGATTATATAGATATACATACACATACACCTGCTGAGAAGGGAGAAGTGAGGGCGAATAGGAACTTGACTGGGCTCCCTCACCTTGAGCAATCTTCTCCTCACTGCTAAACATTTCCAAAAAGAGTCTGTGACTATTTTCTTCTTTCTAATGCCAGGCAATCAAGGCTGCACTTGCTACCCTTCTGCAGGAAGCTTCCCAGCCAGCACAGTTTCTCTCTGCCCTGCCTCTTAATCCCCACCCCTGCTCCCAGGCCTGGGACACTGCTAACCACCCCTCCTTCCTGACACCTCTCTGACCACCCCTCCTCCTCTTGACTGGTTCCTCTGGAGGTAGGCATGGCCTCGGGTTCTGCCCCCAGTTTCTCACTCGCTGGGCTCCAAAAGAAACACTGGCTTCTCTCCTTCAGCTCCAGGCTAGGTGAGTACCTCTCCCCTGTGTATTTCCACCTCAAAACCCTCCTCTAAGCTTTGGCCTCATCATCTCCCTTAATTTTGTAACTTACTTGATTTTCCTAGTTTTCTAGATTTTCTAGTTCCGTGCTACTCTGCTTCACCTGTTTAGCACTTTGAACTGAAATGTGTCCATAATTAAACTTCACATCCTTTTCCTTCCGCGTCAGCTATCTCAAACAGATGATTCTTGCTTAACCCTTTTCCTATGTATCAGGATAAGTCAGGGTTCTTGGCCTCGGCAGTACTGGCATTTTGAGCTGGACAGGTTATTCTTTGTTGTTGGGCTCTAGCCTGAGCTTTGAAGGAGGCTTCAAAGCAGCGCTGGCATCTACCTGCTAGACGCTAGTAACACTCTCCTCTCTCAACGTCTCCAGACTTTCCCGGGTGCCCCCCAGGGGGCAAAACCACCTCCTCTTGAAAACCACTGGGCTGTCGATGCTGATGATTTCTTGGTTTTTATTCTTATTTTTTATTTGCTGTCAATAAAAACGGCATCTACATGTAAGTTAACTTGTTATATAGCATTTGTTATTGCTTTTAACTGTGTGTTTTACTATTCAACTAAAATAGAAAATGGTGTATCGTTTCACACTTTCTGGATGTACTTAGTCATTCAGTTAAATGTCTATTTTGTTTCCCTTTTTAGTAAGTCGTGTTAGGAGATGGGAAATGGTGGTGGTGGGCTTAGTATCAGTGCGTCCTGTGTCATTGTGTAACTGCTCTGTGCTAGCCACTGTCTCAGATGAATGGCTGTCCTAGTTTCAGCCACTCTGAAAGGATAAAACAGCTCATTAAAGTGTGCCAGATGCTTCATTTGTCAGTATTTCACTTAAAAGGGAATACTGTTTGGCTTTGGAATTCTGTAATATACCCAAAGTTTGCCTCTACAAAATTAAAGTGGTCCTATTAAAGATACAGTAACATTTTTCCCCTCACCCTCCACATTTAGGATGGTGAAAAATTCACTAGCAAACCAATGTTTTAGACCCTATTTAGTGATTTTTTTAAGAAAGAACTCTTCAGATAAATAAGAATATTAAGTAAGAGTATGCATAATAAGTTTGAATAACTGAGATTTCAGCTTTTAGCCGTTTGGCAAAAGACCATGATTTGAATATGAAATCTCGTAGGCATACTTTGGTCGTGTTTTCTTACGGGACCACAGAAGTTTAAATATGGTTATTATAACACATAAGTAGGGGTCTACGACAAATTTTGCTGAGCTAAAACAAATCCCCTTTGCTGAGCCAAAACAAATCCCGCTGGATTATGAAGGCCAAACATAAGGCATTGTTACTATGCTAATTGTGGTTTGAGGAATTGCAGAAGGAAAATTAGCCTACCACATTCTTTTTCTTCTTTTCTTTTTCTGGTATTGACTGAAACGTTGGCCTATGCATTTGATTCACTGACTGCATGGCATTGCTTTCAGTAAAGCTTGAGCTAGTCAGTTTACATTGGACTACAAGTGTACAGAGTTGCAGCTCTTAGAGGCTTTTAATCAGAGGTACCTTGCGAATTAGGGAAATAAGGTCCTGTGCAGAAGTGGAAGGGCAGGTTGGACCTGGTCGTGACATCATTTGACTGGGATTTCCAGGCTTCTAACACAGCCTGTGAGCATGCAGGAACAAAGAGGTGTACAACCTCTGAAAACTCTGTGGAACTGACCCTCTCTCAGAGCAGCCATTGTTTGCAGCGCTGTTGCATCAGCAGATGGGCCACTTCTATTCAGTTGCTCCTGCTATCTGGGGCGTGCTAGAGGCATTTCCTGGTTTACATAAACTCTGGGGCTCTGCCAACGTCCTTAGAGTTCAAGCCTTTCCCTTCTCATGCTCAATTAAAATAATTAACTACAGTACAATCGCCGCTTGTTCTCCACTTCTCACCTTGCCTGCTCACAGCACATCCATTCTTCTTGTTCCAGCCTGTCGCTACAAAGTAGTTAGATGATAGAGAAGGCAGGTTGGGAATATTCAAAGACTCTATAGCAACTGGCCTGGATGCAAAGGCTTTTTTTGTTCTTTGTCCTGGTCGTTTTGGTAAATGTGTAGTCGCGTATCTGAGACATAGATTGTGCTTTATTCGGTGCTGTGGAGAGTAGAAACTAGCAGCAGTACCTGGAAAGGGGCCCTGATCTGCGGGTGTGGATGAGTAGAGACTCTTCAGTTGAGATTTAGCTCTAGTGAGGGTTGGGTGCAAAAATGTAGGAAAGAGTGAAGAGATGAGCAGCTCATGTCTGAGTTTTTTCTGTTTCTGTTACTGTGTCACAGACCAGCCTCAGATCATAGTTCATGATGCCAAGATATTGTTGGAGTTGAATGCGGAGACAGACAGGGAGGATTTTTTAGAGTGTCTGCCAGTGTGTAATGTGTCATAATAGCATTTTCTGGGTTTGGGTTTTTTTTTTTTTTTTTTCCCGAGGCTCTGTCGCCTAGGCTAGAGTGTGGCGGTGGGATCTCGGCTCACTGCAGCCTTGACCTCCTGGGCTCAAACAGTCCTCCCATGTAGCTGGGACCACAAGTATGCACTACCATACCCAGCTAATTTTGTTTATTTTTGGTGGAAATGGGGTCTCCCTATATTGCCCAGGCTGATCTCGAACTCCTGGGCTCAAGCAATCCTTCTGCCTCAGCTTTCCAAATTACTGGAATTACAGGTGTTAGCCACTGCACCTGGCCTCATGGTAGCATTTTTAAACAACATTCACCACCGTGGCCTGGTCCCACGGTTTTCTCGTGTAAATCACAGCATTTAGACTCTGCCCTACAGCTCTCTCCATTAGCCTGATGACTCTATAGCAATTCATTAACCTGGGCGTTTTTCTACCTATTCCAGGGCTAACAGCATAAGGTTTTCCTCTCAAGGAACAAGTTGATTTGTTGCTGTTTGCTCAGTGAATAAAAGCAACCTCTCCTTTAGACAATTTATGGCGAACAAGATGATAAAGCAAGTTACTCTTTCAACATTTCTGGAGTAAAATGATGGATGAGGCTGTCCTGGGAGGCCACACATCATGGTGGACCAAATGAGGTTTTAACACTGATCCGGCCTGCCTTTTACCAGCCACAGGTCATTGGTTTGTCACTTTAGTTTTCTGTTCTCCCATCAGGGAAGGGAGTACAGAAGCCACCCTTTGTAGGGTAGGTACAAAGAGGAACTGTGAGCAAGTCTGTAAAACTCCTGGCTCAGACTCTGGCACGGACGGAGACACCACTGATGGCCGTGGTGGCTGATAAACAGCAGTCATAGTCATCATTATGGAAAGAAGTGGCATTGGAGTCTTTTTTTTTTTTTTGAGACAGAGTTTCGTGCTTGTCACCCAGGCTGGAGTGCAATGGCGCAGTCTCAGCTTACTGCAACCTCCGCCTCCCGGGTTCAAGTGATTCTCCTGCCTTAGCCTCCCAAGTAGCTGGGATTACAGGTGTGCGCCACCACGTCCGGCTAATTTTTGTATTTTTAGTAGAGACGGGGTTTCACCATGTTGGCCAGGCTGGTCTCGAACTCCTGACCTCAGTTGATCCGCCCACCTTGGCCTCCCAAAGTGCTGAATTTATAGGCATGAGCCACCATGCCCGGCCTGACATCGGGAGTCTTGGTAGAGAACTCTGGTGTTCACTGTGTGGCTCTCCCAGCAAAAAACAGGTGTGTTCGTTTCTTCTCGTGATCTGTCATTTGAACGTGGGCACCGTTGACTGAACTCAGCAGCACATTGCCAGGTAGAATTTGTGAAGGACGTACGTTCATTTTGGGGTAGGCGTGGGGAATATCAAATTCATGGAAGCAATATGATCAGAACCCTGAAAGCTGTTCTTTTAAGTCGAAAGATGTGGTAGATGTTAAGTAAAGCAAATTGGATCGCTGAAGGAAGTGGATGAAATGTGTTAATAAGGACAGGTGAGGAGAAAGCTGTCACTCATGAATAGCCTTCTGTCTGCTGCTTCTTGGATTTAGGAGCATATACTCCTTTGTTTTCTTTCTTTCTTTTTTTTTTTGCATCCCTTTTATTTTTAACATTGTGCTTAATCTGTGGAAGAGTCTTCAACTTAAAACTCTTTCATACGAATTCTCAGGCACTCCTATCTTAGA
Organism: Homo sapiens; assembly: GCF_000001405.40. Classification (NCBI taxonomy): domain Eukaryota; kingdom Metazoa; phylum Chordata; class Mammalia; order Primates; family Hominidae; genus Homo; species Homo sapiens. Next base: position 16,734,014 of record NC_000005.10, on the reverse strand, counting down.
GAAAGCGTCAGGCTGCCCCTGAAGCCAGCCTGGCATGTCACACATTGGACCCTTTCCTGCTGGTAGCAGGAGGGAGGCACTTAACAATTAAGCAGTTCGAGTCACCCAGCTCAGAAGCCTGGACTCCCTGCCTGGACGTGGATGCTGCGATGCCGAGCCGTCAACTCGTGGCGCCCCCTGCCCAGAGTCCAGCCTGGAGAGTCCTGAAGAGGCCCGGGGATGGGAATAACCTGGCCTTTGAGTGCTGCCTGACCTCCCGTTTCCTAGCAACTCCCAACTGCTCAATGGGATATTTTGTGGTGTTTCTAATTTATACTTAACAGATATTGGCTGTGATCTAAGGCTGGCTAATTTCCCATTATGACTTTCAGGCAACCACTTTAATACATGAATAAGCAAGAAAAGGACTCCTAGGATGCGCAGCTCACCAATACCCTCTTCCCACCAGGCCTTCCTTCCTTCTGGAAAGCAGAATTTACCGAGGACTTGCCAATAAATTACCATTTATCTCAGAGCAGACGGCACTGAGCAATTTTCAAGGAAAATTCTCCATGTGACTTTTTTTTTCTTCTGGTATCTCAGTATATATTCATGAATATTTATAAATCAGCTATATCTATTATCAAAGAAGTAACTCTTTTCTTAGCTATGTTTTTAATGAAATGAAAAGGGCTGACTTGATCTCAGTTTCTTCCTGTAGAAATGGGATGATGGGGTGGGGTGATTTCTCAAGCCCCTTCCAGCACTCCACTAATATAAATCTGATGACCTTGTGGTCTTTTTAATATTTGGCATCTGTTTGGTGACTGGATGTTTAGCTCAGATTTTTCTGAGTGTGTGTATTTTTGTTGTTGTTGTTGTTTGTTTGTTTTGTTTTTTCTGAGATGGCGTCTTGCTCTGTCACCCAGGCTGGAGTGCAATGGCACGATCTCAGCTCACTGCAACCTCCACTTCCCGGGTTCAAGTGATTCTCCTGCCTCAGCCTCCTGAGTAGCTGGGATTACAGGCACCCGCTACCATGCCTGGCTAATTTTTGTACTTTTAGTAGAGATGGGGTTTTGCCATGTTGGCCAGGCTGGTCCCAAACTCCTGACCTCAAGTGATCTGCGCACCTCGGCCTCCCAAAGTGCTAGGATTACAGGCATGAGCCACCGCGCTCAGCTCTTACAATACCGTTAATGCAGCATTATAAAAAATATTCAGCCAAGCATTCCAAATCTCAGTTTGACCACTTTCCCGGCTTTGGATATTGAGGAACTTGTGGCTGCTGGATGCATTTTCCTCTTATTTCCCTCCTCATCTCCTCCCTTCTTTTTCTTGCTCAGTCCTCACTGCGTGGACATAACCTTAGTGATCGTGTAAGTGCTTTAGTGAGTTTCACAGCTATTTTAGCATTTTAATGACCGATTTGGGCCTCCTTGGCAACATCTACAAAGAGAGACAGCTGCCCTCCTAATTTGTATTTCTCAGCATGATTTTTCAGAACACGTCTGAATAAAGGAGCTGATGACCTGTTCAATATGGTGGACAGAGAAGTAGAAATAGAACACAGATGAATAGAGTGAGATGGAGGTTTAGTTTAGCCAGATAAAAAGGTTTCGTTAGGTTCACTAGATAAAAGGGCAACAGATTATACCCAAGGGGGAGGCTACCCTGTGAGGATTTCCAGATGGGATTTGTGCAAAGGGTTGAACCTTCTGTTGTCTTCACCAGGGCTTTGGGTCTGATTTGGAACAAATCTGTAGTCCCTCTCTCCATCCCTCCTTCCTTCCCTCCTGCCCTCCTTCCTTCCTTTGTTTCTTTGGGTTTTTCTGAAAGTCTCTTTCAGCATACTTTAATTGATTTGCAGTATCCATTTTCTTATATGTTGAATTATTAAACCCCTAATTTTAAGTTTATATGATCTACTCAAAATATGAAATGTTCCCCTTCAGCTTTATCTCTCACCCTTCCAGGAGAGCACGGACCTGCTCCTATTCCTCACACAGACCCCCTCAGTCCCTCCTTGCTCTTGGTATCTCCATGAACCCCCTTCAGAATTTCCTCATTTTCTTTCCTTGCTTGGTTTATCACTCAGCCTTCCATTTTTTTCTGATGGCAGCATAGCATGCATACTAAAAAATGAGTTCTCAAGTCATGTGTCCAGCCGTGAATGATCCCAGAGTGAACACAGCACGTGACAACACTCCCAGGCCAGGCAGGAGATGGGGAGCCGCCCTATCCCAAGCTGGTGGCCTCCGTCACCTCCTGGGGCTTCATGCCCTCCACGCTGTCCAGATTGCCAGCCTTGTCTTGGGTAATGTCCACGCTTTCCTCTCTGTCTCCAATTCCACAGGGTTGCTGGACAATATCAAGAAGCATGTTTTGGCCTGGCGTGGTGGCTCACGCCTGTAATCCCAGCACTTTGGGAGGCCAAGGTGGGCGAATTGCTTGAGGTCAGGAGTTAGAGACCAGCCTGGCCAACATGGTGAAACCCTGTTCTTACTCAAAATACAAAAAATTAGCCAGGCATGGTGGCACACACCTGTAGTCCTAACTACTCACTCAGGAGGCTGAGGCAGGAGAATCGCTTGAACCTGGGAGGCAGAGGTTGCAGTGAGCCGAGATCTCATGACTGCACTCCTGCCTGGGTGACAAGAGTGAGACTCCATCTTAAAAACAAAACAAAACAAAACTGGGCGTGGTGGCTCATGCCTGTAATCCCAGCACTTTGGGAGGCTGAGGTGGGTGGCTCATGAGGTCAGGAGTTCAAGACCAGCCTGGCCAAGATGGTGAACTCCCATCTCTACTAAAAATACAAAAATTAGCCAGGTATGGTGGCGGGCACCTGTAATCCCAGCTACTCAGGAGGCTGTGGCAGAGAATTGCTTGAACCCAGGGGGTGGAGGTTGCAGTGAGCCAAGATCGTGCCACTGCACTCCAGCCTGGGCGACAGAGCGAGACTCAGTCTCCAAAAAAAAAAAAAAAAAAGTGTGTTTTGATCAATGCTAGTACATACTTGTGCCAGCCTTGGAGGTGGCCTCCCTGCTCTTCACCAACTCCCCCCATACCTTCCCACATCCCTGAACCTGATTTCAACCTTCCCATGACAGCCCACGACCTCACCTTGTAATTCATCAAAGGACTGAGAGCATCTAACATCAGCCACCCCACCTTCCATCCTCCGCAGCGTGCTGCATCCCTGTCTTTCTGCCTTTGTCAGATCCTCTCTATATTTTGAATATATTTGAGTTCCTAAGTCTCTCCCATCTCAGGTTGTCTAGGCATTTAGCTGCTTCAGATGTGGCCCCCACCTAGTAATTCTCACAGGGGCCAGGGAACCTGGGTCTCTGTATTCTGTCTTTGTTTCTGGCTTCTCTGGCTGGGCTTGAACTTGACACTGCCCCGTGATGTCCCTCTGGTTTTGGCATCCCGTACCAGCTGATGCTGCCCCTGTTGACCTCTGCTCCATACTGATTTGTCTTCTGGTTATTTTTGAGGCTCACAGTGTTAACCACTGAAGAGTTTTAAACTATATACAAGCCTTGCAATATCTCCATGCACCTTAATCCACTGAGGACTAAGCCCCTTCCCCATAAGCCTCCCTCCTTCCCAGGGATAATCCTTCCCTTCCACCACAGCACCTCTTCCATCTACCAACAGACTGTACCGGTATGTCACATACCCTTCTCTCTCTCCAGGCAGAGTCCAACTTTTCAGCACTAAGACAGAGTAATTCTGCCAATAATGACCTACACGGTTAATATGTAAAAACCCCACATTTAATAAGAAGCGTTTGTTTAGAGGCTCCACAGGGTCAGGACTTGGATCCATGTGCCTGTAGTTCTCTTGGTCCTTCCTCAAGGTTACAAAATGGTTGCCATAGCTACAGCCATCACCTCCTCACAAAACATTGTCATTCCATTTTTTTCAATGAGCATCTGTTATGCCATTGTGATACATCTCTGAGTAAAGCAAATAAAGACCTCACCCTCTTAGAGTAAACATTAATCCTGGAAAGAATCAGGGTTGGGACCAAAGAGACTCCCCTCGGTGCCCCTCTTCCTTTAATTAGGAAGGAAAATCTTCCCCAGGAGCCCCTCAGTAGTTTTGCGTGACATCTTCCTCGTTTCTCTGCTTGGTTCTTTGGCCAGGACTGGGCCTGGTTGCTGAGCCTCACTCCACAGGAAGCTGAGAAAGTGAGTGGATGAGTTCGTAGGGTTGGCTGGGGTACAGTTGGAGTTCTTTTAGCAAAGCGTTGCTGTTGGGCCACACTAGAAAATAAAACTTTAGGCTGGGTGCGGTGGCTCACGCCTGTGATCCCAGCACTTTGGGAGGCCGAGGCGGGTGGATCACAAGGTCAGGAGATCGAGACCATTCTGGCTAACACGGTGAAACCCCATCTCTACTAAAAATACAAAAAATTAGCCGGGTGTGGTGCCTGTAGTCCCAGCTACCCGGGAGGCTGAGGCAGGAGAATGGTGTGAACCCGGGAGGCAGAACTTGCAGTGAGCCAAGATCGCGCCACTGCACTCCAGCCTGGGTGACACAGTGAGACTCCGTCTCAAAAAAAAAAAAAAAATAGAAAATACAACTTTAGATGAAGAGTGGAAGGGGTGAAGGTAGAGAGAAATACAAAAATATTTGGATTTTATCGTTGTACAATTTAGGTAACTTTTAATAGATGTAATATCAGATTTTCTGAATCCACGTTTTAGACTTGTGGTAGTTTTGAAGAAGAATTTAAATAAGGACACTTTCTTATCCATTGAGTCTGACTTGATGTTAAACTATAGGAAGAGAAAGTTTAGTACGTCATGCAAAATTACAGAATAATATTGTAATAACAGTGGATTTTTATATACACCAATACAAATAAATATCTTAGGAGCTTTAACTCAAAATTGACCTTAGTACCTTCTAGAACAATGCATCTCAAAGAGTCAAAAGAGCAGTGTTTTGTTTTTCATTGCCAATTCATTGAGGACTGGTGCATTTGAAAAATACAGTAAAAATCGGCAACCCACTCGGGTCCCCTTCCACGCTGTGCTTAAAAGAAAAGAAAAGGGTCCCCTTCTTGCTGCTGCTTAAAAGAAAAGAAAAGAAAAATACAGTAAAAAAATACAGTAAAAACGATGCAGCCACATCAGATCGCTGTAAGAGTTCCTAAATGCTTATTCTCACCTTTGGTGGCCATCTTGCCATGGACAGGCAGCCGTCCCAGGCCACACTTGGAGTCACGCTCTTCTGGTTTTCCCACGAGGACGAAGGGCACAGAACTAGACACAGGTCCTAGTGCACAGTAGTCGTGTGACCTTGAGCAAGCCACTCCACTTGGATCAGGGTCTCCAGGTATATAATGGAATAATAGTCTTGTCTTGCCCACTGGCTCTTGGATATTCAATTAGACTCATGGAAAGCCTTGGTACATGGTAATTCATATTTAAATATTAGGTGTCATTATATGCCGTTTAACTTTTAATTCAGGAAGGAGACTATATGTAGCTTTTTTTTTTTTCAGTGTTGAAAATTAAAAAGCTCTAGTTTTGGCGATCCAGGGGTTCCCTTTTTGCAGCAAAAGGCAGTTCTGCTTTCTATCTTCCCAAAGAGCTGGAGGGGTGGGAGCCAAAAGAAAGTCCCCAGGTACCTCATCCCCAAGGAGTTGGTGTGCAAGCTGGTGTGTGGCCTGAAGTTTGGGATCTGCCTACAGGGTTTCCCCAGAGGGCAGCCCGCAGAAGGAGGCAGAGTTGAGAAATCTGTCCAGTGTGCAGGAGAGGAGACAAGCGACCCTGGCCGTGTGCAGTAGTCCATGCACACGCAGGGCCATTGAGAGAGAGGAAGTTGGAGCGGCAGGTGCAGGGCTGTGAAAGGCAGGAAGCCAGGAGGCAGAAACCAGAATGGAAGGAAGAAGCCATGGCGGAGGGCGGCCTATGTTCCTAGAGCTCAAGGAAGCATTCAATCACACGCTCAACACGTGATTTTCAGGCCACTTGTGTGTTTTGGAAACAAGTATGTGACCAGGCACAGAGGCAGCCAAGATTCAAATGAGTGAATGTCCCATGGACATAATTAAAGAGAAAGGGCTTGTACTAAACACTGGAGAGCTGTTAGGCATAGCTTTTCCAGGCATTTCTTTGCTAGTTTTTTTTTTTTTTTTTTTGGGCTGGGGGGAAGGATCGGAGTGTATGTGCCCCAGTTTTATCTTGTTTAATCCAGCTTTATTACAGCTCTGTCCTCAGCGCTGGCTCTGTTTCAGCATCCCCATAGGCAAGGAAGATGCTGGCTTCAACAGTTTGTTTTAAAAAACAAAAATCAAAGTTAATGTCCTAGGAATCTTTTGGGGGATCCCTGAAAACTAAATATAAATTTGTTAGGGAAAGTAGTTAGTTATATGTTGTTTGAGAATCATTGTCTTGATCTTGAAAGATTATTTGACACTTTATTTGATGTTAATGGAAATTCTTCGTGTTTGATTTATTTGTTCAGAGTCATTAGCCTCGTGAGAACCCTTCATGGGGCCTTTATTTCACAGTATTTGCATGAGCATTGTTTTTTATCTTTGAAAAATGGGTAATGTTATGAAAAGGAATATGTGTTAGTCTCTAAACATGCAAGCCTTATATCAAAATAGTCTGACAGTGTATTTATACAAAACATGCTGCAGGTATCAAACAAAATTGTAATCAAATTAGAATTTTAAGCCTTGTTGTTTTACTCTCCAAGTCCTTATAAACCAGAAGCCCTAACTTTTTAGAATAACACTGTTCAATAGGAATAGAATGTGAGCACCATGTCTAATTTAGGTTTTCTAGTAGCCACATTTAGAAGTGTAAAAAAAAATTGTTTTTTTTGTGAAAGCAGTTTTAACAACATATTTTTTTTACTATATCCAAAATGTTATCCTTTCAACATGTAATAAATTTCAAAATGATTAATGAGATACTTTATTTTTTCATACTAAGTTTTTGAAATCTGGTGTGTAATTATCTCTAGAGCACAACTCAATTTGCACCAGTTGAGCACCCTGTTTGTCTAGCTTTTATTCTCTAACTCAAGAGATTAGTAAACTTCTGTAACTGGCAAGATAGTAAGTATTTTAGGCTTTGCTATTGTATTGTGGAAGTGGTCACAGACAATGTGTGGCTGTGTTCCAATAAAACTTTATTTACAAGAACAGGTGGCAGGCCGGATATGGCTGGCAGGCTGTGGTTTACAAGCCCTCACTCTAACTAAATGTATCATCTCGTGGGTTTTAATGCTCAGAAGTTGATTTCTATTTTGGGCTGCTACCAAGATAGCTATTGTGATAAATTTCATTCAGAAATATTCAGGAAATATGTACCAGGAAGTATACTCCATTGTTAAATAATGAATACGTTGGAACTACAGGAACTCCCCCTTTCCTGAATTTGCACCTTTCAGGAAGAGCCGCATAGCTAGTGGTGCTTAGTGCTGGCTTGGCTGTCACGATGCCTGGATTTGAAGCTCAGCTGTGTTAATTAAGCATGAGCCTTGTGACCCTAGACAGTTAATTAACCACCCTGCACTTCAGGTTATGCATCTGTAGAATGGGGATGACAATAATATCTACCTCATAGAGTTGCTAAAATTAAATGAAAGCTGACACAGTAAGCCCTTGGTACATGATAGCTTTTGTTATTCCTCTGCCACTAATGTTGCTGCTGGAAGTACTACTTGTACTGTTACTACTAGTGGTGTTAGTACTGCTGTTACCACCATCACCACCACCACCATAGAGATCCATACATACAAACCAACCTATGTGCCAGAATGGAACCATGCTGACTTGATGATCGTCCACAGATGACCATAGTGGCCACTAATATGGTATCACTTTGGACGTAAACTTGTCAGTCAGCAGATGTGCTACTGCACTCTAGGGGAGATCTGGCATGATCTGCAAGGATTTAATGTTAAAAGACTTGAGTGGGCTGGGCACGGTGGCTTACACCTGTAATCCCAGCACTTTGGGAGGCTGAGGCGGGTGGATCACCTTGAGGTCAGAAGTTTGAGACCAGCCTGGCCAACATGGTCATCTGTCTCTACTGAAAATACAAAAATTAGCCTGGCGTGGCAGCGTGCGCCTATAATCCTAGCTACTTGGGAGGCTGAGGCAGGAGATTCGCTTGAACCCAGGAAGTGGAGGCTGCAGTGAGCCAAGATCACGCCACTGCACTCCAGCATGGGTGACAGAGCTAGACTCCGCCTCACAAAAAAAAAAAAAAAAGGGGGTACCTGTTGCTTCTCTGGCCTGGTAATTGCTGTATGATATGACTCAGGTCACACAACATTCTTTGACCCTATTTAATGAAAATGCTAATTAATGGCTGCCCTACCCACCTCACAGGGTGATAGAGCAAATTGTAGGTAAAGTACTTTGGAAATTGTAGAGTGTTGTGGAAATATTAGCTGAGAGCATTTCCCACACGATTGCTTTTTTAAAAATGTATATCACACACTTAATTTTATCATCATGGACTGATTTAATTCATAGAGTAGTTGTAAAGATTAAGTGGGCACATGTAAAGTGCTCAGTTCAATGGTAGAAACATAGCTCCTGTTCAAGGGCTGGGTAGTTGCTATTTTTATTACTCGATTTTCAATTTAAGATGTAGTATTTTGGCTGGGCACAGTGGCTCGCCCCTATAATCCCAGCATTTTGGGAGGGCGAGGCAGGCAGATCACAAGGTCAGGAGTTCGAAACCAGCCTGGCCAACATGGTGAAACCCCGTCTCTACTAGAAATACAAAAATTAGCAAAATTAGCTAGGCATGGTGATGCATGTCTGTAATCCTAGCTACTCAGGAGACTAAGGCAGGAGAATCGCTTGAACCCGGGAGGCTGAGGTTGCAGTGAGCTGAGATCATGCCGCTGCACTCCAGCCTGGATGACAGAGGAAGACTCTGTCTCAAAAAAAAAAAAAAAAAAAAAAAAAAGAAGAAGAAGGTGAGAGAACTGTATATCCTGACAGGTTAACTGTCTCTAAGATTCTGTTAGGTAAGAGAAGCAAAATGTGGAACACTTTTATTTGCATTTTTAAAAAAGCAGTGCGTGTATTTATCTGCACACACGTGAGCGTGCATATACACACACATGCATACTGTGTTTATACATGCATTGACTGTGCCTGAAGGAGACACAGGAAACTAGTACGAATGGTCTTCCTCAGGAGAGCTGTGGGGTTTTTATGGCAGATGCTTTTTTGTATATGTATGTATGTGTATGTATTATATATGCATATATACACCCAGATCCTTTGCGTGTATTATTTTTTCATTTAACAACAACAAATTAGTTAGTGGGGAAAAAGAGATGGCTGTAATCTCCCAATTTCTTTTGCATCCCTCCTCATTAAACACTATACTGAAGAGTTACTTCATGACGTCTTGCAGTGGAACCCCCATAGAAACACATTCCAGTCGTGTCATGTGAGTCATTAAAAAAAAATAACTGGGTATCGAGCTGCGTTTTGGGCATGTTCTCTAGAAACACATTGTGAGGGCTACTTGGACCTTATGCTGGCTTCCTTTAGAGTCATATTTGAACTAGTGTCAGGACCCTGAGATTTTCTGTGCTGTTTTCATGACAGTAAATCAAATCCAGTTGGACAGAATGGGTTTTGTTTAGGTTTTCTTGCAAAATTCTCGCTCCAACAGTAAGAAACCTGGCTCCCATCATCTGCCATTCATTTTTTTGTTTAATTCCAGTGTACATGTACAGTAGTATCCAGAGTTGTGACTCCATACCCCTGGGGAAAACAACTTTATCAACTATAGTACAGAGCTGAAATGCAGTTCTTTATGCTTTTAGTCTTATAGACTCTATATGTTTCCAGCGTTATTTAAGTCAGCGTCTTTTCCCTCACCCTGTTTAGTGAGGTCGATTCATTTAGATTCTCTTGTGACAATCTACATTATTTCTTGGTTTCCCCAAAGGTTTATTCTAGTGCTCTAAAGTTCCGCGAGTTTTGACAAATGCATGATGTCATGTATCCACCATTACAGTATCACACAGAATAGTGTCACTTCCCTAAAATTCCTCTGTGCTTTAGTTCTTCATCCTTCCCCCGACCCCTGGCAACCACTGATTGTTCTACTGTCTCTGAAGTTTTGTCTCTTTCTGGATGTCATATAATTGGAGTCAAATAGTATATAGCCATTTCAGACTGACATCTTTCACCTAGCACTATGTATGCACTTGAGGTTCCTCCGCATCTTTTTGTGGCTTGATAGCTTTTGAATAATATTTCATTGTATGGATATACCGTAGTTTCTTTGTCCATTCACCTGTTGAAGGATGTCTTGATTGCTTCCAGTTTTTGGCAGTTACGAACAAAGATCCTATAAACATTGATGTGCAGATTTTTGTGTGGACGTAAGTTTTTGCCTAAATGGGAAAATACCTCAGCGGGCAGTCGCTGGATCATGTGTTAAGACTGTGTTCAGCTTTTAAGAAACTGTCTTCCAAATTGACTGCACCATTTTGCATTCCTGCCAATTCTGGGTGAGAGTTCTTGTTGCTCCACATTTTTGCTAGCATTTGATATTGTCAATTTTCTGGATTTTAAGCATTCTAATAAGTATGTAGTGGTACTTCATTATCGTTTTAATTTTTTTTCTTTTTTTTTGAGACAGAGTCTCGCTCTGTCACCCAGGCCGGAGTGCAGTGGCGCAACCTTGGCTCACTGCAAGCTCCGCCTCCCAGGTTCACGCCATTCTCCTGCCTCAGCCTCCCCAGTAGCTGGAACTACAGGTGCCCACCACCACGCCCAGCTAATTTTTTTTTTGTATTTTTAGTAGAGACGGGGTTTCACTGTGTTAGCCAGGATGGTCTCGATCTCCTGACCTCATGACCTCGTGATCCGCCTGCCTCGGCCTCCCAAAGTGCTGGGATTACAGGCGTGAGCCACCACGCCTGGCCTGTTTTAATTTGTAATTCCCCAATGACAGGTGATATCTTTTCATATGCTTATTAGCCTATCTTCTTTGGTGAAGTGTCTCTTCAGATCTTTTGCTTATTTTAAAAATTGGATTTTCATATTGTTTAGTTTTAAGTGTTCTTTGTAAATTTTTGATACAGTCTTTCTTAGTGTGTATTTTCCAAATATTTTTCAGTCTGTTACTTGTCTTTCATTGCCTTAACAGCATCTTTCTCGGAAGAAGGTTTTTAATTTTAATGAAATCCTACACATCTATTTTTTCCTTAAGGGAACATTCTTTTGTTGTTGTATCAAAGTTATCCCCAAAGCCACCTAGATTATTTCCTATGTTATCATCTAGGAGTTTTATAGTTTTGTGATTTACATTACATACATAGGTCTATGATTTACTTAATTCTTGTGAAAGTTGTAATGTCCACATCTAGATTATATCTTTGCATATTGCTGTCCAATTATTCTAGCACCATTTGTTAGAAAGACTATCCTTTCTCTAATTGCCTTTGCACATTGCTCAAAAATCATTTGATTATAGTTGTGTAGATTGACATACTTTTTAAAAAGCAAAAAAACGTTTTCATTTCTCCAAAATCTGTAAGAGAGGCAAAACCTATTTAATGCTAATTAAACAAATATATTAGAAACAGCTGTAAACAGAAGCACAATTTTGTTCATGCAAATATACCAGCGTAAGTGAGAGTGTATCTGATACGTAGGGTGACACACCAGGCAATGTAGTGAACTCAGACATTCATAGAATTCAGCTGCTCCGCTGCAAGAATGTGTAATTTAATGGGGAGTTCACATGGACATGCTTAAGATGAAAAAGAGTGTGACCAGGGGTCACATCCTCATGCAAGTACAGCGTGTGCTGGGAACCTAGGGGTGAGAGCATCACGGATGGCACCTGTGGGATGCATCGGGACAGTTTTACGCAGGAGGGAGCATTTGAGAGACACCTAAAAGATCCATCAGGCTCAACAGATGGTACATTTCAGGTGGAGAGGCCAGTTTCAGCTGAGGTGGAGACAGGAAGTGAGCATTTTAATCAAGAAACAAGTAGAATGATCTATGGTTGGACTAAAAGGTAGGATTTGTATAAGGGCGTATTGACTGGGAAGGTAAATTGGAGCCATACTGTGAGGACCTCGAATGGGAAATCGAAGCCTTTGTCTTAAACTGGCATGTGCTGGCTCTGTGTGAACAGGGCTGTGATACAACCAGAGCTATCCCTTAGAAAGATTGACATGTATGTGTGCATGTTATTTATGTTCCAGTGTTTTCTTTCCCATTAGGTAGTTGAGGTTTGTGTGGGTCCGAGGTAAGCGCCTGCAGCTGTAACAGAGTGTGAGTGTCCTTGCTCAGGGTGACAGCTGTACTTAGTCTCAGCGGGTATGTGGGTTGAAGGTTGTACTTGGTGAGTGAGAAATTTCCAGACCCTACAATCTGACCTCCAGGACTGACTGACAGCTTGCTCGCCAGTCAGGCCCTGCTTACTACCTTCCTGTTCCTCACCTGCGGGGGTTGCCTCTTCTCTAGGGGAAATTAGTTTCTGCCTCTTTTCTAAAAATGTGAAAATTAGCAAGTAGCAACCACTGTGTAAGTGTTTAACAGCCCCGGAGTGAAATGACTGATGTAAGTACAAAGGACTTTTGTCGCCAGTTGAAGTGACTTTTATTTACCTTCTGTTCAAGGTCAGGAAAGTTATATTGCTGCTTTAGTTACGATGCTTTTGAACATTGTTCAAAGCATGATAAACTTCTTATCTGAGAATATTTATTCACCACTCTTGAGAGTTTATTGTAGCAAAGAAAGCAAATAGACTGAGATTCCTTGCAGAGTTCTTTGTGAATCAGCAAGAGGAGGGGATGGGAGTCCTGTTGTGAGGCTTTCTTAGTAGTTACAGGACTGGGAATGATATTTTGTTATGTAGCGTAATTGTCTTTGGGTAATTCTTATGGAGTCTTTAACTTCTTAAAGTTGAAGAGGGGTTATCAGAAGATAAGGTTGTTTATTTTTAAAGTTAAATGGGGTAGAGGTATATCCCATAATGGAAATGCAAATACAAATATACCTAATATTTTAAATCCTCTCTGTAGCAGTGCCCCCTGCCCCACACATACAGTATTCATGTAATGAATTATGTAATGGCTTTTCTTATTACATAATTCACATATTTTATGTTTCTTAAGATAGTGGCATACTAATCTCCACAATATGAACTGTGCGATGAGTCCCTCAGTTGCAGACCCAATATGAATGTAAAGTTTAAAGTATTTCATTTAAAGTAGGTCAGGTGCCATTAAAGAATACAATGTGGAGGCTGGGCGCGGTGGCTCACGCCTGTAATCCCAGCAATTTGGGAGGCCAAGGCGGGTGGATCACAAGATCAGGAGGTGGAGACCATCCTGGCTAACACGGTGAAATCCCGTCTTTACTAAAAATACAAAAAATTAGCCGGGTGTGGTGGCACGTGCCTATATTCCCATCCCAGCTACCCGGGAGGCTGAGGCAGGAGAATTGCTTGAACCTGGGAGGCAGAGGTTGCAGTGACCTGAGATCGCACCACTGCACTCCAGCCTGGGCGGCAGAGCGAGACTCCGTCTCAAAAATTAAATTAAAATAAAATAAAATAAATAAAATAAAATAAAAATAAAATAGTGGAAAAGTAGAACTCTAAATTTTGAATGCAGTACCACTCACTTTGAGAAATAGTCTAGCAATGTGGAGGTTGGTCTTATAAGACATAAAGTCTTCAAAAAATTCTTTTAATAAGCTCCCAAGTTAAGGCAGTAAAGGCAATTGACTTACTGTCGGTGTGATGCTCAGCTCCTTTGTTTGGCTTTCTGGGGCTGTTTGTCAGGGCTCTGAGGATCTCCTGTGTTGCCAGATCTCGGGCTCTCTACCATTTTGCATCCTAAGCAGATCTAATCTGGGAAGGGCCTGCATTTGTCAGGGCAGAGCAGGGACTGGGTTTGCTCTTGGACATCCCACACCATTAGTTATTTGTGTGGGTGCTTAGTCTATGGGAGGCTTCTAATACATACATACATATACACACACACACACACACACACACACACACACACGCACGCACACACATTTATTTCTTTAGGGACCGAGTTTCACTCTTATTGCCTAGGCTGGAGTGCAATGGTACAATCTCGGCCCACTACAACCTCCGCCTCCTGGGTTCAAGTGATTGTCCTGCCTCAGCCTCCTGAGTAGCTGGGATTATAGGCATGTACCACCACGCCTGGCTAATTTTTATATTTTTAGTAGAGATGGGGTTTCTCCATGTTGGTCAGGCTGGTCTCGAACTCCTGACCTCTGGTGATCCACCCACCTCAGCCTCCCAAAGTGCTGGGATTATAGGCGTGAGCCACCGTGCCTGGCCCAAATAAATATTTTTAGTTGATTAAAATAATTGTTTACTTTTACATAATCTTCAAGACATTGTGATCACATGAAAGTTTTAGACCTTGAGTAAATTCTCTCCAAAAATGATAGGAAAGGATCCACTCTAGAAATAAATTATAACATGTATTCAGAAGCACCCAAGGAGTTGTCACACTGTATTTGATATTTGTTATTAAAGCAGAAGCAGTCGTTATTATATACGTTGTCACATGCAGGGCATCATCCTTGGGATACAGTGCCACATGTTACCAGTGTGTCCCTTGTCCACTGTGGTGTGTCATCTCATGCTCAGACACCTGCCCTTAGCAGGCACCCAAGGAGGGGGTATTGTGTCCGGAATTGGTGGGTTCTTGGTGTCACTGACTTCAAGAATGAAGCCGCGGACCCTCGCGGTGAGTGTTACAGCTCTTAAGGTGGCGCGTCTAGAGTCTGTCCCTTCTGATGTTCAGATGTGTTCGGAGTTTCTTCCTTCTGGTGGGCTCGTGGTCTCGCTGGGCTCAGGAGTGAAGCTGCAGATCTTCGTGGTGAGTGTTACAGCTCATAAAAGCAGCGTGGACCCAAAGAGTGAGCAGTAGCAAGATTTATTGCAAAGAGCAAAAGAACAAAGCTTCCACAGTGTGGAAGGGGACCCGAGCGGGTTGCTAATGCTGGCAACCTGCTTTTATTCTCTTATCTGGCCCCACCCACATCCTGCTGATTGGTAGAGCCGAGTGGCCTGTTTTGTCAGGGCGCTGATTGGCGCGTTTACAATCCCTGAGCTAGATACAAAGGTTCTCCACGTCCCCATCAGATTAGTTAGATACAGAGTTTGGACACACAGGTTCTCCAAGGCCCCACCAGAGCAGCTAGATACAGAGTGTTGATTGGTGTACTCACAAACCTTGAGCTAAACACAGGGTGCCGATTGGTGTATTTACAATCCTTGAGCTAGACATAAAGGTTCTCCACGTCCTCACCAGAGCAGCTAGATACAGAGTGTCGATTGGTGCACTCACAAACCTTGAGCTAAACACAGGGTGCTGATTGGTGTGTTTACAAACCTTGAGCTAGATACAGAGTGCCGATTGGTGTGTTTACAGTCCCTGAGCTAGACATAAAGGTTCTCCACGTCCTCACCAGAGCAGCTAGATACAGAGTGTCGATTGGTGCACTCACAAACCTTGAGCTAAACACAGGGTGCTGATTGGTGTATTTACAATCCCTGAGCTAGATATAAATACTCTCCACGTCCCCACCAGACTCAGGAGCCCAGCTGGCTTCACCTAGTGGATCCCGCACCAGGGCTGCAGGTGGAGCTGCCTGCCAGTCCTGCGCCGTGCGCTCGCATTCCTTAGCCCTTAGGTGGTCGATGGGACTGGGCGCCGTGGAGCAGGGGGCGGTGCTCGTCAGGGAGGCTCCGGCCGCACAGGAGCCCATGGAGTGGGTGGGAGGCTCAGGCATGGCGGGCTGCAGGTCCCGAGCCTTGCTCCACGGGAAGGCAGCTAAGGCCCAGCGAGAAACAGAGCACAGCGCCGGTGGGCTGGCACTGCCTGGGGACCCAGTACACCCTCCGCAGCCACTGGCCCAGGTGCTAAGTCCCCCATTGCCCGGGGCCAGCAGGGCTGGCTGGCTGCTCCGAGTGCGGGGCCCACCAAGCCCACGCCCACCCGCAACTCCAGCTGGCCCGCAAGCGCTGCACGCAGCCCCGGTTCCCGCTCGTGCCTCTCCCTCCACACCTCCCTGCAAGCTGAGGGAGTGGGCTCCAGCCTTGGCCAGACCAGAAAGGGGCTTCCACAGTGCAGTGAGGGGGCTGAAGGGCTCCTCAAATGCCACCAAAGTGGGAGCCCAGGCAGGGGAGGTGCCGAGAGCAAGTGAGGGCTCTGAGGACTGCCAGTGTGCTGTCACCTCTCAGTATGAGATGCAAATGGAGTTAAATCCCCGTGGGTCAAAGAACAGTTGAATTGTTTGTCAGTGATCAGAGGTTGATATGCGAAGTAAGGATATGGTCCGCTGATGATTGTCCGTGTTTATGGGAGTAGCCAGAGTTGGATTTGCTCAGTTTGCAATTTGATTTTCTAAAAGCTCTTCTTTATTCTCTAGTTGCTTCCATATGCAGATGTTTGGCTGAACTCACAATGTAGCAAACTGATTTCTTATCGATGTGGTCGTGGCCCTTAAAATTGTGATCTTTAAGTCGCCTGTATTAGACCAAGTCAGTACCTGACAAGTTGATCTCTAGGAATGTTCCTTGTGCTTAAATCTCCAGAGAATGTCTGTGTTTCCAGAAGACGGATTGCCACTGGGAATGATACCTTATAGACCACATTCTCTGCCTAGGTTCCACTTAATCTTTTCCCTAAAGAAGTTTTCATTCCTTTCAGAGTTATATCCCATGGTAATATTTCCCAGTTTTATAATGTGTCAGTAGGAAAATAGGTTTGATGCATACGAGTTTGATTTACATGCTAGTTTTCAGGAACGCAAAGCTCTTTGAGACTTACTTTTTAACTTCTTGATTTAAGCAAATGTTAAAACCAGTTTAAGGCCGCGCGTGGTGGCCCAAGCCTGTAATCCCAGCATTTTGGAAGGGTGAGGTGGGTGGATCACCTGAGGTCAGGAGTTCAAGACCAGTCTGGCCAACATGGGAAAACCCCATCTCTACTAAAAGTACAAAATTAGCCAGGTGTGGTGACACATGCCTGTAATCCCAGCTACCCATTTGGGAGGCTCAGGCAGGAGAATTGCTTGAGCCTGGGAGGCAGAGGTTACAGTAAGCCAAGATCACACCACTGCACTCCAGCCTGGGTGACAAGAGTGAGACTTCATCTCAAAAAAATAAAAAAAATAACCGGTTTGAACAAGTCATTTTGCCTTCCTAATTTCCAGTCTCGTTATCTACAAAATGGCTTTTCCCTAAAATCTTGGCCGGCTCTGGAAAAACCCATGGCTCCTGTGTGACAAGCTGGATTCCTACCACCCCCAGCCACGTCTTCCTGGGCTCTTCTCAGGATGCCTTGGTTGGTTTTTGCGAGTTTCTCAAATGCTGAAAAACATTATAACTTTAATGGTCCATGGATAATAAACTCACTGTATTTTCTTTCATTAAATAAGCACAGATTGAATGTCCCCTTACCATAGGCAAATGGCTGTTTCCAAATCCACTGTCATACTTCTTATTGTCATGCACTGTTCATGAAATTATGGAAGGCTCGGTAATGTTCAGGGCAATTGGATTCATTGATACATAAATAAATGCATTTCTGTCTTCATTGGGAAGCACCCTCCCTGCTCTTGGTGTCCCTGTTTGTCAGCACCTCTGTTGTCCTTTATCTAAATAAGCTGCAGGAGGTAAGGATTGCCTGTAAGTGATTTTTGTAGAGGGTTTAGTGTGCCCTGTTATTAATCATTATTAATCATCTAGGCATTCTGAAATAGTATTTTTCAGATTGTGTGGAAATAAGTATTTCTACTTATTTTTGGTAGGATTAAATTATCCAAAGTATACATTAAAACTACATAGATTTCGTCCTGTCTCCAGGATGCAAACTTTCTCTTCCATCCATTTCTTGTCCATTTTAAATGCCTCAGTGTTAGACTGGTACTTAATGTACTTTTTTTTTTTTCGAGACGGAGTGTCACTCTGTTGCCCAGGCTGGGGTGCAGTGGTGCGATCTCAGCTCACTGCAACCTCTGCCTCCTGGGTTCAAGCAATTTTCCTGCCTCAACTTCCCAAGTAGCTGGGACTACAGGCACATGCCACCACACTCGGCTGATTTTTGTATTTTTAGTAGAGACAAGGTTTCACCATATTGGTCAGGCTGGTCTCGAACTGCTGACCTCAGGTGATCCACCTGCCTCGCCCTCCCAAAGTGCTGGGATTACAGGCGTGAGCCACCGCGCCTGGCCTTAATGTACTTAAAAAATTTTTTTAACAGCTTTTTTGAGATATGGTTCTTATGTCATGTAATTGCCTTATTTAAAATCTGCAATTCAGTGAGTTTTAAAATTTTTTACAGATATGTGCAGCCGTCACCAGAGTCAATTTTAGAACATTT
Organism: Homo sapiens; assembly: GCF_000001405.40. NCBI lineage: Eukaryota > Metazoa > Chordata > Mammalia > Primates > Hominidae > Homo > Homo sapiens. The sequence goes on along the minus strand of NC_000005.10, from coordinate 16,715,624 downwards.
TCGTCACCTCAAAAAGAAACCCCCAGGCTGGGTGAGGTGGCTCATGCCTGTAATCCCAGCACTTTGGGAGGCGGAGGCAGGCAGATTACTTGAAGTTGGGAGTTCAAGACCAGCCTCACCAACATGGAGAAACCCCATCTCTACTAAAAATACAAAATTAGCCAGGTGTGGTGACAAATGCCTGTAATCCCAGCGAGACCCTGTCTCAAAAAAAAAAAAAAAAAAAAAAAAATTTCAATCTTACGGCACCATCGCCATATCTGTAGTCTGTCGTTGACTGAAACATCATTATGTGGTACATGACTACATTTATACGCATATATGTAGCTAGAGCAGGGATTTTTGGAGAGGAGTGATCATCTTTATTTTTTTTTAAGTAAGATTCTTTCTAGCTTGTTTTTCTCACTCAATAATACCTCATGAAAGGCCCTAGAGTCAATAGGTATGTCTTCAATTTGATCTTTTTTTTTTTTTTTTTTGTCCAATTGCCCTATGTTGTTCTTTTAAAAAATTTTTTTTTAATTTATTTTTGTTGTGTATTGATGGGATGTATGAGGTATTTTGACACAGGCATATGACGTGTAATAATCATATCAGGTAAATGGGGTATCCATCCTCTCAAGCATTTATCCTTTGTGTCACAAACAATCCAGCTATACTTTTAGTTATTTTTAAATATGCAACTAAATTATCATTGGCTATAGTCACCCTGTTGTGCTATCAGATACTAAATATTCATTCTTTCTATTTTTTGTACCCAGTAACCATCGCCACTCCCTGCTACAATTTGTTTTTGTTGTTGTTGTTGTTTTCTCGCTCTGTCGCCCAGGCTGGAGTGCAGTGGCACAATCTTGGCTCACTGCAAGCTCTGCCTCCTGGGTTGACGCCATTCTCCCGTCTCAGCCTCCTGAGTAGCTGGGACTGCAGGCGCCCGCCACCACGCCCGGCTAATTTTGTTTTTGTATTTTTAGTAGAGACGGGGTTTCACCCTGTTAGCCAGGATGGTCTCAATCTCCTGCATTTGGTCTTATTGGCTGCATGACATTTTTATGACGTGCGTGGTATCAGAATATACCCAGCTGCTGCCCATTTGGGGATGCTCTTGTTCCTAGTGTTGTTGCTGCCACCGAGGGGATCCTTACCCAGCACAGATCTGACCCCGTTGGTCTCTACTGTGAGCCTCCAGTGACTCCTTGTGACTCCTTCTTATCTTGAATACAAGAACCATGCGTCCATCTTCCACCCAGGTCCTTCCCCCTCTGTTCCATCCCATCCTGTTGACTGAACCTGCCAGGTTCCTCTTGGCTTTTCTTCCTGTTTTTTTTTTCCTGTGGGGAATGCCCCTTCCCTCCAGCATTTTAAGAGTCCGAGCTCTAGTTCAAATCTGTGCACTTCCCATGCCCCCTCAGTATTTTTCTCTCTCCAAGGAACTTAATTTTAATCTTTAATTATAGTTTAATATTAGGCTTTCCGCTATCTAAGTACTGATGTACCTGTCCACCCTCCTAAATTGCAGGGTCCTTGGAAACAAAACACAGCTTCCACCTTTTTGAAAAAAATCTTCCCTGATCATGAATTACAAAACCTTGCACATAGTAGGTGTTCAGTAAATATTCAGTAAATGGATCAAGTGACTGTAATTGCCCTGGTTAGAGGCTGTTTCTTCCAAACTCCAACCTATTTGTCGCCATCGAGACTTCCCTGTCGGTACACTGCAGGCAGTCTTTGTTGGAGTGAGCTCAGGTTCTGGAAAACTAGTTAGTTACCAGTGGAGGCAGCGCAGTAGCAGAGTTTTGAAAGGCGAAATGCCTTTAAGTTGTGCCTTGTCCAGCCTCCAGCTGTGTCATCTTTGAACATTCAATTCACCAGAAAAGGAAATTGCAGCCGAAAAGAAAACCACCAATGGAAATCCAGATCTACCCCCTCGTGATTGTGATCGCAGGGTGGGTTGCCCGGGGCGACAATCAGCCTATAGATCCCCCTCCCCTGGTTAAGTTACTGGGAAGGGGCAGGGACACAATCGCAATGGGAGCCTGGATCTCGAGGCCGCTCCTTGCTCCCTCCCTCCCCTCCCCTGGCTGTGTCAAATCCTACAACCACACCACACTAATTAGCCCGAGAATGGAAGGGGTTGTCATGGCGACCGGGCACTTTTTAAAGCACAGGAATGGTGTTCATTATTGTTCCATGTCTTTAGCTGTGGGGAAAAGGTCAGTGTGGCAGTTGTTTTCCATATGAATTTTGGCCCAAGAGCCAAACTGAAGGTGAGATGCCCCTTGGAGAGACAGGAAGATGGTGAGTGTGGCTGAACTTTTTGGATGGGGAGGCCCTTTTGGTGTAATATCTTTAGTTTTAATAACTCGAGCTTCGGACTGGGGAATTGTACAGACTTTGTTCTATAGAGACTGGGAGAAAAGAGGGGATCAGGAACAGGGAAAGCCTGAGAGATAGAGATATTTTGGATGAAAGTCTTTGCGCATCAAGTGATTAAATATTAAGTTTAGAAGGCTTCTCTGGTAGTATAAATTTAACAAAGTTAAGTAAGTCTGATACTTTATTCAGTGTTCCTTTTATATTTGCTCTATACAGTGCTGCTTAGATTATATTCCCAAATAAATCTCACAGAAGCATTGTAACCAAATGCCTTCAGAACAGTCAGCCACCCCCCAACCCGCATTTTTAAATCCAGAGATACGGCATAAGAGTCACCAAGGCTAATTTTGTTTTCATATTTTTATGCTTTTCTTACTTTTCTGAGGATAATTTAATCAAGACTAAAAACAGAGAACCACAGTTCTTTGGATGTTTGCCCTAATTTGCTGGCTGCACTTGTTTGGAATACTGCTAAATAAAGACAATTTGACCACAGTGTTTGTAGAAGAAATTAAATATGAGAGAAGTCAGCCCACTAGGGCTGATGGCAGCTATTCCATCAAAAGCTGTGAGGGACAGTTGCAAAGCATTCTTTAAATTTATTTTTTTGCCAATTTTGAAAGCTTGCAGAATAACACGGCTTTATGCCTAATTCTGTGTTAATGACTGCATTTTTAAGGGTCACAAATTAAGCCACTTTGCATTCTTGTATTTTTTTAACAGTTAGGTCCTATGGCACTATTTTTTTGTCATTGTATTCACAGTTGTGTGGGATAACAACATGCAGCTTAATTAAAGGGAACACGGGTGGGTGGACTGAAAAAACAAACCACTGTCCCCAGAGTTCCTAAATGGCCCACTTTTTTGCTTTCCTCTGAAAACCTATTGTCCTGGCCCCAGTGCCAGTTTGTTTGGCAGCTGAACAAATAAAAGAACACATTTCAGAGCATTAAGTCTTGGTTCTGATTTCCTCTGTCTTTAATTTGTGTGTTCTCAGGCTTATTTAGTGATCAGAGTATGGAGCTCTCAATAAATAAGTATTTGACTAGAATTTGAGCAAAGTCAAACTCTTTTTCGCCTCTATGTCTTCCAAACCGGCTAGCGTGGTCATCTCCCCTTCCCCATCCCCACCCCCACCCCCACCTCACCTGCCACAGTGTGGGTATCCACCCATCACCAAGTCACTGTGTTCTTAGGTAAAAAATGACTTTAAATTCAAATTTAAAAAGTAAAATAAAGTGACATTTGTATGACACTTTAAAGTCTTTGCAGAAAAAATAGATTTTAAAGTGGTGGTACATTTATGATATTTGTGATACAGCCAGAAATGTGAACATGGATATTAATATAAAGGAATTATTGTTATCTTTTAAGATATGATACTAGTGTTATATTAACACATGACATATAGTAGAATCTTTGCAAATGAGGTGATGCGATGTTTGGGATTTTCCTTTTTTTTTTCTTTTTTTCTTTTTGTTTTTTGAGACTGCTCTGTCACCAGGCTGTAGTGCAGTGGCGCCATCACTGCAACCTCTGCCTCCCGGGTTCAAGCAATTCTCCTGCCTCAGCCTCCCGAGTAGCTGGGACTACAGGCGCGTGCCACCACGCCTGGCTAATTTTTGTATTTTTAGTAGAGACGGGGTTTCACCATATTGGCCAGGCTGGTCTCAAACTCCTGACCTTGTGATCCACCCGCCTCGGCCTCCCGAAGTGCTGGGATTACAGGCGCGAGCCACCGTGCCCGGCTGGGATTTTCTTAAACATAAGGGGAGGGAGGAAGTAGCTTGTGGATGGGGCAGGATTGGCAGGGGTTGACGGTTGTTAAGGCGAGGTGATGGTTCCACTGGGGTTCCTGTGCTAGTCTCTATTTCTGTGTAGGTTCAAGATTCTCGTATGTGTTTTGAAGCGGGGTAAACCAATGATGGAGGTGGCTTTATTAAGCCTCCCTTATCGAATTCCATTTTTTCTAATGGTATCCCATCTTTTTTTTTTGCATGGTTTAGATGCCAGACCAGTTTGACCAGGCGGTTGTGCTGAACCAGCTGCGGTACTCAGGGATGCTGGAGACTGTGAGAATCCGCAAAGCTGGGTATGCGGTCCGAAGACCCTTTCAGGACTTTTACAAAAGGCAAGAGGGAGCTGAATTGGATTCTCTTTCTTTTCAAAGGGGTTGGAGAAAACAGGGAACCATCGCAGAAGGTGACCCTGTGTGTCTTCACGTTGCAGGTATAAAGTGCTGATGAGGAATCTGGCTCTGCCTGAGGACGTCCGAGGGAAGTGCACGAGCCTGCTGCAGCTCTATGATGCCTCCAACAGCGAGTGGCAGCTGGGGAAGACCAAGGTACGATGCGGAGAAAGAGCAACTCCCACCGAATCCCTGACAGATCTCGGGGTGATGCTCACAGGGTTTAGGGCTCTATGACACCGCTATACAATTGTTCTTTCACATTGGGAAGATACTCCTGTTGCCATGCCTACCATAACCTTTTGTCTCCCAAACAGTTACTATTTTATTTGAAGTGAAGTCCTTGACTTGTCAGGGACTCTGTTTCATTAGAGAACACATTGAAACATCTCATCCTAATTGTTTGTGTGTGGGTATTTGTTCAGGCAGTAACAAATGTTGGCAGACGAATAACAGTACTTTGGAAGTAGGAGGCAGCCCCCAGTGTCTACAAAGCGATACCCCAAGACCCTTCTAACTTTCTCTAATTCAAATACTGGCTTTTATCCCTGCAACCAGAGCAGCGACTGAGCGAGAGATCAGTAGCCGGTCTGAAATCCTTCTGGTTGTCAAAAACTCAGTCCAGAAAGCAAAAAGGAAAATCTACGTTTGAAGATGCTGTTGGGGCAGAGGCTCCTTAACCCCCTTTTCCAGATAGGAGCAGAGTATGGGCAGTCGGGCCTGAACATAAAAAATTAGTCACAAAATTTGTTGTATGACTTCTTCTTTCTGGATCAGGGAACTGCCAAGAACCTCGTTTGGCTTCCACTCTCATTCCCCACCCACCTTCAATGACTTGTCACATGGGAAAGACAGCAATGTGACTTGACACAGAAATGCAGGCAGCTGAGGACACATGTGTCCTCGAAGAGTGAATCCTCATTCCCGCTCCTTCTGCCCTTACACACAGCAGTGCAATGTCAGAGAAGTATTTTAAAGCTTCCACTCATAATATGCTGTTTTTAATCTAGAAGTTTCTTGCTTTATAAAAAGAGGAAAGGAAAGAGGGAGAAAGCGGGGGAAGAGAGAGACGTATGTCTTGCAGTTTGACCAATGTGAGATTGATGAAAAGTACTTAGGCTTCACCTCCTGGACATTCAGCAAGGGAAAGTCATGATGGACCTACTACCTCCCTGCTCTAGGGAAATTTTTTACTGCTGACGGATTTGAGATATAAACACAAAACAGGGTAGAGATAGCATGCAGAGATAATCACATGAGCTAGCTATTGCTTTGTAATACATTACTGCAAACTTCATGGCTTTAACAACACACATTGATTATCTCATAGTATCTAAGGGTCAGAGCTGGGGCACAGCTGAGCTGGGTCCTCTGATCAGGGTCCCCCAAGCCTGCAGTCCCTGTATCTTGGGGCTTTGTTCTTTTCTGGACCTCAGGGTATCTTCCAGGCTCACTTGGTCATTGGCAAAATTCATTTCCCTGTGTTTTTGAGGACTGAAGTCCCTGTTTTCTTTCTAGTTGTTGGCTGGGAACCACTCGCAGCTCCTAGAAGCCCTCAAAATTCCTTGACACATGGCAGCTCACTTCTTTCAGGCCAGCAGGATAACCACATGCTCCAGCGTAGGGTTGTAGCGTTCTCACAGAAGTGATATCCCGTCACCTTTGCTGCAGTCTAATGGCTAGAAGCAAGTCCCAGATTGCACCCCCACTCAGGAAGATTAAAGAGGGTTGTAACCCACTGGGGGCCACCTGAGGGTGTGCCCCCCGCAGGTGATAGGTCTCTCTGCCTGGAATCTTACTCTCCACTCCTGTAGCCAACTCATCTTTAGGTCTTGGCTTAGAGGTAGACTTTGAAAGGACTCCTTTTTTGACATTCCTCAGTGCACCCTATAGCTGGGGTAAGCCCCCTCCTCTGTTGTCCCAGGTCATCCTCTTCTTAGCCCTGATGTAGACTTCATATGCTGTCCTGTTGTCTTGCTGTTGGCTTCTCTACGATCACCCAGTAGAGCATGTAGAGCTGATTGTTCATTCTACACAGTGCTGAGCTTAATCAGTGTCTATGAGGTGCTGAAAAACTATAAGAGGTGACACAGGATGTCATACATTTATTAGGAAAACTTTCTGAAGAAAATGGCTCAAGTGGAGCTCTTGGCAGTGCAATACAATCTGCTCTGATTTTGTTTAATCAAAAAGAAATTGCAAGCCAGGCACAGTGGCTCACATTTGTAATTCCAGCACTTTGGGAGGCTGAGGCAGAAGGATCGCTTGAGCCCAGGAGTCTGAGACCAGCCTGGAAAACATAGTGAGACCTTTTCTCTACTGAAATTCAGAAAAATTAGCCAGGCGTGGTGGCATGTGCCTATAGTCCCAGCTACTCGCGTGGCTAGAGTGGGAGGATTGCTCGAACCCAGGAGGTCAAGACTGCAGTGAGCCCTGATCATGCCACTGCACTCCAACCTGGGCGACAGAGTGAAACCTTGTCTCAAAAACAAAAAGAAATTGCATTCTCTATAAACGAGTCACCTCACTGCCTTCTACAGTGGAGTAACATTAGAGATCATTAAAACTCAACCCAGCCATTAACAGTCTTTTCTGGGCTCCAAGTACTAATCCAGCTTCACTTAGAATTTACATTATGGAAATCAGGCCCAAGGCAGGCTTGGGACGTAGTGTAGCATAGGGGACACAGAGACATGGGCGTTGTCCTCAGTTTACTGTGTTGGAAGATAAGATATTCACACACAGTGGATGAATTAAATCATGCAGTACAATCTTTTTAAAGGAGTAAGGAAACAGCTTCTTCAGGAGAGAGATCCCTATGGATTGAAATGATCAAGGAAGTATTCAAGATGAAGAAGTTTTTAAAGAGGAGTTCAGTTTTAATTGGTGAAAAGTTGGGAGTAGAAGTTGGATGGAAGTTTATTTTTCCACAGACATGTTAGGAAGTAAATGCAAACATCAAAGCATTTGAATTGTGGCTTCTTGATAGCTTTGATCTTGACCAGTGTTTGAGTTACATGTTGGATAGCAGGTGTTTTGGTGTGTTGCCACCAGAAGGTCTTTCTGTTTAAAGCCTCAAACCTCTAATGAACTTCTGGTCTTCTGGTAAAGGAATGTCTGCCGTACACAACAGGCAAGTTTAGCCAGTGTCGAAGGCAGCGAATTAGACATGGCTCCAGGTCTGAACTGGCTGACTTATCCAAAACATATTTGTTCTTGTAAGGCAAGCATTCTTACCTAGAGGACTGGAGAAGCATTACTAGGAATTGAAGCGGCCTGTCGGATGCTTCACGGCACAGCCCGTGGGGAGGAGATTGCAATGTATTTCCCTGCTGAACAGCTGCGTTTACGGTGACTGAGGTGGGCAGCTGGTCCCTCTCCTTCCTGGTTTTGGCTTTTCCCACTGCCTCAAGGATTCCTGAAGACTCAAGACTTTTACTTTTCTGACCCTCTGGACTTCAGTGTCAGACTTTTCTTCCTCAGTTCTGTGGCAATGAAGCATGCAGGAGGTATTTTTATAAAGACAGTGTACTAGAATAACCCACAGGATCTTAAGCTACCTAAGAAGATAAAAGTGAAAAAGAACCACGTGAAATGGTTCCTGTTGGATATTGAGTCAAGTTCAGCCAAGCAGCGCCTGAGTGGGTACCACCCTTTGCTCAGCTGCTTTGGTGCCTGCTTTGATGCCACATTCCCAGTCACTAGGTTGTGCCAACTTGGTCTTGGCTGAGTCCTGGGAACATGGCAAAGTGACACAAGGGCTCACAGAAACACTTTCTGTATTAGTCTGTTCTCACACTGCTAATAAAGACATACCCGAGACTGGGTAATTTATAAAAGAAAGAGGTTTAATGGACTCACAGTTCCACATGGCTGGGGAGGCCTCATGATCATGGCAGAAGATGAAGGAAGAGTAAAGGCACATCCTACATGGCAACAGGCAAGAGAGCATGTGCAGGGCAACTCCCCTTTTTAAAACTATCAGATCCCATGAGACTTATTCACTGTCGTGAGAACAGCATGGGAAAGACCTGCGCCCATGATCCAATTACCTCCTACCAGGTCCCTCCCATGACACATAGGAATTATGGGAGCTACAATTCAAGATGAGATTTGAGTGGGGACACAGCCAAACCTATCACTTTCCTTCTGTCATTGTCTAATTCAGGGTTCGTGTTCTTAATGAAACTGACAGGTCCCTAAAAGCATTTTCTCTATTTGTTTGCCCTTTAGGTTGGTGAAGGAGAATGTAAATAAAGATGTGGAAGAATGCTTTTTAAAAACATATTTATTTATTTATTTTGAGAGCTGTCTTTTTAATGGACTGAAAACTAAAGCAAGTATTTGTCTGATTCTGATTCTAACCAAGACATTCTTTTGACTTCCAATGGTGGAGAAGACCTTTGTTCCTTCACAAAGGTTTCCACTTGTTCACGTCATCGCTGTGTCACTCATGAGAGTTGACACTTTTGTCTCTTTCGTCACCACCACCCCCTTCCCCAAGATTTGGCTGTTATTTTTCCTTTTAAGCACTCATAAGAGCAAAAGCATTAGAGTAAGATATGTAATACCAAACAAAAATCTCAGAGAAGTTGAAATGCTTCCTTAAAAGTCCAGTCTTGATGAAAACTGCTTTTGCTACGTGATTTTGATATGTACAGGGAATTCTGTATTTCTGAACATCTTTAATGATGATTACATCCAACAAACTTTACACTTGTAGCTTCTGCACCAACAGAGTGTGTGTGTGTGTATATATATATTCTCATGTATATGTATATGTGAATATATATGTGTATATATGAGTATATGTGTATATATATGAGTGTGTATATATATGAGTATGTACGTGTGTGTATATATATGTATATATGTTGCTTTGAGACAGAATCTCACTCTGTTGCCCAGGCTGGAGTGCAGCAGCATGATCTTGGCTCACTGCAACCTCTGCCTCCCAGGTTCAAGCGATTCTTCTGCCTCAGCCTCCCAAGTATCTGGGATTACAGGCACCCCCACCATGCCTGGCTAATTTTTTGTATTTTTAGTAAAGGCAGGATTTCCCCATGTTGGCCAGGCTGGTCTCCCAACTCCTGACCTCAGGTGATCCACCTGCCTCGGCCTCCCAGAGTGCTGGGATTACTGGCATGAGCCACTGCGCCCGGCCAACAGAATATATATTGTATATATAATACAATAATAATTGTATTATAAGGAGAGGATTGTATGAAGAGCTTTCCTAGGAGAATGATTTGTGATGGAGTTTTACCCAGAGCAGGAATAGGTACGGCTGTGAGTCACAAGGTGGTAGGACTCTTTATTTGCTTTTTTGCCCAAATGTCATGGAGGACACAGAGCAGAGAACCTGGAAAAATGTGCCATTGGGAGAACGTGATGCACCATTTTAGGCCAGAATGACGCATGGAAGCGTAAAGTAAAAAATTGCGGAGACACCAAAATGCATCTGTGTGGATTGTTAACAAAAAAGCATGAAAATGTTTGATACTGGTTGTTATAGGGAATCATTCAAAATTTCTTATGCGTGTATTAAATCTGAAATGGCAAAATTAAAAGCCACTTTATCAAGAGAAGGTCCTGGTATTTTCATATCTTTTCAAAAACTAGGAATTCTAATACAAAGTGCCAATTACCTGACACACTTATTTGATAAGCAGAGGATGGACGTGTCCATTCTCAGACATAGGCAAGCAAACAGCTACAATTTATTTAGTCCTGATTCCACTGTGCTTGTGCTAGTCAAACTGAGATGTAGCTGAAATAATTCAGTTCTCATTTTAAACTCAGTTTTCAGAATAATGTTCTTAACGTCAATATTTTGAGTGCATTTAAGTTTTTGAAGCCAAGATACTCTGATTGTAATCACATAGCAGGCACAAAGAGAGGATTTCCACATAAAGGCAAAATAACGTTTTAGAAATTTCTTGGCTTCCCTTCCTTCCTCCTTTCCTTCCTCTGCTTTCTGTATCTCTGAATCATATTACGTAGACTCAATGTAGTGACCAATGCTGGTCCATGAACTATTCGTCCCAGCCCATGATGTGTTAAGTGTTGAGAAGCTTAGATAGCAATTTGGTAGTCATCTTATGCCTGTTGAATTCAGTAACAATAACCATAAAAGGCACTTGTATTTGTATGCAGCATTTTTGTTTTTCCTTGTAATATATCTTTATTGGATTTTGCAACTGTTTTAGCCCATGACAGGTGGAACCTTTAAAAAGCACTATTCTAGAAAGCATGGCCATGTGGTGGATCAAACTAAGAGAAAAAAGCCTTAACTCCAGAAGATATCTTTGACTCAGAAATGCCTTCCTTCTGCTGGCCATGTTCTTTGCTTCTGACATGTGACTCCGTCCTGAGCAGGTCTTTCTTCGAGAATCCTTGGAACAGAAACTGGAGAAGCGGAGGGAAGAGGAAGTGAGCCACGCGGCCATGGTGATTCGGGCCCATGTCTTGGGCTTCTTAGCACGGTAAGAACCCCACGCTGAGGGGATAAGGCAGGAAGCTCCATGAGGGGGTCCTTCCTTCCCAGTGTGTTCCAGTGGAGTGGCCTGAGGTTTTTGAATTGAGGGGAGCCTCAGGTCAGGCCTCCTAAGCAGCCACTCCCGAAACCTAGCTAGCCTGACTGGGCAGCAGGTAGGAAAGGGAGCTCTGCACTTTTTGACTTCTCAGGTAGAAAGAACAGTGACAGCAGGGAACTCTACTGAGATCTATTTATTTATTTGAGGCAGGGTCTTACTCTGTCTCTGAGGCTAGAGTGTGGTGGCACGATCATGGCTTATTGCAGCCTTGACCTCCTGGGCTCAAGCAATTCTCTCACCTCAGACTCCCAAGTAGTTGGGACTACAGACACACACCACCATGCCTGGCTAATTAAAAAAAAATTTTTTTTTTAGAGATGGGTCACTTCATGTTGCCCAGGAGGGTCTCAAACTCCTGGGCTCATGGGATCCTCCCGGCTGACAAAGTGCTGGGATTACAGGTGTGAGCCACCGTACCCAGCCTTCTCCTGATATTTAAATTATTTGCTTACTTCCTCTGCGTCAGGTCTTGAAGCCACAGCGGCCTGGCTGTTCACCTTGGTGTTATCATTTTGGCTATAGAGACCCATCCTCCAGCTGTTTGAGGAATGAGGTGACTTCTTTTTTTTTTTTTTTTTTTTTTTTTTGAGACAGAGTCTCGCTCGCTCGTCTGGCTGGAGTGCAATGGTGCGATCTCAGCCCACTGCAACCTCCGCCTCCCGGGTTCAAGTGATTCTCCTGCCTCAGCCTCCCAAGTAGCTGAGACTATAGGTGCATGCCACCACACCTGGCTAATTTTTGTATTTTTAGTAGAGACAGGGTTTCACCATGTTGGCCAGGATGGTCTCGATCTCTTGACCTTCGTGATCCATCCGCCTGCCTCGGCTTCCCAAAATTCTGGGATTACAGGCATGAGCCACCGCACCTGGCCTGAGGCAACTTCTCCTCATGTGCGTTTTAGTTGCATCCACTATGCCCGTGAAACACTACGTGTTACATTTTCTGAAGCACAAAGCTGTCCTGCTGTGATGATTTTTTTCATATGAACAGGAGAATATATCAGATCTCTTTGGGAACTATTTACCCAACTTTCTGCCAAGACTACTTAAAGCCAACATGAGGGGTTATGTGTTTATTTAGCCAAGATAGTGATAGGCTTCTTACTTTAGTTTTGTTTGTTATTATTTCTTTGTTTTTCTCCTGTTTTGTTTTGACCAAAGGGGCCTCCTTGTTCTCTCCAGTTTCCATAATGAGAGTCTCATTCTAAAACTGGGTCCTCTTTTGTCTTGTAGCCTTGATGTGAGCTCATTTGAATAGCTCAAAGCCTCATTACTTCAATGCCGATTCTCTTGTTTTCTTTCATTTTCAGAAAACAATACAGAAAGGTCCTTTATTGTGTGGTGATAATACAGAAGAATTACAGAGCATTCCTTCTGAGGAGGAGATTTTTGCACCTGAAAAAGGCAGCCATAGTTTTCCAGAAGCAACTCAGAGGTCAGATTGCTCGGAGAGTTTACAGACAATTGCTGGCAGAGAAAAGGGAGCAAGAAGAAAAGAAGAAACAGGAAGAGGAAGAAAAGAAGAAACGGGAGGAAGAAGAAAGGTACAGTACCTTTCTTGCTGGGATGAAACAAATGGATACATTTTGAGTGCTGTGCTCGGTATCTGTCTGTGCAGCCAGAAATCCCAGCAGATGCCCCAGAACCTACAATTTGAAACAGTAACTCTAGGTGGCTAGAATATAAAATTCCTTGGCAGCATTAAAGACCCAGTTCTGTGAATATTTTTATTCATACAGAATAAATCCATGGCCAGAGGAAGGGGCTCTGTCTTTCATGCTTTCTGTCTTTGGCAAAGCTGTTTTAAAAACGTAGATCTCTCTGAAAAGTGGTTCCAGGGTTATTGTTGTTGATTTTCACTTTTCCTTTACTATTTTTAGAGAAAGAGAGAGAGAGCGAAGAGAAGCCGAGCTCCGCGCCCAGCAGGTAATGAGTGCAGTGACAACTTAGCCTCTTGTGTTTCTACTTCCTTCCCACTTCTAATGCTTGGACTCTAGGATTCAAAACTGAATTAAAGTAGAAAGATAACAGGAAGAACAATTTAAGAGGATGTGTTTATGATCCAATTTCTGACCTATTACAATTGGGTAAAGCGTAGTGAATGGCTGAGGTTTTAGTGTGCATCACAAGAGTATAATTTCTCTAAATCGGTATAACCAGCGTGTTAGTTTGCTAGGCCCACCACAGCCAAATACCACAGACTGGTGGATTGAACAGTGGAAACTGATTTTCTCCCAGCTCTGGAGGCCGGAACTGCAAGATCAAGTTATCCTTAAGTTTGATGTCTTCTGAGGCCCCTCCCCTTGGCTTGCAGGTGGCCGTCTGTCCAGTGTGTCCTCACGCAGCCTTTTTTCTCTGTGTGACCTAGTCTCCTGTTCCCAAAAGGACACCAGTCATCTTGGATTGGGGCCCACCCTAGTGAACTCATTTTAACTTAGTCTCCCCTTTAAAAGCTGTATCTCCAAATGCAGTCACATTCTGCAGTATTGGGGTTAGGACTTCAACCTATAGACTTTATGGGGACACAGTCCAACTCATAATGACCATATTTCATCCTGGTTGCAAAGCGGGAGCTATGCTTGGACTTTTGTACTGAAGCCTTCTGAAATCTCCCTTCTGCTTCTGTCCAGGAAGAAGAAACGAGGAAGCAGCAAGAACTCGAAGCCTTGCAGAAGAGCCAGAAGGAAGCTGAACTGACCCGTGAACTGGAGAAACAGAAGGAAAATAAGCAGGTGGAAGAGATCCTCCGTCTGGAGAAAGAAATCGAGGACCTGCAGCGCATGAAGGAGCAGCAGGAGCTGTCGCTGACCGAGGCTTCCCTGCAGAAGCTGCAGGAGCGGCGGGACCAGGAGCTCCGCAGGCTGGAGGAGGAAGCGTGCAGGGCGGCCCAGGAGTTCCTCGAGTCCCTCAATTTCGACGAGATCGACGAGTGTGTCCGGAATATCGAGCGGTCCCTGTCGGTGGGAAGCGAATTTTCCAGCGAGCTGGCTGAGAGCGCATGCGAGGAGAAGCCCAACTTCAACTTCAGCCAGCCCTACCCAGAGGAGGAGGTCGATGAGGGCTTCGAAGCCGACGACGACGCCTTCAAGGACTCCCCCAACCCCAGCGAGCACGGCCACTCAGACCAGCGAACAAGTGGCATCCGGACCAGCGATGACTCTTCAGAGGAGGACCCATACATGAACGACACGGTGGTGCCCACCAGCCCCAGTGCGGACAGCACGGTGCTGCTCGCCCCATCAGTGCAGGACTCCGGGAGCCTACACAACTCCTCCAGCGGCGAGTCCACCTACTGCATGCCCCAGAACGCTGGGGACTTGCCCTCCCCAGACGGCGACTACGACTACGACCAGGATGACTATGAGGACGGTGCCATCACTTCCGGCAGCAGCGTGACCTTCTCCAACTCCTACGGCAGCCAGTGGTCCCCCGACTACCGCTGCTCTGTGGGGACCTACAACAGCTCGGGTGCCTACCGGTTCAGCTCTGAGGGGGCGCAGTCCTCGGTAAGTACCTGCCTGGCGTGTCCCAGTGAAATGGGTGGCCGGTCACACCCACCCCTGTTGCATCCTCAAGTTGAATGAAGATACCCGTAGGATATCTGTGCAAAGATTGCAGAGTCGTGGTCTTAGAGATCATCTTAAACCTTTTGCTTATTCCATAAGCCAATTGCATTCATAAGTAGAACTTTGATGTGCCTGTTTCAGTTTTAGCACAAAGCCTAGAGCTGAGCTGTGCCCAAGACTTCAGAAAACTGGCTATTTATTTATTTATTGTTGTTGTTGTTGTTTTTGAGGTGGAGTCTTCTCTGTCATCCAGGCTGGAGTGCATTGGCAGGATTTTGCCTCACTGCAGTCCCCACCTCTCGGGTCCAAGCTATCCTGCTGCCTCAGCTTCCTGAATAGCTGGGATTACAGATGCCCGCCAGCACACCGGTCTAATTTTTGTATTTTTAGTAGAGATGGGGTTTTACCATGTTGGCCAGGCTGGTCTTGAACTCCTGACCTCAGGTGATCCACCTGCCTCGGACCCCCAAAGTGCTGGGATTACAGGCGTGAGCCACCATGCCCGGCTTAAAACTGGCTTTTTAAATGGAACTTTTGTTTATTTTATTTTATTTCTTCCTTCCCTTTTTTTACAATTTGAATGGAACTTTTAGCTTTGCCGTGCTGCGTTAGGAAATGAAGACACATCCTGAACTGGAACAAGACTTGCCAGGGGTGAACTGGCAAACTTTCCTTGTACTAACTTCACAATCCAAACCACACGATGTTATTTCTTATAGTGGCTGTAAAGGAAGAAGCTGCAGGGCTTAAATGTACTCTTTTCCAGTTTCTGGATTTATCTGTAGTTTACTTTTATTTTGTCGCTTTGGTCGTGCATTGAATGTTCTCTTGACTTTCAAAGATTTGAAAATATATTTAATATAGTAATTCAGAGGGGGTGAACTCTTGCATGGTTTGATTAAAATTATAGCCTTAAAAAGCATTGTTAGTTTTAGGGCAGATAGCCTTTGGATTCAAGTATATCTTGTCTTTCATGTATCAATTCAACTGACCATTTGACCTTAAAAGTTGGTATTTTTAATTCCGAATTATTTGTGTGCTACCGTAAATCAGGCGTATTGCTTGTCAGTTGTTTTTTTTCTTTTTCCTTTTCCCTTTTTTTTTTTTTTTTTTTTTGAGACTGAGGCTTGCTCTGTTGCCCAGGCTGGAGTGCAGTGGCACGATCTCTGCTCAGTGCAGTCACTGCCTCCTGGGTTCGAGTGATTCTGCTGCCTCAGCCTCTTGAGTAGCTGTATTTTTGTATTTTTTCAATGATGATACATGCTGGGTATCTTCGTGGCTTGCTTTGTGGCCTTTTCCCTCACCGTTGGCTTCTCTCTCTCGGTCCAGTTTGAAGATAGTGAAGAGGACTTTGATTCCAGGTTTGATACAGATGATGAGCTTTCATACCGGCGTGACTCTGTGTACAGCTGTGTCACTCTGCCGTATTTCCACAGCTTTCTGTACATGAAAGGTATGACTGCAGCCGCCATGGAGTCTGGGTTAGGGGGAGAGCGAGGCGTTATTTTATCCGGGCTGATGGATGGCGGTGGGAAATAACGGAGGTGTTATTGTATCTGGGCTGATGGATGGGGACTGGGAAAGTCGTTCTACCTACCCTTACCTCAGTGTTGGGCCACTTAGATGAATGAAGGGACACCTTGTCATGTTGGTGTGACATGGGTGCTGTGGTCCTACCAGCATGAACACAGTCGTGACTCCCCTGGTTTGGTGCAGAGTGGCAGGACGAAGCATTTGCAACCACTGCCTCCAGTATCAGTCCTTCTCCCCTGTCTCTCCCTGTCTCGTTTTCCTTTCTTAGCTCTTTCTTCATCCTTCTATTTTCTCTCCCTCTCTCTCCCACTTTCTCTTTCACTGTCTCCCTCTCTGTCTCAGTCTCATTGCTCTCTCTCATATATACAGACATACAAACCAATGTGTGTGTTGCTGCTGCTGCTGGAATTGGTCGAGACCCATTCTCATGATAAACTGCATGTTCTCGGCCGGGCGTGGTGGCTCACGCCTGTAATCCCAGCACTTTGGGAGGCCGAGGCGGGTGGATCATGAGGTCAGGAGATCGAGACCATCCTGGCTAACACAGTGAAACGCCGTCTCTACTAAAAATACAAAAAATTAGCCGGGAGCGGTGGCGGGCTCCTGTAGTGCCAGCTACCTGAGAGGCTGAGGCAGGAGAATGGCGTGAACCCAGGAGGCGGAGCTTGCAGTGAGCCGAGATCGCGCCACTGCACCCCAGCCTGGGCGACAGAGCCAGACGCTGTCTCAAAAAAAAAAAAAAAAAACTGCATGTTCTCTCCTGCCAGGGATATTAGAGAGCCTAAAAGGATGTGCTAGACATGGGGGAAAGTGAAGATCTCACTGAGGCCCACTGCTGGCTTGAACTGCTCACCATACCTACTTCATGATGAGCATTTGCATTGTATGCTTTGATTGTTACTAACATTTGAGTATACTTTGCTGAACCTTAACACTTAGGGGCCTTGAGGCACACTCCTTTTGGAAAATTATTTACTATTTATTTATCTATTTATTTAGGTATTTATTTAAGACAGGGTCTTGCTCTGTTACCCAAGCTAGAGGGCAGTGGTGTGGTCATGGCTCACTGCAGCCTTGAACTCAGGTTCAAGCCATCTTCCTGCCGCAGCCTTCATAGGAGCTAGGACTGCAGGCGCACACCATCATGCCAGGCTAATTTTTTATAGAGATGGAATCTCACTATGTTGCCCAGGCTGGTCTCCAACTCTTGGCCTCAAGCAGTCCTCCCACCTTGGCCTCCCAAAGTGCAGGAATTGCAGGCATGAGCCACCATGCCTAGCCAGAAAATTATTTAATTATTTAATTGGGACCTCATATTTATGCTTTGTTCCTGTTCTTGACTCTGACTCGTAACTCAGTGACAGGGATAATAAGAAACCATAATCATCACCAATTTTGGGCAGGAGTTTTACGTGGATGGTTAAAAAGAAGGGACCGTCCTGTTTCTCGCATGGACCTAGACTGGAGAGGGGAGAGAGTCGAGAAGGTGGAGATGGGCAGGGATATGAGAACCTTCCTCCCCAGGTCTCCTCTTCCTGCTTTCTCCCATATTTGATTTTTAAATTTGTCTTCTTCCTTTTTCTTCACTTTCCTTTTTATTGCCGTCTTTCTTCATTTACATTTACATTTTCTTTTTTTTGTCTTCACCACCATGAAAACCTTTTTTTTTTTTGAGACAGGATCTTGCTCTGTTGCCCAGGCTGGAGTGCAATGGCACAGTCGTGGCTCACTGCAGCCTCCACCCCCGGGGTTCAAGTGATTCTCCTGCCTTAGCCTCCTGAGTAGCTGGGATTACAGGCACACGCCAATGCCCAGCTAATTTTTGTATTTTTAGTAGAGACAGGGTTTCACCATGTCGGCCAGGCTGGTCTCGAACTCCTAACCTTGTGATCTGCCCTCCTTGGCCTCCCAAAGTGCTGGGATTACAGGAGTGAGCCACCGCGCCCAGCCATGAAAACCCTTTTATTCCATTTTCCCTTCTTTCTTTCTGTGCTTCTCTTTTCTGTTAGCTTCTTTACGTTTTTTTCCACGTCTTTTCTTTTGTTATCTTCAATATTTTTTTTCTGTTTTCTTCACTTGTGGCTTTGTTTGCTGGATTCCTTTTTTGCTTCACCTGCTCCTCTTAGAAAACATGGGTCTAGTGACGACTGTCAGTCATTTGCCTTTCAGAGTTCTGCCATCCTCAGCTTTGGAGCCCCACAGTGCTCATGAAACCCCTAGAAGGTTTGGTTTAGGGGAGACTTTTAGTAGGACTGTTGGAATGAAAAACATCAAGGGTGAGGTAGCCAGCACTGGAACACCTGACAAAGGAAAAAATGTCATTGCAAATCAGAACCTTTGATCCAATAAGTATTTAATCATAGCATCTTAAGATTTTCTCAGTTAGAAATCATCTTAACTGTTTTTACTAATATATAATTCCCATTCCTCAATTTTTAATTCCCTAAGTTAATTTGAAAATTCTCTTCAATATTCCTCTTAATGTATGACATTGATTTTTTTTTTTTTTTTTTTGAGACAGAGTCTCGCTCTGTCACCCAGGCTGGAGTGCAGTGGTGCGAACTCGGCTCACCACAACTGCCGCCTCCCAAGTTTGAGCTATTCTTCTGGCTCAGCCTCCTGAGTAGCTGGGATTACAGGCGTGCGCCACCACGCCTGACTAATTTTTGTATTTTGAGTAGAGACGGGGTTTCACCATGTTGGCCAGGCTGGTCTTGAACTCTTGACCTTGTGATCCACCCGCCTCAGCCTCCCAAAGTGCTGGGATTACAGGCGTGAGACACCACGCCCGGCAGCATTGATTTATTAT
This sequence comes from Homo sapiens, assembly GCF_000001405.40. Lineage (NCBI taxonomy): Eukaryota > Metazoa > Chordata > Mammalia > Primates > Hominidae > Homo > Homo sapiens. Next base: position 16,696,560 of record NC_000005.10, on the reverse strand, counting down.
ACAGTTACTGGATTAAAACCAGTAAGAGTAGGAAAAAAGTAAAGACACATTCAAAGTATTAAAATCAGGGTCAAAGAAGTTAAATGGGTGAGTTTTCGGCATCTCTTAAAGCTATTGTGTAAATGCAGCCTCATTTAATACTTAATAAAACTTTAATTAAAGCAGAGCCAAAAAGTTTCAGAGCAACGAATGAATGAAAAAGAAAATCTAATCACCAATTTATATTTTATGGGCATAAATAAATTTTTACAACCAAATAACCTACTAAAGATGTTTGCAATTAGGAAATTATAGCATTAAGTGATTCTCTAAATGATGAATTATCAAGAGAGGGCCTGAAATTGCAAAGGGAGGGCCAAGAGTGAGTGCTATCAATAAATAAATAAATAAATCTAATTAATCAATTAGATTAAATAAACTAATGGTGAGAGCTGTCGTGATGACTCTTCTAATCTTTGAAACAACTGTGAATAAGCTTTATCATTTAACAACAACAAGATAATAGAATAATTTTGCACAGTTTTCCTCCAGGCTTGTTTTGAGAAACCCAGATTAAAGTCACAAATCAAAACACTAATAATGTTTCATTCTGGTAGCCGTTGGCAAGTTTGCCATATGTTAGGACACGGCTCTGCAGCTTGGCACAATTACCAAAGATGTCTCAGCTAGATGAGCAGGGGCCTCTTGGACAAAAGGAGGGAGAGGAGTCTAGAAAGTTCAGTGAAGCAAGTGCACTGTCTGGTTTTCACACAGTGAACGCATAAAAGGATAGGATTATACTTACTTTAAATATCCCATGTTTAAATGACCCTTATTTTCATTACTGGTTGGTCAAAAGAAAATAATGTGTGGACAGTCTTATAATAACAGATGTGTGTCAGATGTTGATCTTGAGCAGGTTGGGGAATCTGGAATACAAAATTATCCTCCCTGAAGAGCATAGCAAGATTTTTTTATCCTATGAAAGATAACATCTGTATATTTAAGTTCAAATCTTAGTGTAGTTTGTACTCTTGCTTTCTTTTTTTTTTTTTCATAGTCTCAGTCTTATACCTGTAAACCATTTTCAGATGATGCTTTTCTTTGAAAAGATGTTTTTCTCCAAAAAGCCATATTGTCTTTACCTGTGTAAGTTAGACTTTATCAGTCAACCCTGGAATCACTGATAATTCTTGTTCGCACATTGACCAAATATGGAAGGAAATGGGTAAACTTTGTTTATTTTTTGAGACGGAGTCTCACTCTGTCACCCAGGCTGGAGTCTAGTGGTACAATCTCTGCTCACTGCAACCTCCTCCTCCCGGATTCAAGCGATTGTCCTACCCCAGCCTCCCAAGTAGCTGGGATTACAGGCACGCACCACCATACCCGGCTAATTTTTGTATTTTTAGTAGAGACAGGGTTTTACCGTGTTGGCCAGGCTGGTCTTGAACTCCTGACCTCAAGTGATCCACCCGCCTCGGCCTCCCAAAGTGCTGGGATTACAGGCATGAGCCACCGCTCCTGGCCCAAAAAACGGGTAAAGAAACTGGTAAACTTTGACACCATGTTAAAATAATTTTCCCTCTCTGGTGCATTTTGGGATAAGCCTGATCCATACATAGGGACATGGTTCTCACCCTTGGCTTTTGACTCATTCCTGGGTTAGAGTGTCAGTTCATTACTTGCTTTTCTATTGGCTCCTTTCAAAGCTTTCTCAGCTAAGTGAGCAGGAACTCCTTTGGATAGAAGGATTCTTGTATAATCCAGCCTGGCTGGTGTGACATCTGTGTGGTGCCCCCAGACATGAGCTAGCAGTGCCACTCCTCACTGAGGGGTCTCTGCGGTGCTGCGGCTGGGGCAGAGTCTAAGCTCGGCTAGACCTTAACACCTGCTATGCATGTTGTTGTCATCCAACTTGACTGACTTTTCTTTCACCCCTCTCTACCCAATCTCACGGGGAACAGGTGGCCTGATGAACTCTTGGAAACGCCGCTGGTGCGTCCTCAAGGATGAAACCTTCTTGTGGTTCCGCTCCAAGCAGGAGGCCCTCAAGCAAGGCTGGCTCCACAAAAAAGGGGGGGGCTCCTCCACGCTGTCCAGGAGAAATTGGAAGAAGCGCTGGTTTGTCCTCCGCCAGTCCAAGCTGATGTACTTTGAAAACGACAGCGAGGAGAAGCTCAAGGGCACCGTAGAAGTGCGAACGGCAAAGTAGGTTGCTAAGCCTGGCTGTGGCCCGATGGGTTGCTCATGGTTTATGCTGGTGGTCATAGAGCCATGCTGTGCAAGTTCCTTGCAGCGGCAGTAGCCTGTAGCAGGTGTCCTGATAGTTCAGTTCAGTAGGTTAAATTACTAGGAAACTGGGAAGCAAGACTTAATCCATGAGTACTTTGCTTTTTGTGATTACACTCAGACATGTGGCTGTCATTTGGAAGATGGCCAGCCAATTGGATCTGGAAGTTGCCTGGTGGAAACGGAATTGAATGTGTGGAGGAAGAATGGTGTGAATTTGGAACAAGTGGCTGAGTCTTTTTATGGGTTAATGTATCACTTTCAATTCCTTACTCCAGCTGTTGCCAGCAGATAAATTAGCTAAATTAAAAGCAGACAGACTGGAGGAGTTTTCCGAAATAAATCACTTCTCTTCTGTTATACCAGTGTTGGTTATACTAGCCATCCCCATTCCCAGCAGTGAGAGGAACAGGGCTGGTCTTCAAATCCAACATGCCCCCTTTTCTGCCACACCCTTATAGAACCAAAGCTTTGGACTATTGAGGGCCTATTATTTTTGTTAAAAGACTAAGTAATGTTTCCAGAAAATTGTTGGGAGTTACAAGCAGCTGGTTTTCTGGGGTAACTAGATACTAAGCCTGAAAACATGTTTGGGGATAACCTGTAGCCGTACTCCACTCAAAACTGAGTGACCTCAAATATTTAGAAAAGTAGTAAAATAATCTTTGAGGGATCAAATTAATGCCTGAAGTCAGGAGCCTTAAAAGTAAAATGTTTCTAATCAGCCAGCATCCGCAACTTCAGAAAAGTATTCATTGTAAAGTGGAAAGTTAAATGAGGAGAAGAAAGTCTTTTATGTATTTGATTGTAAGGGAAAACTCATGTCTCTGCAGACGGCAGAATATTGGACATTTCCAGGCTGTCCCTTTGGAGTTCATGAGGTGCGGGAGTGCGCTTGTGAGAATCCTGGGTCTGAATCCTGCAAGGGTTCACAGCAAGGCATGGCTCTGTTGCCTCTGCCATCTTCTCTCAGCCTCACATACCGTGATGTTCCTCATCTGTCTATAGATCAATTGATTGACTGACAGGGTCTCACTCCCATTGCCCAGGCTGGAGTGCAGTGACACGATCTCGGCTCACTGCAGCCTCAACTTCCTGGGCTCAGGTGATCCTCCCACCTCAGCCTCCCGAGTTGTTGGGACTATAGGTGTGTGCCACCACGCCAGGCTAATTTTTTGTATTATTGGTAGAGACGGGGTTTCGCCATGTTGCCCAGGCTGGTCTCAAACTCGTGGGTTCAAAGCCATCCGCCTGCCTTGGTCTCCCAAGTGCTGGGATTACGGCCATGATGTTTCTCTTTAATTATCCCATAGAAGGGGCCACAAGCACCAAGAAGCTGTGAGAGAGGGAGGCATAGTATTGAATTTCACCAGAGTACATTGATGTATGTTTCTTTTGCAACTCACTTTGTATGCTGCTTAATAAAAGCTCTATTCTTAGGTGCTTCATCAGAATTATACTGAGTTATGGAAATGTTAGCTCTTATTCAGCCATTTCTGTCACCTCCTATAGAACAGGAACAGTGAGTTATTATGGAAAACTTCAATCATGGGCAAGAGTGGGTGGAAGAATATAATAAACCACGGACTTATTCCAGAGCTTTCGGTGGCTATCCACCCATGGCCAAGAGTGTTTCATCCACAGTTCTATCCAGTCCGCTCCCCCAGCAAACCACCTCCTTTTATAGCAAGTCCCTATCATATAATTTCTTCTGTAAATATTTAGTAGGTATTTAAACATTCTAATACATAATCACAATACCATTATGACATTAAAAAAATAATGTTAGCTCCTAATATTATCCAAACTCCCAGTCATTGTTCAGATTTCTGCAGTGGCCTTATTTTTTTATTTTTATTTTTATTTTTTTGAGACCAAGTCTCACTCTGTTGCCTAGGCTGGAGTGTAGTGGCACAACCTTGGCTCACTGCAACCTCTGCCTCCCTGGTTCAAGCGATTCTCCTGCCTCAGCCTCCTGAGTAGCTGGGATTACAGGTGCCTACCACCATGCCTGGCTAATTTTTGTATTTTTAGTAGAGACAGGGTTTCACATATTGGCCAGGCTGGTCTCAAACTCCTAACCTCAGGTGATCCGCACACCTCAGCCTCCCAAAGTGCTGGGATTACAGGCGTGAGCCACTGTGCCTGGCCTGCAGTTTCCTTATAAGTGGAGGTGGTAGTGTTCTTGTTGGTTTGGGTTGGTTTTATAGTTATTTTCTTCAAGTCAGAATCCAAATGAGGTCTAGATGTTGTCACTGGTTTTTAGATCACTCAAGTCTCTTTTAATGTATAGATGCCCCTCTGCCTTTCTTTCACTTGCTGTTTGTAATGGAACATGTTAGCTCGCTTATCCCATGGTTTCTAGATTTCACCAACCCTATATGGGCATGTGTTTGAACGTGTTTCTCTTTCTCATTTGTTTCTTGTGAATTGGTCATTAGACCTAGAGAGTGATCGAGTTCAGGTTTTCTTTCTGTTTAAGAGTGCTTCACTTGTGTTGGTATTGATTTCTGTTAAGAAGGCTTAGAGTAGCTGGTTGTCCTCTTGTGATGTCAGCAGTAGTTCTGATCTTGATTTTTTTTTTTTTTTTTGATACAGAGTCTCGCTCTGTCACTGAGGCTGGAGTGCAGTGGCACCATGTCGGCTCACTGCAACCTCTGCCTCCAGGGTTCAAGTGATTCTCCTGCCTCAGCCTCCCGAGTAGCTGGGACTACAGGTGTGCACTACCAAGCTTGGCTAATTTTTGTATTTTTAGTAGAGACGGGATTTCACCATGTTGGCCAGGCTGGTCTCAAACTCCTGACCTGAAGTGATCCGCCTGCCTCATCCTCCCAAAGTGCTGGGATTATAGGCATGAGCCGCCACGCCCGGCCCTGATCTTGATTTTTTTTTAAATATTTCATCTCAGTGATTCTAGCTATGAGGTCAGATAATACTTATTTTCTAACCAGACTATTTTAGTTTTGTTGCTGTAAAATACATGTTTTATTGTGAACATTTGTACTTTTTTTTTTTTTTTTGAGACGGAGTCTCACTCTTTCGCCCAGGTTGGAGTGCAGTGGCGCGATCTCAGCTCACTGCAAGCTCCACCTCCTGGGTTCACGCCATTCTCCTGCTTCATCCTCCCGAGTAGCTGGAAGTACAGGTACCTGCCACCTCACCCAGCTAATTTTTTTGTATTTTTAGTAGAGATGGGGTTTCACCGTGTTAGCCAGGATGGTCTCGATCTCCTGACCTCATGATCCGCCCGCCTCAGCCTCCCAAAGTGCTGGGATTACAGGCGTGAGCCACCACGCCCGGCCGAACATTTGCACTTCTTTAGTTATCAGAGCAAGCTGGCTTTATGCCCCAAACCCTTCTTCATCAAACGTATTACTATCTCTGGTCTGATCCTAACATCTGCTGCTGTTTTACCCTGATTTTGTTAACCTGGTTCACCAATTTTATTTCTCTAGTGTTGTTTAGGGAGGGTTGCAGATGAGATCAAGATGGTATTGAGACCAAACACCCCAAATCCTGCGCCTCACTCCCAGCACCCCTGATGGAAATAATGTGCACATCTCAAGCAGAATTCAGACGCAGATGCCCTGGCCTTAAGCTGGGAGAGAGCTGTGATGAATTAGGGAAAGAGCTCACGCCGGGCCGAGGTTGGCTTTTGTAGATTTGAGAAAGGGTCCAAAGGAAGTTGCAGGCAGGAGTGGGGGCTGCTGCCCCTGGCCTGTCTGGGTCCTGAGCAGGGGTGGGCATTGGGCAGACCAGTGTGAGGGGAGAGAGCCTCTCCCCTAGAGAAGTCAGGGGAACCCTGCTATCCCTGGCCACACCAGCAGCCTCCTCCCTGGGCAGCAGAGATGAGACTGGCTCCCCCTAGAGGGTGTCTTCATCATTGCTAAAAGAAAAACCATTGTAGGTCCCTCCATGTCTTTTGGTGACGGGTTCCAGAACCACCACCCCACTCCCCACCCCACTGCAGCCATCAAAATCCCCAGATGCTCGAGTTCCTGCTATAAAAGGATGTAGTCATTGCATGTAACCTATGCATATTCTCCCACATGCTTCAAATCGTCTCTAGATTACTTACAATAGCTAGTATGTTGCAAATGCATTGTAAATAGTAGTTACACTGTATTGTTTTTTAATTTGTAGTATTATTATTTTTTAAATTGGATTTTTATTTTTGATCTGCTGCTGGTTGAATCCACAGGTGCAGAACCCACAAATCCTGAACTCGCAGATATGGAGAGCCAACTGTGTACCGTTTCGTCAGTAACAGACAGTTCCCAACTCTAGTCATTGGCTTCATTAGTTGCTTTCCTCAGTTATTCAGAATTTGGTGTTCCTGATGTGCGTTTGTTGCTTTTGCTTCTTTGCAGAGAGATCATAGATAACACCACCAAGGAGAATGGGATCGACATCATTATGGCCGATAGGACTTTCCACCTGATTGCAGAGTCCCCAGAAGATGCCAGGTGAGTCTGCGCTGTTGACTTTGTGTTACCCACATCCTGCTCCCTCATGCACAGGTGTGAGCATCACACAGAGCACTGTTTACTGTACTGGCCTTGAAAAATTTTAATTGACTTTTTTTGAAGAACCAAGAGTCATACGAGATTGATGCACTTGTCCCTTGGGGAATCTTTCCCTGGGCAAATGTGTTCAAGTACAGCACAGAGTTCAGGATTTCCAGCCTCCAGTGCCACTAGACAGATCCATTGTCACCTGTCTCTCAGGCTGTTACTGTCACCGGTAGCGTGTGTAAATTATACAGCTGCATGAAGCTGAAAATCTACCCTCTGGAAGCTTCTGAGCTTTGAAAGTGAATCATTTGTGTTTGCATAAGGACGAAAAAGGGCAGGGAGCAGTAACTAATGGCTGTTTAAGTAACTGATAGTGCTATGGCACTGGGGGGTTTTAAAGATCTTAATATTGAAGAATTCAACGGAAGAGGTACTAACTTACACAGAACTTACTATTAGCTTGGTGCAAAAGTAATCACAATTATATTTCAGGCTAATATTCTAAATGTTTCATACCTAAGTATTTCAGGAAGTATTCTAAATGCTTCATAAATATTAACTCTTTTGATTCTCTTGGATCCTGCAAGGTAGACATTAATTATTACCATCATCCATACTTTGCAGAATAAGAGACTAGGGTACAGAGAACGGTTAGTATCATTTGTAATGCAGTGCAACCTCAATTCTGTTGAATGGAGACATTGAACTTCTTAAAAACATTTGCTCCTAAGGAGCTTTAACTTTTGACTGAGATTAGAAGAGGGTGGAGGCCTTCATTGGCTGGGGCAAGTTGTCTGTAGCTTCCTGGACTTCAGGTTTCCATGCTGGAGTGCTGAGGAGACATAGCACAAAATTAAGGAGACTTAGCATTTGCTCTTCAGTGTGATGGATCACAGGGTCACCTTGTGGATCTGACACCGTGGAACGTCTGTCCTGTCTATTCCTGCAGCTTGTGAGTTTGTGAGTCTGCAGGGTTATGCTGGAGGTGTCTGAGCAATGCCAGAGAACATCTTTTTTTTTTTTTTCTTTTTTTTTGAGACAGAGTTTCTCTCTTGTTGCCCAGGCTGGAGTGCACTGGTGCAATCTTGGCTCACCGCAGCCTCCACCTTCCAGGTTCAAGCAATTCTCCTGCCTCAGCCTCCCAAGTGGCTGGGATTACAGGCATGCACCACCACGCCTGGCAAATGTTGTATTTTTTATAGAGATGGGGTTTCTCCATGTTGGTCAGGCTGGTCTCGAACTCCCGATCTCAGATGATCTGCCCATCTCAGCCTCCCAAAGTGCTGGGATTACAGGCGTGAGCCTCTTCCTGGCTGAGAACGTCTTTTAATTTACGAGGGTAACATCCAATAGCCGAATTCTTCAATTCTCAGCCCCAAGATCATTAGGACCTTCTAGTATGTTCTCAGGACCCCTCACTACCCCTTGCCCTTTGAATCTTTCTGAGTTGATACAGTACCATGATAGCAACATTAAGGGTAAAGACACCAGAAAATAATTCTTCCCATGGGAACAAACTAAAACACCTGCTTAGACCCATAAATTCTAACACAAACTGGAAAAACAAGCAAACCTGGAATTATAGCCCATCATTCTGTCTGGGACTCCTGGAGACCACATGTGGTTGTTTGTGGCCCAGGGAATGCCTGCAGCTTTTCAGCTGAATTATAGGCCCAGCGTTTGGCAGCTGCCCTGTCTGTTTTATGCCACGATGAACCTGCTAAATTTAACCTTTGGAATATTTTAGCCAAGGACTTTTTCTCCTGACCAGTGGAACACTATTTTAAAAAAATTCCTTTTCAGATTCCAAGTTATACTTGATTCAAGAGAAGAAATTTATAAATTTAAGAGTCTAATCTAGACAGAATTGAAAGTGCAACAAATTTGATGCCTTTGTGTATGTGATTCCTACAACTTGAATGTATGTCTTTTTCAATGTTTAATTTGGGATATTTTTGAGATGAGCAAAGCAATGAAGTCTTGCTGTTTGGTTAACCAGAATGGATAGTGCAAATTTATATTAAAGTGTTTTCCTTGTTGTATACAAGAGATATGCATATCTCTTGTATATGTTGAATATTTTCAAGCTTGTAGTCACATTTTTCTCCCTTAGGAAGCACGCGAGATAGATTTTAGTGCTTTGCTGTAAATCGTTTGCACAGCCTACCTTTACATATGGTGTCATTTTTTTAACTTAAACATGCCATTGGATACCAAGTACTTCCCCTCTGCCTTAAACAGTAGGAGTATATATATATTTTGTGTCTTATAAGCCCCCAGCAGGAGAAGGATACCCTAGCGTCTCTTTCATATTTGATAGCGCTCACATTTTGTAGTTGGTCAGTAAATGCTAGATGGATGCATGTCTGTTCATAGTCATTTTCCTGATGCTTTGTTCTGCTTGATTTTTCTTAAGTTGACATGTTTTGTTTCGTTTTGTATTTGTTTTTTTTGTGAGGCAGAGTTTTGCTCTGTCACCCAGGCTGGAGTGCAGTGGAATAATCGTGGCTCATTGCAGCCTTGGCCTTCTGGGCTCAGGTGATCCTCCTGCCTCAGCCTCCCGAGTAGCTGGGACTATAAGCATGTACCACTACACCCAGCTAATTTTTTATTTTTCGTAGAGACTGGGCCTCAGTAAATTTCCCAGGCTGGTCTCAAATTCCTGGGCTCAAGCCATCCTCCCACCTTGGCCTCCCAAAGTGCTGGAATCACAGGTGTGAGCCACCATGCCCAGACACGTTTTCCTTTATTTTCTGATTGTGATGAGGTTGGATGTGAGAGTACTCATTTGAAATAAAGATGGAAGAGTTCTCTGGTCAAAATAGTTTTCTACTTTAAAACAGTTATTTTTCATTTCCAACTCTCCTGTGGTTTTATTGACTTGAGTAGAAATGCTGTTAGATGGTTGAAAACCCCATCCTGGGAATACATAACAAAAATAGACATCTAGGCCAGGCACAATGGCTCATGCCTGTAATCCCAGCACTTTGGGAGGCCGAGGTAGGTGAATCACCTGAGGTCAGGAGTTCAAGACCAGCCTGGCCAACATAGTGAAACCCCATCTCTACTGAAAATACCAAAAATTAGCCGGGCATGGTGGTGTGTCCCAGCTACTCGAGAGGCTGAGGCAGGAGAATCACTTGAACCCGGGAGGCGGAGGTTGCAGTGAGCCGAGATTGTGCCATTGTACTCCAGCTTGGGCAAGAAGACACATTCCATCTCATAAAAAAAAAAAATAGACATCTAGTGGCCATTCCAATATGATACTCTCCATTACATGTTGAGTATCCCTTACCCAAAATGCTTGGGACTGGAAGTGGTGCAGATTTTGGAGTTTGGAATATTTGCATTAGACTTACCGGTTAAGCATCCCTAATCTGAAAATTTGAAATGTTCCAGTGAGCATTTCCTTTGAGCATCATGTCGGTGCTCAAAAAGTTTTGAATTTTGAAGCATTTCAGATTTCAGATTTGTTTTGGATTATGGATGCTCAACCTATATTGATCTTCTCACCTTAAAATTTATGTTTTAAAACAGAAAAAGCACCTGAATGTTCCCTAGTTTATAAGTAATATCTTAAGTAAGGATCCTTGATATAAGTATTTTGGGTAGAACTGAGGATTTATTATTTGCTGTTAATTTCTCAAGGAACTCATTCATCATCGTCAAATGTCTGTAAAGGTCTATGGGACCTGGAGAAAAGGCCGTCCATTGACCTAAAGTTAGAACATAATATAGCACTAAAAGGCATTTACACGTACTTTATCTGCTTCTTCTCACTTTATTCTTTGGTAATGAAACTGACATTTACCCCTAAGAAGTAATCAAATTAAAAGCAAAGGTGCTTAGAGATGTCATTTTCACAGAGCACGTGCAGTAGGGCACTATTGCTTTGCCAGTACGAGGTTGGCCTCTCCTTGACAGTTGCTCTCTCTTCCCCACAGCCAGTGGTTCAGCGTGCTGAGTCAGGTCCACGCGTCCACGGACCAGGAGATCCAGGAGATGCATGATGAGCAGGCAAACCCACAGAATGCTGTGGTACGGGAGCACTGTGTGGGATGGGGGTGGGGCGTCTAGGGGCAGGGACGGGGAGGGCGTCAGGATGGTAAAAAAGGGAAAGATTGGGAATTTCCAGACAGTCTTTTTTTAAAAGGTAAATATAGAATAATTAAGGAGAAAAACAGGACCATTTGAGTTTAGAATCAATACAATAATAAATATAATAAGTGGTACAATATAATACAATAATAAATACAGTAAATTAAGTTGGACACTGTGGCTCATGCCTGTAGTCCCAGCACTTTGGGAGGCTGAGGTGGGAGGATCATTTGAGGCCAGGAGTTCAAGACCAACCTGAGAAACATAGCAAGACACTGCCTCTATGAAAAAAATTAAAAATTATCCAGGCATGGTATTATGGGCCTGTAGTCCCAGCTACTTGGCAGGCTGAGGCAGGAGGATTGCTTGAGCCTGAGAATTCGAGGCTACAGTGAGCTATGATTGCGCCACTGAACTCCAGCAGCCTGACCCTGTCTCCTAAAAAAACAAACAACAAAAACGAATAAATTACAGAAGGTTGTAAGTAGTAATACATTCCAGTTCTCTCACCTCAAACCTTTAAAAGAACAAAAGAAATAATCCTACTTTTTATGAAGTCACGGAAGTACACATCACACTTACTCTTCAGAGGACTTGGTGAAATCTAAATTGTATTCTTATTTTTTTTTTTTGAGATGGAGTCTCACTCTGTCACCCAGGCTGAAGTGCAGTGGCGAGATCTCAGTTCACTGCAACCTCCGCCTCCAGGTTCAAGCAATTCTCCTGCCTCAGCCTCCCAAGTAGCTGGGACTACAGGCGCTTGCCGCCACACCCGGCTAATTTTTTGTATTTTAGTAGAAACAGGGTTTCACTATGTTGCCCAGTCTGGTCTGGAACTCCTGAGCTCAGGCAATCCACATGCCTCAGCCTCCCAAAGTGGTGATACAGGCGTGAACCACTGTGCTGGGCCGAAATCCAAATTGTATTCTTTGTCTTCCCTCTATCCCAGACACAAAGTTACAAAACCCTGCTTTGGAAACCAAGTTTTATTTCCTCATCAGAAAATCTTGAAATAAAGTTTCTTAGGAGAAGAAGTGTAAGATTTAATTAAAGGACACAATATAATCAGGAAATTTGTACTATTGAAAGAAGGTCATAAACACTGTTCACTGAACATATTTTAAGAATAAGAGGGGCCAGGTGCGGAAGCTCAGACCTGTAATCCCAATACTTTGGGAGGCCAAGGCGGATGGATCACTTGAGGCCGCCAGGAATTTGAGACCAGCCTGGCCAACATGGCGAGACCCCATCTCTACTAAAACACAAAATTATCCAGGTGTGGTGGCCCACACCTGTAGTCCTAGCTACTTAGGAGGCTGAGGCACGAGAATCACTTGAACCTGGAAGGCAGAGGTTGCGTTGAGCTGAGATCACACCATTGCGCAGCCTGGGCAACAGAGTGAAACTCTGTTTCAAAAACAAACAAATTAAATTAAAATAGAGGTACTTGTAGAAAACTTAGTTAAAATATTTTTAAAAACAAAGAAATAAATTATTGAAAGGTTAAGAGGTAATGATTAACTTGTAATTTTAAAAAATAAATGGCCTATAGATTCTGCTCCGTGTAGAGGCTATTTGTACTCACACAACAGAGGAGTCGTCTCATAGATAACTATTATTTTGAAGTTAAAAAGAAAAGAGCCTTTTCTGTCTGATTGGGAGTTGTGGGCTAGAGGTATTACTGTAGTGTGCACCCTACTTTAGTGCTTCTCTCATTCTGTTTACTTTTTGTTCTTTTCCAGGGCACCTTGGATGTGGGGCTGATTGATTCTGTGTGTGCCTCTGACAGCCCTGATAGGTAAGCTCAGATGTGGCTCTTAACAAAAACAGCTCATCACCTGTGTGTGTCCACAGGTGTCTGTGCTGCTGGGTCACGACCCTCTTCACAGGGCTGTGAAATCACGCAAGGCTGTGTGTTCCCACCTTGTCAACCCCAGCAATCCAGTCTTCCTTCTTGGTACCCAATTTTACATCACCTGGAAGTCTCCTTCTCTGGGTATCTTTGGAGTCCTGGGGAAAACCGTGGGAACCTGGACAATTTTAAAAAGCATGAGGAATATTTTTAATGTGTATACAGGGACAAACTTGGGATTTATACAGGAAGAAAATGCCTGTTTAGGAAAATGATATTCCAGCAAAGGGGAAGGGAGTCATTCTCCTTTCTGAACTTAACGATAAACTTGAAAAGGATTTTGATGATAATGTATATGTAGAGTATTAATAAACCACAAACATTGATTTTCCTTGACATTTCTTCTTTCTTGGCACCCTTTTTGGTTTTGATTTTTGAAGGCAAATCATCTTTGGAGATGATCTTACGCGTCTTTGTGCCCAGTGAACTTCATCTTTATTGTCTCTGTTTTTCTGTATTATCTTGTAAGTTCTACTTCTGGCCTGCAGCAGAATTTAAGAAAAGTTTCTCTAGGACGGACCAGAGAAAGAATCAAAATTGTCTTCTGCCCTCAGTAAGATGCTGGAAAGTGAATACGAGTGTGTTAAAATTGACAACAAAATATAGTGCCTCCTTGGCAGAGTTAGAGTGCTGGGGTCTCTGTCAGTCACCCTCCCGTTGACAAGAGCCCTTCTGAACCATGGGTCCTTTGTTTTTAGTAGTCAGCTTGCACCCCTTATAACTGGCTCAGGAATCTTTAACACGTATGTGTCATATCCGTAATCAAAGCCCTGGTGCTTCTTATTCTGGTATGTGAGTTTCTACCTTACCTTCTCCACATCTTTACTCTCCCAAGCCCTTCACTCCTCCAGGCTGGGCATGTGATGATCCATCCTTAGAATTTTGCATCCTCATTCAGGGTTTTCTCTCTTCCTCAACTGGCCACTTTTCTCCCTTGCCAACTATAGAAAAAGGCTTTTTTTATTTTTTATTTTTAAGGGGCACCTCAAGTTTAGCCTGTTTGCATAGCTTTTCCTGTGTCCTGCAGTCCAGTTACTCTTTTTCTTAAATTTTTGTGTCACCTAACTACAGTGAACATTTGAAGACTTGCAAGAAAGAGTTCACATTCTCTAGCTTAAGCCGTTAGATAGAGGAGTTAGTATTTATATTAGCAAGGGCCTATGAGAGAGGTTCAGGGCATTTCCAGACAAAAAGAGGTGAGGGAGAAAGTAAATTTCCATTATCACGTTATCCGTGACTAGGAAATGCACCCTTGTTAGATCACTTTGGAAACCCGGACCCAGGTGGCTTTTTGTATAAAGCGTAATCAAGCATTTAAGATGCTCCACCTACACCTATTTACTGATCCTCTTTTATTGCTGGTGTCTGACATTTCATTACCAACCCACAGAAATATTACCCAAGGCAGGAAGAAATTGACTTTGGAGAGGCATCAAAAAAAAATTTTCCCTCATGGTCACCTTGTTTAGCCTTCCCGGAACTGAGTTTCATCTGGAAAGTTTTGCATGAAGAAATGTTTTCCCTTCCAGGACCTTCAGAATGAATGTGTTGCTCCAAGTTTAAAGGTTAATGATGCGTAAAAGAAATTCTGCAGAAATGAGCAACGTTTGCCTTAATAAAAGCACAGATAGCCTAGCAGTGTATATCCCGTGACCCAGAAGCCAGGAAGAAGGCACTGAGTCTCGGTTCACACAGAGGTGATGCTGACGGTAGGGCTAAGGGGCTTTGTTTCCTTCTCATCTTGTGGCTCAGACCCAACTCGTTTGTGATCATCACGGCCAACCGGGTGCTGCACTGCAACGCCGACACGCCGGAGGAGATGCACCACTGGATAACCCTGCTGCAGAGGTCCAAAGGGGACACCAGAGTGGAGGGCCAGGAATTCATCGTGAGAGGTGACTGCCTGCCCTGCTTCCTCGGTCTGCTTAACAGACTCCCCTTTCCATTTGCATATAGACATCTGCAGCATTTTCATTTCGAGCTGCTTTTCCCAGTCATTTTAACTGTTGGAGATTTTGTAAGTGATTTTTAATTTGTGATATTATAAAGTGTTTCTAGAGGGTCATGTTTTTTGTTGCTAGTTGTGATTTTGGGCTTTTCTTTCATGTAGTCGTTCCATTTACATCGGGTTGGGGTGTTCGTGGTCTTTTTCTGGCAAACAGCTAGAAACCCCACCCATGTGTTAGCATTATGCAGATGATTGTGTGGTCTTTGGGGTTTCTCCTCACAGATTTTAATTTACACTTTAATCTTTTTTTCCAGGATGGTTGCACAAAGAGGTGAAGAACAGTCCAAAGATGTCTTCACTGAAACTGAAGAAACGGTGGTTTGTACTCACCCACAATTCCCTGGATTACTACAAGAGTTCAGAGAAGAACGCGCTCAAACTGGGGACCCTGGTCCTCAACAGCCTCTGCTCTGTCGTCCCCCCAGATGAGAAGATATTCAAAGAGACAGGTAACCAGGCTGGCTGCCCGAACCCTGAGCATCAAATCTTAAAGTCTGGGCTTGCTCCGGGCAAAGGAATAAGATTCCTTCCTAGTGTGTACTTTATTTCCCCCCAAAGAAGTTGTCCTCTTGGTTTATCTTCTAAGCCTGTCTGGGGTTAGCTATGTGACCACTTAGTGTTTAAGCCGTACTAGAGGTCGATTCATGGAGTGGTAGGAAGATTCTCGCAAGGACAAGAAAATGTCAACAGATGCAGGGCATCGTACGGGAAGCTTGGTTTTCATATACTGTTTTCATCCTTTTAATTTTCATTCTTCTCATTTTTGAGACAGGGTCTCACACTGTTGCCCAGGCCGGAGTGCAATGGTGCAATCTTGGTTCACTACAGCCTTCCAGGGCTCAAGCAATCCTCCCACCTCAGCCTCCCGAGGAGTAGCTAGGACTACAGGCACGCACCATCACACCGGGCTAATTTTTATACTTTTTGGTGGAGACCAGGTTTTGCCATGTGGGCCAGGCTGTTTTCCATCATTGTACGATGAGCGTCCTATGCAACCTGTAAAAGATAAATCCTGACTGTCCATGAACTTAGCCTAGTAGCATAGAAAGTACACAGGTAACTTAGAGGGTTTCTTGTAATTTTTGTAGTATTATGAAAGTGTTTCCAGAAGATGGCTTATTTTGATTTTTGTTGCTGGTTGTGATCTTGTGCTTCTGTGTAACACAGTTGTTCCATTCGCGTCAGGTTTGGGTGACGGTTCGGACAGCTTGCCTCTGAACTCACACACTGCCAGGCCAAGTGCTGTCTTCTGAAGGGAGAGGCTAAAGAAAGGAAAGGAAGAAATAGGAAGTAAGAAGGAAAGTCAGAAATCAGAGAGAGTTTTCACTCCTGTTCCAGAGCCCAAAAAGAGACATTAACTTACCCTTTTCCCTTCCAGAGCCAGTTATCATTTATCTTTATATATTTAATGATGGGTTTATTGTTCTAATACTCATCTCCCCATCTCAGCTGTAAATGTCACAGTGCAAGAGACACTTTTTTTCTTCATCACTAGATACCTAGTGCAGGGCAGGACAGGACACATGTAGGAATTAAGCCAGTGTCTATTGAATTGAATAATTAAAGGGACTGAGGTCAGAGAGGACACAGGCATTGCCTCAGTCCCCGAGGTTGGCGTTGACGTGCGTGTGCTGGGCACCCCTGCCATTGCAGGCTACTGGAACGTCACCGTGTACGGGCGCAAGCACTGTTACCGGCTCTACACCAAGCTGCTCAACGAGGCCACCCGGTGGTCCAGTGCCATTCAAAACGTGACTGACACCAAGGCCCCGATCGACACCCCCACCCAGCAGCTGATTCAAGATATCAAGGTAAGCCAAGACAAGCCCATCAAGGTGGGTGATTACAGCTCAGAGATTCTACCCTTAGAGCACCAAGACCTCAGCATTAGTGAAGCTCAGTTTTTTTTCTGTAATCAAAACTAGTGCTTGGTTGGCCGGCACGGTGGCTCACGCCTGTAATTCCAGCACTTTGGAAGGCTGAGGCAGGTGGATCACTTGAGGTCAGGAGTTCAAGACCAACCTGGCCAACATGATGAAACCGTATCTCTACTAAAAATACAAAAATTAGCCGGGTGTAGTGACGCATTCCTGTAATCCCAGCTACACAGGAGGCTGAGGCAGAAGACTTGCTTGAACCTCCGAGGCAGAGGTTGCAGTGAGCAGAGATCATTCCACTGCACCCCAGCCTAGGTGACAGAGTGAGACTTCGTCTCAAAAAAAAAAAAAAAAAACACCCAAAAAACTAGCGCTTGGTTAAATTTGTGTTTGAGTACCCTGCTTTCGGGAATCTAAATGAGAAACTTTAGACCAAAAATGTTTTGTCTCTAGGGAAGTGTTAGACATTTTCGCTGAGTCACCCGATCCCACCTGTTGGGTTCTGTGGGCAGAAGGATGAGGTCTGCAGCTTGCACTGTGGGGCTCCCTGCTCATGGGGATGTGGTGACCTGCGTGGGGGACCACCTGCTTTGCGTCAGGTTCTCCCTCAGCCTCAGTTGGAGACCTTCTAGGAGTAACCGGCTAGTTCCACTGTCACTGTACAGTTTCCAGACCACACGAGTGAATTCCCAAGGAGCCCAGGGTGGTCTAGAAGAACACTTGGCATCCCTCTCAGGCACGTGCAAACTTCCAGAAGCTCCTGAGTCTCTCTATTAACACCGAGCATGTTACATTACAAATTGCTGTTTATAAGTACGTGTAGTCGCTCAGTAAATCTATGTGAGATGAAGGAATGAATGGTTGCATGGCAGCCCTGAGCGGGGATTCTTACCCTCACTTTCCGGAAATGGAACGGTGACGGGGGATGTTCTGGTTGCACTGCCCACGTAGCCGGTCAGTCCCGGGTGCAGAACCAAGTCAAGGGAGACTGCTGGCCCTCCAAGCAGTCCTGCAGGCAGATTCCCAGGGCAAGGGACAGAGCTGGGGCTGTGACAGAGAAGGTGCTAGAATGATGGTGAGGCAGGTATTTTACTGATGGACGGCAAAGGAAATTAGCTAACCAGATCCAAGAGGGAACTCAGTTTTTGTGGAGGTGGGAGAGGATCTAATCCATCAGTGGTGGATAATTTTCCATCAAAATCAAATTGGCCTCCTGATTCCAAAGTGGTATGTTCTCTGGGTGTTTAGGTGTTTAGAACCAGATTCTGGCAAGCCAGTTGTTTTTTGTTTGTTTTGAGACGGAGGACGGAGTCTTGCTTGTCACCCAGGCTGGAGTGCGGTAGTGCGATCTCAGCTCACTGCAACCTCCGCCTCCCGGGTTCAAGCAATTCTCCTGCCTCAGCCTCCTGAGTAGCTGAGATTACAAGCACCCACCACCACGCCCAGCTAATTTTTGTATTTTTAGTAGAGATGGGGTTTCACCATGTTGGCCAGGCTAGACTCCAACTCCTGACCTCAGGTGATCTGCCTACCTCAGCCTCCCAGAGTGCTGAGATAACAGGCATGAGCCACTGGGACTGGCCTTGAGCCACCACACCCAGCCCAGTTGGAACCAGATTCAGGTTGTTTTCCATGCAACCCAGGGCACTGGCTACACATAATTTCATTTTTAGCCTTAAAAAATTTATTTTTTGAAGATTTCTTCTGAAAGGAGTAAAACTATCATGTATCAGCCACACTCAGTCTTCGGTGCTGGAACTTACCTGTTTTTGTATTCTTCAGTTTGAATTCAGACATTAAAAGAGTACATAGGATTTTTCAGCTGGGCATGGTGGCTCATGCCTGTAATCTGAGCACTTTGGGAGGCTGAGGTGGGTGGATCACCTGAGGTCAGGAGTTTGAGACCAGCCTGGCCAACATGATGAAACCCTGTCTCTTGTGAAAATACAAAAGTTAGCTGGGCATGGTGGCAGGTGCCTGTAGTCCCAGCTACTTGGGAGGCTGAGGCAGAAGACTCGCTTGAACCCAGGATGCAGAGGTTGCAGTGAGCCGAGATCACGCCATTGCACTCCAGCCTGGGCAACCAGAGCGAAACTCTGTCTGCAAAAAAAAAAAGAGTAAATATGATTTTTCAAATATGAAGCCATGCTTCTTAAGAAATAAGTTGGCCGGGTGCGATGGCTCACGCCTGTAATCCCAGCACTTTGGGAGGCCAAGGCAGGCGGGTCACGAAATCAGGAGATTGAGACCATCCTGGCTAACACGGTGAAACCCCATCTCTACTAAAAATGCAAAAAATTAGCTGGGTGTGGTGGCAGGCGCCTGTAGTCCCAGCTACTCGGGAGGCTGAGGCAGGAGAATGGTGTGAACCCGGGAGGCGGAGCTTGCACTGAGCCAAGATAGCGCCACTGCACTCCGGCCTGGGCGAAAGAGCAAGACTCCGTCTCAAAAAAAAAAAAAAAAAGGTCAAGTTACCCTAAATAAGTCCATAAAATTGTTTGAATCAATTTGAATTTAGACATTAAAAGAGTAAATATAATTTTTCAAATACAAAGCCATGCTTCTTAAGAAATGAGTCAACTTACCCTAAATCAGTCCATATAAATTATTTAAGTAATTAAAAAATTTTTATGGCCTTCAATTGGATATTACTGAAAAAGTTTTATAGTGGAAATGAAATTACCACGATAGAATGATTCATTACCTCTCCTCCAACTTTTCTGTTTATTTAAGGTTCTAAAAGTAACTTTGTTTTTTTCATATCCAGATGACCATTTTAGGAGCATAGGTACATGATGAAGAAATTCCGTGAAAGACTTTCTTAGGTTTCAAGGGTGGCACGTGGAAGGACAGTCTCCCCAAGAATATATTAATGTGTGTAGTTTTCAGGTATAGAGAGAATAGAAAACAGCAATTCAAGAACTAGCAAAATGTGTTTATGAAATGAACTATAGATAAAAATAACATGATTTAGCTACTGATGGCTAAATCAATAACAGAAGATCAGATTAATTTTTTTTATTTTGCTCTCTTATTTTTTATAGAGACAGGGCCTCACTATGTTGCCCAGGCTGGTCTCAAACTCCTGGGCCCAAGTGATCCTCCTGCCTTTGGCTCTCAAAATGCACAGGCATGAGCCACTGTGCCCAGCCTAAATTTTTTTTTGAGACGGAGTCTCGCTCTGTCAGCCAGGCTGGAGTGCCGTGGCATGATCTTGGCTCACTGCAACCTCCGCCTCCCGGGTTCAAGCAATTATCCTGCCTCAGCCTCATGAGTAGCTGAGATTACAGCTACTCAGCCACCACACCCGGCTAATTTTCATATTTTTAGTGGAGACAGGGTTTCACCATGTTGGTCAGGCTGGTCTCGAACTGCTGACCTCACGATCCACCTGCGTCAGCCTCCCAAAATGCGGGGATTACAGGTGTGAGCCACCGTGCTCTGCTGAGATGAAATTTTTTAAATGTATGTAATCTCCAGGGGAGAAAATTTAAAATCACATGGGGAAGTACACGCACGAGAAAATAAGAAATGAGCTGTAAGAATGTATTTTTGTGATTTGTCTTCAAACACAGATTATGGGTATCTTCGTCCATGAAACCACCTAACACTGGATTTCCACCATCTTTGCCCCACTAGGTTTATGGATATTTGAGAGTCTTGAAAAATATTTATATGTAGGAAAATACAGGTTTCTTACAATAAGCTTGCTTGCTTTATTTTTAGGAGAACTGCCTGAACTCGGATGTGGTGGAACAGATTTACAAGCGGAACCCGATCCTTCGATACACCCATCACCCCTTGCACTCCCCGCTCCTGCCCCTTCCGTATGGGGACATAAATCTCAACTGTAAGTCCAGAGCTCCACCCCGACTCCTCAGAGACCATGATTCCACTTGCCCTGCTAACTCTTTAGCTTAACACAGAAGCATTTGTTTTTATCTCAAAGACTCTCTTATTCGTCGTGAATTGGAAGGAAAAGATGAAATATACTTAGATTCATTATTAAAGCAAGACTTCTAGAGTGTGGTTGTAGTAATGCTAAGATTGATTGCTGTAGTAAAAGAAGAGATTTAAAGGAGTCAGAAAATGCCAGCTCTCCCCATGAACTGAGAGTAGCCTTTTGTTTTGTTTTTGTTTTTTGAGACAGAGTCTTACTCTGTCACTCAGGCTGGGGTGCAGTGGTGCAATCTTGGTTCACTGCAACATCTGCCTCCCAGGTTAAGGTCGTTCTCATGCCTCAGCCTCCTAAGTAGCCGGGATTACAAGCACCCGCCACCACATCCAGCTAATTTTTGAATTTTTAATAGAGACAGGGTTTCGCCATATTGCCCAGGCTGGTCTTGAACTCCTGGCCTGAAGTGACCCACCTGCCTCGGCCTCCCAAAGTGCTGAGATTACAGGTGTGAGCCATTGCACCTGGCCGAGTAGCCAGACAACCAGATCCTAAGTAATTTTGCATTCCAAAAAAGGATTTTGTTCAGCAACAGATTACCTTTTAAGTAAGCATTTTATGTGGTAAGAAGTTCAATTAGATAACAAAACAGTGTCAACTTACCCACCTCTGTGCTTTTAGATCTGTGTTCAACTGATTGAGATGTATAGGGAGTGTGGTGGGCATTGCATCCGTCCTCCTCATTTATTCCTTTGTCTTGACTACTGCTCCGATTATGCTCATGCCCTATTCTGAACCCCTCAGATGAGTTCCGTGTTTGTTTTGCTTGTCCTAGTGCTCAAAGACAAAGGCTATACCACCCTTCAGGATGAGGCCATCAAGATATTCAATTCCCTGCAGCAACTGGAGTCCATGTCTGACCCAATTCCAATAATCCAGGGCATCCTACAGACAGGGCATGACCTGCGACCTCTGCGGGACGAGCTGTACTGCCAGCTTATCAAACAGACCAACAAAGTGCCCCACCCCGGCAGTGTGGGCAACCTGTACAGCTGGCAGATCCTGACATGCCTGAGCTGCACCTTCCTGCCGAGTCGAGGGATTCTCAAGTATCTCAAGTTCCATCTGAAAAGGTAAAGCATGGGGGCACGGGAGATGAGCTGGGCAGAGCTGCTTACACAGGTGGGGCACTGGGTCCTCGTTCAGATAAAGAGGCTTTTGAACAGAAGACACCTCTAGTAGGACAGGGACCTCTGGGTCAGACTTGTGGGTTGCCTGAGCAAGCTTAGAGAATGCTGCCATCCTTTTTAAGTCACACAAGGTTATTTCAGGGACCAAGTCACCGTTGGTGTAATGTCCTAATGTATAGGACATTGGATCAATTAATTACCACTGCTCTATATTTAAAAAAAAAAAAAAAAACTTGGATATTTGTTCCAGATCAAAGAGATAGAAACAATCTAATTGAGATTTTGATTAGCTATAGAAAAAGAAGTGTCTTTTCTTTTCTTTTTTTGAGACAGAGTTTTGCTCTTGTTGCCCAGGCTAGAGTGCAATGGCATGATCTCGGCTCATTGCAACATCTGCCTCCTGGGTTCAAGCGATTCTCCTGCCTTAGCCTCCTGAGTAGCTGAGATTACAGGCGCCCGCCACAACGCCTGGCTAATTTTTTGTACTTTTAGTAGAGATGGGGTTTCACCGTGTTGGCCAGGCTGGTCTCGAACTTCTGACCTCAGGTGATCCACCCGCCTCGGCCTCCCAAAGTGCTGGGATTACAGGCGTTAGCCACGGCGCCCGGCCAAGAATTTTCATATGATAGGATGAGGCATGACTCTTTCAAGTATTAACAACGCTGCAGAGGTGAGTTGGCAGCACAGTTGCTCCCAGTGAGACATTGGCTCTTTAGGGGTTTTTTGTATTTAAATTGAACTGCACAAAATGAAGCGGGCCCTTGCCAAGAAGTCACTGGTGCTTGCTCCATTCACCAGTGGGGGACCATTCACTGCTTTGGTCTACAGAACCTTGGCACAGCCTAGTTCCTCCCAGCAGCCAGCCCCCATCAGTCTAAAAATTAACAGTTAGTGTTTGCCTCCTAGGATACGGGAACAGTTTCCAGGAAGCGAGATGGAAAAATACGCTCTCTTCACTTACGAATCTCTTAAGAAAACCAAATGCCGAGAGTTTGTGCCTTCCCGAGATGAAATAGAAGCTCTGATCCACAGGCAGGAAATGACATCCACGGTCTATTGCCATGGCGGCGGCTCCTGCAAGATCACCATCAACTCCCACACCACCGCTGGGGAGGTGAGGAGAGGCAGCTGCTGCTTGTTCTGTTAGATGCCTTTGCTGCAGATACACCTGCGTCAGGAACATTGTGCAGCATTAGAGTGGCTGTCCTGCACAGTTGCAGTTTGCTTAGTACAGCTCTCAATACTAAGGAAATGCATGTAACCCAGAAGCAACCACACGAATATAGAGATAAAAATATATATATTGAGTGGAAACACAGAGATAAAGTACCTGAGACATAATCTTGCTAATCTGAGAAGCAGCTGAGTGTCTAGCAGAGCTGCAGACCTGGCTCAGGTCCAGCCACTTTGATGAGGGTTTATTGCAGTGCTTCTGCAACAAAGTGTTTGTTTGCACGTGACTAGCTAGATGAATATCAGATGAACACATTTTCTTTTTAAAATTTGAACTTACTATTATAAAACCAGTTGGCCAAAAGGGTGGTAATCCAATAACCACCACCCCGACCCCCACCCCCCAAGGCTTCTTATGGAAAAAAAAAAAACGTCATCTGGAGTCTCTGTTGTTCCTTGGAGTTCATAAATTTATCAGCCAAAAGACAGGACTGAAGCTTTTCACCCGCTTTTCCTGTTAATATAGGTTTGCAAGAAATCAGCCCAGCATCTGCCTCTACCGATGGGCAAAATACCCTGAGTTATTTTCAGCAAGAAAGAGATAAACCTAATCTCAAGAGAACAAAGGGAAAATAGTACTTTTGAAATTCTGGGATGACCACACGGGTAACATTTTTAGGAGGCTGGAGACGCCCTTGTGCCAGCAGCTCCCTCTGGGATCAGGTGATGGCACGTTCTGGGAACACGTGTTGGGGCCGCAGCCTGTGGAACTGAAGTCCCCCTGGTGTGTCTTCCAGGTGGTGGAGAAGCTGATCCGAGGCCTGGCCATGGAGGACAGCAGGAACATGTTTGCTTTGTTTGAATACAACGGCCACGTCGACAAAGCCATTGAAAGTCGAACCGTCGTAGCTGATGTCTTAGCCAAGTTTGAAAAGTAGGTTCCTTTTCCCTACTGTGTCAGAAGAGCAAATAAGAGAAATTGCAGAGCAGGGTTCAGGGTTTGAGCTTCCCATTCCATTTGTGGCTTCACGCTGTATTGGAGTTAGTTTTATTTTACCTGTGTTGATGCCTGTTTAACTTTGCATATCCGCTATTTTTCTCGATTCCTAGATAAAGCTACGGTCTTACGTGATGTAACTTGTCAGTGGTTTTTTACCCCATTCCTTTTCTCAGTTCCATGTTGGACCCGTCTGGGTATTTCTTGATTTTTTAGGTTTCCAGTTGTCATTAGCTTTGAAATTGGGCTGATTGACTGAAGCCAGCTTATAAACTCTTTAAACTATGTGTTATGTCTACAATATAAAATGGACCTACTTTTTTTTTTTTTTGAGATGGAGTCTTGCTCTGTTGCCCAGGCTGAAGTGCAGTGGCGCAACCTTGGCTCACTGCAACTTCTGCCTTCTGGGTTCAAGCAGTTCTCCTGCCTCAGACTCCCGAGTAGCTGGGATTACAGGCATGTACTACCACGCCCAGCTAATTTTTGTATTTTTAGTACAGATGGGGTTTGGCCATGTTGGTCAGGCTAGTCCCAAACTCCTGACCTCAGGTGATCCGCCCACCTGGGCCTCCCAAAGTGCTGGGATTACAGGCGTGAGCCACTGCACCTGGCCTGTAGACCTACGCTATTTGATCTGTGACTTCATATCCTCGAAGTAGCGCGAAGGTATTCCTGCTTAGTATAAACACAGCCCTCATACAAGAGTATTCACATCAATTTTTATAAATGTTATCATAATGTATCTGAGGCTTGGTAAAGGTAATAAAGAAACAGGCTTTTGTTTCTTTTCTTCCCGTGGACTCAGCATAATGCTTAGCTGGTACTAATTCGAATGCGGCTCTCTGAAAACACTTGTTAGCTGGTTAAACTAGGGGCTGCCTGTTTGTTTTCTTAAAGCAAAATCAGGATGAAAGTACGTTTTTTCACTCTGTTTATTCCTCTATCCCCATCTCTATCCACTGTTTTCTGGGCCCGGACAGAATGTCTGTGTCCTTAGAATACACCATGTAAAGTCAGGTCCCTGCGGGTCACTGAAGGCCCTTCTCGTTCATATTCTGAGCCTCTCTTGACTCCTCTCTGTAGGCTGGCTGCCACATCCGAGGTTGGGGACCTGCCATGGAAATTCTACTTCAAACTTTACTGCTTCCTGGACACAGACAACGTGCCAAAAGACAGTGTGGAGTTTGCATTTATGTTTGAACAGGTAAAAGGAATAGTTAGAAACAGATTTCTTTGCCGGCAAGCAAGGGTGAAACCTGTTAATACTTAGCCTTGTAAGTTAACTGGTACTTAGAAATGAGGCACACCTGTGGATTTCCCAGCAAAGACAAGACCAGCTGCTCTTTCATTCGTTTGTAGAATGAAACCTGCTACACATTTTATTTGAACCTCCGTTCCAGGGACTGTTCTAGTTGACAGGAGAGAGAGCACAAGGAATAAAATATGTGACGTGTGTTAGATGGTATCTGTGCTAGGGAGAAAATTAAATTTAAAGCAGTGAGCCAGGGGTGAGGGTACAGTTTTAGCCAGGGCAGTCAGGGAAGGTGAGTTTGAGAGAAACCCTCATGAAGTGAGGGAGCAAGCGACGTGGGCATCCCATGGCATGGCAGTGCGTTGACCGGAAAGCTGTTGACTGTCTCCTTTCAGGCCCACGAAGCGGTTATCCATGGCCACCATCCAGCCCCGGAAGAAAACCTCCAGGTTCTTGCTGCCCTGCGACTCCAGTATCTGCAGGGGGATTATACTCTGCACGCTGCCATCCCACCTCTCGAAGAGGTTTATTCCCTGCAGAGACTCAAGGCCCGCATCAGCCAGTCAACCAAAACCTTCACCCCTTGTGAACGGCTGGAGAAGAGGCGGACGAGCTTCCTAGAGGGGACCCTGAGGCGGAGCTTCCGGACAGGATCCGTGGTCCGGCAGAAGGTCGAGGAGGAGCAGATGCTGGACATGTGGATTAAGGAAGAAGTCTCCTCTGCTCGAGCCAGTATCATTGACAAGTGGAGGAAATTTCAGGGAATGAACCAGGAACAGGCCATGGCCAAGTACATGGCCTTGATCAAGGAGTGGCCTGGCTATGGCTCGACGCTGTTTGATGTGGAGGTGAGAACTGGCTGCCGTGTGTTGGGGTGGGCTGGGTGCTGGCATCTGAGAACATGGATCACGGCCAAGTTCATGTGGAGAGAAGACAAGATGGAGCATTTTGCTCTCTCAACCTCTTTTATTCGAGCCCCCAGAATTGTACCATTAACGCCTCCCTTCTCCTCACAGTTTCTCTTCTCCTGTGTAGTAAACACATCTGTAATATTAGGAATGAATGCAAAATTAAGATGTCATCTATTCTTCTACCCTTCCTTAGGGAAGCTATAGATCTAATTTTTTAAACACTGATAAAAATCTACATTTAAAAAAATGTTATAGCTGTATATACAAATTAGAAACTTTGGATATACTTGCATTTTACTTTGTTTTTTCTTTACAGCCATCTGTTTGAAAGGAAGAATGTCTATCTCGTAATGGAATTTAGCCATTGGCATCAACCCAGTACTGATTTTTGTTTTGTTTTAAGTAGACCGCTTATTGAAAAGAAATCTTACTAATTGTCTAGATGAGAGTTTGGCAAACTGGTCTGTGGGTCAGATCTTGCCTGCCTCCTTTTTTCTAAACAAAGTTTTATTGGAACACAGCCAAGCTCATTCCTTTAGATATATTCCCTGGCTGTTTTTGTACAGAGTTGAGTAGTTGTGACAGAGACCATGTGATCCACAAAGTCTAAAAATCTTTACTATGCAGCCCTTAACAGATAAGTGTGCCAGCTCATCGTCTAGATTAGCTTCCATTTTTTATGATCACAGTAATTCAGCGTATATCTGATGACTTTATATTGAGGCTGTATAAAATTCTAAATATTATAAATTCTAGAATCCGTGGGTGGCTTTTCATTAGGTGATGTTTTTGATTGGTTTGGTTGGTTCAATTATGCCTGTTTTTAAGTATAAAAAAATCAGGTGCTTTGTACAAAGCCATAATTCCATTTCTCCCTGACAAGGAATAGATAATAGCAGTTAAACTCTTGGCTTCCTGCAAAACGTGAGCTGTGAATTAGCATAGAAAGCTACTGGCTTGGCCGGGCGCGGTGGCTCATGCCTGTAATCCCAGCGCTTTGGGAGGCCAAGGCGGGCGGATCATGAGGTCAGGAGATCGAGACCATCCTGGCTAACACGGTGAAACCCCATCTCTGCAAAAAATTAGCTGGGCGTGGTGGCATGCACCTGTAATCCCAGCTACTCGAGAGGCTGAGACAGGAGAATCGCTTGAACTCAGGAGGTGGAGGTTGCAGTGAGCCAGGATCACGCCACTGCACTCCAGCCTGGGCGACAGAGTGAGACTCCGTCAAAAAAAAAAAGAAAAAAGAAAGCTACTGGCTTTTGCATGGAGGATGCAGAGAATGTCTGGTTATTAGGGATATAAACTAGAGACTCTTTTCAGCGTCTCCAATTTATAGCCCTCCTGCTTGTCCAGGTTTGGATCAGCCCTGTGTTGTTAGCCCCTTCATATGGGGTCTTATTTTCTTCCACCAATCTGTACAGGAAAGTCTACAGTTAAACTGGTAAAGTCCCTGTTCCCACTCTGCATATGGAAGGCCATTGCTGCTCCTTGTGAAGAGGAGCCAGAACTGCTCAGCATGCGTGATTTGGAGAATTTTCCTCTGTGATCCTAGATTTTGTATTTGAAGACTAACCATCCGCAAAGAGGATTGGAGGCAGAACTGGAGATATTAATACAAGAGTAGACTTGGCTTGGGTTGCAGGGAAGCTTCCTTAAGTCCCCCGGCCAAGCATGTACGTTTCCAGGCCACTTCCACGTAGCTAATCCAAACAGCTAGTAGAATAATGCTGAGAAGTGGAGAGTCAAAGCAAGATGTTAGACTCTGCCAGTTAGTGAGGTTTTCCCAAAAGCGTGAGATTAACTAGTTAGAAATCAAGATAGCCAGAGAGGTGCCATTTTTCATATTTCAGGCCCCTCCATGCATGCATGCACATCGAATATATTTAATCTTCTGCACAGAGGACTTCACTCAAAGCCTGTCTTATGGTTTAGATGCTTTCTGTTGCCAACCACTTCATGACTTAACTCTTCTGTTGACTCTTGCCCACCAGTGCAAGGAAGGTGGCTTCCCTCAGGAACTCTGGTTGGGTGTCAGCGCGGACGCCGTCTCCGTCTACAAGCGTGGAGAGGGAAGACCACTGGAAGTCTTCCAGTATGAACACATCCTCTCTTTTGGGGCACCCCTGGCGAATACGTATAAGATCGTGGTCGATGAGAGGGAGCTGCTCTTTGAAACCAGTGAGGTAAGAGGCAAAGCAAGTTCATCTTTTTATTCATGGTCTTGACAAAACAGAAAAACAGGACCCCATTTCCTCATGCCTTTGACCAGGTCATTTTCTTTGAATATTTTTCTTCAAAACACGAAAATACAGTGTGGTGGTCCCTTTCCAGCTGCCGGTTCCCTGCAGGCCAAAATCTGAGATCACCATATTTTTTTTGTATACTTTTGCAACAGAGGAATCTGGTTCCATTTTGCCAAGGAGTCTTACCCTTGGAGGAAAGGCAGAGAAAGGGAAGTGACATAGATGTCCCTGAAAAAGTATATTATTTGCAACAAAACCTTATGAAAATTAGTTAGCAATTATAGCGGTGTCACAGCTGTGAGACTCGGCTCTGGTGGCCTCTTGAGACCAGGAGGGAGCCGGGAGCATGACCATCCTGGGTGCAGCTCATTCTGGATTGTGAAACCACACACACTAAAAGGCCTCTAAATATATGTGCTACCAGCCTCCAAGTTTAAAAAATATAATACAAGAAGCTTATTGAGGCTTCCACAAAGGGAACAGCTAGCAAGTCAACGTGGTGAGTGGAGAGGAATCACCTGCTGCCTGGTTTGGAATGGAGAGGCATTGAGGAGGGCGTTCCAGCTGCTTGGAGGATGTGGCATTGTAGGTTCCCTAGGCTGATGGGGAGTCGTGCAGTGAGAGGGAAGAGGGTGGAGAGCCCTTGACTCAAGGGTCCCAGGTGCCAGGCTGCAGGATTTGGTGAGATCCAGTAGACAACAAGGAACCACTGTGGGATCTTTGATTGTGCATGGCATAACAGTGAATTTACAGACAGTGATCTCTGGGGTGGGACTGGAAGGGAAGAGAGCAAACAGGGATATGGAAGCCGGTTATGATGCCTGCACAGGGATCCAGGCCAGCTGTGAGAAGGGGTGGCAATGACGGGGACATCATGGGAGGGAGCTAATGGAGATCCCAGCTGGAGGAGGTGGCTGGTGTGGAGCAGAAGCTGGCCTGGCGTCTGGGGAGCTGGCCGCTCTCCCAGCCCCTGGGGCCTCAGTTATCTTGTTTCTTCAGCTGCTTCCTAAGGAGTTGACTAGAATTAGATGATCCAGTCTTTAAAGGCTGTAATTGTGGACTCTGTCATTTCACATTTATTTTAAGCGGGGATAGTAATCCCAGCACTGTTGACACCGAGTAACTTCAGCGTCCTCGGTTAGTTCTGGATTTTAATGTGCAAAGTCTGACAGTTTCCATCAAGCCAAGTTGGCACGTTTGTGCCACCAGGTGGTGCACATTGTATTTGGAAAAGCTGAGATTCCACCTTTCCCTGATGAGGAAGGTGAAAGTGGTTAAACTTCTGGCTTCCTGCAAAATGGGATCCGTCGATTAGCATGGAAGGCTACGGGAGGGTGCCCAGGGAATGTCTGGATTATTAGGCAGGGCCCTTTGCCTGGGGGAGACTTGTGACGCTGTGTCGGTTCTGCTTCCCCCTGGGCAGGTGGTGGATGTGGCCAAGCTCATGAAAGCCTACATCAGCATGATCGTGAAGAAGCGCTACAGCACGACACGCTCCGCCAGCAGCCAGGGCAGCTCCAGGTGAAGGCGGGACAGAGCCCACCTGTCTTTGCTACCTGAACGCACCACCCTCTGGCCTAGGCTGGCTCCAGTGTGCCATGCCCAGCCAAAACAAACACAGAGCTGCCCAGGCTTTCTGGAAGCTTCTGGTCTGAGGGAGGTGTCTCCGAGGATCCTTTTGCCTGCCGCCTTCATTGATCCTGTATTAAGCTGTCAACTTTAACAGTCTGCACAGTTTCCAAAGCTTTACTACTCTTAGAGGACACATGCCTTAAAAAAGGAGGGGAGGAACCACGCTGCCACCAAAGCAGCCGGAAGTGCCTTAACTTGTGGAACCAACACTAATCGACCGTAACTGTGCTACTGAAGGGAACTGCCTTTCCCCCTTCTGGGGGAGACTTAACAGAGCGTGGAAGGGGGGCATTCTCTGTCAATGATGCACTAACCTCCCAACCTGATTTCCCCGAATCTGAGGGAAGGTGAGGGAGTGGGAAGGGGGATGGAGAGCTCGAGGGGACAGTGTGTTTGAGCTGGAGTGCTGCGGGCAGCCTTTCTCATGGAATGACATGAATCAACTTTTTTCTTTGTTTCATCTTTTAAGTGTACGTGCTTGCCTGTTCGTGCATGTGTTCATAAACTCAACACTTTAATCATGGTTTCATGAGCATTAAAAAGCAAAGGGAAAAAGGATGTGTAATGGTGTACACAGTCTGTATATTTTAATAATGCAGAGCTATAGTCTCAATTGTTACTTTATAAGGTGGTTTTATTAACAAACCCAAATCCTGGATTTTCCTGTCTTTGCTGTATTTTGAAAAACACGTGTTGACTCCATTGTTTTACATGTAGCAAAGTCTGCCATCTGTGTCTGCTGTATTATAAACAGATAAGCAGCCTACAAGATAACTGTATTTATAAACCACTCTTCAACAGCTGGCTCCAGTGCTGGTTTTAGAACAAGAATGAAGTCATTTTGGAGTCTTTCATGTCTAAAAGATTTAAGTTAAAAACAAAGTGTTACTTGGAAGGTTAGCTTCTATCATTCTGGATAGATTACAGATATAATAACCATGTTGACTATGGGGGAGAGACGCTGCATTCCAGAAACGTCTTAACACTTGAGTGAATCTTCAAAGGACCCTGACATTAAATGCTGAGGCTTTAATACACACATATTTTATCCCAAGTTTATAATGGTGGTCTGAACAAGGCACCTGTAAATAAATCAGCATTTATGACCAGAAGAAAAATAATCTGGTCTTGGACTTTTTATTTTTATATGGAAAAGTTTTAAGGACTTGGGCCAACTAAGTCTACCCACACGAAAAAAGAAATTTGCCTTGTCCCTTTGTGTACAACCATGCAAAACTGTTTGTTGGCTCACAGAAGTTCTGACAATAAAAGATACTAGCTAACACGCTGTGTGTTTCCTTTATCAGAGGAGGCTCTAAAAACCATGGAGGGGAGGCTTATTTTTGTTTTGGCTTTTTGGTGGTTTTTTTTTTTTTTCTTTAGAGACAGAGTCTCACTCTGTTACCCAGGCTGGAGTACAGTGGCGTGATCTCGGCTCACTGCAGCCTCTGCCTCCTGGGTTCTAGCGATTCTCCTGCCTCAGCCTCCCAAGGAGTTGGGAGTACAGGCATGCATCACCACGCCTGGCTAGGTTTTGTATTTTTAGTAGAGATGGGGTTTCACCATGTTGGCCAGGCTGGTCTCGATCCACCTGCCTCAGCCTCCCAAAGTGCTGGGATTACAGGTGTGAGCTACCGCACCCGGCCGGCTTTTTGGTGTTAATGCTATGGTTTCAGTGTCTGGGCTTTGTGTTTGTTTCATGGACTTGCTCATCAGGTCTAAACACAGATCTGCAGCTGTCTCCACTGCTCTTGTAGACACTGAGTGTGACTTCAAGAAAGCAAAAGAAGGGACTGGTAAATGAAGTCACACACAGCTGAGGACTTGAAATGTGTTTATGTCAGACAGTCCCCTATGTCAGCCCCAAAGTGTGCCTGATCTTGCAACCCTGGATCCTAGAACCTGCCTGCACCTCCCTGTGGACCAGAACACACAGGTAGGCAGTTTGGTTGCCAATGTACCCAAACCACCAGGCCAGGCGTCTAGCATGAGCAAGCGCCACTTCTCTTGCAGACCACTGACTCCCACCCTCTGCTCATGCTCACGGATGGCTTCTTCCCATTCTGCAGGGATTGGGATGGAACCTGAAGCCAGGTGCTGCCTGAAGCCTGTGGCCCCGCCAGGCACCCAAGGAAAGCCGGCAAAGACTTGGATGTGTGTTGTCTTTGTTTTTATTTTAGGCTCAGAAAGAATTTGACAGAAGTCTTCTTTCTACTGCTCACCTCTCAGGATTCCCTCTGTGACTTAATTTACTCTGGAAGGCTGTCGCCCGCCCTCAATTATAGATGGGGAAATAGGCAAGGAAAGGCATGACTCAGATTGGGGGGGTTAGAGCAGCACCATAGTTAGAA
The DNA here is from genome assembly GCF_000001405.40 of Homo sapiens. NCBI lineage: Eukaryota > Metazoa > Chordata > Mammalia > Primates > Hominidae > Homo > Homo sapiens. The sequence continues at coordinate 16,664,233 of NC_000005.10, read as the reverse complement.
CATAGATTTACATGTGAGCCTTTACATGGCATAGTTGTGGTTTTGTTTTAGCCTTTTATTTAGAAATAATTACAGACTCAGAGAAAGTTGCAACAGAACGTACAGGGAGGCCTGCGTGCCCTTCAGTTTCCCCAGTGGTAGCATCCCCCATCACTGTAGAGCAGCATCACAGCTGACAAAGTACCGTTGAGCTTCCCCTAGCCACAGAACCTATTCCAATTTTACTGCTTTTACATGCACTCATTGGTGTGTGTGATGTCAGTTGCTTTCAACAAGGTCAGTGAAGTGCAGTCGTCCCTTGGTATCCAAGGGAGATTGGTTCCAGGACCCCCTCCCCCCACCCCTGAGGATACAAAATTCACAGATGCTCAAGTCCCTGCTATACAGTGGTATAATATTTGCATAGAACCTGCACACATCTTTCCTTACCCTTTAAATCATCTCCAGGTTACAGATACCTAGCACAACATAAATGCTGCATAAATAGCTGTTATACCGTGTGTGTCTGTGTTTTAAACATTGTTTATTTGAGACAGGGTCTCACTCTGTCACCAGGCTACAGTGCAGAGGCACAGTCACAGCTCATTGCAGCCTCAACCTCCTGGGCTCAAGCAGTCCTCCACCTCAGCCTCCCAAAGTGCTAGGATGACAGGTGTGAGCCACTGTGCCCCACCAAAAAAAGTTTTTTCAAATATTTTCTATCTGTGGTTGGATTCAGACCACATGAACACTGAGGGCTGACTGTAGTTTTGAATGTCTGTTACTGAGGAGGCACCAGCATAAAGTATTTTATCACTTCAGACGCTGACAATCTAGTATTTTTAATTTTTAAATCTTTTGAAAGCTAATACATATAGGTGATTTGTAAAAAAAAAAAAAAAAAAAAAAAAAAAAAAAAAAAAAAACAACTAGAAGTAAAATGTTACTTTTTTCCAGCTGTAGCCCTAATTACCCATTTTCCTTTCCCAGAAACAGCTATTTTTACTGTTTTATTGAATATTCTCTCAAAAATAATTTAAGCTGTCCAATCATTTACTCATACATACATATATATCCCCATCCTCATTTTTAATAGATGGAAACAAACTGTTGTAGCTTACTTTTTTCTCAGCATAGTATTTTAGCTCTAATCCTACATTAATACCTATAGAATTGCCTTATTCTTTTTGATGATTATATAGTACCTCAGATAGCTCTGTGGAAAAACAGGATAAGGCCATCTGTATTAGTCCATTCTCACACTGCTAGAAGGACATGCCTGAGACTGGGTAATTTATAAAGAAAAAGAAGTTGAATGGACTCAGTCTCACATGCCTGGGGAGGCCTCACAATCATGGTGGACAGCAAAGGAGGAGAAAAGGCACATCTTATATGGCAGCAGGCAAGAGAGCTTGCACAGGGGAACTCCCTTTTATAAAACCATTAGCTCTTCCGAGACATACTCACTATGGACAAGAACAGCATGGGAAAACCCACCCCCATGATTCAATTACCTCCCATCAGGTCCCTCCCGTGACAGGTGGGGATTATGGGAGCTATAATTCAAGATGAGATTTGGGTGGGGACAGAGCCAAACCATATCACCACCTAAGTTCTCTGTAAAAATAGTTTCAGCCAGGCATGCTGGCTCACGCCTGTAATCCCAGCATGTTGGAAGGCCGAGGCAAGAGGATCGCTTGAGCTCCGGAGTTCAAGACCAGTCTGGGCAACATGACAAGACCCTGTCTCCACAGAAAATTAACATTAGCCAGGTGTGGTGGTGCGCATCTGTAGTCCCAGCTACTGGGGAGGCTGAGATGAGAAAATCGTTTGAACCCAGGAGGTCAAAGCTGCAGGGAGCCATGATGGTGCCACTGCATTCTGGTGTGGGTGACAGAGCAAGACTCTGTCTCCAAAAAAAAAAAAAAAAAAAAAAAATAGTTCAGAAATCTAAGACAGCACTTTTTTTAGTTACTAAGCCTTTTATTCAGATAGCACACTAAATTGGGGTCAAAAATCTGCTATAGTAAAGTTCTGTATTTGTGTGTATTGGGTATAAAAATAAGCGCTTTAATTAATTTGAAAATCCCTATTCACCAAAAGTTTATACTGTAATAGGGGACAAAACAAGTGCATAAAGCTAAATTTAGCCAGTACATTTATAACTGTTTCATTCAGTTGATCAGAGAAGCATCACGATTGCTGGAAAATATCGGACCTGGATTCAAGGTTTGGCATTGCTGTTTTCAAAGTATGTAATCTTTTAGATCAGGGGTCAGTGAACTACAGTACAGAGACCAAATCTACCCTGCCACCTGTTTTTGTGAATAAAGTTTTATTGAAACAGATCTCTGTGTATTTGTGGATGGTTTGTCTATGTATGCATTTGTACCACAACAGCAGAGATGAGTAGTTGCAACAGAGGCCCCCTACAAAGCTGACAATATTTACTCTCTGGTTCTTCATAGAAAGAATGTGCTGACTTCTGTTGCAGGTAATTATGGAAGTATGTTTCCTTTAGAAGCAAAGCTACAGTTAGAATTTTGATTCCATGTGTGATGCAAGGAATACAGTCCCCAGTTTTAAGATTGTTGCTTTAAGTGTTTCTTACCCACTGTTTTGCATGAATCTCCTCCCTCCCTGCATTTCCTTATCAGTGCAAAGTGGCTTAGCATCACCTATCTTTGTATTTGATAAATCCACAGATGAATGAAAGCTTCTGTGGGACCAGATTCTATCTTCCCTCTATGTGCCCCAAGATATCTAGCATCGTGCCTGCTTGGAATGTTCTGGGCGCTCAATTTAGCCATAGATCATACCACTGATCTCCATAATAAACTTTAAGCAACTTATGGAGATCAGACAAATGCACATAAAATGTGAAATGACCACAAAAGGTAGCACAGCAAGTCTTGTGATAATCAGGAAGTAGTATTCCAGGTGCCAAGGCAGGTAGACTGATGTGACTGGGATGACGGGGGTCGGGGGGGAGGATGCAAGGTGGAGGGGTGTGGACCTTGAGCTGGCCTTGCAATATGGCAGGACTTGGGATGGGAGAGGAAGGGATTCCTGGTGGAGAGCGCTGGGAGCACAAGCGCAGGTGGGGTGTGGAGATGGGCATGGGGCAGGTGCAAGGCAGGGGTCAGAAGCCATGCTGTGGCTCCCTTGTCCCGATCCAAAATAGTGTCCTCATTAGTCTTCCACCCTTGCCCTCCCACCATGTGTCTATCCTATTCTCCACAGACCAGATACCTAGAGAGATCTTTAGAAAACATAAACCCAAATATATTTATTTCCTATGTGAAACCATAACTTTCTATACCACTGAAACGTAAATGTTTATTCCTTTACAGCCCTGTGTTTTTCTTCCCCCGCCCCCCACTCCCCGCCCCGCCAGACAGAGTCCAATTCTGTCGCTCAGGAGTGCAGCAATCTCAGCTCACTGCAACCTCTGCCTCCCAGGTTCAAGTGATTCTCCTACCTCAGCCTCCCGAGTAGCTGGATTACAGGCGCCCATCACCATGCCTGGCTCATTTTTGTATTTTTAGTAGGGATGAGTTTTCACCATGTTGGCCAGGCTAGTCTCGAACTGACCTTGTGATCTGCCCGCTTCGGCCTCCCAAAGTGTTGGGATTACAGGCGTGAGCCACTGCACCCGGCCGAGCCCTGTGTTTTCTGCCTCTGCGTGCCCCTCCAGCCTTGTCTCAAGCCTCTCTCTACCTCACTCATATTCCAGCCGGACTGGCTGTGGCTTAGCAGCATTTGTCTTGGTCATGCTTTCATTGAGTTCCCATTTTACCAGTCTCACAACTTAGAGCATTCTGCAATGACGAAGGTGATGAATGTTTCCTGGTGACAGAAGCTGTACTTTCTAAGCCCATGGCGATCTGGCCATCATATGTTGGTAAATGCTTACCAACTGGCTCTCTGGGGGAAAAAAACAACAAAAACAAAAACCCTGCTTCACAGAATTTGCTGATTTTTCTGGTGTAAATAAATAACCCTACCATGGCCAATTTCAGGCTCCAGGGTATCACCACTGGAAGTGGAGTTGGAATGAGATGCACACAGCTCACAGTCACCTCTGGCAAGCCGGTAGGAGCCAGAGGTCCTGCACACCACCGACAAAACACAATGGAGAAGAGATGTCTTTTGTTTAAATTTAAAAATGATATTTGCTGGTTCAGAAGACAACCTCTGAATGAAGTAGAAAGAAGAAACTTACAAAGCCTTAAGCACTCCAGCCTGTTTTGGTAGGGGGTGTAATTAAGGTGGGAAAATTAAAAATGTAGTATAGCATCTGTTTCCATCTTTAGTTTTCCCAAGGACTTCTATTTTTACTTTCAAGTAATAACTGGGTTACAGTTGATAAGCAGTTTGAGACATAAACAGGATTTACGGACTCTAAAGTATTCAGACATTTGCTTGGTGGGAACCAGTTGTTACATTCAAGTTCTCATCATTCCCTCATGATATGCTGGGGAAAATACCCAGTGATTCCTACAAATCCCATCTATTGGGGGAATAGTTGTCTGTGAGTTCACTGAATGACTTGGCATTCAGGAAATTTAACAGGCCTCTTAACTGGAGATAAGATAACCCCAAAGACCAACACCAACCATCTTTATTAAGTTGCTTAGAGGCTGTTAGTAAAATATATAAATATATAAGGCAATAAGACAATTAACAGAGTATGTGGACCATCTGGGTTTGTGTTGAAGGGGTCCAGAAAGAAAGTGTTCAAAGAGATAAGTTTTGAAGGGAGAACATTTAGCCCCCAGATGCAGATTTGTGGTATGCAGAGTGAGCACATGCCAGGGCAGTGGAACCAAAGAATGGCGAAAAGTCATGAGGCAAAAATGAGCAGAATGGGGATTTCTAAAGTAATTCTTTCTTACACTCTTTCCTTTGTGTTACTCTGTTAATAATCTCTCTTTGATGTAATCAATGGCATTAGTTAACATTTGCTCAGCACACGTTTCAGGCTTGGCACCAAGTGTCTGGTTTTGTCCTTGCCATGAGATAGGCACTATTTATGATCTATTTTAATATCTATTTTAGTGAAGCTACTGAGATTTAGAAAAGAGTTTATTTAACTTGCTGTAACAGTTAGCTTTGCTGTGTAACAAATCACCCCAATTTCAGTAGCTAAAATAACATCCACTTCTTTTTTTTTTTTTTTTTTTGGAGACAGAGTTTTGCTCTTGTCACCTAGGCTGGAGTGCAATGGGACATCTCGACTCACTGCAGCCTTCACCTCCCAGGTTCAAGTGATTCTCCTGCCTCAGCCTCCCAAGTAGCTGGGATTACAGGCATGTGCCACCATGCCCAGCTAATTCTTTGTATTTTTAGTAGAGATGGGGTTTCACCACATTGGCCAGGCTGCACTCCTGACCTCAGGTGATCCTCCCGCCTTGGCCTCCCAAAGTGCTAGGATTACAGGCGTGAGCCACCGTACCCAGCCCAACATCCACTTCTTTAGCTCATGATTCAAGGTGTTGTCAGTTTGAGCTGGCTCACCTGGGCAGCCTCTCCCTGCTGGGCCCGCTCATGGCTCTTCAGTTCAACTATAGCGAGGTGAACAAAGTTAACCTTGTCCAACTTTCTCATTTTGGGGACCTTGGATGAGAGAGTTGAGCTCCACTCCACATGTTCGCTCATCCTCCAGTTACCTAGCCTTGGCCAGTTTATGGGGCATTTTGCAAGGTCCCAAGAAAATGAATGGGAACAGGCAAGTCCTCTTGAGATTAAAATTCAAAACTGGCACATTGTTCGTTCCACCACATTCTACTGGTCAAAGCAAGACATAATGCCAGAGCATTGTCAGGAGGCAGGGAAATAGACTCCATAACTTTATGGAAGTTGCTGTAAAGTCATTCAACAAAAAGTTGGAGAATTGTGGCCACTTTTGTAATCTATAGCACTTGCTGAAAATCACAAGACTATTATGGACAGGGAATTCAGGTCCAGGGTCATCCGTCTCCAAATCTCACTTGATATACTTTGGTTATCTGTCCCTTTCCAAATCCCCCATGTTGAAATGTAATCCCCAGGGTTGGAGGTAGGGCCTGGTGAGAGGTATTTGGATCCTGGGGGAGGATCCCTCATGGCTTGGTGCCACGATAGCAAGTTTGTTCTCATGAGATCTGATTGTTTCTAAAAGTGTGGCACCTCCCGACTGCCCTTGCTCCCACTCTGCCATGTACTGTGCCTGCTCCCATGCCACCTTCCACCGTGAGTAAAAGCTCCTTGAGCCCTCCAGAAGCCAAGCAGATGCTGGTGCCAGGCTTGAAGAGCATGCAGAACCATGAGCCAAGTAAACTTCTTTCTCTATAAATTACCCAGTCTCAGGTATTTATTTGGCAATGGAAAAATGGCCTAACACATTGCCGTTTCATCACAAAACTATGCCAAATCCAAGCAGTTTCTCTATTTTTCACTGGCCTCCTGATAGGACCACACCCATTCTATGTGGCATAATTTACCATCTGATCACCAGCTCCCTTTAATTAGACATGTACTTTCAGCATAAACACACACATGCCCACAATCTTATTACCTTCTCCAAGTTTCTGCTCATATTCTTCTCTTGCTTGAAATGACCTTTCTCCCTATTCACATTCTCTTCATCCATGATAACTTGGTTCAGGTTTTAATTTCTATACAAAGCTGCCTGTGACAGAGACTGCTAACTAACACCCAGTAATCTGGCCTTTCTCTCCTTTTACCTTTTAGTAACAGAATTCCCCTACGTTTTGGCTTGCAATGCATGCTTAGCCACAGAATACATTTCCCAGCCTCATGTGCAGCTTAGTGTGTGTGGCCATTTTAAAACATACTGCAACTTCTTGTTACCTCTCCCATAAAAAGGTGAAGTCTAATTCTTATGAATATGGGTCAGCCATAGTGATTCACTTCTAATGAGGAGAATGTGGAAGAAATGATACTGCATGACTTACAAGCCTAGGTCATAAAAAGTGGTACATCTTTACTTACTGTTTCTCTGACATGTAAGAAGTCTCCCTAGCCAAAAGATGCCATGCCAAATAGACTATGTTAAGGAGGCCACACAGAGAGGAAAGCTTGACACACCCCAGAGGTACCATACCTCAGCTGTTTGTCTTCCCAACCTCAGCCATAAGATAAGTCAGTGAGTCTCTAGATTATTCCAGCCCTTAGCTTTGAATTACCCCAGCTCAAGCTGAGGGGAGCAGAGCTAAGTTCTCCCTGCTAAGATCTGTCCAAATTGCAGTTTCATGAGCAAAATAACTTGTTTAAAATGATCACTAAGTTCAGTGGTGGTTAGTTTCACAACTGTAGAGAACTGGACATATTTTGGCACTCTAAACATGAGGTGCTGCCATAACCAAACCTAAAGCATGTGGCTTTGGGACTGAGCAGTGGGAAGAAGCTGGACTTAAGAAACATGTTAGTGAAGCATCAAGGACTTCAAAGAAATCATTAGCAGAGGCTTGATGACCCTCTGGAGGATTGCTGGTGAGGACTTACAGGAAAGTGAGGAAAATATTATTGGAAGCTGGAAAAAGAAAACCTTCGTGATGCAACAGCAGGAAGTTTAGTAACACCGTTGCCTGTGGCAATGTGGGAAATAGAAAAAGCACCTAATGAGCTAAATGTTCCAGCTAAGGAGATTTCCAGAGAGTGTGTTGAAAGTACCACCCAGTTTCTTTTTGCTATAAAAAAATAGACAAGCTAAAGCAAGCTAAAGAAAGAACTGTTAAATATAAAGGAGCCAGGACTTTCTGAGTTGAAAATAAAACTGATTTTCATTCTTAGTTTCTCCAATTGACATAGTGATTGCTAAAATTAAGAAATGGTTTCTGGAAGATATCAAATTCAGGGCACTGTCAGGACAACATAGTCTAAAGATGAACCCAAAGGTGCAATTGTAAAACTCTATGTGACGTTCTTAGAATTAAAATCAAAGTTCTCTAGAGATCATCAGGGTAGATCCTTTCCACCACACAACTTGGGCTTCTAAGAATCTTTTTTTTTTTTTTAAGGCAGAGTCTTGCTGTGTTGCCCAGGCTGGAGTGTAGTGGCACAATCTGGGCTCCCCACAACCTCCGCCTCCCAGGTTCAAGCGATTCTCCCACCTCAGCCTCCTGAGTAGTTGGGACCACAGATGCATGCCACCATGACTGGCTAATTTTTTTATTTTTAGTAGAGACGGGGTTTCACTATGTTGGCCAGGCTGGTCTTGAACTCCTGACCTCAGGTGATCCACCTGCCTCAGTCTCCCAAAGTGCTGGGATTACAGGCATGAGCCACCATGCCTGGCCAAGAATCTTAAATGAATTATTCCAGAGTCACCTTTCAGGGATCCCAGTGTAGAAAGACTTATCTTGAGATACATAGATGAGGCTTTTGTTTAATGGAGTGAATTCCAGTAGGTTACATAGTAAACCCAAAATGTTGTAAGAGGATTATATGGAACAAAATTTTGACAGGCAGGACACAGACTGAAAAATCTAATCTGCTGCAAACATGGCTACATTTTATAGAAAAAGAAAAGTTGACTCAGAGGATATATCCAAGAAACCATGGAGGATGATTCCCAGTTTCCCAGCTGCTGGAACTGAGCCTTCATCAAGGCACTAGCCATGTGTGTCCAGCTGGATTTCAGAAGTGCCATGGACCAAGGAGTTCTGTGTGCTTCTTTCTCCCCACTGTGTGAGTTAGAGTGTCTATAGCAGTTATCTTATGCCAGACCCACCACTGCATGTGGCATCAGCAGGACAGAAGACTTGTCTCCTTAGTACATAGATCTTCAGATCAAGAAAATGATCTTCCATGATCTACACTCGAGGAACTACCCGCAAGGAGCCTCACCCATGTGGGAACATGATTTAGATGACAAGACCCTGGGCCTCAAACCTAAACCTGATCTCTTAATAGATACAACTTTGCAAGTCCTGGGATGAAGCAAGTGTATTTTGCATGAAGGAAACATGTAAATAATTTGGGCTAGAACATCAATTGTGCTGCTTTTAAAATACATCCACAAATTCTGTGATACTCCTCCCACGAAAAGGTGGAGTCTAATTGTCCCCTCCTTGAATATGGGGCAGCCCTAGTTTACTCACTTCTGACAAATAGAAGGTGACAGGAAAAATACTGTGTGACTCACAAAGCCAAGTCATAGACGGTGACACCATAACTTTTGCTTGTGTCTCCTTCTCCCTTGGGACATGTGCTTTTGGAGCCCTAAAGCCACCATGGTGAAGAGAAAGATACCCAAGGATTCCCAGCTGTGCCAACCCCCATCTATTTAAGTCTTCCAGGTACCAACCACAAGGCTCTTAACATGATTCCAGTCTCCAGCCTTCAAGCTGCCTCGTCTGATGCCAAGCGGAATAGAGACATGCTATGCTCACTGAGGAGGTTCCAGCCACTTCAGCAAGCCAGAAAGAGGAAGAAAAGAAAGAAATGGAAAAGATATACAACTGTTATTATTCACAGCTGATATGATGAAGCCCCTAGCTTATTGGCTGATCACGTTGGATTTTAAAACTCACTCAAAACCGCTCAACTACATGGAAACTGAACAACCTGCTCCTGAATGACCACTGGGTACATAAAGAAATGAAGGCAGAAATAAAGATGTTCTTTGAAACCAACAAGAACAAAGATACAACATACCAGAATCTATGAGACACATTCAAAGCAGTGTGTAGAGGGAAATTTATAGCACTAAATGTCCACAAGAGAAAGCAGGAAAGATCTAAAATGGACACCCTAACATCACAATTAAAAGAACTAGAGAAGCAAGAGCAAACACATTCAAAAGCTAGCAGAAGGCAAGAAATAACTAAGATCAGAGAAGAACTGAAGGAAATAGAGACACAAAAAACCCTTCAAAAAAAAAAAAAAAATCAATGAATCCAGGAGCTGGTTTTTTGAAAAGATCAACAAAATTGATAGACCACTAGCAAGACTAATAAGAAAAGAGAGAAGAATCAAATAGACACAATAAAAAATGATAAAGGGGATATCACCACCGATTCCACAGAAATACAAACTACCATCAGAGAATACTATAAACACCTCTACGCAAATAAAGTAGAAAATCTAGAAGAAATGGATAAATTCCTTGACACATACACTCTCCCAAGACTAAACCAGGAAGAAGTTGAATCTCTGAATAGACCAATAACAGGCTCTGAAATTGAAGCAATAATTAATAGCTTACCAACCAAAAAAAGTCCAGGACCAGATGGATTCACAGCCGAATTCTACCAGAGGTACAAGGAGGAGCTGGTACCATTCCTTCTGAAACTATTCCAATCAATAGAAAAAGTGGGAATCCTCCCTAACTCATTTTATGAGGCCAGCATCATCCGATACCAAAGCCTGGCAGAGACACAACCAAAAGAGAATTTTAGACCAATATCCCTGATGAACATCGATGCAAAAATCCTCAATAAAATACTGGCAAACCAAATACAGCAGCACATCGAAAAGCTTATCCACCACGATCAAGTGGGCTTCATCCCTGGGATGCAAGGCTGGTTCAACATATGCAAATCAATAAACATAATCCAGCATATAAACAGAACCAATGACAAAAACCATATGATTATCTCAATAGATGCAGAAAAGGCCTTTGACAAAATTCAACAACCCTTCATGCTAAAAACTCTCAATAAATTAGGTATTGATGGGACGTATCTCAAAATAATAAGAGCTATCTATGACAAACCACAGCCAATATCCTACTGAATGGGCAAAAACTGGAAGCATTTCCTTTGAAAACTGGCACAAGACAGGGATGCCCTCTCTCACCACTCCTATTCAACATAGTGTTGGAAGTTCTGGCCAGGGCAATCAGGCAGGAGAAGGAAATAAAGGGTATTCAACTAGGAAAAGAGGAAATCAAATGTCACCTGTTTGCAGATGACATGATTGTATATCTAGAAAACCCCATCGTCTTAGCCCAAAATCTCCTTAAGCTGATAGGCAACTTCAGCAAAGTCTCAGGATACAAAATCAATGTGCAAAAATCACAAGCATTCTTATACACCAATAACAGACAAACAGAGAGCCAAATCATGAGCAAACTCCTATTCACAATTGCTTCAAAGAGAATAAAATACCTAGGAATCCAACTTACAAGGGACGTGAAGGGCCTCTTCAAGGAGAACTACAAACCACTGCTTAACGAAATCAAAGAGGATACAAACAAATGGAAGAATATTCCATGCTCATGGGTAGGAAGAATCAATATCGTGAAAATGGCCATACTGCCCAAGGTAATTTATAGATTCAATGCCATCCCCAATGGCATTCTTCACAGCTACCAATGACTTTCTTCACAGAATTGGAAAAAACTACTTTAAAGTTCATATGGAACCAAAAAGAGCCCACATTGCCAAGTCAATCCTAAGCCAAAAGAACAAAGCTGGAGGCATCACGCTACCTGACTTCAAACCATACTATAAGGCTACAGTAACCAAAACAGCATGGTACTGGTACCAAAACAGAGATATAGACCAATGGAACAGAACAGAGCCCTCAGAAATAACGCTGCATATCTACAACCATCTGATCTTTGACAAACCTGACAAAAACAAGAAATGGGGAAAGGATTCCCTATTTAATAAATGGTGCTGGGAAAACTGGCTAGCCATATGTAGAAAGCTGAAACTGGATCCCTTCCTTACACCTTATACAAAAATTAATTCAAGATGGATTAAAGACTTAAATGTTAGACCTAAAACCATAAAAACCCTAGAAGAAAACCTAGGCATTACCATTCAGGACATAGGTATGGGCAAGGACTTCATGTCTAAAACACCAAAAGCGATGGCAACAAAAGCCAAAATTGACAAATGGGATCTAATTAAACTAAAGAGCTTCTGCACAGCAAAAGAAACTACCATCACAGTGAAAAGGCAACCTACAGAATGGGAGAAAATTTTTGCAATCTACTCATCTGACAAAGGGCTAATATCCAGAATCTACAATGAACTCAAACAAATTCACAAGAACAACCAACCCCATCAAAAAGTGGGCAAAGGATATGAACAGACACTTCTCAAAAGAAGACATTTATGCAGCCAAAAGACATGAAAAAATGCTCATCATCACTGGCCATCAGAGAAATGCAAATCAAAACCACAATGAGATACCATCTCACACCAGTTAGTTAGAATGGCAATCATTAAAAAGTCAGGAAACAACAGGTGCTGGAGAGGATGTGGAGAAATAGGAACACTTTTACACTGTTGGTGGGACTGTAAACTAGTTCAACCATTGTGGAAGTCAGTGTGGCGATTCCTCAGGGATCTAGAACTAGAAATACCATTTGACCCAGCCATCCCATTACTGGGTATATACCCAAAGGATTATAAAACATGCTGCTATAAAGACACATGCACACATGTGTTTATAGCAGCACTATTCACAATAGCAAAGACTTGGAACCAACCCAAATGTCCAACAATGATAGACTGGATTAAGAAAATGTGGCACATATTCACCATGGAATACTATGCAGCCATAAAAAAGGATGAGTTCATGTCCTTTGTAGGGACATGGATGAAGCTGGAAACCATCATGCTCAGCAAACTATCACAAGGACAAAAAACCAAACACCACATGTTCTCACTCATAGGTGTGAATTGAACAATGAGAACACATGGACACAGGAAGGGGAACATCACACACTGGGGCCTGTTGTGGGGTTGGGGGAGGGGGGAGGGATAGCATTGGGAGATATACCTAGTGTTAGATGATGAGTTACTGGGTGCAGCACACCAACATGGCACATGTATACGTATGTAACTAACCTGCACGTTGTGCACACATACCTTAAAACTTAAAGTATAATAAAAAAAGAAAAAATCAATAGAAAAAAAGAATTAATGAAAGGTTGTAGCAAGATCACTAGATAAAAAGTCAGGTTTTTTTTTTAACTGCATTTCTATATAGGACCAACAATGAATTATAGAAATGTAAAAATAATACCTTTTATGATGTTATTAAAAACATTTAATATCTAAGAGAAAGTGAAAATCTAAATGAAATAGTGCGTTATCTAATGTCAAAGCCCATGACTTCTTCCTGATGCTACAGTCTGAACAAGATGTAAACTGATCCACAAAACATATGAAATGACAAAGGAAAATTGTTGCTACAAATAGCCAACCATAAAAGCGAAAATATGTTGGCAATGGAAGGAAATAGGGGTATATATCCTAATGTGTTTGTTAAACAGCTAAGAAAGCTACAGCTTCATAACTCCTACTTTGATCACCCTTCTTCTAAATTATGCTGAGTGTAAAATATAGTAAGGGAATCTAACTTGTAAAATAAAATACATCCCTTCACGACAAAGAGGAAGTCCCATTTATTGGTTATTAGAGAGCTTCTGCTTGAAATGTTTATATTTTATATCAGCCAGCCTTCTGTTACTTGGTAGAATTATGAATTTTTTTAAAGTAAATTTCTGCTGCTCTTCAACTGAGCGTACCACCTATCTAGAAGCATCCACGTGAGAAGAGCACTGATTGCACATTGATACCTGCTATTAAGAACACCTCCCTGGCCGGGCGCAGTGGCTCATGCCTGTAATCCCAGTACTTTGGGAGGCTGAGGAGGGCAGATCACCTGAGGTCAGGAGTTCGAGACCAGCCTGGCCAACAAGGCGCAACCCCGTCTCTACTAAAAATACAAAAAATTAGCCAGGCGTGGTGGCTTGTGCCTGTAGTCCCAGCTACTTGGGAGGCTGAGACACAAGAATTGCTTGAACCCGGGAGGCAGAGGTTGCAGTGAGCTGAGATGGCACCACTGCACTCTGGCCTTGATGACAGAGTGAGACTCTGTCTTAAAAAAAAAAAAAAAAAGACACCACCTCCCCTTCTCCTGATTCTGCATAAATAGTTCTTCGTCATTCAGTCCTCAGGTTACATGTCACCTCCAGAAAGGCCCTTCCTCACCACCAAATATATTAATAAAATAACTAGCCTTTATTGCATCACCATCTTTTAAATATCACTTGTCACTAAATGATGTCTTGTTTATTGTATGTGTTTTCCAGTTAGAATGGAAGTTAATGAGAGCAGACATTTTTTCATATTTATAACTGTCACTTTGTTAATCAGAACTGTATCTGAATAGAGTAGGTTCTTAGTGATTATTTCTTCAATAAATGAAGGAATAAAGTATGACTTTCAATTTGGGCTACCCCAGGTGAGATGAAGGCAGAGATGAATTGCTGATGCTTTGAGAAATGCAATCCCAGGGCAGAAAGGATGTGGGAGCAAGGCAGAAATGGATGGGAGTCAATGCCAGCCAAGGCTTTATTGTGCCAACCCCTCTTCACCATGAGCCAGAAAGAGATCCAGCCAGTTGCTCAGTGGAGCATCTGCTTGGCTCTATGGAATGTCTCTGCACAGGCTGTGCAGAAAAGTCCTGCCTCAGAGCAGTCCTCCAGAGAGAAGAAATGTATCTTCTCGGCTTGGTCCTGTCTCCTGTTTCCCACTGGATGATTTTCACTACCTGGGGAGTCAGCTCCCACACGTCCATGCCATCTGGTACGATTATTTTTTATTTTTTTTTAGAAACAGGGTCTTGCTCTGTTGCCCAGGCTATAGTGCAGTGGCATGACCATAGCTCACTGCAACTCCTAGGCTCAAGAGATAATCCTGCCTCAGCCTCCCAAGTAATTAGAGCAACTAGCGCACATCACCACACCCAGCTAAGTTTTTAAATTTTTTGTAGAGATGGGGTCTTTCTATATTGTCCAGGCTGGTCTCAAACTCCTGGCCTCAAGCAATCCTCCTGCCTCTGCCTCCCAAAGTGGTGGGATTATAGATGTGAGTCACTATGCCTGGCCTATCTGATGCCTTTAAAAGCCACTTAAGAAGTTATATCCAAAGACTCTGTCTCAGGGGGAGGAGCCAAGATGGCCGAATAGGAACAGCTCCGGTCTACAGCTCCCAGCGTGAGCAACGCAGAAGATGGGTGATTTCTGCATTTCCAACTGAGGTACCAGGTTCATCTCACTGGGGAGTGCCAGACAGTAGGTGCAGGACAGTGGGTACAGTGCACCATGCACCAGGCGAAGCAGGGCAAGGCATCGCCTCACCCGGGAAGCACAAGGGGTCAGGGAATTCCCTTTCCTAGTCAAAGAAAGCGGTGACAGAGGGCACCTGGAAAATCAGGTCACCCCCACCCTAATACTGCACTTTTCCAAAGGGCTTAAGAAACGGCACACCAGGAGATTATATCCCACACATGGCTCAGAGGGTCCTATGCCCACGGACTCTCGCTCATTGCTAGTACAGCAGTCCGCGATCAAACTGCAAGGTGGCAGCAAGGCTGGGGGAGGGGTGCCCGCCATTGCCGAGTTAGTTGTTTGATTAGGTAAACAAAGCAGCTGGGAAGCTTGAACTGGGTGGAGCCCACCACAGCTCAAGGAGGCCTGCCTGCCTCTGTAGGATCCATCTCTGGGGGCAGGGCACAGACAAACAAAAAGACAGCAGTAACCTCTGCAGACTTAAATGTCCCTGTCTGACAGCTTTGAAGAGAGCAGTGGTTCTCCCAGCACGCAGCTGGAGATCTGAGAATGGGCAGACTGCCTCCTCAAGTGGGTCCCTGACCCCTGACCCCCGAGCAGCCTAACTGGGAGGCACCCCCCAGCAGGGGCAGACTGACACCTCACATGGCCGGGTACTCCTCTGAGACAAAACTTCCAGAGGAACGATCAGGCAGCAGCATCTGTGGTTCACCAATATCCAGTGTTCTGCAGCCACCGTTGCTGATACCTAGGCAAACAGGGTCTGGAGTGGACCTCTAGCAAACTCCAGAAGACCTGCAGTTGAGGGTCCTGTCTGTTAGAAGGAAAGCTAACAAACAGAAAGGACATCCACACCAAAAACCCATCTGTACATCATCATCATCAAAGACCAAAGGTAGATAAAACCACAAAGATGGGAAAAAAACAGAGCAGAAAAACTGGAAACTCTAAAAATCAGAGCACCTCTCCTCCTCCAAAGGAATGCAGCTCCTCACCAGCAATAGAACAAAGTTGGATGGAGAATGACTTTGATGAGTTGAGAGAAGGCGGCTTCAGACGATCAAACTACTCTGAGCTACGGGAGGAAATTCGAACCAATGGCAAAGAAGTCAAAAGCTTTGAAAAAAAGATTAGACGAATGGCTAACTAGAATAACCAATGCAGAGAAGTCCTTAAAGGACCTGATGGAGCTGAAAACCAAGGCACGAGAGCTACATGACGAATGCAGAAGCCTCAGTAGCCGATGCGATCAACTGGAAGAAAGGGTATCAGTGATGGAAGATCAAATGAATGAAATGAAGCAAGATGAGAAGTTTGAAGAGTAAAAAGAAACGAACAAAGCCTCCAAGAAATATGGGACTATGTGAAAAGACCAAATCTACGTCTGATTGGTGTACCTGAAAGTGACGGGGAGAATGGAACCAAGTTGGAAAACACTCTGCAGGATATTATCCAGGAGAACTTCCCCAATCTAGCAAGGCAGGCCAACATTCAAATTCAGGAAACACAGAGAACACCACAAAGATACTCGTTGAGAAGAGCAACTCCAAGACACATAATTGTCAGATTCACCAAAGTTGAAATGAAGGAAAAAATGTTAAGGGCAGCCAGAGAGAAAGGTTGGGTTACCCACAAAGGGAAGACCATCAGACTAATAGCTGATCTCTCTGCAGAAACTCTACAAGCCAGAAGAGAGTGGGGACCAATATTCAACATTCTTAAAGAATTTTCAACCAAGAATCTCATATCCAGCCAAACTAAGCTTCATAAGTGAAGAAGAAATAAAATACTTTACAGACAAGCAAATGCTGAGAGATTTTGTCACCACCAGGCCTGCCCTAAAAGAGCTCCTGAAGGAAGCACTAAACATGGAAAGGAACAACCAGTACCAGCCACTGCAAAAACATGCCAAATTGTAAAGACCATCAAGGCTGGGAAGAAACTGCATCAACTAATGAGCAAAATAACCAGCTAACATCATAATGACAGGATCAAATTCCCACATAACAATATTAACTTTAAATGTTAATGGGCTAAATGCTCCAATTAAAAGACACAGACTGGCAAATTGGATAGAGAGTCAAGACTCATCAGTGTGCTGTATTCAGGAAAGACACACATAGGCTCAAAATAAAGGGATGGAGGAAGATCTACCAAGCAAATGGAAAACAAAAAAAGGCAGGGTTTGCAATCCTAGTCTCTGATAAAACATACTTTAAACAAACAAAGATCAAAAGAGACAAAGAAGGCCATTATATAATGGCAAAGGGATCAATTCAACAAAAAGAGCTAACTATCCTAAATATATATGCACCCAATACAGGAGCTCCCAGATTGATAAAGCAAGTCCTTAGTGACCTACAAAGAGACTTAAAGTCTCACATTATTATTGCATGGGAGTTTAACACCACACTATCAACATTAGACAGATCAACGAGACAGAAAGTTAACAAGGATACCCAGGAATTGAACTCAACTCGGCACCAAGCAGACCTAATAGACATCTACAGAACTCTCCACCCCAAATCAACAGAATATACATTCTTTTCAGCACCACACCACACCTACTCCAAAACTGACCACATAGTTGGAAGTAAAGCACTCCTCAGCAAATGTAAAAGAACAGAAATTATAACAAACTGTCTCTCAGACCACAGTGAAATCAAACTAGAACTCAGGATTAAGAATCTCACTCAAAACCGCTCAACTACTTGGAAACTGAACAACCTGCTCCTGAATGACTACTGGGTACATAATGAAATGAAGGCAGAAATAAAGATGTTCTTTGAAACCAATGAGAACACAGGCACAACATACCAGGATCTCTGGGACACAGTCAAAGCAGTGTGTAGAGGGAAATTTATAGCACTAAATGCCCACAAGAGAAAGCAGGAAAGATCTAAAATTGACACTCTAACATCACAATTAAAAGAGCTACAGAAGCAAGAGCAAACACATTCAAAAGCTAGCAGAAGGCAAGAAATAACTAAGATCAGAGAAGAACTGAAGGAAATAGAGACATAAAAAACCCTTCAAAAAATTAATGAATCCAGGAGCTGGTTTTCTGAAAAGATCAACAAAATTGATAGACCGCTAGCAAGACTAATAAAAAAGAAAACAGAGAAGAATCAAATAGACGCAATAAAAAATGATAAAGGGGATATCACCACTGATTCCACAGAAATACAAACTAACATCAGAGAATACTATAAACACCTCTACGCAAATAAACTAGAAAATCTAGAAGAAATGGACAGGTAAACGAGAAAAACACACAAATGTATTTAATGTAAGTTTTACATGGCATGGGAACCTTTAGAATAAAGGCCTAAAGAAACACGGGAAACTATGTTTTATGCTTAGGTTGGATGAAGAGGTGGATAGTTGTGGAGAAGTATGATTGGACAAAGTGCGTAGATTTAATGTTAATAGACTCAGGGAATTTAGCAAGGCCTGTTTCTTTAGATTCTCCTCTGCCTTCCTGTGTCTTCAGAGATAAGGCTACTCCTGTGAATAGTGCCGCAATAAACAAAGACTTGGAACCAACCCAAATGTCCATCAGTGATAGACTGGATTAAGAAAATGTGGCACATATACACCATGGAATACTATGCAGCCAGAAAAAAAAGATGAGTCCATGTCCTTTGTAGGGACATGGATGAAGCTGGAAACCATCATTCTCAGCAAACTATCGCAAGGACAGAAAATCAAACACTGCATGTTCTCACTCATAGGTGGGAATTGAACAATGAGAACACATGGACACAGGAAGGGGAACATCACACACTGGGGCCTGTTGGGGGGTGGGGGGAGGGGGGAGGGATAGCATTAGGAGATATACCTAATGCTAAATGACGAGTTAATGGGTGCAGCACACCAACATGGCACATGTATACATATGTAACAAACCTGCATGTTGTGCACATATACCCTAAAACTTGAAGTATAATAATAATAAAATTTAAAAAAAAAGTTATATCCTACCCCGACATGGGCTGAATAATGGCCCAACACAGATAACCACATCCTAATCCCCAGAATCTGTGAATGTTATCTATGGCAAAAGGGACTCAGCAGATGTGATTAAGATTAAGAGTCTTAAGGCCAGGTGGGGTGGCTCACCCCTGTAATGCCAGCACTTTGGGAGGCAAAGGCAGGTGGATCACGAGGTCAGGAGTTCAAGACCAGCCTGGCCAACATAGTGAAACCCCGTCTCTACTAAAAATACAAAAATTAGCCAGATGTGGTGGCAGGCACCTGTAGCCCCAGCTACTTGGCTCAGGTAGGAGAATCGCTTGAACCCAGGAGGTGGGGGTTGCAGTGAACTAAGATTGCGCCACTGCACTCCAGCCTGGGTGACAGAGTAAGACTTCATCTCAAAAAAAAAGAGTTTTGAGATGGAGCGATTATTCTAGGTTATCCAAGTAATCCCAAGGGGTCTTTGAAGGGGGAGGCAGAAAATCAGAGGCAGGGGTGGGAGATGTGACAACAGAAGCAAGAGTAAGAGTGAGGCAAGAAAGGGTCCACGGGCGGCGGGGAGAATGCCAGCAACCTCCGCAAGCCTGGAGAGGACAGGAGGAGAAATCCACCCTGCTGGCATCTTGATTTTAGAAGCATGAAGCTCATTTCATACAATGACCTCCAGAAATGTGAGCAAACTAACTTCTGTTGCTTTAAACCACCACATTTGCGGTAACTTGTGACAGCAGCAACAGGAAACGAATTCACATGCCCTGAAGGTAGCATTTCATCGAAATCTCTGGCAGGAGGATCTTGAGACTCCAGGTACACAGCTGGTTAGTCTTCAGGGGTGGAAAATCGAAGGCCTGCGTGGAGTCAGTCAACTGTCTTGGTGCTGAGTGGACCAAGCTTCCAAGAGCTTGGGGGACAGATGAGGCCAAGGAACCTGAAGAGGTAGGTAAGAGAGGCAGCATCCAGGGACCCATATAGAAAACAATCACTTATATTAACAAGGTGTGGACAGAGAAAATGTGTATATGTTGACTGTATTATCACTGCCTTTTATGATACAGTCATCCCTTGGTATCCATGGGTGATTGGCTGCAGGACCCCCCCCATGGATACCAAAATCCAAGGATGCTCAAGTCCCTGATATGCAATGGCACATCCTCCTGTATATACTCTAGGTTACTTGTAATACCTAGTACAGTGTAAATGCTATGTAAATAGTTGTTGTACCACATGGTTTAGGGAACAATAACAAGGAAAAAAGTCTGTACATGTTCAATATAGACGCAACATTTTTTCAAGTATTTTCAGTCCTTGCCTGGTTGAATCTACGGATGTGGAACCCACAGGTACAGAGGGCTGGCTGAACATCATTTTCAGCTGTTGTAAGGAATAAATACTGAGCCTCATGAGACATCCCCTGGGCCCCTCGGAGTGAATTTAATGTCATATCATCTCTACTCTTATGTCAGACCATCACAAACACACCTTTAAAATTTGGTAAAAATTGCCAAGTGCAGTGGCTCACACCTGTAATTCCCGCACTTTGGGAGGCTGAGGTGGGCAGATCGTGTCAGGAGATAGAGACCATCCTGGCCAACATGGTGAAACCCCGTCTCTACTAAAAAATACAAAAATTAGCCGGGCATGGTGGTGCATGCCTGTAATCCCAGCTATTTGGGAGGCTGAGGCAGGAGAATCGCTTGAACCAGGGAGTCGGAGGTTGCAGTGAGCTGAGATCGTGCCACTGCATTCCAGCCTGGCAACAAAGCAAGATTCCGTCTCAAAAAAAGAAAAAAAAATTGGTAAAAATCTATTCAGACAAACAATTTTTATATTTGATATAGAATTTATAGAGTATGTATTAGGGTAACTAGTTGCTTTAGCCAACAAATTCCTATGTTTCAACCACTTAATATAATGAAAGATGATTTTTTGCTTCTGTGACAGTCCAATATCGACATCATGTTGGGAGAGTGGTAGTTACTCCCTGCGGCTCTTCAGGGGCCCAGATTGACAGGGGATCTGCCTTCTACATTTAGCTTCCAAGGTCTCCCTGGGTGGAGCTGGGCAGAGCTGGCAGAAAGGAAACAAACAGTCCATTGAATTGTTGAATAAGGACATTCACTTCTTAACCTTTTCAGCCTGGAAGTGACTTCACTTCTGCTCCCAATCCACTAGCAAGACCTAATCATGTGGCATTACTTACATGCAAGGGATGCTGAGAAATGGATGCAGCGGCTGCTGGGAAATGCAGCTTCAAGCTGGACAACTGCCCTTTCCATAGCAACTGTATTGTACATAAGGAGAGAATGATGCTTTGGTGGACAGTTAGCTGTCACTGTCACAGTCTGCCTCTCTGGCCAAGAAATATTCACAAATACTCTCTTCTCCAAATTCAGAAAATTCTTCCCCTGGCCAAAAATAACACTCAAGGGAGTTAACTCAAAATTCTATTGAGTTACTGCATCCCTAGGAACAAAACAGATGGGCAGCCAGCAAGAGATTGTTCAATCTGTATAACCAAGAGAAATCAAGGATGCGTGATCAGGAACCTGAAAGTCACCAATAAAAAGTCACAATCCCTTGTCCAGTTTCTGGGGTTGAGCCACTGTTTGGCCCCAGGTGCATTGACTAAAGAAAAGACTGTGTCCCTAGGAGGCAGAGCCTTGCAAAACCACACAGCAAGAGGGTGAGGTCCTGGGTCTCCCAGGCTTTTACCAAAGGGATATACTTGGGTCACTGAATACCAAGGATTACCCAAACATTTGAGTGACTGTTGCACGAGGTCTTAGTAGACATTAATACCTAGAGACACAAACGGGCATCTTGGGCCCCTGTTAGAGCGGAGAATATTGGAGTAGCTAAAACATGGAGACTGGCCCAGATCCTGCCTATTTATGGTGTGTCCACTGGGTCTGCAGACTCATCCAAGTGGTCACGTCTCTGGACCCCAAATGTATAATGGAAATAGACATGCTTCATTTGTTGGTTCCTAGGCTTAGGGTAAGACTATCATCGTAGAAAGGACCAAGGGGAATCCTCTGAAATGAACCCCCCTCTATAACCATAGACAGTGCGTCCAAAGCGATACAGCATTCCAAAATGAATGGCAGAAATTAGTGTCATCCCTAAAGGACCAGAAGATGCAGGGTGATGGACCCCATCATGTTGCCATTTAATTCACAAGCGTGGGCCCTGCAAAAACCAGACAGATCCTGGAGGATGACAATGGTCCATGGCAAACTCAATTAAGCAGCAGTCGCCATTGCAACTGCTGTGTCAGGTGTGATATCATTGCTAGGTCAGAATACCTTGGCCTGAGTGGATGTTACATGTGAATTAACATACATTCTTGCTTGGAATCCCATTTTTTAAAAATAATTTCTAATGAACTTTAATTAGAATGTATAACTTTGATGTCTGAAGATAGATGAAACCTGTAGGATATGTTTATTTCTTCAAAGACGTTACATAATTAAAGTGTAATAAATGATATCACCTATAATAACTAATTTTCACATGGTTCTTATTTGGCGAACTCAGTAATTCAAAACATGGCAAGAATCTGGTAGGAAGCAAAACTTGGCTTCATGTGAGTAACTCATAACTGTTCGTGTGAGCTTTGCTGATTCCATTTGTGCTTGAAAAGGGTCAGGAAAGATTATCCTCCCTTTCATCACAGTCAGCAGGCATCCTCTTCTCTCCTCATTCGCCTGTGCCCTCTGCAGCGAATGATCTGTCACCTGCAAAACCATCACCACCACCCCTTAAGTTCCTCTGACCTTCTACCCCTAACTGAAAACCTGTGTATTCCCAGCAACCTTCTCAAGTGAGGGTTGTTTGCATCCCAGCTCTGTGCCACTGGGCCTGGGGTGAGGTGATTATTCTTTTAGCCCCTCCAGACCCTTGCTCTTCCTTCTTTTCTGAAAACCCTCACATTGTTTGAAGCAGTGCTATTGGAACAGACCATCCTTACCCCTTCCTCATACAAGTATTTGGCTGTCTTTCTCTGCCCAACTGTTCTGGAGACTTCCCTCTCACAGACAGTCCATCCAGCGGCCCTGGCTTCTTGGTCCTTTGACCTCCTTACTCCTAGTAATCTTCCCCACCAAACTCTGGCCTGCTGCTCCCAAACTATTTCATTTCACTTTTTCTTTTTCTTTTCTTCTTTTTTTTCGAGACAGTCTCACTCTGTCGCCCAGGCTGGAATGCAGTGGCTCAATCTCGGTTCACTGCAAGCTCTGCCTTCCAGGTTCACGCCATTCTTCTGCCTCAGCCTCCTGAGTAGCTGGGACTACAGGTGCCTGCCACCATGCCTGGTTAATTTTTTGTATTTTTAGTAGAGACGGGGTTTCACTGTGTTAGCCAGGATGGTCTCGATCTCCCGACCTCGTGATCTGCCTGCCTTGGCCTCCCAAAATGCTGGGATTACAGGCGTGAGCCACCGCGCCCAGCCTCATTTCCACTTTTTCTCAGCACAGTCCCTCTAGTGACACTTCTCCAACAATGCTAGCCCATGATGACTTCCAAACCAGTGAGGCCACTTTCTTCAATGTCCACTGCTCCCTCCTTCCACAGTCTAGAATCTCTCATCCATAAGTATAATTTCATTTGTATATACCCTCAGCTCCCTCCTCATCCCTCCCCTCCCTACATTTGTCTTCAAAAATCCCACCCACAGCTAAATCCAACTCTCTAAGTCTATATTTGATGGTTAATTTTATGTGTCAACATGACTGAGCCATGGGATGCCCAGATAACTGCTCAGACATTATTTCTGTGTGGTCTCTGAGGGTGTATCCAGAAGAGATTAGCATTTGAATTGGTGAACTGAGTAAAGCCCTTGTGGGTGGGCATTACCCAATCTATTAGCAAAGGGAGGTTGAGTCCACTCTCTGCTGATTACTGGAGCTGCCTTATTGATCTTCTCCTGTCCTTGGAGCACCTGGTTCTCAGGCCTTCTGACCCAGAATGGAATCTACACCATTGGCTCTCTGGCTTTCAGGCCTTGGAATTATATCACAAGCTTTCTTGGGTCTCCAGCTTGCAGACAGAAGCTTGTGGGACTTAATGAAGTATCCATAATCAACCTCCATAATCACATGAGCCAATGCCTTATAATCCGTTTCTTTCTGGTTATATATATCTTATTGGATCTGTTTCTCTGAGGACCCCTGACTAATGCCCTGTATTTGAGCAGCTGAATATTGCTGGAGAAACATAACCACGATAGCTCTCACTTTATCACAGTCTTCAGAAGCTGGCAGCCCCTTCACATCCATCCTGCCACCCTTCCCTAATGAATTCAGTCTCTTGTTTCCTGACCCAAGACCACTTTCTCAAAACTCCTCTCTAAGCTCCCTGCAGCCATTCCTTCTATTTGTCACTTATTGCACTGTGAAAATCCAATGGTTAGCAGAGAACATTTGCATCTTCTACAACATCTTCCAATTTATCCTACATATTCTCATGGCCTTCATGCCATGTAGATGCTGACTTTCTCTCCCTTGAGCTTAAGGTCTTCCTATTTGATCTTCTACTTGGTTTCTCCACTTGCATGTGTATTAGGCAGGTGAAATATAGCACGTCCAGAAAAGAATGCCTGATTTTCTCTCCCCCTTATTTCCTATCTTGCTCAGTTGTCAGGCATCATTCTTGACTCCTCTGTGTCCCTGACATTCCACATCTAGTCCATGAACATGTACTGTTTCTACCTCCCCTGGTCTTCCAAATTCAACCATTTCTTAGCACCTCCACCACTACCATTCTCTCTTTCTGTGACTACTACAGTAGCCCCTACCAGATCTCCCAGCCTCCATGCATGTTGCGTCATCGGTAATCAGAACCATCTTTTAAAGATGAAAATTGGCCAGGCGTGCTGGCTCATGCCTGTAATCCCAGCACTCTGGGAGGTTCAGGAAGGTGGATCACTTGAAGTCAGGAGTTCAAGACCAGCCTGGCAAACACGGTGAAACCCCTTCTCTGTTAAAAATGCAAAAAATTAGCCAGGTGTGGTGGCATGCCCCTGTAATCCCAGCTACTTGGCAGACTGAGGCAGGAGAATCGCTTGAACCCGGGAGGCAGAGGTTGCAGTGAACCGAGATTGCAGCACTGCACACTAGCTTGGTGACAGAGTCAGACTGCCTCAAAAAGATAAATAAAGATGAAAATTGGATCAAGTATCTTCTTGCACAAAATCTTTCATTGGTTTCTCATCACTATTTAGAATAAAATTGAGTCTCCTTCCATGGTCTGCGAAGTCCTGCACTGTGGTCCACTCTGCCACCTCTCCAACCTCATCCCCATCGCTTTTCCATCCCCAGCCCTGGTGTCCTCTGCTCTTCTTGTTTCTTGAGCATTTCAAGCTGGTTCTGGCTTCACAATCCTCACCCCTGCTGTTCACTGTCTAGCATTGGCTTGCCTGCAGAATTTCACATTACTGGCTGCCTTACTTCATTTAAGTGTCTGCTTAAAAGTCACTTCCCTGAGGGTGGAGCCAAGGTGGCCAAATAGGAACACCTCCAGTCTACAGCTCCCAGTGCGAGCAACGCAGAAGACGGGTGATTTCTGCATTTCCAACTGAGTTACTGGGTTCATCTCACTGGGGAGTGTCAGAAAGTGGGTGCAGGACAGTGGGTGCAGCACACCGCATGTGAGCCGAAGCAGGGCAAGACATCGCCTCACCCGGAAAGCTCAAGGGGTCAGGGAATTCCCTTTCCTAGTCAAAGAAAGGGGTGACAGCACCTGGAAAATCAGGTCACTCCCACCCTAATACAGCGCTTTTCCAACAGTCTTAGCAAACGGCACACCAGGAGATTATATCCTGCGCATGGCTCGGAGGGTCCTACGCCCACAGAGCCTTGCTCATTGCTAGCACAGCAGTCTGAGATCAAACTGCAAGGTGGCAGCGAGACTGGCGGAGGGGCGCCCGCCATTGCCCAGGCTTGAGTAGGTAAACAAAGTGGCCATGAAGCTCGAACTGGGTGGAGCCCACCATAGCTCAAGGAGGCCTGCCTGCCTCTGTAGGATCCACTTCTGGGGGCAGGGTATAGCCAAACAAAAGGCAGCAGAATCCTCTGCAGACTTAAATGTCCCTGTCTGACAGTTTTGAAGAGAACAGTGGTTCTCCCAGCACACAGCTGGAGATCTGAGAACGGGCAGACTGCCTCCTCAAGTGGGTCCCTGATCCCCGAGTAGCCTAACTGGGAGGCACACCCCAGTAGGGGCAGACTGACACCTCACACAGCCGGGTACTCCTCTGAGACAAAACTTCCAGAGGAACAATAAGGCAGCAACATTTGCTGTTCACCAATATCCGCTGTTCTGCAGCCTCTGCTGCCGATACCCAGGCAAACAGGGTCTGGAGTGGACCTCCAGCAAACTCCAACAGACCTGCAGCTGAGGGTCCTGACTGTTAGAAGGAAAACTAACAAACAGAAAGGACATCCACACCAAAACCCCATCTGTACATCACCATCATCAAAGACCAAAGGTAGATAAAACCACAAAGATGGGGGGAAAAAGCAGAGCAGAAAAACTGGAAACTCTAAAAATCAGAGCACCTCTCCTCCTCCAAAGGAACACAGCTCCTCACCAGCAATGGAACAAAGCTGGATGGCGAATGACTTTGACAAGTTGAGAGAAGAAGGCTTCAGACGATCAAACTACTCTGAGCTAAAGGAAGAAGTTCGAACCCACGGCAAATAATTGAAAAACCTGGAAAAAAATTAGACAAATGGCTAACTAGAATAACCAATGCAGGGAAGTCCTTAAAGGACCTGATGGAGCTGAAAACCAAGGCAAGAAAACTATGTGACAAACGCACAAGCCTCAGTAGCCGATGTGATCAACTGGAAGAAAGGGTATCAGTGATGGAAGATCAAATGAATGAAATGAAGCGAGAAGAGAAGTTTAAAGAATAAAAAGAAATGAACAAAGCCTCCAAGAAATATGGGACTATGTGAAAAGACTAAATCTACGTCTGATTGGTGTACCTGAAAGTGACTGGGAGAATGGAACCAAGTTGGAAAACACTCTGCAGGATATTATCTAGGAGAACTTCCCCAATCTAGCAAGGTAGGCCAACATTCAAATTCAGGAAATACAGAGAACACCACAAAGATACTCGTCGAGAAGAGCAACTCCAAGACACATAATTATCAGATTCACCAAAGTTGAAATGAAGGAAAAAATGTTAAGGGCAGCCAGAGAGAAAGGTCGGGTTACCCACAAAGGGAAGACCATCAGACTAACAGCTGATCTCTCTGCAGAAACTCTACAAGCCAGAAGAGAGTGGGGACCAATATTCAATATTCTTAAAGAATTTTCAACCCAGAATTTCATATCCAGCCAAACTGAGCTTCATAAGTGAAGGAGAAATAAAATACTTTACAGACAAGCAAATGCTGAGAGATTTTGTCACCACCAGGCCTGCCCTAAAAGAGCTCCTGAAGGAAGCACTAAACATGGAAAGGAACAACCAGTACCAGCCACAGCAAAAACATGCCAAATTGTAAAGACCATCAAGGCTGGGAAGAAACTGCATCAACTAATGAGCAAAATAACCAGCTAACATCATAATGACAGGAACAAATTCACACATAACAATATTAACCTTAAATGTAAATGGGCTAAATGCTCCAATTAAAAGACACAGACTGGCAAATTGGATAAAGAGTCAAGACCCATCAGTGTGCTGTATTCAGGAAACCCATCTCACGTGCAGAAACACACACAGGCTCAAAATAAAGGGATGGAGGAAGATCTACCAAGCAAATGGAAAACAAAAAAAAGGCAGGGGTTGCAATCCTAGTCTCTGATAAAACATACTTTAAACCAACAAAGATCAAAAGAGACAAAGAAGGCCATTATATAATGGTCAAGGGATCAATTCAACAAGAAGAGCTAACTATCCTAAATATATATGCACCCAATACGGGGGCACCCAGATTCATAAAGCAAGTCCTTAGAGACCTAGAAAGAGACTTAGACTCCCACACAATAATAATGGGAGACTTTAACACCCCACTGTCAACATTAGACAGATCAATGAGACAGAAAGTTAACAAGGATATCCAGGAATTGAACTCAGCTCTGCACCAAGCGGACCTAATAGACATCTACGGAACTCTCCACCCCAAATCAATAGATATATATTCTTCTCAGCACCACACCACACTTATTCCAAAATTGACCACGTAGTTGGAAGGAAAGCACTCCTCAGCAAATGTAAAAGAACAGAAATTATAACAAACTGACTCTCAAGACCACAGTGCAATCAAACTAGAACTCAGGATTAAGAATCTCACTCAAAACCACTCAACTACTTGGAAACTGAACAACCTGCTCCTGAATGACTACTGGGTACATAATGAAATGAAGGCAGAAATAAAGATGTTCTTTGAAACCAATGAGAACACAGACACAACATACCAGAATCTCTGGGACACATTCAAAGCAGTGTGTAGAGGGAAATTTATAGCACTAAATGCCCACAAGAGAAAGCAGGAAAGATCTAAAATGGACACCCTAACATCACAATTAAAAGAACTAGAAAAGCAAGAGCAAACACATTCAAAAGCTAGCAGAAGGCAAGAAATAACTAAGATCAGAGAAGAACTGAAGGAAATAGAGACACAAAAAACCCTTCAAAAAAAAAAAAAAATCAATGAATCCAGGAGCTGGTTTTTTGAAAAAATCAACAAAATTGATAGACCACTAGCAAGACTAATAAAGAAGAAAAGAGAGAAGAATCAAATAGACGCAATAAAAAATGATAAAGGGGATATCACCACTGATTCCACAGAAATACAAACTACCATCAGAGAATACTATAAACACCTCTATGCAAATAAAGTAGAAAATCTAGAAGAAATGGATAAATTCCTCGACACATACACTCTCCCAAGACTAAACCAGGAAGAAGTTGAATCTCTGAATAGACCAATAACAGACTCTGAAATTGAAGCAATAATTAATAGCTTACCAACCAAAAAAAGTCCAGGACCAGATGGATTCACAGCCGAATTCTACCAGAGGTACAAGGAGGAGCTGGTACCATTCCTTCTGAAACTATTCCAATCAATAGAAAAAGTGGGAACCCTACCTAACTTGTTTTACGAGGCCAGCATCATCCTGATACCAAAGCCTGGCAGAGACACAACCAAAAAAGAGAATTTTAGACCAATATCCCTGAAGAACATCAATGCAAAAATCCTCAATAAAATACTGGCAAACCAAATCCAGTAGCACATCAAAAAGCTTATCCATCACAATCAAGTGGACTTCATCCCTGGGATGCAAGGCTGGTTCAACATAAGCAAATCAATAAACGTAATCCAGCATATAAATAGAACCAACGACAAAAACCATATGATTATCTCAATAGATGCAGAAAAGGCCTTTGACAAAATTCAACAACCCTTCATGCTAACAACTCTCAATAAATTAGGTATTGATGGGACGTATCTCAAAATAATAAGAGCTATCTATGACAAACCACAGCCAATATCCTACTGAATGGGCAAAAACTGGAAGCATTTCCTTTGAAAACTGGCACAAGACAGGGATGCCCTCTCTCACCACTCCTATTCAACATAGTGTTGGAAGTTCTGGCCAGGGCAATCAGGCAGGAGAAGGAAATAAAGGGTATTCAACTAGGAAAAGAGGAAATCAAATTGTCCCTGTTTGCAGATGACATGATTGTATATCTAGAAAACCCCATCGTCTCAGCCCAAAATCTCCTTAAGCTGATAGGCAACTTCAGCAAAGTCTCAGGATACAAAATCAACATACAAAAATCACAAGCATTCTTATACACCAATAACAGACAAACAGAGCCAAATCATGAGTGAACTCCCATTCACAATTGCTCCAAAGGGAATAAAATACCTACAAATCCAACTTACAAGGGACGTGAAGGACCTCTTCAAGGAGAACTACAAACCACTGCTCAAAGAACATTCCATGCTCATGGGTAGGAAGAATCAATATCATGAAAATGGCCATACTGCCCAAGGTAATTTATAGATTCAATGCCATCCCCATCAAGCTACCAATGACTTTCTTCACAGAATTGGAAAAAACTACTTTAAAGTTCATATGGAACCAAAAAGAGCCCACATTGCCAAGTCAATCCTAAGCCAAAAGAACAAAGCTGGAGGCATCACACTACCTGACTTCAAACTATACTACAAGGCTACAGTAACCAAAACAGCATGGTACTGGTACCAAAACAGAGATACAGACCAATGGAACAGAACAGAGGCCTCAGAAATAATGCCACATATCTACAACCATCTGATCTTTGACAAACCTGACAAAAACAAGAAATGGGGAAAGGATTCCCTATTTAATAAATGGTGCTGGGAAAACTGGCTAGCCATATGTAGAAAGCTGAAACTGGATCCCTTCCTTACACCTTATACAAAAATTCAAGATGGACTAAAGACTTAAATGTTAGACCTAAAACCATAAAAACCCTAGAAGAAAACCTAGGCAATACCATTCAGGACATAGGTATGGGCAAGGACTTCATGTCTAAAACACCAAAAGCAATGGCAACAAAAGACAAAATTGACAAATGGGGTCTAATTAAACTAAAGAACTTCTGCACAGCAAAAGAAACTACCATCACAGTGAACAGGCAACCTACAGAATGGGAGAAAATTTTTGCAATCTACTCATCTGACAAAGGGCTAATATCCAGAATCTACAATGAACTCAAACAAATTTACAAGAAAAAAACAACCCCATCAACAAATCAGCAAAGGATATGAACAGACACTTCTCAAAAGAAGACATTTATGCAGCCAAAAGACACATGAAAAAATGCTCATCACTGGTCATCACAGAAATGCAAATCAAAACCACAATGAGATACCATCTCACACCAGTTAGAATGGCAATCATTAAAAAGTCAGGAAACAACAGGTGCTGGAGAGGATGTGGAGAAATAGGAACACTTTTACACTGTTGGTGGGACTGTAAACTAGTTCAACCATTGTGGAAGTCAGTGTGGCAACTCCTCAGGGATCTAGAACTAGAAATACCATTTGACCCAGCAATCCCATTACTGGGCATATACCCAAAGGATTATAAGACATGCTGCTATAAAGACACATGCACATGTATGTTTATTGCAGCACTATTCACAATAGCAAAGACTTGGAACCAACCCAAATGTCCAACAATGATAGACTGGATTAAGAAAATGTGGCACATATACACCATGGAATGCTATACAGCCATAAAAAAGGATGAATTCATATCCTTTGTAGGAACATGGATGAAGCTGGAAACCATCATTCTCAGCAAACTATCACAAGGACAAAAAACCAAACACCACATGTTGTCACTCACAGGTGAGAATTGAACAATGAGAACACATGGACACAGGAAGGGGAACATCACACACCTCGGCCTATTGTAGGGTGGGGGGAGGGGGGAGGGATAGCATTAAGAGATACCTAATGTTAAATGACGAGTTAATGGGTGCAGCACACCAACATGGCACATGTATACATATGTAACTAACCTGCGTGTTGTACACATGTACCCTAAAACTTAAAGTCACTTCCCTGACCACCCTGCCTACTACCGCCTTCTCTTCCAATGTAATTATCTGTCTTTTTACTCTATTCTTTTTCTTCATTGCATTTAACATGTGTTCCATTTTATGTTAATGGATCTTAACGAATTCTAGACTCTGTTTAACATGTGTTCCATGCTTTGTTTTTTTTTTTTTTTTTTTTTTTATTGAGATGGAGTCTCGCTCTGTCACCCAGGCTGGAGTGCAGTGGTGCCATCTCGGCCCACTGCAAGCTCCGCCTCCCAGGTTCACGCCATTCTACTACCTCAGCCTCCTGAGTAGCTGGGACTACAGGCACCTGCCACCACGCCCGGCTAATTTTTTTGTATTTTTAGTAGAGACAAGGTTTCACTATGTTAGCCAGGATGGTCTGGATCTCCTCACCTTGTGATCCTCCCTTCTCAGCCTGGGAAAGTGCTGGGATTACAGGCCTCAGCCACCACACCCAGCCAACATGTGTTCCACTGTTATGTTAATGGATCTTAATGAATCCTAGGCTCCTGTGTTGCCCCCTTCAACATCAACTCTAGGCTTAGCCATATGATTTGCTTTGGCTATTGGATCATTAGAAAATGTGGCCCAAGCAGAGGCCTGATACATGCGTACACATCAGGCTTGCCCTCAGGGAACCCCAGCTGCCAAGTGAGGAAGGCTGAGCTGGGAGAGGCTACATGGGGGCAACTGAGGCACATTAGCTAGCAGCCCCAGCCAACTGCCAGAAGTGTGAGTGAAGCCATCCAGCATCTGATAATTGGTGGCAAATGCATTAACGAACCCAACAACACCACGTCCACTAAGATGTCTAAATTGAGCTCATTAGAAAAATCAGTCTACCAAGTGTCTGTCCCAAGTGACCACTGGACATCGCCAGCTGAAATTCAACATTGAAACTGATGTTCTTTTTCTCCCTTAAAGTTATCTTTTCTCCTCTATTCCATATATTATTAATGGCACCCAAATATAACCAATGTCTTAAAGGTGACGGTTAATTTTACGTATCACCTTAGCTAGGCTATGGTCCCTAGTTGTCTGGATGTTGCTGTGAAGGTATTTTTTAGGTATGATTAACATTCAAACTGGTGAGCTTTGAGGAAAGCAGATTACCCTCCGTAAGATATGTGGGCCTCAGCCAATCAATTGAGGATGTTAAGAGAAAACACTGAAACTCCACTGAAGAAAAAGGAATTCTGTCTCCAGACTGCCTTTGAACTCAAGACTGCAAGATGAACTTCTGATAGAATTTCTCGCCTGTTAGCTACTTTGCAGGTTTTGGACTCAAGCACACCCACAATGGAGTTTCCTTATAATAGAGAGCCTCTTTCTCTCTGTCTCTCTCTCTCAATCCACACACACACACACACACACACACACACACACACACACACGCACACTCTCACCCTATTGGTTCTGTTTCTCTGGAGAATCCTAATATAATACATCATCTATGATGACCCCTCTCTGTCACTTTCGAGCATTCATTCAGTGACCATGCCCTGTTTTTGCAATCTACACACTGTCTCTTGCATCCACCCTTTCTCTGTCTCTACTTCCCATCTTGGTTTAGGTGCTCAGCATCTCTCACCAGCACTATTACAAACTATTAACCAAGTCTTGCTGGCTCATCTCCCTCCAAATCTCCTGCCACTCCACCACTAGACTTATCTAAGATAAGCACCTGATGATCATATCATTTATCTCCAAAGTCTCCTCCTGGCTCCCCATTGCCTTCAGGATACAGTTCAAACTCTTCAGGATAGGATGGAAGCTCTTTATCTACTAGCCCAAGTTAAGCTGCAGTTCCGAGCTCTGTCTCTCTTACTGCCCCAAGTACCCACCCTCCAGCCATATTTAACTAGTTGTTGATCCCCAAAGACCTCATGCTCATTTCATGCCCTCATGCTTTTGCATGCTCTGTTCCATCTCCCTGCAATGCCTACTGCTTTGTCTGAAAAATACTCTGAACTTTAATCCAAGCCATGGCTCAGAGGTACTCTTTGTTCAGAAACTGTTGCTAGATTCTTGGTTATAATTTTTAGAACATGATAAAGGTCTTATCATAAACCTTATGTAATATATTGAAATTAATATATTTGTATTTCTCAAAAGAAAAGGAACTTTTTGATGGCCCCTGTATCTTGTTCAATAATTGGATCCCTAGTCCTAGTGTTTGTTTAGCTCATAATAACCACTCAAAAAATGCTTGGGAGCCCATTTGTATGGGTTAGATTTTATACCCCTTGAAGGCAGAGACCATATTGTTGTTCATCTTGGTATATCATTCCTCTCATGGGATCTTGCATAGTTGAAGCTCAATATAAGAAATTTGAGGCTGGGTGCAGTGGCTCATGCCTGTAATCCCAGCACTTTGGGAGACCAAGGCAGGTGGATCACTTGAGACCAGAAGTTCGAGACCAGGCTGGCCAACATGGTGAAACCCCTTCTCTACTAAAAATACAAAAATTAGCCAGGTGTGCTGGCCCGCGCCTGTAGTCCCAGCTAGTCGGGAGGCTGAGACAGGAGAATTGTTTGAACCTGGGAGGCGGAGGTTGCAGTGAGCCAAGATCACACCACTTCCCTGCAGCCTGGGTGACAGAGCAACACTTCATCTTTAAAAAAAAAAAAAAAAATTTGAATTTAGAAGATAACCTTTAGTTCCCTGAGAAAATAAAAATACTTCATTTCCTTTTGCTACCAGATATGTCAGCCATTATTGAGATTCCCTGCTCAGTGGTGTCACAATGATTTAAGGTCAAACAAAAGTTTATGGAAAGGAGAAATCGCTGGCACTGAGGGTCATAGTCGTGGGGGAAAAGGAAATAGAAGAAAACAGTCTTCTGAATGGCTCTTTAATAAGAGCCATTTCTATTTCCTATCCTCTCAAACAGTGCTTGAAAAACATTTTTTGTCTTGTTTTGAAAATTTTCAAACCCACAGAAAGTTGAAAGAACAGTACAAGGAACAGCCAGATACTCCTCACGTAGATTCACCATCTAGCTGCAGCGACTTCCTCTATTTATATGCATACGCGTAAAAACACACACACACACACACACACACACACACACACACACACACACACAACTTCCCTTTTGCTAAAGTAGGCGGCTGTCATCATGGCATTTCATGCCTAAATGTTGGATCTTGCATCACTCAGAATAGAGCCGTCCTCTTACATCACCATAACACCATCTTCACACCTGATAAGAGAATCAACATTAACTCAACAGAATGATCTAACATGCAGTCTGGACTCAAAGTTTCCTAATTGTCCTCCAAAATGTCCTTGGTAGCTTTTGACCCAGAATCCAATCAAGGTTGACACCTAGATTTGGCTGTTCTGTCTCTATTTTCCCCATACTCTGCCTCTGCTGTTCTTGATCTCCAAATCTTTGAAGGCCTGTAGAACATCCTGGCTGGGCGCAGTGGCTCACGCTGGGAGGCTGAGGTGGGAGGATCACTTGAGGTCAGAAGTTCAAGACCAGCCTGGGCAACATGGTGAAATACCGTCTCTACTAAAAATACAAAAGTTAGCTGGGCGTGGTAGTGCATGCCTGGAGTTCCAGCTACTCAGGAGGCTGAGACATGAAAACTGCTTGAACCCAGGAGGCAGAGGTTGCAGTGAGCCAAGATCACATCACTGCACTCCAGCCTGGGGGACAGAGCAAGGCTCTGTCTCAAAAAAAAAAAAAAAGCCAGGCGCAGTGGCTTGCGCCTATAATCCCAGCACTTTGGGAGGCTGAGATGGGCAGATCACCTGAAGTCAGGAGTTCAACACCAGCCTGGGCAACATGGCGAAACACCGTCTCTACTAAAAATACAAAAAATTAGCTGGGTGTGGTGGCACATGCCTGTAATCCCATATACACAGGAGGCTGAGGCAGGAGAATCGCTTGAACCTGGGAGGCACAGGTTGCAGTGAGCTGAGATTGCGCCATTGCACTGCAGCCTGGGCTAAAAGTGTAAAATTCCACCTAAAAAAAAAAAAAAAGAACAGCCCACATTCCAGAGTGCTCTGACCATCTGGCCAGGATTTGATTCAGGTCAGATGCTTCCAGCAAATTGTGTTATGGGTGTCCCTCCCATGGCATCAGACCAGGGATTCACAGGGTCAGGTTGCTCCAATAATTGTCATGGCATGCATGATGGGAGGCAGATGAGGTGAAGGCTGACAGATGGCAATGCAAAGGCACGCTTTTGCCTTTGTAATTAAGCAGTAACCTGTGAGATTCTGTAAGCAGCCTTTCCCCCACAGTCTTTTCTCCCAGTGGGTGATATTATTCATTGATGATCATTGCTTGAATCAATTATTACTCTGAGAGTTACAAAATGGTGCTTTCCTAAATCCAAAATTTAGCCTACACATGCTAGATTGTAATTTTTTATAAAGAAGAAAGTGTTCTTTTTTTTTTTCTAGACAGGGTTTCACTCTGTCGCCCAAGCTGGAGTACAGTGGTGAAATCATGGCTCTTTGCAGCCTCGACCTCCAAGGATCAAGTGATCCCCCAACCTCAGCCTCCTGAGTAGCTGGGACTATAGGCACATGCCATCATGCCCAGCTAATTTTTATATTTTTTGTAGAGATAGGGTTTTGCCATGTTGCCCAGACTGGTCCTTTCTGTCTTTTGAGAATCACTATAGAGTCGTGAAATGTTAAAAATGCAATGCATTACAATCATTTCCCAGGATTTTTTTTTTTTTTTTGATCCTCAAAGTTTCTCAGATTTGGTCAGTGGGATCCTTTCCAAGCTGACTTCTGTATTTTTTTGACATGGACTTTTAAATGGTCTGTGAACACGTCTTTGCTTTCTGATACACAAGATGTTCCTAACTCTGACCTAGTATTTGCCAATTCTCTAAGGAGCTCTGGTTCTTTTTGGCAGGCAATAGTATTCAGAAACCAAAACCTGGTTCCTACATAAGCTTATTGCTATGGGGCATTATTGATTCTAAGCTTTTCCAGGGACACAGCTAGAGTATCAGATCATGATCTCCCACTTACTGATAGCTCCAATTCAAATCCTACACTACAGCAGTAACAGGGTTCTCTACCTGCCCTCCCTCCCCCATCTTATGTTCTAGATCCCTTCACTGAAAACCCACATTAAAAGCAAGAGGTAAACACAATCCTCAATGGTCTGAGTTTGGAGCTGGGACTCTCACCCACTGGAGCGGCAAAGGGAGGTGGAAGGAAAGATTCCCTTGCCAGTCGGCTTGATTGTACCTCAGGCATCTGGCTGCTAGTGCCTTCTTGGAGTGGGCAGACTTTTATAGAGAAAGAAGATGGAAATTGTCCAACTGGATGTTATTAAAACATGCACCTGTGACCCAATTCTTCAGAAACCTACCTGTGGACTTTTAACATAAAATCAGCTTTAGAAGATTTTTTACTGAAGAATTAAGGACAAAGCTGCTTTTGTAGCTTTGTCCATCAAACAACATTTTTCCAACAGAAAGCTACTTGGCTCATGACCCCTGGAGAAATGGCCCCTTTAGCTATTTCCTCTGAACAGAGTTCTCTGCAGAGAGCTGTGGTTAAACCACCCATGAATGAGGCTGGTTTCTCTTTCTGGCTTTGTACACTGCAGAGAATTGTTTTGAAATTCGATGACACAAACTTTGGTATCAGTTGCAACAGTTTTTCCATGTGGCCCAGGTCTTCTCAAGAGAAAGTCATTATAAAATGCTTGGGTTCAGGGTACAAATTCTCACAGAGATATTCTGCCACTGGGTCTCCCACTGCGGTTATTCCAAGTAATTCCCACAGCAGTCTCGAGGGTTAAATGTTAATTGTTTTAAAGACGAGGTCACCGAGACCCAGAGAGTCTGTGTCACATAACACAAAGTCACAGGCTACTATGCTTTGTTGAATCTAAGATGCTTAAGATTCTAAAGTACATTCCATTTCCAGGTATGTTAAAAGTGAAAAAAAATGTGTATGTCTTATAATCAGTGAAATACAGTGGGTAGTGATGGATCTAGGGTCAAATTCAGATCCTCATGACTAAGAAACCCATGCTTTTTCCACTTGATTTAGGGTTCATGCAAGAAGAGCAAGCTGAACTGCAGATAGAAGATCTGGGCTTCCAGAAGGTTGAAAAGACAAGGAAAGATAGTATAGCATGAGCAACAGCATGGATGTGAAAGTTTGCTTGGAGAGTGAACTCAGAGATGAGCTAGTTTGACAATAGCCGAGTGTTCACATTTGGGAGCAGTGAGAAATGCAGCTTTTAGAAAGAGATTTGTCGGATGAACCAGCTTTAGAAGGCGGCTGGTGATTTCTTTTAGGTGTAGCAGTTCTAGGAAACTGGGCATCGTTGTAAGCGCTTGGGGGTGGATGCTACAGGTTGAAAGCACTGTTTTAAAGGAGAGGTGTACAGGGAGGATTGGAAGAGGAGATATGAGGCTGATGCAGTTCAGATGGATGACAGGCACTGAAGCTTGAACAGGGATGGCAGCCTTGAGACTGGAGAAAAAGGGCTAGGTGAGGTGAGAACACTTCAGAGAAGGAGTTATCAGCAGCTGTTGATAGGTTGGAGATGAATGCGGAGCCCATATAATTTCTCATCCAAACTCGGACACCTCTGAGAAAGAAAGTGAAGCACTATTAATAACCATGCTAGAAGGTGGGCATCAACCAGCACTGTCTTGGGCAAACTTGATATACAGCTGGTTACTGCAGATGAGAGAATGAAGGAGAGATCAGAATCAAAACTGCTCCAATATTTCTTGTTTGGGGGACTTTGGGTTACTGTAGTTCACAGAGCTGTTGCAAATGCCACCTCTTGTACAAAGAGTCTCTGTGATTTTCCCCCATCCTCCCCAAAAGAAGCTGTGAGGAATCAAACAGCCGTCATGGTATGGGTGAAGGAACAGACTTTATTGGGGGAAACTTACAAGCCAAGGTTGGAAAGAGAAGGCATCCGATACTCCTCCTAACCACACAGAAAGGTGTGGGCCACAGCCAGGATGTTCTTGGAGACCCTCGGATGGACATGCCAGGGAAGGAGGCCCTCCCCTCCAACTCTCTGCCACCTCTCTTCTTTATAGGATAAGAGCAAGAACAACCTTGTCAGCAGGAGAACAGTCTACAGGTATATTAGATGTCAGCAGATTGCAGAAGGTGTCTGGGAAATCCAGCTGCCCAGTATTTGGAGAATCTGAGGGCTCATTGGAAGCTGATTTTGGAAGGAGACCCATTGAGCCTGTGGGACCCTGGTTTAAGTGTATCTCTTCTCCCTGGAGAAAGAAGAAAGGCCTTCTGTCCTATCCAGGACCTTGTCCAGGCAACCCAGAGTGAGCCCCCGTAGGCCTTTTATGGCATAGTTCTGCATGTGACACCAAAGTACTTGGTTTAGGGCAGGGGAGGGGCAGGAGTGAGAGTAAAAATAGGGAAGTGTGATATTGCGATATAAAAAGAAATACATATTTGGTCATCCTCCCTGGTTCCTAGCACAGAGCTTTGAAAACCCTTGGAATTTCCTGAGTGACAGAGATGAGAAGAGCATCATTTATTTTTCATAAGTCCCTGTCAACTATTCTTGAGTTTACACTTACGATTCTTCCTTGGTCCCTAGATGGTTTCATGATGGGGGCTGGTGGCCCGAGGAACTGACCTTGTGATTACAAGGTTGGAACATTCGGCCCCACCCCCAGGTCCCCTGGGGAGAGGAGAGGGGCTGGAGGTTTTGGAAATCACTAACAGTCAAATATTTAATCAATTATGCCCATATAATGAAACCTCCATAAAAACCCTTACATGAAGGGGTACAAGCAGCTTTTGGGAGAGTGAGCAAACGCATCCACGTGCCAGGAGGGTGGCACGCTCCAACTCCCCAGTGGGGCTGAAGTGCCCATGTTCAGGACCCTTCTGGACCTTGCCCTATGTACCTCTTCATCTGCATGTTCACTCGTATTCTTTATAATTTCCTTTATAATAAACTAGCAACAGTAAGTAAACTGTTTTCCCTGAGTTCTGTGAGCTGCTCTAGAAAATTATTGAACTTGAGCCAGGAGTGGTGGCTCATTCCTATACTCTCAGCACTTTGGGAGGCCGAGGTGGGAGGATTGCTGGAGCCCAGAAGTCCAAGACCAGCCTGGGCAACATAGAGAGACACTGTCTCTAGAAGAAATACAAGTTTAGCCAGGTGTGGTGGAACACACCTGTGAGCCCAGTTACTCTGGAGGCTGAGATGGGAGGATCACTTGAGCCTGGGAGGTGGTGGCTGCAGTGAGCCATGATCGTGCTACTGCATTTCTGTCTGGGTGACAGAGTGAGACTCTGTGTGTGTGTGTGTGTATGCGTGTGTGTATGCGTGTGTGTATGCGTGTGTGTATGCGTGTGTGTATGCGTGTGTGTATGCGTGTGTGTATGCGTGTGTGTATGCGTGTGTGTATGCGTGTGTGTATGCGTGTGTGTATGTATGTATCTATCTATCTATCAAGCTTGAAGTGGGAGTCATGGAAACCTCTGATTTATAGCCAGTCAATCAGAAGTATGGGAGGTCCAGGACTTGTGGTTGGCATTTGAAATGGGGGTAGTCTTGTGGGGCTGAGCCCTTAACCCACGGGAGCTGCTGGGTTAGACCAGGTAGTGTCAGAATTGAATTGTTTGATACCCAGCTGGTGTGCAGACAATTAAATAATTGGTTATTGGTATGGAAAAACTCACATATTTGGTGCCAGAAGTATTGGGAGTAAAAGCAGTTCAGAGTGTCAAAGGACAACCTTATCACAGGTTTAGTTTTAAGATCATAATTGACGGCCGGGCACGGTGGCTCACGCCTGTAATCCCAGCACTTTGGGAGGCCGAGGCGGGTGGATCACGAGGTCAGGAGATCGAGACCATCCTGGCTAACACAGTGAAACCCCGTCTCTACTAAAAAATACAAAAAATTAGCCAGGCGTGGTGGCGGGCGCCTATAGTCCCAGCTACTCGGGAGGATGAGGCAGGAGAACGGCATGAACCCAGGAGGCGGAGCTTGCAGTGAGCCGAGATTGTACCACTGCACTCTAGCCTGGGCGACAGAGTAAGACTCAGTCTCACAAAAAAAAAAAAAAAAAAAAAAAAAAAAAAAAAAAAAAATTTAATTGACTTTATTTGTAATTCCAGAATCCAGCAAACTTCATTCGATAGAACAGAACAAGTGTTCCAACGGGCTGAGTAGAGGAGGGTGGTTTCATCCAGAGAAAGCTGAAGAAAGCAGGGACAAAGACCGAAAAGCAGATTGGTCATTTCAAAGTTACTTTCCTTGCAAGGTGGAAATGGGGAACAGAACAGTAGAGAAATAACTGATTGGTTAACATCAGGTCACTTTCTCTTGGAAGGGAGAGAGTAGAGGAAACTTCTTACCATGCAAATTGAAACTGGCCTGTTTGGGAAATTTGGCTTTCTCTGTCTCCGGATTGTTCTGGATTACTCTGGAGGTCGGTTAACAACTCAGGTTTGGCTTGGCAATGTGGAACCTCAGCATGAGTGACTTCATTCTGACTTTTGGTCTGGTCTGCTGGGGCCTAGTGCAGGAGCTTAGTTCAAAACAGTAGCCTCCTGGCTGGTCTGAAGGTAGTGAGTTACCTCAACCGATTGTTCGCAGTCAGTTACAGATCAAACCCCTTGTTCAGCTCTTTCCACCCTTCTCACTACTGCACTCACAACAACAGCAACAAACAATGGCCTCCTATATTTTTTTTTTTTGAGAGAGGGTCTTGCTCTGTTACCCAGGCTGGAGTGCTGTGGTGCGATCATGGCTCATTGCAGCCTCCACCTTCCTGGCTCAAGCAATCCTCCTACCTCAGCCTCCTGAGTAGTTGGGACTACAGGCGAATGTTTTTTGTAGAGATGGGGTTTCATCATGTTACACAGTCTGGTCTCCAACTCTTGAGCTCCAGTGATCTGTCCCCCTCCCAAAGCGTTGGGATTACAGGCGCGAGCCACCACACCTGGCCATCCTCCTCTAATTTTTATTTAGCAAGAGGTAGAGAGAGCATCCATTTCCAGTGAATTAACCTACAAGCACATATACTGAACTGTGAACTATAATAAGTAGAGCCGTATTTCTTGGATGGTTCGGGAGACATTCGGGTTTCACAGTGCTTATGGGTTCCCCATAAGCAAACACCCGACTGCAGCATGTATGCATAACCGAAGAGTGCACCCGTGACATGGTCTGACTGCAGGGCCTGCAGCCATTTTCAAAGCCTCAAGCATCGCCAGATTTTGTGCCTGATTTCTAATGAACTAAAATTAGTAACAGGTGACAAGCCAAATATACACTTGGAAGGGTTGTGGGATGTCACTTTCATTGCTATTCCATTGCATTCCACTCATCTATTTTTAGCATGGAAGATACCCCCTTGAGACTGGAGGCCTGATTTGGAGACCTGAATTTAGAGAGAATCACAACACAGTTTTGCTTCAAGGATGGAAGTCAGGCTGGAGTTTCCAGGACCTCAGGACACTACTGCTTTGATTCTATCACTTCCTTGGTAAAAACAAACAATAACAACACAGAAACCCACAAACTCTAGGAAATCTCTACTGCTCAAAGTTTTTTTCTAAAATTCTGTCGCTGATACTTAAAACTTTTATTTGATCTATTTATTCAAAAGTCTTATCACATACCATGACCCCATGCAGTCGCATGGAACTGGCCAGCGCCTTTGAACTCTTCTTGGTTGTGCCCTCTGCCAAGTTCTCCTACAGGCCATTCCGTCTGCCTGGATCTGTCTTGTTCAGGATGCCTGCTGGTCTCTGAGCTGCAGACCTCTGTACCCAACAACCTTACTGGCATCTCCAGAGATATCCAAGTGCAGATCAATTTTTAAAAATGAAACTTGTCAGCCTCCCTTCCAGACTGGCTCCTTCTCCTCCCTCATTCTAGAGAATGACAAGGGAAAAGTCTCTGAGAGTGCCTTCCCTCTGCCAGGCTTTATATCCTCCATGGTCTGGAGATACCTTTCTAAAACACAGGCTAGCCCCTCTGTGTCCTGCTGCAAGCCCACCCATGGCTCCCTGTTGCTCTCAGGACAAAGCAGAAGCTTCTAGCATCATACAGGAGGAGCCCCACTGTGAGTAGCCTCCTGCTCCTCCCACCCCATCCTCCAGCTTAGATCTCCTCCAGGTTTCCAACCAGGGCCAGGCTGGCTCCTCTCCTGCTTCCAGACTGTGCACACCATGCTTCCCCATTCCCTTTGCCCAGCGCCTTCTTCAGGGTCTTTATCCATTGTCTATACTCTAAGCACCATGAGAGAAATAAGCAGTCCTGTTCATCTTACCAGAAGCCCACAGTCAGTCTTTCAGGAATGGCTGATGACTAGTGAATGAAGCAATGAAATAATGAGTGAATGATACGCAAGTACAATGATGCAGAACCAGGACCATCAAAGGGGGTGGGGGGAAGAGGTTGCAGCAAGGACCCGACAGTGCTTTGTCTGCTGGTTCAGATTCCTGTTGGGAAGGGGTTGGAAGTTAATGTCCTGCAGTCACCCCTGTGGATCATAGGTGTGCGTGTGTTTGTGTGTGTACCTGGGGATAGACAGGTAGGCTTCCTTGGGGGATATACTCATGTTGTCATGTGACCTCCGTTCTTTTCAGTTAACCATTTTGAAGCCTTAAAAAAAAAACTTCTTTTAGGTATTAGGGAGCAATACCCCAACTGATATCTGGGTGGCCAACATCTTGGCCACCATCTTTCTGGTAAGCACATCCCTTATGGAATGCTTGTCAAACACAGACTATGCTAGTTTGAATATTTCCGTCTGTATATGCACAACAGACATTCAACATAAGTAGAAATAGTGAATTCCTTCTGTGAGCCAGGCACTGGGCTGGGCCTTGGAAGCCAGGTTAGAGACCCGGGAGATGATCTTCCTTCCTTTCCAATTGCTCTGTGCCTGCTGATGCTGTATGATACTCTTATTTATCTGTGCTTAGAGTGAACTATCCAGGTTTTCTTAGTGAGAAGAAAATTATGGAAACTTAGGAATAAGGAGCAGAGGATATAGCAAGGGGAGGAGGGTAGAATTAGTTTAATAAAAGTACCAACACAAAAAAAATTCTATC
Organism: Homo sapiens; assembly: GCF_000001405.40. Classification (NCBI taxonomy): domain Eukaryota; kingdom Metazoa; phylum Chordata; class Mammalia; order Primates; family Hominidae; genus Homo; species Homo sapiens. The sequence continues at coordinate 16,620,592 of NC_000005.10, read as the reverse complement.
TGCAGGCTAATAAACGATACAACATATACACAAGTGTATTAGTTCATTCTCATGCTGCTATGAGGAAACACTTGAGAGTGGGTAATTTATAAAGAAAAGAGGTTTAATTGACTCACAGTTCCGCATGGCTGGGAAGGTCTCAGGAAACTTACAATCACGGCGGAAGGCATCTCTTCACAGGGTGGCAGGAGAGAGAATGAGTGCTGAGTGAAGGGAGAAGCCCCCTTATAAAGCCATCAGATCTTGCAAGCACTCAATATCACGAGAACAGCATGGGGGAAACCGCACCCATGATTCAATTACCTACACCTGGTCCCACCCTTGACACGTGGGGATTATTACAATTCAAGGTGAGATGTGGGTGGGGACACAGAGCCAAACCATATCAACGAGCCTCCTTTTGTTTAAGGAATCATGGAGCTACTGTAAGATTCTAATATATAATATTGTAGAGAAAAGAAATTTCCCCAAAATATTATGACTAGGGGGCTTTTCCCCATCATTCTAAGTCTTAGCTTGATTTTGCCCTAGGAGACTTCCTATAGTGGGAATTAATTATTCATAATTTTTCCTCTCCTATTACAAGCTTTCCACATACTCTTAGATGAGAAAAGTGAGTGGCCTCTGTTAGAGAGTTCTTATGTGCATTTGGACTTTCTTTACTGGAGCTGTCTCATTTTCTAAACTCTCATTCAGTAGCTAGAACTTTTTTTTTTCTCAGACACGTTTCCAGTTTCCTTTTCTCAGATATATATTGTCAAATCATCTAGCTCACTAGTGTTAATCACTCTGTTCCTAATATATAGCAATAAAATTTCAGAAGAGAATCTTAGTAAGATTACTTGCAGGAGTTCAAGAATGTGGCGTGTTCTTAAAACTAGGGGACAAGGTTGATTTCAACCATTGTTAGCATTATGTTTCTGTAATCTTAGCCCTGAATAAATTACTCAAGCATCACAAAGATCATTAGACAAACAACAAAACAACAACAAAATCCCACCCAGCAGCACCATTTGTATGTCTATGCCAGTGTCTACTTCTGTCATACAGTTTGTAAGTATTAGAGGTCGGAGGTGAAAAGGAAAGGTTAATTAGCCCAGCCTTTTATGCAAAACAGGTTGCATAGCATTTTCTCCATAGTAATTTTGAGAGAGAGAGAAAGGATAGACTTTACAACACATAGCTGTGGGGAAGGAGGTTTATTATTAAACAGAGATAATAAATAAGTGTTGGAAACCACACACAGCAACTGGAGCTTAGCTTTTATGTGTCTTGGTTGCCAGCAGCTTTTACTACTTCAACAGATCCTGACAACAATAATTAGAATTCAAGGGAAGCAGGAGGAAGGTGATTAATCTTGCAAACCCATTTCTGGTAGCACATCAGCACTGGTCTGGGGAACGGGGACACCTGGTTCTTCCTCTCTCCTGCCCCATGTTCTCCACACTGGCTGCAGCACACATCTGTCTAGTGACAGATTTTAGAATAGCAAACCCTGGGCTGTATCAAGCGCCAAACAAAGGCCAAATGACACAATAAAAGCATCATTTATCTTTCAAAAACTTCTCCGCTACTGCCAAGAGGGAGGACCCACACCTGGGAAAAGATTGTCTCTCTTATATGGAAGAAACCTGAATTGTTTCCACGTTGCTTTTTCCTTGACACCCAGGCCACTTTCCATCGGGTTGTCAGGATACTCCTAAGAAGGGGAGTCGGAAATGCCAGATGTTCTGTATCACCTTTAGTTAAAAACCAAGCCTCCTGTTACTAGAGACCATTCAATGTCCACTATTCCCTTTGGTGAGTTACTTAAGGAACTGTGCGTCTCCACCTGCAACCCCATGCCTCCTCTCCTGTTGAATTCCCAACAGCAGTTATTGCCCCTGTCCCCAATCCCCACACTAATGGGGGCCCTACAATTTAGGGCAGAGGCCATTTATTACAAAACGCTCTTGAAACCTGATCCCTCCACTCCTCCCCTAATTTTGGATGCACAGTTTAAGTAAGGAATCTCTTAGCACTTAGCGAAGGCTTCTTCGCTGTGGCAGATATCACAATTGTAACTGGGCCCTCATCAGACTGGGAGCTTCCTGTGGGTGGAAGCTGCATCCACAGAGCTTAGCAATGCTTTGTGTACTCGGTAGGTGCTCAGTAAGCCTTTGCCTGGGCTCTGGGAATATAACTCCTTTGAAGTACAACATACAAGCAGTAAAGTGCAGACACCTGCAGTGAATGTACAGATCAATGGATTCCACGTGTGTATACACAGAGGTTTACAATGGCCACCCAGAGGAGCGTTACAGAACATTCCCCTAGAGACTCCCTTGACGCAGGGAATTTAATTGCCCTCCCTTCCATCCTGTGCAGGCAGGCTGGTTGCCAGTAAAGGGATATGAGATGCCCTGATGCATCCGCAGACAGAACCCTTAGTATGGGGGGGAAGGACCTGTCATTCTAGAGTAAAAGTAAGACCAGGAAGATTAAAGAAGACAAAAATTTAAAAATGCAAATGGTGAAAAGCATAAACAACTATTTTCCTCTCTCCCCACACTCACCCAGAAGCACCGGGGCCAAAGAGAGGGCATGGGAGGTCTCAGGATCCCCTGCCGCCCCACCACTGCCCTGATGCCCGCTTGTGACGCAGAGACCGGAGTGGCTCTGAAATTACTGTCTTCAAAGCAGGCCAAACCTTGCTTGACACGTGCAAAGTTCCAATCTCTTGCTTCTCAGCTCCCCGCACGCGCGGGCCAACGTGCACTTCTGAGCCAGATCACCTAGCCACAAGGAGGGGGAGAGAGGGGGAGATAGGAGGAGAGAGGGGAAGATAGGGGGAGAGACGGGGGAGAGAGAGGGAGAGGCAGAGAGAGAGAGAGAGACAGAGAAGAGAAAGGAAGCACCTGAGACAGAGAGAAAGAAGAGAGAGAAAGGAAGCAGCTTCCCCCAACGCTGCGGCCTTGTGTTTCCTCCCGTGTCAAACGAGAGGGCCCCAAATTGACCCCAAATGTTTTTTCTTCCTTTCTCAATCCAACATTTATACCAGCACGTTATTTCCAGGATGCCCAGGACCTCTGCTATGGTTGTGCTGCTGTCCCTGCAAAGGCGCTGGGGATGGCCGAGGTGGGGGATGTCTCTGGGGGCTGAAATACGCTGCCAGGGGAAGGGGCGCCCCGATACCACCCTCAGTGGCTGCTGGTTGGGCGACCGGTGGCCCTGGCTTGAGAAAGTGAAAATGTCCAATCTATTTTGCCTGGAGCCTTGGGTCTCTTTTGGATACGGAACCGAGCAGCAGTCCTCCACTTCGCCCTCTCCCGCCGCTGCAAGGGAAAAGGTCGTTTTCCTCGAGTCCCGGAGAGGCCCTCCAGGAACCCAGAGCCCCCCGGGGACACCGCCCAGCTCCCGGCGCCCGGCCCCGCCCCTGCGCGAACTCGGCCGCACCCACTTTCCCGGGCGGCTCCCCCTCCGTGGCCTGTGGCGTCACAAGGCCCCCAGCCGCCTGTGCCCCGCGGTGCGCGCCCCGCTCCGGGACCTGCCGCCACCGCCGCCCCGCCCTCGGCGGCACCCACACCCAGGCGCGCCCGCGCGCGCGCCCGGCCCCGTCCCTGTCTGGAAGCACAGCTGAAGATGGCGAGCCCGGCGCCTCCGGAGCACGCCGAGGAGGGATGCCCGGCTCCTGCCGCCGAGGAGCAGGCGCCGCCGTCGCCGCCACCGCCCCAGGCATCCCCCGCAGAGCGGCAGCAGCAGGAGGAGGAAGCGCAGGAAGCTGGGGCGGCGGAGGGCGCGGGGTTGCAGGTGGAGGAGGCCGCGGGCCGGGCGGCGGCCGCGGTAACCTGGCTGCTCGGGGAGCCGGTGCTGTGGCTGGGCTGCCGCGCCGACGAGCTGCTGAGCTGGAAGAGGCCGCTGCGGAGCCTGCTCGGCTTCGTCGCTGCCAACCTGCTGTTCTGGTGAGAGCTTGGGCAAGGTGGGGGCGCTGAGGAGGGCAGGTGACCTTGGGGCGCCCGGGGCCCCGGGGACCCAGTGCAGGGGGAGCCCGCGGGACACTGCGGAGGAAGAATTGTCAGCCCTGCCCCACTTTCTCGGCCACCTGTCTCGAACAGGTAGACACTCACCGCAACTTTCCTCCGGACGCACGTCCCTGTGAGCAGTTGTCGTTCTCCGTGTGCGGATCCAGCCTCAGATGCGAGGTGGTCGGCCGACCCTCAGGCACCTGCACCTACAGGTGTTCCCATCGTGCTTGAAAACTTCGCCCCTGCTTTCTAAAACTCTGAGGTCTTGACCTGCTCGCCCAAGCTTGCCGGAGCAAACGTGCTTGAACGTGTCTTGGTTCTTGCAGCCCCAGCAGGCATATCTGGACCAGATTAGGTACCCGTTCAAAACGGTGCCGCATTCATCAGTCACCTGAGATGGGCCCTGAATGATTTGTTTTTTCCTTCCCCTGGAGCGTTAGGTTTACTGTGTTTACTCCCTGATGAGAAAACGGGAGGCAAACAAGCAGGTGGAGTATGCCCAGCACCCACCCCCGGGTGTGCACAGTGTGGAAAACAGGCATATTTTTAGGTGAAGTACAGGGAGAACACACGGGAATGCTCAGCCCCTGAGCAACAGGTTTGTCTCTCCAAAAAGCGCTCTTCAGAAAGGCCAGGGAAATGTCTGTCTCCTTCGTTGAAAGTGGTGTCCTGTCATCCGTTACCACGCTATTGAGGGCGGAGAAAAACCTTCTTTGTTTGCTAAGTGTCCTCATAACAAACATGACCTACACAGTGCAGAATAATCAGACTCCGGTAACAGATACCTTGTTACAGGACAGAGATTTCTGAACCTTAAAGTTGAGAAATAAATAAATTGCACAAAATAGACAGCCTGTCATTTTCTAGGTTAACTTGAGCAAGATGAATATTTTCCTCAGATCTCTGCTAGTCCTGGTGTTTTCTCTTAAAACTAGCTGTATCTTGTCGGAGGTCCCTGAAAGTGAATTAACTTTGGATCTCTTAGGTATCTGTGTTTGGAATAGAGTTTATTCCAAATCTATCTTATTATGGAGTGAATGCGAGCACTCAAATAAGAAGGACATATTGTCTTATGCTAGATTGGGCAATAGTCTAATAGTCTTAGGGCTGTGTCTCACTAATGTTTACGATGTTTTTAACATTTTATTTCTTTTTCTTTTCTTTCTTTCTTTCTTTTTTTTTTTTTTTTGAGATGGAGTCTCACTCTGTCGCCCAGGCTGGAGTGCAGTGGCGCGATCTCGGCTCGCTGCAAGCTCTGCCTCCCGGGTTCACGCCATTCTCCTGCCTCAGCCTCCCGAGTAGCTGGGACTACAGGCGCCCGCCACCACGCCTGGCCAGTTTTTTGTATTTTTTTTAGTAGAGACGGGGTTTCACCGTGTTAGCCAGGATGGTCTCGATCTCCTGACCTCGTGATCCGTCCGCCTCGGCCTCCCAAAGTGCTGGGATTACAAGCGTGAGCTACTGCGCCCGGCCTTAACATTTTATTTCTTAATTTTAAATTTTATTTCTTTAAAAAACTAATACAGTCTCACAGTGCAAAAGTTTAAAGGTACAAAAGGGTAAGCATTTTGAAAATCTCTTTCTCATCCCAGTCCCTGGCCGCCCAGTTTCCTCACGGAGGCCAGCAATGTTGCTAGTTTCCTGTGTCTCTTTCCAGATAGTGCACATTTCAGCAAATACACCATATTCTATGCAAATTGTGGAATAACATATGAGCTCTTCCTTTTCCTAGTATTTCTTGGTGATTGCTTCCTTGTTCTTTTTCAGCTGCTTCAGAATTCTATTGTAAGGATGTCTCAAATTACTTAACCTGTCTCCTACTGAGGCAGTAATGTTTCCAAGCTTTTGCTATTTCAGCATTATAGCTAATGACCCTGTACATGCATCATTTTGCATATATGCAAGTATTTTAGAGAACTTCCCAGAAGTGGAATTGCTGGGTCAGAGGGCATGTGCACTTGTAATTTTGATGGCTGTCACCATATTGCATGCAGCTCCTTAGGGTTCTAACAATTTATACTCCCACCAGCAATGTGTATGACTGCCTGCTTTGCCACACTCTTGCGAAGAATATTTTATGAAACTTTTTGATCCTGCAAATCTGATAGGTGAAAAAGACTATCCCAAAATGATTTTATTTTGCAGTTCTCTGTGATTGAGCATTTTATCTTATGTTTAAGAACTACCACATTTACCATTTATCAGCATTGTTTGTTTATAAATAACCTTTGTCTATTTTTTCAAGTAGGCCAGTGTTCTTTTCCTTATTGATTTATAGGAGCTGTTTTTATATTAAAGACTTTAGCCTAATTTCTGTAACATGAGTTGCAAACTTTTTTCTATGATGTTTTCTTTAATGACACCTATTGAAAATAATGTTTTTGCATAAAATAATTGAAAGGCATATTTGATAGTATCCAGGGGTGTTTTCTTCCATCCATTTTATTTATACTGACGGAGAGGAAAACATTGGCCAGCCATTCAGCCTAGATACAGCCTTCTCCTTATCTGTTTTATTTCATCTCCTGTTTGTGGCATCTGCATTCCATGCATGTATTTTCTTTGACAAAAATGACTGTCCTGTTCTTTAAGTTCAGAATTACTTGTTGCTTTTGCATTATAATTCATTGGAATTTATGACCCATTTATTAATGTCATTAAAATTTTGTTTTTTTTTCCCTTTTATTTGTTGCTCTGGGGGTTAAAATGATTTTCAAGGACATTACGTTTTCTTTAAATAATGTATTTCTTCTCAAATGATCTTAAATTATGTGATACTCTAACCTTCTGTGTCTTGGGAACTCTAAAGCACTGTATTTTCTATGAGAAAAAAAGATCAATTTTAAAACTGTGGGGAACCCAACCAAATCTGTCTTAAGCAATGGGATGTTGTTTTCACTTTAATTGATGTATTTCATTTTTGTGGAAGTAAACTTTTTAAAGATATATTTTTGAATGATTTAGCACCTGGCATTAGCAGTGGGTTTTAGGAGTCTGAATTTGACTCAAAAGCTTCAACATTTATTACCTGCCCATTATCTGCAAGATTTTGGGCAAAAATTGTGACACAGCCGTAACCAATGGGTATAACTAAAAGTTGCATGAATTAAGTGTGGTGGAAGATTCAGGAAAGGATAATTCATTTTGATATGGTTTTGGGGAACGTGGTATTGTGGATGGAAGAGATTGTGGGGTTCTTAATAAGGAGATCATGCTTAAACCTCAGTGGATAAGAATGATTTGGGAGATCTAGTAGATGATCAAGAGCATTCTAACCCTGAGGAATACAATGAACACAATAGCATCTTGAAGGTGTACCTAATATTTCAACCACTACACAGTAAACAGATGCAATGGCAGCATGGGCTGGTAGAAAATGTAGTGGGAGATAAGGTTGGCTAGGTGGTTTGTGGGGGCAGTAGTTGCCTCAGATGCTATGTTGTGTGTTTGGATTTGTTTTTTCTGTAGGCAACAGGGACCAAAAAAAAAAATACTTTGTAGAAGTATCCACAAATAATTTAATGGATAAGTACACTGTGGTTCATTTATTTATTATAAATTGTGATACCATATAACAATGAAAATACAGCTTTAGCAACAACAGGGATGAATTTTACAAATGTAATTTTGGTCAAAAGATGCACAAAGTAATATATGCTGAATGATTCAATTAAGTTTTAAATGGTGCAGGAACTGAACAGGATTGGTTAGGGATACACACATAGGGGATAAAACTACAAAGAAAATAAAAGACATTCTCGAATCCGAGACGTGCAGGCACACACACACACATATGCATTCTTATCTATGGTATATTTTATGAAAAATACTGAAATATGAAAAAATGCTAAAAAATGATATTCATGAGAACTCAGAGGAGTTTGGTAAAATAGAGGCCACATAGAGTGCCTGTCTCAAAAAGCAGGGTTTCCACAACTGAAGTAGATTGGGTAACAGTCCCATAGTTTTGTGGTGATGAGGGGCCTCAGATAATACTATCTCACTCATTTCACCAATGAAGAACATGTTTTTAGAATTTTTTCCTTCATTTAAAATTTTATTTATTTAAAAATTAACTAACATAGCCTTACAGTTCAGATGTTTAAATGTACAGAAGGGTAAACATTTTGATGTCTTCCCACGCCTGTCCCTGTCTACGCAGTTTCCTCTCAGAAGCAACCCATGTTGTACTTGTAAGCACATCCTGAAATGGAATGAGCCCAATGTAATAGAAAATGTTGGTTTTTTTTTAAATATCAACTTTTTGTGGTTTACCACCAATAAAATGCCCATACTGTAAGTATACAGTCAAATGTATCATATGTGCCTGTGTAACCATACTGGCAGTTGAGATCTAGAATATTTCATCACCCTTAAAGGCTTCTTTGCATCCCTGTTCTATCAGCACCCACCCCTGGGGACTGATCTGTTTCTGTCACTGTTGACTAGGTTGGACTTCCCTAAAGCTTTGTATAAATGGTGTTATTTAGGGTGATAGGGTGATGTCCTTTTTTTTTTTTTTTTGAGACGGAGTCTCTCTCTCTCTCCCAGACTGGAGTGCAGTGGTGCGATCTTGGCTCACTGCAACCTCCACCTCCTGGGTTCTAGCGATTCTCCTGCCTCAGCCTCCCGAGTAGCTGGGACTACAGGCACATGCCACCAAGCCTGGCTAATTTTTGTATTTTTAGTGGTGACAGGGTTTCACCATATTGGTCAGGCTGGTCACGAACTCCTGATCTCAGGTGATCTGCCTGCCTCAGCCTCCTAAAGTGTGTGATGTCTTTTGTGTCTGGCTTTGCTTACTCAGCGTAGTTTTGTGATTCATCTCTGCTGTGTGTATCAGTTATTTGCTGCTTTGTATTGCTGGGTAGTGTACCACTTTGATGATGTACCACAATTTGTTTATCCATTTGCTAGTTGATGTTCCTTCAGGTAGTTTTCATGTTTGACTATTATGAATAAAGCTATTGGAAAACATCACGTAGAAATCTTTGTGTGAAGTGTCTGTTTTTGGTGAGGAAAGTGGTAAGCCCTGATGGTTGCCTTGGATAGGCACAGAATGGAGTGAAAGGTCCGTTTCCTAAGTCTTGCTGATCGCTGTATTGAAATTTAATGGCTTATGATGCAGCTCCTCTTTTGGGCATGTTACATCTGCAGCCTAGAAAGCGTCTCTGATGTGATTTTTTTTTTTATTCAAGTTCTAGGGTACGTGTGCACAACGTGCAGGTTTGTTACGTATGTATACATGTGCCATGTTGGTGTGCTGCACCCATTAACTCATCATTTACATTAGATGTATCTCCTAATGCTATCCCTCCCCACTCCCCCGACCCCATGACAGGCCCTGGTGTGTGATGTTCCCCTTCCTGTGTCCAAGTGTTCTCATTGTTCAGTTTCCACCTATAAGTGAGAACATGCAGTGTTTGGTTTTTTTGTCCTTGTGATAGTTTCCTGAGAATGGTTTCCAGCTTCATTCATGTCCCTACAAAGGACATGAACTCATCCTTTTTTATGGCTGCATAGTATTCCATGGTGAATATGTGCCACATTTTCTTAATCCAGTCTATCATTGATGGGCATTTGGGTTGGTTCCAAGTCTTTGGTATTGTGAATAGTGCCGCAATAAACATATGTGTGCATGTGTCTTTATAGCAGCATGATTTATAGTCCTTTGGGTATATACCCAGTAATGGGATGGCTGGGTCAAATGGTATTTCTAGTTCTAGATCCCTGAGGAATCGCCACACTGACTTCCACAATGGTTGAACTAGTTTACAGTCCCACCAACAGTGTAAAAGTGTTCCTATTTCTCCACATCCTCTGCAGCACCTGTTGTTTCCTGACTTTTTAATTATCGCCATTCTAACTGGTGTGAGATGATATCTCATTGTGGTTTTGATTTGCATTTCTCTGATGGCCAGTGATGAGCATTTTTTCCATGTGTCTTTTGGCTGCATAAATGTCTTCTTTTGAGAAGTGTCTGTTCATATCCTTCGCCCACTTTTTGATGGGGTTGTTCGATTTGTTCTTGTAAATTTGTTTAAGTTCTTTGTAGATTCTGGATATTAGCCCTTTGTCAGATGAGTAGATTGCAAAAATTTTCTCCCATTCTGTAGGTTGCCTGTTCACTCTGATGGTGTGATTTGGTTTTGGACCCATGGTTGGAGACCATGGCATTTAGAAAAGTCCATGCATAGGCCTTTTTCCTTAGTGCCTGTGGCATTGCATGATGATGGCATTACCTTCTATTGGTATAAATAGTAAAACTGTAGGAAAGTGATTTGCCTGAGGTGTCCACGCAGGGGCACCCCTGGCGGGAGACCTGGGTCACTCTGACTTTTCAGGCGTCTCAGGCTGGGCACCAGGCAGTCCTGAATGCCAGCAGGACCTACCGAGTCAAATTGTTTTGGAAGGTTGCAGGGTTCAACCTCCCACTTGATGTCAAGCACCCCTTCTCTGCCAGCCTGAATGGGGTGCCCCAGCTTGCGTTAGAGCCATGGCTCTCAAAGTGAGGTCCTGGGCTAGCAGCATCCACATCACCAGTGTCACCTGGAGATGCAAAATCATGGGCCTCCTCCACACTCACTGAACAGGAATCTCTGCAGGTGGGCCCAAAGCATCTGGGTTTTCTCCAGCTCTCTAGGTGATTCAATACATGTTCCAGTTTGAGAACCATTATGTTTGAGCACTTTCTGGAATTGTGAGCTGTCTTCTCCATAAGGCAGCATTTCCATTGCTGGGCGGCACTCACTGGTCAGTGTTTTCCTTACATGAAGGCCATTGCTTGATTGTCTCCGCAGCTGCCCAGGATGTAGGCCCCTCCCCAGGATCGCCCTTTGTGTGTTTCAAAATCCATTCTCTTCTTGGTTCCCACTGAGTCTTCTCTTCCCCGGCTGAGAAATCCTGGGCCCTTCCACTCACCGCTGTCCTGTCTCGTTTGCAGATCCTTCTGGCCGGGCTTCAGTTCATCTGTATTCTGCCTGGAATGCAGCATTCCTTAGGTGGCCTGGCCGCTGCATACTCTCTCCCTTCCTCCTGGATGGCGTCCTTCTAGCCTCACAGCCTGAGATAGAATTTCTTTACTACAGTTGACAATAACTCCCTTTTACAGATGCTACTATCGCTGGTTGTTAGACTCTTAAAAATAAGTAAATATATATCATTTAGTGCTTTGTCAAAGTATGGCTATATGTATAGTTATATACAGTTACAGTTATATACAGTTACAGACTTCAGTAAAGTCAAACTTTACTAAAGTTATGATAAAGGGTGTTCACATGTAGCATCGTATTTAAACCTTGCAGGAACCCAGTGAGGCATGTGTTGTTCCCATTTTACACAGGAGGAAACAGGAGGCCCAGAAAAAAGTTAACTGAACACCAAAGATGACGTTGACCGGTACTGTTCAATAGAATGTTTGTAGTGATGGACATAGTCTGCCTTTGCACTGCCTGTTATGGTAGCTTCCTGTGGCTGTTGAGCATGTGAAGTGTGGCTAGTGGGACTCGGAATGCCATTTGACTTTTATTTAAGTGTAAGTTTAAATAGCCACACAAGGCTAGTAGCTGCTGTGTTAGCATAGTCTTAGATAAGTGCTGAAGCTGGGTAATGAAGCAGCGTCCATTTTCCCTAAATTCAATGATTTTTCTACCCCATCTCTCTAAAGAAAAATAGGAGACTATTAGGGCTTACTTTTTTCAATATTACAGAATCATACTTAATGATTTCAGCACAGAGTGAAAAAATTATATTGGGAGAGGGTTGCTTCTGCATGAATGGGAAGGATCTTTTTAGACTGTCAGCCAGCCTGGTCCAAGTTCCTCGCCTTATCTTTGTTCCGTCTGAGTAGTCGGTACCTGTGAATGAGTGTCTGCTCCCTACCCAGTGTGGTCAAGGGGGTATACCTGGGCCCAGGGGGTATACCAGAAGCCCAGTGCCTGAACTCAGAGAGCCTACCCACTGGTTTAGGAGACACAGCTGATTTGGTGAATCGATTGAGAGAGTATGTCACAGTTCCAAATTGCATGTCATGGTCTCCAGGGCTTTACAGTTGAGGACAAAGTGGGGATGAGGGAGGTTTGGAATAGCTGATGAAAGTCTTGTGAGATTTATTGTATAAGCCCAGAAGAAAAGGTATAGTTTTAAAAGTGAGGTTAATGGTGAGCGATTTCCATGTAGGACAAACTCAGGAAGAAATGGGAGATGAGCACTGGATGTTGTCAGGATGGAGAGACTCTCCTGACTCACACTGAGGGTCTGTTTTGGGGACAGATAATTAATCTTGGGTTGCCGGATCCACATGAGATCTGAAACACTGTAGATGTTAAAAAAGGTTTGGTGAAATGAGCTGGACTAGAGGATATTCCCCTATGGTGAATAAGGTGGGGCTATTTAAAGACAGTGAGAGTGGGCCGGGCACGGTGGCTCACAATTGTAATCTCAGCACTTTGAGAGGCTGAGGTGGGCATATCACCTGAGGTCAGGAGTTCAAGACCAGCCTGGCCAACATGGTGAAACTCCATCTCTATTAAAAATACAAAAATTAGCTGGGCATGGTGGCATGCGCCTGTAATCCCAGTTACTTGGGAGGCTGGGGCAGGAGATTCACTTGATTTCGGGAGGTAGAGGTTGCAGTGAGCTGAGATCACGCCACCCCACTCCAGCCTGGACGACAGAGTGAGACTCTGTCTCAAAAAAATAAATAAAAAATAAAAACAGTGAGAGTGGAGGGGAGGGGAGGGGAGGGGAGATTTATGTGCTTGCTAGGGGGAATACCCAGAGGTGAGGCTGCAAATTCAAAGGGTGGGGCCAGGTTTTGAAGAGGTTACTATTGGACCATGCTAAGGAATTTGGATGACATGAAATAAGCAATACCCATCTATTACCCTAATATTAATACCATAATATTCCTCCCTTTCTTTCAGGACCTCCATTAAAATATACAACAAGTATTTCTTTTTTTGTTTTTTTAAATTGAGACAGAGTGTTGCTCTGTCTTCCAGGCTGGAGTGCAGTGGTGTGATCTTGGCTCACTGCAGTCTCCGCCTCCTGGGTTCAAGCGATTCTCCTGCCTCAGCCTCCCAAGTAGCTGGGATTACAGGCACCTGCCACCACACCCAGCTAATTTTTGTATTTTTAGTAGAGACAGGGTTTTACCATGTTGGCCGGGATAATCTTGAACTCCTGGCCTCAGGTGATCTGCCCATCTTGGCCAGCCGAGCCACCACGCCTGGCCAAAATATGACAAATATTTCCTGAGTGTGTGCTATATGCTGACACTGTTCTTGGTGCGGGGGATATAACAGCGGACAAACAGGTGAGATCCCTGTTCTCCCAGAGCTTATATTCTAGTGGTGAAAGTGGTAAAAAAAAATACAATAAACAAATATACAAAATGCCAGAAAAGGCCGGATGTTATGAAGAAAACTAAAGCAAGGACAAGGGATAGAGAGTGACAGAAGTTACTACTTTGTTGGGTGGTCATCATTGGCCTTTCAGGAAAGGACCTTGAGTAGACACCTGAAGAGCAAGTCAGGGAATGATCCAAGCAGGTAACTCTGGAGGGGAGTGTTCCAGGCAGAGGGAATGGCACACACAAAAGCCCTGGGGTGGGAGTGGGATTGGGGTGTTTGCAGGGCAGCAAGGAGGCCATTGTGGCTGGGGCTGGGTGAGCAAGGGGGAAACAGTGTTCATTCAGCTCAGAACTTCATGCCACAACTGTGCCAGAGGCTTTTTGTCAGCTTTCTGCCAGCCCCTCTGGATGAATTAGGGGAGCAAGAGCCTGGGGCGAGGCACCAGCTGGGACACCATTGCAGGAGCACATGGTGGTGCAGAGAGGCTGAGCCAAGGTAAGTGGGGTTGGGGAAGAGGAGATGGATTTGGGGTGACTCTGGAGATAAAATCAGGAGGACAGAATGATTTGGTGGGTAGGGGGAGAGAAAGGCTATGGGCTAGATGACTTAGGCTATGGGCTAGATGAGGAGTGCCTGGTAGTGACCTTAACCAATGCAAGGGTGGCTGAGGTTGCGGCAGGCTGAGGTTGCCCAGGTTTGGCCATGTTGCAGTGGACGTGGCTGTAGCTTACCAGGTGAATTATCCACGTGTCACTACAGTGACACAGACTGACTCTCAGAGTGCAGGTTGAGTTTGAAGTATGGAGTTGCATGTGTTGGAGTTTAGTCGTTGCAGCCTTGGGAACGTGTGAAATTTCCTGGGGAGAGCTGGGGGAGAGTGTTGGGGAGATTGAATTACCACAGTGGGTGACCAGAAAGAGCACCTTGAGAAGGAGAGTGGCAGCAGAGGGGAGTTCCAGGAGAGGGTTGTTCTGGAGCAGCCAATGTGGCGATCACGAATGTCATCCAGTACTTGACTTGCAATTGCTCCTTCCTGGCCTTAGCTGAAGCGATTTCTGTAGGGGCCTGGTGGTCTCCAATCACACCCGAAGGGGAGGACACTCTCTTCCTGTCTCCATGGCACCACCTCCTCGCTGCAGTATTGTGGCTCAGTGGAGGACATGGCTATCCACTCTATTTCTGGGCCTCTCTGTGTTTTGGTTCTCAGGCTGGCTCCTGACTTGGCCAACAGGAATTCAAGTAGTTTAGGAAATCTTTTCTCTCTGCCATGGTCTGAATATTTGTGTCCCCTTAAATTTCATATGTTGAGACCTTCTCCCCAGTGCATTAGTTTTAAGAGGTGGAGCCTTTAGGAGGCTATTAGGTCATGAAGGGGGAGTCCTCATGAGTGGGATTAGTGCCCTTATAAAAGGGGTCAGAGGTAGCTTGTTCACTCCTTCCACCATGTGAGGACACAGCAAGAAGGTGCCATCTGCAAAGCAGAGAGTGAGCCCTCACCAGATGCCAAACCTGCCAGTGCCTTGATCTTGAACTTCCCAGCCCCTAGAATTGTAAGACATGAATTTCTGTTACGCATAAGCCACCTAGTTAATATTTTTGCTACAGCCACCGAAGTGGACTAAGCACCCTCTCTCTAATGCTTGGCCTTCACCCCAATGAGATACCTTAGTTTGAATGTCAGAAGCTACAAGTCCCCAGTGTTTCTATTTGCAGACTCTTAACACCCCACTCCCTCCCATTCTTGTTCCATTCTCTAGATGCCTGGAGATGCCTGGGTGGGTATTCCAAAGGACACTAGAATTTGTGGGGAAAGGGACTATGGAGAGGCAAGGTCAATGATATGGTGGAGGAATGTGACAGCGTGAAGTTCTGGGGAGGACGAAGGGGCTAGGTGAGAAGGACGCCTTTTCTTCTGATTCCTGGGGACCCAGGGGAAAGATGGGTATACCTGTAGTCTAAGTGGCAAGGAGTCACATGTGTTGTCTGATTTCTCTCTGAAGGAGGATGGTAATCTACTGCAGTTGAGGAGGTTAAGGCAGGACAAGGCACCTGCAGAGACCGGCTGTAAGCTTTAGTGGAGAAGCATAAATGACTGGGGGAAAATGCTAGATTACACTTTTGTTTTGTTTTATTTATGTTTGGCCATTTCTTCAGTGCAGACATTTTATATCAGGCTCCTGTGTCTTCATCTTTGTCCTCATTGACCATTTTTTTCCAAGGTGCATATATAATGGAGTAGTACTAGTTTTAGTATTGTAGTCACCCCTATACTATATTAGTTTAACAATAAATGTCTTATGGGAAATTTCCCATTTGCTAAAGATAAATGAGTCCAAGATATCCATGTACGATTTCGAACGTACTTTTAGAAGCATGCAGCTGTGCAGTATTTTAAAATGTTTTGCCAAATGATTCAGTGTAGTGCTCTTTGTTTGCTGCTGATTCCAGTTTTTGGAAAGATTTTTGTCTCAGGGATGAAAAAGGCAATACCTAAGTGAAAACACATTGGGTGAGGTGTGGCCACCTCCACGCTCCTGACGGTAATCCTAGACTGGGAGAAAGAGCATGAGCCACCCACGGGAGGCTGGCCTCCCATCTCTTCCCAGACACTCACCAGACCTTTCACCTGAAAGATGAACTCAGATGACAGAGGGAGCTCTCCTGAGTTGTGGCCACGTGGACTTCCTGAGTTTCTAGGTAAAGCATTGTGGCTATTGTGTATTCAGCCATTCTTCTTTTGACAATTTCGTGGCACACTTTCTGTGGCCTTGCATAATTAACGGAATTCCTGCAGTGATCCTTGATAATAGCAGTGACCATTTGTGGGGCTCCTGCTTTGCTAGGCACTTGGTGGAGTTTCCTTATTTAATTATCACACCACACTGCAAGGTATCATTGCCCCATTTGGCAGAGGGGATATTGGGGCTCAGAGGATTTAAGTCACTTCTCCCAAGGTAAGGGTATTTGGCAGAATGGGGATTCCGATCAGGTTTCTGCTCCCCACCCCGCCCCAATAAGCTGGACTGCAAGGGGAGGTTGCTGGGTGTAATCAGAGCGTAATTCAATATGACTTCTTCCCTCTGCTTCTAGAAGACAGAGTTAATTTCTTTCTCAGATCAAGCCATCAGCTTTCACTCATAGAGCTTGCTATCTCCATCTGCTTTACAGGAAAAGGTTAATTTATTTTTCCAAGTAAAATTTCGGCACCAACTGTGGCTTCATCCCTGTAGAGGATTCCACCCCACCACCTTTGTTTTCCGTTTTAGGCATTGATTACCAAAGCAGGGTGTGTATTTCTGTGAGTTGTCCAGTGGCCCAATCTCATCATATTTCAGTTCCCTTTTGTGTGTGCTCTTTTGACCCAGGGTGGCGGGTGGGGGGTGGGTGGCCCTTTCCCTACAGGTAAGATGTCATGTGGGCTCTGGCCTGTTCTTAGCTGATTGCACTGCTTTGTGGTGTAGCGTGCTGTGTGAAATATGTGATGTGGGATGCGATCCCAGGTGAATCTAGAGTTTGGGGTACCGACATGTTGTGCTGAAGGAGCACTACTGCCACTCTGAGGGTGGGGTTGGGCTGGGGGGCTGGGAGGCATGGAGCCGTTATGGAGGCAGCACAGGAGAGGCCACACCCGCCAGTGCCTCTTCTCACCCACTCTGCAAAGCTGCGTGCTCTGTAGGCAGCCGCTCTCCCACCAGGACTGTGACCCCCTGCATCTCTGTTCCCTGCTCTGTCCCTTCCCTGTCATTAGTCTTTCCTGTCACCTCTTCAGCGAGGTTGTCCCCAGCCTAGACTCCATCTAGGTCTTGCTTGTTAATTTCAGTTTCAGATCTGCAAATATTCTTCAGAGACTTTGGTGCAACTTGAAGGTATTTTGTTAATTTTTCTCTGTGTTTGTTTTTCTAATCTTAAAGTCTTGTTAAAACTCTGGGTATATAATACTTATATCCCTTGGGTCAAAGAAAAAAATGAAAGCTGCAATTACAGAATATATAGTAAATGATGTGGAGAATACTGTGGATGAAGATCAGTCTCTCCCTCACACACACATACATCTTTAATATCAATTAATTCCACTGGGTTTTTAATTAAAATGCAGCAATTTCTTACCCTGTCTCACCTTACTTCCCAGTCCTGTTTCTAGGAGCGACTGTTGTTTGTTATGCTCTTGGCTCTATATTGACTTTTCTAAGTAAAATTCTGTTTTGTTTGTTTGTTTGTTTGTTTTTTGAGACAGAGTTTCTCTCTTGTTGCCCAGGCTGGAGTGTGATGGCGCCATCTCGGCTCACCGCAACCTCCTCCTCCCAGGTTCAAGCAGTTTTCCTGCCTCAGCCTCCCGAGTAGCTGGGATTACAGGCATGCTCCACCAGGCCCGGGTAATTTTGTATTTTTTAGCAGAGATGGGGTTTCTCCATGTTGGTCAGGCTATTCTCAAACTCCCAACCTCAGGTGATCTGCCCACCTTGGCCTCCCAAAGTGCTGGGATTACAGGCATGAGCCACTGCACCCGGCCTCTAAGTGAAATTCTTAAAATGCTGGTTTTTGATTCAGCAATCTAAGACATTAATTTTCTCCTGGCACCCCGATTCACATAAACTCTTCTCATCCCCCTTCCCTTGTCATGATATCAGAAGTTTGGGTTAAAGCATTATGACTATGTAAGTATTGTTCATATATAAGCTAAGTAGAGTGTCATGTTTACGTTTCCTTTCTTGTTCAACGTTGTTTTGCTGTTACTCTCAGAGTTCTCAGCCTCACGGTTCCCAGTGAATTGGGAAGAGTCCCAGAGTTCCCAGGAACTCGCCTCTTAGTTCCTCTCAGTTTCCATCCTTCTGTTCTGGTCTCCTCTGATACCCCACTGGGCTCGCTTTTCACTTAGCTTAGGACACGCCCATCGTCGTCGTTTTCCTTCTCTCCTGTGTTGGAGTCCCTGATACTGGACCCTTGCTTAAAACAGGGGGTCAGGACAAAGTCAACATCCTGAATGGGGAGGCCCCCATTTCTTCTTCTTGAGAATATTCATGAGAGTGTAAGGTTTTCTTCACATTTATCACGAGTTCTTGATTTCTGTTTGTTTCTCCTCTGTTCCTGAAGCCTTCCTTGGTGCACTCCTCTGTATGGGGAGAGCACGTTCTCTAGGTTTGAGAGAGTACAGAGGAAATACATGTTTTGAGAACTTGTATGCGGAAAACATCTTTATCCCGCTCTTGCTGTGGATTTCTTGTCTGGCTTGATTTAGAGTTCTGGGTTGGGAAGAATTGCCCTTAGAAATTGGAAGCATCGCCTCCTTGTCTCCTTGCTCGCTTCCAGTGTTGCACTTGAGCTGGCGAAAGGCCTGCCAATGCCTGATCTCTTATAGATGACCTGGTTTTTCTCCCTGGAAGATTCTGGGGTTTTCTCTTGATTATGGATATTTCAAACTGATAGACCTCTGTTGATATTTTTTTCATTTATTGTTCTTGGTTTTATGAACAGTCTCAGCTGGAAACTTATGTCTTTCAGTTTTGGAAAATTTTCTTAAAGTCTTTTAAAAATAATTTCCTGGCCAGGTATGGTGGCTCACGCCTATAATCGCAGCACTTTGGGAGGCTGAGGCGGGTGGATCACTTGAGGTCAGGAGTTCGAGACCAGCCTGGCCAACATGGTGAAACCCTGCCTCTACAAAAATACAAAAATTAGCCGGGTATGGTGGCGCATGCCTGTAATCCCAGCTACTTGGGAGGTTGAGGCAGGAAAATCACTTGAACCTGGGAAGTGGAGGTTGCAGTGAGCTGAGATCACGCCATTGCACTCCAGCCTGGGCGACACAGCAAGACTCCATCTCAAAAAAAAAGAAAAAAAAAAAAAGAAAATTCCTCCTCTTTGTTTTTTTTCCTCTTTTTTAAAAATTTTGTTTCTAGAGACAGGGTCTCGCTGTGACACTCAGGCTGGAGTGCAGTGAGATCATAGCTTAAGCGATCCTCCCACCTCAGCCTCCCGAGTAGCTGGGACCACAGGTACACACTACCATGCCTGGCTAAGTTTTTAAAATTTTTGTTAAGATGGGATCTTGCTGTGTTGACCAGGCTGGTCTCTAACTCCCGGCCTCAAGCAATCCTCTGGCCTCCACCTCCTGAGTCACTGAGATTACAGATGTGAGCCACCACACCCAGCCTGTTTTCTTCTTTTTCTGGAGATCTTACTGGTCAAACGTCAGACTTCTTGGATTGCTCCTGATTTTCTCAGTTTTTCTATTTTCATCTCTGTCTTCTGTTCTGCTTTCAGAAAGCTTCTTGTATCTTTTGCATTCTACTGATTTAAAATTTCTGGTCTCATTTTTTGTTCCAAGACATTTTCCTCATTTTTGATTTTTTTTCCTTTTAGATGCGTTTGTTTTGATTCTTAGATTTTTCTCTTCTTTAATAAAAAGGAGAAGATAGTTTATTCGAGGTTTTCTTGTGTGTGTTCTGAGTTCCTTATTTCTGTGTATTTTGTGTCTGTTAGGTGTTGAAGGCTTTCCTGAAATATCTAAGGGGTCCTCAGATTTCCTCTTCCTGTTTCACAGTAAAGGGCTCCAAGGCTGAGCGCAGTGTGCTGGGCTGAGGAGTGGCCACTTCACAGCGTTCACTGTGGGTCATCAGCATGCTGACCTCTCCTGTGGGGGCGGGGCAGGGAGGGGAAGCCTGACTCCGAGTGTTCTGGGAGCTGTGCCAGGGAGATGATGAACACGTGGGGGTCCCCATCAGAATGTGCCTGGCATCAGCTCCCTGTTCTCAGCGTGGTTCCTCTGCCCTGCTCTCTTCTGTCCTGTTACCCCCGGGGTCTGAAGCCCTTCCACTTTAATTTTTTCAGAGAACAACCTCCTACTTCTGTCGGGGTGGAGGAGAGGTCCTCTCTCCTGACCTTGCTGGGTGGGTAGTAAGATCTGAAGTTCTAACTGTTCATCATACAGATTTGTAGGCTGGGCACAGTGGCTAACGCCTGTAATCCCAGCACTTTGGGAGGCTGAGGTGGGTGGATCACCTGAGGTCAGGAGTTCAGGACCAGCCTGGCCAACATGGCGAAACCCTGTCTCTACTAAAAACACAAAAATTAGCCGGGCTTGGTGGTCTGCACCTGTAATCCCAGCTGCTCAGGAGGCTGAGGCAGGAGAATCGCTTGAACATGGGAGGTGGAGGTTGCAGTGAGCCGAGGTCACGCCACTGCACTCCAGCCTGGGTGACATCTTCACACCTGTCCTCGCCCCTGCCTTCTCCCAGTTCCTTCCACCCCCACGCTTTCCTGGGACCTGCAGCTCAGGGGGACGTGCTTTTGGGGGCCTTACCCTTGCACCCTTGCAATTCCCAGCGCTCTTTCTGCTGCTCGCTCAGTTATCACCCTGGAGCTTGCTTTCCATCTTCCAGATGTTTGTTGATATCCCCACTGTTGTCTCCTTTCCTGCTTGCTTTTAGCCTCATGCATGCATATCTTTGTCAGTATTTTTACTTTTGATTCTGGCGTGGTTTGGGGAGGAAGAGGAGAAAGATATGCATGTTCAGTGTGCCATGCCTGACCACAGGGCTGGCCTCCCTACCTGAATGCTGCTTCCAGCAGAGCAGAGAGCAGTCTGTTGCTTCAGGCATGTATCCCAGCACCGTGGTATATGGTAGGTGCTCAGTAATTGAATGGGTAAAACTTTAGTGACACCCTCTGCTTTTTCATCCACTTCCTCATGATTCCCATACTTTTGGGCAAGGTATCCAAGTTCTCTGCTCACCTCCCTTGAGAAGAAGAATTTCTCTTTTCCCATTTCTTTTCCAAAATACTGTGTGGTTGTGATAATTCCTATCCAATCCAAGTGCAGCACTTTATAGATTTTAAATTAAAAATTGGCGTGATGATAATTTATTACTGAGTAGTAATATGTGTCTAGATTTTGAAAAGTTTACTGATTAGAATATTAGTGAATGGAGTATATTTGGTTCTAGCTAGTCTCACTAAAGCATGAGAATGGCATTTCATTACAGCATTTCTTTTTATTTGTAAAAAATTTACTTATTTTTTCCTTTTTATTGAGACAGGGTGCTGCTCTGTTGCCCAGGCCGGAGTGCAGTGGTGTGATCTTGGCTCACTGCAACCTCCACTTCCGGGCTCAAGCAGCCCTCGCCCATCAGCCTCCTGAGTAGCTGGGACTACAGGTCTGTGCCACCACACTCAGCTAATTTTTAAAATTTTTTGTAGAGATGGGGACGCACTCTGGGGTCTCACTCAACTCCTGATTGAGCCAGCCTGGGTAACATAGTGATCCTCCCACCTCTCAAGTGATCCTCCCACCTCAGCTTCCCAAAGTGCTAGGATGGTGAGCATGAGCCACTGTACCCAGCCTGTAACATTTAAACAAATAGAGCATGATTTGTGAATGAAATGCCCCAGTATCAAACTCTAAATCGTAGGTGTCTTCAGCCTACCTTGATCTGACATTGAACTTTAACTGTAGTGGTCCTCCAAGATCTTGGTGGGGTCCATCACTTACAAAGGATGGTTATAAAGGATGGTTAAAGGTGGTTCTTAGTGTTTAAAATCTCTTGGGAGAGATGACATGGAAAGCAGCAACTAGTTTGGTATGACAAATATGAGTAACAGGTATCCAGGCTGCTGCTACTATGGGAAGGAACAGAAGTCCTCCAAATCTGGTGACTGCAGGGAGGTCACACTTTTGTGAGTTGTGAATGCTAAGTAGAAGTGGTTTGGGTGAATCAACGTAAGCAGAGCCTTCCAGGCTGAAGGAGTCACAAAGGCTCCGAGGGTGACAGTGAGTAACACGGCCCTGGTTTGTTTCATTAGCAAATACTCACTGAGAACATGGTAGGTAGAATCACTGTGCTAGACACTGGGGACACGGTGTCTTCTTCCCTCATGGAACTCACAATGTGGGGAAGAAACTCAGGTCAGATATCCTTTCCAGCACATTCTTTTAAGTGCCATGCTAGCGGTATGTAGGAAGGGCAGCCATGGTGGTTGTAGTCTGGAAAGACCTAGAAGAAGTGACATTTTAGCTGGACGTAGAGAGTCAGTAGGCGTTGGCCAGGTTGCTGGGGTGTGCAGGGGAAGGATTTGTTCCAAGCCCAAGGGAGCAGCATGTGTGAAAGTCCAGAGGGAGGAGTGTGGACTGCCAAAAATGTGCACAGAGTTCCGTGTGGTCGGGAGGTGGGGAGATGGAAGGGGAGGGGGTGAGGCAGGGCAGGAGGTAGGGCACGGTGAAGAGCCTGGAACTGGAGTGGAGGGGTTTGGGTTTCATCCTGAGTGCAGTCAGAAGCAGGGGCTGCCCAGTTCCCTCCAGTGTAGTTCCTTACCCCTGGGGCAAGGAAGTCGTGCCAGCGGTCACAGGAGGTGAGGCTGGAAAGGAAGCAGGTCCAGATCTTCAGGGGCTTAGGTACTAGTTCCAGGACTGGGACCTCTTTCAGGCCTGGAGAACTGACGGGCCATTACAAACAACCCCTGGCACTGATGTGATTGGTTCTTTGTAGAAAGCACTTGAGGGGCAGTGAGGAGGGGCATGTGGGAGACATGTTGGAGGCTGAGAGTGGGGCAGCAAGGGGAAGTCTGTTTTCTATAGGAAGCCACTGGTGGGGTCACTCTTGTGGGTGGGGGAGGACCAAGGGCAGTGCAGGTTGGAAGTGCCCTTCTCCCTGGGAGGGTTCTGGAGGTGTGGCTGACTTCAGGCTGAGTGTGGGGCCTTGCCCAGTGCAGAATGCCATCCTGAGAGAGACTCCTGGACTCCCCAAGGGTACTCAGAGTCCAGCAGAGAAAGGCAATGTGCTTTTTGTGGCACCAAGGTTAGGGGTTAAGATTTATGATGCTTTTGGATTTAATGATGAAGGTACAGTGACAAATCAGTGAATAAGGATAATGTTACAATTCAGAACTAATGGGTGTGGAGCACTTATCCCGTGTCAGATATTTTAGGCCGTTCACCTGTAGTGTCTCTTACTCCATATACATAACAACTGTTGGAGGAGGTAGGTGTCGTTACTAATATTCACAATGACACTGAGGCACAGAGAAGTCAGGTGACTTGCCAGGGGCACACAGCCACACTTGTGTGGTTGCAACTGTTTTACACCTGGGTGGCCTAATTGTAGTTTATCCTCTACTTGCTGGGTTATTTTGCCCATTATATGCATTTGCCAGCCTACTTCTTCAGGATTCTTTCCACGTCCTTTGGTGTAGATGCATTTTTCTGTTGTCTGACAAATGTCAGTAGTCTAACTATTGACTGATGACTTCTAGTACATAGGTAAGCAGAGAATCAGCCAGACTCCTGTCCTATTGTTTCTCATGCTTTAGATCTTCAGGGCAAGCTTAAAGCATTTCTTTTTGCCTTTTGTACTTCCAAGGCCCAACATCTGCTTGCGTATAGAAGCTGCATAAGATTTTTGTGGTCCATTCTCTAGTTGGACCATTCTTTAGGTGTGACACAGGGCTTCTTTGTCACGTGTCTCCAGGCACTCACACAGAAAACAGCGTGAGTGGCATTCCCTGGAGTTGCAGTGAGGTTGCCTGGCTGGATGTTGTGGGCTTTGCTGAGTTTTGCCCTGGAGGGTGCGTGTCAGGCCAGGTAATTGGCCTGGCTTTGTGGGAACTGCCGGATCCTAGAATAGGCTGTGCTTAACTGAATGAAAAGAGAATTCATACTTTGGTCTCAGCAGGACAACTTTCAAAACAAATATTCTAGTCTGTGATTGACCAGGATGCATTGAGTTGAGAGCGTCACTACTGCTTACATTTTAGGTTTGGCTTCGAGCGTAATGCTTAATGCTACATGGGTGCCAGTTTCCCCTTGTCAGCTTCCAAAAAGCCACTCTGGCAGCTTTTGCATGTGTTTTGCCAGTCTGCGTAGCAGGGAAAGAAATGTGCCTCTGGAGTGGCAGATTTCAGCAAAAGAATCATATTGAAATCATATCCCAGAGCTGCCCAGTTCTTTGAAGGCACTAGTCTGTTTTCAGTATTTCAAACGCATCATGGAAGATAATTATTTCTATGATCAAGTTGCACCAGCTCTGACCTAGTAAACCATATTATTTGTTTCATTGGCAGTTAAAACCTTTCAAAAGAAGGCATCCATATGATGAAATGAAAGGAGAGGAAATCTTTGCTCCAGTTTAACCACCTCGTGTTACAGATGAAGAAACTAAGTCCCAAGGTCCCTCAGCTGGTGACATTATGACCCATATCAGAGTCTCCTGACCTCTTTTTTAAACTACATGCACTAAGTGTTGAGACAGTGAACATGATGAAACTTAGGAAGGCAAAATAATAATGTTCCCTAGTGTGAGAATCACTAATTATATTTTGCAGGTCAGTGTGGGAACTTTACTGTATTGGCCCAACCATGTCTTTGGGGTCTTTTGAGGGTCTGGAGTATTGACAGATCTCCTCGTAATCTTCCAGGACCCTAAAAAGCTCTTAGCTGTGAGATTCAGGCCGTTGTCTCAGACTTCACCATCCTTTCTTGCCCCCCTGACAAATGAGCCCGGGTTTGCTAAAAGTCACTTTGATATAAGGAGGCAGTCAAGGGCTTCCTCTTGCTCTTAGTAGTAATAGCTTGTATTTGATCACATCTACTTGAAACAGGTGTTTAACATTCAGCTAATGGTAGTGTAGCCTTCTTAATGACGAGAGTAACTCCTTCCAGAAAACTTTTCATAGGAAGAATTTTTGGCAGTTGAAAATGCATTTACTATTCCAAGGAAACATTTTGTTGTATGCTCGTAACTAACAAGTTATTACTTGTGTCTGCTAAAACAACACCAAGACCTGTTAAAATGGACATGGTCACTTTAATATGGTAGTTATATTAGTAATCATAACACAACTCAGTGACTTTTTTGGTTAATAAATTCTCTCTGAAAGAGCTGTTGACCTCTTTTAATTAAGCTCTTCTGTAGCTATTAAACATAATACAGGGTGCCTACAAACAAAACATACATGCACTCGGTGCTTAAAAAAAAGATCTTTCTGGTGAAATAAAAACAAAATATAAAAACAAGGACTATTAAAGGGGTCTATTAGAACAGCAAGGTTTAGGGGGCCTCGTGTACAAGACTGCGCATGACCGCCATCCTGACGGGACTCTCACCATGAGTCAGGAAATGGCTTCATGGTTTCTGGTCTGGGGCTCAGTTACTTATGAGTTGCATAGATCCAAATACCATCTTTGCACATGGAGAAAATGGCTCATAAGCTGAAGGAAGGATATTATATGAAACTCTCTTGCAACTGAGTTTCTGTAACCTGGATGGGTATATCTTGGGATATTCACTGCAGTCTGGAAACCTTACTTCATCTCTTTCTTCATTGTTTTAGAAATGAATGTATGTCTTCCTGGCATACCTTCTGAATTTAACTTCCAAATACCTTCTGGATAAATTGAAAACAACACCTTGCATCATTATGTCATCTGTCACATCAGAAACCTTTAGTGAGAGACTTTTAGCCAGTTTGTGATGGTAGTCTATGAAAAATGCTTTGTGTGGTTGTGTTTTGTTTTTTGTTTTTTTTGGAGTCTTGCTCTGTTGCCCAGGCTGGAGTGCAGTGGTGCAATCTTGGCTTACTGCAGTCTCCGCCTCCTGGATTCAAGCGATTTTCCTGCCTCAGCCTCCCGAGTATCTGGGACTACAGACATGCGCCACCACGCCCAGCTAATTTTTGTATTTTTAGTAGAGATGGGGTTTTGCCATGTTGGTGAGGCTGGTCTTGATCTCCTGAGTTCAGGTGATCCACCCGCCTCAGCCTCTCAAAGTGCACGGATTATAGGTGTGAGCCACCACGCCCAACTGAAAAATGCTATGTTAAGCGTTTAACTTTTTTTCTTATAAAAGTTGTCTACATATTTAAAGATATTTAACAATGACATTTCACGTTTGGCTCATTTTCATTCAGTCACATTTAAAAATCTATTCTAATACACTTAGAACTTGTAGCTTTCATTTATCAAAATGAAAGTTGGGCATCAGGAGAAATTTTGATTCTTAATCGTATCACTGAATACAGCCAAAAGGTTCAGCACCCTTGTACATCGATGCACTGTATGACTGAGAAGTTTAATTCTGTGTACATGCCAGCTTTTGTTTCCGATGGTGCCCATCAAATCTCTGCTGTGTGTAGGTTTTGCCTGGTACAGACAAGTTGTATCTTAAGATTGTGAGACTGTGATCTAATACATTTTGCTGTGGGCCTGTGACATTGAAAAACAGTGGGTGTTGGCCAAAGAACCAATCATGGGCTACCATCCCCAGAATGTCAGTGATGATCTTTGGCTTTTTGTTGGAACTACCAGGTGTCTAGAAAGAAGGCCAGACATTCGTTGTATTCGGATTTGGTGTGGCTTTCACAGTAAACATGGCTGCTTAGATTTGACGGAGGTGCATCTGCTGCAGCTCCTCTGGTGATAGGGACACATGAGTCAGCAGAGCACCATTCTCTTTGACCTCAGCCACACCATTGCAACATGACTTTAGTATGGGGCAAATTAGGAGAGCTAGATTTACTTCTCTTGGTTATCAGAGGCCAGGTCTTCTGAAAGAGAAGAAATAAGATTTGTCTAAGCAGATATCCAAGGGCCATTCATGTTATCTGATGCTTCCCAAAGGGTCTTTAATAAAAATGGTATAGACATTTTAATGTTCCCCATAGTTTTTTTTTTCCCCCAATTTGGCAAGCTGTCATTATTATGATAATGTGCTTTAAGGAATTTATGATTAATGATTACATTGATTACATGCATGGTTAATTAATTACATTAATTGAATCATTTGTACAACAAATACTGAATGAGCAACAGCAAACAAAAAAGTATTTATTGAGTGCCTGTGATTGGCATGCAGAGACCTAGTGCTTGGGTGACAGTGGTGAACAGGAGAGATGGTCCCTTCTCTCACAGAGCTTGTAGTATGGGGTAGGGAAGGACAGACAGATGGGAAACAAATGGCCAAGCAAACCAGCATACAAGTGGGAGTCAGAAGGCGTGCTCTGAAAGGAAAACACATCACTCCGGGGGAGCAGTGGGGTGACCTAATTTAACAGCAGGCTGCTAAGGAGACTGGGTGGAGTTTTCCTTGCTGAGTGTGACCACTGGGCATGGGATGGTGAGTCAGGGGTTCACTGTTGTGCCTTTGCCGAGCTTTAGGAAGCAAACGCCTTTTGTCAAAGAATCCACATTTTCCTTTTCTTTTTTTTTGAAAAACTTTTAAGTTCAAGTGTGTTATATAGGTGAACTCATATCAAAGTTTGGGCTTTGTTGTACAGATTATTTCATCACCCAGGTACTGAGCCTAGTACCCAATAGTTATTTTTTCTGCTCTTCTCTTTCCTCCCACCCTCCACCCTCCAATAGGCCCAGTGTCTGTTGTTCCCCTCTTTGTGTCCATGTGTTTTCATTGTTTAGCTCCCACTTATAAGTGAGAACATGTGTTATTTGGTTTTCTGTTCCTGCGTTAGTTTGCCAAGGATAATGGCCTCTAGCTCCATCCATGTTCCCATACCGGACATGATTTTTTTTTTTATGGCTGCATAGTATCCTAGGGCGTATATGTACCACATTTTCTTTATCCAGTCTATCGATGAGCATTTAGGTTGATTCTGTGTCTTTGCTATTGTGAGTGC
This sequence comes from Homo sapiens, assembly GCF_000001405.40. Classification (NCBI taxonomy): domain Eukaryota; kingdom Metazoa; phylum Chordata; class Mammalia; order Primates; family Hominidae; genus Homo; species Homo sapiens. The sequence goes on along the minus strand of NC_000005.10, from coordinate 16,592,616 downwards.
TGCTGCAGTGGACTCACTCGTGCATGCACCTTTATGATAGAATGATTTATATTCCTTTTGGTATGTATTCAGTAATGAGATTGCTGGGTTAATGGTAGTACTGTATTTAGCTCTTTGAGGAACTGCCATACTGCTTTCCACAGTGGTTGAACTAATTTACACTCCCACCAACAGCATGCAAGTGTTCCCTTTTCTCTGCGATCGTGCCAGCATCTGTTATTTTTGACTTTTTTGTAATAGCCATTTTGACTGGTGTAAGATGATATCTCATGGTGGTTTTGATTTGCCTTTCTCTCATGATCAGTAATACTGAGCTTTTTTTCATACGCTTCTTGACTGCATGTATGCCTTCTTTTGAAAAGTGTCTGTTCTTATCTTTTGCCCACTTTTTGATGGGAAGAAGCCACATTTTTATTTATCAAAATAGTTCATTCTTTTTTGGTACAGTGGACTTGAAGTTCTGATGTAGTTGAATTGATTGGGATTATTTTTAAAAGACTGGCTCGACCGAGGGCATTTCTTTGTTATTATTTTACCTCTGTATTCACTTCTCATCTGATTGAAATATAAGCTTAGGATTGTGTTGTAGACTCTATTCTAGTCCAGATTCACAGTGCTGATTATGAACTGGTGTCATGTGGTTGAAGTGAGGCATTTTCTTTTCTTGTTGCTGTTTCATGTCAAATGTTACAAACACAGACGCTGTGGCACTCCTTTGGAGAGCTTGCTGAGGAGCTGCCACCTTCCCTTATTATCTATTCTTTTATTCTTGTTCCCTGCATTGTTTTTCATGGGCTTTGTCTTTCTTGTTTGGAGAGTAAATATGGCGCTGGAAGTCACAGGTGGAATTATCAGGAGAGACAGATGTTTTCCGTTGGACTTGGTTAGGGCCTGTGCTAAGGGAGGGCTTCGTCCCCCTTGTTTAATTAGAGAAAGTTGTTAGGGTTGTTTGCACCCCTGTGTACTGCTCATGTGTGCACACAAAGGGAGCAGAGATCTGCGGACCTGCTGGGTAAAGGGAGCACTTTCTAGCAAAGCCATGTGAATTGGTAAATGGCGTGGGAGGGGGTGGTAACACTTCTCATCACCTTTTCTTTTGTTCCTCCTGTTATAGCTCCTTTTTGACAAACAGGGAAAAGCATTAAAAACAAACATCCCCAGCGACTCACTTTTAACAAATCAGGGTGGTACTGCTGTTCAAGTCCTCATTCTGGCTCTCGGGCTCTCAGAGTCAGCATGGGGTGGTTACCTGTGGCATTTGCTTATTTTATAGGCTTGTTATGTTTTAGTGATTGATTCTTTCCATATTAAGAAGATATGGAACGTTTCACTGTGTTAGTTTGTATTCTTCTCCTATTGAGTTACAAAAGGGTTTCACTAATGATGAAGTATCAAGTTCTTAACCCTAAAGAGGTCATCTCAGAACCAGATTTGTGGCTGTCTTCCTGCATCTCAACTATGGCTTGAATTCTTTTGGGCTAAACTTCAGCCTAAGTCATCTCCTTTTCCTCGGTTTATTTTCCCTTTGCCCCAATTCCTTAGTTTTTTATATTTATTCTGTGCTATGATAGATATTTAAGTTCTCTCAATTGGTTTTTGGACTGAGGTGTAATAGAAATAAGTGCTATGGAGGCAAGCAAATATGTGTGTGTGTGCATGTGTGTTTGCATGTGCGTGTGTGGGTATATTTGCATGTGTGTGTTTTTTTGTGTTTGTGCATGTGTGTGTGCGTGTGTGTGTATGTTTGCATGTGTGTGTTTTTTGTGTGTGCATGTGTGTTTGCATGTGTGTGTTTGCATGTCTGTGTGTTTTTTTGTGTGTGTTTGTGTGTGTGTACCCACCGGGGAGTAGGGGTTTCTGGGAAGAGGTGAGCTTCTAGCTGGGTGAACCCAGTCCAATGACTTACTCTTTCTTAGCTTTAGTTTTCTTATTTGTAAAAATTGGGTAATGCCATCACTTCACAAAATAACAACGAGGCCCTGGGAGACAGCCCGCCTCGAGTCCGTGGCCCATGTGGATTCTGCAGCACACACGCCCCGAGTTTCACTTAGGCTAGGGGTTCTTTTTCAGAATCATAATTTTTTCATTTCTAAGATATTTCATTAAGTTTTATATTACTACTTGTTTGTGCTATTTGCTGAAGATTCTTTTAAAAATCAAAGTGTAAAACAGGACATTAAAATATTACTTCACATAAAAGAACCTTGAAGGAAGCCTGACCTGCAGCTTGTCCTTCGAGGTGCAGGTTCTGTGAATTCCAGGAAACCTGGCCGTACAGGTGCGTAGCCTCTGGGCTTTTTTGTTACCGCAGGCGCTGCTGTCGTGTGTCAAGGTGTGTGGTCTCCATCGGTGTGGGCACCATGACCTGTGAGTGTGAGGGGCTTGTCTTGCCCTGACCCTCAAATACTCCTGAGGGATCCTGGAGGTCCCAGGATCAGCAGCTGGGGTTGGGGGAACCTGAAGAATTGAAAGCTGTCAAAAAACATTCATTCTCATCTGAGGTTCATTCTCAGTTTAGAATGTTCTGGAAATAGGATCTAGGGAACTTAGAGGAATGGCGTCCATGAGGCAGCTGCCAGTTCTCTCTCATGCTTGTGCACTTGGACATGAGCATGGACATCCTCTTCCACTCTTAGTTGTTTGTTTCTTCTTTTACTTTGACCCATAGGAGAGAATCGGAGTGTTTTCCTACCTGGGATGACACAATACAGTCTCTGGCCTTGAGGTGGCCCTGCTCATCAAAGTTCAACTGGAAGGTGGCCATTGGCTTCAGGGCCAGAGTGGACTTTCCTGATACTTAGTATTGGTGCCCAAATATTTGTCACTGCTTTTTACTGTCTCAGGCTTGGCCACAGAGTAGCGGGGAGTTGCAGCAATTCCTCATGCACTGGAATTGACGGCCATGGTTCTCCCCTTCCATGCTGGCAGGTAGAAAAGAAGACTTGCATTGGGCCTGGGTGCAGTGGCTCACACCTGTAATCCCAACACTTTGGGAGGCCGAGGCAGGCGGATCACTTGAGGTCAGGAGTTTGAGACCAGTTTGACCAACATGGTGAAGCCCCGTCTCTACTAAAAATATAAAAGTTAACTGGGTGTGGTGGCACATGCCACCTACTCAGGAGGCTGAGGCAGGAGAATCACTTGAACCCGGGAGGTGGAGGTTGCAGTGAGCCGAGATGGCACCACTGCTTCAGGCTGGGTGACAGAGACTCTGTCTGAAAACAGACAAACAAATAAACAAACAAAAAAGAAAGACATGCATTGGATACACTACAAACTCCTTTTTGAAAAAAAAAAAAACACTCAAGTTTTGAAAACATCTTTCTCCCTGTGTGGTCAGGGTTGCCGCACCCAGTGGGATTATAATCCCCAAGAGTGTCAACACTGTTTTGCCCCTTGAATGTATCCAAATAAACTGGGACAACAGTCCGCATCCAGGTCTGGATTTTCTATGGTTTCTTGAACATTTTGTTGTTGAATAAGCAAAGGGGGTGGTGTTTTCTAGGCACAACTACTGGATGTGGGGCTCTAGATACTAAAGGAATGTCTGTGTAAGGAGGCTGCTGGCACAGCCCAGCGGTACTGTGTGCATGCACGGAGTGACCCGGGTCAGCTTTGCTGGGCAGAGCAGCTTCACTCTATTGATAAAGGGCACTTGATCCTGACCTTCAGATAAGTGGCCCCCAGAGGATGACAAAATTACTAATTCACTGCTCAGTAGATTTTGTATTTGAGGATTTTGAAACAAATTAGACGGTTGCTTCTCTGTGTCCTGTGTTCATTTAGAGCTTAGTAAGTAGGGTGAGCATATAATTTATTGTCCTAACCTAAGTAGGCCAGGACACGGTATATACCAGGATACTGTGGCCTCTCTGATCTTAAATAACCTGTTGGCTCTAATCTGCATAGTTTCTTACAGCTCGTTCAGATATTTCAGCCTTGATCTCACTTTGTTTACTGAGTGTAGCAGCATGAGTGAATGTTTGCCTTTCTGGCAGGGAGTTTGGGAGGATGTGGATATGTCCTCAGCATGGTGGGGCTGACAGGGCACAGCACACGGCTTGTTAACTTTGACACAGGAGTGACCTTGGGGCCGGCAGGTGAGTGGTCCACACACTTGGTGTTATGGGCTGAATCGTGCTGCCCCCAAATTCAAATGCTGAAGTCCTGACCCTCAGCACACCTGAAAAGGTGATTATATTTGGGGATAGGACCTTTAAAGGTAGTCAAGGTTACATGAGGTCACATGGGTGGGCCCTGATTCAATATGACTGGTGTCCTTATGAGAGGCAGACACCAGGGATATGTATGCAAAGAGGAAAGACCCTATGAGAATGCAGTGAGAAGGCAGCCATCTGCAAGCCAAGAAGAGAGGCCTCAGGAAAAACCAAACCTGCAGACAGCTTGATCTTAGACTTCCAGCCTTCACACAAATTGTGAGAAAATAAACTTCTGTAGTTTAAGCCACCCTGTCTGTAGTGTTTTGTTCTTGCAAAGTAATACAGTTGGCCCAAGAGATGTAAAAGCCTCAGTCCCAGCTCTGGAAGTGATCGCTCTGGCCTCAGACTGGGAGCAGTGGGGAGGGGGGTCTGGACACATGAAATCTTACTGTGGAGCCCAGGAACTTGGCAAGGAACAGTCCACTGTATGTGTCTGTGATCTTGAACAGTGGGTTATTAGGGTGTGATCAAGATTCATTCACCTGGAAAGGGATTGGCTGGAGCTGGGTAAGCAGACCTCTGGCAGGGCTTCCGGCAAAGAGGGGAATGAGAAGGATCAGGCTTGCTGCGGGAGAACCAGGCAGAACAATTGAGCACACCCAAGGTAAGAGTGGGTGCCACATGGATGCATGTGGCCAGAGTCTAGTTCTTTGCATCCTTGGTTGGAGTTGGAGAAGCAAAATCATCTTCTACAGCTGTGGCAATGCCATCAATCTCAGAACTGTGGAATATCTGAATTTCTTTTTGGGACCCTGGACAGGGTCAGGTATATTGGAATGGGTTCTTGAACAGACTGTAGACATGAACTGATGAGTGGGTGACCACAACTGAATGAGGATTTGAAAGATAGACGTCCACATGACAATTACTTTTCAACTCTGCTCTCTGGAACAGTCTGGTACATTGAGATTGGTTTATTAAAGCAGGATGCCAGGGAACTCTACAAATGATGTTTAAATGGAGCGGTGGACTCTGAGTCAAGAAGACCCAAGTTTATATTCTGACTCCATGATTTGGACAAATTGCTCCAACCTAATCTATTTATGGATATATAATTTCCATGTATCTAAATTCATCATGTTGTTTAGGAACATTACATGCGATGGAGATGTGAAAATACCCAGCTAAGGTGGGCTTTGATTACACATCAACTTTTTTTCTGTAGTGGGCATGCCTAGGACGGTTCCTTGAATTCATTACTGTGTGTCTTGCTTCTCTCCCCATCACTCACCCAAGAGCTCTTCTTCTCAGAAGCCTTTTCAGCACCTATCACTATGCCTTATTCCCAGTTGCAAAGGACTGAGTGTCTCCTTTTGTCCCCGCATTCTTATGTTGAAACCCCATCACCAATGTGATGAGAGGAAGCCTTTGGGAGCTGATTAGGTCCGGAGGATGGAGCCCTCATGAATGGGATTAGTGCCCTTTAAAAGAGACCCCAGAGAGATCTTTTGCCCCTTCTACCACGTGAGAACACAATGAGAAGTTGCCATCTCTGAATCAGAAAGCAGGTCCTCACCAGACACTGAATCTGCTAAGGCCTTAGTGTTGGACTTCCCAGCCACCAGAACTATGAGAAATAGATTTCTGTTGTTTATAAGCCACCCTGCCTGTGGTATTTTGTTACAGCAGCTGGAATGGATTAAGACACCAGTATGTGCATGTGTTTATGTGTGAAGGAAGAGGCCCCAAAGCTCAGTTTAATATTTGGATCTGTTACACCGCATTCTCTAGAACTAGAGTTTATAGAATCAGATAATATTTGAATGGGAAAGGCCCTGAGACACCTTCGCAGTCCAGTGGTTTGCAAATCTGACTGTTAGCATGTAGGTTCCTGTACCTCTCCTTGGAGCTCTGACCCACCCAGTCCAGAGTGGGACCCAGGAATCTGCAATTTCTAAAAATGCTTGTGACCAGTCGAAGTAAAAAAAATGCCCCAAGTAATTCTGATGATGATGAGGCAGTTTTAGGAAGGGCTTATCTAGCCAGTGCCTTAATTTAAAGATGAAAATACCGAGGCAGAGGATATGGAGGTGTTTCTCACTGGCCATGCTAGACCTTCCACCTAGCTGTGATTAGGATCCCACATTCATATTGTAAGTTCCCACTGGGCAGACACAAAGATGCCATTTGCATAAAAGATAAAAGACACAAAGATTTCCATTTGCATAAAAACCCAGCTGCCCATTACCATGGCTTCCTGACCTTCATGAGTTTATTTCTTCTTTCTTCTCCGTACCTCCTGCCACACCGTTTCTTTCTTTCTTCCCTCTTACCATCCTGCACGACATTGCAGTGTATGACTTTGATCTGTTATTCATTTTTCTTATAGCTCCTTTCTATGACTGAATCTGGTAGTTAGTATTTAACTTATGGCTAGCTGATATAGTTTGGATATTTATTGCTGCCCAGATCTCAGGCTGCAATGTGATCCCCAGTGTTGGAGGTGGGGTGTGGTGGGAGGTGTTTGGGTGATGGGGGTGGATCTCTCATAGCTTGGTGCTGTTCTCAAGATAGTAAGTTCTCTTCAAGATCTGGTAGTTTAAATATGTGGCACCCCCTCCCCACACTCCCTCTTGCCACTGCTCCCACCATATGAGATGCCTGCTTCCCCTTCACCTTTCACCATGATCATAAGCTTTCTGAGGCCTCATGAGAAGCCGAGCAGATGCTGACCCCATGCTTCCTGTACAGCCTGCAGAACCAAGAGCCAGTTAAATCTCTTTTCTTTATAAATTACCCAGTCTCAGGTATTTCTTTAGGGCAATGCAAGAATGGCCTAGTACCTAGCTCAGCTGGAGTGGGCTGCAGAACTTGACTCACCCGCCCTGCCTCGAAGTCCCCTTCCCTGCTGTGACCAGGTCAGGTAGAAGGTGGAATAGGAGTGGGCAGGTATTCAATTTATACACTAGGTGGAGCTAAGGAGCACATTGCACTGCCCTAGGGTGCCCCTGACTTGATTTACCCATGGCTTTTCTCATAATTCCAGTGCAAGGGTGCACAGTAGAGCATGCTCAGTTTCTCTTTGCCTTGACCTCAGATGGCCTTGGTTCCATCCTAGCCATGCCCTTGGTTTCTCCTACTCTTTAGGCACAAGAACGCAAACAGAATACAAACTCCCTGCTGCTCCTCCCCACTGTCTTATCTGTTTGTCCACCATGCCTTGCTGACCTGGGCACATTCCCTGAATTCACTGGATTATCGTGATGTGCTTCTCCTAGAGTAAGGTTATTCCCCTCCTCCACTGCAGCAGACTCTGATTGTTACTACCCACCATTTCCCTGTGATTGATATCTTCCAGAATTTCTCATCTCTTTAGAGAAAGGAGTCTATTACCTACCACCCTCTTTTCCTCTCCTCTGATGCTTATAATTCATTTTCTTGGCCATCACAACTAAAGAAGTACTTCCCTAGGGAAAAAAAAAAGGCTTCTGAGTTCCATTTAATCCTGGATTTGCAATTAAATTGTTATTGCTTTATCTCACTCCATTTTCGGATGATCGTCCTTTCCAAATTATTTAAAACTATATATTCATGTTTAAGAAATGTACCCCCCAGCCAACACACATACATGTTTTAAACAGCTCTGAAAATGGGATACATATTACAATTGAGAGGGTCTTTATTTTTTTGGCAGCTTTTTTTCCTTAATAGTGCACAATTTAATTTCACACAGCATCTTCAGTTACTAATTTTGCAGAATCTGCATAAAAGGCCAGGAGAAATTAAAGCCAACTTTAGTTGAAACTCTGAATTTTGTGATATTATGATAGATGGCTGCAGGTATGTCTAACTCTTGAGAAGATAATTATCTTCCAGCAAAATGTGATGATCTGGACTTTGAATAATGTTTGGTAAATCATTATGCCTTACGAGACCCTTTTTTCTTTCACAATTAGAGCCACCATAATATTAAATAAAGCCAGGAGATGTTAAGAACTCAGTTTAGGGCTAGGTCTACAGTTATATATATTTCATTTTTTAAAATCATTTATTCAATATTTAATGAACATTTAAATTGAATGGAGGGATTGCTACTTGACCGTTAAGATCCTTTCTGGATTTCATATTCAGTGATTCTGATTTTCTGTGTAAAATCTTAATTTTTTAAATTTCAATAGATTTTTGGGGAACAGGTGGCATTTGATTACCTGAATAAATTCTTTAGTGGTGATTTCTGAGATTTTGGTGCACCCATCACTGGAGCTGTGTGCACTACCCAATGTGTAATCTTCTATCCCTCACCCCCCTCCACCCTTTCTCCCAAGTCTCTGAAGCCCATTGTCATTATTATGCCTTCGTGTCCTCATAGCTTAGCTCCCACTTATGAGTGAAAACATACAATGTTTGGTTTTCCATTCCTGAGTTACTTCACTTAGAATAATGGTCTCCAATTCCATCCAGGTTGCTGCGAATGCCATTATTTCATTCCTTCTTATGGCTGCAGTTATGTATATTTCAGTAAAAGAAAGTGAAACCCTATTTTTGGATCTCCATTTTAAGAGTTACAGCAAATAATGCAGATTCATTTCCATATAAGAACTCTGAAGAGTTCCAATGCTTTTATCCATAGATGGTCTTTCTTTGAAGACAAAAAAAATATGTTTTAGCTGTTGATAGCATTCATTTCATAGTACAAAATGGGTTGTGCTTTACTCAGAAATGAGGGTTAGATTTTTACACATGGAAAGAACTAAGTCTTGTGTTTTTTATCCATTATCAAACAAGATTTGCGTGTGTATGAACTATTTTTCTTTGCTTTATAGGAAATTTATCCTATTAAGCCATTTAATTTGGCCTTGCAAAACTCATCATGGAGTAATGGAAAATTTTCCTTGTCAAATGGATACACGACTAGTCAAAAAATTATACATATGTATATTATATATATGTAAAATATATATATTGAGACAGAGTCTCGCTCCATCGTCCAGGCTGGAGTGCACTGGCGTGATCTTCACTCACTGCAACGTCCAGCTCCAGGGTTCAGGCGATTCTCCCACCTCTGCCTCCTTAGTATCTGGGACTACAGGTGCATGCCACCACGCCCTGATACTTTTTTTTTTTTGTATTTTTGGTAGAGATGGGGTGTTACCATTGTTGCCCAGGCTGGTCTTGATTGAACTCCTGGGCTCAAGTGATCCGCCTGCCTCAGCCTCCCAAAGTGCTGGGATTACAGCTGTGAGCCACTGTGCTCAGACAAAAAATATTTTTTGTAGTTAGCCACTGAGTGCAGGTCAACAGAAGGTCACTCGAGTACCTTCACTTTATTTTTCATCGTGTAAATTGTCCACATAGCCCAGCACCTGTCCCTGCTCTCTGGCTGGCCTGGCTGCTTTGCTGTGACCTCCTGCATTGCTGAGCCTGAGCAGGCACAGATGTCTGCCCAGAGCAGCCGCACCTAGAGCTCCATGTGGGTATGGAATGCTCAAGAATCAATAAAGGCACAAAGAGGCACAAGGAAGGGCCAAATGGCAGGGGTCCGAGTGATCCATGTAGAGAGAGGGAAGATGCTGGCTTACCCAAGAGTAAATTATTTTGACAGCCCGTCATTTTCCCTGATGGGCATCTTTGTGGAACGAGTGCCCTCACTCTCGGGGCTTCTGAGCGGCCAGTGCAGACTAATTTTGATATTCGTCAAAGCCTGGAATTTGATAGGAAAATGTTCCTCTTAAAATCATGGTGTGTTCTGATATGGAAATAAGCCGGGGATTACCCAGGCCGTTTTTTTTTTTTTCTTATTTTATTTTTTAACCATGAGCAGAGGGTTTCCCCTGACAGTTTCGAAACTTTCTCTGCATCTTTACCTGCTGCCCTGACACTCTCCTTTGTCTCTGAGCATAAGGAAGGGATCTTAATTCTTCCCTGACCCAGATATCTGAATAGAGACCAGTCCCATAAACTATCCCGTCAATACCAAGTGGGATAAGGCAGTTGGTTACTTGAAAACCAGATTAAAATTCAAAATAATGTTACTGAATCTGGGAATGGAATAGAAAAAAAAAATAGGAGAAATAAAAAATAGTAAGAAAAAAAGCAAATAGACACATTTATCGAATATAGGCCGTGGTCATCACAAGCCAAACATGAGTCACCTGGGTGATGTGGTTTCTTTTTTAGAGCAATCATCACATTACTATATAGAAATAGGCCCTAACTTGCTAAAAGAACGTGCATATGGTGATTTAGAGAACTGTACCTTTCCAATCGTAGCTAAACCACACAGTATGTCTTTCTATGACAAATGGGGTATTTATTATACACATAGACTTTATGTATTTATGTATAGCATAGAATTGTCATATATAATGTTTACCTATCATGATATGTATATGTATATTTTAATGGTCATATATAATGTTTGCTTTAGTTTCCAAAGTTTGAAATACGCTTTTCAGATAAAAGTTGTATCCTATTCAAAAAATAGCTAATGCATGCTGGACTTAATACCTAGGTGATGGGTTGATAAGTGCAGCAAACCACCATGGCACATGTTTACCTATGTAACAAACCTGCACATCCTGCACAGGTACCCTGGAACTTTAAATAAAATAAAATAAAATATTTTAAAAGGTTGTATTCTATTCAGCTAAAAGAACATGTAACTCTCACTAAATAAATGGTATTTTAATTTAAAAATGTATCGTTTTTTTTCTTTTAATTGGTTATAAAAAGGCCATCAATCTATAGAGAGATGTTTGTGATGGCTGGAGACTTAGGGATTGGTGGAAATATTGCTTCTAATCACTTGGGTTCTAGGATCCATTGATGTGGTCACAAGTGCCTGGGCTAATTCGGATAAAGACAAGGGCCAGTGGTCCTGTGTGTGTGTTTTGTGTGTGTGTGTGTGTGTGTGTGTGTGTGTGTGTGTGTTGTGTTTCTGAACTTAAAAAGTATTTTAAGGATAAAAAAGCCTTTATTGGTCACTGTGATGGGGATCTTACCTGGAAGATCCAGTGAGGATGGGGCTGGCTACATGGGAGAGTGACCTAGACAGCCACACAGGGCCTGGGGAAGGCCGTCACTTGGGGATGAATGCTCTGTGGTTGTCATCTTGTGATTCTTATCACTGTGTTCTTTGAATTTGTGTTTTGTAAGTGAAGTGTGATGGGGCAGTGGAGCATGCACAGGGGATTGGAGCCTCAGCTCACGTGCAGTCCTGCCTCCGACTGGCCTCCCTCTCCATCTCCCCATTCCCGAGAAAGGGTTCTTGACCACCCACTTCTTGCCCTGGCCCTGCCCAGCCTCTCCCTTCCAATCTCACCCTGTGTGATTGCCCAGGGCAGTGGTCAGTTGCATCAACAGGGAGGCTTGTGTTCCACTGTGGCTGTCAACCCCTTGAGAAGGCCTGAACATGAGGGGCTGTGTGCCCTGCAGCTGCCAGGCAGGTGGTGACTGTCATCACCTAGGCTGGCAGCAATGTGGTGCATTCAGCGGGTGACTAGGCACGGGCCTCTCACCTGTCCTGGATCCAGGTCCTGAACATGCCCTGGAGTGGAAGTTGCAATATCTTGGGGATGCCCCATTTGTCTGGGAAGGGGGTTATTGACTTCCTTAGCCCAGGTGAGGTCTCTGCATTTTCACTTATCCTGGGCTTTGAAAATTAAGGCAACCCTCTAGTGAGGATGGCGCACATGCACAGACCTCCCTCTTCCAAGTCTGTACTCGATCGCCCTGCCCTCATGGTCTTCTGGGCAGCCTGTACTTTGACCACACTCCCCCTCATGATAATTATTCTGCAGCTTTCCAGAGCCCTCTGACAGCCTGTGTGTGGCTATTTTCCCTTCGGAATTCCTCCATGGTTACCACACGTTTCTGTGGACTCTGTGAATGGGCAGATCAGCAAGGTAACCCTGGGGCTTTGGCTCAGGCTGCACCCCATGATGTTTTTGGCAGAGTCTGATGGTATTTAGTTCTTCTACAGAGAACTATTACATACTTTAAAGTAATTTTCAGCAGCAGTCAAGCAAATCTGCACTTATAGACACTTAGCCCTTCAGAATGCTGGAGGCGTCAGCAAGGTGTTTCAGAAAAGCTAATTCTGTCTTTGTGGATAAGATGGAATGATATGGGCAAGCACATAGTGGCAGACTGGATTGTCTGCTGACTAGTAATCTAGGTCACTCTGCTAATAGGGAGTGACAGGACTCCAGTACCGATCAATAGCTTTGATCAGTAGTGTGGATGAGGACTGATGACGTCCAGATAGAACATGCATGGTGTCCTGAAGCTGGACAAGAGAACAGATGTGATTGATGTCACCACTAAAGTCCATAGGTTTGAATGTAGGACGTGTCAAACAAGAACAAACTGCATAGGACATATTTAGATTCAAAAATGGTATCTGAAAAATAGAACCCTTGGGGATTTTAACTGCCTGTGAATTCAACTTCAGCCAGCATGCTGATGGAACTGTTAAAATTTTTTTAAAAAGCCATGCCAAAATGAGTTGAAAACTTATGTCCATACAAAATCCTGCACGTGGATGTTTATAGCAGCTTTATTCATAATTGCCAAAAATTGGAAGCAACCAAGGTGTCCTTCAAAAGGTGAATGGATAAATTTTAGTATATCTTATAATGGAATATTATTCAGTGATCAAAATGAATGTACTATCACGCCACAAAAACACTCAGAGGAAGCTTCAATGCATTTTGCTAAATGAAAGAAACCAGTAGGAAAAAGCCACATACTGTGTGATCACAACTACAGAACATTCTGGAAAAGGCAAAACTATGGAGACAGTCAAAAGATCAGTGGTTGCCAAGAGCTTGGGCGAGACAGGGATGAATAGATGGAGGACAGGGGACTTTTACGGCCAGAAAACTATTCTGTATGATACTATAATGGTGGATATATGTCATTATGCATTTGTCAAAACCCATAGAATGCTCTAAAAACTGCTCTAAAATATATAAAAAAAGAAAAGGCTGTAAATTGGTGCCAGTCCTTCCAGCTCTTTTCATGTGGGAGCAGGCAGATTAAGAGGCAGACACTTGTGTCCAGCAGCCGTTTAGCAGAATGGCAAGAGCTGGCTTAGAGCCAGGCTGCCTGGATTCATGTCCTGGTCCTGCGTCTCCTTTGTCTTGGGGCCTTGAGCAAGTTTCTGAGCCTCTTTGCTCTTCTGTAAAATAGGTTTAATGACGATCCCTTCCTGAAGGGATACAGGATTCAATGAGTGACTCCATATAAAGCTCTTAGAACAGTCCTGTGCTCACTGAAAATCAGCTGTGCTATTTATCCTGCATTTGGTTCTGGAATTCATAACTTGTGCCTCAGAGTGGAGGAGACAAAGGTTAAGGGTAACCTCTCTAATTCAGGCTCTAGTCTTGTGGCTCTCTTGCGGTTCCCTTTGGGTACCCTGTTCCCCAGCCTGGAATGCATTGGTCTCTTTTCTACCTGGCCAAATCAGATGTCTTTCGAAGTCAAAGTTTAGATGCCACCTTCTCTAGAGCTTTCTCTGGCTGCTTTATGTAGTTACTGGCTCTGTTTTCTGCCCCCACAGCATCCTGAATAGCACTTTGGTTAAACACAGTTGTTTACCTGTCTGCTTTCCTGGCTTTGCAGGGGGAAGGCTGGGATTTAGTCACCAGTGTTTTCCCAGCAGCTAGCCCAGTGTGTGACAGATGCTGTGAATGGAATGAAAACAGAATTCCCTGCCTCCCCCAGTAATAATAGGATGCTGCCGGAAATTGAATGCTGCAAGAAATGTTGAGCTTCCTGGCATGAGATCTATTTAAGTAGAGGTGGTTGATTGCAGCTGAGGGGATTTGTGGATCAGATGAAAGTAAATCAGATGACCTCTGAGCTCCTTCCAGCTCTGTGATTCTGTGACAGTCCTTCTCTGAGTGATGCCACAGCGTGCCAGTGTCAGGATCGCCCACGCCCAGCAGATGGGGATTGTTTTTTGATGTCCTTACAGGCCAGTTTCCATGTAAAGATCGGTTAGAAACAATTTTGTTCAATTACTTTTTAAAGAAAAATTTTGATTTTATAAAATTACAAACTTAAAACTCATTTTTCTTTGAGCTTTCCATTTTAGCTAACAAAACATTATTTTGTTTATAAATCTAGCAAATTGTAACCGTGTTCAAGAGAGTCTGACTGTTTCATTAAATAATAAATGATTGCTTTATTAAGTGATTAGTTTTGTTAGAAAGTTGAGTTATATTCCTTTGAACATTTTAAACTGCATTTGTAAATGTTATATTTTCTATATCCCTTTGAAGTACTTTATTATCAGAATAACTAAGGTTGTGCCAAAGACCTGAGAGGCGACCTGAATAAGACGGGGTAGCTGGAGCATCAGTAAGGATAACTCTGCAGTGACTGAAACACGTCAAATATGTTCAAACTCTTGAGTTCATAATAACAGGAAAAAAAGGAATAAGAAAACGTATGAGTCTGTTTTCACGCTGCTGATAAAGACATACTCGACACTCGGTAATTTATAAAGAAAAAGAGGCTTCATGGACTCACAGTTCCACGTGGCTGAGGAGGCCTCACAATCATGGTGGAAGGTGAAAGACACGTCTTACATCGTGGCAGGCAAGAGAGAATGAGAGCTAAGCAAAAGGGGTTTCCCCTGACAAAACCATCAGATCTCGTGAGACTTACTCACTCCCACGAGAACAGTATGGGAGAAACCGCCCCTGTGATTCAATTGTCTCCCATTGGGTCCCTCCCACAACACATGAGAATTAGGAGAGCTACAATTCAAGATGAGATCTGGGTGGGGACACAGCCAAACCATATCAGTTACCTTTAGAGGACACTAGGGAACTGCTTCACTATCTTGAAAAAACCGGTAAAATAAAGGGAAGAACTCAAGAACTGATGCTGCCTTTCCGACGAGCTCCACCTCTCAGTGTAATTGGACATTGATGAGGGGAAGTTTCTCGTTATAACTGTGATCCAGCTATTACTCGAAGCAGGAGTGAAGGGCCGTCACCCCTTGTAGCCTCTGAGGAATCAGCCACTAGACAGGGATTGTCTGTGGCTGCCAATAGTGCAAGTGTAGCCACCAAGACATCCAGACAGTCTGCGTGTCTCTTGATGGAAACAGGCACTACCACCTATCTTTGGGTTTTAGAGGGAAAAAAAAAAAAAACAAACCTAAGTCTTATCAAGCCTCTAGATCCACGTGCCAACTTATAGGCTACACAAAAGATCAAGGAAAATGTTAAACCAAATCACAAGGATACAACAAACGATTCCCAGAAGCTGGAAAACTTTATTGGAGAAATGAACCTGACAGCAAGGGACCTATAAGGGTCCAGGACACTTAAAATCCACATCTGCCAATTTCAGCAGATGACTTTCTCAGATCCTGTTTCAGTCTGTGTGTGTGTGTGTGTGTGTGCGTGCACACAAAAATGAGTGGGGAAATATGAACCTTGATGGGATATTCGATGACATTAAGAATTAAAGTAATTTTTTAGATGTGATGGTGGTATTGTTATTTGGTTAAAAATATCTTGTTTTTGGCCAGGCGCGGTGGCTCCTGCCTATAATCCCAGGACTTTGGGAGGTGGAGGCGGGGGGATCACAAGGTTAAGAGATCGAGACCATCCTGGCCAACATGGTGAAACCCCATCTCTACTAAAGATACAAACATTGGCCGGGCGCGGTGGCTCGTGCCTGTAATCCTAGCACTTCGGGAGGCCGAGGCAGGTGGATCACCTGAGGTCAGGAGTTCGAGACCAGCCTCAACATGGAGAGACCCCGTCTCTACTAAAAATACAAAATTAGCCGGGCGTGTTGGTACATGCCTGTAATCCCAGCTACTCGGGAGGCTGAGGCAGGGGAATTGCTTGAACCTGGGAGGCGGAGGTTGCGGTGAGCCGAGATCGTGCCATTGCACTCCAGCCTGGGCAACAAGAGCGAAACTCCGTCTCAAAAAATAAAAAAATAAATAAATAAAAAATAAAGATACAAAAACTAGCTGGGCATGGTGGCGTGCACCTGTAGTCTCAGCTACTCAGGAGGCTGAGGCAGGAGAATTGCTTGAACCCAGGAGGTGGAGGTTGCACTGAGCCAAGATTGCGCCACTGCCCTCCAGCCTGGCGACAGAGCAAGACTCCATCTCAAAAAAAAAAAAAAAAAGAAAAAGAAAAAATCTTGTTTTTGAAGATAAATGGCAGTATTTGCAGATTAAATTACATGATGTTTGGGATTTGCTTCAAATAATTTCGGGGGAAGGATGAGCTTAGTGGGTGGGAATATGGAAGAAACAAGATTACCCATGAATGGAGAATTGTTGAAACCGGGTTTATTACACTCTGGCCTCTCTTTTTGTGTACGTTTGAAGTTTACCAAAACAAAAACTTTTTAAAAATTCCTTCATCTAATAACACAAACCCTCCCAAATATTAGGTACTACTTGAAAAATGAATAAACTAAAGAATAAACTCATGTTTGTAAGATTTTAAATTTCCAATCACAAGTCTAAATTACTCAGCTACATATTTTGAAGTGGAGCCCTGAGACAAATCATCTTAAACATTATAAATAATTAAAGTACCAAAAGTGCTCAGATTTTTCTAAATACAGATTATTCTCTTAGGGTTTCGTTTCTCAAACATGTTTATATGACACTAACCCACCAAAGAATCAAATATGTAGTCCCATACAGTTTGGCATTACCTTGCTAAGCAATTGCTGGGCTTGTCTTCTCAGTGGACCGAGGATTCTCGATGACCAACAAGACCTTGGCCAATATGCCAACTGGGCCCTTGCCCAGGACAGAATAGACAGACATCCCGAGTGCTCTTTGGAGTTGCTGTGGCAATGCCTTCCAAATGAAGTCTGGCAGCCAGGCCTGTGGGTTGCAGTCCTGGCATTACCTAATTTTCTTTTTTATTATTCTTGGAAGTTTGTAACTTCCACTAAGAGAATAACTAATGGCCTTTGTGCTTTGGTTGGTTTTGCATTTCATTGGTTTTGAAAAGATGCTTAAATGGCTTCCTGGCCAGCTCCAAAGACTTTTAAACTTGAGGGAGCTTTCTGTCTGTGCTAGGGCTTTGCCTGACCCTGCAAAGAAAGCCATTCTAAGGAAGCATGCTGTTCGAACATTTGCAGGTTCTGTCTCATGCCATGTGAGCCGAGCTGCGCATTACAGCTCATTAGTGGGCCCTGAGTCAGGCGAGTGATTCACAGTCAGCATTTAAACGCGTAATAGAATTGAATGGAAAAAGTTGAACTGCATTATGAATTGTAAGGAAAATATTTTTCAAAACTTGTTTTTCATTTATATGTATGTAAATATAAATGAGTTTCTTATTGTGGGTCACTATGAAATCTGCCACTTCAACGTGAGGTCGGGAAAACTGGGAGCACCCAGCACATGAACAAGAGCAAGAATGAATCCTGAATTGAGAGTGAGGAGGCTGGCCCCAAACCAAGCAAACACCAGAATGCAACCTTGCTTAAAACAAACAAGAGCTACAAAAATAGAGCAAGTGGTGGCTCCTTAGGGGAGGGACAAATTTAGTGGAGGAACAAATGATTGTTGCTAAAGACATGGACTGCGGCATTTTATTCTGTAACTTGTGTCTTTTATGTCTGTTCCATCTTTCTATGCTCCTAATTCACCACTCCCTTTTGGTAGCACAGTGCTTGGTGCAATTAGGCAATCAATAAATATTTATTAGATGCAAATACTAGTAATCAAACCACCTGTTTCAGGGGGCCTGGGAGGAGGAGCCTGGGGCCTGGGAATCTACATTTTAACAAGTTTTCCAGGCAGCCAACCTGGCAGCAGTTGCAGACTGTTATTTAAGAAACACTGACCTAGTCCACCTGCTCATTTTGCTGGCCCAGGCCATACAAACAGCATTTGAACCAGTGAGAGCTTGGGTTGGCCACCTTCTGGTGGAGGGCTCTACCCACCACGTCACCCAGCATCTCATGTTGATCTGCTTTTCACCAAACATACTGCATGACCTTCTAGTAGGTGGTCTGGACTCCATGCTTCCTCCCTACCCCGTCACATCCTTCCTGTTGCCCTCAGACATTTCCCTAAATCACCCATCATTTCACTTCCCTGCTCTATACCTTTGACTTTCTCTCTATTGTTTGTAGCATAAGACTTACTGCGCATTCTGCTTGACACAGTCTTCCCTGATCCTATCTCCCCAATCTTGTCTCTCTGCCAGTCTCTGAACCCTCTTCTTTTGCTTTCTCTTCCTGCTGAGGCACCCCAGATTACTTGATGTGCCACAGGTACCTCACCCTTTCCTGAGTCTGATCTTTGGTTCATGTTGTATTCTCTAATTGGAGGAGCCTCTATTTTCATCTGAGTTGCATCCACCTCCCCAGACCCAGTTAAGTGCCGCTTCTATAAAAACTTCCCAGCCGGGCGTTGTGGCTTGTGCCTGTAATCCCAGCACTTTGGGAGGCCAAGGCCGGCGGATCACCTGAAGTCAGGAGTTTGAGACCAGCCTGGCCAACACGGTGAAACCCTGTCTGTACTAAAAATACAAATAAATTAGCTGGGCGTGGTGGCAGACACCTATATTTCCAGCTACTTGGGCGGCTGAGGCAGGAGAATTGCTTGAACCTGAGAGGAGAAGGTTGCAGTGAGCCAAGATCGTGCCACTGCACTCCAGCCTGGGTGGCAAGAGTGAAACTCCATCTCAAAAAAAAAAAAAAAAAAACAAAAAACAAACAAACCCAAAAAACCAATTAAAAAAAAAAAACCATTCCCTGCTTTGGAGCGAATCCATCCTCCCTCTCCCTGTGCCTCTCCTTGTTCTCTGCACATTTCTGTGACAACACCTAAGCCTTGCCTGCCTTGGACTTTGTGAGCTTGGCCTGTGTTTGTCTGATGAGAAAGCAAGTTTGCAGAAGGCAGTATTCGTGTGTTCTTTACTTCTCTTTATAGCCTTGCAAACAGTCTTAAACATTTATTAAATTAATTTTTCTATGAGTTCTGATTCTATCAAAGTTAATATTCATTGGCAGCTTGGCCAATTAACTTGTGTAAACAGACCTCTAATCTCATGTGAAGGCTCAACGCTCTTTGTGATTTCTTTACAAACACACCCAAAAAAAGCACTGCAGGGTTTGTGTGCTGCTCACGGTCAATAATTTTTAGTTTGTTTCCCTGCAGAGAGGAGGTAGACAGGTAGCAAAAGGGGAGCATGATCTTAAAGCGAAAGAGTTAGCAAAGTGGATCTTCAATAACTGCTTTTTTTTTTTTTTTTTTTTTTTTTTTTTGAGACAGAATCTCACTCTCTCACCAGGCTGGAGTGCAGTGGTGCGATCTTGGCTCACTGCAACCTCCGCCTCCCAGGTTCAAGTGATTCTCCTGCTTCAGACTCGGAGTAGCTGGGACTGCAGGCGCACGCCACCATGCCTGGCTAACTTTTGTATTTTTAGTAGAGACGGGGTTTCACCATGTTGGCCAGGATGGTCTCAATCTCTTGACCTTGTGATCCGCCTGCCTCGGCCTCCCAAAATGCTGGGATTACAGGTGTGAGCCACCACGCCCGGCCAATAACTGCTGTTTTTAAGAGACGAGGGTGGGAGTAGTTAGAGAAGTGAATAGGGCGTAAATGAAAACACAAGACAGGGTGGTGACTAAAGGGCCTCTGTAGTGCAGCCCATCCGTGTCTGTTAGAGAGCCCTGCAGCTTGGCTCTGCAGCCCATCCTAACTCTGTTTCAGGTCACTTCCATTCTCCATCGGCTATTGGAGAAGCCCAGCACTAGGAGCAATATTTTGGTCTATGCCTGAGATAGCAAATCCTCTGCCCGAAATTGGAGGGTAGAGCAGAAAGCTTAGCACAAAAGCGCGCAGGCTCAGACACTTTCATTTTGCTGACTTTGATGCCTATTAAATAACTTTCATGCAGTCACACTGGGGTGATTTTGGAAAGTGAAATCATGCCAGGCACAGTGGCTCACGCCTGTAATCCTAGCACTTTGGGAGGCCGAGGTGGGTGGATCGCTTGAGGACAGGAGTTCGTGATGAGCCTGGCCAACATGGCGAAACCCTGTCTCTACTAAAAATACAAAAATGAGCTTGGCGTGGTGGCTCATGCCTATAATCCCAGCTACTTGCGAAGCTGAGGCAGGAGAATCACTTGAACCAGGGAGGCAGAGGTTGCAGTGAGCCGAGGTAGTGCCACTGCACTCCAGCCTGGGCAACAGAGCGAGACTCTGTCTCAAAAAAAAAAAAAAAAAGTGAAATCATTATTGAATACCTTTTTTGTTTCTGTGGCAGGAAGTAAACCCAATTTTGAAAAGGTTAAAAATCCTCAAATTGAAATACTGATTTGTGTTTCGCTGTTGCAGGTTCCTTGCATTGACTCCATGGAGAGTATATCACCTGATTTCCGTCATGATACTTGGGCGTGTTATTATGCAAATAATAAAGGATATGGTTTTGTCTAGAACAAGAGGTAAGAATACTCAGATTTTATTTATATGGTATTTAATTTTCTAGACCCTGCATTTCTGATCTTTGTGTAGGCATATTAGCCAATTAGTCCTTTGAACAGAAGCAAATATAGGCATTGACTTAGCTGTTTTCAATACGATAATTTATTGAGGTGGTGCTGTCTTTGTAGCTACTGCTTGTAGGTAAAAGGTTTGTGTGTGCTGGTTTTTCTCTTGGTCTTAAGAGCTATTTTAAATACCACGTTGGTATTTAAGTAGGCTGCAGTGAGGATAACAGTTAAATATTTATTACATCTCACATGATGAAACTGGGCCACTGGAAAATGGACTAGTTTATGTAAAAATTTTCTCTGCCTCAATGAAGAAAAACAACTAATTCAGGGTTTAAAAGCAAGCGATGGTTAAATAATTTTAAAAAATGAGTTGATAATAAAAAATGAATAAATTTTAACATTAAGTTTAAAAGCAAGAGCTTGGTTTAAAAAAAAAAAAAATTGGCCTGAGGTGCTTTTTGGGTAATTTAACTGTATTACAAATCTGACTCAAGTCTTTTGCATACTTGGAGGGGCCTCTTGTACCACTGTTCGAGCTAGTTTTTGTAAACTTGGGAAAAGCCCTCCTGAGAATAATTAAGCCCCATAAACTTAAATGTAATGAGATAGATTTTATCAGAAATAGCCACCAGGAGGTTACAAAGAGACATTTAATTTCACTAAATGCACCCCAAATGGAGGGATGCTTTTGGTGGAGGTCCGTGTGGACTGATGTGCATCAGAGCTGCCTGGATTATAGTCCTGGCAGGGATATCTAGGCCTGCCCTATGGGAGGCACCCATCTCCTCCCTGATGGCAACTAGAAGCCAGCGATGTCAGCTGGTACGGATTTACTATCATGGTGTTCTAGGGATCTGCTTGAAATCCAGTTATAAGTCTTTACAGTTTTTAAACTCATCATGTAAACCATCTTTAGATTGTTTTATATTCGTGTGTTTCCAGGTTTGAAGATATTTCCTTCCCAAGATTCCAGGAAGGCAAACAAATTTGGTTTTGTGCCCTTAGTGCTTTCTGTGAATCTGTGGATTTCAGTTGTATTCTTCAATGCACTTTTCCTTCTCTCCCTTTTTTCCCTCTCTCTCCATCTTCACTTTCCTTTTTTCTGTTTCAGGGAACAGACACCTAACTCCCCAATTTCAGCCCAAACAGGCACTTGTTGTGATACTTGTTTACCACACACGTATCCAGGCTGCCTTGAGGTGGGGCATCTCCATGCATCAGGGTTTCATGCCAGAGTTGGTCTGTGGATCAGTCCTTGATGATTCTTATTTATCTGCCTTGACTCATATCTGGTAGAGCAGAGCCTGTTTTCCTAAATAGACAGTAATATGTTCACCCTCTACAGGAACTCCCTCAGGGAAATCTCAGGACATAAAGCCACTCATACATTTTATCTGCAACCATTTTATCTTGGTGTAGAGTAAGCTAAACATGGACCCAGGAAGCAAGCTGAGCATCTGAGTGTTTTCAGTGTTTCCTCAAATTTGGCCCTAGTCTGGGCACAAGTTATAAGGAATAGACATGTGTGGAAGGCCAAAGGCAAAGCTGAAAGACTTTGCAACTGTCTTTTTCTCACTCCTGGCCCCTCACACACAGATCGTTTCCGCTGTTGACTCATGGGCTTGATATTCATGCAGATGTGGAAATTTCATACTCACAAATTGCAGGAAACCTTTACATTGCAAGAATTCAGTCCTTTAAAAAAATTAAGGTAGTAGAATAGAAAGAATGCCAGCCTAAAGGGCCTCATTTTTGAGCTAGTTCATTCCATTTCCTACCTGTGGAGAAGCCCCATGATAGACTGCATTTGTTTCTGTGGCTGTTGTAATAAATGACCACAAACCTGGTGTTTCAAAACAGCAGAAACATCTTCTCTTAAAGTTCTGAAGGACAGTAGTCCGAAGTCAGTGTCACTGGGCCCAAATCAAAGCGTTGGCAGGGCTGCATTCCCTCTGGAGTCTCTAAGGAAGGATCCATTCCTTGCCTCTTGCAGCTCCTGGGAGTTGCGGGCATTCCATGGCTTGCAGCCGCATCACTGCAATCTGTTTTCATGCTCACCTGACCTTCTCTTCTGTCTATGTCAAACTTCTCCATCTTCCTCTTGTAAGTACACTTACGATTGCATTTGGGGCCTACCTAGATAATCCAGTGTGATTTTCTCATCTCACATTTCTTAACCTAATCACCTCAGCAGAGACCCTTTTTCCACTTGAAGTGACAATCATGGATTCCAGGGATTGTGACTTGGTATCTTTGTGAGCTATGAGTCAGCCTCCTATACCATCTGAACCTCTCTGTCCTGTGAAATGGCAGAAAACATCCTCATACCACAGGGCTTTATAAGAGGTCAATAAAAGCGTCAAATAGAAGGGCCTTCAGCACAGTAGCTGTCTACTTCGCCCAGCTGACATGTCATCAGGGCCACATGGGGTTTGTGTGTTCCTGGGTCAGTCCGTGTTGAGCCCCTTTCTGTGCTGAGGCCCAACCTGGGTGCTGGGCTCCCTGTGGGGAACCAGACCTCTGTCGAGGCAGAGCCTCCCTGCAATCCTGTAGATCAGGCCGTTGTCCAAGGACAGGCTTTCAGTCTTCACCGGATGACAGTGCTCTGAGTGTAGCATTTCTACTGCATGAAAAATTAAAAAAAAAAAAAAAAAAAAGAAAGAAATGGGAATGATTACTCTGTCTTCCTAGAGCTCTGTTTTCTGTGCTGAAGAAACTCTGGTGCCAGCTTCATCCTCCTTCAGTAGAGTCTCTTAGGACAAAGGCCCATTGGGGAGCCCTGTGAATAGTTGGCAGCAGTCCCATCTCGCAGGCCTCCTAGCGCAGGGTGCTGCTGCTGCGATGAATCAGTCTCTGCAGGGCACAGTTTGGCTTCACGTTAGATCCAGATGCAGTTACGGTAACTCCATGGCGTCAATCAGAACTGCCAGCTGCTCTTGTTAGATGCCCCGGCTTATAGCAACGACAATGACAATGAAAGGACGACCAAGTCAGCAGTCTCCTCTCCTTCCCTCTCTTCCAGCTTCTCTGCTTCCCACGTTTTCTCGCTAAAAATATGAAACTTTTATTGTTGAGAGTTTAATTGTATCCTTCCCCCAGTTATTATTTTTGTTTTATTCTCTTAGAAAATTTTTAAGTGTACAGTATTGTTTCCCGTGCATGTTGTTGTATAGCAGATCCCTAGAGCGTTTTCATCTTTGATGACTGCAACTCTGTTCCCATTGAACAGCCAAGTCCCCCTTTCCCCTGTTCCCCCTTCCTCCAGCCCCTGGCAACTACCATTCTACTTTCTGCTTCTATGACTTTGACGACTCCCAGTTACAATCTTTGATACCATCTTAGGTGCTTAATATGAAATAGATGGATGAGGCCGGGTGCAGTGGCTCATGCCTCCGCATGACCTCAGCACTTTGGAAGGCCGAGGCAGGTGGATCACTTGAGGTCAGGAGTTTGAGACCAGCCTGGTCAACATGGTGAAACCCTGTCTCTACTAAAAATACAAAAAATTAGCCGGGCGTGGTGGTGGGCACCTGTAATCCCAGCTACTGAAGAGGCTGAGGCAGGAGAATCACTTGAACCCAGGAGGCAGAGGTTGCAGTGAGCTGAGATCACGTCATTGCACTCCAGCCTCGGTGACAGAGTGAGACTCCATCTCAAAAAAAAAAAAAAAGTCAGTGATATCATCTTGTGAGTGAATGTTTGTGAAACCTGTGGGAGCCCATGTCTATTTTGTATTGCCTGTGAACATCCTCTCGCTGGGATGGATTTCTCTCTCTCCCTCTCTTTGTCATTGTTATGTACCTTGAGTGTGTGCTTCCCTGCGTTAATGCCTTTGTCTGAACTCTGGGGAACTCTTCTATGGCCTGGAAAACTCCTCCTGCATCCTGAAACTTTTCCATGACTAGCTTCATTCTCTCTCATTGAGATAGAACCAGTCATATCTGCCCCCCGCTTTCTTTTCTGTTTGTTTGTTTGTTTATTTTTAGAATTGGGGTCTCACTGTGTTGCCCAGGCTGGAGTGCAGTGGTGTGATCATAGCTCACTGCAGCCTCGAGCTCCTGGGTCAAGTGATCCTCCTACCTCAGACTCCTGAGTGGCTAGGACTACAGGTGCATGCCACCACACTTGGCTAATTTTCTTTTTTAATTTTTGTAGAGATGGGGTCTTGCTGTGTTACCCAGGCTGGTTTTAAACTCCTGGCCTCAAGTGATCCCCCCGTTTTGGCCTCCCAAAGCACTGGAATTACAGGTGTGAGTCAGCGTGCCTGCCCCCCAGCTCTCTTGAAGATCTTCTCTAGCTACTGCCCTGTGCTGTGGGAGGAGGGCTCAGTGGGTGGCTCTGAGGCTCCCCCAGCCACCTGTGGAGCATCTGTAACCACTGCTGCTTTATACTTTCCTTCCTGTGAAATCTACACTGTCCATTGATGCCTGGCCTCAGCACCCTGGTTGCCATCAACTGTGGTCTCAGTAGGGATTGTGGCCCATGAACTGCAGTCCTTCGTGCACTCACCATTCTCTGTCATTCCAACTTGTACTCTGATAGCTTGTCAGATGGCCTGGATTTGGTTGCCTATCAGGTAGCCTCATCTTTGACCTTGGCCTTTGGAAGCACAGTGTCTCCAAGACCTGCAGAGTCTGCGAGTTAGTTCTCAGTGCACCCTGTCTCCACTCCTCCCTGGCCTTTCATGCCTGTTGAACCAGCTCTTTGACTCTTGGATGGACTCTTTCCCTGCTAAGTCTCTTGCCACTTGTACTGTTCTTCAGCCCTGCCTTTAGACTGACTTCCTCCCTCTACTCAGCTCCTACCTGGTCCATGCTCAATGACTACAGAGATGCTGTCCTTACCATTCTAAAGGTCCTTGTTTCCTTATCCATCAGCTATACTCATTTCTTTACTTTTTAATAATAAAACAAACAAGCCAATGCCCATCCTATACCATCATCTACTTTCTCCACTCTTGGCTCCAGGATTGTTAGAGAATTGTCAAATGACAAGCTGAGCTGATGCTTTCCAACTTTCCAACTTTAGTTGAAACCTTATTATTGCTCACAGTCCCCTGCATTCTTTTGAGTTCTCCATTTGTTTTTATATGCCACCTTCCTCCAACAAGTTTGAAGAAGCTTATTTGGAACATAAGCACAAAACTGTTCAAAAGAGGTCTAGAAGAGGAGCAAGAGTCTAACCTGGTAACCACTGATTGATCAACAGATTTATCCACATGCATATTGGCAGCCAAGGCAAAAAGGAAAACCACATCAATTGCACAATTCTAATTATTTGAAAAAAATGAAGCAAGCAATTTTGAGACACTTATTTCTGGAAGTAAAGGTTAAGAAGGATTTATCCCATAGCTCTCGATAGGGGATATTGAAAAACATAAGGGACAACACATTTGGCTTTTTGTTAGATGGAAAATGCGGAAGCTTCCTCATGATCATTTCTTACATTGAGCTGCATTAAAGCTGGTAGCTGGGAGTATAATATCAAGATGTAGTCAAATAAAGACATTGGTTGGAAAATTAAGAAAGCAAATTAGATCTAGGTGTGCATATGTATATATGTGTGTGTGTGTGTATTTTATGTTTTATATTGATTTCATTTGCACCTACCTAAAAGTCAAAACATCTAAACAATGAATAGATAAAAATCTCCTTTTTTCAAATAACAGTTGTCTTAGTTCTCCTTTTGTCGGCACCATGTCAAGACTCACCTTAAATGCCATTTCTATTATTGGCGCTTTTTGAGCAGCTGCATTTTCTCTCTTCCCTGAACTCACATGGTGTGTGCCTCCCTCTTGTGTAGTTAGTTCCTATACTGCCTATCTTGGTTCATATTTACTTGGGTTCATATTTTGTCTGCCCCAGGGGACAATGAAGTCCCCGAGGCAGGGTCCATGTATTATAGAGTGTCCTATCTCCCACGGTACTCACCCAAGTGTTTTACATGTAGTAGGATCTCAATAAGTATATGTGGACGAATTGCCTGAATTAGCCATGGTGCCAGCAGTGTACACTGTATGACTTGATGGTGTCCTGAGTGTTAGAGATCTGAGCATTCCACTTTAAATAGCTTGGACTAGTTCAGAGTTGAGAAATATTTCAGGAGAAAAATACCTCTGTTAAGTTTCACATTTTGCTTCTCCCTGTTGCAGGTGCACAGTTGTGGAGAAGCCTCAGTGAAAGGTAGGGAACTTTCTTTCCGTGTTGTGCTTAATGGAGGGAGGGTGAGGGAGGGGACTGAGCCACCAAGATGTAGCTCTGAAATAGAATTTTAGTGACAGGAATCTAAATCCAAGAGTAATTTACCAGAGTGGGAAAATGAAGAAAAATACCATCAATCGGAGGCCAAGGATGAAGTTGGGACTCATTCTAGGAAGTGCTGTGTATCTTGCTATGATACTGGGCAACATGAATTTGTGAGAATCATGTGTGAGGATTTGGAAGGGAGGGGAGGGAGGCATTTTCTTTTGGGATTTCCTTTCAGACTCATTTTTGGGATGTGAACAAAACTGCTGTATTGGGAGAACAGGGCTGCATGCACTCAGTTGGAGAAGGCTGCTGGAATGTTCCCGAGGGTTAGCCATGCTGTCAGTTCAGAGGACTGTGGGGTGGGGGAGACACAGAGATAGGGTGAGAGGCTGTGAGGTGTGAGGGTGCAGGAGATGCTGACTGCCAGTGGGCTCCTTGCCCAGCCAGAGGCAAACCTCAGCTCTCTTTTTATGGAAGGTCCATCATTCATCCATTCTATGGTAAAGGGGCTGTTTCCAAATGGACAAGGAAAGGGCTGGGGCAGTTGATTGAGGGGACCACAGTGCACTCTACCAACTGGGTGTATGAGAGGCGGGAAAATGAGGGGAGTATGGGGATTAATATTGCAGTAAGATGAATTTTTGTAGGAATTGATTTTTTAAATTTCTGCCTTAAAATATATTTGTATTACTTAAAAACGATGGCTGAGGAACCTGACTTGTATCTAAGTGGGCATCACAAAATGAATTGTACAAAAGGAGGACAAAATAATGCCATGAAAAATCTTATAAAAAATCACCCTGTATTTTATGTAACGCACCTTTGGAAGCTGTGCTTATGCAAATAAGGCTTATTTCAGCTGGAAAGGTTAATTTCATGATCTGTTTACAACTGCTTGCTTGTTCCTTCATTTCAAATCCCAGATTTTCATGGGCAGGATGCAGACTTGCCAAGAGACTCAGGAGAGAGGGTGACATTGGATATAAGAAGAGAAACGTGATCCCTGGTGCTTCTCGTGGAGGTGGCGGGCAGCCTGGGAGGGGTGGGCTGGCCCCAGGGAAGAGCTGGCATAGGCTCTGGTAGGCATTTGTCTTGCCCTGTGCTCTGATCTGTGTGCTGCGCATAGGCAGGTTAAGGTTCTCTTTCTATTTTATAGAAACTTGCTTGTGGGAATGTCAAGATAAAGAGAACCTTAAATTACTCTTTTGAGATAGGGAAACAGTCATGTGTTTGGAATGGATTAAAATGTGTTTTGGGTTTTGCTGTCTATCTGCTTCATGCTCCAAGTGCTTTTTCTACATTGTCATCTTTTAGGGAAATCATTTAAATAAAAAACTGTAAGAGAACGTCTCAGCTGGAAATAGGATCTGATTTATGCAGTATAATGTTGGAAATCAGTAAAAGACATCTATGAAGACAAGGAATTTCATACATAGTTTGTTCAGTATGAGTTTTTAGAATTATTTTAAATTGCAATTATGCACAGGCAATAATTTTCTTTACTGATAGAGTTTTATCAGTAGTAAAGAGGAGGATAAAGAAGAGAATGAAAAGCAAACTGAGAATTTAAAATCTGATTCCTAAGCAGAAAATACATTTCTGACCCAGCAGTTGTATAAATACAGTTGTATAAATAGAGCAGACAAGAAATACTGCTTAAGTTTTAGATTTCTTTTAAAAAGGAATAACAAAAAAGTTTGTATTCATATAATAAAATAATTTGTGTAATTGGAAACAGAAATTTAAGATATATTGTCAATGGATATGATGACATAATTTCTACAATCATGACAAAATATGTACAGTGACTCACTTAAGAAAGTTTCCTCTTTTCTTTTCCAGTATCTTAATTAACCCAACAAGTAAGGTTTGAAATACATGGAAAAAAAAGATTTATATTTTTAGGCCTAATTGATAGAAATAAAGATTAATTTTCAAAAAACTTTTCAATAAAAACAATTTCTATCTAGTAATATAAATACATTTTACCCACACAGGTCATCTTCTAAGACCAAATCTTCCTAAATTAATTGGTTAATTTAGGAATTAATAATATGATAAAGGATAGGAACTGGGATAGGGTGAGCATGGCTCTCATTTTTGTTTGCCAGCTCCATGTTTGTTAAAGACATTTACAGGCCAGGCACGGTGGCTTACATTTGTAATCCCAGAAATTTGGGAGGCCAAGGTGGGCAGATTGCTTGAGCCCAGGAGTTTGAGACCAGCCTGGGCAATGGTAGGGAGACCCTAACTCTACAAAAAAATACAAAAATTAGCTGGGCATGGTGGCGCATGCATGTAAATTGAGCTACTTGGGAGGCTGAGGTGGGAGAATCTCTTGAACCCAGGAGGCAGAGGTTGCAGTGAGCGGAGATCACGCCACTGCACTCCAGCCTGGGCAACAGAGCGAGACCTTGTCTTAAAAAATAACATAAAATAAATTAAAGACATTTACTTTGTTCCTACAGAAATGTGTAGGCTCTGAGGAGTGATTCCTGCTAACTAAAGCTCTAAGACAAAGATTTGTAAGTATGAGTGAGAGGGATCTTGCTCTGCTAAGGAATTAAACTGTTCAGTGGGTTTGAATCTTGCATTAGTTGGTTCTCTCACACAGGCGTTATTTTTAAAAACAGTTTTAGATTTACAGAAAATTGAGAAGACAGTACAGACTTTCCATACACTCCCCACCTCCTGGAAACAGTCCCCCCCATCCCCCCATTAATAGCATCCTACATTGGTGTGGTACAATCAATGAAGCAATAGCTAATTTATTCTTATTAACTAAAGTCCATGCTTTATTCCGATTTCCTTAGTTCTTACCTAATGTCACTTTTGTGTTTCAGGATCCCATCTAGGATCCCACATTGCATTTATTTGTCATGTCCCTTTAAGCTCCTCTTAGCTGTTCCAGTTTTTGAGATTTCCTTTGTTTTGGTTGATATGGGCAGTTTTGAGGTGTACTAGTCATTGATGCCTCCTCTTGAAATTTGTCTGATGTTTTTCTCATGATTAGATTGGGGGTATGTGTTTTTGGGAGAAAAATTTCAGAGGTAAAATGTCATTTTCATCATCCTATCAAGGGTACAAGCCATCGACATGTGTTATGACTGAAGTAGTGTTTGTCAGGTATCTCTAAGTTGGTTCTCTTAAGCAGGAGAGTCTATTGGGGAAACTGACTTAAGATCTGAAGGCTGTTGATGAGAACAGCCAGGGATTTGGATGTTTGCTGAAGATGGCACCCTTAAGGCACACAGGCCCTAGGCATGTATCCACCTCAGGGCTGGCAGTTTGGAGCCTGTGTCCTAGTCCTGCCCACCACAGATATCCTGGGCTGCCTTGGGTAAGTGTCTTAAGCTTTCTTTCTTTCTTTTTCTTTTTTTTGAGACAGAGTTTCACTCTTGTTGCCCAGGCTGGAGTGCAATGGCGCGATCTCAGCTCACTGCAACCTCCGCCTCCTGGGTTCAAGCCATTCTCCTGCCTCAGCCTCCCGAGTAGCTGGGATTATAAGCATGTGCCACCACGCCTGGCTAATTTTGTATTTTTACTAGAGATGGGGTTTCTCCATGTTGGTTAGGCTGATCTCGAACTCCCGACCTCAGGTGATCTGCCTGCCTTTGGCATCCCAAAGTGCTGGGAT
The DNA here is from genome assembly GCF_000001405.40 of Homo sapiens. NCBI lineage: Eukaryota > Metazoa > Chordata > Mammalia > Primates > Hominidae > Homo > Homo sapiens. Next base: position 16,562,059 of record NC_000005.10, on the reverse strand, counting down.
TACAGGCATGAGCCACTGTGCCCGGCAGTGTCTTAAGCTTTGTATGCCTGGGTTACCTCATTTGTCAGGCAAGGAAATCGAGGCTTTCTCTCTAACTGTGGTTGGGGAAAGATTAGACAAGCTGAGCTAGGGTAATTTCAGTGGATTTGAAAAAGCACTCCATGCTCTTTGACTCAGGGTTCTTTCAGATTTACTGAGACTCAGTTTGACTGGTCAAGGTATTTTCTCCCCTTCTTTCTTGCACCCACAACCCTTCTGAATGCATCTAAAATTTGCATGTGAGAATTTCTGCTGTGCTGTCTCTTAATACAGAAGCTGTTTGAGTGTTTAATGATGATTTGGAAAAAATATTAGCACAGCAGAACCGAAGGACATACTTTGCTAACTGTTAGGTTTGGTTACGGAGTGAGAAGCTCCCTATTCTAGGGCTTTTGTTAGACTTAGGCTATTTCTCTCCTTTGGGGAAGTGCTCACATGTCCCAGAGAAGGCAGGCTACTGGAAATACCATTTATTTGTATTTGTATTTTATTTTATTTTATTTATTTTATTATTATTATTTTTTGAGACGGAGTCTTGCTCTGTCGCCCAGGCTGGAGTGTGGTAGAGCGATCTTGGCTCTCTGCAAGCTCCACCTCCCAGGTTCATGCCATTCTCCTGCCTCAGCCTCCCGAGTAGCTGGGACTACAGGTGCCCACCACCATGCCCAGCTAATTTTTTGTATTTTTAGTAGAGACGGGGTTTCACCATGTTAGCCAGGATGGTCTTGATCTCCTGACCTCATGATCCGCCCGACTCGGCCTCCCAAAGTGCTGGGATTACAGGTGTGAGCCACTGCGCCCGGCGGGAAGTACCGTTTATAGGAAGGGTCTTATTCATTCTAGAACTGGTTAGGTGTATATCCAGGTACAGCTAACTTTCATTCTGGTCCCAACCCTGCAGCTCGTGGTCCTGCCAACTTCACTTCTCTTTCGGCCTCAGGTTTTCATCTGGTTAATGGGAGGTACAAGTGAACTGTTGCAAGTACCCCATACAGCCTGAGAAGTGTATGATGGTGCAATGTGAGGGATTTATGTGTCCCTTTCATATTGTTGTCTTTTTACACCAAAGGGATACTTTCCTCGGTGTGGCCACTGCAGTTTCCAATGTGTAATGCTATTTACCACATTGGAGATGTGAAGTTACATACTTATTCCTTGAATTTCTTTGATGATTCGATATGTTGTCTGCAGTGATTCTTAGCATCTGGCACTAGATAGTGCTTATATTTTTAACACTGAAAAATTAAAGAACACTTTATTTCAAGAACAAAATACAGTGACTGATAAGTAGATCTTTGAAGGCAGACAGAGGTGCTCTTTTGCTCATGTGAGCCATGTGGGATTAGGGTTTTTTCACCTCCACATTCACAGGTGCTGAGCTCAGAAACCTCCCCCTCACATGGCAGGAGCTAGAAATCACCTCCAACTGCCCTTTGGCTACACAACTGAGATTCTCAGGTTAGTCAGAAAGGCTTAATTTTTCCTCCTTCTTCATTGGGCTAGATCTCAGGATAAGCCAAGCCTTTTTTTCCATGGCGTTTCATGACCTTTAAGAAGCATTCCTAGCATTAATTTCACTGTTTAAAAAAAGTGGATCAAATAGTGGGCCATTCACCACTCACAGTGCCATTGTTAAGCTTTTACATTGAGAAGGAACTTCTCCTTTCCTTCCCTACAATCCTAATGGCTCGTTATGTAGATCACAAACTATCATTTACTCTTTGGGAAAAATTGCTTTTGTCAACTACACTAAGCTTAAAGTATTTCCTTCAAAATTTAGCATAAACGTGGTAGTAGATATGTACACTTATGCAGGTGTGGTTTTTCTGGATGTTTAAAGAGTATTCATAAAGTTCACAAATGTCACACTGAATGTAATGGTAAACCCAGGGTCTAATTTCTGATGGCCTCATCAACAATCAACATTAGATAATTTTAGTCATATGCCATTCACATGTCAATATTTGTACCTGGAAAATTCCTTTGTGAAAATGTGGTTCTCAGTGGGTATGTTCTGAGAAGGACCCATGCTTGACCTATTTCTTTAATAAACACTAACTCTACAATCTGTGAACAGGATTTACATAGAGCTGTCTGCCAACAGAACCAAATTGACATCTTTATGGTTCATTCCTAGCACTGAATTGAAACCTGATCCATAGTATTATAATAGTTTTTCCTTTCTGCATGAAACTGTAGCATTTGATTGAATAAAGTCCTCTTAACGAATGAGAAAGTATGCATGTGACCTTTTCTGTATGCACAGCATCATTTAAAAACATAAAACTGTTTTCAGTTTGGCCAGGTTTTTCCAAGTATGTTATAAATTAGAAAGAAATAACTTTACATACAACAAATCATTCAAAATTTCTTCAATAGTTGGTACATTATAACTCAGATGAACAAGTTATTCTCATCATGAATCTTGTTTTATTGTTTGGTGCCAATTTAAAGCAATTTTTTCCTTGGCATCTAAAGCTTGAAACCTGAAAATTATGGCTGAGAGCTATCGGATTTTCTGATAGATATTCCAGGAATCCAGATGCCCCTAGCGGTGTGCTCTCTGCAGGAAGTGGATGGGGCTTCCCGAGCTTGCAGCTAGGCCATTGCATCTGATGGCCTTACCTTGAGCTGATTCTTGAGAGGCAGAGCACAGATTCAACAGAGTCAGTCTTTCCAGAGCCAGCAGGGATTAGCAAAGGGGGTCCTGAGGTTTTTTTTGCCCCTAGCTTGGTCAGATTGTGGGCGTCCTCAGCCTGTCTATCTCTCAAACTCTTAGGAGAAGCAGTTGTGTGGCCCTGATTCTTGCAATGAAATGCTCTTTTGTTTTGTGGGCTTCCAGAAAATGGCCAGTGAAAATGCTCTAGTTGGTTGTATGCTTTCAAGTAGGCGGAGGGGTTGGAGGTGGGAAGGTGAAAGGATTCAAGAATCTTTGGTTGTAAAACCCAAGTCCTTGGTGTTCACCCAGCTTATAGGCCCAGAACAAATTGGAGCATTTAAATCAGAGATGTCTAACACATTAAATCCTTGAGCACAACATTATGTCACTCTTAAAAGTAGAAAGTCATCTAGCGTTTGCTAAATTGTCTCCTCTAAGGAATGGAACTTAGTGAGAAAAATGTATTTTTTATATTTATGACTCATATCTTTATCTCAAACTTGCCTGGATTAGCCACAGATTGGCTGATCTGAATTCCCAAATAAAAAGCATTAAATGTTTACCTGATAGCTTAAGAGGTTTAATCACGCTCCATGTTAAGTGTAACAGTAATTCTGACATTCATGTGTTGTAACTACTAGACTTCACAGTTTGAATTTGTTCTAATGTGTCTTAAAGTCACCTTGTAACTTGCACTTTATAATCTTGTACCTGGACCTTGTAACTTGTACAGTAAGACTGGAACCTTGTTAATAAGGCATCATATTTGAAAGCTGTATTTTTTAGTTTTCTGTTCAGTCACAACTATAGACAGAGAGCCACATCTTCATGAGTTTAAAAGAAAATCTTGCTGTGAAGGATACATTGTTGTTTTAGTCTGTTTTGTGTTGCTGTAACAGATTATCTGAGACTGGGCAATATATAAAGGAAAGAAATTCATTGCTTATAGTTCTGAAGGCTGAGAAGTCCAAGGTCAAGGGGCCTGCATCTTTGAGGGCCTTCTTGATATGTCATCCCATGGTGAAGATGGAAGGGCAGGAGAACCCGAGAGAGCAAGAAAGGGCCAAACTCGCTTTGTTGTTGTTTGTTTTATTTTTTTTAAGAGACAGAGTCTCGCTCTGTCACTCAGGCTGGAGTGCAGTGGTGCAATCGTAGTTCACTGCAGCCTCAAACTCCTGGGCTCAGGCAGTTTTCCTGCCTCAGTTCCCTGAGAAGATGAGACTACAGTCATGCACCATCACACTCAGCTCCAACTCACTTTTATTTTTTTCATTAATTTTTTTTCTTATTTCTTTTTAAAATTTTTGTTTTTTCTTTCTTTTTTTAAATTTTGTTTTTTCTCAAACTCACTTTTATAACAAGCCCACTGTCATGGTAACTAACCCACTCCTGCTATAAAAACAATCCATTCATGAAGGCAGACCCCTCATGTCTTAATCACATCTTAATATCATCATGATGGCAATTAAATTTCAACATGAGTTTTGCAGGGGACTTTCAAACCATAGCAATTAGATTAAATTAAAAAAGCATCCCTCAAAAGAATCACTTAAATTCAGAATATGCTGGACATACGCGTTATAAGTAAGCCTATCTGTGCTTGGGTAAATCTTTGGCTGAAGAGGCCTAGGCGAGCCTGGGAACTAAGCACCAGTTTTAAAGTCTGTACCCTGCCAAAATCAAAACCCAAATGGGCCTTTTATTCCCTTTTTCAAAAATAATAATTGAGCACAATTCTGCAGTCATATATTGCACAATAGAGAGTCAAAGCCCTTTTCTTTCTCTCTCCGAAGAAAGAACAGATCCATTCATTGACTGACAGCAAGCTCTTAGCCAGAGCTGCTCAGATTTGGTCTGAAAGTTTCTCCAAGTTCTACATGCAGTTTCCAATCTGTGGTTAATTTTTTAAATTTGTGCTTTGAAAATTAGATCCACTGAAGACAAATATGAAACAAGAGACTAGAAGTAGGTTTTAAAGCTGTTTTGGAATAAAAGGATGTGGAGAACTGTAGTTATTATTTCTTACCATCAGTGGTGTACCTACATAAAAAATTATGAGTTTTAAAAAAAAGTCTCATGCTGAACAATTAAGGGCCACTCTTTTCTCTCAAGAGTCCATCTAACTCAAGTAAGTACGTGCCTAGAATGTAAGTTCAAGGGAAGAGCCTTCTAGGAAATTGACGTGGATCTTCAGGACAGCAACGGATATATTTCTTGAGACACTAAAATGATGGCCGGGTGCAGTGGCTCATGACTTTAATGCCAGCACTATGGGAGGCCGAGGCGGGCAGATCACCTGAGATCAGGAGTTCAAGACCAGCCTAGGCAACATGGTGAAACCCTGTCTCTACTAAAAACACAAAAATTAGCCAGGCATGGTGGCGGGCGCCTGTATTCCCAGCTACTTGGGAGGCTGAGGCAGGAGAATCAGTTGAACCCAGGAGGTGGAGGTTGCAGTGAGCCAAGATGGTGCCACTGTACTCCAGCCTGGGTGACAGAGCGAAGCTCCATCTCAAAAAAAATAAAATGAAACAAGAGGTGCGTATCGTATCCTAGTTGCTCTGTTGATGAGGGTGATACGTTTTTCAGACCCGTACCTGATTGCATATTCCTTTCACAGGCAACATGTTCTCCTTAAATTCAGATTTGTCAAGTCAAAACAGGAAACTAGGGGATCCAGGATTTTAGGTGGGTCTGGCAGCAGTGGACATTAGGTAACTTATCAATGATGTAATACTCAGAACTCCCTAAGCAAAAGATATTCAATGTTATATTTTCTTATAATTTATAATTTTTGTTGTTCAGGATCGTTTTTGACATTCCTTTAAGTTAATGTAATTTTATGACAATCTGATTGAACATGAGTTCAGTCACCCATTTTTCATTATTTTGGGGCTACTTCATCCTCGCTCGGTAGCTCACGCCTGTAATTCCAGCACTTTGGGAGGCTGAGGCGGGAGGATCACGAGGTCAGGAGATCGAGACCATCCTGGCTAACACAGTGAAACCCCGTCTCTACTAAAAATACACACAAAAAAATTAGCCGGGCGTGGCGGCGGGTGCCTGTAGTCCCAGCTCCGGAGGCTGAGGCAGGAGAATGGCGTGAACCTGGGAGGCGGAGCTTGTGGTGAGCCAAGATCACGCCACTGCACTCAAGCCTGGGCGACAGAGCGAGACTCTGTCTCCAAAAAAAAAAAGAAAAAAAAAAGGTGTTTCCTGTGGCAGTGCCTTGGGCCTACACAGCTGCTTGATAACAAATGAAAGGTAAAACTCTGATGGTTTTATCAGTGTTTTCAGATTCTCATAACCCCAGGTTTATTAGGTTTGATTAGTTAGCAGATCCTGAGTTATTATGGATTTGAAATGCGTGAAGTTCATTTATAAATATGGAAAATAACTCGGCTAGAATAATTGTTACCTAATAGCATGCTTGCGTCAATAAATTTAAATTATAAAAGAAAAAATGATTAGTAGTTAACATTTCTCTTAACTCATCCTATGCTGTGTTGCAGTTATATGAATACAAATTAAGATTTTGCAGGTGGTTAGAAATCTATTTCTCTTATTATTTATTTATCTATAGTCCCCAAACATTGTTACTTGTAGTCATATTTGCCTAGTAGCATTTATAAAATAACTTTAATTTTTCCCCAATTGTAAAGGTAATACAGTGCTAATTTAGGAAATCAAAAATAAAGGAAACTACACAGAAGAATACCCAAATCACTTAGAGACTCATCACCTAGAAATTAAACTCACTTTCCAATTTTTAGTTTATTTTGTTGCAGTCTTTTTGTAGAATGACATATGTGTTTGTTCATTCGTCCATCCTTTCAACAGAAATTTATTGAGTACCTTTATTGTCAGACCATCTTCTCAGCATTTGTGAAAGGGAAAAAATGTAAAAACAGGCCAAGTGTGGTGGCTCACGCTTGTATCCCCAGCACTTTGGGAGGCTGAGACAAGCAGATTGCCTGAGCTCAGGAATTTGAGACCAGCCTGGCCAACATGGTGAAACCCCGTCTCTACTAAAATACAGAAATGTAGCCGAGTGTGTTGGTTCACGCCTGTAGTCCCAGGTACTTGGGAGGCTGAGGCAGGAGAATTGCTTGAGCCTGGGAGATGGAGGTTGCAGTGAGCCCAGATTGCGCCACTGCACCCCAGCCTGGGTCACAGAGTGAGACTCTGTCTCAAAAATAAAAATAAATTAATAAATAGACAACCCTGTCCTTGTAGAGTTTATATTCTAGTTAGTGAGTCAGAAAATAATTACTGCAATATGATGTTAGATGGTGAAATGGGTTGAGTGGCAACTAAAGCAGAAGAGGGAGTAGGGAGTGGTGAGGGGCCAGGGAGAGTCCAGTTTGTAATGTGGCACTCAGGAAAGATGTTACTGGAGATTTTTGAACAAGAACTTGAAGGTGAGTTTGCAGATTGCGTCTGTATGAAGAGCTTTTAGGCGGCAGGAACAGGGAGTGCAAAGGCCCCAAGGCCCGGGCTTGTGTGAGGGTGACCATTGTGTTATACCAGTAAGTTTTGTTTTATTTTGTTATTCATGGTATGTAGCCATAGTGACTGGGATCAGTGGAATATTATGTAGCCAATAAAGATCATGTTGTAGAAGAATATATAGGGACACGAAAGATCATCCTTTATTGTTAATTTTGTATCAAAAATTGTAGATTTAAAGTAAGCGCAGTGAGGTATATGCGCAGTACATCATAATTGTATGTTGGTACATAAATGTAGTTATCTCAGGGTGAGGGGAATATAAGTGTTTTTTATTTTCTTGATTTTGTTCACCCTTATTACATTATTTTTCCTATAATGAACATTCTTTTATCAAGAGGGGAAACAAAAGACATTCAATGAAAAAGAGGGTGTGCCCGCAGGCAGGGTGAATGTGGGGAGGTGACAACCAGCACTCTGCAGGCAGCAGCACCTGGCATTTAGTTCACCTGAGTGCCCAGGGCTCCGGCTCCCAAGCTGCTGTGGAGAGGCAGGCGCTGGTTACAGGAGAGAGACTGGCACGGCCCAGTCATAGGAATCCAAGGTCAGGGACAAAGTCCAGAGAAACAAGCGAGGCTCAACGGAGAGGTTCCAGCCTCGGAAATGTCAGCATCATTCCAGGTGGGGGGCCCAGCCAGGCCGAGTGTCTTTTGACACAAAGTCTCACAGGATTGGGGTGAAGAAAAATGATTTATTTCCAAGGTCAGGTGAGATCAAAGTTCTTAAATTCTTGCTTTTTGAGGCTCAGAGGCAAGCTCAAAGGTTCAGCCTCCAGGTACAAGTGACAGGGTTGAATGCATATTCTGGTGACTTAGGTGTAAACCCAAAAATGTTTCAAGATTTGGAAACTCTTTGCATTATCCAGAATAAGATTTAAATCTTATCCTCATGGTCCGAACTGTAGTCTTTGGACAACAAGAGGGAATCTGAGAGAATATCGTGCTCTCTTTCAACAACCTATCCCTGGGTTCTGTCAGTGGGCAGGTCTGTCTGTCTGTCGGCCTACCTGTATATGTTCCTTAGGTACATGTTAGTGATCATATTGAATATACTGAATGATATTTGTAATATATATATAAGTTGTAAAACATAATAAAATGAATATACATGAACCTATTATCCAATCAGGACTGATACAGTTGCTCCCCCGCCCACCCCGTCCTGCTGCCTGCCAGAAGCAAGCATGGTCCTGAAGTTTGTGCTCCTCATTCATTTGCTTTTCAAAAAAAAGCCGCGCTTATATTTAAATGAAATATGAATATTCATACATTTAAACAAAATCTAAATATATTTAAACAAAATCTAATCTAAATATTTATATATTTAAACAAGGTATAAATGTTTATATATTCAAAGTATAGATATATATTTAAACAAAATATAAACATGTATATATTTAAACCAAGTATGAATATTTATATATTTAAATCACATATATGTATCCCTAAATAAAGTTTTTGTTTTTGAGGTGTATCAAAATGGTACCATATTTATGTGCTCTTCTAGGACTAGTGTTTTTTTTTCTTACACGTTTTTTAAAAAGATCAGTTGTGTTGCTGTGTATAGCTGTAGTTCATTCATATTTTGTGGCTGTACGATATTCCATCATGTGGACTATATCACAACTTATTTATCTGCTCTTTTTGCACTGACTTTGGATTTTTTTTTCCATAGTGTGCACTGTTTCTGTTTCTGAGTTTACGATATGGCAGTACAAATGGTCATTTAAAGGAAAAAGGTAGATGCCTAATGCTTAAAGTGAACAGTTCCCAAAGCCAGAATATTGTATATTTGAAAGGTTGTGTAAAATTTATACCAATACAAGGGCTGTGACACCTAGCATGGAAATATTCTTGTGAGTTCTTGGGAGGTTTTTTTGTCTTTAGTCTGTGCATGCTCAGCCCTGTTCTAGGGCTGGCTGCCACTAGAGGGGGTGTGAGCGATGGGACATCTGTTTCAGAGAAGCTAAGAATAGTTTGGCTACTGCAGAACCCAGCCGTGTGGCTCCAAAGTGTGATTAGTACCTACACATTCCAGCAGGGCAAAAGCATTAACGTTGTTCTAGTTACAAGAAGAAAGTCCGATGAAAGGTGACTTCTATACCTGTACCTGTGTGCACAGGTGTGCATGGATACTCATATGTTTTAGAGTAGTAGGGGGAGTGAAAAAAATTAACAGGGACTAACTAAGAGAAGTGATTGAAGGATAGATCAATGGAGAATATGACAGAGAAAGTGGGGGTGGGCAGGAAATTCACAAATGAATGACATGAATCAATGACAAATGGTTGTGTTTTTTAGTTGACAAACAAGCTAAGCATCTGTGAGGTCTCTAAGAACTAAATGGTACTTTGAGTTCATGACCCTTTTACTGTTTGTTTCTATCCACTGTCTTATATAAAATCTTTTGAATGTTGTTTATCTTGTGCTCTCCAAAGTCTTTCCTTCCCTCCTTGCTCTTTGACTTAGTCTTTTGACTTAGTATTTTCCTTTTCTTGAGGACTCCAGATCATCTTGAATTGTGAATCCTAGAAAATAACTTAATTTGCAAGTGATTGTGTGGAAAGAGGGGGTATTAGTGAGTTGTTGGCTCCCAGGCATAAATTAACCTGTTAAATACTGAGGGCAAAGGTTCCTGCTTGTTAGAAGAGTGTACAAGAGCAGTAGCTGCTAAAGAACGTCTTCCACACCATTGTGTGTTTGGGGCAGGCTGAATAGTCCCATCCACACCAAAGAAGTCCATACCGTAACTCAGAACCTGTGAATACATGACCTCAGATGGCAGGAGGGACTTTGCAGATGGGATCAAGGATCTTGAGATGGGTGGATGATCCTGGAGTATCCAGGTGGCCCCATGTCATCACAAAGGTTCTTTTAGGAAGGAGGCAGGTCAAAGAGAGACAATGCGAGGCTGCAGGCTGTGACTATGGAGCTAGGGACCATGAGTGAAGGAAAACAGGTGGCCTCTAGAAGCTGGAAGAAGCCAGGAGACACCATCTCCCCGAGAGCCTCTGAAAGGAATGCATCCCAGCTGACCCAGATTAGAGTCTGGCCACCAGAACTGCAAGATGATGGATTTTTGTGGTGTTCAGACACTAAATTTGTAATTTGTTACAGCAGGAATAGGAAACTAATCTAGTATTTCTTATGATGTGAAAGAACCAGCTTTGATTTGGAAATGTAGAGGGCAGTTTTTCCAACTCATGTCTCCATCTATGAAAGAATGAAGTTTGACCCTGATTTGTGGGAGAGCTTATCCTGAAACAAGGAGGGCTAGAGTGACATGGGGTGGTAACATTTTTGGGAGGGAGCCAAGAATGGGCCTGGGAGAATGTCCTTACTGGGCAAGTAGAAATAAGAAGGTTTGATGAAAAATGAACCAACATGGCCAAGGTAGTCAAGAAGAGTCATGAAGATGCCATGCTTGGAAGCCAGGGAAAAAGAGTGTTTTAAGGAGTCAGCATTAACTGGGTTCTAAGAGCACCAGGGAAAGTCACTGGATTGTATAAAAATGTTTTTGGAGGCCTTTATCAACAGTTCTCCATGTTTTTTTGTTTATATGTGTGGAGGAGGAGGGGAAGGAGCTTTTTAGGAGTGAAAAACCAAATTCAAGGGCCTGAGGATGAGATGAGGGCTGAGAAAATGGAGGTAGGTAGTGTGAATCACAGTTTGGAAAATATTGCTGGTAAATGAATGGAGAAAAATGAAACAGTGACCGGGAAAAGAGTAGCATGGCTTTTGTTGTTATTTTTAAAAATTGTGATAAAATGCATATAACATAAAATTTACCCTGAGTGACATTTTGTACATTTACAAGGTGGTGCAACCATCACCACTGTCTAGTTCCAGAACATTTCCATCACCCCAAAAGGAATTCTGTAACCATTAAGCAGTCAATTCCCGTATCCTCCTCCCTGCGGCTCCTGACAACCACTGCTTCCCCCTCTATGGATTTGCCCTATTCTGGATATTTCATATAAATGGAATCATGCAACATATGAATTAGCATAATATCTTCAAGGTTGATTCATGTTACAGCTCTTATCAGCACTACATTCCTTTCCATGGCTGAATACTATTCCATCATTTGGATAGACCACATTTTGCTTTGTCATCAGTTGACGGACATTCAGGTTGTTCCCGTCTTTTGATTATTCTGAGTAGGGAGCAGCTCGGTTTTATTTTGTTTGGTTTTGTTTTCAAAATAGTGAGAGCTGACTCTGTAGGTGAAGGGGAAGAAGCATGCAGCAGGGCTGGATGGCTTTTGTCCACCAGGCAGTGTTTTCTGCATGCAGCCTGGCAGCTTGCAGTAGAGTCTGATCTGCCACAAGGGGGCAGAGTTATGTCTGGGGGACAGGTGGACTGGCAGATGATGGGCGTGGCTCATCATCCATAAATATTGGAAAATTGACGATAGCATTAAGTAACTGCAGATGCTGTAATGGCAGCTGGGGAAGTTGAATTCTAGGCACCATCAGTACCTCCAGCAGTGAGAGCATTGCTTCTAAGGGAGGAACCCAAGAATGTGCCCTTAATTTGACATTTAAATCATATTTCCTTTAACGCTTTTTTTTTTTTAAATTTTAAAGAGGAGGGACTATGCAGAAGGAAGGAAGTCGACATTATTATTTAGAGGTATTTGGCAAAAAGAGGAAAAGATACATGGTGTAGTATCCTCACTGGGGTGTCATGGTGTAGTATCCTCACTGGGGTGTATTGCATTATTACTCACGTGCTGTTTATTAGTTCTGTTGAAGGTTATTCTTACTTGTGCCTGTTTTTAATACCTGAACAACTGGGAGAGAGGACTTATAATCCTGCAGTCATTTGGCTTGTATTCTTGGAGAGTATTTTTAAACTATAACATTCAGAGCCATCTCATGTCACTTTAACGCCCGAGCAGTACTTTCACTATTTACTTCTCCTGGACTACAGACCTCAGATTTTGCATCATATTTTCACGAACACAGAAAATACATGTTCTAGATTGTTTTTGATGTTTTCCTTATTTTGGGGGGCCAGTTATTACAATCTTTATTAAAATGAGTGATATTTTCAATCATGACTCAGGAGTCATCTGCTGTGGCACGAAAACTGAATTCCATAGCTTATTAAGCTGAACATCCTCAAGTCAGAACTGCTGTTTATGTTGAATAAATTGCACATTTAAATACTTTTGTTCCCCTGGGGCTAAGTTTGGATGAAATAATCTTGCTTCCAAGGGATTTTAATGGATGTATCATGCTTGGAATATATAATGAAGACTCAGTAATTGAGAGAATGTCTAAATGGAACAGAAACTTTATTTTTAAATTGAGAAATAGGCCTGAAACTGATCTAGGGGGTCAAAGTAGGACTATCCCAAGTTTTTATTAAACAGGAATAGAAAAGCCCACCTTTCTCCACAGTTTTACTTATATTAATATATGAGCGGTTCAATAAATACATAGGTGATTGAGATGGACCATTTCTACTTCCCTAGTGGAAATAGGGGGGGAAGTGATCCCAGTTTGAGGAGTTTGTTTGTGCTCTCTGTGTAGAGCACTTAGAAAGTTAGCTACACATTGCTTATAAATTCGTCTTGTTCTTTGATGAAGGCATGACAGTCCTCCAACAGTGAAGGAATACACAGCTTGTAATAAATGAATTTCCTCAAGCTGGTTAGAATATGGGATCGATAATTTTATCAGTATCAGAAAGGTAGCTAAATTCAAGAGAAAGCTTTTCCTCTAAATACTGCCAACTGATTTCTGGAATAGAAAAAAAGCTCTTCTCTGGCAAGCAAGTGATTTTGAGAAATAGGGTGAGGCCAGTGAGAAGATGATGAGGCTGCTTGGACAGGGCTTTCAGCTCTGCTACTGTGTCAGTGACACTGCTGGTACTCACCACCTAGATTTTGCATGGCCTCTTGGCCTGGGATTCTCTTGATTTTAGTCTGCTCAGGCAGCCGTAACAGAATACCATAGATTGGGTGGCTTAAATAACAGATATTTATTTCTCACAGTTCTGCTAAGCAGTCCTGCTCACGCTCCCCTCACCACCCTGGTGTCTGATTGATTATGGCTCCTCATTTATGTTATAGAAGGAGAGAATCCAGACAAAATAGTAAGGTGTATCTGTTTAAAATATTTTCAGTCAAGAAGGTTATAACAGTATTCTCAAGATCCTTTACATTTTTCTTAATCAGCTGTTCATGGGAAACCAAACAGAAACCACATTAATAATGAATACATTATGACTCCCTCATTTGTTGTACTTTTCTTTTTATTGTGTAAGGACTGAGTATGGCCAGGTATGGCTAGGTTACAGTAAACAAGCATAAAATCTCGGTGTCATACAATGCACATTTATTTCTTGCTTATGTTTCTGTGGATCAACTGGGGTTCAGCTGGTTTAGGCTGGACTTGGCTTTAAGATTTGGGTTGCATCCAAGCTTACTCCACAGTCTTTCAGCCTCATTGGACCAGAGGCTACTTAAAGTGTGTTATTCTCATGGACAAAGGCAGGAGGGGCATAAGAGCACAAACCCAGTAACTCAGGTACATTTCACGCCTCCACCTGCTGATAACCAGGAGGCCTAAGCAAGTCACATGGCCAAGTCCAAAGCCAAGAAGGGAAAAATACCTTTGGCCACACAAGGCCATGGTGAGAGTATGGACGTATAACACTACTATAAGAGAGTAAAGAAATGAGTCTTATAATTTAATCTGATATGAATTTTTTTACATTATTAGGTAGGAATTCTTTATTTCATAGAGTTGTGTGTTTTTATTTTGTATTTAGTGTCTTTCAAAGCTCTTGAGAATAGTTTTTGATGTGTAGATATATATATATTTATGTACTTATAGGATATAAGCTTATAAGTCCAATCTCCCCATTTATTTTTAAAGATGGCTACTTTAAATACGTTCTTCTAACCCTCAGTGTTTTGTTGGTGTTGCTTGAATTTTTTTTACCATAATTATTAATTTTATCCAGCATTAATTTCAAAGAATGTACTCAATACCTGATTATTTCTCCCTCTTTCAAAACCAGAACAGTTTTACCCACTAATAACATCAGATTATAAAATTGTTGGCAGATTTGACGTTAAAATGTTATATGTGTGCGTGTTCACATATTCAGAGCTAAAGGGGTTTGTAAAACCTGCCGTTACATGACTGAACACATCATGTACCTTTATATTTATAGAAGGGCCTCATTGTACACATTGAAAGGGGAACTTGGAAGAATCAGATATATTCTTTGGCAAAGTCTCACGCCTGTTTCTGCAGCCTAAATCAATGCTACTGAAACATAAGTTATTTATTTTTGGGCCATAAATTAAATTCCCATTGTTGCTAATACTCATGGTTTTCAACAAAAGTTAAGAGCGCCAACAGTTCCAGGCTCTGCGGGAAGATGGTTGAAAGGGAATGTGGAATGTACCAAAGGTTTTATTTTTATTTGGAAGAAACCAAATACCCCTGTTTTCTGTTCAGGAGTTCATTAGTCATCTATGTTTTCCTCGGATAAAATAGCTCTTATCTTGGGCCTGACTCTGAAATTCTTCCCTTGAATTTCTTGTGATATTTGTAATGGTATGAAACACTTTGGTTGTGAGTAGAGAAAGGAGGTGACACTTTCCACAGTCACCCTGTCGGTCTCTGACAAAGCTGCTGTTTTAGATTCCTGCTTAAACTTTGGGGCCACCTTCCCTGTGGGTGTCTTGAGCTGTAGACTTCCATTGTTTATTAAATACCTGCTCTGCAGAAGGCAGACCCTGCCGGACCTATAGAACGGTCCCTCGCATTGTGTCAAGATTTTGTTGTATTTCCGTTGATGTCAGAACATGGGGAAAAGGTCTCTGATATCAGAGAGGTGGTAGAAATAACAAGAGAGTTGTCCATGGTTGGGCTTTGAAGCTGTGGAATTCACCTTTGAAGTAACTCTAAAGAGATTCTGTTGCTATTTGCTCTACATAAAGAGAGAGTCTGTGCCACCAGAATAAAAATAGCTGTAAGTATTACATCATCATCAGAAGTTTTCATTGGTTCATCAGGCCATGAAGGGAACAAGTCCATGGTGATATTTAGATAGATTTCTGTTTTGCTCATTGAAATGATGATTTTAAGACAAAGCAGGAAAAAAGGTAGGAGGGGGAGGGATGACTGAAGAAGGCCACCACATTTATTTTGTACACACTGATTAATATTTCAAAATTGGAATCTGGCACCAATTTTTATTTGTATTTAATCAGCACCCTATTTTATTCCTGTTTTCTAACCACCTGTTATAAGCATGTGTCTCCTATTTCTACTATCACAGCATCTTTGGGGCAACATGTTGCTTCTAATGACTTACTCTTTTCTAAAGTCAGACATTTATCTCAATAATATAAAATTTTGGCCCAGTGCATTGGCTCGTGCCTGTAATCCCAGCACTTTGGGAGGCCAAGGCAGGAGGATGGCTTGAGGCCAGGAGTCCCAGACCAGCCTGGGCAACATAGCAAGGCCAAGTTGCTACAAAAAACGAAAAATTAGCTGGGCATGGTGGTACACCGCCTGTGGTTCCAGCTGCTTGGGAGGCTGGGGTGGGAGGATCACTCAAGCCCAGGAATTTGAGGCTGCAGTGAGCTGTGTTTATGTCAGTGTACTCCAGCCTAGGCAACAGAGACAGACCCTGTGTAAGAAAAAAAAAAGATATAAAATTTCAAGATTTGTGCAGTGGAAAAACAGATAGACCAAAGGAAATTGTTTTCTTTTTCATGTTTGTTTCTTTCTTGGGATTTCAATCATTGTATCTCACCTCTTTGCTTTATATGACTGGTGCAGGCATAAAATCGGGATTCTCTCATGGAAAGGGAAAGGGTTTAGCTCACATCTGCACGGCATGCTGCCTCTTGTAACCCAGCACTGCCTCCCATCCAGCATGCCTTCTCCTTCCCTAGCTACCTAGAGTGACTGTGCTCAGTGCCCTGGAGGAGAAGCATCCTGGACACATGGAACGGTGGCTCTGAAGAGCTAATTTACCCTTCTTTCTGAGGAAGCTTCTGTGCTGACAACAGACAGAAATGCCCTCGGTCTAGCATCAACAAAGGAGGAATTATTATTTGGACTTGGGGCATCTTATGGAAGCTGAGAGAAAGAAATGCTAGGAACAGGAACCAAGACGTTCCCAGGAACAGAAGCAACTTAAAGCCTCCTAGGAATCAAAGGAAGCTGACAGGGAGCTTGGAGTCAAGTGAGGGGCACCCAGGGAAGGGGAGGATAGTGGATGCTGCTGCTGCTGCTGCTGCTAAACTGTGAATTAACTGTCCTCTCTTAGTGCTTAGTATTTGCCAGGCACTGTGCTGAATGCTTTCTGCGTATTACCTAATTTATCCTCAAGACAATTCCATGAGGCAGGAATTAGCAGCCCCCTTTCAAAGACAAGGACACCAAAGCTTCCTTAAGGGACTTGGCCAGACTGATGGGTTTCACTCCTGCCTCTCTCCCCCTCTAACACCAATGGGCTTCACCTCAGCATTCTACCATATCCCATATCAAACAGTGCATATCTTTCCCCAGCTCATAGCTTCTTAAACAGTATTTAGGAAAATAAAGGTATGGTTAGGAATTTCAAACAAGAATTTTAAAATGTTTTCATCACATTGCAAGAATGAGGAAGCAAGCAGAATTTGAGGATTGGAGCTGGAAGAGCTTGTAGGGGAACCCGAGCTGGAAGTAGCCCTGATTCACAGGACTCTCCACATACTGGAGAGGTGAGCTGTGCTTTTGCAATTGAAATGTGTTGCTTTGCTGTTATTCAAAGCTTATTTTTAATTGATTTGAAGCCTGCTTTCCTCTCAAAATAAGGCTGTATTTTTAGTAAAATGTATTTTCATATGTTGTCACATAAGCTAATTGTTTTCTTGGCATACATTTTGTTCCTATTTGTAAAAGAGTAAAACCTTAGGAGATAATGTGGCCCCAGTGGAAGAAACTTTGGAGTCTGAACAAAGCAGTTCAGCATTCTAGGCCTCATTTTGCTTATTGGCTAAAACACAGTGAGTAGGCTTATTATAAAGCTGTGGTCATCAAGACAGTGCAGTAAATAGATCAGTGGAACAAAGCAGAGAGTCCAGAAATAGACACACGCATGCATGACAACTAATTTCCAACGAAGGTTCAAAGGCAGCTCATTGGTAAAAGGATGGATCACCTTTCCAACTAATAGTTCTAGGAAAATTTAATACCCGTATGCAAAAATATGAACTTTGATCCATCCCTTGTACCACAAACAGAAATTAACTCAAAAGGGAACATGGGCCTAAATGTAAACCTAAATCCATAAACTCCTAGAAGAAAACACAGCTGAAAGTCTTCATAACCCCAGGTTAGGGAAAGATTTCTTAGATACAATATTATTGGGATGATCCACAAAAGAAAAATTTGATAGATTGGACTTGATCAAGATGACAAACCTTTGATGTTTAACTGACATAGCTAAGGGAATGAAAAGTCAAGGCATAGATTGGGAGAAAATATTTGTGAATCATATATCTGATAAAATACATTTTTTCCAGAATGTATAAAGAACTATTAAAACTTGGCAATAGGCTGGGCATGGTGGCTCATGCCTGTGATCCCGGCACTTTGGGAGGCTGAGGCAGGCGGATCACCTGAGGTCAGGAGTTGGAGACCAGCCTGGCCAACACGGCAAAACCCCGTCTCTACTAAAAGTACAAAAATTAGCTTGGTGTGGTGGTGGGCGCCTGTAATCCCAGCTACTTAGGAGGCTGAGGCAGAAGAATTGCTTTAACCCAGGAGGCGGAGGTTGCAGTGAGCCAAGATGGAGCCACTGCATGCCAGCCTGGGTGACAAGAGTGAGACTCCGTCTCCAAAAAAAAAAAAAAAAAAAAACTTGGCAATAAACAAACCCATAAAAAATCCAAGAGATTTAAACAGACACTTCAACAAAGAAAATAAACACATAAAAAGATGCTCAACATCATTAGTCAGTAAAGTGGCGAATTATAACCACAATGAGATACCACTATGCCGATTTGAATGGATGAAATGGAAAAAAGACTGACCATACCAAGTGTTAGTGAGGATGTGGAGTGATTGGAACTCTTCTTATATATTGCTGGTGAGAATGAATATCAAATAGTATAACCATTTTCTCAAACAGTTTGGCAGTTTTTTTTTTTTTTTTGAGATGTTGTCTCTCCCTGTCGCCCCGGCTGGAGTGCAATGGCGCGATCTCGGCTCACTGCAACCTCCGCCTCCTGGGTTCAAGTGATTCTCCTGCCTCAGTCTCCCAAGTAGCTGGGATTACAGGCGTGCACCACCATACCCGGCTAATTTTTGTATTTTTACTAGAGATAGGGTTTCATCATGTTGGCTAGACTGGTTTCGAACTCCTGACCTTATGTGATCAGTCTGCCTTGGCCTCCCAAAGTGCTGGGATTACAGGCGTGAGTCACCTTGCCTGGCCCAGTTTAGCAGTTTTTTTAAAAAGATAAATATACAACTACCATGTGATTCAACAACTTCCTCTCTTAGATATTTAGCTAAGAGAAATGAAAACAGGTCCGCATGTAAATGTTCACGGCAGCTTTATTTGTAATAGCCGAAACTATCTGTCAGCAGAGGTGAGTGCATAAATAAATTGTGGTATATCCATATGGTGGAATACTGCTCAACAATAAAAGTGAGTGAATTATTGATACAAATCAAATAACATGAAAGAATCTCAAGGTAATTATGCTGGATAAAAGAAGCCAGATAAAAAAGAGTACATCCTGTATGATTCCATTTGTATGAAATTCTAAAAGTGCAAACTAATCTACAGTGACAAAGCAGACCCGTTCTTGTCTTGGAAGGGAAGGAATGGTGCAGGGAAGCATTAAAAGGGGTACCAGAAAACTATGGGAGGTGATGGTGGTATTGATTATGTTGATTTTGGTGCTGGATTCATGGCTGTATAGCTCTGTCAAAAGTTATCAAACGTTAAAACTTATGCGCAGTTTATTGTAGGTCAGTTATACATCAATAAAGCAGATCCAGCGATGAGCACTAATACATGAATGAAAGCACCGTAGAGGTAGTGGCTGTTCTGTTAAGAAGTCAGTAGGAGTTTCATGGAACTGTCTGCAGCTAATTCCAGAGCTAGTTCTGACATCCTTTCACATTGCTGAGACATCCCCTTTGACTTTTGAGAGTAATGTATTACATTTATTTATTTAATTTTTCTTTGAAGATGCCTTATAGATTCCTAGTACACAGATGGACAAGTGTAGACCTGGATTATGAGCTGTGTTTACTTAGGGAATGGCTCTGGGCTGCGTTGTTTGTATGTCATAAAAACAGAGACTGCAGTAGGTGGTTGGTTGGAGGAAAACAGGTTCTATTGACTATCGTTGGTTGGAGGAAAACAGGTTCTATTGACTATCGTCTATTGACAGTCTATGACTGTCTTCCGTTTTTCAAAAGCCCTGTCACCTGCTACTGTTGTATACCGATGAGCAAATGACACACATACATGCTGTAACCTCCCCTCAGCTGAGAAGCCTTCAGGCAGAAGTCAGGTGAGGTATTGTTTTTGTTTGTTTTTCCTTAGAAAACTCTACCATTAAAGCTCCTGCCTTTACGAATCCGTGGTGACAGAGAGAGCAGTGGTGGCCTGTGGCCGCAGAGGGGCCTGAGATGAGGAGGGTGAGTGGGTGTATTTACAGTGGCTGTTGGAAATGTTCTGCATCTTAGTTGTGGTGATTTTAAGAGTGTAAACATCTTTCAAAACTCACCAACTTTCCTGCTTTAAATGTAGACAGTTTATTCTTTATCACATCTACCAAAATAAGGTTATTTTTCAGACTCCATGCCTTTCTGCCCTCAGCCTTAGAACATAGTGGCCCCTGAACACAGCTATTAATAAAATAATCACATTATTGCCTCCTGTGTAATTTCTCTTAGGAAACAAGACTAAAACCTCTTGTTTAGTTGTTTCAACCATAGATGTAGAGATTAGTTTTTATTTTTAAACCTGGATGTTATTTCTTTCTATCTGACCTACCTTCCCCTTCCTTCCTTTCCTTCCTTCCTTCCTTCCTTCCTTCCTTCCTTCCTTCCTTCCTTCCTTCCTTCCTTCCCTCCCTCCCTCTCTTCTCTTCTCTTTTCTTCTCTTTTCTTTTCTTCTTACTTTCTGATGGAGTCTCACTTTGTTGCCCAGGCTAGAGTTCAGTGGCATGATCTTGGCTCACTGCAACCTTTGCCTCCTGGGTTCAAGGGATTCTCCTGCCTCAGCCTCCTGAGTAGCTGGGGTTACAGGTGCCTGCCACCATGCCCAGCTAATTTTTGTATTTTTAGTAGAGACAGGGTTTCACCATATTGGCCAGGCTGGTCTCGAACTCCTGACCTTGAGATCCGCCGCCTCTGCCTCTCAAAGTGCTGAGATTACAGGCGTGAGCCACCGCACCTATCTTCTATCTGTATTTCTAAGAGCAAAGTCAAATGTGAAATCGAGGCAGTTCGTTTTAGTGAATTGTCTTGGTCCATTTGGGCTGCAGTAACAAAATACCTTAGACTGGGTAATTTACAAACAATGGAAATTTATTGCTCACTGTTCTGGAGGCTGGGAAATCCAAGATCAAGGCACTGACAGTCAGTTGTGAGTTCTGCCCTCATGATTGAATCATTTCCCCAAAGACCCTGTCTTTTGGTCCTATCACACTGGATATTCAGTTCTAACATATGAATTTTGGAGGGACACAAACATTCAGACCATAGTACAAATTAAATATGACAGAAAGTGTGATTATTTGTTGTATCTTCTGAAATGAGTAAGGTCTGGGGCAGTGCAGCGACCAAGGTGGGATTCCTTCTGGAATCTCAAGCATAGTGATGGTGCTGGTGCGTAATAAGTACTTGTTTACCTGTCAGTTGACTGAATCCATGCTTTTCCCCGTCTACTTGGCCTGAATAACCCATTAGACAACAATTCTACTCCCCGGTCCCCATGGTTAACATAGACATAGTGGAAAAGATGCATGGGAGAAATTAGCCAGCCACTGAACATGTCTTCATGACATGTCTCGCATCTCCTCTTCTTGTTGCCTTCAGTGCTCAGGTCCTTGGGAGGCCTGTGGCTGGTGTGAGGAAGACCTGTTGTTTCCTGTTTGGTTCTTCTGGGGATGGGTGAGCTAATGCATGTGGAGTGCCCAGCACCCGTGTTAGGATGGAATAGACACAGTGTTCTCTTGCTCCTTCCTGTCCCTTTTATATAATCATCTGTTCATTCCCAATTACTCATTACCAAGTCTGCATCTTTCCCAGATTTGATTTTCTTACAGTGGTGAAGTGAATCATTCACTGGTATGTGTGTGAATTTCCAGAATCAGAGAGTTTGAGATTCTCAGTTTTTAAGATCCTTTCTGTAATAACTGAATTCATGGTGGAAAGGAATCCGTTACTTAGCCCTGCCCTGTATTTGCCGAAGGTGGGTATTCCTGTGTGACATTAGCCCACTCATTGCTTTATCAGTTATTGACTTGATCAATGATTCTGCTCAATAAACAAGGCTAATAAGGATAATTTATTTGCTGTTAGGCAATTTACAAGTCCTTCAACTGCATCAATAGGATAGAGATCATTGCCATAGGAAATACAAACTGCTGTATAAAAGCCTGTTTTATTGGTAGTTTTTAGCGGGGGGATCCAGGCTTGGATTAAGAAATTCACTTTGGATTCCTAGATCTCCATCAAAAAGGGTTCCAAAAGTACTGCTTTTGATAAATCTACTCACTGAGTGTCTGTATTCCTATCAGTAGCCAAACCCTTTGTCCTAACCAGAAAGCACTCAAGAATATAAATAAAATCATAGTAAGCTTTATATTTTAGAGGATTATTTTAACATGCGCATCCTTCAGGAGGAATTCTTATCTGTTCACTTAAAAATGTCATTTCCATTTTCTACACCAAGGCAATATTTAAAAAGAAAAGTTATTTTAAAACATGTCATTCAATTCAGTTATATTTGATAAGTGCAGAATTAAGTCCCAGCATTATTTGACATCTAAACATCTGGTGAATAAACTACTCATTAATTTTTGACAGTTTCTCAAAACACGTTCAAGGCAAGTCGAGGAAGTGATGACAGCGTCTCCTGACAGAGGTGTGAGTTCTGCCCTTAGCAATAGTGAAGTCACATCAGGGCCCCGGTACCGGGACAGTTGGCTTTCCTGGTGGTTGATTGGAAAGGACTGGGAGGCTCAGTTGCAGGAGCAAGCATGGGACAGCTTGTGCAGGGAGCTGGGCGGGAGGAGAGTGCCGAGCAGGAGGAGATGAGGCTGGGCAAGTTGGGATCAGCGGCTGTATTTTGACCTTTCCTTGTCTCCTGGCTCGCTCCGACCGACCGGGCCCGGGATTATGAAACATGTTCTGGAAATTATTTCCAGAGGGCACACGTCCCTCTGGTGACAGCTTATTTCTGGATTCCCGGTGCAAATGCCTGGACTCTGATGACATTCAGGGGTGTGTTTCATGGCCCATCATCTGATTAGTCACTGAATTCTAAGGACTTTCCCTGCTGGCTTCGGGTCAGAGCACATGAGTGGAGAAGCAAAATAACTTGTTTATTTCCTCCAGGCTCATCTGAACAGGCCATAAAGGCAGGCCCTTCTTCCTCCCTCGGGTGGCCCCCTTTATGGATGTACCTCCCCATTTGGAAATGGAACACTCTGGCCCTTCACAGGGAAATGGTCTCAAGGCAGAGCTCTTAGAGGTGCCTTATACTGATGTCTGGGCTTTATGTCTGGAGAGATGACTTCAGTCACCTGAAAAATCTTGGAATGCAGAGTGAGTCTAACAGATTCCGACAGCCTAGCCTCAGTTTTATTTTGAATAAGAATGTGTTTATCCCAGCACTCTGGGAGGCCCAGGTGGGCAGATCATGAGGTCAGGAGATCGAGACCATCCTGGCTAACATGTTGAAACCCCGTTTCTACTAAAAATACAAAAAATTAGCCGGGCATTGTGGCAGGCGCCTGTAGTCCCAGCCACTCGGGAGGCTGAGGTAGGAGAATGGCGTGAACCCAGGAGGCGGAGCTTGCAGTGAGCCGAGATCGTGCCACTGCACTCCAGCCTGGGCGACAGAGCGAGACTCCGTCTCAATTAAAAAAAAAAAAAAAGAATGAAAGAATGTATTTGTTCTTCTTGATGCTAAGGTTATGTCTGTGACCCCACTGGAAAGGTACATGGTGTCTTGGTAGGTCTGTGGTTGCACTGAGAGGCAGGGACATCGTGGTTAAGGCAGACTTGAGTTCGGATCTCTGTGCCTTCCTGCGCTCATCTTTAAAATGGGTGTAGTAATAGAAGTATCGTGCAGAGCTTTGGGGAGGATTAAATGAGATCATGAATGTGTAGCATTTAATGCAGTCTCTGACACGTGGGCTGCATTCCGTTCACTTTAGCGATCATCATTATTATCTGTTATCTTCATTTTGTTTGAGAAGTCAAAGAGCCCCCAATTTGAAGCTACTTCCACACTAAAAACAAGACTCCAAGGGGAGCCAGGAGCAAGGACTAATCCTGCAGCTGCCTAGAGCAGTCACATCACGGGCGCCTTTTGTCCAAAGCCAGCTCTTCATTTTTCCCCCTGATGTCGACCGGCTTGGTCTTCAGAGTCGGAGCCAGGCGCCATCTGCTCCCAGATTTAGCTGTGGCAGGTGGGGTCCGGTGGGGAGTCAGATTTCGGAGTCTCTTCCAAGACTGAGGGCTGCACTGCAGCTCTGGAAGTCTTGGTCTGGTTGGGAACCCTGCTTGACTTCAGTGTTTGACCTTGCAGACATCATTTCTCTTCTGCAGGCCACAGTAAAATGAAGGGACTGAGCTAAGCTGATCCTAAGTTCCTTCCGCCTCTAAAACTGTGATTCTGTGACTATACTGGAGAGCTGAGAATTCCTGTATCAAGTGGGCTTTCTTTGCCTGATATTCACTCCCAAAGCCATGGACCCTGCATGCAGGGTGAGACTGGTCCCAGGCAGGGATGCCACTGTTCGCCTGTGGGTGAAGAGCACTGCGTCTGAGAATGGTGCTGTGCTGCATGCTGCATGCTGCATGCTGCATGGTGCTGACCCTCTTTCTCCTGCCACCCCAACATCCATACCTCACTTCATCCTTTGCTTTGTTTTGGGTGGGGACAGAGTCTTGCTCTGTCCCCAGGCTGGAGTGCAGTGGTACGAACTAGGCTTACTGCAACTTCTGCCTCCTGGCTTCAAGCGATTCTTGTGCCTCAGTCTCCCAAGTAGCTGGGATTACAGGGGCGCACCATCACACCCAGCTAATTTTTGTATTTTTAGTAGAGACAAGGTTTCGCCATGTTGGCCAGACTGGCATCCTTTCCTTTAAAGAACTTAACACCTTTGTTGGAATTGTGGCCAAATCCACACACCATACACACACTCCCAGTGCCCTGGCTTTTAGCTGCTGCAGATGTTTGCAGCTGGTAGCTGTGCTGAGCCTCCGCGGAATTTCCAGGCAGTGGAGAGGAGTTGTTCTCAGGGTCGGCTCTGAGCCTCACGCCTGCGGTTTCAACCCAGTTGTCTTTCTAAACAGGTACCTGGCCTGGGGCAAGTTACCCTCAAAGCCTCATTTCTCCACTTTTAATACATGAAAAATTCAATTTAATTGGGAGGTCGCAGTGTGGATTAAACATACAGAAACCTATTATGTGCTTGGTGCAGGGCCTGGCCCTTGGTCAGGGTTCCAAGAACAGAGCAGCTCTTTGATCGCATAGCTGATGTACACAGACCCTCGTCTTGGTCAGGGAGGAGGCAGGCAGGGTGGGATTGGCATGGACTGGTCAGGGGAAGAGTAGAGAAGGGAAGTCAGCTGACACTGGACCTTTTGTGTGAACTCTCTGACGATGGGAGCTCTTGACATCCTGGGACTATGTTGACATGAGGCATGGTGAAGGGCCACCCTTGGCCTTGGAGTATGT
Source organism: Homo sapiens (assembly GCF_000001405.40). NCBI lineage: Eukaryota > Metazoa > Chordata > Mammalia > Primates > Hominidae > Homo > Homo sapiens. The sequence goes on along the minus strand of NC_000005.10, from coordinate 16,536,892 downwards.
CTTCCCCACTCAGAGAACTCATCTCTGGCAGCTCCCAAGCAAATTCATGTTGGAAAAACATCCTTTTAATCTGCCAGAATGCTCCTGCAAGACAAGAGTCTGAGATCTCAGGCATCCGTTGACTTTGGCGCCATTGACACCTTGCACTGATTTTCAGTCTTTTGGCAAAAAATGTTCCCACTCCATGATAATTTGTGATTTTTCCATTTGAAACAATCTGACACATCTGTGGAGTTAGTATTTCCTGTTGGATGGGATGAGGGAATAAATGTCAGCATGTTGAGAAAATGAAATGGGAGAGGCATGTTTGTCCTGTGTCCTGGTGTCTCTTGGTGGCTCCTTGGGCGAGGAGTTAGAGTGTGTTGACGTGTTGGCATGTCAGGGTCCAGGGGTGAACCAGGCTGGCGATTCCTGCTTGGTGAGGTGATCTGCTTTTGCTGACTAATGGTCCTGTCACTCTCCTTGCTGCTGTGACTGATCAGATTCCTCATATTCACAGACGTAAAGTTTGGGTTTTTATCAACACCGTCCAGCTTCAGAGCATTTTTGTGAGAGCTTCTCTCTGGGAATGAATCAGTGTGGGCTTCCTGCTTTCAAGGCCACCTCTAGGAAGAGGCAGCGTTCTTTCTTTGTAAAAGCTGGCCTGGAAATTCTGGTCAGTCCTAGCATTTGGATGGTTCATGCCAAGCCAGAGAAGTGAAGTAGGTGGGAGTTTATCTCTTCCTTCTTGGGGTGGGATAGAGGTGTTTTCCCAAGGAGATAAAAGGACTGGTCAGACTCTTGCTTTCTCTGTTACTGTGTGAGATTAGATCAGGCAGGTGCATGTCAGCCCAAGGCAGCGTGCACACAGTAGCTCCAGCTCCCACTTTGTGAAGGCAGTGTGCATGCAGGAACCCCAGCTCCCACTTCGTGAAGGCAGCGTGCACACAGGAACCCCAGCTCCCACTTTGTGAAGGCAATGTGTACACAGGAACCCCAGCTCCCACTTTGTGAAGGCAGCGTGCACACAGGAACCCCAGCTCCCACTTCCTGAAGGCAGCGTGCACACAGGAACCCCAGCTCCCACTTCGTGAAGGCAGCGTGCACACAGGAACCCCAGCTCCCACTTCGTGAAGGCAGCGTGCACACAGGAACCCCAGCTCCCACTTTGTGAAGGCAGCGTGCACACAGGAACCCCAGCTCCCACTTTGTGAAGGCAGCGTGCACACAGGAACCCCAGCTCCCACTTTGTGAAGGCAGCGTGCACACAGGAACCCCAGCTCCCACTTCGTGAAGGCAGCGTGTACACAGGAACCCCAGCTCCCACTTTGTGAAGGCAGCATGCACACAGTAGCTCCAGCTCCCACTCTGCGAAGGCAGCATGCACGCAGGAATTCCAGCTCCCACTCTGTGAAGGCAGCGTGCATGCAGGAACCCCAGCTCCCACTCTGCAAAGGCGCACGCATGGAGGAATTCCAGCTCCCACTTTGTGAAGGGAGCATGCATGCAGTACTCCAGCTCCTACTTTGCGAAGGCCCCATGCACGCAGGAGCTCCAGCTCCCACTTTGTGAAGGCAGCGTGCACACAGGAACTCCAACTCCCACTTCATGAAGGGCTCTCTTCACATGTGGTATCCTGGAAATCAATGAGCGCACTCAGAGCTTGCAAGGATTGACCCCAACTGAACAGCCTGGGAGCGAGCGGACGGAAAATCTGTACGTTTATAAAATATACAGTATAAAATATAAATATCTTTGAGAGAGAGAAGAAAAAAAAGTGACATAAGCATTCTGGTTTGAAATCTAATTTATTAGAATTCCAGCTTCTCATAGCAGCTTCTCATTGCTCTTAGCAAAATGTGTCTTTAAGTATGGATTTGTGTCTTCACTTGTTTAATGTCCAGCTTCTCTACCACTCTGGAAGCTCCATGAGGCAGACAGCATGTTTCTCTTATCTATCCCTGGACCTCCAGGGCTTACCTCTGTGCCTGGCACTTAATAAATGCTCAGTAAAAATGCCCGATGAATGAATGAGTGATTTAGTTTCTATTAAAGAGATCATTATTTACAGAAGAAGAAAAATGGCAGCAGAGACCTTTCCTTTCAGAAGTTTGGCAGGGATATACTGTCAAGGAAGCAATCCCAGGTACTAAGTATAATTCTGAGGGGGGCTTCTCTTCTTAGCAGATTAATAAAATAAAGGTGATGAGTCTCCCTTGGAAAGTGGCTAGTGAAAACTCAGAAAAGGAACATGGCAGCTGGCTGGGATTGAAGTGTGAATGTTGATATGAGTACAGAAATATCTGGGCTACCCCTTCTGATTCATTCACACATTATCACATGATTGCCTTGGCCTTGATAATGTCAGCTGAAATAAGCATGGTAATCTCTCCTCTCTACCCACTCTATATGTCCCCACTCCCCAGCAAGGCTGGATGAGTGTGGAGCCCTCTGCACTTCAGGATGATAACCTTGGGAGCACCCTGTCTGGCTGGTACACACTGCTCCAGGCAGTGGGATGGGTACCTTGCATCTCAGTTCTTAGAGCACATGTTGACAATACAGTTCAAACAGTCAAAGCCTTAGCTACTCTGAACATACACTGATGCTAGGTTGGTTCGTTGTTTGTTTTTTAGTGACAGGGTCTCACTCTATCACCCAGGCTGGAGTGTAGTGGCATGATGATAGCTCCCAACTTGGCCTCCCAAAATGCTGGGATTACAGGTGTGAGCCACCATGCCCGGCCAAGTTTTTTTGCTTGGTGAAATGTTCATTATTGTAAATTGTGGATGTAGGGAAAATGTGTTTTTTTTTTTTGGTTTCTCAGACCTCTCGAGGGACTTTCTAATGAAGGAGAATTTTCCGACTTATAAGTCTGTGCCTTTCCAAAGTAGAAGCTGAGCTCCCTGGAAGCTGGGGTGTAGGCTCCAGACCTCACACTCCACCAACCACATGCATTCTCACCAGACTTTGCATTAGAAGCTGGCGATGATAGAAGCAGGCTTAAAGTGATCTATTCTGGCGAGGACGGTGGTCGATACATCCACTTTCCAAAATAGCAGTGGTGAAGGCTCTAGGCTGCCCAGCCATCTGGGGCTGCACCAGGTACTTCTACTGGTCTTTCTGGTAGATAAGTTCTGTGGTGTGATTTGGGTAACATTTATGACCCATTTGTGTTCTGGAGGCAATGTGGGCTATGCTTTTGTGAATTCCTTTTCTGCTTGAACCAGCCAGAGTCAGTCTTATTTGCCACCAGGAACCCTTGTGGGTACTGTGGGTCACTCAAGCTCTAGAACCCATGGGGGTGTGAATTCTCACCATAATCACCTTGGGGCTCCCTTTGGGACCTCTGTTGGTTACCACAGAAAGTTCTTCTTCATTCCTGAGCATCCCTTGATGAAGGGTTAAGCCAGGAGACTACTAGGTTGGTCTGCCTTTGGACATATTTCCTTCCTACTTAAAATATGGCATTTCTCCTGGGAGATGGAGAAGGATGGGGGTGGTCATTAGGCTCTTGGTCTAAGCAGTTAGGAGAATTTTAAATCATTAAGAGTTTTAAGTTCATATTATCAGCCGGGCGTGGTGGCTCACGCCTGTAATCCCAGCACTTTGGGAGGCCGAGGCGGGTGGATCACGAGGTCAGGAGATCAAGACCATCCTGGCTAACACAGTGAAACCCTGTCTCTACTAAAATACAAAAAATTAGCTGGGTGTGGTGGCGGGTGCCTGTAGTTCCAGCTACTCAGGAGGCTGAGGCAGGAGAATGGCGTGAACCCGGGAGGCGGAGCTTGCAGTGAGCCTAGGTAGCGCCACTGCACTCCAGCCTGGGCGAGAGAGAGACTCCGTCTCAAAAAAAAAAAAAGTTCATATTATCAACTGCTAAAGTATGCATTTTAGTCCTTTGCAAATTCCATTCAACTCTAAAACCTAGAACCCAAGTAGAGCATTTACCTAGGGTTTTCTTCAGATCTTTCTGAAGTGTCACATGTAATGAATTCAGGTAGCATATTATATAAATTCATGTTTGCATCTGTGTTGGGATTTGCAATTTATCTGTGGGTTGAAATAATTCTAAATTATCTGTCTTCAAAGTTGTTGTTATTCTTTTACATTTCACCATAGTATTTTACATGAGCTATGTTACAGGAATTGGAATAGTTTATAAAACAAAGATACTAATAAACAATGAAGGAACCTAGCTTGCTTTCCCAAGACTGACTTACACTGTGCTCACTTAGACTTTAACTTCCTGTGAAGAATTCACACAATTATCTGACATGTACAGATAAATTGTGAAAGTTTCTTCACAAATATGCAGATAATAGGGGCACACTTTGGCAAAATAAAAAGTGACATCTAGGTAATTGCCTTAATTTTTCCCGTTATTGTCTGCATGGAGAGCTAACACAATGTTAGCTCAAGTGCAGTGGTGCAATCTCGGCTCACTACAACCTCCGCCTCCCAGGGTTCAAGCGATTCTCCTGCCTCAGCTTCCCGAGTAGCTGGGATTACAGGTGCGTGCCACCATGCCCAGCAAATGTTTGCATTTTTAGTAGAGACAGGGTTTCACCATGTTGGTCAGGCTGGTCTCGAACTCCTGACCTCGTGATCTGCCCACTTCAGCCTCCCAAAGTGCTGGGATTACAGGCATGAGCCACCACGCCCAGCCCAGGAAAACTTTTTGAACGCTAGCAGCTGAGTTACAATGAGACTTCTGATGTTCTAGAAAACTGCATATCATACCCTTATCCTTAAAATACTTGAGTGGCAAAGAGGCTACTAAGATGTGATGTCATTGGGTCTCCACTGGATATCAGGAACTATTGTTTAATCTCAAAGTGTACCTTCCTGTGTCTGTCAGTTAAGGAAGGTTTCCAAGGCCAAGGAGATAATGGGTCCATTTCCATTTTCTCTATTCCAGCAATGTCTGCACCTTAACAGGGTGGACACAGCCCTGTATGGGTAAGGCCATGCTCAGGGATGCTCTCCCAACTCATACTGGTGTAAAGGAACCTTGCAATTAGAGTCAGGATACACGGAGCAAAATTAGTTTGCTCACTGCTTGTGTTGAGAAAGAGCAGCCAAACTCAGTGATGGTCACAGGCTAATTTGTTAAAGGAATCTCCTGTTTGATGCTTGGTGAGCAAAGCCTCCTGCTCCACTCTGCTCTGTCTAGCCACCCCCTTCTCAGGTCCTCAGATGTGCCACGCGTGTCTTGCTTCTGCCTGGAATTTTCCTCCCTTCCAAGCCCAAGGTATCCTTTAACTTAACAGAGGCACCCCTTCCCTGGGAGGCCTTTTCTGCCACCCCCCAGACCTCCAAGGCTGTCTCCTGTGCTCATTCTGTGGATTTCTGTCTCACTCTGTACTTTCCCCCTCATAATAGCCTGCATCACATTGCTCTGTCATTGCTTGTTGATTTATCTGTGTTCTCCGCCAGACTTAAGCTTGGTGACTACAGGGACCATTTCTAATCTTTACCCTCCTGACGCCTGGCCTGCAATTGGCAACAGTAAACAGTTGTTAAATGCATCGGTCATTTCACCAAACTATGTCATTAATAAGCATCTATGATGAGTCTAGAACTGTGCTGTGAGCCATGGATGATTCGAGAGAAGAAAAACATAGCCCTGGCTCAGCCATTTATGAGCTCTGTAACCTTGGGCAAGGTTTCTACTTTGCCTCTCCCAACCTCAGTCCTTTTATCTGTGCTATAGGATAAGAATACTTTCTTTAAGACATTATAAAGATTATATAAAACAGTAACACAAATGACTGGGTAAATAGTAAGCACACCTTAGCTACTGCTGTTATCTTTCATCAAGGGATGAACTGGCCAGAAGTAGTGAGGGATTAAAATGAATGAATAGGAGATCTAAGAAATGTTTCCTGTCTACCTCCCTTCCTCCTTCCTTATTCTCCCCTTTTTCATTCATCCATTTCTTCCTTATGTTGAAATTCTGATGAGTCAGAGAAAGGAAAGATCATTATAACTGCAGAAAGCAACAAGGAAAATGTGTGATTAAATCTTATTTTGGAGTTTTTTTTTTTTTGAGACGGAGTCTTGCTTTGTCTCCCAGGCTGGAGTGCAGTGGGCCACTGCAACCTCCGCCTCCTGGGTTCAGGCAATTCTTCTACCTCAGCCTCCCGAGTAGCTGGGATTACAAGTGCACGCCTCCACACCCAGCTAATTTTTGTATTTTTAGTCTAGACAGGGTTTTGCCACGTTGGCGAGGCTGGTCTCGAACTCCTGATCTCAGGTGATCCACTCATCTCGGCCTCCCAAAGTGCTGGGATTACAGGCGTGAGTCACTGTGCCCGGCCCTCAGGTGTTTTTAAAAAGCAGACACTTGAGTAAGATGGTCAGCATGCCAAGCACTGGTCTCAGTGTTTTGCATATGATTACTTTCTCATCAGATCATCTATTTAAGCCACTTTATACACATTTACAGATATATTAAATCTCCACAACCACTATATAATATATAATTATTATCTCACTTTTACTGATCAGGAAACAAGCACAGAGAGGTTAAGTAACTTGCCTGAGATTGAACAGCCAGTAGGTGGTAGAGCCAGCATGAGCACCCAGGCAGGCTGGCACCAGGGGTCGCTTGGCAGAAATGCCCCTGGGAGCACAAGTATGTGCCCAGCATAGTGAGAGGACTTGACACCAGAAACATTGCCCTTTAGTGGTTGGCTCTTCAGGCAAAGAGTTACAATCACATGGAGAAGTGAATACAACTTGGAAACAGACAAGAGGCCTATAGCCAGGTTAGGTTCCCCGAAAGTGGACTATGAGATGGAGATGAGCATGCAAGGCGTTTATTGGGATAAGCATCTGGGAAGGGAGGAGCAGGCATAAGAGTGAAGAGCGGGGAAATGGAGCTGTGATGTGGTCTGGCCTCCCGGGGTTGGGAGAACCATTCTTCAGTGATGTGGAGAGTAAAGGGTGCTGCTCTTTGGAAGCAGGTCAAGCTACATCAGGCTCTGCTTGGACTTGAATTGCTGCTCATTGAAACAGAGAAGAAAACTAGTCTGATGACCACTGTGCAGGATGAACCCAAATGGGAAAGCCTGAGCGTGGTACTTATGTACCAAAAGGGCACCTAGGGTGAAATTTCACTTTCTACCCCCATTCCACTCTGGGTTGGACTGAAAAACACGCACTGGTGCAATTAAGGATGTAAAAAAATTAACCAAACCAGCGGATATAGCTAAGAACTCAAGTAAGGCTAAGCTTGCTGTTGAACAGTGACGCAAAGTCACCCCGGTGTGTCTTCGGTGGGACAGTGATCATATAAAATCAGATGTTGACATATGAAAACAGTGTTTCTGATTTGTTAAATTACCACATTAACAGCAAGTGCTGCTGGTTTGATTTGCACCTGATATGATAAGAAGCTAATTATATGACAGGGCGACCCATGTGGCAGGGCAATTTCAGTCCTAGCAACACAATATTTACCTGGACAGCAAACAGTCAAGCTGCTAATTCAAGATGCAATCTTTTCCAGAAACTTAGCCAATGCGGTAAAAAACAACGTTCCCCATTCCTCACACAGACACTCGCCAGGTCTAGGAAATAAACTATAACTTATTTTTTGGTCAACTACTGATTTAGAAATGATTTACTGATGACCTTTTATAATAAGTATTTTATATTAAATAGTCTTAAGTAAAAATGTGTGATCTATGATAGGCGCCAAGACACAGAATCCCAGACTTTATTTGCATTTGTAGATTTTGGAAGGTAGAACCCCATACTTTATTTTTTATTTGTAGGTTTTATTTGATTATAAAAGGGAACACATAGGTGGGGGAATTTTTGAAAATACCTAAAGTGAGAATCATAGAGATAATCATTGTTACTCTTGGGGTATATAGTTTCTTCCAGATTTTGTTTGTTTGTTTTACTCAATTTCAAAATATGTAACATATTCTTTTATAACTTGTATGGTGCGTGTACGTGTGGGTGAGGGTATGTAAATACAGCAGTTGGCAAATTATGGCCCACGCTCATCTGTCTGCTTACTGCCTGTGGCTGCTTTGATGCCACAATGGTAGGATTGAGTATTGTGGCAGGCACTGTATGGCCCACAAAGCTGAACATAGTTCCTGTCTAGCCCTTTATAGAAACGTTTCTCCATCCCCGTTTTAATATGTCAAGCAGTTCATGCCATCAGATGTTCTTCAGACAGGTGCTTTGAAGGAGGCATAGTGTTCACGTGAGTGGATCAAAGTTACATATAACTTTACCTTGTCCCTTCTTGCACATATCCCACCTGCTGGGAAACCCTCTTGGCTTTGTCTCCAGATGTGTCTCAGAACCCCCTGCTATCACCTGGGACAGGTCTCACTCCTCCTTGGCCCCCTAATCTTTCTTTTGCTCCTGAAGAGACTGGCCTCCATGTCATCCAGAGCTGACTCCTGTCCCAGGCAGGTGGAATATATATCCATCACAAGGTGACCTTGAACCTGGGGTGACCGTCCCCTTTTCATTGCCAAGGTCCAGGTAAAGCTTGTCAATATAGGCTTCCAGGAATATAAATTTAAAGAGTCATATTTTTTTTACTCATGTGAATTGTAATCTCTGTAAAATCACTGTTAATTTAGTTATGTTAATATATGTAAAAATCACATCTTATTTACATAATATGTTAATTTCAAAATGCTGCTTTTCCTACTTTCTCTTTATGCCAGGTTTATTGACACTAAGGCCACTTTTTGAATCTAACACATTTTCCGGAACACGTTGTCTTCACTACTAAGCTGTGATAAAGCGTGTTTAAAAATAAGAGTCCCTGGCCGGGCGCGGTGGCTCACGCCTGTAATCCCAGCATTTTGGGAGGCCGAGGCAGGCGGATCACGAGGTCAAGAGATTGAGGCCATCCTGGCTAAGACGGTGAAACCCCGTCTGTACTAAAAATACAAAAAATTAGCTGGGTGTGGTGGCGGGTGTCTGTAGTCCCAGCTACTCGGGAGGCTGAGGCTGGAGAATGGCATGAACCCAGGAGGCGGAGCTTGCAGTGAGCCGAGATCGTGCCACTGCAGTCCAATCTGGGCGACGGAGCGAGACTGCATCTCAAAAAAAAAAAAAAAAAAAAAAAAAAATTAGAGTCCCTCGAAATTGTACTAAGCTATGGACAGCTATTTTGATCAGTCTTCATCACACAACCACTTACTATATTATTAAAACTTTTTGAAGAAACTTTTGCAAGGCTATTTACAATGACACTTAGCCTTTTCAACTGTGAGGTCACACCCCCAGAAAGAATTATGAGATGTGTAATAAACTTTCTTCTTCTTCTCTTTTTGATTATTCTTGTTATTATTATGATTTTTATCAATTCTATCAGGCAACTTCTATGACATCTAAAATGCTCCAAACTAGCATTAATGCCATTTCAGCCATTCTTCCTTCCCCAGAACTTCTAAATTCAAAATAGATAGAATGTATAGCCCTGGTATTTTGTAAGATCACAAACACATGGCTACATCCTGTTTCTGAGAGATAACTTTAGGTAAAGTGAAGGAAAACTTTGCCTTGTGTTCAGATGTATAAGGTGAAATTTCAATTGCACACAGCACTGTAAAGCCCTGCCCGGAGGAGCAGGCTGACTTGGTGGTTTAGAGCTCCACCCTGGAGCCAGATGGCCTAGGTTCAAATCCCAGTTCCCCAATTTACAAGCTCTGTGATTTTGGCCAAGTGACTTAGGTGCTTTGACCCCATCTCTAAGGTTTTCCAGGAAGCAAATTCTGAGGTCGACAAATTTAACAGGGGATGCTCTTGGAATCATCACCTGGCGGGGGAAGGTAAAGGAAGCAGCACTGGATGAGGGAGAAGCTGAGCTGTGATGCAGGCGCAACAAAGGCCTCAGCCCACACCTTGCAGAGTTGTCCCAAATTGCCACGAGGAGGCCAGTCTTTCGCACCCCTGTGCTGATCAGTCATTGGCTCACCCTAGGAGGAAGTGAGACACTGTGAGTGTTAGTTGTCTGTAGCAAAGATGGTACCCAAAAAGGACTAACAGCTGTGTGGCATCCTCTGCAGCACTCCTGCAGCTGGAGGAGTAAGCCCTTCATTCCGTAAGGGGGACCTGGCGGTGTGCATCACAGAACCACCACGGGGGTGATAACAGTCCCTTTCTAATATTCAATTAGAAATAGAATTAGAAATATTGAATATTTCTAATATTCTGATATTGATGATTATAATGGATTAAGATATGTAGAAATGTTAGAACAGTGTCGGACTCACAGTAACTGACATGTATTTGTTAAACAAAATTAAAACCTTGGGCCTGACTCATCTCCTTCTGTCACTGTCTTCTTAATTATGCTACTACCTTATTAAGTTCCAGACCCTACTTCTGGAATATGCCAGTTTCACTCCTGACTAAGGGTCTTTATAGTTATTCCTGAAACATCTCTTTTTGAGTCCACCTTTTCCCATGTAATGCTTGGGGGGAGCCTCTGGGAATAGGGTCTCAAAGCCTCATTCCTGCTTTAGCCCTGGCTTGTAACTAAGGCAGTTGACACTGGTCCTGTGACTTGTTAGCTACATGTTAGCTACATGATTGCACAGAATACGCTCCCAGTAAGCATGTGATGAATGAACAAATGAGACTCGAGATTTTCTTATCTGCTCAGTGGCATGCCTGTGGATCAAGACTGATTGATTTTTCTTGGAAACAAAATATTTCTCTACAGAATCTCCCTGAGCCATTTGATACCCACAGCAATGGCCCTCCATGGGCATCGGGAGAGCTCTCTAGTGTGGTGGTTAAATTCATGTCAACTTGCCCAGGCAATGGTGCCTCGTTATTTGGTCACACACCAGTGTAGATGCAAAGGTATTTTTCAGATGTGATCAATGTGGTTAAGTCAGAGCACTTTGAGTAGGGCAGATTATCTTCCGCAGTGTGAATGAGCCTCATCCAATTAATTGAAGGCCTTAAGAGCAAGGACCCAGGTCCCTTGAAGAGGAAGGAATTCTGTCTGCAGACTTCCCTCAGACTCAAAATGACAACTTCTGCTTCTTTACATCCACAAGATGGAATTTTCAGCCCGTTGGCCTACCGTGCAGACTTCAGGCCCTCATAGTCACATGAGCCATTTCCTTAAAATCAATCTCTCTCTCCCTCTCTGTGTATATATATACACAGCCTATTGGTTATCTTTTCCCAAAGAACCCTGACTAATAGACCTAGGAATTCAGTGCTGCCGAGTCTCTATCCCCCAGTTTTGCTTAAATTGATCCCCTAGTTTTGCTTAAATTGCTGCTATGTTTGTCTGGGGATCTGTAATGTGGGCCCAGGACTTCCATCCTGGGCAGAGGAAGACGCCATCTCATCCGATTAAGCCTGTTTCCCAGCTGACTTGCTCAAGAGGAGCCTTGCTGGTGCCTTTGGGGTGTGTAACTTCATTCACTGTGAAGAACCTAGGAACAGTTGTTTCCCATTGTTGGTAGGGCCTCCCTGTCCATCTCCTCACATGAGGTCAGCTGCACTTTCGTGGCGGGGGGGAAGGGAGAAAGGGGCTTGAGCATCTCGAAGGACGCAGATCAGCACAGTGTTACCCGCGCACATCCACCTGTTGGGGCTGGAGGACGCAAATCAGCACAGTGTCCCCCCGCGCACATCCACCTGTTGGGGCCAGAGGATGCAGGTCAGCACAGTGTCCCCCTCGCAAATCCACCTGCAGGGGCCAGAGGACACATGTCAGCACAGTGTCCCCTATGCACATCCACCTGCAGGAGCCGGAGGACACAGGTCATCACAGTGTCCCCCACGCACATCCACCTGCAGGGGCTGGAGGATGCAGGTCAGCACAGTGTCCCCCGCGCACATCCACCTGCAGGAGCCGGAGGACACAGGTCATCACAGTGTCCCCCACGCACATCCACCTGCAGGAACCGGAGGACACAGGTCATCACAGTGTCCCCTATGCACATCCACCTGCAGGGGCTGGAGGACGCAGGTCAGCACAGTGTCCCCCGCGCACATCCACCTGCAGGAGCCGGAGGACGCAGGTCAGCACGGTGTCCCCCGCGCACATCCACCTGCAGGGGTGTGCAAGCACATGTTGTTTCCTGGCCTCTCATACGGCTTCTGACACAGCACGTCCCTTCCTCTTCACTTAACTTTTAGGATTGGGATGATGTTTAGATTTTAACTGCTTGGGAAGGACACAGAAGCTGGAGTAGCAGGAGTGTCAAACAGCCACTGCCCTCTACAGTGTTCAACACAACTTGTGATTTCATTGTCCTGTTAAAAATAATATAAAACCACATTTGATAGAAACAAATTCTCCTTGGTTATAAATAAGCAGGCCGAAAGCAGCGTCTGGCAGCGTGAATCCACCATGAAAATTTATGATGAATTGTGTGTATGACGTTGCCATGGTTTGATGCTGAAAGTAGATGGATGTAAAGAAGCCAAGTCCCCTTTCTATTTTAAACCTTGGACTTCCTCTAGTACTTGAAATAGGAAAGAAACATGAAAGGTAAGGACTAGTGGCACACATGGAAAGGAAATCTGGATGTGGTTTAAGTTTCGGAGATTTTACCAAAGTGAAGGGGGAAATGGTAGGCTGTTGTTCATGGCTTTCATGGGAGTACATTGGAAATGGTTCACACGGCTCACTGCAGTGGAGACAGTCACAGCATCCAGGAGCACATGTGTCGCCTTGTCTCACGCGTGTTGGTGGAGATGCACTCTGGGGCACAGATGTTGCCTGACTGGTCGGCTCAGCTCAGACTCTGGGTTCATTGCTGGTGTTGCCTGTTGGCTGGGGCTGATGCTGGGTGGGAAGGAAGTGCCATCATCTTTGAGGGAACTGATTGCTCTGTGGTTAAGGCTGAGCTCAGATGGAAGGCGGGGCAGGGTTGGACCAGTTGAGGGGAGCCCTGCTGAGAGGGCAGAGAGGGGCGCTGAGGCAGAGAGGTGGCTCCTTCAAATCGCCTGGGGTTGGAGGAGGAATCAACAGAAAGGGGAGGCAAGAACAAGTTTGTGGCTGAAACAAACGTGAACATCAAAATCACAGAGCACTGGATTACCGCCCAAAGTATGTGAAAACACACGAGTCTTCACTGATGGAAATAAATGATTGGACAAATAAGTATTAATAAATTGGGGGGAGGGGAGAGGCAGGTCTTCCTTGCAAGCCACCAAATACTGTACGTTGATACTCCCCCATTCAGGAGTTAGAGTCCTGTCCCTTGTGCCACACTCCCTCCCTCTTTGAGCGTGGATTGGATTTAGTGACTTGCTTTCAAAGAATAGAGGATGGAAAGGGAAAAATAATAACTACAGTTGCAAATTTGGCAAGCTACTTTATCCAAGTGATCAAGTTAACGACACCAGTGATATGCCATTTGGACATCGTGAGCCCCGAAATATGATGTGAGGAGAGGGGCGCTTCACCTCATGGACTCTCCCCCCAACCCAAAATCTCAGCCTAATGACGAGAAAAACATCAGACAACTCCAAACTGACGCATCTCTACAAAACACTCCTCAGATCTGTCAAGGTCATGATAACTGAGGAAAGTCCAGGCCATTCTCATAGACCACAAGAGACCAAGCTGATACCAAGATTGAATGTGGCGTGGTGCCTGGGAGGGTATCTGGGTATCCTGGAAGGGATGAAGAAAAAAACAAAACAAAACAAAAACCTAGCAAAGTACAAGCCAAGTCCGGAATTTAGTTCATAGTGTCGTACCGATGGGTTGTAGTTTCTACAAATGCGCCATGGTAATGTAAAATATTAACAGGGGGAAAACTGGGTGAGAGAGATCAGGAGCTCTCTTTGTAACTCTTCTGTAAATCCACTGTTGTTTCTTTCTTTCCCTCCCTTCTTCCCTCTCTCTCTCTCTCTATCTCTTTCTTTCTTTTCTTTCTTCTTCTTTTTTCTTTTGGAGACAGCATTGCCCAGGCTGGAGTGTAGTGGCGCAGTCACAGCTCACTGTAACCTCAACTTCCTGAGTGCAGGTGATCCTCCCCCATCAGCCTCCTGAATAGCTGGGACTACAGGCTTGTGCTACCATGCTCAGCTAACTTTTTAAAATTTTTGAAGAGATAAGGTCCCACTATGTTGCCCAGGCTGGTCTTGAACTTCTGGGCTCAAGCGATCCTCCCACCTTAGCCTCTCAAACTGTTGGGATTACAGACATGAGCCACTGCACCCGGCCCCAATATTATTTCAAAAAAAGTTATTAAAATAAAACAAGTTTGTGTATGTCCATAGAAGAGGGGGCTGGATGCTGGAGGAAACCCCTCATGAGGAATTATCGTGGAGACAGGAGATTGGGGATTAACACCATGAAAGTCTTACTGGATCCAGTTTCTCTTCTCAGAGTCTTTAAGATTCAAGTTTTGGGTTTGTTTTACTCTATTTTTAAAGCTCATGACTTTTTCTAGTCATTGAAGGTGTTTTGCTCATACCCCGATAGAAGTGAAGCCACTTACTGGACACCTTCAAGTTGCTACATCATTTGGAATCCTGAGGTGGCCTGAAGGAGATAACCCCATGTTTCTGAGAGGACATGTGATAAACTGTGCCTCTCAAACACATAGTTTATCTCCAGACAGCGACTGAGGCAATGAGGAAATGAAAGCCCATTAGATTACTGGAGGAATCCGCCCTTCCTAAGAAGCAGTTCTGAGATCTCATAAATCAAGGCCTTTTTTTTTTTTCCACATATCAAGATCAGGGTGTTGCTCAGCTTTTCTTGTAGCAAATGCTTCTCCAGGAGCTGGTTCCTCTTGGAAAATGCCTAGATACCACAGGGTGGTGGTCCAGAAACACATTTCCCAAGCCCCATTGCTTGGAGGAGAAGTCCTTTCAGTGTCTGAGGCAATCTCTCATCCCCCTTCAAGGCTGGGTCAGCAGGTGAAGCTCATGCAGCCAAGACCGCAAGGCCGTCAGATGGTACGTGGCAAAGAGTGCCCAGTGGAGGTGCTCTGGTCCCCTGTCCCACACCCCAAAGCGAATATGGAAATAATGATTTACTTCCAGAGCTGCAAGCTGCAAAGTCTCCCTTTCAATTTGGCTTCTCCAAAAACTACTGGGTAAATGGATAACCAAGAAACATCTTATCAGTTGCTATTTAAGGACTGAAATCCTTTAAACCTGACATCAGCAGAGTGCAATAAGGAAGATCGACGTGTAACAGAACCCATAGTTAAACAGAAGGTTATATGTAATTGCTCCTGTGTTGCATTGTGCTTTTCAACTCAGGAGATAAGGTTTGTTTTGAGCTGAGGGCCAACCTTGTTGATTCACTCCTGTCTCTACTATCCACAAAGACCTCTGTCTCTATGGTGTGTGGACTTTGAAAATTTCCACTTCCTTACGTTTGCTAAGAGCAGTGAGACTTGAGCCAGAGCTCTTTTGCTGCTATGATGATTTGTTCTAAATTTCTCAGAACCAAAGATTCTCTGTCAAGGAACTTTGCCCCTGAAATGCACAAGCCGTATCACCTTAGAAGAGAGCTTTAAATAGGAAAGCATGCAGGAACATCCTTCAGGAACAGGGGAGTTCTGTGGAGGGCAGCTTGAACCAGCGGCAATACTAACCCCCTAGGGAATTTGGTTTTTACAAGTGTTTAAACTGTGGGGCATAGGGTTTTAGAGAAGTTCTGAGGGATTTGGGAGGTAGGATGGGAGGGGAGAAGAATGGGAAGGAAGAGAGATAGCAAAAGAAAGTGGCTTCATATCAGAGGCATAGCGATTATGTTTTAATGAGAAGAGGAATGAGGAAATAAGCAGGAATAAAACCAGTTCCAGGTGACCCACAGGACTTCTGAGAGGGAGTCACAAACCAGAATTTATAAAGACCATGTTCAGTGCAATGAAAGGAGACTCAGTAAACACAGGACTCAACGCAGAACAAGTCAGTGGCCCTGGGTGAGGCGTGAGGTCTGAGCCCTGCCCTGTTTCCTGCAGTTATTTCTCTGGCCTTCCTAAGCTGTCACCAAACTGCCCCCTGTCCCTCTCCGTGTTTCCAGAGGCTACTCCTGTCCTCTGAATTCCCTGCCACCTCCTGCTCCTCTTTCCCACCTGCCATTACCTCACCCTTCCTGGAGTGAAGCCACCAGTGAGGGGCAAATTGTTTCTCACAGACTTTACACTTTGCATCATGTTTTCAAATGGTCATCAACCACTAAATAGCGCAACTTAAAAATTATTTTAAATTAATTTAATTAATTTTAACTGCAAAAACCACAATTACATTTGCACCATCCTAATAGCAGCAGTCAATGAACTTTTCTTAAAAAAACTATTGGCTGGGCGCGGTGGCTAACGCCTGTAATCCCAGCACTTTGGGAGGCTGGGGCAGGAGGATCACAAGGTCAGGAGTTCCAGACCAGCCTGGCCAACATGGAGAAACCCTGTCTCTACTAAAAATACAAAAATTAGCCGAGTGTGGTGATGGGTGCCTGTAATCCCCGCTACTCGGGAGGCTGAGGCAGGAGAATCGCTTGAACGCGGGAGACGGAGGTTGCAGTGAGCCGAGATCATGCCAATGCACTCCAGCCTGGGTGACAAGAGCAAGACTCTGTCTCAAAAAACAACAACAACAACAAAAAAAAAACCACAAAACCCCCAAAAAACTATTGATTAGAAAGGACATTAAGCCTATCACCATAGAGATGAGCATGACAAAATAGGGCTGGGGCAGGACACCACCCTTGCAGGCTCTGACTCTTCGCCCGTGTTTCTGTCTTTCCTCACCCCCTCCCCATCATGACTTTTGCAAGTCCATGTCCTGCTCTCCTGGCCTTCTCTCCCACCGGGCTGGCCTGTCCCCCAGCAGCCCTTGGATGGCTGCAGTCCGCTCTGTCCAGGCCATGCTTTCCAGGTAGCTTGGCCTCAACATACCCTTTTGGGAGGCACAGTCCAACCCATAACAGGGTCAGGCGGTAGGGGTGGCACGGACTGGACAGGAAAGGGGTGAGAAGCTCTCGCTGGCCAAAGTGATGGTCCATGACAAAGACGTGGTTCCAGCTGTTGGTCCCAGCTGAGACCATAACAAACAAATGAACAAAATGGAAGTTCTGACTATTCAGGATAAGAAAATAGTGATATGTTGCGTGACCTTACAATTTGTGGCCTATCCAGGCACGGAGAGGGGGCCTGTTAATAGTTATACCAGCACAAGAGGTGCAACTGGGCAGTGTCTGCGTTAGACTGGGAAATATGGTGACTACAGTGATACTTCCACAACAAGAATGGAGGCGGTCCACAGGAGAGCTCAGGGGCAGGGAAGCTTCAGAGGCTCAGGGTGTTGGTTTGAGTGTCCTGGTTATTTTGGGCTGAAAGGAGCTTTGAGGAAAACACTCCATGTACTAAGCTCAAAAAGAGAAAGATAAAAGGGTAACTGGGTTAAGTCTGATCTAATTATTATGAGAAGAGGCTGAGAAAAAGGTTCTGCTTTCTCCTGCTGGCTGTCCAGATGAGGCAGGACACTGCTTACAACTGTATCCTGAGCAACTCTGGGTTTCCAAGGACCTGAGTCAGGGGCAATCTTTGCAGGGATTGATACCATGTGTCAGTGACCTGCCCCCATTTAAACCTGGGGAACTCTTGTTGGTTTGGTTGTTGTATCTTTTACTTATTAAGATTTGCTATAACATAGTATTTTGGAGAAAAAAGTTTGTATTGCTTTGAAAGCCGCTGATCTAGGACAAGTCTCAGTGTGATTCCACCCACCACGCAGCGAGAGAGAGGGGGTACCATCTCTTCCTCAGCAGCGGGGTGCACATAGTCATCATTCGTCAGATTGTCATTATCGATGGCATCATTTACAACACGTGTATAGATGCTCATTTGATCCTTTGATTTTTGTTTGTTTGGGTGTTTTCTTTTTGGTCAGTTTGATCTAAGGAGAAAAATATCCTCTTCCACTTTGTTCCAGAAATATCCTGGGTTTGATACTAGTTCCATACCCTTATTTCTCTTTGGCAAAGTGCATAATACATTCTCTGAATTTTCACGGGCAACAAATTCTGTATTGGTGACATTGGAAGTCTTTGTGGGCTATGGAAGGGTGAAGATGGGAAATTCTTAGACTCTTGAGTCAGTGGGTGGAGGGTTTGCTTCAATTTTCTTTCTTGTATTCTTTCAGCCAACACATGTCTTTTACGAAACAGTCAGCTTCTCAAAGGCAGGGACTCTGTGCTCTGACTTGAGCAAAAATCCTGAAGCTGTAGAGGCTGACTGGAGAGGTGCTCCTGAAGGCCTGTGTCCCAAGTGAGTGGGTATTTCTTTCCTGTAGGGACAGGGAACCCTGGAAAGTCTCCTTACAACCCCCTTTTCATTTAAAAGTAATCTTTTTTCTTTTTATATTTTAAAAACTATTTTTTTCTTACCATAAGAGTAATTTGTTGCTGAAAATAAAAAAGAAAAAAACAGGCAAAAGGATAAGATGGAAAATACTCATTATTTCCCTAAGCCACAGAAGAAAACCATAGTGTAGGTCCTTGAACACTTTTTCTTTCTCTTTTTCTCCTCTCCTCCCTTCCCTTCACCCATCCTCTCCCCCTCCTCCTCCTCGCCTTGTCCTTCTAGTTTGCCTTTCCTTCTTTGTACATATCTTTCCAGATATGTTCATCAATATATAAGTGTATATATAAATATATAAATCAGTATATAAATCCATAATATACTTATATAATATATAAATATATAGTCAATATATTTACATATATTACATTTATATATAATCACTATATTTACATATTGATTATATATAAATACATATATTGATTATATATAAATATATACAATTATATGTAAATACATTGATTATATATAAATATACATAGTATGTAGATAAATATATAAATACATAAATGTATATTTCACATGAATGAGATATTATATATTTTGATTTCTATTCTTTCTCTCTCTCTTTTACTAACTATATTAGGGAAAGACTTTCCTAACAATGTCATCCTTTTTAATGGCAGCATAGGATTTCATTGAATCATACAATTTAACCTCTTACTGATAGACCTCTAGGTTGTTTTCATTTATTGGCTGTTGCAAAGAATGCTTATATTTATTTTATCTCTACATTTTAAATTTTGTGTGTGTGATTTGTGAAGTCCATAATATGTTTACAAGTAATATATGTACATTATAAATGTATATGCATGTAATTTGTAGTTGCACAATATATTTGGAGGGTGTGTGCTGCTGGGGGTGCTTGATCAAAAACATGTGGCTGCCCCTCACCTCAGCAACAGATGATGAATTGAACTAAGACAGTAACGCAGCATGGAGTCTGAGGTGGTTAGAAGTGTAGCTCAATATGTTAGGGTTGATGGGACTTGGTGATAGTCTGTCTGGTGAGGGAGAGGGAAGAATTGAGTATAGCTTCCATGTGTCTGCCTCAGTTGACCATTTCTTCACTTACTTAAGTAATTAATATCAACTAATAAGATAATCTAAAAATAATATTAATACGCTGTATTCTAGGAGCCAGCTCCATCGTGCTTTGTACTATTGCTGAGATACAATAATAAACAAGAACATCCCTGCCTTAAATTCTGGTGAGGTGGGGGATTCAGATAACAAACATGTGAACAATAAAACAAGTTTCTAGCCTCTGCTTCAAGAGTGTTCAGGTCAGGCCTACACATCCTGGCCGATTTGGAATGGATTTGCATTTTTGTTTTCTGGATGTAAGCTGCATTCTGCCTCTTCTCCAAGACTCCTATTAGATATATCTTCCTCCTCATTCCAAGACTCCTATTAGATATATCTTCCTCCTCATTCCAAGACTCCTGTTAGATATATCTTCCTCCTCATTCTAAGACTCCTATTAGCTATATCTTCCTCCTCGTTCCCATGCTCCTTAGGGATTACTTTTCCTCACTCAGTATTGTTCCCCCTGCAGGCATCTGTTGCTTCAAGCCTCACATATACGGTTTAGAAATCTTATGATTTTTTTTTTCATTTACTTTTTTCTTGAGATGGGGATTTCACAGTGTTGATCAGGTTGGTCTTGAACTCATGGGCTCAGGCGATCCTCCCAACTCTGCCTCCCAAGGTTCTGAGATTACAGGCATGAGCCACTGCACCTGGCCTCTTATGATCTTTTTGGAATTAATTTGGGCTTGTTAGATTTTTTTTTTTGTTATATGTCTTGTGAAAAAACATTTAGAGGTACATGTTTAACTTTATTGTCTACTGTGTAGTTTAAGAAATGTCAAAACCAGGAATACAGCCTGATTGGGCACACTAGAGGCAAGAGTGGGAGAGGGTGAATTCACAGACCTGGCCAGTCTCCTCCTGGCTTCAAGGTGATAATTTACCCCGCAATTCTCAGACTTCACTTGTACCAGAAATGTTTGGGGGAAATGTGCTAAGATGCGGGTGCTCAGGCCCTTCCCCCAGCGATTCTGATTCTTGGAATTTCAACTGGGACTCAGGATCTGCATTTTGAAGCAAGTTCTTCTGGAGATTCGGTTGTGCTGTTCTACAGACAACATTTTTAGAAAGACTGACTTAGGGGAGGTGTTTTTGATCTCTGTGTCTTCTGTCATTTAAGAAGATTTTTCAGTCACTTGGGCTGATTGATAAATACAGCTGATCACTCAGGACACAATATAAAGTTCCTACTCAGAGAGAAGCTGACTTGAGCTATCTCTACCTCGAAGGGGTCTTTTATAGTTTCAATCATATATGGATGAAAAAGATGCTGTATTCTTTTTATATGAACTACTTTGTGTATTTTATAAGTAGTATAAATGTACGAATATCCCATTTACCAGACATTTGGGGTGCATGGTATAGACAACTGAAGGTTATTCCTTTAAGTTGCACTTTTTTTTTTTTTTTTGCTTTATTTCAACTATTTACATGGAACTATTTCTTAATTTAGTGTATGCTTCTGTCCTTTGGCAAACACAATCTACTGAAGATAGTTAAATCTTTTCAGGGTCATCATATATGTTTTTCATTCTTTCAGGTCTGACTTAGATTTGTTAAAGCCCCTACTCTGAATAGCCTCAAATGTGTTTGCTCTTGGTCTGCCATGGTTTTTAGAGTTTTTCTTTTCCCTCACGGTTTTCTGTCATTTCCCTCGCGCATTGCTGTGCCTGGCTCTAGGAGCTTTCTAATTTGCTCTGGGGCTGGGAAATCATGTGACTGCAGACTATATGTTGAGTAATAGTGAAGAGGATTTGAATGAGTTTTTGAGAAGCTGTTCTAGGAATAAAATGGATGTACTTTGCTGCGTTGACTTGGTGACATTATTCTAGTGGCTCAACTACCTTCTTCTAACTTACTTCCTGATCCTTAACTGCAGTTGTCATGTTTGTGACCTCCTGACAAGTGAGTTATTGCTAGAAATCATTTATCTTGATCTGCAAACCTTTGTCTCCCCCAGTTGTGTTAGTGTTTTTATGTATACAGTTCTATAATGTGAAACGTATAAGGATTAAAACTAAAAAAATTCTCAGGCCAAAAATAGATAAATTGAGATATTGCCAAGTTATATGAAGAAAACAGATTGGAATAAGGAGATTATGAGAATGACATAAAGTATTTATTATGTTTCTTTAAGAGAAGAAATAGACAAGGATAAAGGAGGAGCAAGTTTCAGAAAGGTGATGGATTCTTTGCACTTGTTTCTTGGAGATACTTGTGGGGCTTCCAGGTTCCAGGAACCCTTTTACACTGCTGGTGGGAATGTAAAGTAGTACAACCACTATGGAAAACAGTGTGGAGATTCCTGAAAGAACAAAAAGTAGAACTATCATTTGATCCAGCAATCCCACTACTGGGTGTCTACCCAGAGGAAAAGAAGCTATTATATGAAAAAGACAATTGCATATGCATGTTTATAGCAGCATAAGTCACAATTGCAAAAATGTGGAACCAACCCAAATGCCCATCAATCAATGAGTGGATAAAGAAAATTTTATATATATATATAATATATATACACATATATAATATATATGCACATATATTTATATAATATATATTATATATATATATGCATGCCATGGAATACTACTCAGCTATAAAAAGGAATGAAATAATGGCATTCGCAGCAACCTGGATGGAGTTGGAGACCGTTATTCTACGTGAAGTAACTCAGGAATGGAAAACTAAACATCATATGTTCTCACTTATAAGTGGGAGCTAAGCTATGAGGACGCAGAGGCATAGGAATGATACAGTGGACTTTGGGGACTTGGGGGGAATGGTGGGAGGGAGGTGAGGGATAAAAGACTGCACACTGGGTACCGTATAAACTGCTCAGGTGATGGGTATCCCAAAATCTCAGAAATCACCACTAAAGAACTTATCCATGTAACCAAATACCACTTGTTCCCTAAAAACTATTGAAATAAAAAAATTAAGCTAAAACATTTCAAAATAAGATAGAAACATTAAATATCTAATGAATGGAAAAATAACACGGAATATACTGAAGATACAAGTGAAACAAGGCAAAAATACAAATTCCAAAATGAAAATATCTGTACCAACCTCACGCAGGTGGCGTGAGGTGGTGCTGAGAACCAGCAGGCCTTCTTTGGGCCAAATTTCTGGTTACAGATCCCACAAGTAGAAAACAGGACCTTTGGGCTCTCCCGTATTTGCAGAAGGTTCAACACTTCATTCCTTCTAGGTTAAAAATAAGAATGTGGGAGGGAGATGGCTCCTAGAGAGCCTTGAGCTCTAGGTTATTCATCTCCTCCCCATAAATCAAGCAAAAGCACCCATGATCTCCTCTCCCCAAACCCAGCTTTTAAATTAAGTTTTAACTCAGAATGAGAGTGACAAATTCCTTAATAGCAGTATATAAATAATTTTTGTGTTTTGACCAAATTTAATTCAGGCATATCTTAAAAAGATCAATGTTAATCATATTTAAAATTATGTTTTGAAGTTAATTTAAATTATATGTTTAGTCTGTCCTAGATATTAAACACAATATGAATTTTTAAAAAAAGAAAGTGCTGTCAGAATAGAGTTACCAGTCAGCGTAAAATAATTTGTCTCATCAAAGATCATGACAAGGAAGAAGTGGACAGAGGTGGCAGGGCACAGAGTCAGGGGTTTGAGAACAGGGGTTTCAGTCAACTGAGAGGCTCCCGTGGGAGAAGGAGCATCGAACAGAGAAAACAGGACTCATTCTTGCAAATGTTTTTCTGAAAATGGCCCAAGTGGCAGATAGGTTCAGATATGAGGATATAGACTTGACTTGAAATGCCCACCATGGAGATATTCTTTCTTCTGTCTGAGAGACTGGTTGATTATTGTCTTAAGAGTGAGGCTTTGGGGCTTCCTCTAGTGGAGAAACAGTCCAAACCAAAAAGAGCCGGTCCATCGGATGGCTGGTGTAAAAATGGACAATGTCTTTTCCAGTGGCCTGGCCATTTAAATAAAGGCACATATTGGGGCATGGAGTTCTTGAGTTTGGGACTCCTTGATTTTGGTTTAAAACGTGTGCAAGGAGGTCCCCTTGGTCCCTGTAGCTGTTGCGGCTCTAAAGACATGTGTCCATTTGCCTTTTGTAAGGAGTTTCCCCACTGTGGCTGCTGTAACTCTATGTTGCCTTTGCTAAGGGTCACAACATTTATTTAGAAAAGCACAGGTTCTGGATCCAAAGTTCTTTTACATGAAATTGGCTGGAGTTCTAGATGGTTGAGTTCTAGAATCCTCAGAGCCAGATGAGCCCATGATTCCCTGTCTTCTGGTAATCTTACCTAGCTACTGAACCCAGTCCAGTTTCTAATTTGACCCAGTCAGACACCTGAGGCCTTCCTACAGACCCAGCCCTATTTCTGTCATGACTTCTGAACCAATCTGCTCCAAACAAAGTGCTCAAATATACTCAGAGAGCCCAAAATGCAAATTCACAGAGCTCAGAATCCAAGAGAGAACTCAACCATGACCCCAGTTGCTGCGAGAGATCAATGGGCACAGTGGGCCCTGGCAGTTACCTTCGCTTGGTCTCTCGGTGTTTCTGGGAATCACTAGAGGTCTACTTTGAATCCCGTTTCTGGCACCTGGAGCAGCCTGATGTTTCTGCTGACATCTCCTCAATCAGAACAATCACAGAAGGCCTCATTTGGCTCCAACAAGTCTGAGAAATGTAGTTTTAATTTTGGAAGGCCATGTGTACTAAAGTTGGGAAGGGATATGAAGAGACAACCTGTCTTCACGCTGGCATCTGCATTTGGCCATTCATTGCTAATATTTTCCTATGACATCCAAGAGGGGGAAGGTCTCTCCTAGTGTCTCAGATAGAAAGTTCCAGAGCTTTAATCAAAGCAGCTGTAGAGGAGATAGAAAAAAAAAAACTCGGACTGATGGTTATGTGAAGGGGAAAAAGGTGTCAAGAAAGGTGAACGTTTAGCTTTGAAGTGGCAATGGTTTTCTAGGGCATACTATATGATGAAATTGCAAAGGAGAATAAAAATGTCCATTTAAAGTATATTACTAATATTAAATGGAGATACATTTGGAAAGAGAGTATATACAGGAAAATTTAAAATGTGGAGGTATCTGGTCCCTTGGGCTTCTGCAGCATGTGTAGGCTCTGCTGGAGTGGAAGGACACCCAGCCAAGGCATAGTGACCTGGAGAGGTGACTCCTGCCTCTGTCACCCGCAAGTCACCTGACTTTGCTGTTCCACAGTTTCAGCATCTAAAAATCTTGGTGATCACTTCTGTGGCACTCAGGGTCTCTCCCACATCTGAATTCTGTGAGTCCTTAAGTTCTAGATGTCTAGTAGGTTTCAGGTCAGTGAGGAAACGCTTAGCACCTTAGTCCCCAGCAGGGTGAAAGGTGCCATCTGGGTGAAGAAGCCATGTTAGGCCTTCAGTGGGGGGACACTTGTCGATTGTGTAGCTACACTCGGGATCTGTTGTCTGTACTGTCCTTGTTTTCCCTCTGATAGGGTTTGGATCTGTGTCCCCACTAAATCTCATACTGAATTGTGATCTCCAGTGTTGAAAGTGGGGCCTGCTGGGAGGTGATGGGGGATCATGGGGGTGGAGTTCTCATGAATGGTTACCACCATCCCCCCTTCATACTCTCTCTTGCTCCAGCTCTGGCCATGCGATGTGCCTGCTCTCCCTTCCCCCTCCACCATGATTCTAAGTTTCCTGAGGCCTCCCCAGAAGCTGAGCAGATGCCAGCCATGCTTCCTGTACAGCCTGCAGATCCATGAGCCAATTAAACCTCTTTTCTTTATAAATTACCCAGTCTTAGGTATTTCTTTATAGTAATACGGGGCTGGACTAATACACCATCCTTGTTCCTGTGAATTGTAGGAATTACCACAAATGTACCTAAAGGGGACTCCATGGTTGGAACAAGCAATTTTAACATGCATGACAGGGCGCTAAAACAAAGTACTGGTGCTCCTTGACCTACTGTGGGGTTATAGCCTGAGAAACCCATCCTAAGTTGAAAATATTGTAGGTTGAAAATACGTTTAATCCATCTAGCCTACTGAACATCAAAGTGTAATCTAGCCTACCTTAAACATGCTCAGAACACTTACATCAGCCTATGGTTGGGTAGAATCAACTGGCATCACAGTTCACTGCAGAGTACCGGCTGCCCACCCTCTTGATCGTGGGGCTGACTGGGAGCTGAGGCTCCTGGCTGCTGCCCAGCTTCATAAGAGAGTACCCCACCACATGTCGCTAGCCCAGAAAAAGATCAAAATTTAAAATTTGATGCACAGTTTTTGCTGAAAGTGTATTGTTTTGCACCACTGTAAAGTCAAACAGTTGTGAAGTTGAGCCATCCTAAGTTGGGGACTGTCTGTAATGGTAAATATTTCCTGTTGGTAATAGCTAATTCATCTGTTATAGCACTAAATCAGTTCATCATCCTTTACAATTAAGAGGCAGGTCTCAGGGATATATTCAGTTCTGTGGTAACCAGCAACTAAGATCAACAACAGTTATGTTCAGGTATGCAAGAAATAGTAAGCTAGAAGCTCAGGAGAAAGAAAAGGTAAAATTCATGGGTTAGAATGATCAGAGCTGAAAGTTAGATAAGAGAATTAGCCTTTTGTGTTGATTAGGTTTTTTTTTTTTTTTTTTTTTTTTGTTGTTGTTGTTGTTCTTGTTGTTTTTTCGAGACAGGTTCTCACTCTGTCACCTAGACTGGAGTGCAGTGGTGCAATCTAGGCTTACAGCAACCTCCGCCTCCCAGGCTCAAGTGATTCTTCTGCCTCAGCCTCCCGAGTAGCTGGGATTACAGGCATGCGTCACCACGCTCGGCTAATTTTTGTATTTTTAGTAGAGACAGGGTTTCACTATATTGGCCAGGCTGGTCTCGAACTCCTAACCTCGGGTGATCTGCCTGCCTCGGCCTCCCAAAGTGCTAGGATTACAGGTGTGAGCCACCACCCCCAGCCGATAAGATTTTGTACAAGTGCCAAAATATTATCATTGATAATATTTTCAGCATTTCAACTTTTCAGTTATTTAAAAACCTGGAATTTCTAATAGTATAGCACATTGCCCTGCCTCTGACAGGCTCTCGCACACCCCGACCTTCAGAGCTCAGCCTATGACTGTTTTCTTTCAAGTCCCTGGTATTTCAGTTGTGTGTCTGAGTAACCACACCCAGTTCATCTTAGACTTTGAAGTGTCTAAAATGTTAGGTCTTGCGTAAAATATGAAATGCCTTAAGGAATTGTTAATTGTGAGATGCATACATCACAAAATAACTAACACTATCCAAAAGAAAGCAGATATTATTTGTTTTGACATTTCTTTAATGTGGTAGAAAGTCACTTTCACACATACAAATGGTAAAATATACATTAAATATAGATAACATGCTAGGATTAGCTATAACATAACAACAGAATACACAGATTTTTATTTTTTTATTTTTAAAATTTATTTTATTATTAGCTTTTTAAAGAAACAGGGTCTTGCTCTGTCACCCAGGCTGGAGTGCAGTGGCACGATCTTGGCTCACTGCAGCCTCCACCTCTGGGGCTCAAGCAATTCTCTCACTCCAGCCTCCCAAGTTTCTGGGACCACAGGAGCATCCCATCAGGCCCGGCTAATTTTATTTTTGGTAGAGATGGGGTCTCATTGTGTTGCCCAGGCTGGTCTTGAACTCCTGGGCTCAAATGATCCTCCTACCTCAGCTTCCCACAGTGCTAGGATTACAGGCGTGAGCCACAGCACCTGGCAACACATTTTGAAAATAATATTGTTTCTTAATAAGCAGATCTTACTTTCTGCCATCCCTAACATTCCTAGTCAAGAAAAAAAAAATGGCTTCAACTTTTTGTCCAAAGCTTTCAGGATATATTCCTAAAGAAATCTCAGTAATATTTCTTCTGGCCTTTTTGAGAGCAAGATTTGAAGGGATTTTTGTCGTACTCTTTTAAAAAAGCAAATGAGGGATGGCTCTCTTCAGTGACAAGCCAAACTATGAAAACATCCAGACCCACAATCCTTCCTGTGCCAGTGTCAGGCTGCCCCTAAGGACAGGGAAGTCCTGGGGAGAAAGCGTTTTGCCCAGATGAACACGTGAACTCAACATTCGTGTGCATGCTTCCGGTGAGTTGAGAAATCTAGATGACCCGAAAAGATTTTCTTGCAAAGCAATATCCCTCAAAACCCCATTGCATAATGGCTTTTGTTTTAAACCTTTTTGAGTAAGGGATCTTTTTGCCGAGTGGCTAGGCGTTCTCCAAACAAAACCCCCAACCCTCACAGGTACAGCCTGTTTTGCTGTCTGCTCTCCAACTCCCTCCTGTGACTTGAAGGAGGAGATTTGATAGCCCAGGGTGATGTTTCAACCTCCTGTGGCCACTCCACCCTTAGGTGGGTGCCTAGTCATGCCAGAAAAAAAAAAAAAAAAGCCGGGGGAAGAAAAAGGGCAGGCGGGCCTAGGTGAAGTCATCCAATGAAGGTTACTGGCTGAGCGGGGACACCTTCTCACAGGACTGGAGAGAGAATGCGGGGCAGCTGGGCAGGGCTCACTTCCAGCCGCCTGTCACAGTACTGGGAGTAAGAGGTGACCTATTTATTTTTAGAAGGGGGCAGTGATAATAACCCAGCTCCTAGCTTCATTCAAGGGAGGCAGGCGCTTTGGAAGTTTGTAAACACCAACTTTCTGAGTAAGGGAGGAGCACTTTTTTTCCAAAAAGGAAAGAACGTCTCTACTGGGTTTTTTTCCTCCTGATATTCAGCATTAGAGTAGAAAAGAAACTATTGTTTGGCCACATTAGCCGTGGTTAGCAGGTGCTGCAGCCTTTGCCACTGTTATTATTTTTAAAGGGCAGAAATGCCTGAAGGTGAAGACTTTGGACCAGGCAAAAGGTAATTGTGATATATACGTACGTACTTATTCTTCAGTCTGTTTCACTGGCTAGTTATCTTTTTAAAAATATTATGACTAATTTAAAAAGGAGTTTAAAATGTAAAAATATGAAGAATGCAGTCCTTTAATTCCAGGAAACATAATTTTCTTTGGCACGAACTCACTCAAGAGAGGCAAATAACTTAATGTCCTCTTAAAAACTTATGCCAATAAGTGCTTTTCTTGAATCAGAAAGTGATGGCCTGAAATTTTTTAAAAAAGTGTTTCCCAGCACATAATGTAGAATCTACTTGAATGTTTTAATGTTGAGTTTTTAACATTAGATGATAGTTGTTGGAAATCTAAGCTATTGAACATTTTTAAAAACCTATTGCATTTTAAAGATTTGTTAAGCATTTCCACAGTTTAAACATTGGACCAATATACCATTTTGATATTGTAAAACTTTTTAAAACCACAGTTCCTATTGTTGAAAATGTGATTACTTGGGTTCCCTTTACAGGGAGTACATTAATTGTATCACTGTTTATATTAATATCTAACTCTGAGAAGGGGGAGATCAAGAGTACAGAAAGGAAGCAGACAATTAATTCCTGCTCATATGAGCATAATTGTGCCCAGAGTGAAAGTCTGCATTTTAGCCCCATTGCTGTGAACAACTTTTGTATGAGTCAGTTAGATGCCTTCATTGGAATTCTAATTGGGGCCATTGAAATTTGGATATGAAGTAGACAGAACATTATTAAACAAGAAAAGGAGTTGGACAATTTTCTTGCCAAAGAAAGTGGAAACTGGTAACTCTCTAGGAACAAGGGCACCAAAATATATTTTTGTCATTGTATTAAAGACAAGCATCCCCTTTCAGCCATGGGTATATGGGGCATGTTTGTGTGTGTGGTAATTATAATCAGTTGTAGTAGAGTCTGTAAAAGCTACTTTTCTCTAGTTTTCTAGTTTCCATTTTCTTACAAGTTCCTTCCTAGTACATCAACATTATGTTGACATTTAATTGAACAATGAAACAACTTTCTACATAAAATGACACAGTAAACCAAGTACTTGAAGATGACATTTACAGAAATGCTTAGAGTGGGATATGGGTTAACTAGCTGGTTAAGAAAACATTTCCAGAAAAGTGTAAATGTCAGGTTCAGTTTTGAGATCATGGGTTGATTTACTCGTATGTATCCCCTTCATGACATTTTAACATTTCTGGAAGCAGGACTTTTATTTTCCTCTTGGCACCTAGGCACTCCCACCAGCTCTCTTCATAGAATTTTCACAGAACAGGCATTTTTAATACATACTTGTAGAATGAAATGTATTGATAAGCTATTTGATATGTGCAGTACATATTTATGGGGCCTACTCATTTTAGAGGTTGAAAGAAGGGAGAGATTTGGCAGAAATGTGATTAGGGTTGCTTTAATGAAATGCAATATTTTCACAATTAAGTAGTAATTATTGATAAATATTTTGAACCAACAGTTTGTGATATATACTGAACAAACATAAGAATTTTTTTCTAAGAATGCTTTACTGGTTAACAAGGCGTAACCAGATAGGAGTGTATAGATATTATATAGCTATACATTCACATAACCATATATTATACACACATATAATGATTATTATTACCAAGGATTAGTAATATATTGGATTGAAAATGAGAGACTCCCCGTCCTTTGAGGTAGCATATTCCTGTGCCACCTCCCCCTACTACCTGTAGTTTTAATTTTGATAACTTTAAGCTTTTACCCATTGGTGGTTTTCTATGCAGTATACTTTGTCTTACTTCATACATTTGTTTTTTCCCTATCTGTGCAGAAAGAAGGGGCATCCCAGACAGGGAGAAAGTTTAGAGCTAGGCTAGAAATAAAAGATTACAACTGGCCTGGTGCCGTGGCTCACACCTGTAATCCCAGCACTTTGGAAGGCCAAGGCAGGAGGATCCCTTGGGTCCAAGGGTTTGAGACCAGCCAGGGGTGCTGAGGTGGATCACCTGAGCCCGGGAGGTGGAGATTGCAGTGAGCTGTGATCAGCCCACTGTACTCCAACCTGGGTGACAGAGTAAGACCCTGTCTCAAAAAAAAAAAAAACAAAAAAACAAAAAGATTGCAATGGAACAGGAATTTGACTCTTGCTACCTTCGAGATGAAATGCCATTGGACAAGTCTTTGGGTGCCTTGTCTGAAAGAGAAATAACTGTTGGAAGTTGTTTATCTACTTACAAAGTACATTCTTAGAGCTTGATTGCAGCAGGTTCTAGTTGAGTCTCACACTGAGGCTTTTTCATGTGACTTCAGTTCCATTTTGGCACTTGGTGTCCTAGATTGCTCTGGAACCATCAGTGAGCTAAATCTCAGTTTTGTTTTTAAAAAAATCAGTGGAAGCCAAATGCTCCGCAGCTTCATAAGTGTATCCAGGTGTAGGGCCCAGGCATCCAGGGCAGACTGCCATGCGTGCCCTGGTCTGATGGCCCCGAGGCACCATTTGATATTCACCAAATGGACTTGGTGAACCAACGGCCTGAGAGGGGGCAGGTCCAGGAGAGACCCCCCTCCTTGTGGTTTATCTTATGTCAGCCATACGTGGTATTAGTAGGAGCCTCTGGAGACTCCATGCCCTTTTCCAAGGTCAAGAGACGAGGGGAGAGGGTGAGCCTGAATGCCACTCTGAAGCAGGCGAGGAAGGCAGAAGCCCAAACAGGGAGCCTCAGGGGCCAGAGAAGAAGGAAAGAACAATGGGGGCAGCGACTAGGATAGCAGACAGGGTCAAGAAATAGGAGGAAACGTGTACCCTGGCCAGAGGCCTGGCTCTGCAGTGGTTCCTTGGCCCCACCTTGGAGCCGGGGCCTGGGAGGGCCTCTGACGCCTTCAGCAAGCAGCCTGGGCTGAGGGGTGTGGAAAGGGGGACGGTCCCTGTTCCAGCTGTCCTGAAGGGAGAGGGACCCTAGGCACCAAGACGGAGCTCTTCATGCATCTTCTTGTGGAAGCGCTTTCCAGATAACTTCCGGATAATTGTGTTCACATGTTCATTGCTTCACTTGGTAGGGCTTTATGGCGCTCCCAATGTCAGCCAGCTGCGGTGCCAGGAGCTAGGGTGATGTCAGGCCCCTGCTGTCACGGAGCACACAGCCCAGGTGTGGAGACAGACCCCAAGGTGAAAAAAAAGTAAGCAAGAGTATTTCAGATAATAGGGGCTGAGGAAATGAAACTTAAAATGGTCGTGTGGGAGAGTACCTGGCGTGCAGGCTGGGGGAGGGGATTAACAGCAGAATGTCACCTGCTAATCCAGGCCCCTGTGAAACATCCTACTGGACTTGTCATATAGTAAGGACTGAAAAGTTTGTCTGCAAAGGCCACTGAGTCCGTACAACTGGAATTTAGTAATACCAGTTTTGCGTCCTCACAGGCCTTTTGTGATCGCTGGACTCCGGAGCGGTAGGGCTGCCGTACATTTGTGTTCCGGATGCACGAAGGTGATTGTATTTAAGATCACCAAAGCACTTTTAAAGCCGAAACGTCATTCGTAATTGCACTAAATTTTATTCTTGGAAGTTTAAAAGAAATTGACTTAAATATATTCTGCAATCCAGATGTTTTAATAATTCAGATTAGCCAGATTTTAGGCTTAATTTTACATTGTTGACAAAGCCTATTGTTGATACTACCATTTCTTTAAAAAATCGGGTGAGGAGGAGAAAAGCCTGGCACAGGAGCCTGACCAGGGTGCCGTTGGGATTCCTGTGAGCCAGCGTATGTCAACTTTTGTATGTTTGAAAAGGTCGTATGTGGCCTTTGGTTTTGAAACAGGTACAGAGAGCTGAAGTAAACAAAGTTCACACAGCCGTGAAGTGAGGGAGTTGCGATTTGAAGGCAAGTGGCTGACTCCTGAGGAGCCTGTGCAGTTAGATACGTACATATATGGCTGTTATGTGCTGGCGATACCCCGGGTGTGTTTAGCATTTAGGAGGGCAGTGTGGGCGCAGAAAGGTCAGTAGGGTTGACACCCAAGGAGAAAGGAGAGAGTGGCTGAAGTGGGAGAGGTACATAGGAGTCCTTCACTGGGCCAGGTAGGCAGCGGTGTGATGGTGAATGTCATGGAATCTGCTCTATGTGGTAGAGAAAACCTGATCTTTAGCATTTGCTGATTCCTGTAGTGTAAATACTCCCACTGTGGTTGATTTCACATCACCACTTGAGGTCACTAAAAGTGGAGCTGGAACTATTCACAATAGCAAAGACATGGAATCAACCCAAATGCCCATCAACGATAGACTGGATAAAGAAAATGTGGTACATATACACCATGGAATGCTATGCAGCCATAAAAAGAAATGAGACTGTGTCCTTTGCAGGGACATGGATGGAGCTGGAAGCCGTTATCCTCGGCGAACTAATGCAGGAACAGAAAACCAAACGCTGCATGTTCTCACTTACAAGTGGGAGCCGAACAGTGAGAACACGTGGACACACGGAGGGGAACAACAATACTGGGGCCTGTTGGGGATGGGTTGGGGGGAGGGAGAGCATTAGGAAAAATAACTAATGCATGCTGGGCTTAATACCTAGGTGATGGGTTGATAGGTGTAGCAGACCATCATGGCACACCTTTACCTATGTAACAAACCTGCACATCCTGCACATGTACCCTGGGACTTAAAATAAAAATTAAAATGAAAAAAAAAGTGAAGCTGGAAAGAGAATCAAAATATTGGCTCTCCTGAGCCTGCAGAGGTCAGTCCCAATATACCATTGATTGTGGGCCAAGATAAGAGTGAGCATTTAATTCTAACTGTGCTGTGGCTCCTTCATTTATATATTCCTAAGGTATAATAGACATTCAATAAAAGTTTGTGGAAGGAATTATTTAGTTTTCTTTTCTTTCTTTCTTTCTTTTTTTTTTTTTTTTGAGATGGAGTCTTGCTCTGTCGCCCAGGCTGGAGTGCAGTGATCTTGACTCACTGCAAACTCTGCCTCCCGGGTTCAAGCAGTTCTCTGCCTCAGCCTCCTGAGTAGCTGTGATTACAGGCGCCTGCCACCACGCCCAGCTAATTTTTTGGTATTTTTAGTAGAGATGGGGTTTCACCATCTTGGTCAGGCTGGTCTTGAACTCCTGACCTCGTGATCCACCCGCCTCGGGCTCCCAAAGTGTTGGGATTACAGGTGTGAGCCACTGCGCTTGGTCTATGGAATTATTTATTTTTCTTCTACTCTTCTACCATAGTCATGGAAAATGTCTCTTAGATATGGAAAATGTTTACCACTTTTGAAATCCTATTTTGTCCCAGCTGGGCTAATATTTAAAATTGATTAAGAACATGTAGAACAATGCAATCTTTTTGATGCAAGAGAGTTTGTTGAGTTTGTTTTGCGTGAGATATCTGAATCACCAGTTAATAAGTGGTATGCTTCCTAAACCTTTTCAGTGCCCCAGTGAGCTTCCTGTAATCACGCCCCTGTGAAAGCTGATTTCTGTTTTATAAACACAGAGTGACTAATTCTTTGCTGCTGTTTGTAAAATGTGATGAAGGTGTCTCTGGTTTACCATGCCCAAGGAGGGCTGCAGCTGCTATGGTTGGCCATGGGGAGGGTCTGTCCTTGGTGACTGACAGGACAAAAGCCTAATTGTGTGGGCTTACCCTTATTCCCAGCCTCTTCTCTCTTTATGGCAAATCTGTGTCTAAATCCATTAGAGCGTCTTGCTGCTTCTCCACAGTGGGCTAATCTGGGTCCTGCAGAAACTATGTGGGCATGAAGTCTTGCCTGAGGGCAAGTCTGGTACACTACTATTCATATATTTTAAAAACAACGTCTCTTTAAAGAATTTTCCCACTAAAGGATGTTATAGCTGTTCATTTGGGAAGATAAAAATAGTATGGGGGAAAAATATAATGGCGAACAGATCAACTGTAATCTTAATGCCTCGAAAAAATACTGTTATACTGTCTTCTAGTTCTTCCTGGATATATTTTCTTGGCAGAGTTATAATAAGTATCTCATATGTACAATTTTGTCTGCTGCTTTTTTCTCGCAGCAGCATTTCTCAGTGGCATCTAGACATTTTGGAAGCATTTTTAAATGCCTGCAAAAATATCCTATCCTTTGGATTGACCCACGTTTATTATTGCCTGTTCCTTAAGGCCTGGGCCCAGAAGCTGGGACAGCATCAGTCCCACCATATTCAATTGGTCAGGCAGCCCAGGAGCCATGATTAGAGGGTAGGGGACATAGAGCAAACTTTCCCTTGGGAAGAATGTCAAACAAATTGGGCTTTAATTTACAACTAACTGAAAGAGAAAAAAAATGCTTACTTAGGCTGGGCATGGTGGCTCACGCCTGTAATCCCAGCACTTTGGGAGGCCGAGGTGGGTGAATCACGAGATCAGGAGATCGAGACCATCCTGGCTAACATGTTGAAACCCCGTCTCTACTAAAAATACACAAAAAATGAGCCAGGCGTGGTGGCGGGCGCCTGTAGTCCCAGCTACTTGGGAGGCTGAGGCAGGAGAATGGTGTGAACCCAGGAGGCGGAGCTTGCAGTGAGCCGAGATCACGCCACTACACTCCAGCCTGGGCAACAGAGTGAGACTCCATCTCAAAAAAAAAAAAAAAGCTTACTTAATTAATATTTATAGTTATAAAATTTTATCAGTTGTTAGTGGAAAGGATATCTCTGGTAGTACTTGCCATCTGGTGCTCTCTTGTGCTCTTAAAAAAATGCAGGCCAGGCTGGGCGTGGTGGCTCATGCCTGTAATCCCAGCATTTTGGGGGGCCGAGGCAGGTGGATCATTTGAGGTCAGGAGTTCAAAACCAGCCTGACCAACATGGTGAAACCTTGTCTCTACTGAAAATACAAAAAAATTAGCTGGGCATGGTGGTACATGCCTGTAGTCCCAGATACTTGGGAGGCTGAGGCAGAAGAATTGCCTGAACCTGGGAGGCGGAGGTTGCAGTGAGCCGAGATCATACCACTGCACTCCAGCCTAGGCAACAGAGAGCAACTTTGTGTCAAAAATAAATAAATAAATAAAAATAAAAAAATAAATAAAAATTGCAGGCCAATGAACTCTCTCCCTAACAGAATGATGCGTAGTCGCTTGATAAATAGCTCTTCTACATGGAATCACTTTCCAGTTAATTGAAACTTGCATTTTAAAGTGTAAACACTGAACGATTTTAACCATTTTAACCATTCTGCTGGGTGACTGTGAGCATGGGTTTTAGAACCATGCAATGCTGGTTTTACTCCTGGCTGCAAATCCCAGCCTTAACCAGGTACTAGCTGGGTGACCTGGGGTAAGCTACTTAATCTCTCTGAATTTCATTTTGTCATCAGCAAAATGGGCATAATAATACCTACTTTATAGGTTTGTTTTATAGATTAAATATGGTAAGCCATGTTAAATATTCACTTTAGTGAATGGCTCATTGTTAAGTCCTCAAAAGTAGTTGTTAACAATAATAAATGTATACATAAGTTATACATTTCCTTAAGCAATACAAAATAGGTCACACTGAATGGAAACACCTCAAACCATCTGTGGTTTACCCCTAGAGAAAATCCTGATTGCCAGACATAATATATAGGGCAGGTCCTTAACGTGTGGTCTACCCACTCTCTCTAGGTGGTAGTCTCCTCTAGGGGGTGTGCAAAGTTACCTGGGGCCCCTTTTCAGGAGAAGCTCCAGCTCCCTAAACAGCTCCGGAGTGCATTCCTGGTTAGTCTGGTCTAGAGGATCTGTGGGCTCTTTGTGGTTTGTTCAGCTTGTTTTGACCCTTCCTAGGATTGCTTTAACGCGCGTGAACATTGATATTATGCCATGGACTGTGCCGAGTGAAAGTATTTACTCTTTAGGGGGAAAGCAAGGATGTCTGCCCAGTGCATCTTATAGAGAGATGAGTACCCACACGGAGAATTTCAGGCTCAGGACATCCATATGTCTTTTGTGCAGCTGGTTTGCTTTAGTCTTTTGAGCACTCTGAATCTTCTGACTGGTCCTATTTCCATTTCTGATTGAGCCATTTGGAGGTTTGGAGCTAAAATTTCAGCTCTCCTCTAGCAAGTGTGTAGAACCCTCTGGAATGCACTCCTGTATGGTCTTCTTCCACATGACATTATTCTTCTTCTTCCCTTCAGGTTCTTTAGCCTCACAGTCTCTCATTCACCCATTCTCTCATCTCTCTCTTTGCTCTCCTTGTACCGCCACACCAGTAAACTGCCTTCTTAAAACCATGGCACCTGCTGTCTCTGAATCCCAAATTGATAAAGGCATGCGGCAAAACCTGGATGTAGCAATGCATTACAATTCATCTAGGTCACAAAGCATCCTGAGGCAGAAGTTGGGCAACGGTGGTGTAGGGAATGTTCCAGCTGTCCCTGGGAGAAGCCCATAGGCTCTGTGCATATGTCAAGAGGACAGTTGTGTTGCTCCACTTCGTATGGACAAGCTCACCCTCTTATTAGGGAGACAGAAGAAATGACGGTCTTAAAGGGAGGCTCCCATGGTCTTTCAGGCCAGGCCACAACCTCTGTCCTGCTTCAGCCTCATTTTTGCAGAGTTGGCCTGCCCTAGGTGTAATTGTTATCTGCTGGGTAAATACCATGGAGAGTATAAAAGATGTTGCTCTGTGGCCCTTAGTTGTGTCAGTGGGGTGCAGGGAGGCATTACCAGACTGCAGATTCTTTGCTTTGGAAGGGAGGATTGCAGTTGTGAATGCCTGATATGGGAACAGTTGAGGGAAAGGGTCGAAGCCCAGAATGTTCTCTCACAGTAGCAGTGATTTATGAAGGGTTGCTATGTCCCCAACATGCAAGTGTTTCACTGGTGAAGCCTGGCACTGCCAGAGGTGGGCAGACACCCACACATGATGGTGGTGGTGGTGAATGAGTGTCGCATGGTAATTACCATCAGGAATGGCCGCCTTGCTAGCCATATAAACAAAACAGGAGGAGCTGTGCACAAATATTACTCTGACTCGAAGTGACATCGCCTGGTGATAGTTTGGTTGAATTGTAAGCAAGTGCTTCATTTTGAAAAGAAAACAAAGCCATCTATTGGTGCAGAATCTTAAAATGATACCTCTAAAAATTATAAACTCTATTTTACATAAGGTAAGGGGGTTATGAATGTGTTTATGTTTCTTAGAAATTACTAGTTTCTACTGCTTAGAACATTCTCTCCAGGAATCGCAAATTATATGGCACATATATGTTTCTGGAGTAGCTTATAACATTAGTGGTGGATAACTTTCCCTCAAAAGTAACTGGGATAGACACTCCATGATTGAAGTAAACGAAATGTTAATTCTAAATACAGTCATACGCCGCATAAGGACATGGCTGCATATGTGACAGTGGTCCCATGAAATTATACTGGAGTGGAAAAGTCCCTGTTGCCTGGTGATGTCTTCATCATCCTGTCCCTGGGTAGGCCAAGGCTAATGTGTGTGTTTGTGTCTTAGTTTTTAACAAAAAATTTTAAAAAGTAAAAAAAAAAAATCAAAAATTAAAAATAGTAAAAAGCTTATAAAACAAAGATAAAAAGAAAAAAATTTTGTAGAGCTATACAATGTGTGTTTTAGGGTAAGCGTTATTACAAGAGTCAAAAACTTTAAAAAAATGGAAAAGTTTATTAAGTAAAAAAGTTACAGTAAGCTAAGAGAATTATTAAAGAAAAATTTAAAGAATTTAACTCAATAAGTGTACAGGGTTTGTAAAGTCTACAGTAGTGCACAGTAATGTCCTAGGCCTTCACATTCACTCATTGCTCACTGACTCACCCAGAGAAAGTTCCAGTCCTACAAGCTCCATCCAGGGTAAGTACACTATATGGATGCACCATTGTTTTTCTCTTTTTTTGAGACAGGGTCTCTCTGTGTTGCCCAGGCTGGAGTGCAGTGGCACGATCTTGGCTCACTGCAGCCTCGACCTCCTGGGCTCAAGTGATCCTCCTGCCTCAGCCCCCTGAGTAGCTGCAACTACAGGCATGCACCACCATGCCGGCTAATCTTTGTATTTTTTGTAGAGATTGGGTTTTGCCATGTTGCCCAGGCTGGTGTTGAACTCCTGAGCTCAAACAATCCATCCGCCTCGACTTCCCAAAGTATTGGGATTACAGGCGTGAGCTACTGTGCCTGGCCCCATTTTTTAAAAATCTTTTATTCTGTATTTTTATTGTACCTTTTCTATGTTTAGATGCACAGATACTTACCATTGTGTTAAAATTGCCTGCAGTATTCAGTACAGTAGAGTGCTGTACAGGTTTGTAGCCTAGAAGCAATAGGTTGTACCCTATAGCCTCGGTACGTAGTAGACTATCCCATCCAGGTTTGTGTAAGTACACTCTGTGGTGTTCACACAATGACAGAATAGCCTAATGATACATTTCTTAGAACATATCCCCATTGGTAAATGATGCATGACTGTAGTCATAGTTTCTCCATTCCGAAATATTGTGAAAACTTCCTTTTGGAAACATAGTTGTTTGTGCTCAGGAAGACTTTGAGATAGACTTCATTATAAAATGAATGCATAGAGAAATTATAAACCTAGAATGAATTGACTTGCTTGCTGAAACAAGAAGAGATTTGCTCAATAAACTAAGGTACAACAAACATTGGCACTGATGATAAAGGAGGTAACTGATAACCCTCTTTTTTGGGCATAGGAGAGGGGAAAATTGGAAGCTGTTGTGTCCCATAAGGCAAGTGTTGAGGGTTTGATGACTTCATTCTCTCATGCCAACTCCTATAAACTGCAAATGGTGCCTGGAGCTCTAATAGGATCATGAGGCCTTGTTGGGAAATTTCTGGAAAGAGTGCTGTGACACATTAGTGTGGTCTGCCATGCATGGCAATGGTGGAATGTTACATGCCTATCCCGAGATGAGGACAGAGGGTGATAATCTTTCTCTTTATTTAGATAAACTTTCAAAGACCTTATAAGTGGTCAGTGATGTTGATGTGACCTTGAGTTTTATCTGCCCCCGACCCCTGTTAGTTACCAATGTTGTAAAGCTTATGACCTTGGCGACTTTACCCAGGAAAATCTGAAGGTTAGGTGCCTCCCTGCTAAAGCCCAGGTTAACTGCTAGGCAGGGGATATTTTAAGATCAGAGGAAAGCCTTTGTCATTGTAATACTTTACATGTCCAATCTGACATAGCAGCTTTGCCGGTAGTGTGACAAGAAATTGTGTGCACTTATTTCACTTATTGTTAGCCAAAGGACAATTTTTCATCCAACTTCCGTAGAAGAACTTGTTTCATCTGGAAGAGAACGGGCTTTGGAGGCTGGTGGATTGAAGCTGGAGACTGGGTTCTGATCCTGGTCGCCTCTTCTTAGCTGTGTCTGCTTTCTTATCTGGAAAATGGAGGCATTTTACCCACCTCGTCAGAGTGTTGTGAGGATTAGAGATAATAATAAAGCTCCTAATGTCATGCCTAGCACTTGGTGTGTGCTCAATAAATGGGAGGTTCTATTAGAGTAGAAGCTCTCTTAATAGTTCCTAGTAGCTTGCAGAATTGGTGATTTTCATCACCTTTGTATAGCCATGTGTCTGAACCTATGACACCCTGAACTAGCAGACTCCTGTGCCTGGGCCCAAATCCACCCTGCAGCCTGATTTTGTATATGAAGTTTTATTGGATCACAGCCATGTTATTTCATTTTCATATTGTCTATGGCTGCCTTTTTGCTACAGTGGCAGAGTTGTATAGCCAACAAAGCCAAAAATATCTACTATCTGGCCCTTTAGTGTCTAATGGCTTCTACCATTTGAGTTGTGTGCTTGCTGAGTCAGTTGTGTTTATTCTCAAATCTCTTTGTGCCCGTTGTTTCCATTGTAATTGCATAAAATTATGTAAACTGATGAAATAAGGTATCAAAAAGAGAATTGTTGTGGCAGATTCTGTTGGTTGTTTCCAAATACCCAGCTTCCCTTTCTTTTTTGGGTAATGGAATTCTGAGTTTCAGCTGGGTGGTGGCCACCAGCAATTGAACTATGTTTCCTAGGCTCTCTTGCAGGTAGGCATGGCCATGTTTCTATGTTCCAGCCAGTGGGAGGTGAATGGAAGTTGCACAGGCAACTTGCAGGCCATGACTTTAAAGAGAAAGGGGAATTATCTCAGCTTCTTTTTACCCCTTCCTGCTGGTGGCAATGTGGATGGGGCAAGGTCCATGGGGTGGCAGTGTGATTTGACAGTGTCTGAGCAATGAGATGGAAAGGGCCTGGGTCTCCAACATTATGGATGTCCCATATCAGCCTGGGACTTCTATGCTCTGCTGTGACATAAGGGAGAAATGAACTGCTCTCTTGTTTAGACCACTGTTGCTTTGACATTTGATATGATAGGAAAACCTATATTGTAATACATATAACTGTTTATGAAAATTAAGTCAAATGCATTGGAGAGAGTAAGAGTAAGTTGCTAATACTACTTTTTTTTTTAAGTGTGGACAAAACTAAAAAGGTTTGGGGGGATGAGCAGAAAAATTTAGAATGATCCTTTACTTGGGTTTGACTTCTGTCATTAAATCCTTGCTCCTTTTTTAAATAAATAAAACTAGAAATCATGCCTAATACATCAATTTATTTGAAGCCCTAAATCAATTGGCAATTTGATAACCCCCTCAGTCCCCGCACCTAAGTGAAGATTTATTGGATTGAATCGAATACCACAGGGGTGGACTGCTAGGTTTGTTAGTCCCCAGTCAGCACTCAACTTATACCCTGAGTCTAAGAATATTCATACTCATCTATTTTTTTTTTTTGAGACAGAGTCTCGCTCTGTCGCCCAGGCTGGAGTGCAGTGGTGCAATCTCGGCTCACTGCAAGCTCTGCCTCCTGGGTTCATGCCATTCTCCTGCCTCAGCCTCCCGAGTAGCTGGGACTACAGGCACCTGCCACCATGCCTGGCCAATTTTTTGTATTTTTAGTAGGGGTGGGGTTAACACCACATGGAAGCCACCAAGGCTTATGGCTTGCACCCTCTGAAGCAGCAGCCCGAGCTGTACCTTGGCCTCTTTGAGCCATAGCTGGAGCTGGAGTGACTGGGACATAGGGAGCAGTGTCCCAAGGCTGTTCAGGGAAGAGGTGGCCTGGGCCTGGCTCACAAAAACCATTATGTCATCCTAGGCCTCTGGGCCTGTGATGGGAGGGGTTGCTAGATGGTCTCTGAAATGCCTTTGACAATGGGGCTTTTCATTGACTTGGCTATTTGCACTTGGCTCCTTTTTACTTATGCAAATATCTGCAACCTGCTTGAATTCCTCCCCTAAAAATGGGCTTTTCTTTTCTACCACATGGCCAGGCTGCAAATTTTTCAAACTTTTATGGTCTGTTTTCCTTTTAAATGTAAGTTCAAGTTTCACATCATTTCTTTGCTCACACATATAAGCATAGGTTTTTAGAAGCAGCCAGGCTACATCTTGAACACCTTGCTGCTTAGAAATTTCTTCCACCAGATACCTAAATCATCACTCTTTAAGTTCAGAGTTTCACAGGGCAGGGGCACAATGCAGCCAGTTGCCTTGCTTAAGACATAGTAAAAGTGACCTTTGCTCCAGTTCCCAATAAGATACTCATTTCCTTCTGAGACCTCATCAGCCTAGTCTTCATTTTCCATATTACTACCAGCATTTTGGTCACCACCATTCAAGTCTCTAGGATGTTCCAAATTTTCCTTCATCCATCTGTCTTCTTTTGAGCTCTCCAAACTCTTCCAACTTCTGCCTATTACCCAGTCTCAAAGCTGCTTCCACATTTTTATTTATCTTTACAGCAATGCCCCCACTCTTCAGTACCAATTTTCTCTATTAGTCTGTTCTTGCACTGCTATAAAGAAATACCAGAGACTGGGTAATCTATAAGGAAAAGAGTTTTAATTGGCTCATGGTTCTGCAGGCTCTACAGGAAGCAAAGTGGCTTCTGCTTCCGGGGAGGCCTAAGGAAGCTGCCAATCATGGCAGAAGGCAAAGAAGAAGCAAGGCACATCTTACATGGCCAGAGCAGGAGTAAGAGAGAGCAGGGGGGCGGTGCCACACGTTCTTTAAACAACCATATCTCTTGAGAACTCACTCACCATCATGAGCACAGCACCAAGGGGATGGTGCTAAACCATTCATGAGAGTCTGCCCCCGATTCAACCACCTCCCATCAGGCCCCACCTCCAACACTTGGGACTACAATTTGACATGAGATTTGGTGGGGACACAGATTCAAACCATGTCATTAACTTTCTACCATTTTTTTTGTGTCATCTATAATCCCAGGTTCATACCCATACCCATCTTCCCTGCATACTGTTGTTGAATATTATATTTATTAATTTACCATTAATACATGTACTATTTACATAATAGCTTATTCTCAAAATCTGCTATTGAGGGAGACTGAGGGCAAGTTTAGCAAGCATTGTCATTTTTTTCTGTGACTGATAAGGGTCTGATTCT
Organism: Homo sapiens; assembly: GCF_000001405.40. Taxonomy (NCBI): domain Eukaryota; kingdom Metazoa; phylum Chordata; class Mammalia; order Primates; family Hominidae; genus Homo; species Homo sapiens. The sequence goes on along the minus strand of NC_000005.10, from coordinate 16,494,120 downwards.
CTTAGTAAGAGTGTATTCCTTTAAAAGCCTCTGATTATTTATGTGAACATAAATGAGAGATACACTCTTTAAAGGACTAAGTTGGGAATATGACCTAATTAAACAGCCTAGCATCTTGACTGAATATCTTAATGTGCGATAGTCACTCCAAGTTTGCCATCTTCCAGGTTATTGCTTTTTATTACAAAGGCTGATTCTACAAACAAAAATAATTTGAATTGGCCTTCATAATAAAAGCACTTTGGAGAAACTTGAGAATTCAGTGTTTGAGTTGTATATACCTGGTGCTCAGGACCAGTGTGGTGGGTACCATCTCTAAAAAGCAAAATTAGGAACAATATTGTTAATGACTTTTTTTTTTGTGCTGTAGGAAACATATTTTTTAGTATCCTCACAGGTTTCATATAAGTAGGCCAAATGTTGCAATGCAGGGAAGGGACATTTACTTTTGACTCCAACTACAGTAAACCCTGGGTTGAAATTCATCAGAAATTGTGGATCTTCAGTGGAATGCAAGAAAAGACTTATATCTAAATGAGCCAGCCTGCTTCACAATAACAGTTTTGTTTTCCTTGAGGAGTGTTTCTTGACTATCTGATATTATCTGTCCTTCAGGGATAAAGTAGAAATATTTTCTGCCCTCAGGGACAGTGATTGAAGCAAATCTTGGCATTCACAAATGAAAGGGTGTTGAATCTCCTGCAGGTCTCAAGTAGGTGCTTGTCCTATGCTAGTAATGGAATTTGCATTACTCATGCCCTGGGCTTATGAAAGTCTAGTTATTAAAATGTTAAAATTAAAAACGCTGAAAAATGACTTATACTTGGCATCTTGTTCATAGAAACTTGAAACTGTAATAAATACTATGATGGGTAGTTGAGTGTCAGCCTCCCAAATGATCTAGGTGGATTGGATAATTGATGATCACCTGGAGAAGTAGCAGTGCTCAGTTTGAGATAGGAGGTGGAAAGGGTCAATCGCAAAAGTAAGTAGCTGATCTCTGAGTCGTTTTAAACTTGATATAAAAAAAGGGAGAGCCCCAAATAGAACACTAAGTTGCTCTGAGGAAGATGGGGCTCTCCGGGCAGAAAGCTTCTCCAGGCAGAAAAAGCCAGCACTCACTGGCGCCTTCTGGTCCCTGGCCTTGGGAGGAGTCGCTCACGTGGCTAATTGGCCTGAGAAAGTGAACGCTTCAAGTTGAGTGCGATGTAATTTCTTAATCTTGTGTTTACTCTTTTTAATCCTCTAGTTGACAAATCTTATTTGCGTTGTCATGGTTCTAATTCAGTGAGTGCTCATGCAGAGAAATATATCTGTTTTTATTTTGTTTCTCTGCCTACATACAGTCATATGCAAGCACCTACACACAGAGGAACATAATAAGTATCCACAGGATTAAAAAAAATTCTAACACATTACACTAAGAAATGTTAAAATCTGTAACCAGATACTGACTGACCTTTCTAAGAAAAATTCGACAGGAATTAGCATCAACAGATGTCCACTACCAGTAGAGAGCATGAGACCCTTAGTCACTAGCTGAGAATGAAAGGTCTCCAAGCCAAAGCATATTTATAGGTGTGATGGTTGCAGCAGCTGTTTGTCATGGTTGCCAGGTGACGAGTTATAACAAATCCTTTTTTTTTTTTTTTAAGTTTGTCAATATGGAATGGTGACTTAGCAAACTTTCTGAAAAATATTGTTTGGCTTCAACTTCCATTTCTTATAAATTGAAAATAAAATAATGAGTAGTGTGAAATAATGTATACTTTCTGGAGGTATTATAACAGAAATCAAAACATCTTTGGAAATGATTATTGCACTATAAATTCATAAGGATGTGAAAAAGTTAAAACCTAACAAGAATGGTGTGTGTGTGTGTGTGTGTGTGAGAGAGAGAGAGAGAGAGAGAGAGAGAGAGGACAACACTGTCTGAAAATGTTCTCCAGCGGGGTGCAGTTGCCCTACAAAAACTTGAAAAGCAAAACCAAAAAGGGAGTCATTTTTCTCTGATATTTCATGTGAAGGTTGGATATTCGTCAGGGCCCAGTTCTGTTCTCTACTGGTATCACAAATGCTGGTGGGCCATGTGGGAACAGTGCCCGCAGGAGATACTCATGGATCCAGGGATCCCCAAGTCACACATTAAGGCTCAAGTTTTGCCCGCAGAAATCTCATATGAAATACCGATTTTCAGTTCCAGAAAGTCTTGGAATATATGAAGCATCTTTCTTTCTTTCTTCCTTTCTTTCCTTTCTTTCGTAGAGACAGGGTCTTGCCATGTTGTCTAGGCTGGTCATGAACTCTGGGGATCAAGGGATACTCCCGCCTTTGTCTCCCAAAGTGCTGGGATTACAGGTGTGAGCCACTGTGCCTGGCCCGTATTTCCTAATTAGCTAATTTTGAAGGCATTTTAACTGCCCATTTGCAAGAAAGAACAAAACAAAACTCTTCCCTATAGATGACAGTTGTTTTCTAGATTTTTAATAGGACTTTTTGTCTATTATTTTGTATATTTTTATACATATGAGGGAATGCATGCTAATTATTACCAACACGTAATGTATAGAAACATTCGGATAAGTGAATTAAAAACATGGTGCCACCAAATAACCACTGTTAATTATTTTTGATATTTTCTTCTTTGGATGTTTACTGTTTATATTCATTCAGTATTTTTATGTGCCTCATAGATGTCAAGCTCTGTTAGCTACTGAAGACAGAGCACTGTCCAAGAATTCCTTCATGGGATTTAAAGTCTCATAGGGAGTCAGTGTTACAAATGTCATAAATTAATTGCAATTCATAGTTGCCCTGAAAGAACGTTACCAGATGCGACGGTCGTGGTCGGTAACCAGGAGATCTGCTGTGTTTCAAGCCCTTTTCAGCCTCAGTTTTCTCTTGGGTAAAATGGAGATAACCCTGCCTTGCAGGGTATCGTAATGGGATGGGGTCCTAGGGGGATCATGTGGAGGACATTGGGACAGTGCGGGCAGAGTGCTTAACATAGTGCCTGGCACACAGGGAGAGCTTAGCAGATAGTTGCCATGGTCATGGTTATTATGGGCACGTGTTGTAATTGAAGTTTGTGAAGTTGGGTTCATGATTATGGAATCACTTTGTGGGTACTAATTTAGGAACAGCTGGAGGGGTTCAGAGAGAAAATAAGAATCTAGATGCCTTAGGACCAAGGAGTTTCACCTGGGAACCAAAGCCGCTTTTTAACTATTTTGATTTCTATTTGTGTAGCTTGGCATTTAGGGATCCATAATCCTGCCTGTGGCACTGCCCTAATGTGCTTCCCTACTCATCTTTGCAATGGTCCCCATGTTCCAATCCGGAGAGTGTTTTTTCTGTATCTCGCCCCACATTAGGAGCATTCCCAGTTCTATGCATTACTTCCCTATTCCATTGTGGATTCATTCTGTGACCTTGAACAAGATAGCTAATGTATCTGGGCCTCAACTTTCTCAATCTGTTGAACAGGAATAATAAACAGTAGTTCACTCACAGGTTGGTTGTAAGGATTGAAGTAAGTAGTAAGTTTATAAGATAGTAAGTTTATAAGATGCTGTTCACTACCTGACCCCTGGTGAGTGTTAGCTATTCTTTTTTATGGTGCCTGTAACCCCCTTTATTTGAATTGTTAACAAACTGCCTTTGCTTGATTTATTATATAACCTAATTGCATCTTTCCTTTCTACTACAAATTGCCACCTAAATAAAACTGTCATAGTAATCTGTGTAATCTTATAACTCTTTTTTAATAGTTACGTTTATTCATAATTTAAGATATTTTAAACAATTTTCCATTGCTCCCACTGAAACATGGGACACTTTATTTTGTTTTACAAATGCCAGAAACCAGCTTAAGGCACAAGGGAACTGGCTCCAATTATGGGGGATGTCCATGGGTGGATTTGCTTTGCACCTTGCCTTTTGGGCCCAACAGGACCCAAGAACTCAAACCTGACTATCAGGATTCATTCATATTCTCTCCCTGCCTCCCATATACTTTCTCCCTCCCTCTCTTTTTCCATCTACTCCAGGTTTCCTATCTCTGGTTGGTAATTATCTCCTCAAATCTAAAGCTCAAGAAATATGTGAAAATATTTTAGCTTTGATATATTAAAAATATAATTTTTTGCTTTCAAAAATAACTGAGTTGTAAAAACACTTTTAAGTTCATTAGTATATGCTAAAACATTGTCCTGTAAAATGTACAATAGTGAAAAGATCTTACATTTAACAAGCTCTCCTCATATATCCAATCCCCAACATAGTTTTCAAATTCATGTATCTCCAATAGCCCTAGATACAATTAAATGCCATTTTTTAAAGGTGAGTTTCATGTATCACCAGTGTGTGTAGGCTTTGCATCATTCTTGGGTCACATGTACACTTTAACTTATTGGTTACAGGCTGTGCCTTAGTCAACCCTCAGTCCCAGAGCCAGGAATGGTGACAGTTAATGTACATTCACTGCATATTTATTAAAACGAACAGAAGTTAAATGATAATGAGATAGTATTTCTTCTATGCCAAGATTCATTTTGTTGCAGCATTATTTTTTCTAGTGCTCAAAGATACTATTGGTGAAAGGGATGAAACAGGCTGCTAGCACATGTTCTGTCTTACAGAATTACAATCTATTTTTAAAGAGCACAAGAGTGTCCTATTTCTTAGTCTTACAGAACCCCCTAATGGAGAATACTGTGTGCTGCATTCTGAAACTGCCAGCCAAGTGCATTAGAAATTCCATTATGCAGGCATTAAACTACACAAAGACAAATCTTATAATATTTAAACATTGTTTTGATAACTATATTTTTTAAGGGAACAAAGGTACATGATAATTTAAAAGATACACATAAAAGTAAAATAAGTGAACTGCTTCACATCCCAGTTTGACTGAGTTATTTTGTTCATAACAAAACTCACCACTTTGTATCCTACAGTTGGCGGTTGAATCACTTAAAATCAGTTTGATCCTTTTAAGGTCTGCTTTTTTTTTTTTTTTTTTTTTTTTTTTTTTTTTGAGACAGAATCTCGCTCTGTTGCCCAGGCTGGAGTGCAGTGGCGCTATCTCGGCTCATTGCAGCCCCTGCCTCCTGGGTTCAAGTGATTCTCCTGCCTCAGCCTCCTGAGTAGCTGGGACTACAGGCGCATGCCACCAGGCCTGGCTAATTTTTGTACTTTTAGTAGCGATGGGGTTTCACCGTGTTGGGCAAGATGGTCTCGATCTCCTGATCTCATGATCTGCCCACCTCGGCCTCCCAAAGTGCTGGGATTATAGGCGTGAGCCACCACGCCCGGCCTAAGGTCTGCTTTTAAGACTTGTTAGGACCAGAGCCGCATTTAGTTTAGGACTGATTATTCTCTGCTACTGAGGCAAGACCCTTCTGAGTATTCTACCCATGTCTGTGAATTTTGAAGTTTTTCGGTCTAGTTGGTGGGACTAGGTGTCATTCTTGGCCAAAGACACTGTTCCTTCTAGTCCTTTCTGATGGCTCTTTCCTGGCCTCCGGGCTCCTCACACGCCTGTGCCAGCAAAGCCTCAGCTGAAGACTCCAGGAATCCCCCACATCAGACCTCTCCCTTTATCTCCCTCTGTACTGTGCTCTACTCTCTGGCACTGGGTCCTGCAAACTCTGGCCCCTTGGATCTCCTTTTTGGACCCTCAGCAATGTCTCCTCAACTCAGGGAGTTGCCAGGTGGTACCTGGGTTGCTGCCCCTGCTCCCAGGCCAGGAAACACTCAAGGCAGCGAGCTGGGTGATCACATAACTCCCTTATTGGTTTCTCATCCCTTAGGAGTCACTGTCCTTCCTTGCCTAATGCCCAGAGTTTTGAAAATCGTTGTTGCATAGATTTTCTTTGTTTCAGGTGGGTTGGGTATATCAGCTCCCTCTCACACCGTCTTGCCCAGAAGCAGAAGTCTCCCTCCTCTTTATTTGTAGGACAGGAATTCAGTGTTACTTTATCAAGGGTATTTCTCACAGTGACTCTTAAGGTAAGACACACCTGCCTCAGCATCATCTAGGACACCTGTTAAAATGCAGATTTCTGAGCCTCACCCAGGCCTGCTCCATCTCCATCTCTTCAGTAAGGCCCACACAGCTGCTGCTTAAACAGTGCCCTGGGTGTCTCACAACTACAGCTGCAGGAACTGCATGAAGGGCTTATTTGGCCAGACCTCCCAATGTATATGGTAAATTGTATTCTAATAGGGACAGGGAGGAAGAAAGAAGGGATGTTGGTTTGAAATTCTACTGAGAAGCCAAAGCTCCTTTCTGTGGACAAAGTGAGTTTGCTTATCTAAGGAGCCATCTTTCCATGTTTTATTCCCTTAGAGTTTCACTGGCAGGTAAAACCAGAAATTCTTCAGCTGCTGAAAAAGGACTTTGCCCTGGCTTAGGCTTCTTTGATAAAGAATTGCTTGATTGGAGAATGGCCTTCATCAAAACACCTGACTAGTTTTTCCGTAAGAAGGAAAACTTAACCAGATGGCATCTGCTGGGGCTTTTTTGGGAGTCATTTACAGTTACAGATCCTTGAGCAAAGCCCATTTGATAGATGGCATGGCCATGTAGAGGCTGGGGCTTGTAGTGACTTCTCCCTGGGAACTACTTGAACTGGACTGGCTACGAGGATGGAAAGTTGGGGATGATGGTCATCGGGGGTGACTCTTAAATGGTCTTTATCTTGTGGCTGGAGTGTGTGGTGAGTTCACTCCTTAGTGAAGGCAAGAGTGTGAGAGAAAGCTGGAAGGCTGGCGAGAGGGAGGGGAGATGGATAGAAAGATGAACCAAAGAACCTATTTCCTTTTGAACTTGGAAAGTGCATGGTCTCTCTGAAACTAAGGAGGAAATATTAATAAAGCTACTGGTAATGAATTTTCTCCCTTAGTTGAGCGTCAGTCACAGAAGACTTGTATTGTTTGTTTAGGAACTTAGTACAAACTCAAAATGTTTTGAAGCCTTAGGTATTTTCATTTCCTTTTATGTTAGTTGGGCCTTATGTTGCATGGTGATCAGTGCCAAGGATGGTGGGAAGACAGCTACACACCATGGAAAAGATCTGTTCCCCAAGCCTTGCCCAGCATTCACAGGAGATCTTTTTTCTAGTTATGTGTTTTCCAAATAAGGCTCTCTGGGAAAACCTAGAGTTTCATTACGTAGCAACTCAGCGTGTGTATGTGTGTGTGTGCAGATGACACCTGTGTTAAACATCAACCAACCACTAAGCGTAGATCTTGGTTTCTGCTGAGTATTTGGATTCTGCACATGAAGTGCTCTGTTTTCCTGGAAAGGGTTGGTCCTGCATGATGGCACGTTGGTATTGGTCAATCACACCTCATCTCTTCTGGTTCTAGGAAGGAGTGAGGAACATGAAATGCTCCTTCTCATTCTGAATTGCCATGTGGTCTCTTCAAAGAATATCATTGAATGTATTCACCCTTTGAAGAGGGCACACATTTTAAAGGATCAGAACTGTATTGGAAACCCAGAGTCCTGGCCTTGGGTCTTGGCTCTGCCTCATACTAGCTGCAAAAAGTTGGATTTCACGTTCCTCACCTATAAAATAAGGGAATTTGAAAAGTTGACATCAAATGTCCCGTCTCATGACAAATTATCTAATTCTGTATAACCTAAATTGAACTGTGGTGACATAAATTAATGGTAAACTCACTGGAAGACTATAGAAATGTGAGTTCCTATGGTACTCAGAATTAATCACTGGGCAATTTAAAACTATTGTTAAACTCCCAGGGAGCACCTGTTTTTGGTCCAGAAGAAAAGATGTGGAGTGACATCTTTTTTTCACCCTGGAACTTACATTTTCTTTTTAAATCATATATATTTCGATTAAATTTTATTCAGCCCAATCTGAACATTTATTTTTAATCTCAAACACTTATTACTCTTTACAAACCCATTTGGTTAGATATTATTTTCAGGTTGTACACAATGAATTTCTCATTTCTGTTTGTGATTATAACAATTCAAATATCAATTATAATTTATTGTGTTAATAAAAATGTAAGTAATGATGAAATTTATTGTCCCAAAAAACTATTATATGAAGCTTTTTAAAAGGGAAAAATGTAATATAATTAAGAGTGTTTTCTTATGACTATGGAAGATAGTCAAAGATTGCATATTTTTTTCTTTCTTTCCAGCAAATAGTGTTTATCTATAGACACAGAGGAATAGTGCTACCAGCATTCAAGTTTTTGATAACAGTATTTTCCACATTTAGTGTGATGCAAGACACAAAGGGGGAACTTAATAACTTTTTATTGAATAAATGAATAAATTAGTGGATAGATGGTGTCCACTTGAAGTCCCCTGTGGAAAATAGATAAGACCCTTCCTTAAATGCTAAAGAGAGTTTTTAGTTATTTCATAGTAATCTCTATAAAACACTTTAAGTTATATGAAGTCTTTGTTCTAACATTATCTCTATAGTGACAATTTAGTATTATACTAGGCTCTTTTACAATTTGGGGACATTTACTTAAGCAGTAATAAAAAATATGTAAACAAATATGGATATGGTGTCATTTCCAAGACATGAATCCTAAAGATGATATTAGAACAAAGTTCCAGCATCTGTACAAAGTACTATTCATTCAAAAAAATATTTTTTTGTCCTCGCGCAGTGGTTCATGCCTGTAATCCCAGCACTTTGGAAGGCCAAGGTGGGAGGATTGTTTGAGGCCAGGAGTTATGAACTGTTCATTTATTCCATCTTAATGTTTAAAAGAAAATAACAAATCCTTCCATTATAGCTTTTCATTGATTTTTGTTAGAATTATATTGGGCAAACAGTTCAAATGCATCCTTAAATAATTATTCAATATGCATAGAGAGCAGAAATTAAAATGTTTTCTGTCATCTTCATGGTCCCATTAAACTGAACAGTAGCTTAGCCTGTCTGTGCCAATTTGCAGCAAATCTATATTATTCTGAGAAAACAGACTGCATTTTAATAACCTTATATTTCCTTTGCCATATAGCTTTTGCTCTCTGGTGCAAAATCTTTTCCCACTAAGCAGATATCTGTGGCAAGATTTTGCCACAGATATCTGCTTCTTAGCTATGCACTTAGTATTTTAATAGATGTGGAATCATGGGGTATGCAAACCTGGTGCCAGATATGGTCCTGCTGAAAACAGATTTGCTCAGTGATTCAAGAGTGGGTAGAGTTAATGGATGCATAAACCATCCCCAAAAGTTCATTTCTTCTGACAGACAGGAAATCTACCTGCAGGAATAACATCAGCCTGGACAACTGGTAGCTCAGTGACTCTCCAGAGCATTAGTTGAGGCTGAAAGAACAAAGAGGAAGGAAAATGGTATACTTCCCCCCTTTTAAAATATGCTATTGCACTCATTTAAACTTGGATTAAAATTATTTTTATAAAAAGGAATTGTAATTTACAAATTGCCTTACTATTCAAAATATATTAAAAGTCACAGAATCTGTATGTACATAAACTTCTGTATAGTTGAGCATCTAAGGGCAAAGGTAGTTTTGATTTGTCTTAGGGCTACTGGAATTGAATCCAGAGATCAGCCTCACCCTGGTACCCTACCACAGCTCAGATGATAGTTCACTAACAATTCTAGTCTTCTTCTAGAAACTTTGCTGCTTTTGTTATTGCCATATCCATAGCTCTGTGGCAGTGCCTTCAACATGGTAGACACATATCTCTCAATAATCTCTTAAATGAATGAATTTGAGGATTCTTAACAGGGCTTGTTTGAACTGGTATGTTTTTATGAGTTAGGATTGCAAGAGCAGGAATTAAGCTTTATGTCATTGTAATGTTAGGGAATGACATGTATTTACATGTGTCTTCTTCCTGGAGTGATTGTTTCTAGTTTTTAGCTCACTGAGGTTCCTGTGGAAAATGAGGGCAGGGAGAAAGCTGGTTGCCGGCCCATGCATCACACTCAACACATTCTAGATGATGATTAGGAAAATGTACTCTGGAAAAATAGAGGATATTGTAAGATCTTTTTAACAATTTTCTATAGAGTTTTCCAACCATGGTATATATTGAAAATACATTGTTGGTATTTATTCTTAATATTGTATGCTTAATTCCAAGGTTTCTCTAAAAGTACTGTGGTTTCCCAATCCTTAAGGTTTAAGACGTTTCTAACAAGTCTTCCATGACCTAGTCTCCTCCTACCCCTCCAGCTTCACATGTTTTTCTTCTGGTTGACTTTGCTGGAGTCACATTGAGACTCAATAGGATAGCACATTTAAGCTCCTTCCCACTCCAGGGCTTCTGCATATATTGCATGTTGTTCTACCTGGAACCCTATGATTAACCTGCTGATCCATCCCATATCTGAGTTTTAAAATGACTCTTCATTAAAGATGTCCCTAAGCCTCACCCTGTTCTCCCTGAGTGTTTCCCTGATTGTAAACAGACAATTAATTAGACAGCTAATTGTTTCTTTTGACATGTGAGTTTCCTGAAGCAGGTGTCTGGATAGTTCCCTTCTGAATTCACAGGGCTTTTCCAGAGGGTGTGGCCAACAGTAGATGCTCAATAAATATTTGCCAAAGCCATAAATGTTGAATGAATCATCCAAAGTTCAGTAGTATTTTTTTTCTTTTTGTCTCTTTAGCTGGGAAGTTATCAATTCCAAACCAGATGAAAGACCCAGGCTCAGCCACTGTATTGCAGAATCATGGATGAATTTCAGCATATTTCTTCAAGAAATGTCTCTTTTTAAACAGCAGAGCCCTGGCAAGGCAAGTTTTCCAGTAAAGGAGTATGTTTTAAAATGTTCAGTTACTTGGAAACAAATGAACTAACCTATTTTATCAGCTTGTCAGATTTCTCCAATTTTAAATATAATATACTAAGAACATATGCCATAAAAGCTGGTATCAGCAAGGTTCAGATGTGTGAGTGTGCGAACACTAGATAATCCTCAGCCTCACATTGTGAAATTGGATTGGTTTTACATTTTATATATATTTATCTAGCTCATTAGCTAAAATGAATGGTGATTGGTCTTATCAGCAAGACTAGGGAGAAAACAGTCTTAAGAATTTCAGTTATCGTATTTAGCCTGGTGCTGAAGTCAAAGGGAGATGAAATGAATACATAGTTCTTTGACTGTGCTTTTGGAGATAACTGAATCTTATTTTCAAGCTAAAAAGTGGAGATTCTTGTATGATTTACTTATTTAAGAAAGAAAACTTTTGGCAAAAACATTCATAGTGATTATATAAACAAAATGAGTATTTTTCCAATTAAGATAAAACCCATGAGGGGGAAGTGTCTTACATGGTTGGGAAGGGATTACATGGAGTGCTGCACATACTTGTATTATTTTATGCATAAAGGCAGCTTTAATTCTGATCAACTGTCTTGATAGCTTGGGTGAGGTGCAGAACCATCAATAGACCTTGTCTATTCCAGTGTTGCTTTCAAGCTCCTTGAATATCCACCCGTGGATAGAATGAAGAGCTAGGAATGTCAGCATTGAAAATCTCTGTCTTTGTACCTTGTATAGGCAATATCGTAACTTCAATAGTATTAAATAATAGAACTATGCTTGGAGACATTTTGAGTGTATTAAAGTGGCAGTATTGCATTTGGATGCATTTTTTTTATTCATTGAAGGCATTTTTTTTTTTTTAGCATAGATACCTATATTTGGGGCATGATGTGCTGTTGATGTTGATTTTACTGAAGTGATTAAATGTATTTTTGGAAGATTCTAAACTTCAAACTTCTGCATTGGGTTGCATTAATGTGCCCCAAGTCAATTAGCTTAAAATGATGATGCTACAAATGTAGGGCATATTATGAAATCCCTTTGTAAAACTAAATTCTGGATATAGTAATGCTTTTCTTGGCTTATTTGTTCCTTTGACTTTTATGGCCTTTCCATTTCATTTATAGAATTCCAGATTCTTTCAAGGGCCCTTGCTGTTTTAGAAACAGCTCTTAATTTTGTTCCACAAGTCATCTAATCTACTTTTGACTAGTTAATTTATTAACTCTGTACCGAAGAATGAAAAATCAAAATTAAACTTAGATTTAGACCCCTTTGCTCTTTATCATCATCAGTTATTGGTCAGAGGTATGTATTCCTTCCTCCTGTATCTTTTAGAAACTCCCTTAATGAATTTCCTTTGCTTGCTTATCAGTTTAATTTACTATCACTGTTTAAAGATGACGAAAAATGTAAGACAGTTTAAGACTGGAGGGTGAAAAATCAGGTGAAGACTTTATGGTAACATTTTTCTGCCTTGATGTTTCTAAAGGGAATTAAGGATATTTTCTGATGTTTTTAAATTTCTTAAAACAATCAAGATTTTTTAACCATAAATGACAGAAGGAAAATAAACATGTCACTGTAGGAGTTTCATTTCAATGGCAGTTTTTTTCTAGGTGACTTAGAAGTGGGGTCAGTTTGAGCAGTATATATGGTTAGGAAAGAGGATAGTGATGGCCATAAATTTATCCTGTCAGCTTAGCAGCTATAAATTACATTAGATTTGTGTAAATTACGTTAGATTTGTGTAGATACCTCTAATTTCTGTAACTTGTTTTGCTGTGTTTTTATGAATTTCAGTGGGCTTATAGTGGTAGTTTGAACTTTCAGATGTAGTTATCAGGCCGCATTAATTTCCTTAAATGAGCGAAGTAAAAGAAGTTTCTGGGAACATAATAGTTTTCTGTTCTCTTGCACCTGGCAGTAATATAGCCACAGGCATGAGTAATGGGAGTTGTCACTCTCTGTGCCAGAAATTAGCTCCTGTGTCCTCAAAATAATTATTACCAAGTGTTGAAATGGACTAAGACTGGTTGAATGCAGCAGTCATTAGTCAGCCCTTAGTGCAAAATAATGCTCTTTGGAAAAAATCTGTAATAACCAGATAGGTCACTTATACCGGTCACTATAGATTTACAATTGTGTGTGTATCCTGTGCTCCGAAATATCTTGGTGTTATGCTTAACTATCCCATGTTATTTCTATTATTTCCAGTTTTGTCTCCTGGTCTGTAGTGTGTGCACATTTTTTACGATCTTGGGAAGTTACATTCCTGGGGTTATACTCAGCTATCTACTGTGTAAGTATAGTAGAACATATGGCTAAGTGTTGTGATGCATATGGTATCACCTTACGGTCAACAGACCTGTAGTTTGAAGAGGGGGGATGAGTTCTTAACTATAATACAAGTTGATTATTCTTTAATCTCCTGCTGTACAAAGTTTCTCCATTTTCCTAGAGACATGTCTCTATTTTAAAATTGGAAGAATAGCTGCAAAAGGCAGAATTATAAGTGAATAATTTTATGTTAAATTTTGTCAGTAAAAGTATACATAAAGCTGTATGCCCCACCTCCCAAAAACACACCAACACCTTTGCCTTCGTGCGTGTTCTTTGGCTCAAAAAAATAATTAAAACCACAATGAAATACCATTGCATCCCTACCAGAATGGCTAAAATTAAAAATACTGACCACATCAAGTATTAGGAGGGATGCAGAGCAAGTGGAATTCTCACATACTGTTGCGGGGTAGGTAGAATGTTAAAATCACTTTGGATAACAGTTTGGCAGTTTCTTAAAAACTACTACATGACAAAGCTATCCCACAACTAGGTACTTACCCAAAAGAAATGAAAGTACAAAGACATAAATGTTCATAACAGATTTATATGTAGTAGCCAAAAGCAGAATATAATCCATACATCCATCAATTGGAGGAATGGGTAAGCAAACTGTGGTATATCCATATAATGGATTACTACTTAGCACTAAAAATGGATACATACAACACTAAAGATAAATCTCAAAATAATTAGACTGAGTAGACAAAACCAGATGAAAAAGTGTGATTCCATTTATATATTATTCCAGAAAATTCAAACAATCTTTAGTGACAAAGCAGGTCAGTGGTTGCCTGGGGATGAGGTGGGTGGGGGCAGGGAGAAGAGGCAGGAGACTGGAAGGAAGGTTGAATAAAACCATGAGAAAACTTCATGTCTACTGGTAGACATGTTCACTATCTTGATTATGGTGATGGCTTCTTAGTTGTATGCATATGTCAAAATTTATCAAATTGTACACTTTAAATACATGTATTTTATTATACATCAATGACCACCCAAAAATGTTATTAAAAAGTATGGATTTTCTTCACCTGAAAACTATGATCTGGCACTGCTACCTTTCGATGGGGCAGGCACTCTCCACTTAACATACCCCCATATTTTCCAATTTTTCTTACAATGGACTTTAAAATTTACATACAATTTCTTGGCCTCTAGAGACATTTGAGTTTGTAGCTCTTATTTTAAAATATAATACGGGACACTTCCTAAAACGAACAAAGAAATAAATATTGGGAATACAATACTTAGAGTGTGGCAATCTTTGCTTCTTTTTGTATTCTTAATGCATAATGCAAATGGCAAATGGTCAGAGCTCAAATCCATTCTCCCCAAAAGAAGTCATATATAACATCAGCCTCATGATGACATTGTTTAGGAGGTAAAGGAGAAGAGGACTGGGGAATGAAAGAATAATTTGGGCAAGGCATTATTCAGATGGTTTGCATTGATTTCATTTATGCTTCACAACAACCCCAAGAAATAATGTTACTATCCTAATATTATTGATGAGAGGCTAATAACTTTCCCATGGTGAAATGGCATTGAATAAACACAGTTAAACCAGGACTGTTGTCTGGAAGGCATGTAATTTTTCTATAAATTTTGAGAATAAAAGGATTGAAAGGAGGGAGTTGATCTAACTGCACCTGGAAACAATGACTGTGAGCATTGTGTAAGTGTGGGTATGCATGTGTGTGTTTGTGGGTGGTGGTAGAAAATGTTTACCTTACAGAAAAAGAATAGAAATTATAAACTTGTGTAAGTGTGGGATGCATGTGTGTGTTTGTGGGTGGTGGCAGAAAATGTTTACCTTACAGAAAAAGAATAGAAATTATAAACTTATTTCACAATGGCATTTCCCTTAAAAAAACTTAAGTTTTTCAGTAAAGAAATGTAGTATTTTGTGAAATACTGAAATGTACGTAGCCTTTTGAAAGGAAAGGCATTTTACCTCTGCTCTCTTTCTTCTTTCAGTACTGTGTGCATTTTTGTGTCCATTGTTTAAATGTAATGATATTGGACAAAAAATTTACAGCAAAATTAAGTCAGTTCTGCTGAAACTGGATTTTGGAATTGGAGAATATATTAATCAGAAGAAACGTGAGAGATCTGGTAGGTAAAGTTTATATTTTAGATTCTATGCATGAAATGAGACATTAGCGAGCTATTTTTAGGAAATTCTTTAATACATTTGAGGATACTTTTAGCTTTTTACTAAATATTATTATAGAAGCTAATCTCCCTCAAAGTTATATATATCCTTTTCCTATTTGGGCTTTCCTTCTTTTCTCAAATATACAATTAAATAAATTGACTTTTTAATCCACAGTGTCAGGGGAGAAAGAAAAGGCTTCAACACTCTTTATTGTGCTACTTATGATTTACTTAGTTTTATTTTGGGTTGGACTATCACAAAGAAAAAGAAAATACAGGAAAAGCCAATATAATCATCTCTTACTTTTTAACTTGGCTTATGACCTTATAGGTTCTCAAACTAGAATGTATCGGAGTCACGTGGAGGGCTTATTAAAGGACAGATTGCTAGGCCCCAGCCCAGAGTTTCTGATTCAGTAGGTCTAGGGTAGGGCCTGAGAATCTGCATTTCTAAAAAGTTCCCAGGGAGGATGCTTTTGCTGTTTCAGGGACAATATTAAGAGAGCCACTAATGTGGATCATTTCCTTTGCAAATATGTGAAGCTTGTTATGTGCAAACATTTAATTATATTTGTAGTTAAGAATATGAGAAATATATATTTGTATTTGGAGAATATGAGAAATGTGGGGTAAGAATACATAATGAAATAAATGCACTATGTCTGAGTTGGCTAGGAAACTGAAAGCTTCCAAATTTTTTCCTCAACAGAAGCAGACAAAGAAAAAAGTCACAAAGATGACAGTGAATTAGACTTTTCAGCTCTTTGTCCTAAGGTATTTTTTGTTTAGTTTTCAATTTGTTCCTGTGTGGTTTGACTGTAAATGCATGTATGCATACAAAGCTGAATGATCTTCCTAATAAACTCCTCATATTTCTGTAAGATGACTGAATGATTTCAAAATAAAAATATCCATTTGGTTTTTATTACTCTGTCATTTTGGGGGTTCATATGGATTTTTCAAAATATTCCCTTCAGCAGTTTAAAATGTGCCGCTGGTATTTATTTATATTAACACAGATTAGCCTCACGGTTGCTGCCAAAGAGTTATCTGTGTCTGACACAGACGTCTCAGAGGTATCCTGGACTGATAATGGGACCTTCAACCTTTCAGAAGGATACACTCCACAGACAGACACTTCTGATGGTATGCTAATATTTCTGGAGACATTTATTTTTATGAGTGCATACAAAACTATTGAACTTCTGTCAAATACTGAATGGGTAAATAACATGTTACCACCATATCTACACAGTAGAATATTACTTGGCTATAAAAATGAAGTCCTGATACTTGCTACAACATGGATGAACCTTGAAAACATGCTAAGAAGCCAGACACAAAATGCCACATACTGTGTAATTCCATTTATATGAAATGCCTAGAATAAGCAGGTCCATATAAAGGGAAATTAAGTTAGTGGCTGCTATGGACTGATGGAGGGAATAGTGAGTGACTGTTAATTGGTATGCATTTCTTTTTGGAGTGATGAAAGTGTCCTAGAATTAGATAGTGATGCTGCTTGTACAGCTTTATGAATATACTAAAAAACACTGAATTGTATACCTTAGAAGGGTGTTTTTTTGGTGCATGAATTATCAAAAGCTGTTTTTTAAAAAGTATGAGGAAAATAAATCAGTCAATGTCCAAATTTGCCTTTATTTTGAAAACAAAATAATCAAAAATTAGAAAAATTACCTCCTGAAATGTCTTTGAAATGTCCCAAGCGATAATGTGGGAGAGAAAGATAGACGCTAATCCTACACATTTAGGCCTAGTCCTCATTAAAAGGGGCTGAAGTATGGACGTCAAGTTCCCTGAGTCCAAAGCTGACTCCGGAGTTTCTCACATTTGTCTTCAAAGTTAAAAAAGCTTTTTATTTTTATTTTTTTTGTTTCTGACTTTTAAGTTCAGGGGTACATGTGCAGGATGTGCAAGTCTGTTACATAGGTCAACATGTGCCATGGTGGTTTGCATCCCATCACCTAGGTATTAAGCCCAGCATCGATTAGCTATTTTTCTTGATGCTCTCCCTCCTCCCACCCCCAACCCTATTGACAGGCCCCAGTGTGTGCTGTTCCCCACCATTGTGTCTATGTGTTCTCATTATTCAGCTTCCACTTACAGGTGAGAACAGGCAGTGTGTTTGGTTTTCTGTTCCTGTGTTAGTTTGCCGAGGATAATGGCTTCCAGCTCCATCCATGTCCTTGCAAAGGACATGATCTCGTTCCTTTTTATGGCTGCATAGTATTCCATGGTGTATGTGTACCACATTTTCTTTATCCAGTATATTCTTTGTTTATAATAAGTACAATTAAAAACAGGAAAGCACAGTATTCTTTATAATGCAAATTATGTCCAAAACTTAAATTGAGAGTCAATGCTTGTACAGTAACTTAACTTTTGTTAGTCTCACTGGATTACCTTGTTTTGGCCATATACTGAACATATGAGCAGATTATAAAGGAGGAGGGTGAATGAACTATTTTACACTTATGTTCCAAAAGGACATTTTCTGTTTTTAAAGGAAGGAGGGAGGGAGGCTGTGCAGTGTTTGAAAGAAGATGGGTTTGGAAGGTGGAAGACCCAAGTGGAGTCTTGCCTTTGTCACTACCTAACTTTATGACCTTGAACGGGTGACATAATTTTTGTGGATCTCAATTTCCTCACCTTTAAATTAGAACAGGAGCATTGCTGAAGGTCATTCAAGCTCTACAAGCTTTCAGTACCTACAATTTGAGGTCATATTTTAAAGAACAAGAATAACAAGTACCTTGTTCTTAAGCATCCCATCTCAGATTCAACAAAAGAGACAATAATAATCCAAGCCACATACAAGGCTTTTCATTAATTGAAGATTTCAAATCACTGTTGCAGGGAGTTAACTGTTATATTAAAAGATTTTATATGAAAGGTAAAAACAATAAAATCTATTAGCCTTCTAATGTGACATTGCTTTCAAATGTCCTAAATCTTGGTATGGTCAGTTTCAGCTATAGTTATAGAGAGCCAAATGTTTCCATAAACTCTTGGGTTATATGGAATAGAAGGAGCAGTATCTTCCTTTCATTGCTTAAAACAAACACAGATTACAGGCACTGAAATAGATCTCTATGTATGAAAATGCTGAGGCTGGATAATATTAACCAAAACCCAAGGAAACTTATTATAGTATTTTAAATTTCATGTACATGTGTACTCATTGGCTTAAGATAATTCCCACCCTAGGCGCAGGATGGGGAATTTTTATAGTAAATGCTTAAACTTTAGTCAAAACCTCAAGCTAATATCAGACAAAGGTGAATGTTAAGTCAGTAAATACACTGTTTTGTGCTTAAGAGGAAAGCTAAATATGGAGAGGGATGTGTAGTATTTGTGTCCCTGTGGAGAAAGAGTGTTGCAGGATTAGGAGGAGTTCAGTATGTGGTTAAATTGATTCAAGTTGACCCAGGAGGCTAGATGAATGCCAAGGTTGCCAGAGGGTTCAGATTAAAGTCAGATATCTTTAGACAGCACTTTTATTTGAAATTTGTTATGGTGCTTCAGTCTGAACTTCTGTTATCCATTTCACAGATCTTGACCGACCCAGTGAGGAAGTTTTCTCTAGAGATCTTTCAGATTTTCCATCTCTAGAAAATGGCATGGGAACAAATGATGAAGATGAATTAAGCCTTGGTTTGCCCACTGAGCTCAAGAGAAAGAAGGAACAGTTGGACAGTGGTCACAGACCAAGCAAAGAGACGCAATCAGCAGCTGGTCTCACCCTTCCTCTGAACAGTGACCAAACCTTTCACCTGATGAGCAACCTGGCTGGGGATGTTATCACAGCTGCAGTGACTGCAGCTATCAAAGACCAGTTAGAGGGTGTGCAGCAAGCACTTTCTCAGGCTGCCCCCATCCCAGAAGAGGACACAGACACTGAAGAAGGTGATGACTTTGAACTACTTGACCAGTCAGAGCTGGATCAAATTGAGAGTGAATTGGGACTTACACAAGACCAGGAAGCAGAAGCACAGCAAAATAAGAAGTCTTCAGGTTTCCTTTCAAATCTGCTGGGAGGCCATTAATCTAGGAATCAGCTTGCAACAGAGCACAAAAAACACCAAAAAAATTTCAAACAAGAAAAAAAAAAAAAAAAGGAAAAGAAAAAAATTGAACTGTAAGCTTTAATGATTACTTTAGATTTGTTTTATTTTCCCTCCTGCAGTGAATTAATTGGATATATATCAGCTGACACTGATAGATTGATATTTCTGATCGTTATTTTTGTGTAATAAGCATGGAAATGAACTTTATACACACCACTGTGTTGTCAGAGATAAATATTAGGGGTTGTTTTTAAAGCAAAAAGAAAAAAACAAAAACCAAACTATTAAAATCCTCCTATAAATATTCTTTTTCTTTACAGTTTTTCAAGCATGCAAAACAGTTTATTGTAACTTACTGAAAAATATTAACAATTAATTGTGAATACATGCTGTTACCAGCTTCCTTATTCCTAATACCTGGAAAATTTTTTTTTCAACGGATAGATTTTGATGTAAAAAAGACCGAAATTATCAAGGTATCTTAGTTGAAGGACTTGGGAAATACTATCAAAATTAATTTCTTAGGAAAAAATTTAAAAGTATATTTAAGTACTCTGGATAGACTGAAACGTTTCCATGTTATTTCTGCAGTTGTAGACTTAGGCTTATTTGTAAAGAAGCATGCTCCATTGACTGCCATCTCTAGTCTTGCAGTGGGTGGTATTAACCCATAGAAAGCAAGCAGTTGTGTATCACATAGACAATGGTTATGATGTAAACAGATTCAGTTGTTTTGTTGTTCATTCGTCATATGTTTGTGATAGGGATGTTGGGAGCACAGCTCTATTCTGCCTGCTCAGACTTAAGTTAGACCCTTATCTTTTATATTATGTCATGAAAAAAGTCTCCTAAAATTGTGAAACTAGTTCTTGATGAGTGATGTGATCATCAGCAATAAAGATATAATAACTCTGTTTTCTTAGCCTGTATAGAGGAGAGGAACTTGCTTGGCTTTAAAATATATTTATTTGCCATTTAAGTATAAATATGGAATCTGTTTCTTATTGGGAAGATAGAATATATATATTTTCCTTTAAACTTTTTAAGGTCACTTTTAAATAACCAAATTTGATTTATGGTTTTTAACAAAGGACTAAAGAGCTGAAACCAACCTAGTTTTGTTTTTGTGATATAAACTTTAAGTGTCGAGGGACCATGCCAGCAACTACCAAAAATCTCTTAAATCTTCAGGTACAGCTGGCATTTTGGCAGATGCATAGAGACATCTGAGACCCTCAGAAAGGAAGGATAATCCAAGAATATAGGAAATCTGTGTTCTCTTCCTTTCATTTTATCCCTTATATTTCTAAAGACTAATTATAAGTAATCTGACATTTTAATGTAGCTACTCTTATTTATTTTTTCTTTCTGAGGTATTAAAATATCTGGACTGAGTTTTGCCAAATGTTAAAGGGAGAAGAGTTACTGAAGACTTTGAACACTTGCTTTTTGTGATTGCTTATGTCATTAGTGCCTCATGACTGTGTTTGATGTCCTTTATTGATACAAAGTGAGCCTGTGCCTTCATTATCTTGCCCATTTTAATACAAATGGAAACCTGGTGTTTGAAAATCTCTGAACTGTGTGGGTTTTGGAGGAATATACCTGAATTTTATTCAATAACAGTTTCTGGACAGGAAGAAAAATACAGTTACATATTTATAAAATAGTCGTTATCAGTATTTTTTTATGTGTATGTTTCTTTCTTTAAAACAATATTCTTGGATATAAAGTAGAAAAGTTTAAAGGTCATTTCCATTTCTTCACTAAGGAGAAAAAAAGTTAAATAATCCAAGTAATTAAAGAATATAAGTCACTAGATGACCTTACAGGAAGACGAACTCAAGGGCTGATAATCTGTGGTGGTATGAACAATAAATCTAGAATAAAATGTTAATAACTACAAATTAAAAGGGGTGTGAGGATGGGAGGAAGTTGGTAGGGTAGAAAAATGTGCTATTACCACTATTGAGGAGACATGCCAGCTCTCTAGGGACAGCAGCATTATAACTATGTATGAATTTTAATATTATTTGTATATGACTGTATGACTACAAATTTACACAATACAATAATGGGACTTTCTCACAACTATTAATTCAAACAAACACAAGGATGTTGAAAGTTCTTGTTTGTGTATATGTGTGTTTTGGTGGTGGGGGGTCACTGTTTCTGGTTTTAAAAGATGAAGGAGCAGATACATTTCATATGATTGATCCAGTGTAGTAGAGGACTACATGTCCTTTACTATGAGAATATAAATAGCAATATTTCCCCAACATCTGAAAGAACTGATAATGAGTGGTTTGTAAAATCTAAGTGGACTGAAGTACTTAAAATGTGAACCATGGATATATATTTTTAAAACTGAAAGCTGTAGAGAAGTTCTGCTTACTTCCTTTAGAAAGTACTGAGCAAAATCACACAATGGCAATAGCATACATTGAGCATGTATTTTAATCTGAAGCAATAAAGCAGTGCTCAAGAAGCTGAAGCTCGCTTTGGAAGATCAATCCAGGCTTGAATATTCTCATTCTGAAATACCTTTGTTTTTTTCTTACCCTACATAGCTTCAAAAGGGATTTTTTTTTTTAAACTGCCTGCTTCCCGGTTTAATAAAATATTAGGAAAACTTTTATAAGGTTTTGTAATTGGCAAATATAGTCAACATATTTAGGCATCTCACTCTTATATATGAAATAAATGCAACTTTCTTCCATTTAAAAAAGTGGCAAATGCCAGCATGCCACTAATTTTAGTCAAGAAGCAAATCCACATTTAAGAAAAACGTGATTTTAACATTTATATTATGTTTATAATCTAGATGGGTATACTTCTTTACACTGCTCTAGCTGTGTTCATTGCAAGATAGGAAATTCTTCTGAAAACCTTTACTGAACTACTGTTGTCTTAGATCATTTGTGTCATGATGAAATTAGCCTCAGAGCTATATTTTTGTGTATTATTCCTCCATTTCCACTGTAGCATTTGTACTAAGAAAGATGTTGAAAATAAGAGTTCTGGTTCTCATGTTAATATTATGGCCCTGAGACACAGTGTCAAAGTCATACAACGTCCCCAAGCTCCATCCTGTTTCCCCAAACATTAAATAGGGAAGTTAATTCTTACCTTATCACACACGGATGTTTAGAGAATGAATGAAAAAAAGTATCTGAAGCACGTTGGGGGCAGGTGTGTGTGTGGAAAGGCTGCATAAAACCAAGATACTGATTTTTTCCTGCCTGTGTTTCAACTGAGCCATTCTTTTAAACATTAAAACAAAGGCTATCAACAAGGAACAGCTTACAAGAACCATAAGGTTCTTTTAATGGGTCTAGCACTGTATCAGCCTCACAGTGCAAGAAATCCTTGTGGAATTAATGGATGGAAGTGTTGCAAAAATGTCTACTATTTCAGTTGATTTTGTGGACCAAGCGTAAGGTTCTATAATAGTAATTTTTATGGTTATAACACCTACTAGCTATGGGACTCTGAGAAAATCACCTAATAACTCCATACCTATTTACCTCATCTACAAAATAAAAATGTAGTACCATTTACTTCACAGAGTGTTACAAGGATTAAGTGTCTTAAGGCTAGGGTTGGCAGACTATGGCCCATGGGCCAAATCTGGCCTGCTACCTGTTTTTGTAGGGGCTGCAAGCTAAGAACGATTTTTTACATCTTGAAGTAGTTGAAAAAAATCAGAAGACTATTTTGTGACATGAGAATAAATGAAAATCAATTTTCAGCATCTGTGAATAATGTTTAATTAGAACACAGCTAGGCTCATTTGTTTATGTATTGTCTATGGCTGCTTTTATGCTATAACAATGAAGCTGATTAGCTGTGACAGAGAACCCAGGCCTACAAAGCATATTTACTTTCTGGCCCTTTACAGGAAAAGTGTGCAAACTCTTGGTCTAAGACATAGAAAACAGGATCCTGTTTAACCCTCCTGACTCTACAGTTAAGTGGTATTAGGAACATTTTGCCAAAGAACAGGGTAGATAAATTGTCCAAGGTTACATAGCTAGTCAGGGAAAAAGCCAGCCTGACCCCAAAGCCTATTCTCTTTCTAATGTATCATACTAGTATATTGGTTTTGCTTTTTGATACATTAACAGCGATCATAATTTTAAATAGTTTAACAGAATTTCACTAAGTATTAAATACTGATTTTATTTTAGTTTTTTTCTTTTTTCAAAGACTGCAGAAACCAGTTGATCTATACTGTTTTAAATGCTGTGTAAACAGGCTTTGCTGTAAATTTCAATTCCTTATTAAATTAAGACAAGACTTTGCATATGTAGACAGCCAAAACAATTGGGGATTGAAAATCTCTCACAGGACTTAACGTTTTCATAAACACAGAATTCACAGAAACTGTAAACCATGTGATAAGTGTACATTAGTTTTTATATTTCAGTATTTGTTACCCCCACCAAAGGTTACCCTCAACCAACCCAATCCCCTTCATAGCCTTCCTTTTAAAAACCAAGGTGCCACTGCGATATAGGAATGTGAACAGCAGTAAACTTGTCACAGAGAATATTGTGATCAGCATACAAAATGACTTGAAGGCAACTTTATTAGCTTTTATTTTAAATTATGTAATTATCAAGGATGAATATCCCAAAGTCTTCCAAGACTGAAACAAGAACCATGTTACTGTGTGTACTGTCACTGTTACAGTGTGCACCATAACTCTAGTAGTTTAAGAATTACGTGAACTATTTTAAGGGCTATGTCATGACATACAGAAGGAATTATAATTTTCAATACTTTCAAATTAATTTTCTTTGTCATAGATGGTTGTATTAGTCCATCCTCACATTGCTATAAAGAAATACCTGAGACTGGGTAATTTATATGAGATTTAATTGGTTCAGGGTTCTGCAGGCTGTACAGAAGCATGGTGGCCTCTGCTTCTGGAGAGACCTCAGGGAGCTTTTACTCAAGGCAGAAGGCAAAGTGGGCGCAGGCAGTTCACATGCCAAAATCAGAGGCAAGAGAGAGCAAGGCAGGAGGTGATACACACTTTTAAACAACCACACCTTGAGAGAACTCACTGTCGCTGGAACAGCACCAAGGGGATGGTGCTGAGAAATTCACACCCATGATCCAATCACTCCCACCAGGCCCTGCTTCCAACACTGGGATTACATTTTGACATGAGATATAAGTGGGGACAACATCCAAACTATATCAGTGATCTTAGTTTAAATTCTTCAGAGTGATCAATTTGGTAATTTTTTTTGATAGCAGTACTGTCAGCAGAGGTTAGACACATTAAGAGTGCTGAGGATGTGCCGCAGAGATTTTACTCAACAGTCCCTTGCATTTACCAAGGAGGTATTGGCTGTAGACCTACTCTTTTTTTTTTTCTCCAATTAGTTCCAGATACTGCTGCTGGATTTACTCAAGGCCCACTTCTATTCCTGGTGCCATACAAGCTGAAACATTCTGTGACTCTCCATCAAATGAAGCATGAGCAGTAAACACAACAATCCAAGTCTTTTGCCAATGATATCGTGGCTCTCTCTAGTCTCATTTTCCCTTGTTTGTATCCTAAGCTTCATCCAACGTAGACACATTCTTCTTAAATATGTCCTTGATTTTCCTCCCTCCACAGTATTTCTTCTACCTGTTCCACCTCCCTTTCCACTTGCAGAGTCCTCAATCTTCTCCTTTAGGACCCATCTGAAATGTCTACTCCTTAATGAAAACTTTTCTGATCTCTCTAATGGCATGAGATTTCTCTATCCTAAATACTCATTAGCCCTTTCTTTATATTTCATTGTACTAGATCCAGCTATTTAACTGTAAATATTTTTTTATCATCCCTAAGAAGTAAAAAAAAAAAAAAAAAAAAAAAACTTCGTGAGGGTAGGAATGCCTTAATTTAGAACCAGTAGAATATTACAAAAAATACATAGCATGTGGGAGAGACTATGGGAGATACGAAAGCCAGGAAAGGAAAGATACAAATGGAATTTAAACTTTATCTTATGGGCATCAGACAACTATTCTTGAACAGAAAAAGTGACATATGAAAAAAATACTACAGGAAAATTACTGATTACCTGTATTTACTGTAGAGGGGGATATGGGGAAAGAGTAAGGTTATCTTGGAGACTGCAGAAGAACAGTACATTGGAAAATTAGTATGGCGGAGGAAACAATACCCCTTTAAAGAAGAAAAGTAAAGAAACTGGAGAGTTCAATGATGCTGAAATAGGAGGAACATGAAAATAGATTAGAGGAGGCAGGGAGGAAATAGTGACCTGAAGAACAGATGCTGGAAGAGCCATATAAGAATGATAATAGGCAAAAGTAAAACCAGAAGTTCTTTACTTTTATAGCCATCTTCTGCTTTACTTTTTAGGGAAGCTTGAAAATATACTCTGCTTTGCTTATTCCAGTTAACAACTAATACTAGCTACATTTCTCAAAGTGAGTATCCAGATGGCTCAGCTATTTTAAAAGATACTGATAATCTCAAAATAAGTTTTCAGAAATAAAAATCACCATCTGACTTAACTTTTGCACTGCAAAAGATTCGTTTAACAAATACTGAACAGTTGATCTGCTGGCACTGTTCTAGCATTAGGGTATACAACAAAGGAGTGCTTGCTGTCATGGAGCTTATGTTCTATCTAGACGCAGATGACTAACATGCAGTGTGACTAGACATCCTGGTTTGCCCAGGATTGAGGGATTTCCTGGGATGCAGGACTTCCAGTGCTAAGCCTGGGAAATCAGTGACAACAAATGCTAGTGGTAGCTGATCTCCCAATGATCCCCTAAAACCACCCTGCCCCCCACTTCCCACTTCCTGGTATTCATGCCCTTATGTTAACCCTTCTCACATTAAATAGGGCTGACCTGCAAAAGTAACAACACATTGTGGAAACGACTGTGTGACTTCCAATGCTAGGTCTATGAATTTCATGTGGCTCTCTGCTGCACTCAAGCAGCCCTATGGAGAGGCCTACTTGTCAAGGAACCAAAACCTCTTGCTATCAGCTATGTAAATGAACCATCTTTAAGGGAGACTCTCCAGCCACAGTCAAATACAGTCAGATCTTCAGATGATTTTAGCCCTGGACAGCATGTTCACTGCAACCTCTTAGGAGATCTTAGTCAGAACCACCCAGCTGAGTCACTCAAATACCTGACATACAGAAACTGAAATAAAGCTTGATGCTAAATTTGGGGGTAATTTAATACAGAGTAGTAGATAACTAATACAGTACTGGAGAAAAGTTATGCCTGGTAAGGACTTAGGAAGGTAGGCACTATTTTTGGTAAGTGGATTTGGATAAGCCTCTCTTACAAAGGCATTTGGGCAGAGATCCAAAAAATAAGGAAGCAAGCCAGCAAAAGGATGTTCCAAGCAGAAGAGTAATGGATTTCTGACTTTCTGACTTAGTACCAACTAAAGTGCTTGTTAGAAGAACATCAAATGTGTCATTGCGACTCAAGTAGGGTGAGCAGGGTAGAGAAGGGGGTGTGGCAGGACCTCAGAGGGAGGGGTAGAGCCTCGGAGAATAGAAAGTAAGGTGTTTGAATTTGATTGAGTCAAGGGAAGGCACTGGAAGGTTTTTTAAAGCGCCATCTTCTTTTGGTTTTCTCTTGGCAGCCTGGATTCTGAGCATGCAACATTCGACTCTAACAAGGCTGACTCTGGTTCAACCAGGCTGTGTGGATGAAATCTACGACCTCCCCAAGCATTTGAAGTTCATGTTTTCTTTTTCTTTTGAGATGGAATCTTGCTCTGTTGCCCAGGCTGGAGTGCAGTGGCGCGATCTCGGCTCACCACAACCTCCGCCTCCCGGGTTCAAGCGATTCTCCTGCCTCAACCTCCCAAGTAGCTGGGATTACAGGTCTGCGCCACTGCGCCGGGACTAATTTTTGTATTTTTTAGCAGAGACTGGGTTTCGCCATGTTGGCCAGGCTGGTCTTGAACCCCTGACCTCAGATGATCCGCCCGCCTCGGCCTCGCAAAGTGCTGGGATTACGGGCGTGAGCCACCGCGCCTGGCCTGAAGTTCTTTTCTACAGAACTTTGCTGTCCTATATACATGAGGGTACACAGCCAACTGGGCACCTGGCACGGGTCTAGTCCAAATTGAGATGGGCTGTTAACTCTAAAACACACACTGGATTTCCAAGACTTAGAACCAACGACAGAGCGTAAAAGATCTAATTAATTCTTTTAGACTGATTACATGCTGAAATGACAGGATGGGCTAAATTAAACACATTAAAAGCAGTTTCACCGATTTCTCTTTACTCTTTAAAAATGTGGCTGCTATTAGAATTACCTACGTGGCTTGGACTGTGTGTCTACAGGGAGCTCCTCTCGCGCACTCTGTGCACTCAAATTCCGCCGGTGTCCTCCGCCGGAAGGGCCGCCTCAGAAAGGCCGAGCCCCCGGCCTGGCTTCTCCGGTTTCCCGGGAAAGCGTTGCAACCACGGGCGAGGGCTCCGAGGTCGGCCCCGAGGGGTAAGGGCAGCCCTTGCCTTCGCGACATCCATTCACCCGGCTCCGCAGGTGCAGCGCGCGGTCCTCAGAGAAACCCCGACCCTCGCGTCGCTGACCCGACCATTCATTAATCGGGGGCTTCCCAGGGCCCAGGAGCAGCCTCGGGCGCCCCACTCCCCCATTCTCGCGTAGCCGTCCCCTTGACCGCGTCACACCGAGCGGCACAACCACCAGGGAAGGTAACTGGGAGGGCGCGACCTCCCTCAATCAACAGCCACCTCGGGCTGACTGAGCGGACCCAGGTCCCTTTCAGCCACAGCGTTCCCTCGGCTTCCTGGGCCTCACGGCGGCGGAGGCGTGGCCACAGCCTGAGAGGCGGGTTTCCTGTCCAGTTGTGAATAACTTCCGACGTGTGCCGGAAGTTTCCTCAGTGACAATCAGGAAGTCGGCGTGTCGAGTGGCTCTTCCTGGCTGCTGAGGCGGGTTAAGGTCTGAGGGTCTTGTGGGGCCACGGCGCTGATCACCAGGTGTTTGGCTTGGTCGGTTCTTATTTCTCGCCTGGCAATGGCGACGTACACCTGCATAACTTGCCGGGTGGCGTTCCGCGACGCGGACATGCAGCGGGCCCACTATAAGACGGACTGGCACCGCTACAACCTGCGGCGGAAGGTGGCCAGCATGGCCCCAGTGACCGCCGAGGGCTTCCAGGAGCGAGTGCGGGCGCAGCGGGCCGTCGCGGAGGAGGAGAGCAAGGGCTCGGCCACCTACTGCACCGTTTGCAGTAAGAAGTTTGCCTCTTTCAACGCCTACGAGAACCACCTCAAGTCCCGGCGTCACGTTGAGCTGGAGAAGAAGGCCGTGCAGGCAGTGAATCGGAAAGTGGAGATGATGAATGAAAAGAACTTGGAGAAAGGACTGGGCGTGGACAGTGTGGACAAGGATGCCATGAACGCGGCCATCCAGCAGGCCATCAAGGCCCAGCCGTCCATGTCTCCCAAGAAGGCGCCCCCAGCGCCTGCAAAGGAGGCCAGGAATGTCGTGGCCGTGGGTACTGGTGGCCGTGGGACCCACGACCGAGACCCGAGTGAGAAACCACCCCGGCTCCAGTGGTTTGAACAGCAGGCGAAGAAGTTGGCAAAGCAGCAGGAGGAGGACAGCGAGGAGGAGGAAGAGGACCTGGATGGAGACGGTGATGGCCCTGTCTGGGCGGGGAGGGTAAAGAGGAACTTGGCCCACCCTTAAGTTTCCAGATTTATACTCGAGATGGGTGTGTGTGTGTGTTTGAGAGCTTTTAAGTAAAAATGATGAGGGAAGGTGGTTTAGACGCTTTCTGAAGTGCCTTATCTGGCCAGCAGGTTTGGCTGTTTAGTTCACTCAATTCATTCTCCAAGGCCTAAAACCTTGTCTGGAAAAAGAAGTGCTTAATGCATATTTGGAGAATGAATTGATGCCTTCTGTGTTTTGGATGAAGAGGCTTTTAACATATGCACAGGAGGACATGCTATCGTCATACCAGCTGCCGTGTAATTTGCGATTCTAGTGGGTTTCCAGTTATGATGGTTTTGCACTTAATTTAGTTGAGTAAAACAGAATGAGGGGATCAAAACCAACTCAGCCAGAAATTTGGAGCTGGAGCCAGCACCCTCACCTCTTTGCCTTTATGAGCTATTTATTCCTTACTTCCCTCATCCCACATCCTATTAACAGTGCTGGTGTAGGTGTTCATGTCTTAGTCTGTCCACTCTGCTATAAGGAAGTACTAGAGACTGGGTGATTTATGAACAACATAAATGTATTTTCCCATAGTTCTGGAAATTGGGAAGTCCAAAATCAAGGTGCTGGCAGAGTCAGTGTCTGGTGAGGGCCTGTTCTATAGATGAAGTTTTCTCATGGTGTCATCATGTGGTGGAAGAAGCAGAAGGCAAAAAAGGGGCTAGCCAGTTCCCTCGCACTAATCCATTTATTCAGGATTAGTGCTTGCCTAACCTAATCACCCACTAAAGGCCCCACCTCTTAATGCCATTTCATTGATGATTAAGTTTCAACATTTGAATTTTGGGAGGGAAACATGCATTCAAACCATAGCCGTTCATAGAGCACCCTACCAGCACATACACACACCCCATAGTACTTTTGTGAAATAGTAGATAGAGGCATTGTTTTAGAAGTTTATAAAAATATCCAGGCAGGTAGGAGACTTCCTAACTATATTTTCAGCACTGGGCTAGGTGCTGTAAGGCATAGGAAAGAAACAAAGAAAAGATTCCTGTTTCCTGGAAAAGAAAGACTAAGGAGTTTCATGGCCATTCAGATGAGTCTGTGGTAAACAAATAGCTAAAATTGAGATCTTGAAAGAGGAGTTGTCCTTGGGAGTTGGGGTGTGGCTGTTTCTCCAAATATAGGACTGTATCACCTCGTGAATTTTTGTGATATCTTTGCTTGCTACTACTTTTCTTAAACTTTATATTTCAAAATTCTGGCTTGCAGATTGGGAAGATATTGATTCTGATGAAGAATTGGAATGTGAGGATACTGAAGCAATGGACGATGTGGTGGAGCAGGATGCAGAGGAGGAAGAGGCTGAGGAAGGCCCACCCCTTGGTGCCATCCCTATCACGGACTGCTTATTTTGTTCCCATCATTCCAGCTCGCTGATGAAGAATGTGGCTCACATGACCAAAGACCACAGTTTCTTTATTCCTGATATAGAATATCTTTCAGATATTAAGGGACTGATTAAATACTTGGGTAAGTACAATAGTTTTCCTTTTAATGAGGAAATAATCACATTATTGGGGGACTGGTCTCAAGGGAACATTAGTTTTGCATTTTTCATCAATCTTTGATATAATTGCTTGGTTATTTTGTGAATGATTTTTGAGTTTTGGTGACAAATAGTGAGATTTAATCTGGTTGCAAAAAGCTTTTTTCATATTTTTTCCTTAAATTATTTTTCTAGGAGAGAAAGTTGGTGTTGGCAAGATTTGCTTGTGGTGCAACGAGAAAGGGAAGTCCTTCTACTCCACAGAAGCTGTACAGGCACATATGAATGACAAAAGCCACTGTAAGCTCTTCACAGATGGCGATGCTGCTTTGGAATTTGCAGACTTCTATGATTTTAGGTAAGCATAGTTTGTAATATGAAGTAAAGTGAGGTCATATTTGCTTTGAAGTGATTATTAGGTGTGCCAGTGCTGGATATGTTTGGCACTGTACAACATATCCTTAATAACACTTATAACACCTCTGTATTAGGTAGTTCTTTCTTTGTAGTTGAGAAACTCAGTTTAACAGAGTTTAACACATCTAGTGAAGAGAAGACCTTAGACCCAGACTGAAGTTTGACTTGTTTTTGTTTTTGTTCTGGTTAAAACATCAAGAGTTCAGTTTTGCCAGTTACCCCTTGAACAGAGGTACAGAAATTAGGTTTCACATATTGGGTTCCTGGAGAGTCCTTGCATCACCAGCTGTCTCCTGAAGGAGTTGAGACAGTTGCTAAACCAGGCCCAAACCAGGCATCTGATGGTGAGATTACCCCATTGGTGGTTCACCCCTAACTAGAATCTTTTTTTTTCTCTGAGAAAGATTTTTGCTGTCACCCAGGCTGGAGGACAGTGGCACAATCATGGCCTACTGCAGCCTCAGCTTCCCTGAGCTCAGATGATCCTCCCACCACAGCCTCCCCAGCAGCTAGTGTGCACCAATATGCCCTGCTAATTTTTGTACTTTTTGTAGAGATGGGGTTTCGCCATGTTACCCAGGCTGGTCTTGAACTCCTAGACCCAAGTGATCCACCCACCTCAGTCTCCCAAAGTGCTGGGATTACAGGTGTGAGATACCATGCCCGGCCCTAACTAGAATCTTGAATTTTTTTGTATGTCATTTAGCAAATGTATGTTAAGTACTTGTGAACAACTAGTTGTCAAAATTCCTGTGAGCTAGCACAGGAGATAAGCAGATGTGTATAATTACCATGCCAGGCATGCATAGACCAAGTGATACCATGTTCAGAAAAGTCTCAGTCTTTTAAGTCTTCCTTTTGCATTTTCTCCCTGATTTCTCATTTTGCAGCTGGAGACTTGCAGTTGGTGGACATGACTGGGTGGAGGTAGAGGGGAGGATTAGAGGCTGTGGCAGTAGAGAAGACAATGAATGTCTGCTGGTGGTGGGAAGCATCCTCTTTCAGTATTTATCCCTCTCAAGTTTCCTTTTAGACAGCAGTGTTTATGACCTTTTGACTGATGTTGTAATCAGAGTGGTCAAAGCAAATACCATGGATAGTTAAGCAGCTGCCATCAGCAGTAGGCTTGGAATGCCCAGCACTCAGTCTCTCATCCTGTGGTTATATTCAGAATCCTACCCAGTCTCATAGATTTCAATATCTTCTGTAGGCCCGTGACCCCCACATTTATATCTCTAGTATAGCCTTCCCCTCAGCTGTAAACTGAAGATATCCAGCTGCCTCCTTGATATTTCTACTTGTGTCCAAAAGGAATCATTAACTTAACCTGTCCAAAATCAACTCCTGCTATGCATCCTAGTCTGCTCTCTGTAAGTAAATGGCATCTCTGTCCTTCTAGTTACTTAAGCCAAATGCCATGCAGTCTTCCTTTATTCTTCTATTTTCTTTCATGCTTACATTAGAATCGATCACCAAATTCTGCTTTATCTGCTTTTGCACTATCTATCTTCAGAGGCTGACTGCTTCTCACTACTTCTATGGCTACTACCCAGGTCCAGGGCACCATCATCTTTCGCCTGACTTCCTACAGTAGCCTCCTGCTGCCTGGTCTCCATATTTACATCCTTACTACCCACTATGTTCTATTCTCAAAACTGTAACTAGGGGGATCCTTTTAAAACATTAAGTGAGGTCAAACTCTGCTCAGATTCTTTCAAAGACTACCTATCTTACTCAAAGTAAAAGCCAAAGTATAATGGCCTGCAAGGCCCTGCACATAGTGTGGAGCATCTGTGGTTCTGTGGTTTTGTATTAGTTGCTCTCTGGATTCCTAACTATTCCTCTAATGCATCAAGTGTGTTTCTCAAGACCTTTGCATTTGCTGCTGTATTTGTTTATAGTATTCGCTTAGATATTCACTTGACTTGTCCCTCACTTCTTGCAGGCCTTGACATAAATTTCACCTTCTCAGTGTGGCCTTTTTTGACCACCTTCCATAAAATAACACCTACCCAATCCTTTTTATCCTGTTTTATTTTTCCTTATATCCCCTACTGCCATTGTGTGTATTGTATATTATTTATTGTCTCCTCCTTCTAGAATCTAAGCTTCAAGCCCTAGCCTTTTGTTGTTGTTACTCTTGTTCTTTACTGGGTGTTGCTTAAACCGTTAGTTTGAATTAAAATATGTAACTGATGGAAACGGTTCTCCCTTAGTCCAGATGATGTATTTTTCATTCCATTTACAGTTTTATTCTGTTGGTGCCTAGAAATGAGAAATTATATGAACTTTTCTTCCTAAAAATGAATATTAAATGATTTGTTTGTCTTAAAAAAATAAAAGTCAGCCAAGTGTGGTGGCATGAGCCTGTAGTACCAGCTGCTTAGGAGGCTGAGGTAAGAGGATCACCAGAGGCCAGGAGTTTCAGGCCAGCCTAGGTGACACAGTGAGACCCTGTCTCTAGGGGAAAAAAAGGAAAAAAAAAAAAGTTGATAATGCTTAATAAAGAAAACTTGGAAAATAGAAAGCCTTTACATACAAAGCTAGTGTTTATGGAGTGCTTACCTGCCAGACACTGTTCTAATAAGCATTTTATGTGGATTCACTCAGCTAAAAAATGACAAATTACCTAAATTTCACTCCCCTTCACAAGGTAACTTGTTTACTTATTTTGGACCTGAAACTTTTTATTGAAGAATAAACTTACAGAAAAGTGCATATATGTATACAGCTGGCCCTCTGTAGTCATAGATTCTCCATCTGTGCATCCAAACTAAAGTATTCGAAAAAAATTTTGTCCATACTGAACATGCACAGACTTATTTTTCTTGTCATTATTCCCTAAACGTTTAGTACTGTGTAACAACTATTTACATAGCATTTACAATGTATTAGGTATTAATAAGTAATATAGAGATGATTTAAAGTATGCAATGATTTAGGTTATATGCAAATGTTATACCATTTTATATCAGGGACTGGAACATCTGCAAATTTTAGTATCCTAGGGAGGTCCTGGAAGCAATCCCCCATGGATACCAAGGGATGACCGTACTTGTGATATCATGATTCAGTGTAGTGAAATTTTAAATATAACTAGCACCTAGATCAAGAAACAGCATGTTAATAATACCCTGACATTTCCCTTGTGTGTCCTTCCAGAAACTACCCCTCCTTTCTCCAAGAGTAACTACTATTCTGACTTATAGCTGCATAGATTGGTTTTGCCTGTTTTTATACTTTATATAAATGGAATCACAAAGAATGTACTCTTGGGTGTGGCTTCTTTTGCTCAACTTTATGTTTGGGAGACCCATTCATACTATTTTATATAGCTGTGGAGAGTTCTTACTGTTACAGAGTGTTCTGTTCAGTGCTCCACAACATCTAGTCTACTGTTGATACACATTTGAGTGGTTTCTAATTTGGGGCTATTACAAACAATGCTGCCACATCATTCTAATGTGTCTTTGGCAAATGTTTATAGGTTATCTGTTGTGTGTATATGTAGGAGTTGGGCCAGAGGATATACATATGTTCCATTTTAGAAAATACTGTCAAATTGGTTTCCAAAGTGGTTTTCTATACTCCCACTTGTAGTGAGGGAGAGTTTTTCATCTTAGCAACTTTGGTGGGTGTGTAGTGGCTTTAATTTGCATCTCCCTGATGATGATTACTGCAATCAAGAGGCTTTTTGCATATTCATTGGCCATTTGGATATCTTTTTGTGAGGTATCTGATCAAGCATTTTGTCTATTTTCTTATTAGGTTGTCTGGTTTACTGTTAATAATTTAATGTACACTTTTCCAATTATTTTTTCATGTGTATCTATGAATAGCCTTTGTCAACATTTTTAGGAATATAGAGATTCTTGTGGAACTGCACTGTCCAATATAGTAATTACTGGGTATACCCATATAGCTATTTAAATAAATTGGAAGTTTAATTAAAAATTTAAACATTCAGTTCTTCAGTCAGACTACCTGCATTTCAAAGTTCTGTGCTGGAAAGCTCATGTGATTGCAGTTACTGTATCAGACACAAAGACATATTGATAGAACGTTTTCTGTCATCACAGAGTTCTGTTGGACAGCACTGTTCTATAATTTGTTTTTATAGTGGTTAAATTGAGTATAGCTGCATGTCCAGCTGTACATTCTCCTTCTTCTCTGTTAGACAGCCTTTCTAGGGAAAAACAAATAGAATTCTGTTATATGTCATTTGCTCATTTCTACTACAGACAAAATGCTAACGAGTTGTTTTCTCCCAAAACCTTTTAGCTGGTAGTTCCTACAGCTGCTTCCTCCCCTCTCCCTTTTAGGTAGCTTAGGAAGTTTGCCACATTTGCAAATGAGTTTATGTCTTTTAGTTCAATTTGAGATATTAGTCTATTTATTAGTGCAATTTCTCTGTTATAGGAGTAGCTATCCAGATCACAAGGAAGGGGAGGACCCCAATAAGGCTGAGGAGTTGCCCTCAGAAAAGAACTTGGAATATGATGATGAAACCATGGAATTGATTCTGCCTTCTGGTAAGTGCATTTGTCAAAAATAAATAGCTTAATGCCAGTGGGATTGAGGGAGAAGCATATCTCCATCAATTACTTTCCATACTGAGGGAAATAGACCATAAGCTTAAAGTATATGTTTGGGTTCTCATGTACGGTGTAAACCCTGAAGGTTGCTGCTCAGCTCTAAGTTGCCTGTTTTGTTTAAATTTGATCAGTGTTTCTGTTCATTTCTGGGTTATGATTCAGAATGTTTGATCAGGCATTTCTTTTTTTTTTTTTTTTAGATGTAGACCTTTTCTATTCTGTTCTTTATTTATTTATCTTTTTTGGTCCTGTCTAGGTTTCTCCTGTTAATTGTAACCTTACTGTTATTCTTTGAACTGATTCCTGTTTCCTTTTGTTGCTCAGACTTCCAAATGGTAGTTTGGTGTGGGTGTATCTGACTCATGGTGGAAATTTAGCCACCATGAGGTATGAAAAGATGAAGAATAACCATGAATGTGAGAAGCATACATGGTTGTTTATTGTGTAGGAAGAAAGAATCGTGATTAACTGATAAGAATAGGAGAAGCTACAGAAGACATGTTTGAGAAATGAAAGGGGATGGAAAGGTAGAGATGATAATAAGATCTTAATGTCTGGTATTTACTGAGCAGTTAGCACATTCAGGCAGATGTATTTGTCTTTATAGGCCAACGTGAGTTAGATTCCAGCATCTTCATTTTACATATGAAGCTTAGAGAGGCTGAGTAACTTACCAGGATCACATGCCTAATCAGCAAAGCCTTTTTCCAATATCTGTATACTGCCTTGGGAGATTTGCAGTAACGGTGCAGGCAGGAACAACACACCCTGCTGGTGGAGAGGTCCGCAATGAAGCAGCCTTGTCTTATGGCTTTCCACATAGAATGTCACTGCTTAGGTACAGATGACTATCTTTAGCTCAGAATGATAACCCTGTAAGGCCAAGAGCAGCTTTAGAGTGTGGCAATAGGAGGAAAGGTCAGGCAGAACCTATTTTGAAGATGACAGTTCTTTCTACAGTGATAAGAAGGTTATAATGCAATATATTATTATGGCCTATCTAATACACAGTGGTAAAACCTAAATCCCAGAGAACCTTTTCTAGTCTTTCTCTGGTGACAGTACCCATATAGAACATCAGAAATATGTTTAATAACTTATTTTCCAGAACTGTATGTTTGACTTGTTGTCTCCTTAGCTTCTGCTTCTTAAACGGTAGAATCAGATAACCATAGACCTTAAGTAAATTGAATAAGACAATCCTAGTACAGCAGTGTCTGCCGTGTAGTAGGATCACTATAGTGTTTGCTTCATTTTGCATCTACTTTAGCACAATATATTACAAACCTTAGCATAACGTGAGCATATCTATTCAAGAAATCTAGGATGTTTCAGAGAAGTTTTCATCTAGACTTTAAATTTTTGAAACTTATAAAAAATAAAGAATCCTCAGCTTTGTCCTGGGTGACTGAGTTTTTTAAGGTATCTAAAAAGATACCCATTTTGACCGCCAAAGCCAAGCCCATTTTTGGCTTTGGCTAGCCTTAGAAAGATCTTAGAGAGATCTTCCTCTCCCACATCCAGATGGCTTAGTAACTCCTAAATGTCTTTTGAGTATTTTTGAGTATTTTTTTTTTTGTATTCATTTATCTGTGTCACCATTATACCCTCCTGTCTGGTCATCTCTAATCTGGTTTCCACATGACCACCAAAACATTCTTTCTAAAACACCAGTAGATTTTCTTTACCCTCTGTAGTTCCTCCACTGGGAGCCATTGCCTTTAGGGTAACTTTGAGTTTCTCTCGCTTCTGGTCCCTCAGGTGTGTAGTGCTATTCCTCTACCCCACCCACATACAGTTCTCTTCCTCTGGGTGTTTACATGTGTGGTGCCTCTTTTATTCCTACTTTTCTTGTAAGATTCAACTTATTTAGATTCAACCCTCTGGGAAGGCTTCCTGAACTCATCTTCTGTCCATTTACTGGGTAACAAGAGTCTCTCCCCTGCTGCTGGGACACTAAATCTAGTTACTCAGATTGGACTTCAGTAAAATCAAGCAGGCTATCTCAAAGCTAATGACAAAAAGTATCCACTAGAGGGCACTGTGAGCATTTATTTTGAAGATTGTGGTCTGGCAAGGTTTTTTTGGGTTTCCTTCGTTGCTCTTCAGCTCTTTTGGAGTAAGTTGGTATGAAAGGCCCATTCAATTGGATGTCAGAAATTGTAAGGCCGTTTGTTAAGAAGGAGTGGACATTAGCCTGGTGTGATGGTGTGTGCCTATAGTCTCAGCTAAGGCAGGAGGATCACTTGAGCCCAGGAAGTCAAGAGTCACAAGGCTGCAGTGAGTCATGATCACGCCACTGCACTCCAGCCTGGGTGATAGAACAATATGCTGTCTCCTAAAAACAAAAAAAGAAAAAAAGGAGTGGATGGTCTATAAGTGGCTACTGCTGTGTCAAAAGCTAGATGGACAGGTCGCATGCTTCACCATGACTTAGACATAACCAATCCCTTATTTATTGGGCAGTCACCCTGTGTTCTAGAAAATACTTTTCCTTGATGAGGGCCTTCAAGTGTAGCTGTCCTTAGCCCATCATACGTGGTGCTAATATCAGGTGGTCACTGTCATTGGCACAGGGTAGGGGGAGCTCTGAATGCTATTTTCAGTTCCTTCTTACCAGCTGTTGGAAACCTTGGCATTGAGTAATGAAGCCATTTCAAAGACGCTTTAAAAGGCCAACGTGCTGTAGGATGTGTTTCCACATGTTGCTTAAGAATATAAGTATATTGAATTCTTATGTACTAATGACCAACATTATCACCTTGCAAACCTGGAGCGTCCAGACCTAACGTTACAAATAGAACATCACAGTGAACAATGCTGGAATTTCCTGTAGACCCTCCATTTAAGCTTGTGTTTTATCCATCAACTACATCTCACCTATTTCCTGTGGTCTAAGAGCTTTGTTAACTCTTATGCTGTCAAAACAGTCAGGTTTAGGGAAAATGTTTTTATCCACACTAGTATCCAAAGACCATGTCTTTGAATCGAAAGCTTCTTTTTGTCATCTCTTGAGTATGATGATAAAACAAGCAACTGAAAGTAACTACTTTTCCATATCTGTGTATCAAGCAAATTATTTTCCAGTTATTTTGGCAGGTATAGGGACTTAAAATAACCAAAATAATTTTCTTATGCAAATTGAAAGTCTGGATCCTAAAAGCAAATACAGACTTCCACAATATTTATAGTATCTGGTTCATGGTCTTTTTACACAAAAGATTCTGAAAGAAATGGCTTTACCTAGGTAAATATAAATCTTTCCTGGAAACCGTACACAGGGTTCTACCTAGCCAACTATCCTTTATTCATTTTCAGTGGAAATGGCTTTTTCGTGCCTTATGTATATGCTGTTGTTAAATATCTGCATGGTTATGTCTGTCTGGGAAGATATTTGATTACTTTTGTCCTAATTAATATTCTTGTGAAAGGATAGTGTGTATTTAGTAAGCTTTTAGGTAATGCTGATGACACTGGCTTTGCAATGCTGATGACCACCTTTGGAGAGCCACTGCTCTGAGGGAGCCTGGAATTAGTCATCTCTAAACCCAGCCCCCTTCAGGTCATCTCCCTTGAACTTATGACACATGGGTTGGGACATTTTCCCTAGAAAGGGCCAGAGGTGATCGTTTAGGCTTTGTGTGCAATTCTGTCTCTGCAGCAGCTTCCCACCTCTGCTGTTGTAGCAAGCACCAAAGCATCGAGAGATAATACCTACACAGTTGAGCGTGGCTGTGTGGCAGTAAAACAAACCAAAACAGGCGGTTGGCCAGATTTGGTTCTCTGGCTGTAGTTTGCCACCCCTAGATTAATATATCAGATGTGCCTCACCCTTAAATAAGAACCTTGAATTGTTCCTCCAGTAGATATCTTTACTTACCTCAGGTTTTTATTATTCCAGCTACAGAATTTCCAATTGGTGGCCAATACCTTTGTCCCATAGTTTTTTTTTTTTTTTTTTTTTTGGAGACGGAGTCTTGCTGTGTTGCCCAGGCTGGAGTGCAGTGGTATGATCTTGGCTCACCGCAAGCTCCGCCTCCCGGGTTCACACCATTCTCCTGCCTCAGCCTCCCGAGTAGCTGGGACTACAGGTGCCCACCACCACGCCCGGCTAATTTTTTTGTGCTTTTAGTAGAGATGGGGTTTCACCGTGTTAGCCAGGATGGTCTCGATCTCCTGACCTCGTGATCCGTCCACCTAGGACTCCCAAAGTGCTGGGATTACAGGCGTGAGCCACCGCACCCGGCCCTGTCCCATAGTTTTTTTATTTGAAATATTCAGAGTCTATTTTCTTTTTTCTCACTCTGTTACAAGTTAGTGGGCCTATGAGATAATGAGATATACAATCGTGTTGTAATAACATCAGCATACTTTGAAAATTAAATTTAGAAATTCATTTCTGAAAGCATGATTGACTCACATAGTTTTACCAGATCCTACTAAATAAGCAAAAGCTATAGACAGAATTCAACTTAATCACCTTTTAAAATTCATATTCACCAGGTGATTTCCATCATTTAGGAAGCAATAGGTCAGGGTTACTCAGCCTTGGCACTATTGACATTTTGGACTGAATAATTCTTTGTTATGGGGGGCTGTCCTGTGCATGTAAAGATGTTTAATAGCATCTCTGGCCTCTACCCACTAGGTGCCAGTAGTACCCCTCTAGCTGTAACAACCAAAAATGTGTTCAGTCAGTGCCCAATGTCCCTTGCTGGATAAAATCCCCATTGGAGAATCACTGCAATAGAGAGTTTAAGCAAAGGAAAGGTGGATTGATTTCTATTTTAGATCCTGACTGTGGCTTGTAGTCCCAAACATCAGAACTGCTCTCTGTGCTTAATCTTCTTCATATATATATATATATATATATATATATATATATATATATATAATTTTTATTTATTTATATATATAAAACGCTAAAAATCTCTTATCTCCTAGGCCCCTATTATCTGTATTAGTAGGGGTTTCTATGTGAATTTTTGGGGAGGCATATTGTATGCAAGTAAGTACACAATGCTAAGTTTTTCACTTAACAGTGACTTGTCATTTTCTTTTTAAAAAATCTATTGTTTGGTTTTCTTTTTGTTGCATGCTTGCTTTCTTTCACTTTTTATTTTTATTTTACATGCTGCTTCATCTGTCTTTAGTAGATAGAACAACTGTTTCTTCTGGTACATCGATTTTCCATCTAGATATACTAAAAGATCTGATTTGGAAAGCCCTTGCTTTATAGCTCTGCCTTGAAAAAACTATCCAACTCAGTGTTTCAGTATTGCTCTTTTGAAAAACAGGTGCCAGAGTGGGTCATCGCTCCTTGATGAGATACTACAAACAGCGATTTGGCTTGTCAAGAGCTGTGGCAGTTGCCAAAAATCGGAAGGCCGTGGGCCGAGTACTTCAGCAGTACAGAGCCCTGGGATGGACTGGCAGCACAGGTACATTGATCTTTACAACTACAGACCAGTCTGAGAACTTGTATTTCTAGAAGGGGTCTGGGGAAAGTTGTTTCCATTTATGTTGTCCATGTGGATTCTCTCTAGGGGAAACGTAACGTCTTGGCTCCAGGGACTTCCATTACCACTTGATATGTTTAAGGCAATAAGCCCAAAGTGCTATGACTTAGAAATTTCATATTCCTGGCACAGTGATTTTATATACCATTAACTTTTTCAGAAGATAATAGTTACAAAAAGAATTATTTAGTAATCACCAAAGGTTGAAATTATCCTGGAGGTTATGCAGAGGAATTAGATAGTATCCTAGTGGTTAATAGCTTGAGCTGTGGAGTCAGACGTGACTTATGTGATGTACTTAGAGGTTCTTATATGATGAACATGAGTAATTTAATTAATATAAGCTTCTGTTTCCTCATTTATAAAACAGAGATGATAGTAATAAGACCTACCTCTTAGAGTTGAGTGGGTTGAATGTCATGCATGTGTGATATAGTGCATGCCCATAGTCGAGGTTAGCTATCAGTCCCCTTTTTTGTAATTTTCCCATAGAAAATTTAGCAAAAGTTAGAAGAGTAAAGCATGCCACTGCAATTGTTGAGTTTTGAAACCTCATCAGTATGGTACTCTTTACATCTATTCTGATGTGTCTGCTGGATGAAGCTGGTTATATCCTTA
The DNA here is from genome assembly GCF_000001405.40 of Homo sapiens. Taxonomy (NCBI): domain Eukaryota; kingdom Metazoa; phylum Chordata; class Mammalia; order Primates; family Hominidae; genus Homo; species Homo sapiens. The sequence goes on along the minus strand of NC_000005.10, from coordinate 16,452,316 downwards.
GATCTTCAGGGAAAGCATCTATCCAACTGAGGACTGTGGAGAAAATAAGAGGCGGGCTGCCTTCTGATGGCCTGGGAAGCTCTAGGCAACTAAAATCCATTTGAAAAGGCACTGTGTTTATATGTGGTTTCCTTCACTGTGGCTGCTTGTGAGCTGTGTGGCCACTTGAATCTGGCAGAGACTTGACTTCATCTTACTCTTATCAGGAAGTATTGTCTGACTCGATATATAGCTTCTGCCTTTCTGATTAATGGGGCTTTACCTTTTGGGCTTATAAACTCTTCCAGATGATGAAAACTAAAGCTACTAATCCCAGATAAGTGTATATATACAAAAGTTCTGGTATGCAATTCTGGAGTCCACAGAGACCCCTGAGGCGCATGGCTTAGAGACCCCAAGTTAGCAACTCTGTTTTAAATACAAGAACCTAGTTACCCCAAACTAACCTTTTGAATTCTCTGCCAAGGTTGGATTTTCTCTGATCACAAATAACAGAACTTTGCCTAATTTCTTAACTGCCTTCCAATCATAGGAGCGGCTCTTATGCGAGAGCGAGACATGCAGTATGTCCAAAGGATGAAATCAAAATGGATGCTGAAGACAGGAATGAAGAACAATGCCACCAAGCAGATGCACTTTCGGGTCCAAGTGAGATTCTGAGAGTCTGCTGGGATTGAGCAATCATCTCCTGCCCAAGTTTCCTCCTTGCCCTGAGGACCAGTGAAAGACAGATCATAGGAGAGACCCTTTTGCTGCTACTTCATTCGTTCTGACCTAATAATAAAAGTTAGAACCATATGAGTTTTCAGATGTCGTTTTTGAATAGTGTTGAAAGGTTATGTTTTCACAAGGTAAGTCCTGTGTCTACTGGACCCTGGGACTTGCACTGCTGCCTGACAGTTGCTTCATCGCCTCAGCTTTAAATGATTTATGATTGTCAGAGTAATGTGAGGAATCAGGAATGACTTGTGTGCCCCAAACTTAGTTTAACTTTGAGAGTAACTCACCATGTCATGGCACTGGGACCTATGTAAGGGGGCTTGAAGGCTTATGTAGGGGCAAAGTTGAATGTCACTCATGGAATGTATCATGGTACAGGAGGTACTGAATATCTCTGGGCGCTTGCATTAAATCCAGGCTAAGTTAAAAAGCACATCAATAGCTTGCTGTAAAGGTTTTATATTTCTAAACATGACTGCACAGAGTGACTACTGTGTAGTCTGATGCAGTTTCCAGTGGTGCAGTTAGTCTAGGAGGAAAGTAAAGGTAAAATGCTTAGGTATCATTTTAGAAAGACTACCTCAGGGTCAAATCTTGGGAGAAATTCTCAGGTTAGGTGGCTTAGAGGAAGGCACTGATATAGTGAAAATGAAGCTAAACATGAAGTTCAAATCCATTGAGTTATCTTTGTGACCTTGGAAAAGTGACTTGGCTTTTTAAATCTGTAAAATGGAGGTGTTTATTATCTCACAGGCTGTTGGGGTTAAATAAATCTGCTAAAGGACCCAACACTCATTGAGTCCCTGGCAGAGTTAGTGCTTAAAGTTCTCTTTTACAGAGCAAATATACCACACTGAGTAAGGCATGGTGAGTTTTAGTCAGTGCAGTATACTGAGTGGTGGGTTCAAGCATGCCAGGAGAATGTGGTTGCCCTCACGGTGTATTAACCAGACCTCATTTGCTAGACATAGGTCTTTTTCTTTAAACTTTGGATGCAGAGTTGAATTAATTACATCCCATTGGTGCCCAGGTTCCCTATTATCCAACAATGAGGACTCCTTGGTTTTAATTTTGCTCCTTCAATCCTGTTTTCTACCATTCTCCCCACAGAAGGACCCAATCTGTTGTGTTTGACACACCTTTAAATCTATAGCCTGAGAAAATGGTGTAGTGCTTTGCATGTGGTATGTTTTTAATTTATGCTTAACCAAATGTACATGATACTGTGTTATAGTTCTTCTCAGTTTCGTTTTTCATTCAACATTTTTTCACTCCACATCTAGCAGTGTCTAGTTCATTACTTCTGACTGCTGCCTGGTATTCTATAGTGTGCGTCTACCACACCTTCCTTACTGCTTTCTCTAGAGCTGACACCTTGATTGCCTTCAACTCCACATCACCATACCAGCTAGCACTGTTAATGCATACCTCACTTATATACATGAATATATATAAATATACATTTATGTCGTCTTTTGTCATCTCTTTTATCCGGTGAGGGGCATGGGAGGCAATGAGAACAGCATGTTTACTGACCTGTAAAATACTAATACTATCTCTGTTTATTTCATTTTTGAGACAGGGTCTTGCTGTGTCTCCCAGGCTGGGTGCAGTGGAGTGATCACTGCTTACTGCAGCCTCGACCCCATGGGCTAAAGTGATCTTTCCACCTCAGCCTCCCTGGTAGCTGGGACTACAGGTCTGTACCACCATGCCTGACTAATTTTTTTTTTTTTTTTTGCAGAGAGAGAGTCTCACTATGTTGCCCAGGCTGGTTTTGAATTCCTGGGCTGAAGCAATCCTCATGCCTCAGCCTCCCAAAGTGCTGGGATTATAGGCGTGAACCACCACGCCCAGCCTCTTCATTTATTTAATTAGCTACTTCTTCCAGGCTTCAGGAGACACCTTAGTTCTGATTTTGGGTTTGTGGAACAATCCATTGTCTCACTTCTATCCACACTGTAATTTTATAAAATTCAATTTATTTGCTTTTCTGGAGTAGAATTCTATTTGCAGGATGGAGGATGGAGGGGGGCCCAGCAAACAAAAAGAGATTTAAACCTTATCTCCTGATAGTTAAGTGAACGAGACAGGAAACATGACAAATGGACTTGTTATTTTGGGGGAGCCTCTTGGTGGTACAAGAAAATGTGGAGATGTCTTTGATATTTTATTTGCTTGTTGTTCCTTTGGGGTGTGTTTATCTTTCTTTCTCTAGGTGCACTCTGTTCCCCACTCTGTTTTCTGTATTAGGATTTTTTGGGCTTCCTGGTCCATTCACACATAGTCATTTACCATCAGTTCTCCCTGTTTTGGTGTTTTCACAGCTACATGATCCTTTTCTGGTATCTTATGCCTATCACACTGGAGAAGTGAACACATGCATGTGGGCTGAACCTGCCAAACAAAGATCCAAGTGTAAAGCCTAGGGAATGCTTCTGTTCTTACATTTCTCTACCCTCACTGTGGTATTGACATAGCGCTTTTGTTCCTCCAATTTTTAAAAAATTTTTGTGGGTGCACAGCAGGTGTATATGTTTATGGGGTACTTGAGATGTTTTGATACAGGCGTGACATCATTATTTCTTCAAATTTTTATCCTCCACATTTCTTTTTGATGAAAAGAGCTAATCTGTATTGACCTACACCCCCCGTCCTGCCACAGTACCTATTGTCCTTAAAACAGTTATCTAAACTTACAGTGGATGCCAGAGTCGTCATGTTAAAGGTTCTTCTTCGGCTGGGTGCAGTGGCTCACGCCTATAATCCCAGCACTTTGGGAGGCCGAGGCAGGCCGATCACGAGGTCAGGAGATCGAGACCATCCTGGCTAACACGGTGAAACCCCGTCTCTACTGAAAATACACAAAATTAGCTGGGCGAGGTGGCAGGTGCCTGTAGTCCCAGCTACTTGGGAGGTTGAGGCAGGAGAATGGCGTGAACCCTGGAGGCGAAGCTTGCAGTGAGCCGAGATCGCGCCACTGCACTCCAGCCTGGGTGACAGAGTGAGACTCCATCTCAAACAAAAGCAAACAAAAAAAAAAGGTTCTTAGTGAGTACCAAGCCAGCGCTGGCTGCTGCAGCTGGCTGCCAGCAACTTGTGTGGAGCCTTTCCTCCTGGGAGGCATTGCAGGACCAGATGGTGCCGGCAAGTGTTTGTCAGTCTTTACCTTGAGACATCAAGACTGGGATCAAAAGTGAGAGAACATAATCTTGTCCCTTTCCATGCATGTTACAGAAACCCCTAGCTGCCTTTGCTGCCTGTCTACAGACTGGACAGTGTTGATTTAATCTTTCTGCTTTGTGTTTTACTGAGTATAAAGTGCCGTTTTATGATTCTCCACTGTGGGGTATATGTAGTATTCCTATTTTACAGATGAGGAAATAGAGGAGTTCAGTAACTTTTTAAAGGAGACACAAAAGGAAGCCAGAGGTGACAATTTCTTGTTCTGCATTTTTTCTTTTTTTTTTTTTGAGACAGAGTCTCGCTCTGTCACCGAGGCTGGAGTGCAGTGGTGCAATCTCGGCTCACAGCAACCTCTACCTCCTGGGTTCAAGCAATTCTTCTGCCCCAGCCTCCCAAGTAGCTGGGACTACAGGCATGCACCACCACGCCTGGCTAATTTTTGTATTTTTAGTAGAGACAGGGTTTTGCCATGTTGGCCAGGCTGGTCTTGAACTCCTGATCTCAAGTGATCTGCCCACCTCAGCCTCCCAAAGTGTCCTGCATTCTTAATATTGCAGCACACCTGTGCAGTGTCTTCAGCGTCATCCCAGCCTAAGGAGCACACTTGGGGAGAAGGTGGGGCTATAAAAATGTACTCAAGTCCACTAGATTTGCAGCAGCTGTGCAAAAATCTCATTTTAAATCCGAAAATACATACAATCTTACATTTACATTAATACATGAAAAAATATCACCTTTTCTTCCCTAGAAGGTGATCAAAATTTGCCCCAATTTTGGTTATTTGTGGAGTCTTCATTGTTAAGCTGTTTTCCTCCACCTTGATTATCATTTCTAAACTCTGTTAAGATCTCATTGAACATTATTAATTTGGAATTCACAATAATTCATATGTGGGAGTCCAGGTAAGAGCTGTGTTGCCAACTTTCAATGTGCAGTCATTTTTGCAAGAGAATTGCTGGCAGTCCTAGAGAAATTTGTAAGTGCTTAGAAGAATACATGTCATTTAATTCAGACTAATTTGCAATTGGCACATTAGTTATTTATGACACAGAAATTCATGGAGATTAAGATTTGATTAGCTTGTTAATGCTGCAAACAGTTAAAATTTTAGAATAATTATTTATTTATTGTTTGTGAGGCACACTTGTTCCCCTAATCTGTTCTCTCCTCGTGCATGTGGCTTACCAGGCAGCAACTGTTTCCCAGCCCCGCCTCCAGCAAGGCGTGGTCATGTGACTAAGTTTGGACCAGTGGTTGTGCACAGAGGCAATGGATGCAACTTGACTACAGATCCTCACAACTCTGAGATAAGCTGCTTTTCTACTCGCTGCCTGTTTTTCCTCTCCCGAGCTGGAAGTAAGGTGCACCAGTGTTACCCATGCAGATAAGGACTATACCTCAGGGAATGGCAGAGCAATAGTATGGAAGGACATTAGGGAGGAGAGGTGCTCTGCCAACTGGAGCTGACTGGACTGTTAGTGAAATAAATTGAAGCCATTGTGTTGTGATGTTTTAGTTACAGTAACCTAGCTTATAATCTGATAGAGTAAAAATCCATGATAATGCTAATATGACCTGGCATAATTCAAATGTAGATGGAATTGGCAATTGCTGTTTCTTATCTTCCCTTTGCCCCTGTTCTCAATCTGAAGTGGGCTAATTTTTTTTTTTCTCGATGGAGTCTCACTCTGTTGCCCAGGCTGGAGTGCAGTGGCACAATCTTGGCTCACTGCATCCTCTGCCTCCTGGGTTCAAGTGATTCTCCTGCCTCAGCCTCCCAAGTAGCTGGGATTGCAGGCGCCCACCACCATGCCCAGCTAACTTCTGTATATTTAGTGGGGACAGGGTTTCACCATGTTGACCAGTCTGGTCTCGAACTCCTGACCTCAGGTGAGCCTGCCTCAGAGTGCTGGGATTACAGGTGTGAGCCACCACCCCCAGCTAGAAGTGGGCTAAATTCTTACACAGGGTTGGTTTTGGGGACAGTTAGGAAGTGCTTGCTTCATGATCATTCGGGACTTTCTCAGGTCAATATTTTCAATATTGTCCCTTTTATTAATTTATTTTGGAGACTATACAGACAGAAAAATAATATTTTTCTTTCCCTCATATGGCAACTTCACAACATGCCCGCTAATTCTTTGACATTCCTTCCCTGGAGAGGTAGGGTCTGTCTCCCCTTGATGTTGGGCTGCTCTTTATTACTTGTTCATATCCAATTAAATGCAGCAGAAGTACAATTCAGCTCCCAGTTGGCTTCCTTGGACTCTCGACCAGTGTAAGGAGTCTGACGCCCCCAGGAAGTCATGCTATGTAGGATCCCAGGCCATATGGAGAGATCACATGTAGGCTCTCTGTTTGATGTCCCAGCTAAAGTCTCAGTCAACATCTAGCACCAATTTCCAGCACCTGAGGGCACCATCTTGCATGTCCAGCCCAGTTGAGCCTTCAGATGACTGCTGCCCCCACCAACTCATGGCAATCCTGGAACAGACCCAAGCAAGAACTATCTAGAAGAGGCCTTCCAAAATTCGTGACCCATAGAATCCATGAGCATAATGAAATAGTTTTACAACACTAACTTTATGCAGCAATAGTACCTGGAACACCTCACTATTACACCATCACATATGTTACATGGTTGAATCTTGGATTCCACTTAAACACCTTGTGGTGGAGCTTTCCCGTCAATGTTGTTTTAAGCGCAAGGACTTTACATACATTATAATACCTTATTTAATCATCACAGCACACCTAAGAAGTAGATACAATTATTATTCCCGCTTTACAGCTCAGGAATATTGGGTGTAACAGCCCAAGGTCACACTGCTCTTAATTACTGTGCTTTCTATTGTCAGTGCTGGAAAATGAGAGGCTCCAGGAGTCAGAATTTTAGACTTTCATGACATACTTGAACTGACCTCAGTCAATTCCCTCCTATTGTGGTTACACAGCAGAATCTGGGCATAAGGAAATTCAGCCATGGTATGCATTAGTAATTGACAGAGTAAGGTAGAAACGTATTTCTCTAAGTGTGTGTGCTAGCCACTGTGCTGCTCTGCAAAGTCAAACCGTTTTCAACTCCTTAAAAAATTCTTTGGTATAAACTGTTACTTACTGAGTAAGCACGATGCATTTCTTTAGAGGAAAAGAATGAATCTATATTTAGCATATACCTAAACCTATATTAAAAGCATTAAAACTATATTCAAGAATACATTTATTTAAGAATCTGTGCTTTAAAAAAACCTACATTTTTGATTTCATTGAATAAGACTTCTAAGTTGTGAATTGAAAGCATTCGGTTTTATTATTAATCACCACTTTTGGTATTCCAATCTCATATACCATTCTTACTTGGGGTAACGTGTCTCAGACATGTTGCCCAACCCTAGTTTACTCATTTTCTAAACAGCATCGGCAAATGTGGAAAATGAGACGACTTATAAAGGTGAGAGATTTTAGCTTTTCTAAAAAGATTTTTCTAATGCTTAGTGCCAGAGAATGAGAATATTAAATTGGCAGTAAATAGAGTAAATGGAAACTATTTTAACATTTATGCTTGAAACATGACTTCAGTTCCAAGACGTTTTTTCTTTTTCTAATTCAAGTAAATGAAACCTATTTGGATAATTCAGTAATTTATTCTTTTTATTCATCTTGAATATTGGGGGATTTTCCCTAGAAATAAACACAAATATATAGAGTAGGTAACAATTTGGTAACATAAAATCTAAAACAAAGAGCTTATTCAGTGATGGATATTGTTGTATGCGATTTACATGTGCAAACTCATTGAGTCCTCACAACTCTAGGAGGTAGATAATATATTATCCCCATTTTGTAGGTGGGGAAACTAAGGCATAAAGAAACTTCCATAGTTACTAAGTAGCAAAATTGGGGTATGAATTCAGGTAGTTAGGATTCTAGGTCTGCACTCTTCACACTGCACTAGCAGTTCTTTAATTTTTGGGCCTCAGATCCCTTTCACACTCTTTAAAGTACTGAGGACTCTGATGAGCTTCGTTTTTGTTGGTTGCATTTATTGATATATATATATATGGTATTAGAAATTAAGAAGGAGAAAATTAAAAAATGTTTAACTCATTTAAAAGTAATAAAACCATTGCATGTTAACCTTAATATATTTTTATAAAAAACAACGATATTTCCTTAAAAAAAAAAAACTATAGTGAGATGAGTGGGGTTTTTTTTTGGTTACATTTTTGCAAATTTCTTTAATGTCCAGCTTAACAGGAAACAACTGGATTTTCATATCTGCTTCTGCATTCAATCTGTTGTATAATACATGTCATGCCAACCCTGGAAACTACATAGTCTTCTGATAGGAGAACAAAGGCGAAACAGGCAAATAACATATAATTATTATTACAAAAAATGCTTTGGCTTTGCAAAGCCCCTGAAAGGGTCTTAGGGACATCCAGGCATCCTGAGATCATACTTTGAGAATTATGGCACTACACTTTACTGCCTGTAGGTACACAGGGAGAATGTCTTGGTTGAATTTTAAGTGTTCCTTAAGAAACAGTGTTTCTTCAAGTAAATCCCAGCCTGCTGTGGTAGAAGGAGCAGAGGCTGAGTAGCCAGAGACTGGGGTGCAACCCTAGTTCTGTGCATGGGAGTTCTTGACCTTCACTAAGTTCTCTCCATGTCAGGTTCCTTATCTTTAAAATGAGGCTCATTACCAATCCCTTCCAGGGTCATCCCAGGCTTTCCAAAAAATATGTGATAAGGTGCCTAACAGGTGCTGACACAAGAGGATGTCTGACCAAGTGTAGTTTTTATTTCAGATAGACTAATGATGGCCAGGGAGGAAGGAGAGGGGCCATGACCAACAAAAAGGGAAGGAGAAGAGAGCCACCAAGGACAGATCCACAGACTCCCAGCTAGAAGCCTTTCAAGCCAGGTGTTTAGAGACTCAGATGTTCGGACTTTTAGGAATTTATTGGGGTGCATATACTGTAGATACTGTCAGAGCTCCATAAGACTTGGAGGACCATCTGATAATCAAACACATTTATACTTCTAGAGAGGGACATATTCCACTCATACCGAGGCCTAGAAATAGCCTTCTCTCTGGCCAGATTTTGATGCCAAAGGATTTACAAAAAATATTTCAGTGTTCAGAACTCCGGGATTTGGGACTGTAGATGAGGAATTGTGGACCTTATTGGGCTTCTGTGCCAGCACCAAGCTAGGGATTGTGCCCACGCCCTTTCATTTCATCCTTTCAACTCCATGAGCAAGAAGCAGACATCTAAGGATCTAGAGAGATCTTTGCCTAGTATCTGCCTTGCAATCAACTTTAGAGGACCTCAGGGTTGGAGCAGTGGCTTCTGGCTTTCTGATTATGGCTGTTGCCTGCAATTTAAAGTCCTAATGTTCATTTTGTTTGAAGAGGGATGGAGGAGGAGTTAGACACATGGAATGTGTGTGTGTGTGTGTGTGTGTGTGTGTGTGTGTGTGTGTGTGTGTGTGTGTGTTTCAAGATGAACTCAATAGCATCAACAAATAATGAGGGTTCAGAAAGTTTATATTTAACTTGTTGAAAATCCACCTAGCTATGAGCCTAATTTCCTGAAGAATAAATGTAAGGTGAGATGATATGTTTTGGATACCAATAAGATCCAGTACCTGCTACGTTTATAGGGATAGAAATTGAACAAATGGCAACATTTCAAAATCTGCCAAAAAGAGCCCCAACTGATTGTTTTCATGTTTATAATCTCCAACTTACAGAATTTCACAGAGGAACAAGCCGTAAAGTTGCCTGAAGATAAGTCCTGGCTATGAATTAATGTTGAACAACATGAAAAGATTACAGGTACTTGGAAATAAACTTCTGAGGAACTCATCAGAATTTCAAATTATGCAAGTATTATGATAATACTTGAGAATCTCAAAATCATTTCAACTATCAATTTCTGTGGGATTTTATAATAATTTGCAGCTTCAATGACAAAATAATTTAAAATGATGTTTTCTAACTCTACCTACACAATTATTCTGACTTTATAGGAAATAAATTACATTTATTTGGACATCTGTACATGTCACACACATTAATAGGTATTTTGTTGATTCCAACTTAAATACTTACATATTTCAAAATTGTAACCTCTTTAAGTTTGTCACTGTCACAAACTTGGCTTCATGGTACTTCAAATGTCCTCTCCCCAGCCAAAAAGCAGAAAATGTTGTCTGTTAAAAGGCAGGGAAGTAGAAAAATAACTTTTTATAATACCTGTCTCCAGTTAAGTAGATATGGCTGCTCTAGTGAGTTGAGAGGACTTGATTTTTCTCCTTTCTCCTCCCCTCCCCTCCTCTCCCCTTCCCTTCTTCCTTCCTTACGTTCTTCCTTCCTTCTCTTCTTCCTTCCTTCCTTTATTCTTTCCTTCCTCTTTCTTGTTATTTTACCCTTCAAAAGTGGGTTTTAAAGTTTCTATATACAATAAATCACTGCTACTTTATTGCGTTTATCATCTAGAATTCCTTCAGGAACCACAATTACAATCGCAACAATTAGTTGAACCCAAGGCTTCTCCCAGGATTCCTGGTAACTAGGGTGTGTCAGTAAAGCTGGGCTCATGGATGCCTATCTGACACGCTTACTGTGGACATGAACTCAACCACTGCACATGCTTGTAGTGGATGCGGTGGTGTGCAGCCCCGATCTCCCCTCCAGGACTCAGGCACTCATTCGCCCAGCTGCCAGGAGTGCTGGCTTTTGTTGTCTCACAAATGAGTCTGTCTTTGGGAATCCCTCCCTTAGCAGAAGAGAGCTGCCCTGCCCAAGGCCCTACCCCTTCTGCAGTTGGGGTTTGGGGGGCAGCACGCATCCTGTGGCTGGCTGGCCCCTTGCCTTGTCTAGACAACTCTGACAGCAGTCCATGGGATTGCTGAAGGCCTTTACTGCAACAGAATCATAATTCAATTTCTCCCTCTATGGAATCCTTTTTCTCTTCTTTATGGGTATTGATCCTAAAAGCACTCCCCAGTAAAAGTCCTGCATGTATATCTCCACCTCAGACCCTATTTCTCAGGTAAGCATTCCTAAAACCACTGGTGCTAGGAATGGTCCGAGGAAGGAGACTCTAAAATGGAATCTGGAACTGGGTCACCAGCTGACCAGCCAGCAGGGAGGACACCATAACTAGGGGTGGGTGGGTGGATTACCTACAGCCCCTGGCAGGCTGTAACTATGCAATTGTTGCAACAGTCACTGTGATGTAACTGCTGGAAGGCAATGCATTGGTAAGTCTAGTATCCGAGATATCTAGGGGTCCAGGGGAAGTGGTAATTGTAAGTACAATAGAATTGGATGGCTGTTTCTGAGTGCTATAAAATGAATTAGAGAAAGGGGATGAAAGGATACAATGATTAATTACCAATTTAAGGCTAAGTGTGAAAGCCAGAGGGCCTATGGCAGTTTATAAAGAGCTTCTCATCTCCCGCAGCCAGAAGTAGAAAAAAGCCAGGATCAAGCCTAGAACTTAATTATAAGGCCAGGAGGGCTCCAGAGAAGGTTAAAATTTTCAATCCTAGTAAGTGTGCTATGCCAAGGTCAGGACCCTGACTAGGAAGGAGTGAGATGCTGAGACTTGGAATAAGGATATATGTGTTCCTGCACCAAAAATCTCGAATCTTCAGATTCCCCTCAACCGTCTGGGCCCACTGCTCCCTATTAAAAGCTAGTGCTACCCTTGCTTGAAGAGAGTGCAGGAGCTTTTTCTTGCAAGATAGCGTGTTCTTAAGTCAGGGTTGATCCCAACTCCATTCCTGGACACTAGGCCAGTAAATACAATGGGGATCAGCAACTGCAGTCTCCTGGCCAAATCCAGCCTGCAGTCTATTTTGGTAAATAAAGTTTTAGTTTAATACAACCACATCCATTCAACGACACATTGCCTATGGCTGCCTTCATGCTACAATGGGAGAACTGAGTAGTCACGACAAAGTCCATATGGCCCACAAAACCAAAAATGTTTACTATCGGGTTCTTTACAGGCAAAGTTTGCAGACCCTGAACTAGAGTCAAGTACAATAAAACTTGACAGGAGAAGTGCTGATTGTGATAAGGAAGGAAAAAATAGACACCAAAGAAGATGCAAGACTGAGCCAGCAAGTACTAGCAGGAGTGGAAGAATATATATGGGATGAATCCTGAAGGGCCTGGGTTAAGAAGGATGCAATATATAGTTGGATACTGGAAACTTTATCTATGTGGGAGCACTCCCCTGAGATAGAGAATTTAGCACTCTTCTTGGTTGACTCTTGGGGTATCTTTGTTGACTCTTTTCTTTCTTAGAAATGCAATGATCAACTATGTGGAGGAGATATGTGAGAAATGCCTTAGCAGATGATGAAGAAAGAGATCAAAAGGCTCCGAGAAGCAGGAATGCTACGGTGGATATGCAGTCAGCTCTCTGTATCTGTGGGTTCATTCAACCTCGGACTGAAAATATTCAGCATTTGGGAAAAAAGTGGCATCCCATACTCAACATGTACAGACATTTTTTTCCTTGTCATGATTCCCTAGTCAATACAGTATAGTGACTATTTACATAGCATTCACATGATATTAGATATTATAAGTAATCTAGAGGTGATTTAAAGTGTATGGGAGGGTGTGTGTAGGTTATATGTAAATCCTAGGCCATTTTATATCACAGACTTGAGTATCTATAGATTTTGGTATCCAAGGTAGGTTCTGGAACCAATCCTTTATGGATGCTGAGGGACAACTGTACACTGGTTCTCCCTATCCATGGTTTTGCTTTCCACAGTTTGGTTACCCCCAGTCAACTGTGGGCTGAAAATATTAAATAGAAGATTCCAGAAATCAATAATTTGTAAGATTTAAATTGCACATTGTTCTGAGTAGTGTGATGAAGTCTTGCACTGTCCCCCGCAGGATGTGAATTGTCCCTTTGTCCAGTGGATACACACTGTCAACACTTCCCTCCAGTTAGCCACTTCACCATCTCGGTGATCAGATGGACTGTCGAGGTATCGCAGTGCTTGTGTTCAAGGCACCCTCATTTTACCTAATAATGGCCCCAAAGCACAAGAGTGGTGATGCTGGTGATTCAAATATGCCAAAGGGAAGCCGTAAAGTGCTTCCTTTAAGTGAAAAGGTAAAAGTTCTTAAGGAAAAAAAATTATATGCTGAGGTTGCTAAGATCCATGGTAAGAACAAATTTTTTACCTGTGAAATTGTGAAGAAGGACAAATAAATTTATGCTAGTTTTGTGGTTATACCTCAAACTGCAAAAGTGCCACAGTGCATGTATAGGAAAAAACATCATATATATGGGGTTTGGTACTATTCGCGTTTTCAGGCATCCACCTGTGGGGTGGCCTTGGAATGTATTTCCCACAGATAATGGGGGCCTACTGTACTTTGTAAGACCGAACAATCTACCAGTTCACTGTATTTCACAGGGGCACCCAGAAGGCAACCTTTTACCAAAGCTGTAAGAAATGAGCTGGTGAGAGGGGCAATGTGTCAATGAGAAACTCAATGGTGGCTACCCCCTCTAGGGGAGGGCTGATACTGTATATTGTGCCGGGGTTCTATATAACTGGGATGGTTCTATATAACAGCAGTGGGCTTCTATATAACAGCAATGGGGATGGTAAGATCCCAGATTGATAGAGGCTGGGTGGTAGACTATAGGTAGCAGACCAAGAAGGATGCAATTATTATCATGAATGGAAAGGTTGGAGTGGCAGCCAGGAGTCCTCACCCAAAGAGAGCTGTGGAGATGGTTACTAGACCACAGTGTTATTAAGGGCAAGATACAGGGACACATAAGAATAATGCCAACACTTCACTGAAGAGTCATGGCCAATTTCCAGATCTGAGCCTGTCCTTTGACCCAGAACCTGTTGACTGGAGAGGCTGGTTTGAGGAAGGAGCCTGCTATACTATGGCAAGTGCATATGATAACAGTTCCCCCAGTCTTTACTCAAAGGGATCTGTGGCCACTTACTTGGGTAACTGTTCAATGGGAAAAAGGGCAATCCTAGATATTTCCAGGACTCTTGGGCATAGTCCAATCTCCACTGGTATTCAGGAAGTTTTGTTTCATCCAGGCCCCTTGCTGAAGTGGGAGCTTATGAAGAGTAAGAAATAAGAAGTCCAGACCTAGTTGATTTCACAAGGGATTCTTTGGCTCCATGGATCCACCTGGTGGTCATTTATTCAGTCTCTGGATGTATAATTGAAATCCGTAGTAGTCAGCAGAATCTTCTCATTAGTTCCTTGGTTTGTAGGGCCAACCAGTATGGTCTGTAGTGAAGAGGGCTACATAGAAGCCTCTGAAACTTTCTTACCATGGCCAAGAGAATAAATTAAAAAAAAAAATCACATCCAGGGGAATGGCCAAGAAATCTGGCACTCTAAACATGCTCAACACTACAAGTGGTCCCCATCATGTCCCCATTTAATTATCTCTCTGTCCCCCTTCAGAACCAGGGGTCCTGATAATTGACAGTGGATCTCCATGAAGTCAAGTAATTACTTAATATATCTATTACCACTACCAAATGTCCAACCTGCCAGCAACAGAAACCAACACTGAGCTCTTCAACAAACACAGTCCCCAGAGGAGACTAACCAGCCACTTGCTAGCAACTTGATCACATCAGATTCCTTTCAATCTGGAAATGGCAGTAATTGATTTTGACTGGAATTGACACATATTCCAGAGATGGCTTTACCTTTCCTACCCACAGGGACTCAGGCAGCATGACCACCTGTAAGCTTATAGATTATATGATAAACTGACATGGAATCCTGCATAACGTGACTGTGGACCACTGGCCCCATTTTATAGCAAAAGAAGGACAACAATGGACATATGATGATAGGATAACACCATCCAGAAACTGCCTATCTACTAGAGGTTTTTGACAGCACAGCTAAAGTGCCAGCCTGCAGGTGATACTGTGTCCGGAATTGGTGGGTTCTTGGTCTCACTGACTTCAAGAATGAAGCCGCGGACCCTCACAGTGAGTGTTACAGTTCTTAAAGGCGGCGTGTCTGGAGTTTGTTCCTTCTGATGTTCGGATGTGTTTGGAGTTTCTCCCTTCTGGTGGGTTTGTGGTCTTGCTGGCTCAGGAGTGAAGCTGCAGACCTTCGCGGTGAGTGTTACAGCTCTTAAGGTGGGGCATCTGGAGTTGTCCTTTCCTCCCGGTGGGTTAGTGGTCTCACCGGCTTCAGGAGTGAAGCTGCAGACCTTCGGGGTGAGTGTTACAGCTCACAAAGGCAGTGTGGACCCAAAGAGTGAGCAGCAGCAAGATTTATTGCAAAGAGTTAAAGAACAAAGCTTCCACAGTGTAGAAGCGGACCCAGCAGGTTGCCACTGCTGGCTCGGGCAGCCTGCTTTTATTCTCTTATCTGGCCCCACCCACATCCTGCTGATTGGTTCATTTTACAGAGAGCCGAGTGGTCTGTTTTGACAGGGCACTGATTGGTGCGTTTACAATCCCTGAGCTAGACACAAAGGTTCTCCACGTCCTCACTAGATTAGCTAGATACAGAGTGTGGACACAAAGGTTCTCCAAGTCCCCACCAGAGTAGCTAGATACAGAGTGTCCATTGGTGCATTCACAAACCCTGAGCTAGACACAGGGTGCTGATTGGTGTGTTTACAAACCTTGAACTAGACACAGAGTGCCTATTGGTGTATTTAAAATACCTTAGCTAGACATAAAGGTTCTCTAAGTCCCCACCAGTCAGGAGCCCAGCTGGCTTCACCCAGTGGATCCCGCACCAGGGCCGCAGGTGGAGCTGCCTGCCAGTCCCGTGCCGTGCGCCTGCACTCCTCAGCCCTTGGGTGGTCGATGGGACTGGGTGCCGTGGAGCAGGGGGTGGTGCTCATTGGGGAGGCTTGGGTGCACAGGAGCCCACGGAGGGAGTGGGAGGCTCAGGCATGGTGGGCTGCAGGTCCTGAGCCCTGCCCTGAGGGGAGGCAGCTAAGGCCGGCGAGAAATCCAGCGCAGCGCTGGTGGGCCGGCACTGCTGGGGGACCCAGCACACCCTCTGCAGCCGCTGGCCCCGGTGCTAAGCCCCTCATTGCCCAGGGCCGGCAGGGATGGCCGGAGGCTCCGAGTGCCGGGCGTGCCGAGTCCACACCCACCCGGAACTCGTGCTGGCCTGCAAGCACTGTGCATAGCCCCAGTTCCTGCCCCACCTCTCCCTCCACACCTCCCGGCAAGCTGAGGGAGCCGGCTCCGGCCTCAGCCAGCTCAGGAAGGGGCTCCCACAGTGCAGCAGCCGGCTGAACGGCTCCTCAAGTGCCACCAAAGTGGGAGCCCAGGCAGAGGAGGCGCCGAGAGCAAGCGAGGGCTGTGAGGGCTGCCAGCACGCTGTCACCTCTCAATATGTTGTAAGGACAGGGTGGCATTGAACCAATGCCCGTTATATAGTGCTACGTCTCCAATAGGTGGGATTGATGGCCTCAGGAGACAATGATTGGGGCCTGGTGTGGTGGCTCATGCCTGTAATCCCAGCACTCTGGGAGGCCAAGACTGGTGGATCACTTGAGGCAGGAGTTTGAGACTAACCTGGCCAACATGGTGAAACCCCGTCTCTACAAAAAATACAAAAATTAGCTGGACATGGTGGAGTGTGCCTGTAGTCCCAGCTACTCGGGAGGCTGAGGCAGAGAATCACTCGAACTGGGAGGTGAGGTTGCAGTGAGCCAAGATTGCGCCACTGCACTCCAGCCATGTGACAGAGCGAGAAAAGAAAACAATAAGAAAACAATGATTGGAGTAGGTCTGGCTCCAGTACCATTACTCCCAATGACCTGCTTGAGGAATTTGTGCTTGCTTGTCCTTGCACATTTAGTCTCTCCCAGGTCCTTATCTCCAAGGGGAGAATGCTTCTACGAGGGAACACAAGAATTCCATTACACTTTAAGCTACAGCTGCTGTCCAGTTGTGATCACAGCCACCCAGGTGACTCACTAGGTTGTCTCTTGGTACCCCCTTGCCAGATCTTCATTGTAAATGAGCAAGTGCAGTAGCCATGGCTGGAACTGGTTATGCCACCAAGCCATGTTTTCATGGTAAGGCAGGGCTTAGGGTCTCCTGGGATGAAAATCATGGTCATCCCACCAGGTAAGCCCCCCAGACTACAGCAGTGCTGTTTAAAAGTGTGAAAGCAGAGGAGGGAGATCATGACACCAGATGTAGTCACTGAAAGGGGCTGAGATTTGTCCCAATAACCTTCCTCTTACCAGTTTCCAAAGAAAAATAGATCATTGAGAATCCCATGGAGCTATTCTCAGAGGGGATGAAGTTATTACATGAAGGAGGGAGGCTAAGGGTGGGGGCTGCAATGCGAGGGGAGATACACTCCCCACATGTTTCCTTCAGGATCAAAGCATTCATTTCCAAGCAGTCAGAAGCATTGGTTTCTCACTCCTGCAAAGGTACTCATCCATGAGTTCCTCTTGGGATTGACTCTTGGCCAAAAGGAGCTACTTCTTCCAATACCCACTTCCATGGGTATTGGATTTATGTGAGAATACAAGGGCCTGGCCCCCCTTGCCTAGATTATGAAAGCTCTGAAGGGCCTTTCTGCTTGGTCTTCTCCTGGTATCTGTTGTGGCCTCTTGCAACCGCATCACAGTTCTACTTCTCCGTGTGCCCAATCCTGCTTCCCTCACCCCTCCCAGGTGCTGTTTCTGAGAACATTCCCCAGTAAAGCTCCTGCATGTAACTTTCCATCGCAGAGTCCAGTTCCTGGGAACCTGTCCTGAGAGTGTGACCTGCTTTAAGCATCTTATAAATGCCTCTTATTTTCCTAATTGTTATAATTCTGGGGTTAAAAACAAACCAGTGATTAAGTGTAAATAATTTTTCCCTCACAAACTGAAAATTAAAATATTCAGTAGTTTCATTCAGCTGAAAATATTTTACTGAACACAAAGGGCTTTGTTTCTTTGGGGAGTCAACTCTACATAGCATCTTCCCTTTAATGAGCTTTTGGCATTTCAATCATTTATTTTTAATCAAGTTCTAATCCACTGTTTAGTTAGATATTTCCAAAGTATTTTTACAATGTAGTATGTTTTTAAAATTAGGTCTCCATCTGTCATTATATGGAATGTGTGTGGGCATTAGTGAATGGACTTATTTTTACCCTCTGAATGCTATTATCTTGCTTAACCATATCCCTGGAAAGAAGTGTCATTACAAGTGATCTTTTCTTCCATTTACTCACAATTAATTTTGCTTTGTTTTGTGATCCACAGCTTCAGTTTTCGAAAAACCAAATCAGCACCTTAACCTGTTTAAAGAGGAGCACAGAAAATTGTTCTGCAGAATTTATGTTCTCTTTCCATCTCCAAATTATTTCATTGCCACAACAAAGACATGTTCACTGAGCATATCACAGACCTCTTCATTCTGAATTTCTTAGATTGATAGTTTTGATGCTCCTTCTATTAATACTTAAATTGGTGATGGTGTAAGGTGCCAAAAAATGTAGAAGATGATCAATCTTTTATTTTAATCATCAATTTCAAAACTAATCAGATAATATTGGAGCGATTCCATTTAAAATGCAAATCAGAAATCAGCATATAACATATGGAGTAGGATTTTCTCACATTTTTTTTACAGTTATTTATTCCATATCTTTCTAGTCCTGGCATATATGGAATTTCATTTCTATAGGTTTTGATGTACTCATATGCATCATTTTTTAGGGTTTTTTTAAATTTTATTATGGAATGTTCCAAACATACAGAAAGTAGAGAGAATAGGATAATGAACCTTCATGGACTCATCTCTCAGCTTCAGCAGCTGTCAACAATTTGCAACTCCTGTTTCATCTAATCATCTCCGTCTCCTCTCTCCCTCCCACCACATACAAACACACAGACACACACACACACACACACACACACACACACACACACTTTTTTTTCCTGGAATATTTGAAGCAAATACTAGATATCATATTATTTTCTTTGTAAGTTCTTTATATACATTTAAGCAGCCCGACTTTAAAAAAAAAACCACCTAGGTATTATCATACCAAACAAATAACACAAATATCAAAAATATTCTAATATCAATTCATATTCAAATGTCTTTAATTGTCTGAAAGTTGTTCTTTTACGGTTGGCCTATTCGAATAATATTAATAATAATTTCTCTTAGCTATTTCAGTCTACATTGTCCCTCCTTCTCACTCCTCAATTGTTTTCATGCCATTGAATTTGTTAGAAAAATCAGATTATCCTTTAGATCTACATCTAGATTTGCATAATTGTTTCTCTGTGATGTTTTTAACTTGTTCCTCTGTTTTTTTCTATTTCCTATAAACTGATAGTTAGATCTGAGCCTTAAATCAATTAAGGTTAAAATGCTTTTTAGATTATAATATTTCTGATGCTATGTACTTCCTGTGGAATCATACCATGAACTCATGACATCTGTTTGCTCCACTTTTGGTAATGCCAGGAATCAGTCTTGGTGATGTCAGGATGCTCCATCCTCTAAAAGTCTCCCACAAGTATTTCACCTGTGATTTTAACATTCACTGACGACCATTGACAGATCCAGGGTTTCATGAGGGATTGAAATGGCAATTTTCTTAATCTGTCCTTCCTTCTGCATTAGTTATCCATAATTCTTCGATAAAGACTTATCCTCATCAAGTATTTGGCTGCCCTGAATTACAATTTGTACAAGAAAGGATAAATTCTTGATTCTTTCTATGTATTTATCAATTTTCAGAGTAATGAGTTGGTGCTCTCATAAGCAAGTTTTAAAAAAGTATCATTATGAACTCATTGATTTTTATGTTTAATGATTTAACGGAGAGTGATTATTATTCTTTTGGGTAGCTGCATTGTGTCATTTTGGGATCTTTTTCGTTTGCTTCCTTTTGACGTGACCTATTTAGTCCTTAGTAGCTTCTTGCTTTCTTGCATCTCAAAATGTCCCAGGCTTATCTCGTACATTTCAGATTCCATGTAGATTCCCAAAAGGTGACTTACTGAGCCAAAAGGAATAAGTATTTTTAAGGTAGTTTGACTTAGTGGAAACAGTATGGTCTTTGAAGGTAGGTAGGTCAGGGTTACAGTCTCAGCTCCATTGCTTATGAGCTCTGGGGTTTAGAAAAGGCTTAACCTCCCAAAATGATGATAATAGGAACTCCTATTAGGAAGAGAAAGGTAATAACAGAAAATTATTTTACTCTAGTGTAAATGGAAAAAGCAGAGTTCACAATGATATAAAATGCATAAAGAAGCTATTGTGATCAAATATGCTGCAATGTTGATGGCATCATCTGATGGTGGGAATACAGGTTATATTTCTCTTTTTTATGTCTTATACTGTATTTTTCTACATAACAAAGAATAGAAATAAAAAGATAAGTTTGTTCAAAGAAAAATAAGCCTGTACTGCAAATCCTATAGTGTTGATTAAAATTCATTTAAGATATGATTCATGGCATATACCTTTTGTATCTCTCATGGTCAATTGAATCCACTTGTCCTTTAACAAAATTTAATGCAAATTCTGTAATAAAGAAAAATATTGATGTAAGTATACTCTGCCATCTGCTTCCTTTCTCTATGCCATGCCATATTGATTTCAATAGACCAGGTCAAAACTGAGTGTTGCCTGCTTTCAAGGTTGACCTCTGAAGGTCTCCTACTGTTTCGTCTCCTTGCTCCCTGGGGAGAGCCGCTAAGTCTTTTGTTGACAGCTGAAGGCAGGATGAAATAAAATCTCCATTTGACATGCTTATAAATCAGTTTTCCTATGGGACAAGATTGTTGGTGTTGGGTGCTCATTGAAAATAGTCTTACTGATCAGAAAACTAACACAATTGGTTCTTTATTCACCTGAGGATTCAGATTGACTAATCGAAGATGAATTCATCTTGTAATCTTTTAAAAATATGACAAATGATTAAAAAAACTTTTGTGGAAGATGTCTGCAGAAGTTTCTAATTTAAGATTCAATCTGATTTTCAGAAATGATATTTTGATCTTGGGCTTGAGGGTCATAATTTCCTCTTTAAAATGGACATTAAAATTCAGCACACATTTGGAGTACAAGGAAGGGTGATGATCACAGATAAGTTTTTCTTATAATTTTTTTCTATTTGAATACATCTTATTTCAAAAGAGAATTCTTGCTTTTTAATTTTGGATACAGTGTAGGCTAAATCCAACACTGTGGCATCTTGACTACGGTGGCCTGCTCAATTAATTCTGAACAGTAAATTGCCTTTTACAGGTCTTCAGGTAGCTGGGTAAGAAGCGGCAAGGCAAACAAAGGGTCCTGGTAATTGAAAACAACTGGTAAGGATTGTTTTTCTTTTCTTTCATGTTCTTCCTAATTGATGTGCTGATTTGTATATGAACCTACAGATGAGTCAAACCTAAGCATTCGGCATTGGGAGCACTGTCACTAAAACTGCAGCCTCATTCAACAACACATCCTTATCGAGCACTTGCAGGTACTCCATTGAATGTTAGAAATGCATTGATGATGGAGACACAGCACCGGCTCATGAGGACCTTCCAGCCTAGGCAGCAGGACTGGACATACGCACTTTGGTAGGTAAGAGAATAGCAGAGGCTTCACCAAGTATGATGTGGGAAGTGGGATGGGTGATGGTGGGGAGCCATTCCTCTGGATGGTGTATTAGTCAGGGTTCTCAGAGAAATGGAATCAACAGTATGTCTTTCTCTCTCTCTCTCTCTTTCACTCTTTCTTGCTCTCTTTCTCTTTCTCTCTTGAGATTTATTTTTAGAAATTGGCTTATGCAAGTGTGGGGCTGGCAAGTCTAACAACTGCAGGGCAGGTCAGGAGGCTGGAGACCCAGGGAAGAGTTGATGCTGCAGTCTCTAGTCTGAAGGCAGTGCAGAGGCAGAATTCCCTCTTTCTCGGAGGATCTCAGGCTTTTTCTCCTAAGTCCTTCAACCAAGTGGATGAGGCCACCCGCATTAGAGAAGGTATGTTTGCTTTCCTTGAAGTCTACTGATGCAAATGTTTATCTCATCTACACACTGCCTTCATAGCAACAACTAGACTGATGTTTGACCATGCAACTGGGCACCATAGCCCAGCCAAACTGGTACATAAAATGAATTATCACAGATGGGGAGAGGCTTCATGGGGGAAAGCTGGTTAGGAGACATAACAGTACTCAAAGAAGCCTGAGAACAGGTCTTTAGCTGCTCCCAAAGTATCCAAATTGATGGCCCATCAGAAATTAGGAAGCCATCCCATGGAAAGATCTTTTCCCCAGCAACAGGTACATGAGTATGTGCTGTGTGTTGAACAGAAGGACTCCCACAAGAGGATCCAAGGAATATGATTGGTTTAGTCCTGGCCTCACCATCTCCCTTAAAAATGCCAGTTTATTTCTCTGCATATTTACCTTATTATTTTTTCATTGTCCTCTGCAGATTTATGATTTTCAATTGGTTCTTTTTTTTTTTTTTTTGAGATGGAGTGCAGTGGCATAATCCCAGCTCACTGCAACCTCTGCCTCCTGATTTCAAGCGATTCTCCTGCCTCAGCCTCCTGCGTAGCTGGGATTACAGGTGTGCACCACCACACCCAGCTAATTTTTTGTATTTTTAGTAGAGATGAGGTTTCACCATGTTGGTGAGGCTGGTCTCAAACTGCTGACCTCAGGTGATCCACCTACCTCGGCCTCCCAAAGTGCTGGGATTACAGGTGTGAACCACTGTGCCCGGCCCTTTGATTTTTTTTTTTTTTTTTAGGAGATAGGTCTTGCTCTGTCACCCAGGCTGGAGTGTAGTGGTGAGATCACTGCTCACTGCAGACTCAACCCCCTGGGTTCAAGTGATCCTCCCTCCTCAGCCTCCCCAGTAGCTGGGACTGCAGGTCTGCATCATCATGGCTGTCTTTATTTATTTATTTTTCAGTTTTTTAGAGAGAGAGTCCAGCTCAGGCTGGACTTGAACTACTGGGCTCAAGCAATCCTCCCACCTCAGCCTCCCAGTGTGCTGGGATTACAGGTGTGAGCTACCATGCCTGGCCTCTTTCCCCCTTTAAAAATATCAACTAAATAAATAAATAAATAATAAGCATTTTGTCTATTGAAACATCAATATTTTTAATATTTTAATGACATACAGTTTGCTTTTTGAATATGTAGTTCATTCCTATGACATAAATTCAAGATTCAAAAGGTTACACAGTGAAAGTAATTATCTCTCACTCCTGACTTCAAGCCACCTAAAGTGTTTCCCCAGAGGCAGCAACTATGATCAGATTGTTGATTTTGTTTTAGAGATATTCTATGATATATAAACAGCTGAGTATAAATACTTAAAAAAAGTACAATAACACCTTGATTTTTTTCACTTAAAATATTTTGAAGATTGTTCCACTTGAATCTAGTTAAAGCTGCCTTTTTATTGCTACATAATATGGCATTGTGCAAATATACCATAATTTATTTAGTCAGTCCTCATCTAGATTGTTCCAGGCTTATGCTAGTAAGACAATACAGACATAAATATCCTTGAACACACACTTTCCCTCACCAAACCTATTTTTCAGGATACATTCCTAGAAGTAGAATTGCCAGGTCAAAGAGGATGTACATTTGAAATTTTGACATATTAGCAAATTGTCCTCCATAGAGGCCATGCCAGTTAACACACCTACCGCTGATTATTTTCAGCTCCAACTTGCAAATTTTAGAATATAACATCACATGGCATTTTTTCCAAGGATAGTGATGGGATTTTGGCTGATTCATTCTCTCCTTTTCCCTCATGCCCCTGGAGGCCAATCACAAGGATGTGGAAGTCAGCTGCCTGGGAATAGTCTGAGGAAAGAGAACCAAGTGAAGATAACTTATCCATAGAGGCACTGACCCCGGAGATTCACCTTATTACACCTGGATCTGGTTTAAGTACAAAAATGTGGGTCTTCTCTTTGTGATTTCTCCACGTTCACACAGCCCATACATAGGTGTCAGGAGTCGAACTTGAACCCTGCTCCAGAGCGTTCTTGTGACTTTGGAGATCATAGATTTGTAAGCATGCCTATGTGAGCTACGCCATGCACATCGTTTAGGACAGCACCTGGTACACAGCAAGCACTCAGCAGGGTCACTTATTGTAGTCCTCGCTCGTTAGGAGGCAGGTGTGGAATGAGTGAGGCAGGAGGTGCTGGAGGGGATTTGCAGTCTGGATGTTGCTGGGGCTGGGGCTGGGGCTGGGGCTGAAGCATCAGAGATGGCTTGGATGACCTCCCCAGTCTCTCCAGCTGTGGAACTCAAACAGCTCCAGCTAGGAAGCTGTGTTTGAGTCATGGGGGCAGATGAGCATTTTTCTTAATTGAGCAGGAGCTAATGAGAGCTGTATTTCTTTGAATCTGCTCCTTGGATGAGAACAAACATTAATGACCACTGAGCTGGAAAGGCCAGATACAATTTACCAAATGAGAGAGCATCTTCCCCCATCAGTTATAAAACCGTGTGCAGAGGACCGGGTCATATTTTCCAACAGCGAAAGTCCATCAGCAGCTACGGTGTTAAATGCAGAGCGAAGGACCCATAAACTGGCAGCCGTGTGTGAAGCAATTAGATGTGGCACTGCCCCCGCAGCCACGTTCCAGCAGCCGCCTCTGTTGGAGCTTTCAAGGCTCAGCAACTCTTAGGATGACAGAGGAATAATAATGCGCTGGTTTTCTTTGCGGACACAAAGCAGGCTGCATTGGGGGAGCTCCTCTCTCCTAATGGCAACAAGATTCAGAAGCCATCCTCACCTGGATCTCGAGGGAGGGGCAGAGCTAAGTTCTCCCTGGGTGGCACCTCTGACCAGCTCCCTCTGCCAAAACAGAATACATAATCTGCTGATGGCCAAAATGAAGGACATTGGACACACCTGGTGAGAAACCCAGACTCCAGCAGAAGTAATAGTGCTCTGGCTGGCTTCTTCTCCTTTTTATTTTTATTTTTTTCCAAAAAGAAGCCATCTCACTATGTTGCTTAGGCTGGCCTCAAACAAGTGATTCTCCTTCCTCAGCCTCCCAAGGAGCTGGGACTATAGGCACTCACCACCGTGCCCAGCTTCCTTGTTTTTAATGGTGCACACAATCTACCATTTCACATTTTACATCTCCCATTTCACCAAGTGCCTAGTTTTTTTACTCTAGCTTAGTAGCCCAGAGAGTATTCCTAAGTCACTGGGGCTCAGTGAGGTTGGTGGTTATGTGAATAGGTTTCTGAGATGGTATAGTTAGCTTGGTTAATTTCTTCCCTTAAATGCCCATAATTTGAGGTATTAAGGATATTGACATTAGCCCCGAAGAGAACTGGTCAGGGTAATGTCTGGGCATGGAGGAAGAATGAAGGCAGGATATTATGGGGTTTCTCTTTCTCCTTTTTCTGACTATCTCCTTCGAGAGCTTGGAGCATAAGTGAGTCCTGTTGACTGGATTTTTAAGGGAGATGGTGAGGCCAGGACTAAACCAATCACATTCCTTGGATCCTCTTGTGGGAGCTCGGTCCTTCTGTTCAACACACAGCACATACTCATGTACCTGTTGCTGGGGAAAAGATCTTTCCTCTGGATGGCTTCTTAATTTCTGATGGGCCATCAATTTGGATATGGCCCTGGGTGTGTGGTGTGGGTGTGTCTGAGTGGGCGTCACTTTTTCACCAGGAGCAAGCCTGCCTGCCCTGTCTGCTGCATGCTCCTGGCCAAGGGGCCACTGCCGTCCCTGCCCCAAGGCCTCTGTGAGATCCTGCTCCACTCCACATCCTGAAAGCTGCTTGCCTTCAGGGTCCTAATGGTGCAAAGAATCCTCTGAAGTTTCTGAGAAGAGTGGGTTGGAAAGGGGCGAGGGGCTCCTGTGTTACCCAGGTACTGGGAGCATGGTCGCCTGTGTGGCCGAGGCAGCATTGCTCAGTAGTTGAGTTGACCATCTCTCCTAGAATCTTGGCTCCACCTCTTACTCTGTGTCTTTGGGGGAACTACTTACCTTCTCTGTACCTTGGTTTCCATATCTGTAAAATATGGATAATAGTAGTACCTACTATTGTTATGTCATGAAAATTAAGTGACAGCATGTATGTAAAGTGATTAGAAAGGTGCCTTCAGTGCCTTCTGTAGAAGGAGACCCCCTCTCCTGCCACCACAGCTGCCCATTCTTTAACATTGCTACCTCATGCTGTTATCTGACTTCTTTCTAGGGCTCAAATCTGGTCTGGGTGGGATGGGGTGGGGCAGGGAGGAAGGGGGACAGCTGCTAGGTTGTCTCAGGCTCGGCCTCCTTTCTTCCCTTTGCACACATGACTTCCCTCTCCTCATTCTGGTACCAAAAACGTTGATCGGTTCCCAAGCATATCAGTGTATGGACCTGGGTGCCCACAGGGGTCACAGTTCTGCAAACTGCATGTGTGAATCCAGCTGGGTCTTGCTGGACCCCTCTGAACTGTCCTTAGGCCCATTTTACATCCATTGCAGCCTTCTGGGGCCTTCTCGCCCGCTAAAGCCATCCTGCCATCTAAAGCCAGTGCCTCGTGTTTGAATTTCTCTCCCAGGCATGTTGTCATGATCAACAAAATCGCTCCCAAGCCTTTGCAGATATTCTCAGTGCTGCAATCAGTTTTCCACCGGACACTGTCAGGCCCAGTCCAATATTTATCAGCTATGCCTCAAAAGGCTGTTTCCTTCCAGAAGACCTGTGTACAGGCAACACCGGTTTGTCCCTGTGTTGGGTAGCATTAGGATCCTTGCGTGTCCCTCAGTGTTGAGTGGCATTATGATTTGCGTGTCCCTCAGTGTTGGGTGGCATTAGGATCCTTGCAGCAGCAGAGCTCCTCAATCTCCTTCTGTCTAGGAGAGCATGGGCATTTTTGTCCTCTCTGTGCCCTGTTTTGACCCTGGGCATTTTCTAGTCCTACTCTGGTAGATGGAGGTGAGGACTTTCACTCGCATCCATGTGAAGAGACCACCAAACAGGCTTTGTGTGAGCAATAAAGCTGTTTATTTCACCTGGGTGCAGGTGGGCTGAGTCCGAAAAGAGAGTCAGCGAAGGGAGATAGGGGTGGGGCTGTTTTATAGGATTTGGGTAGGTAAAGGAAAATTGCAGTCAAAGGGGGGTTGTTCTCTGGCGGGCAGAGTGGGGGTCACAAGGTGCTCAGTAGGGGAGCTTTTGAGCCAGGATGAGCCAGGAGAAAGAATTTCACAAGACAATGTCATCAGTTAAGGCAGGAACAGGCCATTTTCACTTCTTTTGTGGTGGAATGTTGTCAGTTAAGGCAGGAACCGGCCATCTGGATGTGTACGTGCAGGTCACAGGGGATATGATGGCTTAGCTTGGGCTCAGAGGCCTGACATTCCTGTCTTCTTATATTAATAAGAAAAATAAAGTGAAATAGTGGTAAAGTGTTGGGACGGTGAAAATTTTGGGGGGTGGTATGGAGAGATAATGGGCAATGTTTCTCAGGGCTGCTTCGAGCGGGATTAGGGGCGGTGTGGGAACCTAGAGTGGGAGAGATTATGCTGAAGGAAGATTTTGTGGAAAGGGGTGATATTGTGGGACTGTTAGAAGAAACATTTGTCATTTAGAATTATTGGTGATGGCCTGGATACAGTTTTGTATGAATTGAAAAACTAAATGGAATAAGAGAAGGAGAAAAACAGGTATTAAAGGTCTAAGAATTGGGAGGACCTAGGACATCTAATTAGAGTGCCTAAGGAAATTCAGCATAGTCCTGTCAGCAAAGATTATTTATTTACTTCAAGAGTTAAGAGTGGCAGTTTGGGGATAGCACCGGGAGATATCAGCTGTGATGGCTTGGAGAAACAGTTTAAACTGGCAGTGTAAACAAGAGCAGGGCATGTATGAGTAGTTGAGAACGGTGAATAGGAGTATGACTAGACAGAAGATAGTAGGGATGACAAGTTTTGTTGGGGCACAGTCTAAGTTAGTCTGGTGTCTGGAGTGAGACTGGGGCCTAATAAAAAGGAGCATCTATATAGGAGCTCAAATGGGCTGTACCCTGTAGCATTCTGAGGACAGGTCTGACTTCTGAGAAGGGAAAGTGGTAAAAGTATTGTCCAGTCCTTTTTAAGTTGGTGGCTGAGCTTGGTGAGGTGTGTTTTTAAAAGACCTTTAGTCCGTTCTACTTTTCCTGAAGACGGAGGACCACAAGGGATATAAAGGTTTCACTGAATACTAAGAGCCTGAAAAACTGCTCGGCTGATTTGACTAATAAAGGCTGGTCTGTTATCAGACTGTACAGAGGTGGGAAGGCTAAACTGAGAAATTATGTCTGACAGAAGGGAAGAAATGACTGCGGTGGCCTTCTCAGACCCTGTAGGAAAGGCCTGTACCTATCCAGTGAAAGTGTCTACCTAGACTAAGAGGTATTTTAGTTATCTGACTCGGGGCATGTTGAGTAAAGCTAATTTGCCAGTCCTGGGTGGGGGCAAATCCTTGAGCTTGATGTGTAGGGAAAGGAGGGGGCCTGAATAATCCTGGAGGAGTAGTAGAATAGCAGATGGAACACTGAGAAGTTATTTCCTTGAGGATAGATTTCCATGATGGAAAGGAAATGAGAGGTTCTAAGAGGCGGGCTAGTGGCTTGTACTGTAGCATAACCTGCCTTTACTGGTGTGTGGCGATTAGGCCTGGTGGAACCGCCATCAATAAATCAAGTGTGATCAGGGTGAGGAATAGGAAAGAAGGAAATATGGGGAAATGGGGTGAATGTCAGGTGGATCAGAGAGATACAGTCATGGGGGTCAGGTGTGGTATCAGGAATAACGTGGGAGGCTGGATTGAAGTCCGGGCCAGGAACAATGGTAATTGTGGGACTTAACAAAGAGTGAGTACAGCTGAAGGAGCCGGGGAACAGAAAGTATATGCATCAGGTATGAGGAAGAAAATAGATTTTGGAAGTTATGAGAAATGTAGAGAGTGAGTTGAGCATAGTTTGTGATTTTTAGGGACTCTAACAGTATTAAAGCAGCGGCAGCTGCTGCATGCAGACGTGATGGCTAGGCTAAAACAGTAAGGTCAAGTTGTTTGCACAGAAAGGCTACAAGGTGCGGTCCTGGCTCTTGCGTAAGAATTCTGACTGCACTAAACCATGCCTAGGAAGGAAAGGAGTTGTTGTTTTGTAAGGGATTGAGGTTTGGGAGATTAATCGGACACGATCAGCAGGGAAAGCACGTGTGTTTTTATGAGAATTATGCCGAGATAGGTAACAGATGAGGATGAAATTTGGGCTTGACTGAAGTAATGGGCGCTGTCTGTGAAGCCTTGCGTCAGTACAGCCCAGGTAATTTGCTGAGCTTGATGGGTGTCAGGGTCAGGCCAAGTGAAAGCGAAGAGAGGCTGGGATGACGGATGCAAAGGAATAGTAAAGACAGCATGTTTGAGTTCCAGAACAGAATAACGGGTATGTGATCGGTTGCCAGGGAAGGAGTAGAGATGTCCCATACTTGTGGGTTAAGGTGGGGGATATGAGAGGAAGACGCGAAGGAGGCTTTGGGATGGGGAGAAGGGCGGCGATGAGATGCGGCTGTAGTCCAGGAATAGTCAGGGAAGCAGATAATTTGGTTAAAATATCTCAGCCTAATAAGGGAACTGGGCAGGTGGGAATAACTAAAAAAGGGTGCATAAAAGAGTGTTGTCCAAGTTGGCACCAGAGTGGGGGAGTTTTCAGGGGTTTTGAAGCCTGTCTGTCAATTCCCACAACAGTTATGGAGGCAACAGAAACAGGCCCTTGAAAAGAAGGTAATGTGGAGTGGGTAGCCTCCGTATTGACTAAGGGGACGGACTTACCTTCCACTGTGAGAGTTACCGGAAGCTCGGCGTCCGTGATGGTCTGGGGGGCTTCCGAGGTGATTGGGCAGCATCAGTCTTCAGCTGCTAAGCCAAGAAGATCTGGGAAGGAGTCAGAGAGCCTTGGGCCAGAGTTCCAGGGGCTCTGGGAGTGGCTGCCAGGTGAGTTGGACAGTCCAATTTCCAGTGGCGTCCCACACAGATGGGATGCAGCTTAGGAGGAATCCTGGGCTGCGGGCATTCCTTAGCCTGGTGGCCAGATTTCTGACACTTGTAGCAAGCTTCTGGGGGAGGAGGTTCTGGAGGAATGCCTGGCCGCTGAGGTTCAGGCGTTTGGAAGTTCTTGTGTGCTAGAGATGTGGCTGGGGTTTGTCTCACAGTGGAGGCAAGGAATTGCAACTTTTTTCTATTATTTTACTCCTTGAAGGCAAGGTTAATTAAATCCTGTTCTGGGGTTTGAAGGCCAGAATTTAATTTTTGGAGTTTTATTTAATGTCGGGAGCAGATTGGGTAATAAAATGTATATTGAGAATAAGACGGCCTTTTGACCTTTTAGGGTCTAGGGCTGTAAAGCATCTCAGGGTTGCTGCCGAACGAGCCATGAACTGGACTGGGTTTTTCATATTTGATGAAAGAGCCTAAATGCTCACTGATTTGGGAGAGATCTGATAAAGAAAAAGGAGCATTAACCTTGACTATGCCTTTAGCTTCAGCCACCTTTTTAAGAGGAAATTGCTGGGCAGGTGGGGGAGGGCTACTCACGGAATGAAACTGTAAACCGGACCGGGTGTGAGGAGGGGAGGTGATAAAAAGATTATAGCGTGGAGGAGCAGAGGCTGAGGAAGAATTGGGACCTAGCTCGGCCTGGTGAGGAGCAGCCTGGGGAGGAGGGGAGAGGTCAGATGGGTCTGTAGAAAAGGAAGATTAGAAAGACTCAGTGACGCTTGGGGTTGGGACTGGGGACAGGCGGGAGGGAAAGAAGGAAGATTTGGGACGAGTTGCACTGGGCACAGAGACTAGGGAGGGACTGATGTGTAAAAGAATGCCTAGACGTCAGGCACCTCAGACTGTTTGCCCATTTTATGACAAGAATTATTTAGATCTTGCAGGATGGAAAAATTGAAAGTGCCGTTTTCTGGCTGTTTGGAACTACTGTCCAGTTTGTATTGGGGTCAAGAGGAATTGCAGAAGAAAATAAGACATTTAGGTTTTAGGTCAGGTGTGAGTTGAAGAGGTTTTAAGTTTTTGAGAACACAGGCTAAGGGAGAAGAAGGAGGAATGGAGGGTGGAAGGTTGCCTATAGTGAAGGAGGCAAGTTTAAAGAAAAGGGAGAGTAGAGACACGGAGGGAAGTGGTTCGGGGGTTCTTACCCTCCAGAAAAGTGGGAAAGGGGTCGGGGCACAGAGATACAAGGTCAGGGCATGGAAATAAGGGATCAAGGCGCAGAGATATAAGAGGTTGGGGCGTGGAAATAAGGGATTGGGGCGCAGAGATATAAGAGGTTGGGGTGTGGAAATAAGGGATCAGGGCACAGAGATATAAGAGGTTGGGGCACAGAGATACGAGGTTGGGGTACTTGTCCCTCCCCTAGAAAAGCAGGACTTGCCGCTAAGGGTGAAGGAGAAGGGGTTGGGGGTTTCTTGCCCCTGCCCCAGAAAAGCAGAGAAGGGGTAGAGACACGGAGAAAAGGGGTTGGGGAACTTGCACCTCCCCCAGAAAAGCGGGATTTGCTGCTAAGGGTGAAGGACCAAGGCAGGCGTCCCTGCATGGTCTCACACCTCTGAAACCTGGGTTAATAATCAGGTGTCCCTGCAGTGATTAAACACCAAAGGAAGGCTGCCTTCCCTAGTCCGTGACTGGCGCCAGAGTTTTGGGTCCACGGATAAAACGTGTCTCCTTTGTCTCTACCGGAAAATGAAAGGAATTGAAATTAGAGAAGGGAGAGATTGAAGTGTGGCACCAAGATTGAAAGGAGAAAGAGGTTGAGGGATAGTGAGGGAGGCTGGAGAAGAGAGTAAAAAGAGGTCGCTTACCCGATTTAAAATTGGTGAGATGTTCCTTGGGCTGGTTGGTCTGAGGACCTGAGGTCATAGGTGGATCTTTCTCAGGGAGCAAAGAGCAGGAGGACAGGGTATTGATCTCCCAAGGGAGGTCCCCCGATCCGAGTCATGGCACCAAATTTCACTCGCGTCCGTGTGAAGAGACCACCAAACAGGCTTTGTGTGAGCAATAAAGCTGTTTATTTCACCTGGGTGCAGGTGGGCTGAGTCCGAAAAGAGAGTCAGCGAAGGGCGATAGGGGTGGGGCCGTTTGATAGGATTTGAGTAGGTAAAGGAAAATTACAGTCAAAGGGGGTTGTTCTCTGGCAGGCAGAGTGGGGGTTACAAGGTGCTCAGTAGGGGAGCTTTTGAGCCAGGATGAGCCAGGAGAAGTAATTTCACAAGACAATGTCATCAGTTAAGGCAGGAACAGGCCATTTTCACTTCTTTTGTGGTGGAATGTCATCAGTTAAGGCAAGAACCGGCCATCTGGATGTGTACGTGCAGGTCACAGGGGATATGATGGCTTAGCTTGGGCTCAGAGGCCTGACAAGGACTGTGGCTGATTTGCCATTATTTATGGGAGGTGGAAGTCAGTTATAATAATTTACTTTTTTATGAAGCAATCGTGGTTCCCTTCTGTTTCATCTTCAAATGATGTGCCCCTCTTTTATCTTTCCCTTTGACTTATAGCTTCTCCCCACAACCTTCTCTCTCCTTTTATATTAAAATATTTAGGGGCCGGGTGCAGTGGCTCACGCCTGTAATCCCAGCACTTTGGGAGGCCGAGGTGGGTGGATCACAAGGTCAGGAGATCGAGACCATCCTGGCTAACATGGTGAAACCCTGTCTCTACTAAAAATACAAAAAAAAAAAAAAAAATTAGCTGGGCGTGGTGGCGGGCGCCTGTAGTCCCAGCTACTCGGGAGGCTGAGGCGGGAGAATGGCGTGAACCCAGGAGGCGGAGCTTGCAGTGAGCGGAGATAGCGCCATTGCACTCCAGCCTGGGTGACAGAATGAGACTCTGCCTCAAAAAAAAAAAAAAAAAATTTATTGGTCATTCATTTCATAGTATGTGTTTGTACTCTTAGTATCAGCTTAATGAAACTGTTCAGCAAATAAAATGGTCAATAATTTAAACATATACATTTACTAAATATAACTTTTATTTAAAAAATAGAAGTTTTTTTTAGAATTTATTAACTGAGCACTCCCTTTAAAGGAGTGAGTCCTACACTTTGGAGAAATGCACTCCTACCTCTGTTTTTGCATCTCTCTCCCTTCCTCTCCCTCTCCCTTTCTCTCTCTCTCTCTCTCACAAACACACACACACTGAATAATTGATAGTAATCAGAAATCTGTAACTTTTTTTTCATTTGAACTGGGGCTTATAGCATAGAGATAAAAATATGGGCTATGATAATCCAAATTTTGGGACTGACTGCACTCACTAGTGATATGCACCTGGGAAACCCACTAGGTCACTCTCAGCCCCACTTTCCTCATCTTTAAAATGAAGACATTTGGCTTCTGATTCTGTAAAGTCCCATCCACCCCTTTTATTCCACAGCTCTCTGGATTCTGAAGACCAGGGCTCCAATTCACAGTGTCCATTAATCCAGGAGCCACAAAGGCAAGTGCTTATTTGCATAGAAATAGAATGCTAATCAGGTGCAGACAAAGCTCATCAGAATCAAGACAGCTGTCAGGACAACACCCTTCTAAAGGTGCCCAGACAAGCCGAGCAGAGGCAGGAGAAATTAAATTTAGCTGGAGTAGTGGAGTGCTATCAGTTATCGGCGGCCCCAGGCACATTAAATGGCATCTGGCTTCTGAGTGCTTAGCAGGGGAGCTCTTATCGCTTCAGTCCTGGAATTTGGAACCATTTTCTGTTAGAGTAGAGGGATTAAAAACAATGTCTGGGCCTGATGGACAGTGGTGAACAGCCAGCCACATGGTGCTGTTTATTGTTGGTGGATAAGGAGTCTTGGCTGAGTGAAGCCAGGAGGCTGAGGTAGGGAGATTCTGAATCACCAGCAGACTACCAAGGTCACGCAGGAAAGTCTGGCCGACTTCTCTGTAGCTAAGTTTTCATCTTCATTTTGTGAACAGTTATCATCTGACTGTTATTATTAGAATAAAATGCAATAAGGTGGCAACAGCCCTTTGGAAAATTATAAATACCCTTGACATGAGTTTGAACAGTGCGCATCCACTTAGATGAGAATTTTCTTCTACCTCTGTTACCCATGAGACAGCAAGACCAGCCCCTCTTCTCCCTCCTGTTCCTGCTCAGCTGACTCAAGGTGAAGACAACAAGGATGAAGCCCTTCAGGATGATCCACTTCTACTTAATGAATAGGACATAGATTTTCTTTTCTGTGTGATTGTCTCAATAACATTTTCTTTTCTCTAGTTTATTGTCAAGAATGCAGTATATAATATATATAAAGTACAAAATATGTGGTTAACTGACTGGTTGTGTTACTGGTCAGGCTTTGGTCAACAGTAGGCTATTAGTTAAGTTATTGGTGAGTTAAAAGTTATACATGGATTTTCTATTGCGCAGAGGGTTAGCCCCTTAGCCCCCATGTTGTTCAAGGGTCAACTGTGGTGTGAAAGTTGTCATAACAAAAATGGAGTCCCTTGTGTCAAACCCTAGCAAATGGAGCTGGGGAAGGCCATGGAGGGCTCTCATGCACAATTTTCCTGATAATGGGAACTATCACAAGAAATGTTTTCAAACTGCAGCTTACTACGTGAGTCACTCAAGGCAAGTTAGCAGCACAAGGACGGCTAGCCACTTATACAAGAACACCTGCTTGTTTCAAAAACTGTCTCACAAGCCCAGTTCAAAACTACAAGGGCTTAAACATAACTCCAAGATTACAAGTCCGACCTAGCAACTGCTGACACTTGTCAATCAGAATTTGCCAGCTCTTGTTAGATGATGCCAACACCAACGAGCTTTCTTTCAAAACAACTTGTATACCCTCCTCTCTCCCTAGTAAAACTCTAACTTTCCTTTGTTTTCTGGACATACCAGAGACCACACTGGTCTCTGTATCTGTCCGAAATTGTAATCCTATTTCTTTGTTTATTCCTAAATAAATCCTTTTTATGTATTTTTATTTCAAGTTGACAGTACGATCCATACAAATAATCAAATTTCAGGCAACCAATAGTCATCATTTATTATATGCTTGATACTGGGAATGGTAATAATAGCCAAGACTTATTAAGCACTTACTAGGTAGATACTTTGTAAGTACCATCCTTATCCCCACTGGGGAGTTTAGAAAATGGAGACAAAGTAATTTGTCTGAGATCATAGGTGTTGTGTGGCTGGGCTGAGGCTCCAATTCACTCTGGAACCTGCAATCTTAGCCATAATTATACATGCCCTTTAATAATAATCATGGCCTTATTTAGAAATAAATCCAGTCTTTTATGTAATATATATTTCACTTATATGAGATATTATAATCTTGATATATATTTTAGTTAACAAAGAATAAAGCACATTTTCGTGTCTTTAAAAATTGCTCCTTGACATAATCAAAGGCTACATATTATAATGAAAGGAATTACTATAATCTAAATAGATACACTTAGTTTCTTTCTATTACAAATAATTTTAAAAGGAAAATTTGTCTATAATTTGTATCATTTCTCAAAAGTGAAATTATTGTGTAAAAGAGTGTGTATGTTTATTTTAAATTTTAAAAATTACAGTCCAGAATTCTTTTATTTTTGAGACAGAGTCACCCAGGCTGGAGTGCAATGGAGTGATCTCGGCTCACTGCAACCTCCGCCCCCTGGGTTCAAGCTATTCTCCTGCCTCAGCCTCCCAAGTAGCCGGGATTACAGGCACCAGCCACCATGCCTGGCTAATTTTTGTATTTTTAGTAGAGATGAGGTTTCACCATGCTGGCTAGGCTGGTCTTGAACTGCTGACCTCAGGTGATCTGCCTGCCTCGGCCTCCCAAAGTGCTGGGATTACAGGTGTGAGCCACCATGCCCGGCCCTAAATTTCAAGTATATCTAAAAGTAGGGAGAATGTTGTTATGAATCCAGCATTCCCATCACCAGCTTCAGCAATTATCAACACCCAGCCAATCTTATTTCATCTATTCCCTCCCCACAGAGCAATTATTCTGAAGCAAATCCCAGATGCTATCTCATCTATAGAGATTCCATTTTGTATTTCTAAAGGATTAAGACTCTTTTAAAAAATACCTGCAATATCATTGTCACATCTAAAAAAATTAACAATAATTATTTAATATTGCCAAATGCCTTGTCAGTTTACATTTCTTTGATTGTATTATAAACAGTCATGTGCCATATAACGATGTTTCAGTTGATGAAGGATCACATATATGAAGGGTGGTACTATAAGGTTATAATACCATATTTTGACTTACCATCATGTTATAAT
Organism: Homo sapiens; assembly: GCF_000001405.40. NCBI lineage: Eukaryota > Metazoa > Chordata > Mammalia > Primates > Hominidae > Homo > Homo sapiens. The sequence goes on along the minus strand of NC_000005.10, from coordinate 16,416,079 downwards.
TTCCTACAGTATTCAGTACAGTAATATGCTGTGCAGATTTGCAGTCTAGAAGCAATAAATAATGTAGACCTGCTCAAAAATGAGGAAAGCCAAATGTTCTCATTGGATATTTCCTTCTCCTCTCATCACTTAGTCCACTAAGTAACCCTTTTCCTGTAAGGGAATCATATATAGTGTTAAAAAAAAAAAACTCAAACATGTATGTTTGTCTATGTATGTATGTGACAGTGGCTTTTAATTGATATTCACCAATTTTCTATATCTATGTACCAGAAGCTCAAATACAATTTACTTTCATATCCCCTTCTCTATTTCACCCCCCCAAAAATAAACTGTTTATTAAACATTTTTCTTTTCATCTCCATCTTCCTTCAAGAGGACACACATACCCTCCAAATTTTCTCTATACAAGGAATTCTACCTTGATGCTAATATGGCCACTGACCTGTCACTAACTAATGAAAAGAATCAGGCAGTATTTGCTCTGATTGGCTTGTTGGTGTAATGAGCAACATTTATGAAAAATTCCGTATATTTTTCCATCTCATTTTTATTTTTTTCCCCTTTTGTTCTTTGTTCATATTTGTTTGGCATCTCCCAGAATTTCCAAATTCTGGGATTGGAGGATTGGAGGCACAAAGCGGGCAGAACTCAGCATCACATCAGCTATCTCTGGGTGAGGGAGAGTTGGAGTTGGTAAGAAAAGAGAAAAGTGTCTGGTGCAGAAGACACTTTGAGGATGATTTTTCACATAAATGTTTCACAGAGTATCTTGTGCAGGTTGCTCAGAGAAGCATCTAATTGTATCGAGGGACTCTCAGGTGAAGAGGTGCTGATATAACGTTCTGCCCCAAGTTAAAATGCATTGTTTTAGGGAAGTAAAAAATAAAGAAATGAAAAGCAGTCTCTGCCATCTGGGAGCCTTATACTCCTAGCTGGACCTCAGTGCTGTTGCAAGCTGGCCTGGAGCTCATAGCTGGGCCCTGTTCTCCTGCTTACATAAACAATCTCACAGAGCAACCAGGACCAAGCAAGGTCACTCTGAGACCATGATGAAGTGAGACAAAGCAAGGCCATGTGCAACCCATAAAATACCAAACATCTCCCTCTCTCAGCTAAAATGAGTGACCGCTGTTTCTTTATCAATTACAGTTTTATCCTTGCTCTAGTCTGCCCTCCCCATGGAAAATATTAATATACCAAATAATAGGATTCTCCCCACATTCTGGCAGCATCCAATCTAAACCAAGCTCCCACTTCCTTAGACCTTCTCCCTGCCAATGATCTAATCAAATCAAAGCCCCAGTCATATGATAGGCTCCTTCTAATACCCTCTTTGTGGTTCCTCCTGGAGAACACTCTTCCTTGCTGCAATGAATAATAAACCCAGTTTCAATGATGGAGTGTTCCTGATGGGCTTTGGCTGAAGGGTATTGACAGAGGTAAATTTACAAACCATATTGTTTTCTTTTCATTTAATCATTGACTAGTGACAATGAAAGGCAGATTTGAGACCATTCATTCCTTCCTTTTTTATTTTGTTTTACTTTGCTTTATTACCAACAGCAGAACTCTTTTTTTAGACAAAATCTTAAGTCATATCCCAGTATAGGAAGCAGATGAAAGGGAAACTGCTCTGTCACAAACATGGCAGCTCCTGGGCCCCATGAGCTTGGGTCCCTATGCCTATTCCCACAGTGGCCTGAAGGCACTTCTGCTTGTTAGAGGGACCCATGTAGAAAACAACTGGTCTAGCCTAAATTCCTTATAATCTGGATTAGGCATCCAAGATCCAGTTTTGTGAGTTCCTCAAAGTCACCCTGCTTGTTAGGGGAACATCTTAGGTGAAACTTCTGGTTTCCTGACTCCCAGGCCAGGGCCAGAATTCTGCAAGAGTCCCTTCTCTCTTCACAGGAGTTCAGGGCCAGTTCACCAGCTCCAGTGACCTGTTCTGGGTTGTTCATGTGGACATGGTTGTCTGACTCTCCCCAAAGATGCTCACTGCATCAGGACCCTGGCCCCATCCAACGTCCAATACCTCTGCACTTTCCCTTTTCTACTTTCTTGACCAATAGCCACAGTAATGACCATGGTGGTGCCATGATAATCACATAAAGATTCCCTTTAATGCATGACTGTGGGGAAGAGTTCTACCAACTGTGGAATTAATATGAGGCTTAGAAATGGGATTCCCAGTTAAAAGCATTTGGTCCTTTTTACTAACTCTAAATGAACTCTAAATACTTGAATCCTTGAGGTAAAAGCACTGGTGAGGAAAGGAAGATGAACTTGGGAGTTTTGTGAAAAGAAGGCCAAGAATCATGGCCTCAGAAAATAGCTTGAACAACATCATTCTGCAGCAATGTGAGGAGGTGTGAGTCTGCTTTATGCAGCATTTGCACTTACCAGGAAGAAGAAATCATGTCTCTTCTTGCCTGGTGCACAGGAATGCTATACACATACTAGAAAGTGATCTACACTCCCTGAAAGAAAGGGGCCATAGAAGTCCAGGGGGAACATATCAAAACATTTTTTGTGATGTTTTTCATGATGTTCCTCATATTCAGAAGGGATGTCTGTTGTGGGTGACTGAAATGTCATATAAAGTGAGAAATGTTCTTGTCAGCCCCAGTTCAGTAGACAGGGTAAGCAGTCAGCCCTAATGAGTCAAGTGGGGCTAAGAAACAAAAAGGACCATGCTGAGTTTGTTCTGTGTCTAACACAAGGATCCAGATGGAGATTCATGATGTGGCCAGACCTCTTCCACGTGAATTTAGGCTGCTTCCATTATTACAAGTCATACATCTTTCTGGGTCAGGCTGTGTCACAACTCAGGCTAGTTTTTAAAAAAAATCACATTCTGACCTGTTCATAAACCACAGTGCAAAGTAATGACCCAGAAACACCAGGAAAGGGATCTGTAAATGTATTTTCTCATCAGACCAATTGGAAAACAAACACCACTAATTTTTTTTGTAAAAACATTATTAATATATACATTTTTATCTTTAAGCTGCCCCATAAATAACAATTAACTGCCCTTGAGCACTTACCAAGTGTCAGGGAAGAGTAACCAGGGCTAGGAGTAGGTGAGATGAGGAAGGCACTTATGTTGCACACAAAATTTAAGGGTGCATCAACAAACTCAGTAATCAAGATAAATAATATTTAGATGCAATATTTAAAAAAATCATCAAACTCTGTCCCTCTTGTTATTGCCTATAAATCTTTAACCTCTGACTGATGCTTATAAGTGCTTCCACACATCAATGTCTTCCCTTTGGGAAGAGGCCAGAGAGTTAGTTCCCACTCTTTTTGCCAGGTGATGACACAGTAAGAAGGTGACTGTTGAAACCAGGAAGTATATTCTCACCAGAACCTGACCATACTGGCACCCTGAACTCAGGCTTCCCAGCCTCCAGAACTTGGAGAAATACCTACCATTTAAGACCCCAATCCATGGTATTTTTGCTGTAGTAGCCTTAGCTAAGGCAGACCTTTCAGACCTTTATAGAATTTGTGTGTCTGTGTGGGGTACGTACTTAAAAAGAGAATGCCTTCCCAGGTTTCTTTTGGTGCCTAGAAAGATGTGAAATGCTTTTGATGTCCTTAGGTAGTGACCAAAAATGGTGAGGCCTGAGTATCTGGACCTTCACCTCTGAGATATATCTGGATACATAGAGACTACTGGAATGCTTTATGGTTTCTGGTGCAGTAGGAAGAGAGACCATCCAAGTTACAGGCAGGAAAAATGCTTCTGTTCTTCTCTTCATTCATTCCTGAGTCCCTGGGTCATCCAGTGTGGGCTATTACTCACCACCCATTCTGTCCCTACCTCAGCCCTGCATCTGCTTCTTTCCTGGTGGATCCAGCTTCCCTCTAGGGATACACACTTGCTGGATATTCATGCTCCCAGACTTGCTTCAAGTTGGGACTTGTGTTTATGGTCCAGTCCTGGCAGAGGGGAACATGAGGAGGAAAGTGTGCTGTGTGTGTCTGTGTGGGGGTCTTAAAAAAAGGTTGACTTCCTAATGAAAAGGGAGCCACAGGGAGAGGCACTAGTCCCTGACTGTAAATGATGCTGGGATCTGCAGCAGATATCTGATAGCCCTGAGAGTAGATATTACCACACCAGGAAGTGGCGGAGCAAAAAGGCAGACAGAACCTGGATCCTATCAATGAAATGCTGCAGCAATTGAGCAGTCACCTTTTCTCTGATCTTCTTGTTTTATATCTTTATTGCTTGAGCTACTTGAATTGGATATTTACTAACTTGCAACCGAAAACATCTGAATACCTTCTTACCCCCAACTTCCCTTGCGCACTCATTATCCTTGGAGAGGTGCCCAAGGCAGCTCCCTCCTCACAACTTACTGACGTAGTTTCTGGTGCACATTTCTTTTGGCACCAGGCTTATGAGCTGCACACACATACACACGCATACATACGCACACATATGTGCATGTGTGTGTGTGTGTGTGTGTCTGTGTGTGATGTATGTTTAACTACACGGAATACGGATGAGAGGAACAGAGTATCAAAGTTTAAAGTGGCAGTGGCGATGGCTGGCTCTGGGTCATGGAGGGTCTGGTAGTGAATAAGGTGCTCCACGGTTGTGTGGGTGCAGCCTGTCGGCTGTATTCAGGGATTGCTCATGCTTTTCCTGAGGCACTTGCCAAGAGAGCATTTGCATTCCATTAACTCAGCACTTGCAGGAAAACCCAGAAAAGGCTGAATCTGCTTTTCAGGGTTAAAGATACCCGAATACTGGGTTCCTGCAAAGGGATGGAAGGCATTTACAGAGGATTCAGGAAAGGCGAACCAATACTCTGGATTCACGTGACTAATTAGAAGGACTGCTTGATGCTGTGCAAAGAATAGAAGCCTTGGGAGAAAGTAACCATGCAACCTTGGAGTTAAGAGCTAAGCATGGGACCACTAGATGTAGTCAGATGCGAAACTTGGGTGTTAGGATATCAGATGTCTAAAGTTCAGAGGAGGGCATATATAAGAGGCTGAGGTTGTTTTGACATATGGAAACCTGGGCTTGAGAGAGTTAAATGCAGAGGATGAAACAGTTTGGGAAGAGCAGGGCTGGGAGCAGGATTGAGACACGTGCAATGGGGAAGAAGAGGACTCAGCCAACTCCAGTAGGAGGAAGGCCACCAAGGTGGACTTCTAGAACATCACTGGTCACCCAGTGGTTTGGCTGCAGGGAGCAGGCATTAGTCTAGGCCAATTTTCCACACTGGGAAATAGAACTTAAACATGGCCCAAGCCTGATGACATATCAGAATTCTTGGAATGAAAATTTCTGTAAAAAATGCACGTGGCCACTCCAATTCCCACCCTACTCCCACCCCTGAGATTCTGATGCAGTTGTCTGAGAAATTCTAACTTAAATAGTCCCTGAAATTTATATTTTTTGGAAGGTTTCCAGGTGATTATGATGAGCAAACAGGTTTAGGGACTTCAGAAATAAGCAGTGTCAGTGTTGACAGAAGGGTGTGGAGCAGGTGGTAAATGAACTGAAGCTGACTGGCAGTCAGGCCTCAAGGATCAGGGGTCAAGGATGTAAACTCCGTTCCCGGTCAGTGTAATTTCCCTAGAAATTACTGAAATACACAACTGTGGGCTGACATCAGCAATCCTGGGGAGATTATGAAATGTACTCATCATATAAGGTGTGTGCTGGTGTTCCTATTTTACACATGATCAAACTAAGGTTCAGAGAGGGTAATAGATTTGCTCAAGATTACAAGTCCAGTAAGTGGCAGAATTGGGAAGTAGAATCAGGTGTTCATTCATCCAGTGACCATGGGAGAGTGACCTCAAAAGTCAATGAGGAACGATGTTGTGCACTCAGGAGAAACAAACTACAGAGAAGAAAAGAAAGAAAAGAAGAATACACTGGGCTTGATTAGAATGAGAGTAAGCAAGGCAGGGTATCTTTGTTTGTGTTGCTGTAACAAAATAACACAGACTGGGTCATTTATAAACAATGGAAACTTATTTCCTCACAGTTCTGGAGGCTGGAAAGTCCAAGATCACGATGCTGGCCTTTGGTGTCTGGTGAGGGCCCTCTTGCTGCATCTTCAGATGGTAGAAGAGAGAAAGGGCAAAGAGGGCCTAAGCTCATTCCTTCCAGACCTTTATACATCATTAACCCATTCATGAGAACAGAGCCCTTGTGATTTCATCACTTCCCACCTCTTAATACTGCCACAATAGGGATTACGTTTCAACATGAACTTGGGGAGGAACACATTCAAACCATAGCATGGCAGAAGGAGAGTACGTTATTAGAAATGAGAGAGAGCTCTCTTATTTTCTTCATTTGGCTTCATTCATTCATCACATATTTATTATTATTTCCACAAATACAGTTTGTCCTTCCTCTGAGTTCCAGCTTCCCAACTGTGTGAATCCCCCTACCTCATCTTTCTCCAACGCCCTAAATGATCCCTTATTCTCAAACCCTTTTTATGACCACTTTCTTGTCACTTGGCTGGAGGTCATGTAATATGGAAGCTCTTTAGCCTTCTTTGTACATGCACTTCTTTTCAACTCAATACCTTGGGGCACTGAGAGAGTAAAGTGGACTGTTGGCTTCTGAAAGGAGTTATGAATCCCTTTGTGGGTGTATTGGCTTCTTTCACTTTGTAAATAATGCCTCTTCAGCAGCCAAATATAGAAATCACCCATTTGTCTGAAAGTACCTAAAACAAATCCATAACTAATTGGTTTTTATGATCCTTTTTGGATCTTTTGATACTTTATGCTAAGAACCATAGAAACATTTAGGTCTCTAAAAGAGGAAAATTCAACGTGTCAATATATATTTACAAGAGCCAATGAGCCTTCAGAAGCATCTGCCTTTCTAACCATGAATAATGGGCCTTTCAGGACAACTGGGTGCATGAGCTTTCCAAGGCAGGAGGAAAATGCCATTTGCTATGGATAGTCCACAAAGCACTTTATGATCTTCTGTTGTTCAGTTTGAAGAGTAGGAAAAATAAACTCCATGCCGTCTTCTTTCTAGGGTTCACCTATCAACAGCAAGAACTATGTTCGGCAGTAGACATTCTGGGCAGCGATATATTAGGCCTTAAATTAAAATAGCCATTAAAATATTATGCTAAGCATTTTCTTATTTACAAGACACTAATTTATTGTAAAGTAGTTAACTTTCTTCTATGGCTGAGTTTAATACATTTCTTTCAGAAGAACCATACAAAGCATGCTCAGAGAAAGGAGACTGTGTTGCTTTTTTTAATAAGCAATGTAGCTGTCACCAATGCTGTAACCAATCAAAGATTGATTAATGCATCTTTAATGCAGATAATTTATTAGATAGTAAGGGTTTTTTTCCCTCTAAATTTTCAGTAGGAGGAAATCGCTGAGTTTTTCCATTTTAAATTAAAGGGTTTCTGCAATTGGTTTTTCACTAAGCCTTAAAATGGATTATCAAATTCAACTATGTAGCAAACATGCTTAGGATGAAGCTTGTGCTACTCTCTCATACTTTTATGTCTGCTTGAATACCAACAAACCTCCTGACAGCAAGAACCAAACAAGACGCATATCGCGACCAAGGTGCCTAGTAGAATGCTATTGATGTATAATGATGTATAATAGGTGCTCCATGAATATTTGTTGGATGAATAATGTCTTAAGCTGTTTTTCTTCCTGTAGAGTATGCTTGTCCTAAGCTTGTATATCAGTGATGGATTGCTACGTAGCATTCACACTTCCTCATGTCTCTCTTTGTCATCTACCAGCAGCCAGGATGGGAGGCAGGGTGCAGAGGCGAAGAATGAATTAGCCCAACTGTGTCCCTGTCTTCTTCACTGAAGGGGGTTGAAACTGTCTTGTCCTGGCAATGCCAAGTGGTCAGCCTGCAGTTCAGCTTCATAAGATAGCCAGTGGGAAATTTCCTATTCAAGGTGGCGAAGAGCTCTAAGATGCCAAGGTGAAGCTGTCACAGAAATTCTTAAATTTTTGTGTCTAATGGCAAAGAAGTATAAGTTGAACAATTGTCTCTGAGAAAGACTGGGACACATAGTTCAAAAGGGATTATGGGTTGAGCATGGTGGCTCACGCCTGTAATCCCAGCAATTTGGCAGGCTGAGGCAGGCAGATCACCTGAGGTCAGGACTTCAAGACCAGCCTGGCCAATGTGGTGAAACCTCGTCTCTACTAAAAATACAAAAATTAGCTGGGCATGGTGATGCAAGACTGTAATCCCAGCTACTTGGGAGGCTGAGGCAGGAGAATGGCATGAACCTGGGAGGTGGCAGTTGCAGTGAGCCAAGATCATGCCACTGCACTCCAGTCTGGGCCACTGAGTGAGACTCTATCTCAAAAAAAAAAAAAAAAAAAAAAAGGAATTACAAAAAGAAAAACTTTTCCTTGAAGTCTCTTATTTTAAGTTTGCATTGCAAGCCATAATATACCCTTTGTTAAAAAGGTTAGTCTCTGGCTGGGTGCAGTGGCTCAGGCCTGTAATCCCAGCACTTTGGGAGGCCAAGGCGGGCAGATCACGAGGTCAGGAGATCGAGACCATCCTGGCTAACATGGTGAAACCCTGTCTCTACTAAAACAAAATACAAAAAATTAGCTGGGCGTGGTGGCAGGCACCTGTAGTTCCAGCTACTCGGGAGGCTGAGGCAGGAGAATGGTGTGAACCTGGGAGGTGGAGCTTGCAGTGAGCCGAGATGGTGCCACTGCACTCCAGCCTGGGCGATAGAGCGAGATTCCATCTTAAAAAAAAAAAAGGTTAGTCTCTAGTTGTTAGTCTCCATAAATGTAACAAAGATTTCAAATAATCTTGATTTCAACCAATGGAACTGATTATGTTGTATCTAGACTACAAGGTTGTTTACATATCTTTATACCCCCTCAGCTCCTCACCCATCTTTGTTAAATAGGTATATTATGATAAAATAAGCAGAAGAAAAGAGATACGTTATGATTATAAAGAGGTATATATGAACGAAACAAAGGAAACTGAGCATAAGTCTTTGGTTAATGTTGAGTTGAGTATAATTTCTGGAAAAGTAGAATGAATTGGAAAGGACCAATGTTGAATATCATGTTCAGAGCCCCTACTTAATGTTTTCTTCAGACTTGGGTTCACACTATTTTGGAAACATAGGCCCCCATAAAAATGATGACAGTGTCTTCACTGCTTGCCAAATTATATCAGGGTAAACACCAAGGACAAATGCCTGATTGTGCCACAGAGTTGGCATAGTGCCAGATTTTCAGCCATAGTCCCTGAAACCTTGAATAAGTGTCTCTAACTGAGAAGTTAAGCCATGTGGGTCTTGTGATGGTTGATTACAAAATTTTTTTATTTCTATAGGTTTTTGGGGAACAGGTGGTATTTGGTTACACGAGTAAGTTCTTTAGTGATGATTTGTGAGATTTTGGTGTACCCCTGTGACAGTTAATTTTATGTGTCAACATGGTTAGGCCATGGTATCCGGATAATTGGCCAAACATTATTCTAGATGTTTCTGTGAAGTTTTTCTTGACATTTAAATCAGTAGACTTTGAGTAAAGCTGATGACCTCTCATAATCTGGGTGGGTGAGCCTTATCCAATTGGTTGATGGCCTTAAGAGAAAAACATTGACGTCCCTGGGATAGGAGGGAATTCTGTCAGCAGACAGCCTTCAGACTCAAACTACAATTCTTTCCTGGGTCTCTAGGCTGCCCGCCTACCCTGCAGATTTTGGATTTACCAGCCTCTATAATCACATGAGCCAATTTCTTAAAATAAATCTCTCTATGCACATCAAATTGGGTCTGTTTCTCCCGTGAACCCTGACTCATGCAGGTCATGTGGTGGACTGAGAGTGGACCTGCCAGACCTGCTTCTAGGTGCCCCAGCCCTGATGGCCAGGCCTACTTGCGTAATTTATTCCTTCTCCTGGAATGCCCCCAAACAATAAGAATCTCACCCAGTTCCCTGGTAATGCAAGAGAATCAAATGATGCAATCATTCTCAGCACAGTAATTTTTTATTTTTTCCTCTAGCCTTACAAAAAGCAGTATATTCCCCAACATGGAAAGTGAGATTTTTCACATTTGATTTGCTTATGGTATGACAATACCTTTTGAGGGCAAATATTTCAAAGTTTTTTCTTTAAGCAGTTGGTAAAATCATTATCCTTGGAGATGTGTGATATGTTTAAGGAGGTTAGATGAAAGCATTTAGAGTGGCTGTCAAGGACAATGGCCCTTGCTGTCTCTTTTGTTATCCTCAAGGTTAAGGAAGAGATGAAACAAAACATCTTTTGAACTAGGATACAAAAATGACTGCATCTGTGACTAAAATTTATGAACTGAGTGTGTGTAGTACATTAGTAGGTCTAGTTAATGAAAAAGCTAAAGGCAAGAGAGACAAAAGAGTATTAACAATTCTAGCTGTTAGTCTCCATAAATGTAACAACAAAGATTTCAAATAGTCGTAATTTCAACCAATGGAGCTAATTGATTGTGTCCTGTCTAGACTGCAAGGTTCTTGTTTACACATCTTTATATCCCCTCGGCTCCTCACCCAGTGCCCTGTACTAAAGAGATGATCAATAATAGTGGTTGACATACCACCAGCAGCTTTAATTTGTACAAATTAATGAAAGGAAATGTGAGGTCTATTGTCGCAGTTCCTTTGTGTGCTGTATGTACCCAAGAGAATGAGGCTAGCATGATATCAATGTCCTGGAAATGCGTTTAAACAAACACAAAAGTTTTCTTACTCTCCAGGCTGTTCTTTTCCGTATAAAGCCATAGTAAAGCTTCATTTAATTAGCAAAATGTGAATAAGAAAAATATAACCAATTAAGAGGGTGAATACAATAACCTAGGAGAGACAGCATGAGATGAAAATAGACACATGAACGGGTTTGTTGCAGGAAGGGATACATGTCCACCATCAAGATAAGATTGGGGACCCAATAGGATTTTGGAGCAAAGGAGAGGAAGGAGTCTAGAATGACAAGAAGGTTTCAAGCAATGCCCTATTGGCCTTAAAAACTGCTTTGTTCTTTTGCTGGAGAAGATGATATTTTATGTTTTAGTTATAATTAGTTTGGAGATTTAGTGGGGGTTCTTGGGTGGGCACTAGCATTTGGGGAATGTACTCTTATTCTTTGACAAGAGAATTTGGGGATGTATAGAAAATAATTAGACTCAATAACAGACACAGTGTTCAGATTGTTCTGGAGCCCAGTCATACCTGTATCTTTGCCCTAGGTTATTTAGGTATATAGTGGTGGGACACAGGGTGACACTGCAAAGAGTGCTTAATATCACTTAACTGTGATAAATATTCTATGTTGAAATCAGGAACAAGTCAAGGATGCCCATGTCATCACTTACACACATTATCCTGGAGGTTCTAGTCAATGGACAAAAGATTATGGAAAAAAATTACATATAAAAATTAGAAAATAAGAAGAAACGAAGACAAATTATTAGAATAAAATAGAATATTAAAACAAAAAATTAATTGCACTTTTATATATCAGTAATAAGTTAGAAAAGGAACATTTTTAATAATAAAAATAAAAGACAAGAAGAACTAAAACTATTAAAAGAATTGCAAGACATTTATGGATCAATTTTTTAAACTTTATTTTAAAAATGTAATGACTTATATGTCATTAAAGAAGACATATAAATGGAGAGATATACCATATTCATGGTTGCTGCTTCTTGGTAAATTGGTCTATGAATTTATTGCAATTCTTATCAAAATCCCAAAAGCATTTGTGGTAGACCTGACAAGTTGACTATAGAATTAAAGGAGGAACAATACATTAAGTGGTGCTAAGACATTGGTTGCTGTGTGAAAAAGAAAAGAGAACAGGAAAGTGCTTCACATCATATAAAAATCAATCTTGTTTGGGTTAAGAATGAAAGTGTAGAAATCAAAATTAGAACTCTGAAAAAAAATTGAAGAATATCTTTATGAACTTGAGATAGGAATGATATTTTTAAAAAGACACACCTCAAACAAAAGATTGGTAAGTGGGCTATATTAATTACTTGAATTTCTTTTCATCAGAGGAAAGTAGAAAATAAGCTATAATTATGTAAGGAAAATATATTTTAAACACACGTAATCTAATAAAGAATTTATATCTGGAATATATCCAACAAATAATAAAAATATCACCAAAGGAAAAAAATCTCAAAAGAAAAATACTTATCCTGTCTAAATATTTTTAGATACTATGTAGATAGGCAGCAATGTCTGTCTAAATATTTCAATTTACCCAGTAGAAAGATGGGCGAAGGAAGAAATGAAAAGATAATTCATAGAAAAAGAAACAAAAATGACCAATAGGTTTATGAAAAGATGGTCATTCTCACTAGCAATGAAGGAAATGTAAATGCAATAAGATACCTTTCTGTTTTTCATCCACCAAACTTGCAAAAACTAGACTAACAATATCAGAGATTGTGAGAATATGGTCAATGGCATTATTTATGCATTGATGGAGGCATACACTGGTCCAAACAAACAGGAAAACAATGTGGCATAATATACTAAATTTGATGATGCACAACTTTTAAGACCTAATAATTCAACTAGCTATATATTCTCAAGAAAGAACTTGCTTATGTGCACAAGAGGACATAAGTACATGTGTCTCCAATTCAAAGAAATGTCTGCGATATGGTTTGGAGCTGTGTCCCCACCAAATGTCATACTGAATTGTATAGTCCCCAGAGTTGAAGGTGGGGCCTCATGGGAGGTGATTGGATCACGGGGTGGCTTTCTCATGAATGGCTTAGCACCATCCCCCTTGGTACTATCCTTGTGACAGTGAGTGGGTTCTCACAAGATCTGGTTGTTTTAAACGTGTGTAGCACGTCCTCCCTCTCCTCCTCTCTCGGTCCTGCTCCCGCCACGTAAGATGCCTCACTCTCCCTTTGCCTTCCGTAATGATTGGAAGCTTCCTGAGGCCTCCCTAGAGGCAGAAGCCACTAGGCTTCCTGTATAGTGGGCAGAACCTTGAGCCAATTAGATCTCTTCTATTTATAAATTACCCAGTCTCCATTATTTCTTTATAGCAGTGCAAGAATGGCCTAATACAATTTGTAAGTCAAAGCAAAATCTATGAAAATGACCATCAACAAAAATCTGGATAAAGAATTATATTTCTGTCAATTGGTCTATATATAACCTTACTTTATGTGTGATTGTTTTTAAAACACCATATTTAATATAATGGCAGACCTAGTTTTATTATACTTCGTTTATTGCATTTCTTGCACATTGAAGATTTGTGGCAATCCTGCACTGGGTAAGTCTGTTGGAGCTGTTTTTCAAACATCAGGGACTCACTTCATGTCTTTGTGTCACATTTTAGTAATTCTCATGCTATTTCATACTTTTTCATTATTATTATATCTGTTACGGTGATCTGTGATTAGTGATCTTTAATGTTACTATTGTAAGTGTTTTGGGGTGCCATAAATGGTGCCCATATAAGACTTAATCGATAAATGTTGTGTGTGTGTCCTGATTGTTCCACCAACAGGCCTTTTCCCTGTCTCTCTTCTTCTCCTTGGGCCCCCCTATTCCCTGTGACATGACAATATTGAAATTAGGCCAATTAATAAGCCTACAGTGGCCTCTAAATGTTCAGGTGAAAGGAAGAGTCACATTTCTTCCACTTTAAATCAAAGGCTAGAAAAAAATAAGCTCAGTGAGAAAGGCAGGTCAAAAGCTGAGACAGGCCAAAAGCTAGGCCTCTTGTGCCAAACAGCCAAGTTGTGAATACAAAGGAAAAGGTCTTGAAGAAAATTTAAAGTGCTACTTCAGTGGACACCCAGATGAAAAGAAAACAACACAGTTTGTTGCTGATATGAAGAAAGTTTGTGGTCTGGATAGAAGATCAAACCAGATACAATATTTCCTTAAGCCAAAGCCTGATCCAGAGACAGGCCCTAACTCTCTTCAATTCCCTGAAGGCTGAGAGAGGTGAGGGAGATGCAGAAGGAAAGTTGGATGCTAATAGAGGTTGGTTCATGATGTTTAAGGAAAGAAGGCATTTCCAGAACATAAAAGTGCAAAGTGAAGCAGCAAGTGGAAGCTGCAGCAAGTTATCTGGAAGAACTAGCTAAGGTTATTGATGAATGTGGGTACACTAAACAACAGAAAAACAGTCTTATATTTGAAGAAGATGTCCCTTCGGACTTTCATAGCTAGAGGAGAGAAGTCAATGTCTGGCTTCAAAGCTTTAAAGATCAGGTTGACTCTCTTGTTAGGGGCTAGTTCTGATGGAGAGATACAAGGAGAGTAATGTTGTTTTCATGCTTGCTAACACAACATCCATTCTGCAGCCCATGGATCAAAGTGTAATTTTGACTTCCAAGTATTATTATTTGAGAAGCACTTTTGTAAGGCTATACCTGCTATAGATCATGATTCTTCCGATGGATCTGGGCAAAGTAAGTTGAAAATCTTCTGGATAGGAGTTACCATTCCCTACATCCTTAATAACATTTGTGATTCATAGGAGGAAGTCAAAATATCAACATTAATAGGAACTTAGAAGAATTTGATTCCAGCCCTCATGAATGACTTTTGAAGGGTTCAAGACTTCCATGGAGGAAGTCATTGCATGTGTGGTTGAAATAGCAAGAGAACTAGAATTAGCAGTTGACCCTGATGATGTGACTGCATTGCTGCAATCTCATGATAAAACTTTAACTGATGGGTTGCTTCTTATGTATGAACAAAGAAAGTGGTTTCTTGAGATGGAGTCTACTCCTAGTGAAGATGTTGAAATGAAAACAAATGATTTAGTTGATAAAACAGTGGCAGAGTTTGAGAGGATTGACTGCAATTCTGAAAGTTTTACTGTGGATAAAATGCTATCAAACAATATTGCATACTACAGAGAAATCTTCCATGAAAGGAAGAACCAATCAATGTGGCACACTTTGATTTTAAGAAATCTTATTTTGGGTTCTGTTCTAAGATGGCCGATTAGGAACAGCTCCAGTCTGCAACTCCCAGCATGACTGACGCAGAAGACGGGTGATTTCTGCGTTTCCAACTGAGGTACCTGGTTCATCTCACTGGGACTGGTTGGACAGTGGTTGAAGCCCATGGAGGGTGAGCCGAAGCAGGGCAGGGTGTTGCCTCACCTGGGAAGCACAAGGGGTCAGGGGATTTCCCTTTCCTAGCCAAGGGAAGCCGTGACAGACAGTACCTGGAAAAATGGGACACTGCCACTCAAATATTGCACTTTTCCCATGGTCTTAGCAACCGGCAGACCAGGAGATTCTCTCCTGTGCCTGGCTTGGCACATCCCACACCCACAGAACCTTGCTCACTGCTAGTGCAGCAGCCTAGATCCATCTGCGAGGCTGCAGCCTGGCTTGGGGAGGGGTGTCCACCATTGCTGAGGCTTAGCTAGGTAAACAAAGCGGCTGGAAAGCTTGAACTGCAACTCAGCAAGGCCTACTGCCTCTATAGACTCCACCTCTGTGGGCAGGGCACAGCTGAACAAAAGGCAGCAGAAACTTCTGCAGACTTAAACGTCCCTGTCGGACAGCTCTGAAGAGAGCAGTGGTTCTCCCAGCATGGCGTTTGAGCTCTGAGAATGGACAGACTGCCTCCTCAAGTGGGTCCCTGACCCCTGTGTAGCCTAACTGCAAGACGTCACCCAGTAGGGGCTGACAGACACCTCATACATGCGGGTACCCCTCTGGGATGAAGCTTCCAGAGGAAGGATCAGGCAGCAATATTTGCTGTTCTGCAGCCTCCACTGGTGATACCCAGGCAAACAGGGTCTGGAGTGGACCTCCAGCAAACTCCAACAGACCTGCAGCTGAGGGACCTGACTTTTAGAAGGAAAACTAAAAAACAGAAAGGAATAGCATCAACATCAACAAAAAGGACATCTACAACAAAACCTCATCTGTAGGTCACCAACATCAAAGACCAAAGGTAGATAAAACCACAAAGATGGGGAGAAATCAGAGCAGAAAAGCTGAAAATTCTAGAAACCAGAGAGCCTGTTCTCCTCCAAAGGATCACAGCTCCTTGCCAGCAACAGAACAAAGCTGGATGGAGAATGACTTTGACAAGTTGACAGAAGTAGACTTCAGAAGGTCGGTAATAACAAACTTCTCCGAGCTAAAGGAGCATGTTCTAACCCATAGCAAGGAAGCTAAAAACCTTGAAAAAAGGTTAGACAAATGGCTAACTAGAAGAAACAGTGTAGAGAAGGCCTTAAATGACCTGATGGAGCTGAAAACCATGGCACGAGAACTTCATTACACATGCACAAACTGCAATAGCCGATTTGATCAAGTGGAAGAAAGGGTATCAGTGATTGAAGATCAAATTAATGAAATAAAGCAAGAAGACAAGTTTAGAGAAAAAAGAGTAAAAGAAATGAACAAAGTCTCCAAGAAATATGGGACTATGTGAAAAGACCAAATCTACATTTGATTGGTGTGCCTGAAAGTGATGGGGAGAATGGAACCAAGTTGGAAAACACTCTTCAGGATATTATCCAGGAGAACTTCCCCAACCTAGCAAGGCAGGCCAACATTCAAATTCAGGAAATACAGAGAACACCACAAAGATACTCCTCGAGAATAGCAACCCCAAGACACATAATTGTCAGATTCGCCAAGGTTGAAATGAAGGAAAACATGTTAAGGGCAGCCAGAGAGAAAGGTCGGGTTACCCACAAAGGGAAGTCCATCAGACTAACAGCGAATCTCTTGGCAGAAACCCTACAAGCCAGAAGAGAGTGGGGGCCAATATTCAACATTCTTAAATAAAAGAATTTTCAACCCAGAATTTCATATCCAGCCAAACTAAGCTTCATAAGTGAAGAAGAAATAAAATCCTTTACAGACAAGCCAATGCTGAAAGATTTTGTCACCACCAGGTCTGCCTCACAAGAGCTCCTGAAGGAAGCACTAAATATGGAAAGGAACAGCTGGTACCAGACACTGCAAAAACATGCCAAATTGTAAAGACCATCAAAGCTATGAAGAAATTACATCAATTAATGGGCAAAATAACCAGATAACACCATAATGACAGGATCAAATTCACACATACAATATCAGCCTTAAATGTAAATGGGCTAAATGCCCCAATTAAAAGACACAGAGTGGCAAATCGGATAAAGAGTCAAGACCCATCAGTGTGCTGTATTTGGGAGACCCATCTCACGTGCAGAGACACACATAGGATCAAAATAAAGCAATGGAGGAAGATCTACCAAGAAAATGGAAAGCAAAAAAAAGCAGGGGTTGCAATCCTAGTCTTGGATAAAACAGACTTTAAACCAACAAAGATCAAAAGAGACAAAGAAGGCCATTACACAATGGTAAAGGGATCAATTCAACAAGAAGAGCTAACCTAAATATATATGCACCCAATACAGGAGCACCCAGATTCATAAAGCAAGTCCTTAGAGACCTAGAAAGAGACTTAGACTCCCACACAATAGTAATGGGAGACTTTAACACCCCACTCTTAATATTAGACAGCTCAATGAGACAGAAGGTTATAAAAGATATCCAGGACTTGAACTCAGCTCTGGACCAAGCCCACCTAATAGACATCTACAGAACTCTCCACCCCAAATCAATAGAATATACATTCTTCTCAGCACCACAGCACACTTATTCTAAAATTGACCACATAATTGGAAGTAAAGCACTCCTCAGCAAATGTAAAAGAACAGAAATAACAACAAACTGTCTCTCAGACCACAGTGCAATCAAATTAGAACTCAGGATTAAGAAATTCACTCAAAACTGCACAACTACATGGGAACTGAACAACCTGCTCCTGAGTGACTACTGGGTACATAATGAAATGAAGGCAGAAATAACGATGTTCTTTGAAACCAATGAGAACAAAGACACAACATACCAGAATCTCTGGGACGCATTCAAATCAGTGTGTAGAGGGAGATTTATAGCACTAAATGCCCACAAGAGAAAGCAGGAAAGATCTAAAATTGACACCCTAACATCACAATTAAAAGAACTAGAGAAGCAAGATCAAATTCAAAAGCTAGCAGAAGGCAAGAAATAACTAAGACCAGAGCAGAATGGAAGGAGATAGAGACATAAAAAACCCTTCAAAAAAATCAATGAATCCAGGAGCTGGTTTTTTGAAATATCAACAAAATTGATAGACCACTAGCAAGACTAATAAAGAAGAAAAGAGAGAAGAATCAAATAGACACAATAAAAAATGATAAAGGGTATATCACCACTGATCCCACAGAAATACAAACTACCATTAGAGAATACTATAAACACCTCTACATGAATAAACTAGAAAATCTAGAAGAAATGGATAAATTCCTGGACACATATACCCTCCTAAGACTAAACCAGGAAGAAGTTGAATCTCTGAATAGACCAATAACAGGCTTTGAAATTAAGGCAATAATTAATAGTCTACCAACCAAAAAAAGTCCAGGACCAGGCAGATTCACAGCCGAATTCTACCAGAGGTACAAAGAGGAGCTGGTGCCACTCCTTCTGAAAGTGTTCCAATCAATAGAAAAAGAGGGAATCCTCCCTCATTTTATGAGACCAGCATCATCCTGATACCAAAGCCTGGCAGAGACACAACGAAAAAGATAATTTTAGACCAATATCCCTGATGAACATTGATGCAAAAATCCTCAATAAAGGACTGGCAAACCGAATCCAGCAACACATCAAAAAGCTTATCCACCATGATCAAGTTGGCTTCATCCCTGGGATGTAAGGCTGGTTCAACATACACAAATCAATAAACGTAATCTATCACATAAATGACAAAAACCACATGATTATCTCAATAGATGCAGAAAAGGCCTTTGACAAAATTCAACAGCCTTTCATGCTAAAAACTCTCAATAAACTAGGTATTGATGGAACGTATCTCAAAATAATAAGAGCTATTTATGAAAAACCCACAGCCAATATCATCTGAATGGGCAAAAACTGGAAGCATTCCCTTTGAAAACTGGCACAAGACAGGGATGCCCTCTCTCACCACTCCTATTCAACATAGTGTTGGAAGTTCTGGCAGGGCAATCAGGCAAGAGAAAGGAATAAAGGGTATTCAATTAGGAAAAGAGGAAGTCAAATTGTCCCTGTTTGCAGATGACATGATTGTATATTTAGAAAACCCCATCATCTCAGCCTAAAATCTCCTTAAGCTGATAAGCAACTTCAGCAAAGTCTCAGGATACAAAATCAATGTGCAAAAATCACAAGCATTCCTATATACCAATAACAGACAAACAGAGAGCCAAATCATGAGTGAACTCCCATTCACAATTACTACAAAGAGAATAAAATACCTAGGAATCCAACTTACAAAGGATGTGAAGGACCTCTTCAAACTACAAACCACTGCTCAATGAAATAAAAGAGGATACAAACAAATGGAAGAATATTCCATGCTCATAGATACGAAGAATGGATATCGTGAAAATGGCCATACTGCCCAAGGTAATTTATAGGTTCAATGCCATCCCCATCAAGCTACCAGTGACTTTCTTCACAGAATTGGAAAAAACTACTTTAAAGTTCATATGGAACCAAAAAAGAGCCCGCATTGCCAAGACAATCCTAAGCTAAAAGAACAAAGCTGGAGACATCATGCTACCTGACTTCAAACTATACTACAAGGCTACAGTAACCAAAACAGCATGGTACTGGTACCAAAACAGAGATATAGACAAATGGAACAGAACAGAGGCCTCAGAAATAACACCACACATCTACAACCATCTGATCTTTGACAAACCTGATAAAAACAAGCAATGGGGAGAGGACTCCCTATTTAATAAATGGTGTTGGGAAAACTGGCTAGCCATATGTAGAAAGCTGAAACTGGATCCCTTCCTTACACCTTATACAAAAATTAATTCAAGATGGATTAAAGACTTAAATGTTAGACCTAAAACCATAAAAACCCTAGAAGAAAACCTAGGCAATACCATTCAGGACATAGGCATGGGCAAGGACTTCATGACTAAAACACCAAAAGCAATGGCAACAAAAGCCAAAATAGACAAATGGGATCCAATTAAACTAAAAAGCTTCTGCATGGCAAAAGAAACTATCATCAGAATGAACAGGCAACCTACGGAATGGGAGAAAATTTTTGCAATCTACCCATCTGACAAAAGGCTAATATCTAGAATCTACAAAGAACTTAAACAAATTTACAAGAAAAAAGTAAACAATCCCATCAAAAAGTGGGCAAAGGATATGAGCAGACACTTCTCAAAAGAAGACATTTATGCAGCCAATAGACACGTGAAAAAATGCTCATCATCAATGGTCATCAGAGAAATGCAAAACAAAACCACGATGAGATACCATCTCACACCAGTTAGAATGGTGATCATTAAAAAGTCAGGAAACAACAGATGCTGGAGAGGATGTGAATAAATAGGAACCCTTTTACACTGTTGGTGGGAGTGTAAATTAGTTCAACCATTGTGGAAGACAGTGTGGCGATTCCTCAAGGATCTAGAGCTAGAAATACCATTTGACCCAGTGATCCCATTACCGGGTATATACCCAAGGGATTATAAATCATGCTACTATAAAGACACATACACACGTATGTTTATTGCGGCACTATTCACAATAGCAAAGACTTGGAACCACCCCAAATGTCTATCAATGATAGACTGGATTAAGAAAATGTGGCACATATACACCATAAAAAGGGATGAGTTCATGTCCTTTGCAGGGACATAGATGAAGCTGGAAACCATCATTCAGAGCAAACTATTACAAGGACAGAAAACCAAACACCACGTGTTCTCACTCATAGGTGGGAATTGAACAATGAAAACACTTGGACACATGGCAGGGAAGGTCACACACTGGGGCCTGTTGGGGGTGGGGGGCTGGGGGAAGGGTTAGCGTTAGGAGAAATACCTAATGTAAGTAACGAGTTGATGGGTGCAACAAACCAACATAGCACATGTATACCTATGTAACAAATCTACACGTTGTGCACATGTACCCTAGAACTTAAAGTATAATAAAAAGAGAGAAAAAAAGAAATCTTATTTTGTCTTTAAGAAATTTCCACAGCCACCCCAACTTTCAGCAACCAACACCCTCATCAATCAGCAGCCAACAACATTGAGGCAAGACCCTCCACCAGCAAAGGTTAGGACTTGCTAAAGGCTCTCATGATCACTGGCATTTTTAGCAAGTATTTTTTACTTCAGGTATGTACATTTTTTTTAAACATAATAAGATTGCCCACCTAATAGATTACAGTACAGTAGTAAATACAATTTTATATGCTCCAGAAAACCAAAAACTTTGTGCCACTTGCTTTATTGAGATATTCACTTTACTGTGGTGGTCTGGAACTGCACCTACAGTATCTCTGAGGAGTGCCTGCACGTTGTTGCTTTGTTTTTTCTGTTTATTGTTTATTGTTTTTTGTTTTTTGAGGTGGAGTCCGACTCTGTCGCCCAGGCTGGAGTGCAGTGGTGTGATCTGGGCTCACTGCAAGCTCCGCCTCCCGGGTTCACGCCATTCTCCTGCCTCAGCCTCCTGAGTAGCTGGCACTACAGGCACCTGCCACCATGCCCGGCTAATTTTTTGTATTTTTGGTAGAGACGGAGTTTCACCGTGTTAGCCAGGATGGTCTTGATCTCCTGACCTCCCAAAGTGCTGGGATTACAGGTGTGAGCCACCCTGCCCGGCCAGTTGCTTTGTTAACATTGCACTCACTGCCAATAGCACTGCTCATATTTGGACTCATGTAATTCAAATGTTCAAGATGTTTTGGAAGTTATGTTGCTGAATCAGGAAAGAGATGCTTGCTTCTCATGTACAAGTGGCCCAGTGACTAAACTGGTATTAAATTATAGGTTAGGTCACATGCCCTTGTATCACTAGTCTATTGGTGATGCAATTCTGATATTAAAAAGGGTTACGAATATTGAAGCTTTTCTGGCTATTTGGAAAATATGTTTATGTTCTACCAGGCTCATGGACTTTAGATTTCCATCACCTTTATTTTATTTTATTTTTTTTAGACAGAGTCTCATTCTGACACCCAGGCTGGAGCACAGTGGTGCAATCTTGGCTCACTGCAACCTTGGCCTCCCGGGTTCAAGCGATTCTTCTGCCTCAGCCTCCAGAGTAGCTGATATTATAGGCATGTGCCACCATATGCCACTAATTTTTGTATTTTTAGTAGAGATGGGGTTTCACTGTGTTGGCCAGGCTGGTCTCAAATGCCTGACCTCAAATGATCTACCTGTCTCAGCCTCCCAAAGTGCTGGGATTACAGGTGTGAGCCACCATGCCAGGCCCATTATCTTGTTTTTACTTGTCTGTTTCCAAAGAAGGGGTGAGTTAACAAGAAACTTAGAGGGCATAATTTTATCCTTAAAGATCTCCTTGCCTCAAAAAAGCAGCAGTTGTAAATAGCTTAAGGTCATTTGACCTCAAAATCATGTTGCTTCTGTGCCCTTGGTGCTTGGTTTAAGAACACATCCTCAACACTTAAAATCCTTTCCTCTCCCTCTTCCTTGAATAGATGGTCATCTTCCTCTCTTTTCTACTCTGTTCAAAAACTAAAATTGGCAGAACACATTTGTTTGCAAGAAACCCAGTTGCTCTGCTGGTGGGACATGCAACCTGCTGTCTTCAAGTAAAGAAGTTTCCAGAAATATTAAGACAAACGCTTAACCATTAGTAGATTGGCAATAAAAACGTTAAAAATGGTCAAGCCATTACTTCAGCGTTTCTGAATATAGGGCATTTAGGGGAGGGGCATCATTCTAAAGATAAAGCATTCGGTCCTATTTAGCTGGAGTTACAGCCCCCCACCGCCTAAACAACAATGGGACTAGTGGTATATCTCAGAGATTTGGGAGAAATCTTTAAACAAGAACCCATTGCTGCTCTGGAATATTCATTTCCTTCCTGACCACTTTCAGTTAATAGAGTGAAAGTTAAAAGCATCAAACTCATGCAAGAGCTTTTATGAAAATGAATGTATCAAACAAATGGATCTTTAAAAAAATCTGAGAGTTGATGCACGCTAATAATATTAGCTTCAATTATATTTAGCCTTTTTCAAATAAAGCCCTTGCAAATAGATAAGAGATAACTGCTTCCATTTCCGCTCCTCCCACCCTCATCCTCCTTTATGCAGAATGACTCATGGGTTAGTCTGAGGCCCAAACAGCAAGCAAAGAAATCGACAAAAGCACAGAGGAAAGATGGTGCCTCTGTTTTTCCTTCCTTTAAGTGCTGACAGAAAGGTCTCCCAAGAGATGCTGAAATTGGTCAGGATGTTGGATTCTCTCTCTCTGGCAAATTCCATTCTTTATACTTATTGTCTTCCTTGCCCCATTGTCATTTTCTGCGATTAAGTAAAAATAAATGTTAGCGTCATTAGGAAGGTGAGATAATTCCGCAGTGCATGCTAATTCGCCCTGGTCTGTCTGCAGTGTGTTTTCAAATCCCAAGCCCAGCTCATTTTGTTTCTGGATCTTTAGAAAACACTATTTATAACATTAGTTGTCACCCCTATTAAAGACACTTTCTGGAAGTGATAATGAACCTTGCCGTGTTTATACAAGAGGGTGTGTCTCAGTAAATCACATCCTTGCCTTTGCATATCATTAGTGTTTTCAAGCCAGCCTGGAATACCTGCAGATTGGGTGGGAGAAGGAAAAAACAGTTTACAGATGCCTGATAACTAACCACAGAAGCTTCATAGTTTTTCCCCTAGACTGAATCACTTGTCAGAGAAAATTATGTTGATAACTTTCATGCAGTTACATTGATAACAAATTAACACTTGAAGTCACCATATGCATTAATTGTAGTGATGCAAGTCAACTTTCCTGCTGTTCATTAATATCCATCTGGGTAATAACAATTTCCGTCATGGAGCAGAGACAATAGGGAGGCCTCTCTCACCGTCTGGAAACTGACACCTTTACTCCCTATTTTCATCTTTCATTCCTACCCTGAGATTGCTGGTTGCAGTGTCTCATAGCAGTTTATGACATTACTACTGATTACAACATAATGAATCTTCATTGATTAAATGCGGTTTACATGGGATTGTCAGAGATGGATCAGGGAGCATGCAAATAGAAATTGTAACCACTAATGAATGCTAGGCCTATGCCTACTTATCCTGGAACGCAATGACAATGTAGAGAAAAGTAATTCAAGCCCTGCATATAGGGCTAACTTACTCATTTTCTAAAACAAATTAACAATCAATTCAGTAAAATAACGGATTTGATGAATTTTCAAGTTAGAATCAGCTAATGTAATCATTGGAGTCTGCAAATCATAAAACTTTTTCTTTGTGTGACTATAAGCTCAAGAATTTTTGTTTTCAGTGATTTCCTTATCATTTTGGTTTTATGTACAGGTCACAATGACAGTTACTTTGACAACTGTAAACTCAGTTAATGGTTTGGCAAAGAAGCCCTGTCCTGTTAGTCATTCTATTCATAAATCTGCAATTAGCACTCAGCTAGTAATTGTACGTATACAAAACCAAACTGTACTATCCAGAATATTCTTAGTTAAGAGGTTAAACTCCGGGTTCCCTGTTCCTCTTGACTCTGTGATACAGGATGAAGTTAAGAATATTAAAAAAAATGTAGACTCTCAACATACTTGAAATCCCTCATAATAGAAAATGTTATTTAGGGCAAGTTAATATCACATTAACTAACTTAGAGGAGAGAAAAGGTTTTTGTTTTTACTTTTGTCTTTTAATTTTGTGGAGCTTAGGCCTTTGTGGGAAAAAGTCATCAAAGTTTGGCACACACTTACTGAATTAACATATTGAGTTAAGCTAAACTATACATTAAGAGAATACATCAAATAATTCACAATCTAGGAATTGGTCCAATTTGTGGAAGATGATTTGTTGTAAATTTATGGGGCAGTCCTCTTAGGGGAGGTTAGGAGCGGGGACAAAGGATACCCAAGAATTCAATTACCTGATGCAATAAATATGGAATGTATGATAATTGGTCTAGAGGCTGGGCTGAAGTTTATCCTCATATATTAATCACAAAACATTTGACTAAGATAAGGAACAACATGAAAACTGTTTCAGTTCCTAAAATTAAAAATAATTCAAATAATTCATTAAGTATAAACACTTCATATTTTCTAATTATATGTGATCCTTAAATAGTCATTAAAGCAAAGTTAACTGAACTGCTACTAGCCTATATTTTGTTGGTCTATTTCTAGTTACTGCATTTCCCTGAAAGACAGAAACTGGACTTTTGAAGTCTTCTGAAATCCTAACTTGCCTTTCTCCCCAGTAATTAGACTGTACCATGATAATTAGACTGTACCATGAGAATTCGTCTCTGCTTCAGGATTAGAGTGTAGCAGAGCTCAGCACATTCGTTTTAGGTTGACTTTCATGGATTTCTTAATCCCATTGCACATTTCCTGTCTACAGAACCAGAGGAAGAGTTACTTGTGAATTTCCTTACAAGACCGCTTTACCAAGTGACCCTTTCATTGTTATTGTAGGAATAGTTCAGATTTTCTAGGATCACCTTAAAGGCTATTTGCCTCTCAGTTGTTTTTACATATTGGTGCTAAAAACACCCCACCAAACATGACATACATCTGTCATCGTACCATAATCCACATTAAATTTCTGAAGTTACCATCAGGTGCTCAATGTATTCCTCTTCTTGTCTTCCTTCCCTGCCCCATCCAGGCAAATTTATGTGCTGCTCTCCTTGCTACCTTTCTGGCTCTTTCTAAACCATGCTTTCATTCCATCTGTCTCCACCTCTCACTGAAATGGCAAGTCTCTTTTGACAGCACTACAGAGTTAGGTTAAGACCTCTAAAGAGAAAAAGAATGGGTCAACACCAATATTCTCATTTAATGCAGTGAATTACAGTCTGACACTCAAAATAGCATATATTCCCCTGCTCTTACCTGATATAGTGGATGAGGTGAAATAAATTATTTTCACTCCTTAAGCTGTAATTTATCCATGTGCTGATGAAAAACTGCACAAGGCTGCCACTCATGGAGGATGGTATTCTTCCCCAAGTTTGGAAGTAAGGCAAGCTGTTAATAGTAAATATTTAAGATTAAATCCAAACCTCTGATTGGAATTACACTCCTTTCTTACTGGGCAAATAATAATTTAAGAAATAATAAAAATCCCTGGTGAGTGCATTATTGAGCAGCAGCCATGCCCCAGGCTTTGATTTTAGTGCTAGGGTGTATAGTAAGTGGTGAGTAAATGTTAGTCACTATTATTACTTAGCATTTATTAATTAATTAATTAATTAATTAATTTTTTTTTTTTTTGAGACGGAGTCTCGCTCTGTCGCCCAGGCCGGACTGCGGACTGCAGTGGCGCAATCTCGGCTCACTGCAAGCTCTGCTTCCCGGGTTCACGCCATTCTCCTGCCTCAGCCTCCTGAGTAGCTGGGACTACAGGCGCCTGCCACCGCACCCGGCTAATTTTTTGTATTTTTAGTAGAGACGGGGTTTCACCTTGTTAGCCAGGATGGTCTCGATCTCCTGACCTCGTGATCCACCCACCTCGGCCTCCCAAAGTGCTGGGATTACAGGCGTGAGCCACCGCGCCCGGCCTATTAATTTATTTTGATCCGTGTTATGGTTTGAGTGTTTGGCCCCTCCAAACCTCAGGTTGAAATTTGATGCCCACTGTTGGAGGTGGGGCCTAACAGAAGGTGTTTGGGTCATGGACAGACAACTCATGAATAGATTAATGCCCTCCCTTGGGAAGGAGTGAGCTCTCAATCCATTCATGATTGCAAGAGCTGGTTTTTAAAAAGAGCCTGGCATCCCCTCTCCCCTTTGATTCTTCTCTCACCAGGTGATCTCTGCACATCCCTGCTCCCCTTTGCCTTCTGCCATGAAGCCCTCACCAGATGCAGATGCCCAATCTTCCTGAACTTTTCAGCCATCAGAATCATAAGTCAAATAAAGATTTTTTTTTTTTTTGAATATAGGCCGGGTGCAGTGGCTCACTTCTGTAATCCTAGCACTTTGGGAGCCTGAGGTGGGTGGATCACGAGGTCAGGAGATCCAGACCATCCTGGCTAACACGGTGAAACCCTATCTCTACTAAAAATACAAAAAAATTAGCTGCAACTGGTGGCGGGTACCTGTAGTCCCAGCTACTCAGGAGGCTGAGGCAGGAGAATGGCGTGAACCTGGGAGGTGGAGCTTGCAGTGAGCCCAGATTGCACCACTGCATTCCAGCCTGGGCAACAGAGTGAGACTCCTTCTCAAAAAAAAAAAAAAAAAAAAGAAATATATATAAATTACCCAGACTCAGGTATTCCTTTTTAGCAACAGAAAATGGACTAAGACACCTCACAACTACTATGTGAATTTAATGTCATCTCATTTAACAGATGTATTTGTTTGCTAAGGATGCCATAGCAAAACGCCATAGATGGGCTGCCTTAAACAATAGAAATTAATTTTATCATGGTTCTGGAGGTTGGAAGTCCAAGATCAAAGTGTCAGCAAAGTTGATTTCTTCCGAGGCCTCTCTCCTTGGCTTGCAGTTGGCCACCTTCTTGCTTTGTCCTCACATGGTCATTTATCTGTGTGTGTCTATGTGCTAATCTCATCTTCATACAAGGACAGTAGTTATATTGAACTAGGGACCACCCTAAAAACCTCATTTAAACTTAATTTACCTTTGTTAACACCCTTTATCCAAATAGTTACATTCTAAGGTACTGGAGGTTAGGACTTCAACATACAAATCTTGGGGGACATGATTTAGTCCAAATAGCAGACGAGAATACAGAGACACGTGCAGAGCCAACCTGTGATTCCAGGCAGTGAGCTCAGGGGCTGTGTTCTTAATCATTACACGGTCATGTATTTTGAATAAAATATAATGCCAGCATATGTACTTTTGGCATCTCTTACTAGTTATCTCAATGCATTTTTAATTTCTATGTAATCAGTATTGATCAAAATAGTCAGGAAATTAGGTTAGTTCATTTTTTTTCTAATTCATTAAGCATTAAGCATAATATTTTTGATTTCATACTTTGTTTAAAAATGTTCTAGGATGAATGTCTCCTTTCATCCTTTACTATGTGGACTTTGTAACAATGACTGAAATCCTATTTTGTGATTGAGGACTTTATGATCTGTGAATGAGGTAAATATTCTGAGTATTAATTTGAATTGTACAGTGCTGTTGCCACTGAAGGTGTGAGAGGCTGAGTCAACTAAGGGCACAGTGTTGTCTTGTCATTGCCTTTTTCTCATAGAAGGAATAGGTACATATATACACATATGTGGTTAATTGAGGCTGTGGTAGGTTAATGCTAATTTGAAGATTTTAGCATTATCTAAAAATACAGAGATTTTGTTGAGATTAAATTCTACAAATTATTGCATATTTTTCTTG
This sequence comes from Homo sapiens, assembly GCF_000001405.40. Taxonomy (NCBI): domain Eukaryota; kingdom Metazoa; phylum Chordata; class Mammalia; order Primates; family Hominidae; genus Homo; species Homo sapiens. The sequence continues at coordinate 16,387,603 of NC_000005.10, read as the reverse complement.
ATGACATTTTCTTTTGCCAACAAAAAAGTTTCCATACTCCTAGGAAAGACTAATTATTCTGTAGCCATAGTAACAGGTAAGCACCAAAATGGATTTTAAACCTGTTTATTTGTAATAAGACAATTTCAAAGTAATGGAGCATGAGAAGTCATTGTAAACCTATTTAATCCATCAACAACTCCCCTCAGTAAATATGCTTCTGAAAGCCAAGTAATCAGCATCAGCCTTTTGCTTTGGAAAATCAGACAGTGGGAAATGGACTCCCTCCAATGAATAGCCTTCTAGCAGTGAACCCATCCACAACAGTCTCACCTGAGTAACTACGCTCCTACAGGTTACACTACCCTCCACTCCACCCATCAGTTACCTACTCTTCTTCTAAGAGATCACGCCCATCCAGCATAACTCTTCCTCACTTAAGGAAGGCATAAATTCAGTTTTGTGGGTTTTTGTTGTTGTGCTTTGTTTGTTTGTTTAAGACACTGAGAAGTGGTCTCATCCTTTGACACTTTATTGCTTCTCAGTAGCACTCAAATATTGACTGGTCTAAGGGCCTTCTGGCTCTCCTTTAGGTCCCTTTTTGGTAGAACATGTGGGAAAAATGACAACATGGCCTTCTTAACTCCTTTATTCCAACTGTCTTTATTGATTGAATTTCAAGCATAAGGCATAAGTAAATGATCTGTCTTTCTTGTGGCATGATACGAGATTAGCTCTAACTTCCAATGCCTGCAAAGTGGCAGATTAGATGTACAGAGAGACCTTTTCCAGTACAGCATACCTAAAAATCCTGCATAAAAATCAGCCTCTCACAGGGAGAGTGCAGGTAGAGTGAGGAGAAAGTAAAGGAATTTCTCCAAATCCTTTTAGAAACTTCAGGAAAATACAAATCCAAAAGGGCAGCGTAGCAGTGCTGGAGCCAATGTTTGTCCTGGGGGTATCTAGTAAAACCTGGAGATGGCTTTCTGGGTTTTAATGGGACAAAGACACAGGGACAGGGGACAAAGCCTGAGCCCCAACAGGGAAAGAGGGGGCATCCAGTCAGAGTTCCTGTGTAAATCTAACACCCCTAAAGTAGATAAATAGAAAAAAATTTGCCCTGCTGATAAAGAGCTTGGAGATACACACCAGAGATATATTTCTGTCTTAATCTTGGCTTTCAATAAATTGGATGAAAAAAATTTCCCACTTCTAATCACAGGCCTGTAATCGCAGGTTGGGGACCAAAATCCCTCTACCTGTTTGGTTGTAGAAGAATTAATTTACAGTAGTCTTGTGTTGGTAGTGCTTCTGGAAGGTTGGCAGAAGCAAATGTAAATACTCCCTAGATGAATACAATTTCAACTATAGCCTCAGAAATTTCTCATACAAAAATCCCCAGAGGGAGTGGGTTCAAAATTTCTTACAAAAATTAGGCAAAACCAAGCCATTATAAACAAAAGTCAGCAGCAAAAACAAAGCACAGAAGTAGACTTGCAAAGCCAGTAGACATTAAAAGGATAAGAAACAGAATGTAAAGGGAGTATGTTTGATATGTTTTCATAAAACAAAGTATTGAAAATATAATGAAGAAACAAGAGATCAACATTTACTAGGTGGATTTGGAAAAGAATCAGATAGAACTTTCTGATAGGAGAATACAATAATTGGAAGGCAGAGATGCCATGCTCTCAGGAGGTGGTAAGGGCGTCTGTTTACATGAAAGAATGCCAGGTCTCCCTGTGTACATTTATAAGGCTGGCTTTCCTACAGGTGAAATAGGGAAATCAGGGACACTGTTGTAAGAGGAAAAATCCCGATGCTTGATTTATAATAAAAGAGTCAGAACTCAATGGCAGTCCACAGATGTTCTGTGGTTTGGTTTTTACTGTCAGTCAGTTTCTCTTTCCTCTTCTAGTTATTGTGTGGCCCCTTGAGAGTCTAGGTGGTCATGACAGGGCTCATTTTCCCAAGGTTGATAGGCTAGCAAACAGGACCTTCTATAGTGAAAATGACCAAACTTTGAAATATCCCATCTCCCAAGCTTGGAATACAGACCACCAGAATAATTTCCTCTTTCTTTGTCGTACTTTACTTACTGTACTTTACCTTACTACTGGAAAATCTGCCCATTGTTTTTTTTTTCTGGATGATGAATTCATTATTAATTAACAAATATGTCTTTTCATTTCCTTGCCTATTGTTATTGCCCTAGTTCTGGTCCTCATTACCCCATTTGTTTCTTCAGCGAATGTTTTCTAATTGATCTATCTGTCTATAATCTTATTTTGCTCAAATTCTTTCTATACAAAACTCAAATGACATCTGACCATACCACTCTTCTTGGCAATAAAAGTCAAAGATTTCCCATAGTGTATAATCTGAAAGACCCAACTCCTGGTTCTCTCTGAGTGGGCCTGCCTACTTCTCCAATGCTATGTTCTGCAAATCTCTACTTTCTTCCTCGCCACTCTACCTTCATTCTCTTACACATTCCATGCTGCCTCTCACCTTCATAACTTTTCTCATGCTGTTTCTGCTGTCCTGAATGCTTGGCGAATTCTAAGTTATCATTTGAGATTGAGACTGTGTGTCACTCCTTCCAGGAAATCTTTTCTGACACTCCCCATGTCCTGCTGAGTTAGCAGCTCTCCTTAGTACTTCCATGTACGAAGCATTTCTTTCTATATCAGTGTCTTACAATATTATACTCTGATTATGTATCCACATGTTTGATTTCCTCATTGTAGCGTGAGCTCCACATTTTATCTAAGGGTCTACAGAGCTAGTCTGTATTTACTAAGTGTTTACTAAGAGCTCAATGAATTTTGTTCAATGAATAAATTATTACCCTTCCTCTAAGATTCAATTTTCTGAGATGGGACCTTCTTGAACTAATCATTCCTGGGAATTTAGTTTAACGTCAAACCTTGGATGTTCTCAATGTGTCTGTAATGTAGCAACCAAGTACAAAAAAGACAGACCTTGTCATTGGACACCTCATGTGTTGTGGCCACAAAATTGCTTATTCGCTTTTCATGAGCCTAGTTTTTCTTCATGATGAAACTAGAGAAAGTGATAAAAACCCTGGTAGCCAGTATCCAAATAGTTCCCAATGATCCCCACCCCTGTTATTCGTTCTTTGTGTAGTCCCCTCTTATATTAAATAGAATGACCTATGTAGCCAATAGGATATTGTGAAAATAACCACGTGACTTCCAAAGCCAGAATGTTCATAAAAAACATTGTGGTTCCATTGGTCTTGGATTATTCACTCTAGGGAAAGCTAGCTGATATGTTATGAGGACATTTGAGCAGCCCCATGGAGAAGTCCACGTGGAAGGAACTGAGGCCTCTTGCTACCGTTATGTGAGTGAGCCATCTTGGAAGCAGATCCTCCAGCCTGGTTGATCCTTTGGATGACTGCAGCCCCAGGTGCCATCTTGACTACAACATCAGGAAAGATTCCAAATTAGACTCCCCCATCCCAGGTAAGCTGCAAATAACATCACATAACAATAGCCATTTATTATCTTCCATAGAAACTATGCAAGGTAATAAATAGTTATTGTTATGTTAAACCATTAAGTTTGGGGGTAATTTGTTAAGTAACAATAGATAACTCATATAGGAAACATACATTATACTTTAGAGTTTTCCTGTGTATCTTATCAGTAGATCTTTGTAGATAGCAAGTAATTACTAAATATGATTTTTAGTGTAAAAACATGCATGCAGTGAGCCAATTATCTGTGAAATGGCTGGGGTGAAGCTTTATTTTCCTTGAATTGTGGCCAAAGGATAAACACGCACTGCCACAAACAGCAAACAGATGTAGGATTCAGATGGTCTGTGGATGCCTAAGAGTTTTCCATCACAGATTTGTTTCTCACTTAAGTGAAGTTAATGAATTTGGGGTGAAGTGATGTAACTATCATGGTTACTTTTATCCTGTCTCAGCATACTATGCTATCCTACCTCTCAAGACTATACACCTCCTTAATGTAAAAACAAAAACAAAAACAAAAACACTAAGTTTTAACAAATCGCAGCATTTACTTTATAAGCTAGTCAGCACTTGAAATGAAAGAGAAATATTCTGCCTAATTTTGAATACTAATCCACACAATAGGAGACAATTCTGTGCTGGGATATTGTTCATTCATTCATTCATTCATTCATTTATGTGTTCATTCATCATGCATTTCACAAATACTTATCCGTGAAGGTATTGGTTTTAATGCTATGGGAAAACACAAAGTGGAACCAGCGTAATGAGGTGGAAAGAGCATGGCCTCTGGAATCAAATGGACCTAAGTTCAGTCTCTTACAGTATTTGAGGCAACCCAATAAATAATTTCTGGTTTCCAACCTGGCTTTTCAATCCTCGGAGAGATAAGACAAAAAGTAAGATAACATATGGAAGCCAGTATATCACTACTTTTAGTAATGAGATGATTTTGGTGAATGTGGCTTGTATCTGAAGTAAGTTGACTTCCTAATTCTGAACTTGAGAATTAGGCAGACTTTTACACCAATCACTCATGGAGAGCTGGGATAGAAGAGAACTCATGTTGTCTGGGCACTCCCGGGAGAAGGAACAGGAGCAACAACAGAACAGCTCCTTACTCCAAAACCACCACCGATTATTACAGGGCCTGTTCTGAGGCACAGCGAATGCCGGGGTGATGGAAGGCAGAGGGTGTGCCAAGGGCACTCCATCTTCAGGAAGGGAAACTCCAGGAGTGGAGAAGGAGTATTTGGACCTGGAGCCCATGAGAGGGATGGCCATTCCCTACTCAGGAAGGGTCAGCTGGCTCTCAGGAGAGATCCACTCATGCTCCTGATGCTGCTCCCAATACCAACCAGGGTCTTTTGGGCATCTCCCTGATATCTCCAGGGCAGTAGATTTTGCTCCAAGAGGTTTCTAGAATAAGCCAGAAAAGTGAATTAGTGAAATCAAAGCCAAGGCCAGTCTGAAATCTGTAAAATCAAAGCCAAGGCTGAAAAAGCAATCCTTCTTCCATTTCCATTTCAAATTAATATCAGCTACACTGTACAATTCAGCTCATTCTAGTGTTTTTAATTCAGAGATTCAGAGATGAAATTAAATGATAACATAACAACAAAGTACAATAATACAGTATAACAATGTAGATATCTGAAATTTGAATCCAAACCCTCTTCCATTTTAAATTTCCTAGCAAGAAATTAGAGTTTAATGATTAAAATTCCTATGCAGATTAAAGTTCAAACATTCACAGCAATTAACATCTGGAAGTAAATTCTATTTCCCTATCTGTTAAAAATTCAAAGATATTGCCATACCTTCATTGCTTAATTTATTATTCTGGCTGTTTTAGCCAGAGGGTTCTTACTGTCTATGTCAGCAATTTTCCAACTTTTTAATCTCAGGATTTCTTGAAACTCTGAGTAATTGTTGAAAACACCAAAGTACTTATTAATATTTATTATATTATAAATTAAAACTGAGGCATTTAAAAATACTTATTCATTTAAATATAACAAAATAAACCCATTTCAACTTAACATAGATAGCATGTATTTATGAAATGGGGTATGAGAAGATACTGGTCAAACTGTGCAAAATTTCAGTGATGCATGAGAAATATTTTAGTAATCATCGCAAAGCATGATGACTATAGTTAATAATAATTCAAAACTGTACATTTCAAAACTGCTAAAAGAGGAGACTTCATTTTTTTTACCACAAAAAATGTTAGGTATATGAGGTGATAGATATGTTAATTAGTTATATTTAATTATTATACCATATACATGGTAGACCATATATATATTATATTTGATATATATGATATATATCAACACATCACATTGTACCCCATAAATATATGAAATTATTTGTCAATTAAAAATAAATTAAAAAATATAGTGAAAAAGTGTAGCTTTTTTTTTTTCATGTTGGCGAATCCTTCTCATGTTTGGTTTAATAGAAGGCAGCTGGATTCTGCTCTTGCCTTCAATCTGTTGCAATATGTTTTTTGGTTGAATAATCTGAAGAAAATTCAGCCTCACACAGACATGCAGTTGGAAAAGGCAGGCATATTTTTATACCAGTTTCAGATAATGGTGGATTTTCTTATTTGATATTATGATGATGATTGACAAGTGGTAGTTTCTGAAAAGTTAGTGCAATGCGTTGAATCTGAAACCAGGTCAGTGAAGTTTTCACACGTTGCTGTATTAAAATCCATGATAGCATCTTGCATTTTGAAAGAATCCCTTATCCATGCATAATTTTGTTAACATCATATGTTGGTCATATGGAAAATATTGGTTCACTGAGTTAGGCAGATCTCCCAAATCTTGACACGTTTCATTATACAATACCAAAAAATCATATTTGGTAATATTTCCATGCACCTCATCAGAAAAGTCTTTCGGTATTAAGAAGCTGTCAAGCTCACAGTGCTGGACACATGTTTTTTAAAATCCTGATTTTCACTTGAAAGCTTGAATTTTATTATTAGTGACAATTATTGTCAGCTATTCTCCTTGAAGTGACAGGCTTTCCTTGTTTATTTTTGAGCAAATAGTTGTCAAATACCCAGGTTTGAATAATCACAGTAGTTCCATTAAGATAAAAGAAATGCTCATTTAAAAAAAGAAAAGAAAAAGCCTAGTTCTCTCTTAATCTAAACAACTGCACAGTGCTTGCCCTTGAAACAACCTTCATACTTTGGTATGTTGCAAATGTAATCTATGCAACTTCCCACTTTGTCACATGAACTATTAAAAGGACATGTCCTCAATCGATAAGATTTAATAAAACTAATATTTTTTTACAGTTTCATTAAGGACAGTCTTAAGTGAAAGTGACTTAATTTTTTTTGTGTGTGAGTGCTTGATGGTGAATAATTCAATGACTGCTAGTATACTTGGGTGTCATAGTGGAGAGAAGAGAGAAGGTAGTGTCTTTTCCTCACCTGTAGCAAAGTTCATGGCAGGGTTCCTATAAAAAATGATAGATTGACTTAATTAGTTTTACGTGACATAGGAGCCTTCATAAGGAAATGAAGAAACAAAGGAATAGGGGAACCTATATCTTTTTATGCTAAGTTTGGTGAAGAAGTGAATACTTGTGGAAAAGTATGCTTGGACAAAAGGGGTATGGTTTAATGGTAATAAGTTGGGGGAAACTTAGCAAGTCCTGTTTGTCTACATTGTTCTTTGTGTTTCTGTCTGCAGAGACAAGGACATCTCTTTCCTCTGGGTATAGGGTGGGCATCTCTCACATGAGGGTCTTATGACCTGGTCCAGAGGAAGGTCAGAGAATTCTTTCTACGTTTTATGGCTTGCTTTAAGGGGACCTTCCTCTGCTGTTTCTGCTGTTTTCTCAAATGTCGAGGTACCATATTTTGGAGTAGCATGTCCTGAAGCCCATCAGTGCTGTGTCTTGACATATGCTAAGGGCAAGCTCTTTACCTCCCCATGCTTTTGTGCCACCAGTGCAAATGTCAATAAATGGAAAAAACAGACTCACAAATACCATCTTACTTTTATTTTGAAAATCGTTTTGACATGGCAGAACCCCTGAAAATGTCCGGAGAACCGTTAATGGCCGATGAGCCATACTTTGAGGACTGTAGTCTAGGGAGATGCCTAGTTTGTTTCTATCTGGAATGGGCATAGTTCTTTTTAGGTCTCAGAAGTGATATTAGTTCAGTCAAAAGTTCTTCAATGCCTTTCTTTCCCCCAACTCGCCACCCAATTTTTCCACATCCATACCAACACTTGTTATTTTCTGGTTTCCTTAAGATTAAAAAAAAATTCTTATAAAATAATTTAAAGAGTTAATAGAACATATATCAGAACCCTGACCCCACATCCACCAAATTGAGCAAAGCAGCCCATTCCTAACTCCAGGGGCAGCTATTTCCAGCAAAATTAGGTTTCTAGAAGCCAGCAAAGTAGTTTGTCACAGAAAACAGCAGAGAATCAGATGAGTCAGGGATAAGATAGCTAGGGAAATCTGCCCAGCTACTGTCTTCTCCAGATGATGCTAGTTGTCATGAATTCATGAGCTTTGAAAAACATAATGGGGAAAAACAGTCTCCAAGCAAGGGCAGGTACCATGTCTGGGAGGAAAATCCACACATGTACACCTCCACTATCATACTAGCATACCTCGTTGCAAACTAGAAATTTGCCATGATGGTCACCCCATCTCCAGTAATTGATCTTTCTATTTTTGCCATCCACCATATTCATCACCTCCTAATTCGCATTTTCCATTTGCTTTGCCTTCTTATGCTTGGCACTAACAATTTAAATCTAGAACCTTACTTAGTGCTCTGCAGTGCAAATGCAATTCTCTAGCACTGTAATTTAAAAACAGCAAATAGGTTCCGAACCCTAATGTCTCAGTTCTCTTTTCTCTATAGATGAATCATTGCTTTACCTGTGTCTGCTTAGGAAATCTTGCACCTGTGTAGGTCAAGGGCCCCTTGAAGCACCTGTATGCAGAGGCCACCTTCACATGCTAACGGCCCACACCTGTGTTGAGCCTGTAGGGCCAGGATTGGCTCACAAGCTCCAAGAGACACCATCTATGGAGGACACCTGTGTGAACTAAGCTTAGCTTTTTGGTGGCTGTGTGGTCCCCTGTGCCTTCGCTAATCCTTGAACTACCTTGCCCTTTTGATGAGGCTGGGACACCTTATCAGCTTTTGGCACTATGCAAGCAACCCTGCCTCTCTGTAAGCTGTCAATGGCCTGTGAACAAAGGCATATGCCACAGCCACTTACCAAGGTCAAGTAGTACATAGCTCAAGGCTTAAAGCATTTGCCCGGGCTGTAGTGGTTAAAATCCAATTTCACAGTTGTATTAACCATTGTGTATGATCCTCTAAACCTTCCAAAGTTAAAACACCTGCTCATACACTAAGATCCAAGGCTCAAATCCACTTTGCTGGCTCAAACGCTCTACATACATTTTATTCTTCTGAAATTTTACTTCTGGTCTCTTTTCTAAGATTGCTGACATACCGTGCTAGGTATTAGTGAGTTTGAGTTTAGATCTCCCAAACTACAATCCCCCATGCCTTTGGCTACAGGAACCGAAGCTTCTTCCAAAAGACTTACAGTGATTAGAAGCAGAGAAAAATGGAAGAGAAAGGAAGAGAAGAAGAAAGTGCCTCCAGGTTCTCCTTCCAGACAAAACCATCACACTGAGACAGCTTTTCAGCTTTCTGAGGAGGAGGGAGTAAGGGGACAGGGAGAAGCCTGGAGTCTTAGGGAACGAGAATTCGGCACCCCTCTCCTACAGGAAAACACAGGGGAGGAGCAGAAGCATGACCTTGAGAACAACATCATAGCTCAGCTTCTTACCCACTGTGTATTACTTCCATCTCTATAAGCCACAGTTTTCTCATCTTTAAAATGGAGATTTTAATATCGACACAGAATGGCCATTATATGGATTAGAGATTCGCGTGTCAAGCTGCTATCATGCACACAGTAGACCCTTAGTAAATACGATTCCTGATCTCAGTGCAGTCACAGCCCAGAGGGGACAAAAACACATGCAAGCAGATATATGACAAGCCAGAGTATGTGCTCAAGTGCTAAAAGGAAAACGCCAAGCTCTCTAAGAGCCCAGACAAAGGAACATTTATTTAATTCTAACATGGGTTGGTGTGGTGAGTGGGGGATATTGTGGATGATTTCATGAGAAGGATGGCTCGGGGGTTGAATTTTTAAATTTCAAGAAGGGCTTTTCCTTCTCTTGGTTCATTTGATGAGCATGTTGTTTTGATCATCTACCAACTGTGAGGATCTGGGCAAGCAGAAATGTAAAATATAAATAACAGAATTCCAGAATCTATAGAGCTAGTTGGAGAAACATCACACACACACACACGCACACACACACACACACACACACACACACACAGCTCTAATATGAATGTTTATGCCCCCCATTCATATGCTGAAATCCTAACCCCCCAAGTGAGAATATTAGGAGTTGGGGTCTTTGGGAGGTACTTAGTTCATGAGGGCAGAACCTTTATGAGTGGACTTAGTGCCAGCATAAAGAGGTCACAGAGAGCTGCCTGCTCCTTCCATTGTGTGAGACACAGCGAGAAGATGCCATCTGTGAACAAGGAAGCAAGTCCTCACCGGACATGGAATCTGCTGGGGACTTCATCTAGGCCTTGCAAACTCCAGAAACGTGAGAAGTAAATTTCTGTTGCCTATAAGCCACCTAGTCTATGGTAATTTATTATAGCAGCCCAAAGTGATTAAGACACACACACACACACACACACACACCACATCCCCAAGTGCGTGCATAGCACAGACACAAGAGTAAGCCAAAGTACCGTATCTGTAAGCAAAGTGGTGCAAAGCACATGCCAGGCTTGGGCAGAGAATGCTGGAGGGACAGTGTAGAAGAGCTCATCTGAGACGTTCTCCTAGAAGCTGGGAGCTTAATGATAAGACAAAATTAGAAGAGGATGGGAAAAATGTTTGGAAGCAAGGTTATTTAAGGCCTATGGCAAGAAAGCAACACATTGAAAGTGGTCAGAATAAAGAAGGCTATTGGAGGAGGTTCCTTTGGAGAAGTTTGGTCCCATAGAGACACCCAAGTTAGGTTGAAGAATTTGGCTGTGAATGAAACGGCAGTATGGAGCAGGTGGTTTGGAAACAAGCCATTTCCTAGCTTTGTGGAGCCATTTCCTTCCCATCAGGATATTCCTTTTGGCATTTAAGATCTTTAAGATCACAGTTGCTGGGAGCGGTGGCTCATGCTTGTAATCCCCGCACCTTGGGAGGCCAAGGCAGGCGGATCACCAGAGGTCAGGAGTTCAAATACCAGCCTGGCCAAAATGGTGAAACCCCTGTCTCTACTAAAATACAAAAATTAACCAGGTGTGGTGGCAGGCATCTGTAATCCCAGCTACTTGGGAGGCTGAGGCAGGAGATTTGCTTGAGTCCAGGAGGCAGAGGTTGCAGTGAGCCAAGATCGCGCCACTGCACTCCAGCCTGGGTGACAGAGTGAGACCCTGTCTCAAAAAGCAAAACAACAACAATAAAAAAAACCCCCAAAAAACCCAACCCCCAAATCACAGTCTTATCACAAATGTATCCATGTAGAAAGCCTGCCAATGATACAGAGCACATTTCTCTTAAGGAGAGAAAGACACCATGACATGATATTCCAATAATGCCTCATTTATGTTTGAATATGAACATGTTTTCAAGCAGGTGAACTAAAGTTGAAAGCCAATGTTATTTCGTGATCTACATTTATGCCTATTTTCTGAGTATTTCATTTTGTGTAGAGAAGTTCAGTGAAAAGAATAAATGATTTCCTTGCCTATTAATGAATGGAAATAAGTTTAGTGGCTTCAATGTCTAGGGTTTCATCAGATTTCTCAGAAACTCAAAAGAAAGTAAATTGCGTGGTCTCAACTCAACAAACTGTGGACAGTGGTCAGTGCTATACACAATTAAGCTTGTGACTAGAGACTCATCCAGAGAATGGGAAAAGAATTCTGTGAGAGAAGCACCCTCTCCCTCCAACCTGGCAATGCTCCCCAGCAGAGAGCTTGCATCATTTAACAGCAGTGTCAGCTTATTGACCATCATAAACTTAAGTCTCACTGAAGCACGAATAAATAAATTAGTATCTTGAAAGCACATAACAGGAAAAGGATGTAGAAAATAGCTGCAGGATCAAGAGTGCCCTAAAGTACAGCGGTCTGGATAATGCAAGCGTTGAATCGGATCTTTCCCTGCTGCCTTGTTCCCCTAATAATAATATGGGCCCTCTGTACAGATGCCAATTCCACTGACCCACCAGTATTTGAAAAGGAGGTCATGGGGAGTTATTTCTGCCACTCTTTTAAAAAAATAATTCACTTATGAGATGGAGGTGGAAATTCGCAGATAATTGATAGGTATGGGTTATCTTTTGTAGGGCCTCAGAATAAAGCAATGCCAAGGACCCATCGTGGGGCTGGTCTTGTGCTATTGACCTTACTGGTCTTCCAGAAGGACTGCTCCCATGGGCTCTTGGGTGGGATGATAAATTTGCTAAATCAGGTTCACTGCACTTTCCTCTCACAAAGGAGTATATATGCCTGGAGTGGCTCCATTACTAGGCTCCATTTCCAGCACCTACCAATTGGCACTGTGTATTTTTTAAAGAATAACATTGAGGCTCCTTGCCTCCTTTCAAACTGTGAGAAAGAGTAAGTTTCTATTCAGTGTTCTAAATGCTATCTGCTTAGTTTAATAGGGTTGTAGTAACCATCATGGGAGTTTTACTGAAGTCCAAAGTATCCCAGAAAATGTACATTCCTCTCTTTTCTTATTAAATGGTGCACAGGGACAAGCTCATCATCATCCTTATTTTATTGCAAATTGGTCTGTTGAATTATTTATTCTTTCTTTATCCCTATTTCCCTATCTTACCTTGAAGCCCTCTCCCTCCACCAAATGGCAAACATTCTGCCCGAAGACAGAAACCAAGTTGATAGGAATGTGGCTAATTAGGTGTCTGGGGCAGTGTCATTTCCATACACTGATTTTCCCCACACTTGAGCAGTTATACAGGAAGCAAATTGGCAATTAAAGTAACCACACAATCCTGTAGCTGACACTGTCTTCCAATTATTTCCATTATTCAGATGTGCTGCCAGAGCTAGCAAGGAGACAACCAGGTCAGCTTGCTCCAATTCTTCCCTTACTGGCAAATTCTTCCCAGGTGACTGTAACAGCAGGGAAGGACTACACAAACAGAGTTGAGCTTTCCAAATCTTCATCAGGCTCAGGAGGAGCTGCACAGGCTGTTGTCAGGACTGATTGTCATATGAAACTCCCTTGCTGGCGGATACTCCCTTCTTGTGCTATGGGATGCCCAGGTTCTTCCACAAGTACAGTTGTCAATAGGTGCCATCAGGGAGAGCTTCCGGCAAGAGGGGTGGAATGTGAAACTGCAATGCCACTGATCTAGCAAATCCCCATCTTCCTGGGTGCCTTTGCTGGGTGCAATAAATTACAGGCTCATTTTTTCCCCCCATGGGCTGAGGGCCATCTTGATAGATGGTGAGGTGGGTCAGCAGCTGCCCAGAGATGGAGACTGTATCCAGAGAGTTGCACTGGGGAAGGGCAGGCTGCCTGGTCATTCAACCTGAGCTCTTCTGCAAAGGTTAGATGAGACATGGTTGAAGCAGTTGTTGCTAACAAAACACATTAATAAGGAGGCTGGAGGCATTCTGATTTGGTGTTTTGGCCTTGCTTAATTCCAAAGGGAAGCAGGCATTGCAGTAAAGTGATTCTTGATCTTCGTTATGATTCTTGTCTTCATTGGGGAGGTTCAATCCTGGCAAACTGGGTTGAGACTGGGCATGGATGGACAGGGTGAATGTGAATTAAAGTATATTTCAAAGCAGGTTGCATGTCCTTGTGGATTCACTAACATGGAGCTTCAGGTTCATTTTATGTCAGGTATTGTCCTGGGGGCAATGATTGGAGAGCACAGGTTTCATAGAGACTGTGGGGTCCCCAAAATTGAGCTCAAATGGCTTTCTGGCCAATGAGGTTAAAGAAAAGGATACTTGGAGGTGCAGAGTATGAGGCTGGTGTGTGTGTGTGTGAGTGTGTGTGTGCACACGCGCACATGCTGACAGCCGGGGAAGGTGATTCCCATTCACCCAGGTTTCCCAGTTCCCAGGCTAGGATGGCTACACACCTTTGAGACTAAGTACTGAGATGTGGCTTTTGCTTGTATTTCAGGCCTGGCCCAGAGAAAGAGATGAAAGCTGACACGCAGCTCTCAGAATCACCCTTGCTATCAGGTTTGGCTTCTGGAGCTGATGGGAATCTGAGAGACGTCAGGGTAGAAGCCGCCTGTCTTGGTGAGCTTCCCGTGCTCATCTGGCTTTGGGAAAGACTCTCAGCCTCATTTGCTTATCCTCCATCACGGACCAAGCACTTGGTTTGGGAATAAGGGGCCCTTGGCACTTACTGTTGTGTTCTTGGCCTTTGGGGCCTTGGCCAAGAGTCAGGTGGAAAGAGTTCCACCCTAACATCTTCTCCTATGCTTCCTCCCAGAGCAGGGGATGGGAAAGTATGGGGAGAAAAAGGCTCCTTAGGGAATTACTTCATGTTAAAAAATATTTACTAGGCACTTAACACGTACGCAGAAATTTACCAGTGGCTGAAGTGGGTAATAGGGATGTATCAATTAACTAATAAACTAATTAATTAGACAAATGTATTAGACATTGACTGTGGGTCAGGCACTGTGCTGAGCATTGGGGATATAGCAATTAAAAAAAAAAAGCCATGGCCAGGCACGGTGGCTCACACCTGTAATCCCAGCACTTTGGGAGGCCAAGGCGGGCAGATACCTGAGGTCAGGAATTTGAGACCAGCCTGGCCACCATGGTGATACCCTGTCTCTACTAAAATACACAAAAGAATTAGCTGGGCATGGTGGCATGCACCTGTAATCCCAGCTACTCAGGAAGCTGAGGCACGAGAATCGTTTGAACCTGGGAGGTGGAGTTTGCAGTGAGCCAAGATGGTGCCACTGCACTCCAGCCTGGGTAACAGGGTGATACCCTGTCTCAAAGAAAAAAAAAAAAAAAAAAAAAAAGACAACAAAAACACACACACACACAAAACAAACAAAAAAACCCAAAAGCCCAAATTCATACCCTCACAGAGCTTACTGTATAGTGGGGGAGACTCAAAATAAACAAAATGGATATGTTACATAAGGAAAGCATAGTGGGTAGGACTGTGCACTCTCCAGGCCGACCTCCTGGTGTTTCAGTCCTGGCTCCGCTGCTTGGCCATTTTGTAATCTTGGGCAAGCTACTTAATTTCTCTGTGGCTCAGTTTCCTCATCTGTGAAATGGGATCAACAGGTGACTCACTCTGCCATGCTGCTGTGAGGGTTAAATGAAATAGTGCATGCAAAGCTCTTAGAACAGGTCCAGCATGCAGCGAGCCTTCCAGAAGGGTTTGCTGTGATTTTGTTGACATTAGATGGTGAGAAGTGCTCTAGAGATAAATGAAAGGAAAGGATCGAGGAGTAGGGGATAGTTTAAGTTTCAGATAGGGCCATCAGGGAAGGTATCATTGAGAGGGGGTCATTGGAGCCAGGACTGAGGAGGTCAGAA
This sequence comes from Homo sapiens, assembly GCF_000001405.40. Lineage (NCBI taxonomy): Eukaryota > Metazoa > Chordata > Mammalia > Primates > Hominidae > Homo > Homo sapiens. The sequence continues at coordinate 16,372,442 of NC_000005.10, read as the reverse complement.
ATTTGAGGCTGCTTCGGGGAAGAGTCCACCAAGTAGAGGTAGCTGCTAGGGCAAACACCCTTACTCAGAGGAGGTGAGGAATATTAGGAAAAACAGCAAGAAGCCCATGTGGCTGGGGTGGGAAACAGGAGGGTGTGAAGGTGAAGGGATTGGTGGAGACAAGTCATGTACGACCTTGTCTGTCACTGTAAAGGCAGATATCTGGAAAGATCTCCTGACCTTAATAAGTTGATTGCTTTCTTGGCAAAGGTGACAGCTTAGAAGCTATGGTTGACAATATTCCTGGGGTTTTATATTCGAAGTCTGGGAGATGTCATTAAAAATTTTTCCTCCTAGGTCTTGATATTTGATCTACTATTATGTGATGGGTGGGATAAGTCCTTGAGTTTCCTACTGAGTTTATTCTTTGTCTATGATGAACCATCGTTTAACCTAAATAAGGAGAAAAGATAAAAGAAAAAAAATTGCCCATGATTCTATCATCTTGGTAATATAACTGTCATGATTTTACAACATTTCAGACTGAAACCTTTTAAATAAAATGGGGATGATAATATCTGCTTGCAAGGTTGCTGATGATGGACTAAATGTTGTTTAACTGTGAATGGGGGTGGAGTGGACACTGGCCACACCCCTTTGGAATCTCCATATGCACAGGCTGGAGGCTGGGCACTTCTAGAGGATGAGAGACATCCATTCTGTGCTGCCACTGATCCAACTTTAGGGCCAACGGTGGAGATGGAAGTTGGGGAAATAATTGGACAAATCATGTGAGGTTAAAGCTTCATGACTTGGTAAACAATTGCCTAAAGGAAGGTGGGAGAAGAAGGCAAAGAAAACTCCAAGGTTTTGGTTATGGGCTCCTGGGAAATAGTGAATTTATAACAGAGACAGGAAAATCAGGAAAAAAAAAAACCCTGAATTGTGTGTTCCATTTTAGATGTGCAGAGTTGAGGAGACTAAAGCAGTGTTTCTTAACTCTGGGACACATTGGAATTTCCTAAATTGTTAAAAAATGTGGACGACTAGGCCCCACTCTGACCTACTAAATCAGTAGTTCTGGGGTGGAGCCAGGGTACCGGTATTTTATAAAAGCTACAGTGATTGCAATGTGTAATCAGGGGTGAGGACGTTTGCACTGGAAAATAAATTCAGGTGCTGATGCTCTCAAGAAATGTAAGAGCTAGGGAGAAATATCTGGGAGTTTGTTGCACAGAGGCCATTGGACAAGAAGGTTGAGAAAGAATAAATTATAAAAATAAGAGCGGCCTATCACTGTCTCAAAGAAAATTGGGGCAAACGGTATGAACAGATCCACACAAATCCTTCCACAATTGTGGGAAATCTGCTCAAAATCTATGCTATGGTCACAAAAGAAATAAAGGAAGAAGTGCAGGATTGAAAGTTGGGAAATTTGGGCTTTACTCACAGTTGGTACTTGTGGTGTGATCGTAACCATTCATTCCACTAACATTTATTGAGCACCTATTATGTGTACGGCATTATCCTAATAGCAATGAACAAAGCTAGACAAAAATTCTTGCCCTCCTTGAGCTTACATTTTAGTTAAAGGGATTGGACTAGATTGACTCTTACACTCCATCTTGCAATTCTCCACTGTGCCCAGAAATTGTGATAACAGGGATAAGAGTAACAGTGCAGATCTCCTTGCCTTCCAGGACCACTCTACCCCTCTCTGCATTTCAGAAGGTGATCTACATGGTCTGATCAATGGGTCTCTTGTCCTCTGGCTTCTGGGTTGCTTTGACCAACGAGAGTGCAGGCATTGCTAGGAGACTGAAGGGTGGGAAGAGAAGGAAGGCATTCATTCCTTAAGCTCTCTCTCTGTCTGCCAGGTTACCACAGGTCTGCTGTATCCCCCTACTGAAGGTCACCATTCCTGGCAGGTGGCCCTCATCACTTCCTGTCAGGAATCTCATAACTGTTTCTTCCCCTTTCCCATTTTAGGTCTTAGAGTGATATAACTTTGTCCATTGTTGCTTTCCATAAACTCTACCCATATCCTTGTGAACGGACCCTTTGCTAAGCTCTTCCAATGCACTGGTTTGAGTATGCCATTTGTTTCCTGCTGGGCCCCGAATGATTCGTTTTAATGACTGCCCCAAAACGTGCACTTAATTCTAAACATTTTTGAGTAATGCTAACATCACGGGAGTAAGTGAAAGCTTGCTGAAATGCTTCAGTGTGAGCTGATAAAGCAGCCTTTTCCCTTTGTGTTCCTTCACTGGACACAGGATTAAAGGCACGCCTTACAGATCTCCACACCTGTAAGTTTTGGGAATCATGGAGGCTGACTATGAATAGAATGCTTTTGGCTCTTGGAAGACTTCCAGCAGGGCTTAGGCACTGACCATACTTCTGAGCCTTTTATGCTCTGTGAAATGTGTTTTTCTCAGCATCTCCAGCTCCAGGCAACACGGATCATGATAGATCTGGATGGAGATAATGTCAAGGGAGGACAAGCACTGAGAAGGGTTATACATTCCTAAAAGCATGGGAAATAGCTGCCAATCACCCTGAAGTAAGAGACGAAGAGACTGCTTGCAGAAAAGGACATGGCTGCAGTGCAGGCCAGTGGATGATCAAAGCCATCTCCTCTTCACGTTTCTTGTCTTCAGGGATTCAAGAGAGCAAAGAACGAACACCAGCCCTACAGAGAGGCCATCTGAAACTGCGTCTTGGAGGCTTTGTATTAAAATCTTTAAGTTAATGTTGAAGAACCACCAACATATTGTTCTGCTTACCATGACATCAGCCACACCTCACAAACATCCCAAATGTGTTGGATAGTGCTATGTGTCAGCAATCAGCAGTTGCCGGCAATTGCACAAGTCAGCCTCTAACATCAACTAGGGAGAAAGCCAGGGAACAAACCGAAGGTGAGATTCCAGTTTTTGTTTTTTTTTCCCTTTTCTCAAGAACAGGGAAGGAGAAGCTCATGAAATGGATGGACAATTTATCTTGGTTTGTCCAGAACTTTCCTGATTTTGGTGATGAAAGTCCTGGTTCTCTGAAGGTGGATAGTTGGTTGCTGACAGATGTGATATCAATGGCTGTGTATTGATTGCTCTTAAATATGCATATTTGGATACTGATTTGTTTTCTTTTTGGTAATGTGTGACTGGATGGCTTACACTCATTCTTAGTATATCTTCACAATGCAGTGGGATGTTTTCTAGTGGCAAATTTGAAATTAGACTTTTTAATCCTGGATTGGAGAAACTTCATGACAAGAAGGCATAATTTGTCTTTCCATGAAGGATCTAATGAAATACTTTAAAAAGATTGATAAAACGTACGAATGGCTGATACAACTTTTAAACTATTAATTTGTAGGCTTTTTTTTCACCAGTTGATATTGTTTGGGGTTTATTTACTGGGTCTTTATAGATGTCAATTAAAAAGTATTGCTAATATTCTTTTTTGGCTCCTAAGAATCTTTTTCAATTCCAAAGCAGAATTTATTTCAAAATCAATTAATATTTTTCTTCCTTTGCTCACTTCAAAAGTTACACTTTCAGTGGAATCTGGCTTGACTTTCCCTGTGGGGGGAAAATAAACAAGAAACAAAATATCCTGGAACACGATGATGCTGGTGTTGGTGAGGGAAAAGAACTCTTCAGTGAGAGGCAGAGAGAAGTGCCTCTCTAAGTGCAGGAGAGAAGCACGATTGGTCTCTCCATCCCAACCGTGGCTGCAGGATGGAAGCACTTGGTGCCTGGGCCCCACCACTGGAGACCCCGATATGATTCTTCTGGGGGTTGCTTGAGCTACTCCCCAGCAACATCGCCTGGGCAAAATTTTTTTTTTTTTTTTTTTTTTTGAGACGGAGTCTTGCTCTGTCACCCAGGCTGGAGTGCAGTGGTAGCATCTCAGCTCACTGCAAGCTCCGCCTCTCCCGGGTTCACACCATTCTCCTGCCTCAGCCTCCTGAGTAGCTGTTCTAAGCATTGATCTCCACCTGATGCTAGATGAAGATTTCTCAAATCCTCATTCAGAGAAGCAGTTGAATGGCATTGGAGGGAAAAGTCGCTCGTACTCCTAAATCTTGATATTAAAAAAAGAAAAATTGTGAGAGCTGACAGACCATAAAATCATTTAATCCAATCCTTCCCTTTACAGATAAAGAAACAAGACACAAATACTTCGAGTGCACAGCTGTTTGACAGAAGAGCCCAGAATAGAGACTTTCCTACTGAGTCGTGACAAGAGGGAAGAGAAAGATAAAGTCAAAAAGGAAGAGAAGATGATGAGGTTGAGGAAGCTTGTGTTAATAATTCATTCTCTATTTGTGTTGTTCAGAATTTGAGAATGGTTTTGGATAAATTATTCATGGCGGAAGGTAAAGAAAACATCAGATGCCATAGTACATCTGATCTGACCCTTTTGAGAAGCACAATTTCCTGGGTCCAGTGCAGTATAATGAAATTAGTCCATCAAGGATCTTTGAATATATTCACTGATCATCCTCTGTAGACATCCTGACATAGCCTAGAAAATAAAGTCAGCATCCTCCTCAAGTGATTATTATGCATCCACTTGCAAAATAAGCCTGAAGAAATGTCTGCTTCCCGAAGTTCGCTGATTACTCCTCTCTGACACATTGGCTAGGTGAATATGAAACACTGGGTTTCTGTACATGACAAAAACAAGAGACTGTGCCTCCCAGGGTGAGAGGACATTGGTGAAAATAAGCTAGGGACTCATTCCTGATGATTGTACTGTTTCAGCACCTAGTACACTCCCATATAATTTGTAGGGACTTACAAAAAGGCTTGATGAATGAAGGGTGAGTGAGTGAGTGAATTAATGAATGAAAGCTACTGGCCGCTTTCAAACTACAGAATATAAATCTCCCAGGAATATAGAGCAAGATTATCTGAAGTGCTGGACGCATATTTTGCCTTCTTTTTCTTCTGAGGCTCTTTTTCTTGGAAGATGTGGACTGTATTTGAGAGAGAAGAAAGCCAACTTCAAGTTCTATCAGATAAAAATTGTGTATGTAGCTCCTCCATTACTTGGGTAAGGTCAGGAGTCCACCACAGGGCTATGTGCCAAAGACGTGGATTAAAATCTTGAAAACAAGTTTTAAGTCTTTTAATAAATAGAAATCTTAATGAGAGAGTACAAATCATTTAACTCAGGTAGCTGGTTGGGCATGATGTCTTGAATAGAGGTGAATATTTTTTCCTTTTGACTTTTATGACATTTATCTTTTAGGTTGCCCAAACTAAATAAAAGAATTCCAAAAGAGCATTTTTGGATTTCTGCCCAAGAAGATGCCCAAAGATCTGGTATAAAAGAATGGAACAATATCTTGGGGTTGAGTGAATTATATATATATATATGTATGTATGTATGTGTATATATATATGTGTATATATATATGTATGTATGTATGTGTATATATATGTATATATATATATACACACCCACATACATATTTATAAATGAATAGACAAATATCTATGCATAATAATATCACAAAGCTAGCAGAGTGTCATCTTCCAAAAGGTAAAATGGAAAATAAGCAATAGGGAAGTGTGCAATTTCTGAAATGGAGCTGGAGTTATATTTTATTTCTATGTCTGCATAACAAATGGAAGTAGTACTTCAGCTTTTTCACTTTGGCCTCTGTGTCCATCCCTCCCCCAGTCCTACCTCAACCTCATTCCTCATTGCCCCAACCAAGTCAATGAATTTGTGAATATTGGGTTGGAACTCAGCCAGGAATATCTGAAAATGGTGTCTCACGTTGACTGAATCCATAAGGAGGAAATTATTCAGACGATTGATGCTCCTTAGGGCAGAACATTAAATTGATCCTTTGGCAGGGAAAACCTCATGGAACTTAACACAGCAATTCCCATAAATATCAATGTGATTATCAACCAGATTGGGACTTACCTATTTCTCAGAACTAGACAAGAAGGATACATGAGTACGTGTTTGTGTAGTTGTTATGTTTAATATGTGTGTATCTTGACATGCTCAAACCCATTATTATATAAATCACACTAATGAAACTGCTTTGTCAAGCATGCAGTGTGCTTGACGAAACAATTCCGTTGTAAGACTTATTTTCAAGTACCTGCCTTTCAAATAAAATTATCCTCTGGACTCACATTTCTTCTAGTTTTCCTAGCTAAGTGGAATTTTCTTCTAAACAGAAAGCTTTATTTCAGCCCCTTCTATGACTATTACTGTATTTTAATGACAAGCTTGCAGAAAATATTTTTTAAATGATTGCTTTCTTATTATGAACTGAAAACATTTCTTAAAACTTGTTCTCTCCCCAGGATGATATTTTTTGCATTCTTTTGTTCCGTCATGCCCTCATCTGTTCTGTCATTCAGTAAATGTTTACTGAGTGCCTGCTTTGTGCCAGATCCAGGGTTCTAGGAATTGAGTGTTCATTAGTGACCAAAGCAGACACAGTAATGATTAAAAAAAAATGCAATAGAGCAGTTCAATAGGCGATAGGAGCACTGAGTAAGAGGGGCATTGCAGGGTTGCCAGGACAGCCCTCTCTGCTGACATAACATTTGATTAGGGACCTGAATGAAATAAGAAATGAACCGAGCAGATATCTGAGGAGAGAAGGCTCCAGGCTGACCGAACAATGTGTGCAAAGACCTTGGAAAGAGAACACGATGGACGTTTCTAAATAAAACATCTACTCTTCTTCTCTTGAAAATGTATTTAAAAAATAACTCTCTGAATTGTTTGCCATATGAAATTTAATTGCATCCTGATTTTGAATAGAACTCCTGTTCCATTGACCATTAATTTTGGTAAGTGTGGCCGTTTCAGGGCATGAGTAATGGATATTCCAAATTTGGAGAGAGAAGCAATAGATGAGAACATTGGCATGCTCTTGCCCTGGCAAAGCTTATCACTGGAACAAAGAGATGAATAATTAAAGGATACACAAAAATGGTTCCATGAGGGGGTTTTGAAAATGTTTCATATGAAAATAATTAAAATAACACTTTCCCCCAATCATTATCAAGCATTTAAAGATTTGGCTTGTGAGATATGTCACAGGGTTTTGGGAAAGGCTATGCTCATCCCCAACCACTAGCAAATGAGCTAGCTGTTCATTTTACTCTGTGGATTTGTGTGTTTGTCAACCAAATAAAAGGCAACATCATAACCCACTTTTAGTGGTCAGAATTTTACAGGCGGCTCTCTATGCAGATATGCCACAGGAAAGAAAACTGGATGGATTCAGATTGCATCAATCCCAAGACCAAGTTTATGCAGAGGGAACAGCTGGCTGCTGTGTGGCTAAACCAAGTGGTTGAGTTTGTCATATCTCATCCACTCTAGCTCTGACTGCATATGCAAGCAGCTGAAACAACCCAACCATTGTCCTCTTGGGGCAGTTACCCTTGTCCCTCTCGTCATCACAGCTGTCACTCTTTCTCCTTTCTTAAAGATTTTAGCTCCTGGCTTACTCTCTCTGATTCTACTGTCTCAATTCTTGGGGATTTCAATACCTATGTATCCTTGCAGTTCCTTTAGCTTCACCTGTTATTGAACTTGTCCTCCTCCATCTCAGCCCCTCACTCCTTCTTTGTCATTTAATAACACAAACTCTGCATCTCTCCCACCTCCTACCTTTAGAACTCTTGCCTCTAATATCCTATTTTTTTTTTCTTTTTTTGAGATGAAATCTTGCTCTGTCACCCAGGCTGGAGTACAGTGGCATGATCTCAGCTCACTGCAACCTCCACCTCCCAGGTTCAAGTGATTCTCCTGCCTCAGCCTCCCAAGTAGCTGGTATTACAGGTGCCCACCACCACACCCAGCTAATTTTTGTATTTTTAGTAGAGATGGGGTTTCACCATGTTGTCCAGACTGGTCTCAAACTCCTGACCTCAAGTGATCCGCCCACCATGGCCTCCCAAAGTACTGGGATTATAGGCATGAGCCACCACACCCAGCTAGTATGCTGATTTTGAAAATCCAACAATTCCACTACCTGCAAGGGTTCTAACATCATTTCACTGTCCCTCACTTCTCTCATGTCCTCACTTCTTAAAGTTAAGGACTCAATCCTTAACCTCCAGGGTCGTTCATTAAAATCTCTTCTTTGCCTATATATTCAAATTCCCTGCCTTTTTTTGATGAGTGGAATTTCCTGGCCTTCCTGAACGCTGGAAAATACACAGTGATGTGCACAGGTCTCACTCTAACATCACATTTGCTAACATCAAATCAGCCCATGCATGCTGCTTGGCAATCATGCTGTTTTCTGAAATCATCATCCTCTGTCTCTCCAGAGGACAATTTCATTCTTTCTCCTCTCTTCTCAGACCTCCAAATCTCAGCTGATGCCCTCTTTCCTATTTTTAAGAAAAAATTTGAAAAACCAGAAAGGAAATTCCATAAGCTCTCATCATTGTACCTACCCACTTACCTGTGTCTGTGCCCACGTAATCTCACTTCTCTCACCCTTATCGGGGTGAACAAACTCTCCATGAATAGCCTATCCATTGCTATCCAACAACAATGTTGAACATCGCTCCAACAATTTTAAACCTTCTCTAATACATGGACAGTTTCCACCAATCATATCCACCAGTATACAAACTGCTTCTATTTATCCATTATTAGATAAAAAGAAAAAAACTTCTTTGACCCCATTTCATCTTCCAGTTATTTCCTTATTTCTTGACTCCCCATTATAACAAAATTTCTTGACTGCTTTGTTTATGCTCTCCATCTCCAATTTTACTCCTCCAATTGAATGGACTTCAGCCAGGTTTTCACTCCTAGGAAGGCACCAAAATTACTCCTACCAAGATCATCAGTGATATCAACATTGGTAAGTCCAGTGGTCCTTTCTGATGGTTATGTAACTTGATTTTCAGGATTTGGCACAGATGATTTCTCTCTCCTCTTGAAACACATTCTTCACTTGGTTTCTAGGACACCTCATTTGCCTGGTTCCCTCCTTCTCAGGACCCTTTTTCAGCTCTTCATCTTCCATCTCTGAATATTGAAGTATCCTCATGCTCAGTTCTGGTACTCAGCATTTCTACTTATACTCACCACTTAGGCAATTTCCACGCCTCATCGTGTTACCAAAACACGAGGCATTCAGTCTAGGTCCCATTGCTTGCCACACGGAAAGCCATTCACTGAGACAAGAAGTATTGCCAGGGAAGAATGTTTTTATCTGGGTGCTGCAGCTGAGGAGAACAGGAGATGAAATACATCTCCTCAACTGACTATAAAACTAGAAGTTTATAGATCAGATGAGAAATGTAAGCATGTGTAGGAAGACAGGAATTAGAGGGGTAAGGAGAAAGGGTTGTCTACTGACAACTGATTGTAATAAGAATTTCCAAACCAGTGCAACATTTGTACACATTTTGTTTTCAAATACACACTTGAAGGCCCAACAGTGATAAAAGGTTTAGAATAAAAAACCACTAGAAAGTCTCACTTCTTTTCTTACTATTTAATCCAAGTGAAGGTCATTTAATTTTAAAAATAGTGAACACAACTAAAATAATTTGGAGCAATCCTAATCAATATAATTTTCTGAAGGACAAGGCCACTCTTTCTTGAACATTAGAACTTTGTACCCATATCACAATTTTCCTCATTACCTAAAGGAAAAGATCTGAGACCAACTCAAATTATTGATTGAATTGAACTACCTTCAAAATAAACACCATTTACACATTTCTACTCTTGCTTACTTTTCTAAATAACAATGAGATTCCAGAACCCTCACCCATCATGATTGTCTCACCAACAACCTGCTTTCTGTTGACCAACTCCTCTTCCTTATCCTTCCCTAATTCTTATTTTTCCCACACATGATTACATTTCTTCCTTGCTCTGTAAACCTCTAATTTTAGTTGGCTGCAGAGATAAATTTGAGACTGATCTTTCCTCTTGTCAGCTGCCACACCCAAATAAAACCTTCTTTCCTGGCAATGCCTGTTGTCTCAGTGATTGGCTTTCTGTGAGGTGAGCAACAGGGCCTAGACAAAATCCTTGCTGTTTTGGTAACAGTGGTTTAAAATGTTGCCTCTCTCAGGGGTGTATAACCTTTTCTATATGATGAACCCCCTTGGCAGACTGGTAAAACCTATGAACTCCCTTCTCAGAATAACATTTTAAAATAAAATACAGTATATAGGATTTAAAAGGAAACCAATTATATTGAATATATATATCTTTACTTGCCTCAAATTCCTGGTTTTCCTACACTGCTGCTCTGTACTTGGGAAAATTGCCTTACTGGCCCTGTTCAGTGCCAAATTGGTCATAGGGAAAGATTCTCATTTCTTATTTCATCTATATGCAATTTTTCCAAGACTGTACTCTCTATTCAGGAGGAACTAAACATTCCTCTGCCCGAACTGCTCTGCTGCAGTCTTTCTGTTTTCAGTTAGTATCATTCTACCAGGCTGGGTGCTAAGATCACACACCCTGCAGTCTCAAGACCTGAATCTGACCCAGGGGTAAATCCTGGTGGCTCTCTCTATCTTCAAATTATATAGAGAATCTGGCCACATTTCACCACTCTAATGCCACCATCATCTCTTCCTTGGATTGTTGTAAGAGCCTCCTAACTGTTGCCTACTTGAGTCTATTCTCAGCATGGCAACAAGAGGGATCCTGTTAAAATGTGGGTCATCATGACACTCCACTATTAAAAGTCATCCTAAGCCTTCTCATCCCCTCAGAGTAAAAATAAAAACCCTCCCTTGTGACTACACAGTACCCCTTCATCACCTCTGATCTTCCTCTACTTCCCTCCCCTAATTTGGTCCCTCCTGCTGTATTAGCCCCACTCTATTCTTTCAAGCCAGCAGGCATTCTTCTGCCTCAGTGCCTTTGCATTTACTCTTTCCTCTTTTTCACATTTACATTTCCTTCTGATATTTATATGGCTTGGTCCTCAAATTCCTTCAGGTTTTACACAAATACCATTTTCTCACCACAAACCCCTCTTAGTCATCAACTAAATATTCCTTTTGCCTACTTTCTTTTCTTTCCTTGACCATTATCATGATCTCCCAGACTATTTATTTTGCTCATTCAACCTGCTTATTTTTGTCTCCACTACTAAAATACAATCTTCTTCACAGAAAGTATTTTTCTTTTTTCATTCATTATTTGATGTGGTTTGGATCAGTGTCCCTGCCCAAATCTCATGTCAAATTGTAATAAGGTTAGAAGTGAGGCCTGCTGGGAGGTGACGATCATGGGGATGGTTTCTCACGAATAGGTTAGTGCCATCGCCTTAGTACTGCAGAGTGTGAGTGAGTTATCATGAGATCTGGTTGATTAAAAGTGTGTGGCACCCCTTCAACCCCCTCTTGGTCCTGCTCCTGCCATGTAAGAGTCTGGCTCCTACTTTACTTTCTGCCATGAGTAAAAGCTCCTTGAGGCCTCCCCAGAAGCAGATGCTTCCATGCTTCCTATAAAGCTTGCAGAACCCTGAGCCACTTAAACCTTTTTCTTTATAAATCACCCAGTCTCAGGTATTTTATTATTGCAATGTGAAAACAGACTAATACACTATTGTGTACCAACCACCTAGTAAGCTTTTGATAAACATTTGTTGAATAAATCCATGGATGTGTTGTCTTATAGAAATACAATGTGAACCCCATGTGTAGTTTAAAATTTTCTAGTAGCCACATTAAAAATAGAACACATATGAGATTGACTTTAATAACATAGTCTACTTTACTTAACATAGCCATATTATGTCTTTACAATCCAGTGGGTATTTGACACATATAGCATATTTTAATTCACAGAAATGCTTGATAGATACATGGAGTTAGTAGCTACTGAATTTGGACAGTGCAAATCCAGAGGGATTGTTTTTATGACTAGTGTCACGATTAAGTAGGCTGTAGGTTGGATTGCCTGATTTTGAATTTAGATCCTCAAACATACACACACACATGCACACAGACATGATATTTTACTCTCTCCAAGTCAGTTGGAAGTAATATTAGTAGCTACTTTATAAAAGTGTTTTTATAATTAGAAGACATAATTTAGGTGAAGAGGCCAGCACATAGTAAGAACTCAATAGGAATGAGCTATTATTAATATGGCTGAAATGGTGAGTTTTCAATCTCTTAAATCCCTAGGACTTTAAGTAAGACCTAGGAAACCATACCTTGTCTACTCTTCTATGCTAGAATAATAAAACAATTGCAACACAAAACTTTTAAAAAAAATTTAATATGTATGTCTTTTTAAAAAAATTTTACTTTAAGTTCTGGGATATATGTGCTGAATGTGCAGGTTTGTTACATAGGTATACATGTGCCATGGTGGTTTGCTGTGCCTATCAACCCATCATCTAGGTTTTAAGCCCCGCATGCATTAGGTATTTGTCCTAATGCTCTCCCTCCCCTTACCCCCGACCCCCTGACAGGTCCCAGTGTGTGATGTTCCCTTCCCTGTGTCTATGTGCTCTCATTGGTCAATTCCCACTTATGAGTGAGAACATGCGGTGTTTGGTTTTCTGTTCCTGTGTTAGTTTGCTGAAGATGATCGTTTCCAGCTTCATCCATGTCCCTGCAAAGGAGATGAACTCATTCTTTTTATGGCTGCATAGTATTCCATGGTGCATATGTGCCACATTTTCTTTGTCCAGTTTATCACTGATGGGCATTTGGGTTGGTTCTGACTCTTTGCAATTGTAAGTAGTGCTGCAGTAAACATACATGTGCATATGTCTTTATAGTAGAATAATTTATAATCTTTGGGTATATACCCACTAATGGGATTGCTGGGTCAAATGGTATTTCTGGTTCTAGATCCTTGAGGAATCGCCACACTGTTTTCCACAATGGTTGAACTAATTTACACTCCCAGCAACAGTGTAAAAGTGTTCCTATTTCTCTGCATCCTTGCAGCATCTGTTGTTTCCAGACTTTTTAATGATCACCATTCTAACTGGTGTGAGATAGTATCTCATTGTGGTTTTGATTTGCATTTCTCTAATGACCAGTGATGATGAGCTTTTATTCATGTTTGTTGGCCACATAAATGTCTTCGTTTGAGAAGTGTCTGTTCATGTCCTTCGCTCACTTTTTGATGGGGTTGTTTGTTTGTTTTTTTTCTTGTAAATTTGTTTAAGTTCCTTGTAGATTCTGGATATTAGACCTTTGTCAGATGGATAGATTGCAGAATTTTTCTCCCATTCTGTAGGTTGCCTGTTTACTCTGATGATATCCAGGCAGTAATTAATAGTCTACCAATCAAAAAAAGCCCAGGACCAGACGGATTCACAGCTGAATTCTACCAGAGGTACAAAGAGGAGCTGGTACCATTCCTTCTGAAACTATTCCAAACAACAGAAAAAGAGAGACTCCTCCCTAACTCATTTTATGAGGCCAGCATTATCCTGATTCCAAAACCTGGCAGAGACACAAAAAAGAAAACTTCAGGCCAATATCCTTGATGAACATCGATGCAAAAATCCTCAATAAAACACTGGCAAACTGAATCCAGCAGCACATCAAAAAGCTTATCCACCACGATCAAGTTGGCTTCATCCCTGGGATGCAAAGCTGGTTCAACACATACAAATCAATAAACATAGTCAATCACATTAACAGAACCAATGACAAAAACAACATGATTATCTCAATAGATGCAGAAAAGGCCTTTAATAAAATTTGACACCCTTCATGCTAAAAACTCTCAATAAACTTGGTATTGATGGAACATATCTCAAAATAATAAGAGCTATTTATGACAAACACAAAGCCAATATCATACCGAATGGGCAAAAGCTGGAAGGATTTCCCTTGAAAACTGGCACAAGACAAGGATGTCCTCTCTCACTACTCCTATTCAACATAATATTGGAAGTTCTGGCCAGAGAAATCAGGCAAGAGAAAGAAATAAAAGGTATTCAGATAGGAAGAGAGGAAGTCAAATTGTCTCTGTTTGCAGATGACATGATTGTATATTTAGAAAACCCCATCGTCTCAGCCCCAAAACTCCTTAAGCTGGTAAACAACTTCAGCAAAGTCTCAGGATACAAAATCAATGTGCGAAAATCACAGGCATTCCTGTACATCAATAATAGACAAGGAAAGAGCCAAATCATGAGTGAACTCCCACTCACAATTGCTACAAAGAGAATAAAATACCTCTGAATACAACTTACAAGGGACGTGAAGGATCTCTTCAAGGAGAACTACAAACCACTGCTCAAGGAAATCAGAGAGGACACAAACAAATGGAAAAACATTCCATGCTCATGGATAGGAAGAATCAGTATCGTAAAAATGGTCATACTGCCCAAAATAATCTATAGATTCAATGCTATTCCCATCAAGCTACCATTGAGTTTCTTCACAGAACTAGAAAAAACTACTTTAAATTTCATATGGAACCCAAAAAGAATCCATATAGCCAAGAGAATCCTAAGCAAAAAGAACAAAGCTGGAAGCATCATGCTACCTGACTTCAAACTATACTACAAGGCTACAGTAACCAAAACAGCATGGTAATGGTACCAAAACAGATATATAGACAAATGGAACAGAACAGAGGCCTCAGAAATAACACCACACATCTACAACCATCTGATCTTTGACAAACCTGACAAAAATAAGCAATGGGGAAAGGACTCCCTATTTAATAAATAGTGCTGGGAAAACTGGCTAGCCATATGCAGAAAACAGAAAATGGACCCTTATACACCTTCCTTACACCTTATACAAAAATCAACTCAAAATGGATTAAAGACTTAAATGTAAAACCTAAAATTATAAAAACTCTGGAAGAAAACTTAGGCAATATCACTCAGGACATAGGGATGGGCAAAGACTTCATGACTAAAACACCAAAAACAATGGCAACAAAAGCCAAAATTGACAAATGGGATCTAATTAAACTAAAGAGCTTCTGCTCAACAACACAAAACTTTTATTGGAATTAATGAAATGATGAATGTTGCTTCTGATAAGAAGCTAGTGGAGGTGATTACACTAAATTATACTAAAAAGCCCCAGTGCAAATGTGCACAAACATGAATGCTACAAAAGATTGTTCCACTGAACACCTGGAGATTCATCAGAATCCTTACTCCTGTTCCCTCTGTTGCAACTCAAGTTTCTCACATGTCCAGTTGCTCTGGTATATGCTTGTTTACAATAGGGCTAGTGAGAAGAGGATTTTCCAGAGAATATTTTGGCAAAGAGTGATTGGTTTCACAGGTGTATGGGATACGCCTAAACTCATCAAATTGTATACAATAAACATGTTGCTATGCTATGAATGCTCATATCACCTCCAAAATTCATGTTGAAACTTATTCCCCAGTGCAATGGGATTACAACATGGGGCCTTTTAGGAGGTAATTAGAGGTAGTTAGTTACCTCTTTTAGGAGGTAACTAATCCCCTCACGGGTGGGATTAGTGCCTTATAAAAGGACTTGACGGGACAAGTTTGCCCCTTCAGTCCATTCTGCCATTTGAGGATGAATGCATCCTCAAATGCATTGTACCCTCTGGAGAAATTAGCATTCAAGGAACCATTCTGGAAGCAGAGAGCAGCCCTCGCCACACACTAAACCTTTTGACACTTGGATCTTAGACTTTCCAGACTCCAGAACTGTGTGAAATAAATTTCTATTATTTCTTTCTTTCTTTTTTTTTGAGACGAAGTCTTGCTCTTGTCCCCAGGCAGGAGTGCCATGAAATGGCGTGATCTTGGCTCACTGCAACCTCTGCCTCCTGGGTTCAAGTGATTCTCCTTCCTCAGCCTCCTGAGTAGCTGGGATTACAGGTGCCTGCCACCACATCTGGCTAATTTTTGTATTTTTAGTAGAGACAGGGTTTCACCATGTTGGCCAGCTGGTCTCGAACTCTTGACCTCAGGTGATCCGCCCGCCTCGGCCTCCCAGAGTGTTGGGATTACAGGTGTGAGCCACCGCGACCAGCCTCTATTATTTCTAAGTTACCCAGTCTCTGGTATTTTGTTATAGCAGCATGCAATAACTAAGACAAACGTGCAACTCTTTTGTGTGTCAATTATACCTCAATAAAACTGTCAGTTTAAAAAGTATTTGTTTGACAAATGAAATATGAGCAATGTTTTCCCATCTTTAAAGTCATGTCAAAAAATAGGTCATCATGAATATTCATAATATGATCACTGTTCTTGGATAGTTACTGATATAAGCAACTCCTTTGACCCCCAAACCAAAGCTAATCATAAAGTGATCCTGCGGAAGAATTAGATATTTAAATGTAGGAACAAAATGACTTCAATAATCAATTTGTGGTTTAAAACAAACTTCCTGGAACTTATGCATGAATACTATTGCTTTAAATAAGTGGCTTTGAAAAAAATGTATACTTCATTTCTCAGAAGTTTACACTACATGGCCGTGAGGTAGATCATTCATTCATTCATTCATTCATTCATTCAGTGTGCACCTATAATGAGTCAGGCACTGTTCCAGGCATTGGAGATCCAGAGCTGAGTGAAGCTGGTGAGGTATGTGTTTTTCTTTGGCTCACAATCTAGTGGAGAAAAGGGGAGAGTGCAGATAATGAACAAGATTGAGATAATTTCTGTAAAGGCAACAAAAAAGAAGTGAAGCAGGAGAGAGCCAGGGTGTAGGAAACCAGCTAGGGACCAGAGAAAAAAAGAGGATAAGAAAGGAGCCAAGGCAGGACATGACCATCGGAGACGAAATAAAAGTCTGAGCATCACAACCCTAGCTTGGTTTGAAGTCCTTGGAGAGTCAATGAATGAAGACAAGAAGGGAATGGGCTGGGCCTGCCACGTGGAGATGGCCAGAACCTGAGTGCTGCCAGAGATGAGGTGTGGCGAGCAGAACAGCAGCTCCATGCAGAAATAGGATGTGCAAGGGGCCCGGTGCCGTGGCTCATGCCTGTAATCCCAGGACTCTGGGAGGCCGAAGCGGGTGGATCATGAGGTCAGGAGTTTGAGACCAGCCTGGCCAATATGGTGAAAACCCGTCTCTACTAAAAATACAAAAATTAGCTGAGCATGGTGGCGCGTGCGCACCTGTAGTCCCAGCTACCCGGGAGGCTGAGGCAGGAGAATTGCTTGAACCCAGGAGGCGGAGGTTGCAGTGAGCCGAGATTGTGCCACTGCACTGGAGCCTGGGCGACAGGACGAGACTCCATCTCAAAAAAAAAAAAAAAAAAAAAAAAAGAGGATGTGCAAGAAAGAGTTACGTAAGTGAGCCAAAGATGGCCTCTGTGTATGGACCCCTGGGCTGTCTACCAGTTCACAGCAGGCTGAGACCTGTTAGCTCAAAAGCCTACCAACAGCAAACTCAAACTGTTACACATCCAATTGTTTTACACAGAGCCCCAGTGAGCATATTTTTAGTTAAAACCTGCTTGCTTTGCACACACCATGAAACTGTGCCCACCATCTACTAGCCATACACAAGATAAATCCTGGGGCTATAAAGATCCCAAACAGTAGCTTGCTGCCCTCTGGAGCTCTCTGACCCAGAGACTCCCTGCTGGACTGCTGTGTGATGTCACCTAGATGTGTAAATCCTCCCTCCAATTACCCTCTCCCCTGGGAGTTTCATCTCCCCAACTCCTTCTAGTGGCCTTTGCATTATAGCCTCTGGACAGTCACATGCTATGAGGGACTTGTCCTTCCTGGAAACCGGTCAAAGTGGTACCCAAATCAGGCTTGTGTGTGTGTGCTGCTTCCATCTTTTGGTCATATCTTTTTTTTCTTCACCTTTTAAGCTCTGGGGTACACGTGCAGGACATGCAGATTTGTTACATCGGTAAATGTGTGCCATGGTGGTTTGCTGCACAGATCAACCCATCAACTAGGTATTAAGCCCAGCATCCATTAGCTATTCTTCCTGATGCTCTCTTTCCCTCAACCCCCCAACCATGACAAGCCCCAGTGTGTGTTGCTCCCCTCCATGTGTCCATGTGTTCTCATCGTTCTGCTCTCACTTATAAGTGAGAAATGCAGTGTTTGGTTTTCTGTTCCTGCATTAGTTTGCTGAGGACAGTGGCTTCCAGATCCAACCATGTCCTTACAAAGGACATGATCTTGTTTCTTTTATTCCATGGTGTATATGTACCACATTTTCTTTATCTAGTCTATCCTTGCTGAACATTTGCGTTGATTCCATGTCTTTGCTATTGTGAATAGTGCTGCAATGAACATACACATACATGTATCTTTATAATAGAATGATTATATTCCTTTGGGTATACACCCAGCAATGCGATTTCTGTGTCAAATGGTATTTCTGCCTCTAGATCTTTGAGGAATTGCCACATTGTCTTCTACAATGGTTGAACTAATTTACACTCCCACCAACAATGTAAAAGCATTCATTTTTCTCTGCGACTTTGCCAGCATCTGTTGTTTCTTAACTTTTTTTTTTTTTTTTTTGATATGGAGTCTCGCTCTGTTGCCCAGGAGTGCAGTGGGGCAATCTCTGCTCACTGCAAGCTCCGCCTCCTGGGTTCACGCCATTCTCCTGCCTCAGCCTCCTGAGTAGCTGGGACTACAGGCGCCCGCCACCACACCCAGCTAATTTTTTGTGTTTTTTAGTAGAGATGGAGTTTCTCCATGTTAGCCAGGATGGTCTCAATCTCCTGACCTTGTGATCCACCCACCTTGGCCTCACAAAGTGCTGGGAGTACAGGCGTGAGCCACTGTGCCTGGCTGTTTCTTAACTTTTTAATAATCACCATTCTGACTGGTGTGAGATGGTGTCTCATTGTGGTTTTGATTTGCATTTATCTAATGGTCCGTGGCGAGCTTTTTTTTCACGTTTGTTGGCCACATGAATGCCTGCTTTTGAGAAGTGTCTGTTCATATCCTCTGCCGACTTTTTAATGGGTTATTTTTTTCTTGTATATTTGTTTAAGTTCCTTGTAGACTCTGTATAATAGACCTTTATCAGATGGATAAATTGCAAAATTTTTCTCCCATTCTGCAGGTTGTCTGTGTACTCTGTTGATAGTTTCTTTTGCTGTGCAGAAGCTCGTTAGTTTAATTAGATCCCATTTGTCAAATATCCCTTTGTTGCAATTGCTTTTGGTGTTTTTGTTATGAAATCATTTCCTGTTCCTATATCCTGAATGATATTGCCTAGATTTTCTTCTAGGGTTTTTATAGTTTTGAGTTTTACATTTATGTCTTCAATCCATCTTGAGTTAATTTTTGTATAAGGTGTAAGGAAGGGGTCCAGTTGTAATTTTCTGCATATGGCTAGCAAGTTCTCCCAGCAACATTTATTACATAGGGAATCCTTTCCCCGTTGCTTATTTTGGTCAGATTTGTTTAAAATCAGATGATTGTAGGTGTGTGATCTTATCTCTGAGTTATCTATTCTGTTCCATTGGTCTATGTGTCTATTTTTGTACCAGTACCATGGCGTTTTGGTTACTGTAGCCTTGTAGTATAGTTTGAAGTTGAGTGGCATGATGCCTCCAGCTTTGTTCTTTTTGCTTAGGATTGTCTTGGCTATTTGGGCTCTTTCGGGTTCTATTTGAATTTTAAAATTGTTGTTTCTAATTCTGTGAAGAATGCCAATGGTAGCTTAATGGGAATAGCATTGAATCTATAAATTGCTTTGGGCAGTATGACCATTTTCACCATATTGATTCTTCCTATCCATGAGCATGAAATATTTTTCCATTTGCTTGTGTCCCCTCTGATTTCCTTGAGAAGTGGTTTGTAGTTCTCCTTGAAGAGGTCCTTCACTTCCCTTGTTAGCTGTATTCCTAGGTATTTTATTCTTTTAGTAGCAATTGTAAATGGAAGTTCATTCATAATTTGACTCTCTGCTTGACTGTTGTTAGCATATAGGAACGCTAGGAATTTTTGCACATTGATTTTGTATCCTGAGTTGTTAAACAATTGGCTGTCGGTGATTCAGTCAAATGGAGCATCTCTCCTTTCCCCTGGGGATTAGGGGTGTGGCTGAAAGTTCTACACTTTGATCACATGGTTGTTTCCTCTGGTGACCAGAGTAGCCTTCATCCTGCAGCCATCCAGGGGCTCTGTCAAGAGTCACCTCATTAACATAAACTTAGGTATGACTGAAAGGGGCTTATATGAATAATGAAACACGTTTCTATCACCTCTATCTACCCAGAAAATTACAAGGATTTAGAACCCTGTGCCAAAAACTGAGGATGAAGACAAAATATATATTTCTTTTTTCTTTTTTTTTTTTTTGAGATGGAGTCTCTCTCTTGTCGCCCAGGCTGGGGTGCAGTGGCGTGATCGTGGCTCACTGCAACCTCTGCCTCCCCGGTTCAAGCTATTCTCCTGCCTCAGCCTCCTGGGTAGCTGGAATTACAGGCACGCATCACCATGCCCGGCTGATTTTTGTATTTTTAGTAGAGACGGAGTTTCGCCATGTTGGCCTGGCTGGTCTCAAACTCCTGACCTCAGGTCAGGTGATCTGCCTGCCTCGGCCTCCCAAAGTGCTGGGATTACAGGTGTGAGCCACCACGCCTGGCCAAAATATACATTTCTTAATATCACCACATCACAGTGCTCCTGTCCCTCTCCTTTGTTTTATTATTTTCCTTAGATGTGCGTGTCAAAAACTGCTTCAATGTCTTCCTGCCCCAGTCACTGATGGTGCTTATCTGTCCACCAGCTGCTAAACATCAAGAGTTCCTCAGAAGCACATTGTGACAACTTCTGGGATCCAGAACTTACTTAAATGTGCTGAAGGAATACATTGAACAATAATGGCCTATCAAAAACCTGTGTGTGTGTGTGCGCGCGCGTGTGCATGTGTGTGATTGGCAATGGACAAGGGATTGTATAGGGTTCTGGAACTGAGGCATTCCACTCTGGAATTTTGTTGAGATTCTCAGGTAGGTAAATATTACTTAGGGACTCATGAAGCCTATAATGAAATCAAATGATGTCCTCTTCTTACTTCCTCAGACAAACCAGTACCTCTTGAAGCCTAGGACTTTCTCTCAATTTTCGCATCCACTACCTTTTATCTAATTGAATAACTCCCAAGAAAAATTGAAAGTATCTATATATATATGAACAAAACTATAAAATACCTGTACATTGTACATGTTATGGGTATATAGCATATATAATTTATTATATGTATATACTTATATGATTCACAGTACTTATGCACATAGTATACAACTCTTTTTTGATATGAATACGTGTGTGTGTGTGTGTGTGTGTGTGTGTGTATACAGAGAAAAAACTGACTCCATCTTGGATGCCAATCCACCACGATGACTTCTGATTAACCTGTCTTGTGAATGCTTCCTGATTTCTACTTTATTTACTGTCCTTAGTGTAAGAACATGTACTCGTTATAAATACTGCCTGTAGATCAAAGCACCCCTGATGTGTGCACAAATTATAGGCTGTGACTCATCTGGCACTCTTGCCTGTTTTGGAAAGTGGCCCTTAATTGTCTCACACACAGCGTGTATTCCCTTTCCCTGTGGTCTGGGAGTAACTGGAGTGGAGGTCTATCTGTCTTGCAGTTGTCTAGGCCACATTTTTGTGTGTAAATTCCCCCAGTAAGACACTCTACCAACAAACTGGATTTGTCTGTCTCATTCTTTGGTTTCTTGGTGCCTTTCTCATTTGGGGGCTGCTTTGCATATACAGCCTCTTCAGGGAACAACATGACAGACTAGGTATTAGTATGTTTATAAGTCTGATGGGATTCAAGACATACTATCCCAAAATACGGTGCTTTGGCATATTGAATATTTTAAGCTGAAGAAATCTGATAAGAAGCAGTTGCAGGAAGGACTCTGATCCTTCCCTGAGCGGGTCATAAGATTGTGAAAGTTATCAGTATCAAGACAGAGACACTAAAGTCAAATCCTAACAAAAGGGAGCTGGGAGGCCATGAAGGAGGAGACCTCATGCACCTATGCCTATGATGGGACCTATGCAGGAAAATCCACAAAATCTCAGGATACCCGGTAAGGATATTTTCCTAACAATTATTGTTTCCACTGATGAGCTATTGTTAATTTCCACAACAAGTCCCTAAAACCAATGGTCTTTGTTTCAAAACGGTTTACAGAGACTTTTGTCTTTAAATGCTTCCCCTTGCTCCAACATTGATGCGCCTATCATCTGTCATGGCACACGTAGCCCAGATTGCAATCCTCTGCTATTCCTGAATAAAATCTTTGCTTTGGAAAGTTAGTCTTTGTTGCTTATTTTAGGTTGAAAAGACCATTATGTGAGAGGTGTCCCTCTCTATACCCAGAGGAAAAAAAAAGCATTCTTATCTCTGAAGAAGGAGGGAGGCTGAGAGGAATCTGAATAAACAGGACTTGCTCAGTCTCCCCTGGTTTACTCCTCTTAGCTCATACTCCTATTTGTCCTATCATATTTTCCCACAACTTTCTACTCTTTATCAAACCTAGTATAAAAATACTCAGGGTTAACTGTTTCTTCTGGTCTTCACTTCATTACAAAAGCTCTGATGCCATGTGAAACTTGTATTAAATAAATTTCCATGTTTTTCTCTCGTTTATGTCTTTTGTTACAAGGGTACAATCCAGCTACATCAGTTGGTTGTTTCAAAGTTACAATCTACTGGCTTATTCAATTTTTAAAAAATTACCTTTAAAAAATAGAAATGTATGTGTCTTTGTGCAGAAAACTTTGGAAACAAAATAAGCAAAAAGAAAAACAACTCAGATAAACCACTGTTCACATTCTGATGTATCTAATTTTATATAATTTAAAAAGTCATTGATTATAAGATATACCACTAAGAGAGATAAAAACAATCAACATGGGGAATCCAATTGGAGCTCCTCCCCAATAAATCTGGGACACAAAAGATCCACACACAATACAGAAAGGAACAGAAGGAAACTTTTATGCTTAACTTAGTACTGGCAGAAGAAGAAAAAGGCTATCCCTTGAGAATTTGTATCACAAGCTGGTACTTATATGCAGGTTTGTGGTCTGAATTTACAGCTCCTATGTGGTCCAAAAGTGTTAAAGATAATTTAATTTAATTAAAAAACTCCCAGGAGCAATTCCAAATCTTTGGAAGAATTCAATGTCTTTACTCCAGACTGTCAACAATTGTACGACACACTTGGTTTTAAGATGCAGCCAGATTGTAAAAAAGGTGCATCTTAGAGTAGATGAAGCAGTTTACTTTGATTACGTATTTTGAATTTTTTTCTTAAAAAATTATATTCTGTCTATTTTTCTGTACAGTGGTTTAGGGCATGAGTCAGACAGACCCCTGTTCAAACCATAGCTTTGCTTCCTTCTTACTGGGTCTTTGACTTTATACAAAGTATTTAATCACTTCTAGGCTCAGTTTCCTTATGCAAAATTAGGTACCGATACCATGTACACCCCAGAGGCTTGCTATAGGGGTTACAATGAGAAAAGCCCAGTAACCAGCACATAGTAGGCACTCAGGACATTTTGTAAAATATTATTCATTCTGATTTCTTTCTGATTTGGTAATGGGTCACAAACACCTTTTCATTACAATATAGGTAGATCTAGACATTACTATGTGAGAGCTGCCTGATATGCTGACAGGGAGAATAGGATGTTTTCCTTGTTTACTATTTAGAGGGTTTCCAATTTTGTAAACGTATAATCAAAGCTGGAAAGAAATCCTTATACACACATTTTGGTATAATGTAACTTTAAAAAGTAATTTCTAGATGAATGCTACTCACTTTAAAAATTATCTCTATTTTAAATGATTTTTGTAGCCACATGCTTGACTGCTCTTTTTTTATTTTTTTAATTAAAAAGTTTTTTGAGATAAGATCTTGCTCTGTCACCAGGCTCTGGAGTGCAATGGCATGATCACACTCACTGCAGCCTCTACTTCCAGGCGTCAAGCAATCCTCCCATCTCAGCGTCTTGAATAGCTGGAATTACAGACATGAGCCACCATGCTTAGCTATATATTTAAAAATTTTTTTTGTAGACATGGGGTCTCACTTGTCATCCAGGCTAATATTGAACTCCTGGCCTCAAGCGATCCTCCTGCCTCAGCCTCCTAAAGTGCTGGGATTACAGGTGCGAGCCACTGCACCTGGCCCTGCTCTGCTTTTAAAATTGCTCCTCATTTCCTTTGAATGGAAGCACATACCCCTCAATTTGTTCCTTTATTTGAGCTCTTAGAGACCTTCTCTCCAACTTCCTCCAGAATCAGGCTGCATTCACTATCTTCAAACTGTTTTGGTGGGACTTTGTATTCAAAGCTTTCTTTCATTTGCAAATTTTCATTTTTATCCCTCCAGGTTTAATTTGCTAACCCTAACCCTAACCCTAACGCCAACCCTAACCCTAACTAACTCCCAGCCTAACTCCCAGGCATTCTTTTCTACTGGACTGAAATCTGCTTCCATCCTGCCCAGTGACCTTCCTCTTTGCAGCTGGAGATCCTTGTACAAGAGAATCTTAAGCGGAGTTTTGTAGCTTGCAGAGGTTGGTCACCCTGTTTGGAAAGAAGAGTTAATTTTCACAGAGTTCAGGTCATGCATCATGACTAAAGTTTTCTAAGAGATCCTGATATTTTCATATTTTACTATGATTGAGAAGTAAGCCACACATTGTAGCAAAAATGACTACCAGATTCCAATAATGATTGTGAGGCTGCCAATGTTCTTCAACTTGCTGATGCTGCAATCTACCAAGTAACAAAACAACAGCTAATTTTATACTTAAAACAGTAAGTTATGTGAGGAATAAAATGAATTCCACTGTTAGTTTGACTGCTTTGATTTATTACACTTTGGTTAAAATGGGAGAACTGTAGATACAGGCAAAGATTGCTGAAAGAATGGTAGGACCAGGCTAACAAGATATCAGGCATCCTCAGCTAACACAACAAACAATGCACCCAGTAATGCAGAGCACAAAATGACCCCAAGAAAGTGTCTGTCACTAATTAATGGATACGGTACCAGCACAAGGAAAGAACAACAGCACCACAGAAAAGACAAAGTCAAAGTAATAGGAAGAGAACAACACTGTTTTCAATACTGTGATAAGCTGTTCAGTTGGGTGAATCCAGTAGAAACAGTCCTAACAACAGAAACTGAAACTGTTTAGAGACATTTGCCATGGCACAGGATAAGTGGGTGTATTAGTTTTCTTTATGCTGCCTTAATTACTTATTGCAAACTTAGGGCCTTGGAGCAATACTATTAATTAATTCTCAGTTCTGTAGGTCAGAAGTCTTGGTGGGCTTGGCTGAATTCTCTGCTCCAGAATCTCACAAGGCTAAAATAAAAGCTAGTGGCTGGTCACGGTGGCTCATGCCTGTAATCCCAGCACTCTGGGAGGCTGAGGTGGGCAGATTACCTGAGGTTGGGAGTTCGAGACCAGCCTGACCAACCTGGAGAAAGCTTGTCTCTACTAAAAATACAAAATTAGCCAGGCGTGGTGCCGCATGCCTGTAATGCCAGCTACTGGGGAGGCTGAGGCAGGAGAATGGCTTGAACCCAGGAGGCGGAGGTTGTGGTGAGCTGAGATCGTGCCATTGCACTCCAGCCTGGGCAACAAGAGCAAAACTCTGTCTCAAAAAAACAAAAACAAAAATAAAAACAAAAACAAAAAAACAACCAGCAACATACCAAGGTTACATTTCTTTCTAGGGGTTCTGGAGAAAAAGCTTGCTTCCAAGCTTCTTCAGGCTGTTGGCAGGATCCAGTTCCTTACAGTTGGATCCAGTCCTTACAGGAATGAAGTCCCCTTTATGCAGCTCTCCATCTTCGGCCAGTGATGATGGGATGTTAAATCCCTCTCATGCCTCAGATATCCCTGAATGTCCCTTCTGTCTTCTGCTTTCCTCTTATGCCACCATCAGGAGAAAGTTCTCTGCTGTTAAGGGCTAATGGGATTAGATTAGGTTCACCCAAATAATCTCCCCATTTTTAAGGTCAACTGTGCCATACAACATAACAGAGTCATAGGAGTGACTTCACATTCTCAGGTTCTGGAAATCAGGGTGTGAAATCTTCCAAGAAATTCTGCCTAGAAATTCAGTGGGGGTACTGGAAGCACACACAAATCTCCAGCCTTATGGACACAGAAATCAGAGACTCCTTTAAAAAACACATTTGTGTAGAGATTTTGTTGTAGGACTTCCTTTTAAGGAATATTTCTACTTGAAAAATAACTTCAGTTCAAGTTTTCATATTATTTCAGAATTTTTAAAGTTTGTTTCTCCTCTCTGAGTATTTAGCCACTGGACTTTTCAAACAATATTTTTTAATATCAAGGTCACTGTGGAGTCAAAAAAGAAGGGGCTAGGCTTTTAATGAATATAAATTTTGTATATAATAAGATCTTGGAAAAAATGCACATACATGCAATTATTATTATTAGAATGGATAGCTAGACTGACGTGAGCATGGCAGGAGAGCCTCCCACCCCACATCCCGCCCAACCTCAGGAATGTCAGGCAAACATCAGGTGATGTTCAGGTGGTTGTTAAACTGTCTCTCTAAAATAATAATTGGTCATAGCTGGCGCCAGGGAAAGGCAGTCTCCCAGTGCATAGAAAACACCTGAAGCTGGTGATCAGCAGCTTCCCACTAGGATCTCAGGAGTTGGGCAAGTGGGCTCAAGCATGCACACTAAGGGGCAAAATAATGGTGTTTAACTGGTCTGTGACCTTCCTCTAGGAATGCTTGACTGGTAAGGGAAAAATGTCTTAAATGAGCATGTACACAATTTCAGTAAACACACTGCGCATGTAGCCCCTCCCAAGTGCTGGGATGCTACTGTGCATGCAGACAGCTCCCCCTAAGGGAGAAAATCAAGGGAGGAGAGACACAAAATCCCAGAAGTATGCCAACATACAAAATTCCAAGTCAAAGGTCAAACAGCACACTTGGATCTCTCAAGTCACCAGCTCTCAAGTTACCCTCTTCCCAGTGTACTTTACTTCCTTTCATTCCTGCTCTAAAACTTTTTAATAAACTCACCCCTGCTTAAAAACTTGCCTCAGTCTCTCACTCTGCCTTATGCCCCTTTCCTTCAAGGAGGCAAGAATCAAGATGGTGCAGACCCATATGGATTCACCACTGCTAACGTTACTTTAATGTCTTCATACTCATAAGGATAACATCTCCTTATGAGGTAGCATGGTCTACTAGAATTTTCGTATATGTAAGCTTTTGTAATGGTCATGATTTGACCTGAGAAATACCTGAATATATGTGATGTTGTGACACAGTTTAATTATAGAACTATGGGATTTTTATTATCTGGGAAACCACCTGCTATTTTCTCTGGTCATAAATACACTTTCCTTTATTTTTCTCCTTGATTTATATCTTCTCCTGACATATATTTGTTTACTGTATATCTCTCCCCTGTTCCCCAGCTAGAATGTGAGTCTATGAGAGCAGGACCTCTATTTTATTGCTTCTACAATCTGTCTGCCTAGAATTATGCCTGCTATATAGTAGGTACCCAATAATATTTGTTGAATGAATGAATAAATGAAAATTAGATGGGACTCCAATTTTCCTAAAGGTAGTTCAAGCACATGAAACTGTTTTATTAGAAACTTATGTTAGTGTAGGAATCGGGGAATTTTCCTTCTATCTTCTGAAGGTTTGATAATTTAAGTCTCTGGAATAAACTAGCAGTTGGCAGATTAACAGGAGAAAAGGTGTGTAAATTGATGACATGCATACTCAGGAGTCTTGCAAAATAAAACTCAAAGGAGGGCCAGATGGTTGAAATTTTTATAGTATCCTGAGCTACAGAAATAAATAGGGGTTGAGGTTTCTCAGAGGAGGTGGTGACAAGTTATAGGAGGTTGAGGGAAAGCAAAACATGGTAAACAAAGTTTGTCTTGTTATTCAGATAAAGTCTGTTAGATAGGAGTCCTCAAAAGAATAGGTGGTATGAACCTTCCCTTTAGTCTCCTTTCCCGTGAGTTAATCATCCCTGTTTGATGAGATTATAGGAAGGGGTATCATGACAACTGCATTTCTTCTGGAGGAACTTTCCTTAGGCAGATAAGGGAACATCAGAGTTCTGCATTTGCTGCTTCCAAGGTGTTCTCAGTTTGAAGTCCAAAGCAACATTTTGGGGATATCATTTTCTGAGCCCCAACATTAGGAAAGGTGAGATGTTTCTGATGACTTAAGTTCCAAATGAGGATGTATGTGAAGTTTGACTCTTGGCAGCTGAAATAAGAATGGAGCTGGAGGACACTATCCTTCGCAAACTAACACGGGAACAGAAAACCAAATACCGCATGTTCTCACTTATCAGTGGGAGCTAAATGATGAGAACCCGTGGACACATAGAGGGGAAAAACACACACTGGGGCCTTTTGGAGGGTAGGGGTGGGAGGAGGAGGAGAATCAGGAAAAATAACTAATGGGTACTAGGGGTAATACTTTGGTGATGAACTAATCTGTAAAACACCCCCCACCTTGCCACCCACGTGACACAAATTTACCTGTGTAACAAACCTGCACTTGTACTTGTACCCTGAACTTAAAATAAAAGTTAAAAAAAAAGAAGAAGAAGAATCACCTCTACAGGATACTTAAGGGAAAGAGGCAGAAAGGTTTTCAAGGAATTGCAACTTTAAGACAACCAGTGGGCAGCCAGAGGTGGGGGCCACCCGGCTGCCAGGACTAATTACCCAGGACATTTTTAGTGATCCAGAGACATAGATGAGCACCAAGATTAAAAGTACTCTAGAATCAACCAGTCTAGATTCAAATTCCAGTACAGCTATGCATATTCAGGTAAATTTCTCAACTATCTTGTGCCTTGATTTCCTTATCTATTAAATAGGGGAAGATAATAGTATCTTCCAAAAGTATTAAATGAATTGTCACACAAAAAGCTGTTAGACTAGTGCTTGGCACAGAGTGAGAAATTTGTGTTACCTACTGTTGCTGTTGCTGTTATTAACTTCTGTTTTACTGGGTCTTGACCCTCCTGTTAGGATGTAGAATCTGAGTTTCCTGCACAGAAATACTGCAAAGTATTTTTCAGTGTTCTGGACACCATCTTAACTCCACAGGTACAAAGGTTGCCTGGTCTTCTATGATGTGCTTTCCTCTTCTTTGTCTTCTATCCTCTTTTTGCTACACAAGGCACCTTGTCTTAGCTTGGGCTGCTATGCTATAATGCTATAGCATAGGTGAGTATGTTAACAGAAGACATTTATTTCTCACAGTTATGGAGCCCTGGGAAGTCCAAGATTAAAGTCCATCAGCATTCAGTTTTTGGTGAGGGCTCTCTTGCTGTGTGGTAGATGGCTGCCTTCTCACTGTGTCCTCACATGGTAGAGAAAGAGACTTATCTCTGTCTTTCCCTCTCCTTCTTCTTATAAAGCATTGATCTCATCATGAGGACACTATGCTCATGAATTTATCTAACCCTAATTACTTCCCACTGGCCCCATCTCCAAATACAGTCACACTTAGAGTTAAGGCTTCAACATGTAAACTTCTGGGGTCCGTAATTCATAGCACACTGCCCTGTCAGTGGACATTGTGCTGCTGGTGCTGGTACTTGGGATGCTATTAGGCACTGCCGTCATCTCTGCCGAGAACAGTCGTATCTGTCTCACTCTGTCATGCAGACAAGAACCACCATGTCAGCAACCATTTTTGAGGTGCTGCTATCTGCCACTGAAACCCTGGACATCGACCTGTTTTCAGAGTTGCAGTCTGCTATAATGCAAAACACAACAAAAAATGGCTCTTTCCAATTCAGCATGTTTCTTTTATTCAATGCCCTACAGAGTTTAGAGGTAAATAGTTCACATTAGGCAGGTTTTGCCACCAAATGCTGTGTGTCAAAGAACTACCAAATCTCAGAGGCTTACACAACACACATTTGCTCATGCTCATGGGTCTACATGTCAGTTGTGATTTAGCTGATCTTGTCTCTACTTGGTTGGGCTTGGCTAAGCTCCATGCTCAGGTTGGATTCAAGTGTTCTTCAATCTGGTACCCATGCTGGAGGAGCAATGGAGAGTAAGACATGCTTTTCTTACAGTGAAGAGAACAGGCAGAATAAATTGATGCTTAAGGCTAGAATCTAGACTCCAATGCCATAGAAAAGAACAGTGACAATTAGAAACTAGGAGCCTGAGCAGATGGCCAGCAAACCAGGTTGAGGGAAAAGCTCATAGCACATCACTGAGCCTTGATACCTTTGAATCAGGACTTGATTTGGGCTGAATCTGCATGTGGTCCAACGGACTGGACAGGGAAGGGATTAATAATGGCAGAACAGTAAGAGCCCAAGAGAAGCCATCTAATAGCCTAAACATCAAGGAGGCAGCCTTAGTCCATTTGGGCTGCTATAACAAAATGCCATAGACAAGGTGGCTTATAAACAACAGAAATTTATTTCTCAGCATGTTGGAGGCTGGAGAGTCTAAGATTAATTGCAGATTCATTATCGGGTGAGGATCAATTTCCTTGTCCATACACTGCCATCTTCTCATTGTCATTTCATATGGTGGAAGGGGCAAAAGGAGCAAGAGAGCCCCTTGGAGTCTTTTATAAAGAGGCACTAATCCCATTCACTAGGGCTCTGCCCTCATAACCTAATTACAGGCCCCACCTCCAAATATGTTCACATTGCAGATTAGGTTTTAACATATGAATTTTGAAGGGGACACATTCAGCCTGTAGCAGGTGCTAAAAAAACCAAAGTTCAACAAAGATGACTCAGAAAGCAAATTTTTTTCAGCAACAAAGACTAGTTGGTAGTTAGATTATCAGTAACAATTAACTACTGCAGTGCGTTCTCAGATGGTTCCACGGTTCCCTTCCTAATTGCTGCAGTTTTTCTTTACAACAAAATCAATCCAATTTGTTTAGAATAATCTAAGTGAGGAATCCACAGACTCCCCATCCATCAAGGAGTTTATGAATAAAATTCAGGGACCCTGAACTTAAATGAAATAAAGTTTATATCTTTATTTTTATTTTTAATTTATTTATTTTTATTATACTTTAAGTTTTAGTGTACATTTGCATATTCTGCAGGTTAGTTACATATGTATACATGTGCCATGTTGGTGTGCTGCACCCAGTAACTCGTCATCTAGCATTAGGTATATCTCCCAGTGCTATCCCTCCCCCCTCCCCCCACCCCACAACAGTCCCCAGAGTGTGATATTCCTCTTCCTGTGTCCATGTGATCTCATTGTTCAGTTCCCACCTATGAGTGAGAATATGCGGTGTTTGGTTTTTTTGTTCTTGCGATAGTTTACTGAGAATGATGATTTCCAATTTCATCCATGTCCCTACAAAGGACATGAACTCATCATTTTTTATGGCTGCATAGTATTCCATGGTGTATATGTGCCACATTTTCTTAATCCAGTCTATCATTGTTGGACATTTGGGTTGGTTCCAAGTCTTTGCTATTGTGAATAATGCCGCAATAAACATACGTGTGCATGTGTCTTTATAGCAGCATGATTTATAGTCCTTTGGGTATATACCCAGTAATGGGATGGCTGGGTCAAATGGTATTTCCAGTTCTAGATCCCTGAGGAATAGCCACACTGACTTCCACAATGGTTGAACTAGTTTACAGTCCCACCAACAGTGTAAAAGTGTTCCTATTTCTCCACAGCCTCTCCAGCACCTGTTGTTTCCTGACTTCTTAATGATCACCATTCTAACTGGTGTGAGATGGTATCTCATAGTGGTTTTGATTTGCATTTCTCTGATGGCCAGTGATGATGAGCATTTTTTCATGTGTTTTTTGGCTGCATAAATGTCTTCTCTTGAGAAGTGTCTGTTCATGTCCTTCACCCACTTTTTGATGGGGTTGTTTGTTTTTTTCTTGTAAATTTGTTTGAGTTCATTGTAGATTCTGGATATTAGCCCTTTGTCAGATGAGCAGGTTGCAAAAATTTTCTCCCATTTTGTAGGTTGCCTGTTCACTCTGATGGTAGTTTCTTTTGCTGTGCAGAAGCTCTTTAGTTTAATTAGATCCCATTTGTCAATTTTGTCTTTTGTTGCCATTGTTTTTGGTGTTTTAGACATGAAGTCCTTGCCCATGCCTATGTCATGAATGGTAATGCCTAGGTTTTGTTCTAGGGTTTTTATGGTTTTAGGTCTAACGTTTAAGTCTTTAATCCATCTTGAATTGATTTTTGTATAAGGTGTAAGGAAGGGATCCAGTTTCAGCTTTCTACATATGGCTAGCCAGTTTTCCCAGCACCGTTTATTAAATAGGGAATCCTTTCCCCATTGCTTGTTTTTCTCAGGTTTGTCAAAGATCAGATAGTTGTAGATATGCGGCATTATTTCTGAGGGCTCTGTTCTGTTCCATTGATCTATATCTCTGTTTTGGTACCAGTACCATGCTCTTTTGGTTACTGTAGCCTTGTAGTATAGTTTGAAGTCAGGTAGTGTGATGCCTCCAGCTTTGTTCTTTTGGCTTAGGATTGACTTGGCGATGCGGGCTCTTTTCTGGTTCCATATGAACTTTAAAGTAGTTTTTTCCAATTCTGTGAAGAAAGTCATTGGTAGCTTGATGGGGATGACATTGAATCTGTAAATTACCTTGGGCAGTATGGCCATTTTCACGATAGTGATTCTTCCTACCCATGAGCATGGAATGTTCTTCCATTTGTTTGTATCCTCTTTTATTTCCTTGAGCAGTGGTTTGTAGTTCTCCTTGAAGAGGTCCTTCACGTCCCTTGTAAGTTGGATTCCTAGGTATTTTATTCTCTTTGAAGCAATTGTGAATGGGAGTTCACTCATGATTTGGCTCTCTGTTTGTCTGTTATTGGTGTATAAGAATGCTTGTGATTTTTGTACATTGATTTTGTATCCTGAGACTTTGCTGAAGTTGCTTATCAGCTTAAGGAGATTTTGGGCTGAGACAATGGGGTTTTCTAGATATACAATCATGTCGTCTGCAAACAGGGACAATTTGACTTCCTCTTTTCCTAATTGAATACCCTTTATTTCCTTCTCCTGCCTAATTGCCTGGCCAGAACTTCCAACACTATGTTGAATAGGAGTGGTGAGAGAGGGCATCCCTGTCTTGTGCCAGTTTTCAAAGGGAATGCTTCCAGTTTTTGCCCACTCAGTATGATATTGGCTGTGGGTTTGTCATAGATAGCTCTTATTATTTTGAAGTACATCCCATCAATACCTAATTTATTGAGAGTTTTTAGCATGAAGGTTGTTGAATTTTGTCAAAGGCTTTTTCTGCATCTATTGAGATAGTCATGTGGTTTTTGTCTTTGGCTCTGTTTATATGCTGGATTACATTTATTGATTTGTGCATGTTGAACCAGCCTTGCATCCCAGGGATGAAGCCCACTTGATCATGGTGGATAAGCTTTTTGATGTGCTGCTGGATTCGTTTTGCCAGTATTTTATTGAGAATTTTTGCATCAATGTTCATCAAGGATATTGGTCTAAAATTCTCTTTTTTGGTTGTGTCTCTGCCTGGCTTTGGAATCAGAATGATGCTGGCCTCATAAAATGAGTTAGGGAGGATTCCCTCTTTTTCTATTGATTGGAATAGTTTCAGAAGGAATGGTACCAGTTCCTCCTTGTACCTCTGGTAGAATTCGGCTCTGAATCCATCTGGTCCTGGACTCTTTTTGGTTGGTAAGCTATTGATTATTGCCACAATTTCAGATCCTGTTATTGGTCTATTCAGAGATTCAACTTCTTCCTGGTTTAGTCTTGGGAGAGTGTATGTGTCGAGGAAGTTATCCATTTCTTCTAGATTTTCTAGTTTATTTGCATAGAGGTATTTGTAGTATTCTCTGATGGTAGTTTGTATTTCTGTGGGATCGGTGGTGATATCCCCTTTATCATTTTTTATTACGTCTATTTGATTCTTCTCTCTTTTTTTCTTTATTAGTCTTGCTAGTGGTCTATCAATTTTGTTGATCCTTTCAAAAAACCAGCTCCTGGATTCATTAATTTTTTGAAGGGTTTTTTGTGTCTCTGTTTCCTTCAGTTCTGCTCTGATTTTAGTTATTTCTTGCCTTCTGCTAGCTTTTGAATGTGTTTGCTCTTGCTTTTCTAGTTCTTTTAATTGTGATGTTAGGGTGTCAATTTTGGATCTTTCCTGCTTTCTCTTGTGGGCATTTAGTGCTATAAATCTCCCTCTACACACTGATTTGAATGCGTCCCAGAGATTCTGGTATGTTGTGTCTTTGTTCTCATTGGTTTCAAAGAACATCTTTATTTCTGCCTTCATTTCGTTATGTACCCAGTAGTCATTCAGGAGCAGGTTGTTCAGTTTCCATGTAGTTGAGCGGTTTTGAGTGAGATTCTTAATCCTGAGTTCTAGTTTGATTGCACTGTGGTCTGAGAGACAGTTTGTTATAATTTCTGTTCTTTTACGTTTGCTGAGGAGAGCTTTACTTCCAAGTATGTGGTCAATTTTGGAATAGGTGTGGTGTGGTGCTGAAAAAAATGTATATTCTGTTGCTTTGGGGTGGAGAGTTCTGTAGATGTCTATTAGGTCTGCTTGGTGCAGAGCTGAGTTCAATTCCTGGGTATCCTTGTTGACTTTCTGTCTCGTTGATCTGTCTAATATTGACAGTGGGGTGTTAAAGTCTCCCATTATTAATGTGTGGGAGTCTAAGTCTCTTTGTAGGTCACTCAGGACTTGCTTTATGAATCTTGGTGCTCCTGTATTGGGTGCATATATATTTAGGATAGTTAGCTCTTCTTGTTGAATTGATCCTTTTACCATTATGTAATGGCCTTCTTTGTCTCTTTTGATCTTTGTTGGTTTAAAGTCTGTTTTATCAGAGACTAGGATTGCAACCCCTGCCTTTTTTTGTTTTCCATTTGCTTGGTAGATCTTCCTCCATCCTTTTATTTTGAGCCTATGTGTGTCTCTGCACATGAGATGGGTTTCCTGAATACAGCACACTGTTGGGTCTTGACTCTTTATCCAATTTGCCAGTCTGTGTCTTTTAATTGGAGCATTTAGTCCATTTACATTTAAAGTTAATATTGTTAGGTGTGAATTTGATCCTGTCATTATGATGTTAGCTGGTTATTTTGCTCATTAGTTGATGCAGTTTCTTCCTAGTCTTGATGGTCTTTACATTTTGGCATGATTTTGCAGCGGCTGGTACCGGTTGTTCCTTTCCATGTTTAGCACTTCCTTCAGGAGCTCTTTTAAGGCAGGCCTGGTGGTGACAAAATCTCTCAGCATTTGCTTGTCTGTAAAGTATTTTATTTCTCCTTTACTTATGAAGCTTAGTTTGGCTGGATATGAAATTCTGCGTTGAAAATTCTTTTCTTTAAGAATGTTGAATATTGGCCCCCACTCTCTTCTGGCTTGTAGGGTTTCTGCCAAGAGATCCGCTGTTAGTCTGATGGGCTTCCCTTTGAGGGTAACCCGACCTTTCTCTCTGGCTGCCCTTAACATTTTTTCCTTCATTTCAACTTTGGTGAATCTGACAATTATGTGTCTTGGAGTTGCTCTTCTCGAGGAGTATCTTTGTGGCGTTCTCTGTATTTCCTGAATCTGAACGTTGGCCTGCCTTGCTAGATTGGGGAAGTTCTCCTGGATAATATCCTGCAGAGTGTTTTCCAACTTGGTTCCATTCTCCCCATCACTTTCAGGTACACCAATCAGACGTAGATTTAGTCTTTTCATATAGTCCCATATTTCTTGGAGGCTTCGTTCGTTTCCTTTTATTCTTTTTTCTCTAAACTTCCCTTCTTGCTTCATTTCATTCATTTCATCTTCCATTGCTGATACCCTTTCTTCCAGTTGATCGCATCGGCTCCTGAGGCTTCTGCATTCTTCATGTAGTTCTCGAGCCTTGGTTTTCAGCTCCATCAGCTCCTTTAAGCACTTCTCTGTATTGGTTATTCTAGTTATACATTCCTCTAAATTTTTTTCAACGTTTTCAACTTCTTTGCCTTTGGTTTGAATGTCCTCCTGTAGCTCAGAGTAATTTGATCGTCTGAAGCCTTCTTCTCTCAGCTCATCAAAGTCATTCTCCATCCAGCTTTGTTCTGTTGCTGGTGAGGAACTGCGTTCCTTTGGAGGAGGAGAGGCGCTCTGCTGTTTAGAGTTTCCAGTTTTTCTGTTCTGTTTTTTCCCCATCTTTGTGGTTTTATCTACTTTTGGTCTTTGATGATGGTGATGTACAGATGGGTTTTTGGTGTGGAGGTCCTTTCTGTTTGTTAGTTTTCCTTCTAACAGACAGGACCCTTAGCTGCAGGTCTGTTGGAATACCCTGCCGTGTGAGGTGTCAGTGTGCCCCTGCTGGGGGGTGCCTCCCAGTTAGGCTGCTCGGGAGTCAGGGGTCAGGGACCCACTTGAGGAGGCAGTCTGCCCGTTCTCAGATCTCCAGCTGCGTGCTGGGAGAACCACTGCTCTCTTCAAAGCTGTCAGACAGGGACATTTAAGTCTGCAGAGGTTACTGCTGTCTTTTTGTTTGTCTGTGCCCTGCCCCCAGAGGTGGAGCCTACAGAAGCAGGCAGGCCTCCTTGAGCTGTGGTGGGCTCCACCTAGTTCGAGCTTCCCGGCTGCTTTGTTTACCTAATCAAGCCTGGGCAATGGCGGGCGCCCCTCCCCCAGCCTCGCTGCCGCCTTGCAGTTTGATCTCAGACTGCTGTGCTAGCAATCAGCGAGACTCCGTGGGCATAGGACCCTCCGAGCCAGGTGTGGGATATAATCTCATGATGTGCCGTTTTTTAAGCCCGTCGGAAAAGCGCAGTATTCGGGTGGGAGTGACCCGATTTTCCAGGTGCCGTCCCTCACCCCTTTCTTTGACTCGGAAAGGGAACTCCCTGACCCCTTGCACTTCCCAAGTGAGGCAATGCCTCGCCCTGCTTCGGCTCGTACACGGTGCGCGCACCCACTGACCTGTGCCCACTGTCTCGCACTCCCTAGTGAGATGAACCCGGTACCTCAGATGGAAATGCAGAAATCACCGTCTTCTGCGTCGCTCACGCTGGGAGCTGTAGACCGGAGCTGTTCCTATTCGGCCATCTTGGCTCCTCCCCGAGGTAATAGCCTATATCTTTATTTTTATTAACCTCTAGCCAAAATGTAGCATTTCCTTTTATTATAAATATAAGCAACAATCACAGTAGTATTAGCTTTACTTGTGACTTTATCACCAATAGAAATCACAGACAAGTTTATACAATATTACATTTGTTACAAATATCTTAAAATACTGTTGATAGTCATTAGTACACTGAAATTTTTGTTATTAGACTTGTGATTATCATGTTAATAAAGAAGCATATACATTGCTCTATCATGAATTTATTTTTAAAACTAGTATTTTTTTAATTTAAAAAACTATTTATTTTTATTGTTTCAGACCAGTTTTAAGTTTACAGAAAAATTGGGTGGAAAGTTTAAGGAGTTCCCATATGCCCCATACCCCCACACATGTACAACCTCCTCTGCTATGGACATCCTGCACCTGGGTGGTACATTTGTTAAAATTGATGTACTTACATTGATACACCATTATCACACAAAGTCCATAGTTTACATGAGTCTTCACCCTTGATGTACATTCTACAGGTTTGGACAAATGTATAATGGTGTGTATCCATCACTGAAGTATCATACAGAAGTTTCACTGCCCTAAAATCTTTGTGCTCTGCCTGTACTCTTCCCTCTCTTCCCACTAAACCCTGGCAACCACTGGTCTTTTTATAGTCTTCACAGATATGTCTTTCCAGAACATCATATAGTTGGAATCATACAGTATGTAGCCTTTTCAGATTTGCTTCTTTCACTTAGTAATATCCATTTAAGTTTCTTCCATGTCTTTTTATGTTTTGATAGCTCATTTCTGTTTAATGCTGAATAATATTTCATTGTTTGGATGTGCCACAGTTTATCTATCTATTCACCTATTGAAGGAGTCACGGTTGCTTCCAAATGTTGTCAATTATGAATAAAGATGCTATAAACATTTGTGTGCAAGTTTTTGTGTGAACATAAGTTTTCAATTCATTAGGCAAATACCAAGGGACATGCTTGCTGCATCATATAGTAAGACTATGTTTAGTTTTGTGAGACACTACCAAACTGTCTTTTGAAGTGGCATTTTGCATTCCCACTATCAATGAATGAGAGTTCCTGTTTCTCCACACCTTCACTAGCATTTGGTGGTGTCAGTGTTTTCGATTTTGGCCATTCTAATAGATGTGTAATGGTATCTCATTATTGCTTTAATTTGCAATTCCCTAATGACACATGATATTGAACACCTTTTCATATACTTACTTGTCATCTGTATATCTTCTTTAGTGAGGTGTTCCTTCAGGTCTTTTGCCCTTCAGGTCTTTTTCAATCCAGTTGTTTCTTATTGTTGAGTTTTAAGAGTTCTATGACTATGTTAGATAACAGTCCTTTATTACATATATCTTTTGCAAATATTTTCTCCAAGTCTGCAGCTTTTCTTCTTATTCACTTCCCATTGTCTTTCACAGAACAGAAATTTTAAGTTCTAATGTAGTCCAGCTTATCAACTCTTTTTTTCATGGATCGTGGCTTTGGTGTTCTAGCTAAAAAGTCATTGCCTTACCCAAGGTCTTATATTATCTTCTAGGAGTTTTATAGCTTTGTGTTTTACACTTAGGTCTATGATCCATTTTGGGTTAATTTTTGTGATGGGTGTAAAGTTTGTGTCTAGATTCTTTTTTTTTTTTTGCACATCGATTCCCAGTTGTTCCAGAAACATTTGTTGAAAAGACTTTCTTTGCTCCATTGTATTGCCTTCGCTTCATCGTATTGTCTTTGCTCCTATATAGTCAAAGACCAGTTGACTATATTTGTGTGTGTCTGTTTTTGGGCTCTCTGTTCTGTTCTATTGATCTGTTTGCCTATTTTTGGCCACACTGTATTGATTAGTGTAGCTATATAGTAAGTCTTGAAGTGGGAAAGTGTCAATCCTTCAAGTTTGTCTTTCTCTTTCAATATTGTGTTGTCAGAGTTTTGTAGTTTTCCTCTTATAGATCTTGTACATATTTTGTTAGATTTATTCCTAAGGATTTATTTTTTTGGGGATGCTAACATAAATGGTAATGTGTTTTAAATTTCAATTTCCACTTGTCCATTGTTAGTACAGTCAACCCTCTATATTTGTGGGTTTTCACATCTGCAGACTCAACCAACAGTGGATAAAAAAATCTGAAAAACAAAAACCCAATAATAATAATAACAATATACCAATGAAAATAGTACAAATAAAAAACAATGCAGTACAACAACTATTTTCCTGGCACTTGTATTGTATTAAGTTATAGGTAATCTAGAGATAACAAAGTATATGGAAAGATGTGCATAGGTTAAATGCAAATATTATGTCATTTTATATAAGGAACTGGAACATTGGCACATTTTGGTATCTTCATGGGGTCCTGGAACCAGTCTCCTATGGATACCAAGGGATGATTGTATACAGGAAAGCAATTAACTTTTTAATATTAGTCTTACATTCTGCAACCTCACAGTAATTGCTTATTAGTTCCAGGAGTGTTTTTGTCAATTCTTTTGGACTTTCTACATAGATGATCATGTTACCTGCAAATAAAGACAGTGTTATTTCTTCTTTTTAATCTGTATGCCTTTTATTTCTTTGTTTTGTCTTTTTGTATCAGTTAGGACTTCCAATATGATGTTGAAAACAGTGGTGAGAGGGAGTATCCTTGCCTTATTCTTGATCTTAGCGGGAAAGCCTCAAGATTCTCACCACTCAGTATGATGTCAGCTTAAGATTTTTTGTAGTTGTTCTTTACCAAGTTGAGGAAGTTCTCCTGTGTTCCTAGTTTTCTGAGAGTTTTTTTAAAAATCATAAATGGGTGTTGTATTTTGTTAAATGTTTTTTCTGATTGACATAATGTGATTTTTCTTCTTTAGCCTATTGATGTGGTATATTACATTAACTGGATATTCTAATGTTAAACCTGCCATGCATACCTGGGATAAATCCCACGTGGTAATAATTATTTTTATACATTGTAGAATATGCTTCAGTATTTTGTTAAGGCTTTTTGCACCTATGCTTGTGAGAAATACTGGCACGCACTTTTCTTTTCTTGTAATGTCTTTGTCTGGTTTTGGTATTACACTAATGTTGGTCATATAGAATGAATTAGAAAGTATTTCCTCTGCTTCTATATTCTAAAAGAGATTTTAGAGAATTGGTAAATATATTTTTAAATCTTTGGTAGAATTCACCACCGAACCCATCTGGGCCTGGAGCTTTCTGTTTTGGAAAGTTATAAATTATTGATTCAACTTAATAGGTATAGGCCTATTCATTTTGTCTACTTTTGTACGAGTTTTGGTAAATTGTGTCTTTCAAGGAATTGGTTCATTTCATTAAGGTTGTCAAATTTGTGGGCATAGGTTTGTTCATAATATTTCTTTGTTAACCTTTTAATGTCCATGGAATTGGTAGTGATGTCACCTGTTCCGTTACTGATATTAGCAATTTGTGTCTTCTCTTTCTTTTTTTCTTTGTAAGCTTGGCTAGAGGCTTATTGATTTTATCCATTTTTTTCCCCAAAGAATCAACCTTTTTTGTTTTGTTGATTTTGTCTACTGATTTTGTGTTTCCAATTACATTAAGTTCTGCTCTAATTTTTATTATTTCTTCTGCTTACTTTGGATTTAATTTGCTCTTCTTTTTCTAGTTTCCTAAGGTAGAAAGTTTTATTAGTGATTTTAGACCTTTCTTTAACATATGTGTTCCATGCATATATTTCTCTCTAAGCACTGCTTTCACTGCATCCACAAATTTTGGTAAGTTGTATTTTATTTTAGTTGAAAATATTTTAACATTTCTGTTGAGGTTTCTCCTTTGACAAATGTGTAATTTAGAAGTGCATCATTTAATCTACAAGCATTTGGGGATTTTCCAGCTATCATTCTGTTGTTGATATCTAGTTTAATTCCATTGTTTTCTGAGAGCAGATGTATGAGTCCTATTCTTTTAAATTTGTGATGGTGTGTTTTATGGCCCAGGATATGGCCTATCTTGTTGAATGTTCCATATGAGCTTGAGGAGACTGTGTAATCTGCTGTTATTGAATGGAGTAATCTACAGATGTCAATTATATCCAATTGTTTGATGATGCCTTTAAATTCAATTATATTCTTAGTGATTTTCTGCCTCCTGCTGTCCATTTTTGATAGGGGTATTGTGAAGTGTCCAAGTATATTAGATTTATTTATTTCTCATTTTACCTTATGAATTTGGATGCTGGATTGTTAAGTGCATACACTTTAAGAATTGCCATTTCTTTTTGGAATATTGACGCCTTTATTTTTATGTAATGGCCTTTTTTTTTTTTTTTGAGATGGAGTCTTACTGTCACCCAGGCTGGAGTGCAGTGGCATGATCTCGGCACACTGCAACCTCTGCCTCCCAGGTTCAAGTGATTCTTCTGCCTCAGCCTCCCCCATAGTTAGGATTTCAGGCATGCGCAACCACCCCTGGCTAATTTTTGTATTTTTATAGAGACAGGGTTTCACCATGTTGGCAAGGCATTGTTGCTATTATTATTTTGAACAAATTGTCATCTGTTAGATCAACTAAGAACAAGAAAAATAAAATTTTGGGCCAGGTGCAGTGTCTCATGCCTGTTTCACCATGTTGGCCAGGGTTTCACCAGCCTGACCTCAAGTGATCTGCCCATCTTGGCCTCCCAAAGTGCTGGGATTACAGGTGTGAGCCACCACACTTGGATAATGGCCTTCCTTATCCCTGATAAAATTAATTGCTCTGAAGTCTGCTTTGTCTGAAATTAATATAGCTACACCTACTTTGTTTTGATTAGTGTTTGGCACATTTTTCTCTATTACTTTACTTTTTTTTTTTTTTTGAGACAAGGTCTTGCTCTGTTGCCCAGGCTGAAGTGCAGTGGCACAATCACAGTTCACTGCAGGCTCGACCTCTCAGGGAACGTATTCTCCTACCTTAGCCTCTGGAGTAGCTGGAACCACAGGAACATGCCACCATGCCCAGCTATTTTTGTATGTTTTGTAGAGACGGGGTTTCTCCATGCTTCCTAGGCTGGTCTCAAATGATTGAACCCAAGCAATCCACCAGCCTCAGTGTCCCAAAATGCTGGGATCACAAGCATGAGACACCGCGCCTGGCCAGTCATTACCTTACTTTTAATTCGTAAGTGTCTTTATATTTGAAGTAGATTTCTTATTGACAACATATAGTTGGTCTTGTTTTTTTTTTGTTTGTTTATTTTTGTTTTCTATTCTAAGAATATCTGTCTTCTATTTGGTGCATTTAGACCACTGGCATTTAAAGTAATTAGTGATATAGTTGGATTAATATCTACCATATTTTTTGCTTTCGCATTTGTTGCCCTTGTTCTTTGTTCCTATTTTTGTCTTTCACACTTATTCTGCCTTTTATGGTTTTAATTGAGCACTGTGTGATTCCATTTTCTCTCCTTTCTTAGCATGTCAAATATATTTAAAAAACATTTCAAATAGTTGCTCTATAGTTTGCTGTATACACTTAACAGCTAATCCAAGTCAATCGTCAAATAGCACTATACCACTTCATGGGTAGTGCAAATACCTTATAATAATAAAATTTCTTCAATTCTTCTCTCCAGTTCCTTGTATCATCGTTGTCATTCATTTCACTTGTACATAAGCATACATAGTTGAATGCATTGTTGGTATTATTATTTTGAACAAATTGTCATCTGTTAGATCAACTAAGAATAAGAAAAATAGAATTTTGGGCCAGGTGCAGTGTCTCATGCCTGTAATCCCAGTACTTCGGGAGGCCGAGGCAGGGGGATCATTTTGAGCTCAGGAGTTCAAGACCAGCCTGGGCAACATGGAGAAATCCTGTCTCTACTAAAAATATAAAAATTAGCCAGGCATGGTGGCGGATGCCTGTGATCCCAGCTACTTGGGAGGCTGAGGCTGGAGAATCACTTGAACCCAGGAGACGGAGGTTGCAGTGAGCCAAGATCATGCTACTGCACTCCAGCCTGGGTGACAGAGCAAGACAGTCTCAAAAAAAACAAAAATAAACCAAGAAAAC
This sequence comes from Homo sapiens, assembly GCF_000001405.40. Classification (NCBI taxonomy): domain Eukaryota; kingdom Metazoa; phylum Chordata; class Mammalia; order Primates; family Hominidae; genus Homo; species Homo sapiens. The sequence continues at coordinate 16,329,363 of NC_000005.10, read as the reverse complement.
AAAAAAACAAAAAAAAAAAGAGAGAGAAAGCCGGGCGCAGTGGCTCACGCCTGTAATCCCAGAGCTTTGGGAGGCCGAGGCCGGCGGATCACGAGGTCAGGAGATTGAGACCATCCAGGCTAACACGGTGAAACCCCATCTCTACTAAAAATACAAAAAATTAGCTGGGCATGGTGGCATGCAGCTGTAGTTCCAGCTGCTTGGGAGGCTGAGGCAGGAGAATTGCTTGATCCGGGGAGGTGGAGGTTGCAGTGAGCCAAGATTGTGACACTGCGCTGCAACCTGGGCAACAGAGCAAGACACCATCTCAAAAAAAAAAAAAAACAAGAAAGAAGAAAAAAAGAAATAAAATTTTGTATTTTATCTTCACTTATTTATTCTCCAATGCTGATATTCTTTTCTTATGTGGGTCTGAATTTCTGACCAATATAATTTTCCTTCCTCTGAAAAACTTTTAACAAGTCTTACAAGGCAAGTTTACTGGCAATAAATTCCCTTAATTTTTGTTTGTTTGAGAAATACTTTATTTCTCCTTCACTTTTGAAGGATAATTTTTCAGAGTACAGAATTTTAGGTTTTTTTTTTTTTTTTTTTCTCTCAATACTTTAAACATTTCACTCCATGGTCTCTCACTTGCCTGGCTTTTGAGGAGAAATTGGATGTAATTTTGTCTTTGTTTCTCTACAGGTAATGGTTTTTTTCCTCCTTCTGGCTTCTTTTAGGAGTTTTTTTTTTTTTCTCTTTATCTTTGGTTTTCTAGAGTTTGAACAGCATATGCCTAGATGTAAAGTTTTCTGTTTTTTGTTTGTTTGGTATACATCCTCCTTGGTGTCCTCTGAGCTTTCTGGATCTGTGGTTTGGTATCTGACATTAATTTTCTCAGTTATTATTGGTTCAAATATTGTTTCTGTTTCTGTCTTTCTTCTTCTGGTCTTCTTAACATGTATAACTTTTGTCATTATTCCACAGTTCTTGGATACTTTGTTCTTTTTTCTCTGTTTTTCAGTTTTGGACCTTTATATTTTCTTAGCCTGAAGTTCAGAGATTCTTTTCCTAGCCATGCCCAGTCTACTAAAAGCCCGTTAAAGGCATTCTGCATTTCTCTTATAGTGTTTTTGACGTCCAGCATTTCTTTCTGATTCTTTCTTAGAGTTTCCATCTTTCTTCTTATTATCCATCTGTTCTTGCATGTTGTCTACTTTTTCCACTGGATCTCTTAGCATACCCATCATAGTTGTTTTAAATTACCATTTTGATAATTCAAACATCCCTGCCATATCTGATTCTGGTTCCGAAGCTTGTTCAGCGTCTTCAAACAGTGATTTTTTTTTTGCCTTTTAGTGTGCTTTGTCATTTTTTGTTATAATCTGGACATGAGTTACTGGTAGAAAGGAATTCTGCCAAGTAGGCCTTTAGTTGTATGGTGGCAAGGTATTGGAGAGGGGAAGCATTCTACAGTTTTATGAGTAGGTCTCAGTCTTTTGGTGAACCTGTGTCTGGGACTGTGAATTCACCAGTGCTTCTCAGTTTTATTCTTCCTTAGATGGGACAGAATGGATAGAGGGGGCTGGAGTTTGGTATTTTTCTTCCCCCTGGTCAGCTAGGCTCTAATAAAACCCCAGCAGGTTAGGCTCTGGTGAGACAGATTCTTCTAAGGGCAGGCCTTGTTAAGAACAAAATATTATAGTGTATTTCAGAATGGCAATTTTTATCCTCCCCAGCTGGAAGCATGAGAAGATTTTTCTCTGATATTCACTGTGAGGACCTGGTAGAACTCCTGGAGGTAAGACCCACAGAAGTGTGGGGGGCCAACTATGACTGGGTTCCACTGGAGTTTGTAACTCTCTGACTTGTCCACACGGAGCCTCTAGCAGTTCATCAATTACAATTATAGTTTTCCTGCTTTTGTCCTGGTTCTTGCAAAAGTTTTTGGTCATCGGTTCCTACTCTGGAATCTCAGTTGTGATTCTCTGTGTTAGGCTGTCTGTCTCTCCAATTTTGGGGGAAGCGGTTTTCCCTGTGACCTTGCTTCTTCAACAAATCGAAGGAGAGTTGTTGATACTCAATCTGTAAAAAGTAAAAAGTTCAGCTTTTTACTTGTTGCTAAGATGGAGTGGTGGCTTCTAAGCGCCTTACATGCCACACCGGAAACCCAGAGTGTTACACATTTATTTAAAAATATTTCACTACTGATATTTCCATATTATTGGTTTCCTCTACAATACCGTTTATTGTGTTTTATATTTACAAAACCCCCAAAGTATTAATCTGGGTGCACAGACTTCACCAAAATGCCAGAGGGTTTCATAGTATACAAGAGTTTAAGAAGCCTTGATCTAAATGAACAGGAAATGAAGGAAACCTTATGTTGGATTCTATTTTGCTATGTAGTAGGGTATATCAAGTTTGGTAGAGATTTCATTGAGTTTTAAGGCAATGGGCGACAATCAATATGAAGCAACTTCTCGAACTAAATTAATTCTGTAGCAACAGATACTTGCTAAGCCCTTTTGTACATGAAACTTACTCTCCACCCGTGCTGAGGCCTGGCTCAGATCTGCTATAGCCTGACCAAGATCTCTCTCAGAGAATGATTGGAACATCAGTGAGAATGGGAAGAGAAAACAGTGGATGAAACAAAACACGATAAAAATCTGTTAAAGTAAACAACCCATTCTGCAGCCTGGGTTTGTAAGCCATTTAGCAACAGTTTCCAGATAAAGAATAGAACACTTGATCTTTCCACAGAAGCCACTCCAATTTTAACACAGATTCTCACTTGATATAGTCTGAGATCCAGAGTGCTGTTTAAAGCAGTTTTTAAAAAGCTTATTGCCAGAATAGGCGCCCGGTTATGAATCTGGCCAGCGTCTCTTTCCCAACAGCTGCTCCCAGCTAATGAAGAAATGAAATTTCTCAGTGTTGGCTAGAACCTGGAGAGAGGCACATGGTGGAGAACTCAACACAGGGAGTTTTCATTGTTGGAAAGCCAGGGATCCTCTTTGTTTTTGGCAACGCCTGCTGCTTCCATTGGTGAACCTGATGGCATGCTACAGGGGCATTGCTCCATTAAGGCTGCAGGGGGGAGCCCAGGATGATGCCGCTTTCTATAAAGGCCAGAGCAAATTAAATGTCTAGCAGGGAAGAATGTGTGTTGACAAAATGGCCCAAGCCCATTTTTCAAAGTAAAAACTAAAGCTGCGCTGTTGGAGGGATATTGACGTGGATCACTGAAAGAAGGTTTAGCTTCAAGGGAAAAAAAGTAATAAAAGGGCACATCCTGTTTCCTGCTTTAGCTTGTCTATTTCTAAAAAGACTAATACAAGAATACACTCTAAGGAAATGGCTTAGTTCCCACCCACCCCCAACTACATAAGTTATATAACAGTGAGGCTTGTATCCTTTGTGAAAAAGAAGTCACCAAAAAGTTTCATGATTTCTTTATTCAAATTATGTTCTTGTTAAAATAGTTGGGCAGAAGAATTTTAGAGTTTTTTTTTTAATCAACAACGTCAATAATCTTCAGTCTTTCAGCTCTTCTTCCCCACTTACCCTTTGTTTCCTCGCCATAGAGACAGAAGTCAACGGAGCTAAAAACGTCCAAACGATTCTGAGATCTTCTAGCATATTCTCAGTCTATGATAAAAAGAATTTTTTCCTAAGTGAACCTGCATATGTTAAAAAGAAAGACGAGAAAAACTGAGGAACTGATACATGCATGACTAAAAGATTGTACTTAGGATTTTGTTTTGGTTCAGGTGTGTGGTTTAAGCACTTTTGTTGAGGAAAGGCCAAACAGTTGCTATAGACATAGAGTAATACTATGGTTCATCATTCTACTTCCCCAGCTCAAAAAGTGTGGCTGATTAGAAGAAAAGGAAGGGAAAAGCATAGCGGTTCGGGTACTCAATAACTTCATTTTCGTCTTACTTGCATGGGAGTATTCTATCTGGTGTTACCAGTTTGGGGAAAAAGACCATATGAAGTTATTTAAAATTAGTTATTTATGGGAAATTTCTATTTTAAAAAATATTTGGAAGAGTAGAAGAATTATGTGCAAGGCAGAGGGGAAAATATGCAATAGATCTGGCAAATTGTTTAAAAATTAAAAAGCTAGAATAAGGAGAGAACATTGCCTGCTTTGTAGACATAATATACACACTTCAAATTGGTTTCATCAGGGCTTTATGTGGTGCCCACGTACCATAATATTCAGGGAAACTACAAACATGGATAGGAAAACATGACATTCTTATTTTATCAAAACTCCAACTGAAATTTAGCTTTTCCTTCAATTATGAAGGTAGGTTTTATTAGGTTTTTAAAGGGATTTATGGCACAAAAAGGTTAAAACCTCTGGAATATTGGCATCTTCACCAACAAAAGGGAAAATAAGAGTTTCTCATGTTTGGGTCAAAATATCAGTGTATTGAACTAGTAAATACATGAATTTAGTAAGACATGTTTCTAAACATCTGATAATGTTACTTACTACATCCTAAATATATATCATTTTAATCTCTACAAATGATATTTTCAATTTTTATTCTATTTGTTTACTGTCAACTATAAAGCAGGCATTACACAAGGCTTTGGGGGCTACAGTGATTGCAAAAGCTTCAGCGTTTGGGAGGATGATGCTGTGTACATGGTGACGGATAAAAGAAGAGATTTTTTTTTTTTTTTTTTTTTTTTTTAGAGATAAACAGCAATGATTCAGTGACTGAATATTTGGCAGGGAGCTTAGATCCTCATAATATTCATGTATACTTTCCATTTTTTTATAGACACATTTTTTTGAGCACCAACCTTATGTAAAGCATGAAGCTGAGGTAGGGGATAGTATTTTGATAGTTAGCTGCAGACACCCACACTCACACTTCCTCACACCCCCCAAAACTAACACACTCTTCCTGGAAATCTCATGCAACCTTACTCAGGTAAAGTAATTTTACCTCCTTGAATCTCTCATCCAATTCTCCAGGTCACTTGCACCAATGCACAGGAGACTGTAGAGTGATTATCACAACCTGTTCAGTCTTCCAGACCATAAATGCAAGCTCATTTCCCAAAAATGGTGGGCTAGAAGTGTCATTTGGGTCTTCATTATATGCTGCTTTGAAATATCAAGACTTTGTCAGGGTTGGGTAAGGATGATTCATTTGATTCATGGTTCTTATTCAAAAAGGCATACTTAATGGGCAGATATTGGACATTTCACTTGATATGCTGAGTCTCCTGACTTACTGCTGAGACAACTACTTTAATTTAATTTTCAAATGCAAGTGTAAAAGTTGACTTTTTAAAGTACCAGTTCAACTACGACAATATTTTCAAAATAATCAGCTGAGACAATAGAAACTTAAGGTCAATTACCATTTAAGCCTTATATAAGCTAAGCTAATTTCATGTTATGCTTGTTTGCAAATGGGATACTTTTTTTTAAGTCCTTAAGTTATTTGTCACTTAGCATCCCTTGCCCAGGTCAGGATTTACATTTTTTTTCAATACCATAAGGAAGTTCTCCAAGCCCTGGTTCTCATATTCTTTCTCAAGCTAAGACATAGATCAGTGGAACAAGGCCTCTTGTTGCCTTCGAGTTTCAGTGTTGTGCGGATTACTAGGCCGTTATCAGTTCTTTCCTACCCACATGATCTTAGTCACGTGAATTTATCTAAACCTCAGTTTTCTCATCTGCAAAGGGGCATAATGATAATGGAATTTACTTCACGGTGTTGTTAAGGTTATCAAATGAGATAATTCTGGTAAATAATGAACAGATTGCCTTCTGTTTATGCCTTGTCATAAACTATTGCCTTCATTATTGTCATCATAATTGTTATTATGCACTCCAAAAATAAAGCCATCCTCATGCACTTTACCACTTTCCCAGTCTTTTCCCCATCTGTAAATTTATTTTCTCCATACCACACTTACATTATTCAGCTCAGTACCAGAATAAGGTGTGTTTCCTCTTGATGAGGTTCATCTTTCCATCTGTGTACTTGACTTTATCTTCTCACATCTCCTTTTTCTAGATCTCATTGTTTTCTGCCTTTTCGCTTTCTTTAGTTTATAAACATAGGCAAATCCATTTTAATTTGAACAAAATAAAACAAAAACACCTCCTCTGACCCTATAGACTATATTCACATGCCCAACTGCTCTATCTTCTTTTCCATATACATTTCTTAAATTTTGGGGCGCATAATCACTGTGTCTTAACTATTTTGAGCTTCTCACTTTGCCCTGTGAGCACACTATCTTACCTCGAGGATTTGCACAAATTCTTTTCTTAGTCAAGAAAGTCCAGACTTCACTTCTTAGTCCGAGAGTATCTTTTCCTCAATATGAAATATTCATGTGGGTGGTTACACCAACAAGAAGTACTTCCTGACTCTTGTGGGCAGCGGGCATTGGAACCTTCTTTGTGAGTCTATGTGCTTCCACCTCTCTGCTACAGTATTCATCCAATGTCTTCTAGCCCTTGTGCCCCTAAAACATGTTTTCTAGAGTTAACTGACCTAAAATACCAGATTGAAGACCTAACCTTGATGATATCTTTTCTAGGGTGTCAAATTAAGTAAATACTTCAATAAATGAATAAGGAAAAATTCCCTCTCTTTTCTTCCTCAGAGAAAGTACCCATTGATTAAACATGAAAACCTTTAGCTGAGAAATATTAACATAAGTACATTTCATCAATATGCTCATCGTTAATAAACAAGTTATTACATATGTCAAAAGATTAATTGATAAATAGATGGATGTATTAGATTGATAAATGGTCTACCAAAAAGGAGAACTGAGTTCTAGTCAACTGTATGAGTCAACTCTGTCATCTCAGAGAATACATTTTCTTAACATGTTAATTCATTTTAATTAATATGTTAATTTCTCCTTACTAATTCCTTTCTTAATGTCACAATCTACAAATACAGAAATAAAACCATTTGCCCTACATAAGTGACAAAATTGTTAAGAGGTTTAAATGAGACAATATATGTGAGACCTCCGTGTAAATGGTCATGTTTTCTGTAATTGCACAATATTGGTATTAGTACAGATAGTTATTATTCTCAAATAATTTTATTCTCTAAAAATTTATAATTAATTGGGTGGTTCTTTCTGTCACTACAGTGAAATCATACCAAGACCTGCCACTGCTTCTGTGCTATATTTCCCTCTTTATATTAATATTTTCAGGGTAATTTAAATTCATAGCCTGTATGTCAGAGATATCTGGGCTATAGATTTATTTCTAGTCCCACTCTTTATTATTCTTACGTATAAATAAATACCTATTATGTTTTTCAATTAAAATTGTAATTAAATTTGAAACTCAATTTAGAGTTGTTAAGGGATTTTTTTTGGTCTCATTTTACCCTCAAATCTCATCACTTGGAAGGAAGTAGATGTGGTTGGTTGCCTAGCCAACAGCCATTTTCCTTTCTTTATTCTTGGTCCTTATTCTTTATTCATGGTCCTTACATACAAAATACTATTTTTTTTAGGAACCTAACCCAGCATAATTTGCTAGTCCCTTCCCTAGCCCTAGGAGCTGGATCATGATTGTTCTAAGTCAATCATAGCAATCCCATTTGTCTTTGTCAGTGATTGGTTTAAGGCTCAGCTTGTGACTCAGATCTGGATCATGAAACCTAAGAAGTCTGTTGTTGAGGAAATTGAGGGTGTTCTGAGAAACAGTTTCTTACTTGATAAAAATAAATAGACATGCAAGAAGAAGCCTACTTCCTCATTCCTTCTTGTTTTTGGATATTGCTATGAGAGGATGTCTTGACTGGCACTGTGGCAGCCATCCTGAAACCAAGAAGGAAAAGTCAAAGGACTTCAGAAGAGCTGACACTGGCAAACTGCTGACTTAAGCAAACCTGGAACTGCTTACTCCTGACCTTTTATTATTTTAGACAATAAGCCCCTATTATTTAACAGGAATAATAATGTAAATAATAATAATAGCATCAATAATAGGAATAGTCTCCTATTTTCTAACAACAATTCTATCGCAAGCATCTGAAAACATCCCAACTGACAGTCAGGTTAGCAAGGTTCCTGTCAGACACAGTCTACCAATTTTTGTAAGATTCACTTACCAGCTGTCCATTGTTTTAGACATCTCAAACCATAATTTAGAAATAATTCAGAACATTTTTACTATCATTGATGTAATTTGTTACTCACTTCTAATACCTTATTTCATTGTTGAAAATTGAGATAGTAGGATAAAAGAAATGGATATTAACATTGGAAATGATTTTTATGTATTAATTATTATGTAGTCTTAACCCTGAGTAGGAGAATTAGTATTGTTTTCAACAGAGAGTGGTAACATGGTGTAATGACTCTAGTGTTCGGTCTAATTGTTAAAACACAATTTTTAAAATTTTTGTTCCATAATTTAACAAAAAATTATTGAAATAAATGGTACTGGGGCAATTGGACATTCACATAGAGAAAAATGAATACTGACCTCTATCTTATGCCATATATGGAATGTAGATATAAATGGAAAATTATGAACCTCTTAGAAAAGAATAGAAGACTTTGTGGTAGGTAAATATTTATATAACAGGACACAAAAGGCAATAATCATACAGAAAAAACTGGATAAGTAGACATTAAAATGCAGAATTTCTCTTGAGCAAAAGACACGTTACATGTGTAAAAAAGCAGGCCAAAGTGTGGGAGAAGATATTTCCAACAAAGATTATAGAGAATTCTTAAAAGTCAACAAGAAAAAAGAGAGATGAAAAATAGGTGGAAGACTTTGAATAGGCATTTTGCACAATAGCATATGCAAATTGCCTACAAATATATGAGGTAGTGGTCAATATCATTAGCTTGTAGAAAAAATGCAAATTAAAACTGCAGTGAGATACCACTGTATACCCACCAGAACAAGTGCAATTAAATAAGACTAACAAAATCAAGTGGTAGTGAAGATTTGGAGAAACTAGAATTCTCATAGACTGCTGCTAAAAGGGTAAATTGGTAACACAACTCTTGGAAACTCTTTGACAATATCTACTAAAACTGAACAATGCATACCTGTTGAACCAGCAATTCCACTCTGGGGTGTCACCAGCAGAAATGTAGACATATGTTTACAAAGAATATTTTATAACAGAGCTCTTTGCAAAACACTCAAATTGGAAACAGCCCAGATATTCATAAGCAGTAAAGTGCATGCATATATTATAGTATATTCATACAATGGGATACTAAACAAAAATGTAATATACAAACTACAGCTGCACACAGCAACGGAGATTAATTTCATAAACATAATTTTGAGCAAAGGAAACAAACATACTGTATGATTCTATTTATATGAAGCTCAATAACAAGCAAAACCAATCTTTGGGAGGGAGCACAAAAGAGATTTTCAGGTGTTGGCAATGTTCTTTTCCTTGAGGTGGGTTTTGATTATGAAGAGTCACAGAATATGCCACTTCAAAAATATGCCACTTTTGCATAAGGATTGTTTTGGGCTGAAGGCAATTGAGAAAAAGATATAAGAAGAGCTCTCTGTCTTCCCACCACTTGCCTAAAATCAGGCCATAAACTTACAAACGTGTCCTTCCTCCCCACTCTACCAGGAAGGACAAAAGTTGATTACTAGAGATGACCTTAGACACTTACCAAACTAGAGAAGGCACCAGAGGAGTCTACGTAACAAACATTTTTTACCATTAACTTCCCATATATTTGTTTTCCCACAATTTACTACAGAGACTCAAGATCTTTTTCCATTGTCTAATTGCTCTCTAAAAATGTATTGTTCTTTATTGTAAATGGAGAGTAAGCCGGGGTGCTAACCCATGTCTTTGACAGTTACTCTTTTCCTAAATGTTCTTCCATGTCTATAGGAAATATACATGTTAGTAAACTGTCTTGTTAATGTTTTTTCTTTTTCTTTTTAAAATTAATTTATATCTTAATTGAAAAATAAAAATTTTATATATTTATGGTGTACAGGTTTTAAAAAATTATGTATACATTGTGGAATGGTTAAATGGACCTAATAACACAGGTATTACTGTACATATTTATCCTTTTTTGTGGTGAGAACGTTTAAAAATCTACTCTCAGTGATTTTCAAGGATGCAATACATTGTTATTTACTGTAGTCACCATGTTGTACTCTAGATTTCATGAACTTATTTCTCTTGTCTAACTAAAGTTTTGTATCCTTGACTAACAGCTCCCAAGCAAACTCCACCTCACCTGCACCCCCGGTTCCTGGAAACCACCATTTTACTCTCTGCCTCTATGAGTTTGACTTAGTGTCTAGATTCCACATATGAGTGAAATTATGCATGCTTTGTGCTGTTATAACAGCATACCTGAGATTGGGCAATTTATAAAGAACAGAGATTTATTTCTTATAGTTCTGGAGGCTGAGAAATCTAAGGTCAAGGGGCCTCCATCTGGCGAGGGCTTTTTTTGCTCTGTTATCTCATAGTAGAGGGCAGAGGGCAAGAGAACATGGGAGAGAAAGGGAAACAGGTGGTTGAACTCATCCTTTTATCGGGAATCCACTCCCATGATAACTAACCCACTCCGTCAATGACAGCATTAAGCTATTCATGAGGGCAGAACCCTCAGACCCTAACCACATCTTAAAGGTCCCATCTCAAAACTGTTGCATTGGGAATTAAGCTTCCAACATATAAACTTTGGGGGACACATTCAAACCACAGCAATGCGGTATTTGTCTTTCTGTGCCTGTCTTATTTCACTTTACATAATTTCCTTCGGGTTCATCCACGTTGTCACATATGACAGGATTTTCTTTTTTAATGCTGAATCATATTCCATTGTGTTGATATATTATATTTTCTTAATCCATTCATCCATTGGTGGACACAGATTGATCCACATCTTGGCTATTGTGAATAATGCTGCAATAAACATGGGAGTACAGCTATCTGCTTGACATACTGATTTTATTTCCTTTGGATATATATCCAGAAGTGAGATTACTGGATCATATGGTAGTTCTACTTTTAAGTTTTTCAGAAAATTTCATACTGTTTCCCATTGTAGCTCTACTAACTTACATTCTCACCAACAGTGTGCAAGGGTCCCCTTTTCACCATGTCCTCACCAATGCTCATCTTTCATCTTTTTGATAATAGCCATTCTAACAAGTGAGAGGTGATATGTCATTGTAGTTTTAATTTGCGTTTTCCTAATGATTAGTGATGTCAAGCATTTCTTCATATACCCTTGGCCATTTTTATGTCTTCTTTTGACAAGTGTTTATTCAGGTCCTTTGTAACTGATTTATTTGTCTTCCTACTATTGAGTTATTTGAATGTCCTATATACTTTGGATATGAACTCCTTACAGAGGTGTGGTTTGCAAATATTTTCTCCCATTCTGTAGACTGTATCTTCACTCTGTTGATTGTTTCTTTTACTGCACAAAAATGTTTTTGTTTGATGTAATCCCAATCGTCTACTTTTGATTTTGTTTCTTGTGCTCTTGGAGTTATATTGAAAAAATCATTTTCCAGATCAATGTTATGGAGCTTTTCCCCTATGTTTTCTTCTAGTACTTTTACAGTTTTAGATATCATATTTAAGGCTTTAATCCATTTTGAGTTTATTTTTGTATATGGCATGAGATAAGGTTCTAATCTCATTCTTCTGCATGTAGATATCCTTTTTCCCAGCATCATTTATTGAAGAGACTATCTTTTGCCAAGTGTGTGTTCTTGGCATTTTTGTCCAAAATCAATTGACTGTAAATGCATGGATTTATTTCTGGGTTTTAAATTCTGTTTTAATCTGTGTTTTGTTACAGGGATCCCAGCTAAGAACTCAGAAGAGTAGCAGAAAAATTATTCTCTCCCCTACAATTACATGTTTTGTTCACTTTATATATGAAAATTAACTGATTTATTTGTTTACATCCATATACTTTTTCTGAATGTATGTTTAGTTCAACACAAATAACATTTCAAAAATAATTGGAATAGAAGGAAAATAAGATAGAAAGGAATATCAGCATTGAAAAAGGAATGGGAAGTAGTGGAAGAGTGTCAAGGGAAAGTAGTCTGGGAGCGGGGTACTTGGCATCTAGGGATCTGCAATCTAAGCAATGCTGTGTGAGGGCTCTATGGTATCACTTGGTACCTTTCATAGCCTTTTGTAGATTAAATGCTCCCAGAATCTTCCACCCAGACTTCGGCTGTATTTTGCTGTTGTTGAGAATGAAGTTACTTTATTTACTCTAAAGAATTAGGACAATTTAGAGCTATTTATCAGCCAGAAGTAGTCAAATCCTTGACTTATTCTGGTTCTTGGACTGTTTTATGGTTATAAGTCCATTTTATCTCTAGGTAGCACATACTTCTAGATGCATAAATTTAATTTGTAATGCTTGGACTAATGTGCTAACAAAATGGATGCATTCTCCTAATATATAAAAATACTGTTTTAGATACAGCATATATAATCTATTTGGAATGTAGATAAAGACTTTATTACTAACAAGTTTTTTAAAAAAATGTTGTCATCTCTTGATAATTTTCTTTTCTTTGAACTCCTCCAATGTTAGTCTTTAACTCACATTATTTACCAATAATTTATAGTCTATCTTGAGTTGTTGGCTGGTTTTGTTTTTTCCCCCCAAAACAAAAAAGTGTTGTAGTCTTGACTCCCCATCTAGATCATGAACTATTTGGATTCAGTATCCATATATTATAATCTTTCCAAAAATTCCCTAACCTTGGATTTGACTTATAGTAAGTGTCCAGTTTTCAGTGATTAGTGGCCAGGTACTCTCATGCTTAAGTCAGATGAGGAAAGACTGTGGTCTTGGACAATTGGAAGGAAATTTTTTGGCAGCATTTAAGAATAAAACAGGCATTCTTCTACTTATATTTTTAAAAAGAATCAAAGAAGTGAACTGGAAAAATCATGGCAGTCTCTATGGGTTCTATGGCCTGTGTATGTGACAAAAATAAATGATTTAAATAATTAGGCAAATTATTGTTTGGCCTATCCAATAGCAAACAACCCATTTAACTTTTTTTTAAAATTGACTAAATTACCCAATTGTTTCATCTCTGTGTAGCCAGAGCCTGGGTTTCTATTGATGAAACTATATTTTATGCTCATGCTCTGAAACAGCTGTAGTTCAGCAATTTGAAATAACTTAATGAGGTATTGATTGTGTCTGTTCAGCATGCACTGAAACAACGACTAAAACTGTGGAAGGCAACATCATAAATGAAGAGGGAGAAGGAAAGGTGAATTTCTAATGAATACACGAGATGAGTTCCTATCAACTTGACTATTTGAATTGGATGCTTTAGAATTAGAGAAATGAATTATTTAATTGTAGATGAAGAATATGAGTTCATTTTGCTCATTTGGAATTTGGAATCAGAACTGAATCACATACAGCTCAGGAAACATAAAAGAAAAAACTAGCTCAGAGATGAATCGTAGTGGCAAGTTTTTTCAAGCCAATTTTTAGTTGTTCAAACTAGAAGAAATGGAGAACCTTAGAGTAGAAATAAGGCTCTAGGGAAAGGAAATAAAAGAATTGTTCCTTTTGCATGTTTCCTAAATACTCCCTGGTGGCTCTTAATGAGCTGCTCGATTGCATGTTGGCTCTGGAGTTGCATGGAGCTCTGCCATAAATTAGTGAGATGGAGAGAATTTGAATGAGAGTATTGCAGAAGGCAGCACACTGGAAACCTTTCCCCCATATTCCATTTGGCTAAAATCTGATTCTGTGGATGCATCATTGGCAGTCTCAGGGCTATCTCCAAGTTACCCAACTTTGCAAATAACTTTCTGCAATCACTGGGCCAACAACTATGCTAACACGTAAATTTACCTTGACTGGGTACATTTACTTAAACAACTTCCCCAGTTCCTTCCCAGTCACTGCCATCTTCTTTCATTAAGAAAACCCGGCCATTGATCATTTGTCTGAATGAAATAAATATGGTGTTTCCTATGAACACAGAATGAAATAAATATGATATTTCCTATGAACATAGAGTGCGTCTACTACAAAACAGATGAGAAACAGAAATGATGGTACAGTGGATCACAAGAGGAAATAGTCCTAAAGCAAAGCAGCAGAGATTAGAGGGTTGTAAGGAAGAATTTCCAGAGATGTGCATACAAAGAGGCCATCTGGGTGAAGGAAATCATTGAGGAGAAAACAAACAGCTAGTCCTCTTAGGGCTCTTTAACTCTCGGTGAAATGGGAGGGTTCCCTGGTCTGGTCCCCCTCACAACAGGGGTGTGGTTCTCTGTTCACCTGCCATGAGCTCAAACCCCTTATGGGAGGTGGAGCATGCAGATGGGCAGGTGCAGGAACTGTCTAGGGCTGCGTGTCTGTGACTCCCAAAGCCCAGTGGGCTCGTGTTACAGTGTGCTTAAGTGTTGAGCAGCTCAGTGGACCCTCTGCATTTTTGCAAGTGCAGACAGCAAGTGTGACAGCTTTCTGTATCCCAAGTTCTTTCCAGCATACTGGAAGAATCGGGTCACAGACGGACTTGAAGGACAAATGCAGGGGTTTTACTGAGTAATGGAGGTGACTGTCAGCAGGATGGATGGGGACCTGGACAGGGGATGGAGTGGGAAGATAATCTTCCCCTGGAGGTTGGCCATCCAGTGGCTGATTCTCCAACAGTCCCCAGCCAAACCCCTCCCAATGTTCCTTCTCTCCTCTCCTTCTCTGCCACACCATTATGCCATTAATCTGCTAGTCTCCTCATCTCCCCATCTGCTTGTCTGCTTCTGGAGGGTTCAGGGTTTATATGGGTGCAAGATAGGGGGCATGGTGGGCCAAAAGGCAACTTTTTGGGTGCAAAACCAGAAATACATGTTCTCACTTAGGGCCCTGGGTATCCAGGCTTGGGGGTGGGACCTTTGTTAGGGAACCACCCTCTTCCACCCAATATTTCCCTGTCTCCTGCCCGTATCATTGGCTACTTTCTCAAATTTAAATTTAATTTAGCTTCTTGCTTTCTGGCAGCTTCCTTTAAAGTGGTTATGCTCCACTTGGGACATGGGTGATTTTTTGCCTCGCAGAGATATTTGAGAAGATCTAGAGACATTTTGGTTGTCACAGCTGGGGAGGGGAGAGGCGCTACTGGCATTTAGCAGAGACCAGGGATGCTGCTAACATGCTAGAATGTACTAGACAGTCTCCACAACAAAGACTGATTGTGCCCCAAATCTCAAGAGTGACAATGTTGAAAGAAAGAGCCAATTTTTATGGTCATGAAAGGAAGGACCAATTTATACGGTCATGAAAAAACTAACAGGAAATTAGGAAGGACTTAATTTCTGCTGACTAAAGGGAAAGAAATACAGGCAAGGAAAGGCAACGATGTGACAAGATGATTTAATGTCCTTGTCAGGTATGTGTGGTCACATGACATAGATGTCTGGTCTGTGTGGCTTAGAATCACTTTGGCTACCTGCCCAGAGCCTCAGGGTAGTAACTGATTTGCATATAATGATATGTCTACGTAAAATGTGTAGTTGTAATAAATACAAACAATGGTGGGTTTAAAAAATTTTTTTTTAAATGCACCTCTTTCTTCCCGTGCTGGATAATTATCATTTACTGGGTACTTACTACACTCTGGCACTGTGTTCAATACATTTAAAAAAAATTTACATTTGGTTTCTTTTTGTTTTAAAACAGCAACCTACATCAGCTATCCTCATAAGGATAGGTCAATTGTTCCAGAAACAGAAGGAATTTATATTAGGTCCCTTGCTTTTCCACATATATTGTAAATGAGTACAAAGGAGGTACAGCTTTGGGATGGAAAGACTTCCGGGGTTTCTGCATGAGGGAAAATGGGCCTTATGCACTTAAAATATTAACAATCCTAAGGAGCTTAAAGGGATTTGCACATCACAACCTTAAACAACTTTGTTAGAGGTCTATTTCCTTAGTCTAAAATTAGAATTTGTCTCTAATGAGCTCTTCCTACTTAAGGGTCCAGATTCTGTTCTTTCCTGCCAACCAGCTCGAGGTGAGGCTGTTGGGTCATGCACTCATCTGAACAAGATGCAGGATTTGTTGATCATTTATTTCGAGGAAACTGGGAACCTGGTAAGATTGGATGTCAAACTTTTTGAATATCGTAATAGGTGCATCTTTCTGTGATGAGTTTCTGTATCTTCATGATAATCAAAGTAGTCTATGGCTCTGAAAATGTTAGGAACCACTGTAGTGGTGTGTGATGCTAATAAATGCAGGATTACAAGTTTCTACTCTCTATGGCTATCTGCTGTAAATAGAAGAATCTCCATCCTGTAATCCCGGGCCTCACAATTGACCCTGAGAACTGCATGCAAATGTGTGTGCTATTAGTCACCAAGGGATCAAGAAAAACAGTATACGTGAATCAGAATCCTCCACTGCCTCCCCTTCACATGGTAATTGCCAACAAAGAAGAGTTTTTATGAAACCTCATCAATCCGAGCTACATGTGGAGCTTCAATAAATGACACTCATCTTTCTGTTCAGATGTTGGAGCCAGTAGAGAGATGGGCTAAAGAAGACAGATGGGGAATAAAAGGAAAGCTGGCTTTATTATTGATAAAGCTGATGGGAAAACATGGTTTTAAATGTGGACTGAATTCCTCCTGAATTCAAAAGACTTACTCCAGCTGTCCCAGATTCAGCTGAACAATCACAGGTGAGCTTCTTTCCTTAGCTGATCAGAATGTCTGATTTGCAGAAGGGGACCTCATCTCTGAGGGGGCTGAACCTGGCATTGCTTCCTTCTCATCTTCTGATTTCATCCACCAGCTATTTTCTCCTCCCTGTAGGAGCAACGAGTGAAGGGTGGAGGGCAGTTTTCCTCAATAATTTTCCTTCTGAGGTGTTGATGCATATTCTCTGCTCTCGTGAGAACATAAAGAGTTAGGAATAATTTTCTTTCCCAAATTTAAGTGAATCTCTGCATCAATTACAATTAAAATACAATCTTGGTGGAGAACTATCTTGAGTGGCTTATTTCAAAAAGTAGAAATAATAGTCTATCAAGACCATGCAAAACACAAAATGTATTGATTAGAGAGGTTTCTGAGAGACTGCCCATAGAAGGGTGAATCTCTTTTGCCAATATCTCGTAAAGCCAAATGAGGAGAGCTAGACCTTTGTAAGGGGAACTACAATTTGCTAGAAGGAAGGGCCTCGAAGTGAGAAGTGTGGGAGTGAGCCTCAGAGAAGTAATCTCCTAGGAAAAACTGTGAGCTGAAGATGGGTCACATTCTGGGAAGGACTTTTACTTGTGTTTTTCTTCTCCAATTTTATCTCTCTTGACTCTACAAAAAGTTCTCTGGATTTCTGTCAAGCACCCTGTGAAATTTAAATGCTCTCAAATTGTCACCCTTCTTAAATAGTAACAGTAATTACCTTTGGAAAGGTCAGAAGAACCAGACTTTGGAGGCATGGTGTTCTCAAGAGGAGTTGTAACACAATGTCCCAATTTGTCTGGCCTGTCTGTCTCAGTTTATACCCGATGTCCTGGTATAACTATTAATATCCTTCCGTTCATTCTTAAGAGTGTCCCAGTTTGGATAATAAATCATATAGTCATTCCACTTTTTCTTTAATGTTTAATTTTTTTCTTTTTTAAAAGAGGAATGGATTTATTGTTACTTGTATAATTAGAATTAGTTTTATCAAAGGCTATAACATGATTCTTGCCTCACAGGGGAATCAATTGCCTGTAGTAACAAAAACAAGCGTCAATATGGTGCTTTTCAGCTTACAGAAGACTTCTGCAAGTGCAGTTAAAGAGTTAAATGGAAGGGGTTCAATATATTCTGAATAGATGAGTGAATGGGTGAAGCTAGAGTGACAGGTGTAGTAGCTACACAAAAATTGCCAACATCATCTCATTCTCATGTACTTTTGTTCCCACCCAACCTAGTGACTGTATTGTGTGGAACTTTTTCTTTCTTACCTTTTTCTAGATGGACAATGACACTTGGAATTGTGCTGGTCTTAACACAAAAAGTTGGCCCTTCTCTCCAACTCCTAATTTGTACTTCCTTTAACCTCTAAGTTAGGCTATTTTTCCAGCTTCTATTACAATGCCAATTATCATAGGCATTACTGTACAAAGTAAGATAAAACATCACCATTTCCAAAACAAACTGTGGGGGTTTCTTTTGTTTGAATGGAGTCATTGAAGTCTCTGTTTGTATGAGAACTTCCAGCCCATCTTCCCTGCCATGTTGTGGGGCCCTGCCTGTTGTATCCCCATTTATTAATATGTCACACAGAAGAGAAGGAAGAACCTGGAGAAGTCAAAAGAGATTGTCCCTTTTCCTTCTTTCCGTTCAAACTCACTGTCAGGAAAGAGGATTAGTGTGGTGGCAGTGGTGGTATTTGGATTCACATTAGTAGTTGCTTCCAGGACTGATAGCCTACCCATAGTCTTCAATTATGGTAGTGTTGCTTTTTAAAATTAGAAAATATTTCTGAACCAGTTGATAGATAGCCATTGTCCCCAAAGTCCTGTAAGTTGTCTTGTGCCCAGTTTTTTTTTTTTTTTTTTGGCTCTCAGGCACCCGTGGATATCCCCGGATCTAGCAAATAAGGGTCAACATTTGTCACAGCAAGGGGTACTGAGATCTTGCTCCAACCCGTTCTGATTAGCCAGTGCCTGTGCCATGTAGGTTGTCAAATAACCACCCCACTTGTTCTCCTGAATCTCCTCGTTAAGGTGTCTACACATGAATTAGGCATGAGTTTCCCTAACTTTAAAAGTAGGAAGCAAACTAGTACTTTCAGATCAAGCTTAATTCTTTTCTGGGGTGT
Source organism: Homo sapiens (assembly GCF_000001405.40). Taxonomy (NCBI): domain Eukaryota; kingdom Metazoa; phylum Chordata; class Mammalia; order Primates; family Hominidae; genus Homo; species Homo sapiens. Next base: position 16,310,514 of record NC_000005.10, on the reverse strand, counting down.
GTGTGTGTGTGTGAGAGAGAGAGAGAGTGTGTGAGTGTGTGTGTGAGTGTGAGTGGTGTGAGTGTGGCCCTGTGTGTGTGCATTCATGCATTCAATGGCCCTGACATTGTCTATCTTTTAGAGTGTCCCCAATTAAGATTGCTACGCAACAATTTGATTGTTTTGTTTTCATTGAAAACACCCTTTAGAGGTAGATATTCCCTTCAAACAAAATATGAGCACCTATTTGACAGATGGTCATCCAAATTTTGGATAACTTTGGTGATGGAAGGTCACTGCCTCAGAGGTCATTTCCCCTTCTGAAGTAAATTACACAGCACAGCCTACACTCATTTCTCAGAAATGTTATTTATTACAAAGAGCCACGTATGATTATCAGCAACAGGATTAGTCTGTCTTTGCTTAAAAAATATTTCTTTCGAAAATCTTCTCTTAGCCAATCTTTCCATATTTGTATGCATGAGCACTTCATAACATTTGAGAAATGTTACAAACCTAAGGAGACCACATGATTATGATTCCTATCTTGTGACTGAGAAGTATGCTTTGTACATATTTAGGCAATCTGTTATTGAGTAAATCAGTCATTCCTATAAAGGGAATGAATGAATGAATGGATGAATGAACAAAGGACCCCAGGCAGAGTGTTTTTTTTTTTTTAACTTTTAAAGAGAATTTCCAAGGATAGAAACTGCATGAGCTCTGATTGGCCTATTCCCATATTGTATTATAGCAATGATGATGAATTTCTCCTTATGCCCAATTGAAATCTCTCCAGCTTTATAATAATTAAATTTCTTCCTTTACAGCACTCCAGGTAGGTTTCCTTTGTCTGGTTCCATTCCAAGATCAGCCTTTGTTATTGACATGGCAGGGGCAGAAGGAAGAAAGATCTAATATGTATTACAGGAGTCTAGTGTTCTAGAACAGAGGTCCCCTGCCCCCGGGCTACAGACTGGTATCATCAGTTCATGGCCTGTTAGGAACCAGACTGAAAGTAGGAGGTGAGTGGCCAGTGAGTGAGTGAAGCTTCATCTGTATTTACAGCCTCCCTGCATCACTTGCATTACCGCCTGAGCTCTGCCTCCTATCAGATCAGCAGCAGCATGAGATTCTCACAGGAGCACAAACCCTATTGTGAACTGTGCATGCGAGGGATCTAGGTTGTGTGCTCCTTATGAGAATCTAATGCCTGGTGATCTGTCACTGTCTCCCATCATCCCCTTATGGGACTGTCTAGTTACAGGAAAACAAGCTCAGGGCTCCCACTGATTCTACATTATGGTGAGTTGTATAATTATTTCATTGTATATCACAATGTAATAATAAAACAATAAAGTACAGAATAAATTTAATGTGCCTGAGTTATCCTGAAGCTATCCCTCTGACCCCTGGTCCATGGAAAAATTGTTTTCCACAAAACTGGTCCCTGGTGCTGAAAAGGTTGGGGACTGCTGTTTTATAGAATGCTATTACCAAATTTATCTTCCCATATAACAAAGGGGAGCATTTTCCTTTATCATTCTAGATCTCTGATTGTTTTAATAAATAAAATGCTATTCACTTTCCCCTATAGCAAATAAGGCCAACTTTTTTTCTATACCAGGTGGTATTTCAGTTTGGGATATTCAGAAGAAAGGAAAAAGTTGTCATTATAAACATGTAGGGAAAATTGTTTCCAAATTTTCTAGAAAAGCTATATGTTATAATTAGTGCTCAAACCTAAAAGAAAGAATAATGTATGTTGCCTCTTGACACTCTCACTTCTAATTAAGCCAACTAAGATACTCATGCTCACCTTCCCAGAGTATAATCAGAAAAGCACAGAAAGAAATTCTATCATGAGACTTCTGGTGACAGGACTTTTCATTCTGGTTGTCTAGAGAAATATATTAATAAATTATTTAATGGCAAAGCTCTTGATTTTTATTCAACTTTTAGCTTCTACTACTTTGGAAAGGATGCCTATCTAAAAGACTTTAGAGAATCCATAGCTTATTCTCTTGCTTTGCGGAAGAGGGGACTGAGGCTAATGCATTGCCTGTAAACAAATATCCTTCCGCGAAGGATTGAGCATTGAGGAACAGTGCCGGACAACATTATTCACCTCTTTATCTATATGTGGGTCAGATCAATCTCCTGCCACCCCACCTCCATGGCTCACCTTCATGGCTCCTTCAGTTAGAAAGGAGGACTACAAAGCATACGATTACTCTGACTTGGTGGAAGTGGCCCCTAAGACTTCCAACACTTTTTAGTTGAACTCTGTGTTTATGAAATAACCTCTTGGTTTCTCAGCAGGCTTGCCTACTAGGAGAGAATTTCCTAAGCAAATGAGGGATGTGGATCATTCTCCTGGTGCAAGATAACAAATAAGTCATCACCATTCTGATTCTTAAATGTTCCTGTGAATTTGATGGTTTTGAGGTTCTTTAAAAAATACAAAAAACCTCTGTGTAGATTTCAGTTTCCTTCACGGATTCTTTTTAGCATTCCAGGAGTAACAAAAGATATGGGGTGTTAGAAGAACAGAAAGCAGGGGCTAGAGTGAAATGAATGGATTTGAGTAACATTTAAGAAGTAGAGACATGGGTGAGAAGAATAATTAGAGTGAATGATTAAACATGTGTGAAAAGGACAATTCAAGGGTGACTTCTTGAACTTTGGCTTTTGGATTCAGCCAACAAAAAATCTGAAGGCCAGACCCTGGACCTGTGTAATTCCTGTCCTCTGTTTTTCTTTCTTTACATAAAGCCCCACCTCCAGAGCCACTTCGCTAGCTGGTCAGGTATCTCTTGCAGAACTTCTTTCAGCCCCTACATCACAAGAGGGACTTTTGATGTGTTCCAGTGAGACTTTTTTTTAATAAAGCCATTGAACCTTCTAGATAGGTTTCAATGTGGGCTGACCATCTTCTGGATTTTACTCAAAAGTGAATATTGCTAAACTGAACATCTAGGGATGATTCTGTCAGTACTACTAATGTCTCTGTCTACATTATGCTAACAGTTGATCACTTAACTCATTCAAACAATTGTTCCACTCCAATAGTGGGCTTGAAATTCTGTTATCCCTTTCTGAATTGCCTGTTGTTTGAGGCCGAATTGCATGTTGCCCATTGCTTTTGTATTGTGAAAACTGAATATATCTACTTCCCTACTGAGTCAGAAGGGGATAATTTGGATTAATATTTTATATTTTAAAATGCCTCCAAGATACTATCTGATTCATTCTCATAACAATTTTGAGAGACAGGGAGGAAGCAGGTAAATGCACATTTCACGTAGTTTTCACTTAGTGGCAAATTTAGTGCTGTTTGGTCAAAGATGAAAAATGAAGAAATTATTCATGTGGAATCTAATTGAAGATCATCATTCTTGGTGACATTTATGACTTGCTTCTGGCAGGAACTTTGTTTGTTGTAGTAATATGAGGAATATTCTACTCTGTATTTGAAGGTGACACCATTATCTCCCCCCATTAGTTGTGTGTGTGCTTTGAGATGTTTTTGTAATAGAAAGGACAGATTTTCATTAAGCCATTTGCACTCTCTCTTGACATTGTGACGGTTGACACACATTTCTGAGGCCTGACTTGGGATAAATATTACAGCTATCACCACAAGCAGAGAAAAACAAGTTTCCTGCCTAGGGATTTGAACTTTTGCCACTGGCCTCATTAATATGGTGTCCTAACCAACTGAGGTAGCCAGGGGCCATGCAATTATAAAACAGCATGAATCAAACCTGGTCTAGGGTTCTGAAATTTAACCTTTGAATATATCCTTTAGCTGTGACGTATCTCTATGGAAGAATGTGGCCTTTCTCTAAAGATATTTATGGCAAAACGGTTTGCTGTGATCCTTCATAGAAATTTATTTTTCAAATTTAATAAAGACAGAAGCATTAGTGAATCTTGAGGAAATAAAACTTAGTGCTTTGCTAATATTTTTGAATGATATTTATAAATATGTCATTCATCTATGATGATTGCTGTCAATAACTTTTTAATGTTAAGAGCATGCTTGAATGATGTCTGAATTTATGTTCAGCTATTTACATCTCATTCACATGTAGGAGGGACTAACATTTTAAAATTAGGTCACAAATATCAAAATACTTCTCAAAATGGCAGCTTCATAGAAATGCTAGAAAGTGGAAAAAGATCCATGAAGTTTTTGTAGCCAACACATTTCTTCAAGCTACTTTAAAAATGAATCACTTCATTACATTATAATTATTAATGATTTAAAATCAGTGGAGGTTATATGGATATAAAACCATTCTAGGAAGTGAAGATGCTATTGAAATGATGTTATTTTTATAAGCTGAAAGCAGCTTGACTATTTTGATTGGCAAACAAATTTCTGTGTCTCCCTCACTTCCCTTATTCAATTGGTTATCAGGTCTGGCTGATTTTACCATCCAAATAGTTCTCTAATGCAAAGCTGGTGCCAGGGCCTCTGTGCTGGTCCAGACCACTCCCATGTCTCATGCAAATGATGGCAACAGCTTTCATCTTGTCTTCTGTCCCCAATCCTGCCTCCCTTTAGTCGATTTTCTATAATTTATAAAATGCAAATGGAATTATCTTACTTCCTTGATTCAATTCTTTCCAAACATTTCCAAAGTTCTTATGATAAAGTCCCCCATTCTTATCATTCCTTCCAAGGAAGGCTTCATACATGGGTGTTGTATGGGCAGTGGGTGTATGTGTGTGTGTGTGTGTTTGCATGCAGTGTTTTGGGGGAGGTGGTCTCATATTAATAAAAGACCTCATGTTTAGATGTCTTTATTTCTAAAAAGATTACTTCCACAGCCATTGAAGTTTATATACTTGTGTTGAAGCATTCATTTAAGTGCAAACATTTAAAATATATAATTATTATAATCCTCTTTTGACATTTCTTTATTTTTTAATGTCCTGGTAGCCTAAGGGACAAACAGATTGAACTGGCTTTGACTTCTCTCAAATGAGAGGCCCTGCTCACAAGCAACTGCATATTCCCCAGACCTCCAGGAGGATTTCTTGCTTTGCTTTCCAAATACACCTGCACGTCCTCAGCTCTACGTTCATGAATGTGTTTTGTTTTCATAACTATTTGATGCTCTCTCTTGTCTGTGGAACTTCCCACAAAAGTGTTCTTAACAATGTTTTCTCTTTCCTGGCTGAATTCTACTCATATTTTGATTTTTCACGTCTTAATTTGACTTGAAGCTTAAACTAAGACAAAAACTTTCTCTTTCTGGAACTTTCCTTGATAAAGATAGGTGCTGTTCTCGGGTCTTCATGGGATAGAAGGTTGGGCATGCCTAGCTTTATCACCTCCTTCAATAACCATTAGGCTTTCTTCCCCAAGGGCTAAACAGAAACCATCCCTTTCAAAAGGCTGCACCGCTGATATCAAGCAACTGCCTGGTGCTGCTCCTCTCTTTCCAGTTTTGGCACAATTTACCAGCATTCCTTCCTGATGAGAGATCACCGACCACAAAGTGGGTCTGGCCAGTCTACCGACGATGTGCAGTGAGGGCTTTCAAGTCCTCTACTTCACATTTTGACATCAGAAGGCTGAAAGCTTCACCCTTGGATCATGTTAACGTTGTCATTTTTTAAACATGGGTCCCAGGGAGAGGCATGCAACTCAATTGGGCATGTGTGTCTTTCTCCTTTCATAAGTATCCATGACTTCTCCTATAGCTGATGGAGTATGTACATTCAGCCACTGGGTTCAGCATAAATTCCCGTTTCATTTTGCCCTCCCTCCAAGTGTCTGTTTCCAGCTTCTGGCCAGGAACTACACTTCCCAGCCTGTCAGAATGGTCACCCTGCTGGCTGCAACCCTTTATGAGAAATAAAGCTCTCCTTTCCATATTTTTAAAAAGAGAAGTGCTATTATCACATGCCTCTCACTCAACCTTTGGAATCGCCTTACCTAACACCCTATGCTGGCCAGTTCTTACATACAGACGGTTCATGTTTCCCCCATCTAATTTGCAAGCTCTTGACATCCTTGCTCATTCTGGTATTCCTGAAGTCTAGCAGAGAGCTAAGTATCTCACAGGCATTGAATGTGTGTTGATTCCATAGGAGCTGCATGGGGGCAGGGAGTTTGTGTAGTTCACTGCTGTATTCCCCATGACAATGCCTGGCACATAGTAAATGCTCAATAAACACTTTATGAATAAATCTCACCTATATAATGGGACACAAATGATACCACTGAGATCTTTGGTAAGTACTAAAAATGTACATTATTCGTGTCAGGAATCAGAGTACAAATGTCGTCCCATTGTAAACATTGACACAGGAAGGGACCAGCCTGCCATTTCTCTGGTCTATCCTTAGAGCCTATCTGTGGTTTGTCCTCAGAAAGCAGAAGCCATGCTTGTCAGCCACCAAGTTTTTGAACTTTTTTTTTCTTTTCTAATAAATTCACAGTAACTTGCTTCAGTGGGAAAAAATAATTGATGACAATTATCAACAAAAATGGATAGTCTTTAATTTTGTCTCATGAAAACTTGGCTGCATTTTTGCCTAGATAACAAAAGGTTCAAATTATTGAAAAGACAGCTGACCCTAATTAGCTAAGAATACCAGTACAGCTTCATGTTTAAATTTTTCTACCGTAGTTCTGAATTCATAACTATGAAAAGAAGAACGGCTTCCCACATGGCTTTTAGTGCATTAAAAATGGGAAATAACACTTAGATATTTAAAAATGTTTTCCAAGGTTCAGTTTTCTGATATCTATGTCTATGATTTATAAAACTAGGAAACAAATCTAAATAGTTTTCTATAATAGGCTGTAACGTAGACTTTCAATAAAAGTTGTCCAAATTCTTAGAAGTTAAGGTCCTTATTGTGTAAGTGTTTAATAGGAGTAACATCTTCTTTTTTTTTTTTTGAGACAGAGTCTGGCTCTGTCACCCAGGCTGGAGTGCAGTGGCGCGATCTCGGCTCACTGCAAGCTCTGCCTCCCGGGTTCACGCCATTCTCCTGCCTCAGCCTCCCGAGTAGCTGGGACTACAGGCGCCCACCACCACGCCCGGCTAATTTTTTGTATTTTTAGTGGAGACGGGGTTTCACCATGTTAGCCAAGATGGTCTCAATCTCCTAACCTCATGATCCGCCCACCTCAGCCTCCCAAAGTGCTGGGATTGCAGGTGTGAGCCACCATGCCGGGCTGCTAGGAATAATATCTTATAACAACTACTAATACTTGCATCTCTGTTTCTAATTTACTATTACTTTTACGTATGTAAATATAATTTAATCCTTGTGCTATTTTTAAGCCAAGTATAATTATTATTTTATTTTCTTTCTCTCTCTTTTTTTTTTTTTTGGGACAGAATTTCACTCTTGTTGCCCAGGCTAGAGTGCAATGGCATGGTCTCAGCTCACTGCAACCTCTGCCTCCCAGGTTCAAGTGATTCTCCTGCCTCAGCCTCCCAAGTAGCTGGTATTACAGGTGCCCACCACCATGCCTAGCTAATTTTTGTATTTTTAGCAGAGATGGGGTTTCACCATGTTGGCCAGGCGGGTCTCGAGCTCCTGACCTCAGGTGATCCGCCCACCTTGGCCTCCCAAAGTGCTGGGATTACAGACGTGAGCCACCGCGCCCAGCCTATTTCTATTTTATAGAAAAAGAGACTAGAGATTAGAATGGTTAAGTGGCTTGTCCGAGGGCACACAGGATGTTGTAGTAGTAGAGTATAATGTCCTTTTTGTAGCTCAGCCCCTTCCTCTGAGTGTTTCTGGGACTCCAGATAACGACTCCAAAAAGTTGTCTGAATTATTGTCATGTCATTATTATTTTGCTGCATCAGGTATTCCAGGAGACAAGTGAGCTGTCAGGGATGGTTAAAGAGTAGAGTTTCTCAATTCCTATTCAGCTTTCATGTCAACATCTTTACCAGTTTCATGATTGACCTCCAGATTGGCAAATTTGATGAGAACATTCTCTTTTTCTCTAGTGTTTGAAATTGCAAACTCAACTTCCTTTGAAGAACTTTTCCCTCCTGCTGGCACAATCCAACAACACCTCTGTGATCTGCAACAGCCATATATCAATTGCTTCCTTTACAGGTATTTTGGCTGTTTCACAGACATTTCCGACTCAGCATGTCTGAACCTGAACTCATGTCCTTCTCAAGTGTTTTCCTTCCTGTGTTCTTGAGCTTAAAGATCAGTGCAATCGTCACCTTAGTTGCGTGTGTTGGTTAATGTTATTGTCAGCCTGGCTAGGCTATGATGCCTACTTGTTTGGTCAAACATTAGTCTCGATGTTGCTAGGAAGGTATTTTGTAGATGTGACTAACATTTACAATCATTTTAATTTAAGTAAAGTAGATTACTCTCCATACTGTGGGTGGTCTCATCAAAACAGTTGAAGACCTTAAGAGTAAAAATTGAGAATTCCCAGAGAAGAAGAAATTCTTCTTCACGGCTGTAACATAAAAATCCTGCATGGGTTTTCAGCTTACCTGGCCAGCCTAATGGATTTCTGACTAGCATCAACTCTTACATGAATTTCTAGCTTGCAGTCTGCTCTACTTAAAATCTTTCTCCCTCTTTCTGTTCAATTATTTTCTGAACCATTGAACCACTGGAGGGTAAGTTAAAGTTTTAGTTTACTACTAGACACTTCATGGGTATTCCCTATGAGCAAGGATGCTCCAACTACCAAAATCACTGATGCAATACTGTTGTTTAAGTCACTGTCCGTTTAACATTTTCTAATAGTCCCAATAATGTCTTTTGTAACTTTTTGTTTCTGACTCAGAATCCAATCCAGGGTCGTGCATTGCTTTTTAGCTGTCGTTTCTCCTTAGTCAGTTCCTCAGCAACCCTTTGTCTTTTATGACCTTGGCAGTTTTTAAGAGTGCATGTCAGTATTTTGTAGAATATTACTCAATTTGTTTTTGTTGTTGTTTCCTTGTGATTAGATTCAAGTTATTTATTTTTGGCAGGAACGTGACAAATGTAGTACTGATTATGTCCCAGAACATTGCAATAAATAGTTTGGAGCCCAGCACATAGGCTCCTTTGACCTCCCTGACTCCTACATCCCTCCTACTTCCCATCCCAACTTGGAGATAACCATTGTTAAATATGAAGCCTCCAGTCCTTTTAAAATATATTTACAAACCTATGTATGTATTAAGAGACAATCTATAGTATTATTCTATACTCCTAAAGTTATACAAGTAGCTATACATACAAAATGCCGGCATGTGTCTGAGGCCCATCCTTGACGATGCATATAGACCTTACATGATTCCTTTGACCAGCCTCCAGATTGTACAGTTTCATGTGGGCCAGGGAATTTTTCCAGATGTCTAGAATGTAGACTCCACAAAATCATATCTATTTTGTTTGTTACTATGTCCCAAATCCAGGGTGGTTCCATCATAGGTGCTCAATTAAAGTCTGCTGAATGGACTGGAATAAAGTGCTTTGATCAGAGGAATCTTCCAAGCCAAGTCTGGGGCAGCTCCCTATACAGGGTTCTATCAGCAGCCAGAACACTTATTGATCCCAAAGGTTGTGATGTTTGCTTTTGTGTTCTGATGATTATGAGAATTCTGATAGATAAAATCATCTTTCTGAAAGTTTCCTTAAAAATTTATTTTTGAATTCACTCTAAGAGGGCAGAATTGGTAATCAAGATTAACATAAGTTGTTGGATGCACACACTTCTTTACTGTGATAAAAGAACATTATTAGTATTTGAGAACAGCAAGTCTCCATATACTGCTGCTATTAAAACTTCAACACAAAGCTTTTTCAGGATGTTATAATGATCAGTGAATGACTTAATGAATGTTGAGCTGTGGGCTATTAACCCTGACTCTGACCTCTATTAGCTATGAATTAATGCAGAGATGTAAGCTGCTAAGAAGGGATCAGAGTAAGTATGGGGAGTAATGAAGCTTCATTGTGTCCCTAGATTTTCTCATTGTAGTAACCTGTGTAATTGCCAAAGAGAGTTGATCACTCTGAACTTGGGAAAAAATGTTTTTTATTCTTTGATTCTTAATTTGCATGTGAATGAAATGGGGCACATTCTTCCTTCTCACTTTGAAGATAGTAGGAAAAGAACCAGGCTTCAGTAGAGGTAAAATTGATGATAGGGGAAAGCAACCACATGCTTTCAACCATGTAATAGAATTGTCTGGGGGAAATGACTTAGTATTTATGTTTTTCCCATATAGACTTCTATAATTGGCCAAGTGCAAACACAGACGTTTTCACCTTCCCACAAGAAGCAGGCAAAGCATATTTCTTCTAATCAACAGAATATCAGATTCGGTAGTGTATTGTTCAACTCTGGCATGTCATCAAATGCAATACTCTTTGAATATTTATGAAGCATCAGGAATTCTATTGGTGAACATATTTACTCTGTAAGATTTTTCATTTGTAGTTTGTAGATTTTGAACAAAACAAAAAACACTCCCCAAAGGTGATTATGTGAAAGCAAATTTCCCTGTTTTAGGAACCAACTCTAGTCATTTTGATTACATTTCCTAACTTTTATTGTGTTTTCCAGTGTAGGATTCTAGCATTCTGGAGACTTTCTATGCCATTTTTCATTAGGAAGAAAGGAAGGAAGGAAAGAAGGAAAGGAAAGAAAAGAGAAAGAACAAAAATAGGTTTTTTCTATTTTTATAACTTTTATTTAAGTTCAGGGGTATATGTGCAGGCTTGTTACATAGCTAAATTTGTGTCATGGGGGTTTGTTGTACATATTATTTCATCACCTAGTTATTAAGCCTAGTAGCCATTAGTTATTTTTCCTGATCTTCTCTCTCCTCCCAACCTCCGCCCTCAGGTAGGCCTGAGTGTCTGTTGTTTCCCTCTATGTGTCCATGTGTTCTCATCATTTAGCTCCCACTTATAAGTGACAACATGCAGTATCTGGTTGTCTGTTCCATATCTGATTGTCTGTTCCTGTGTTCATTTGCTAAGGAAAAGTGCCTCCAGCTCCATCCATGTTCCTGCAAAGGACATGATCTTGTTCTTTTTATGGCTGCATAGTATTCCATAGTGTATATGTACCATATTTTCTTTATCCAGCCTACCACTGATGGGCGTTTAGGTTGATTCTGTGTTTTTGCTACTGTGACTAGTGCTACAATAAACATACACATTCGGTGTCTTTATGATATAATGATTTATATTCCTTTGGATATGTACCCAGTAACAGGATTGCTGGGTCAAATGGTAGTTCTGTTTTTAGCACTTGGAGGAATCACCACACTGCTTTCCACAATGGCTGGAATAATTTACATTCTCACCAACAGTATATAAGTGTTCCTTTTTCTCTACAACCATGCCAGTATCTGTTATTTTTTGACTTTTGCCATTCTGACTGGTGTGACATGGTATCTCATTGTGGTTTGGATTTGCATTTCTCTAATGATCAGTGATGTTGAGCTTTCTTCATATGCTTGTTTGTCACATGTATGTCTTCTTTTGCAAAATGTATGTTCATGTCCTTTGCCTACTTTTTAATGGGGTTGTTTATTTTTTTCTTTTAAATTTGTTTAAGTTTCTTATACATGCTGGATAGTAGACCTCTCCCGTGTGTATAGTTTGCAGAATTTTCTCCCATTCTGTAGGTTGTCTGTTTATTCCGTTAGTAGTTTTTTCTGTTGTTTAGAAGCTCTTTAGTTTAATTATATCCCATTTTTGCTTTTGTTGCAATTGCTTTTGGTGTCTTTGACATGAAATCTTTGCTGTTCTTATGTCCAGAATGGTATCGCCTATATTGTCTTCCAAGGATTTTGTGGTTTGGGATTTTACATTTAAATTTTTAATCCACCTTGAGTTGATTTTTTGTATATGGTGTGAGGAAGGGGTCCAGCTTCAGTTTTGTGCATATAGCTACCCAGTTATCCCACCACTATTGAATAGGGAGTCCTTCCCCATTGCTTGTTTTTGTCAGCTTTGTGGAAGATCAGATGGTTGTAGGTGTGTGGTCTTATTTCTGGGCTGTCTATTCTGTTTCATTGGTCTTTGTGTCTGTTTTTGTCCCAGCACCATGCTGTTTTGGTTACTGTAGCTCAGTAGCATATAGTTTGAAGTTGAATAGCATGATGCCTCCAGCTTTTTTCTTTTTGCTTAAAATTTCCTTGGTTATTCTGTCTCTGTTTTTGGTTCCATATGAATCTTAAGATAGTTTTTTTTGTAGTTCTGTGAAGAATATCACTGGTAGCTTGATAGGAATAGCATTGAATCTATAAATTGCTTTGGGTAGTATCGCCATTTAATGATATTGATTCTTCATATCCATGAGCATGGAATGCTTTTCTATTTGTTTGTATCACTTCTGATATCTTGGAGCAGTGTTTTGCAGCTCTCAGTGCAGAGATCTTTCACCTCCCTGGTTAGCTATATTCCTAGGTATTTTATTATTTTATGGCAATTGTGAATAGGATTGCATTCCTGGCTTGACTCTTGTTGGTGTATAAGAGTGCTAGTGATTTTTGTACATTGACTTTGTATCCTCAGACATTGCTGAAGTTGTTTATCATCTTAAGGAGCTATGGGGTTTTCTAGATATAGAATACATCATCTGAAAATGGGTAGTTTGACTTCCTCCCTTCCTATTTGGATGGGCTTTATTTCTGTTGCCTAATTGCTCCAGCCACGATTTCTAATACTATGTTGAACAGAAGTGTTGAGAAAGGGCATCCTTGTCTGGTGCTGGTTTTCAAGGAAAATGTTTCCAGCTTTTGCCCATTCAGTATGATGTTGACTGTGTGTTTGTCATAGATGGCTCTTATTGTTTTGAGCTGTGTCCCTTCATTTCCTAGTTTATTGAGAGTTTTTATTATGATGGGGTGTTGAATTTTGTTGAAAGCCTTTCTGCATCTATTGAGATAATCATGTAGCTTTTGTCTTTAGTTCTGTTTATGTGATGAATCACATTTATTGATTTGTGTGTGTTTAACCAAACTTGAATCCTGGAGATGAAGCCTACTTGATCACGGTGGATTAGCTCTTTCATGTGATGCTGGATTTGGTTTACAAGTGTTTTTCCGAGGATTTTTTTGCATCAGTGTTCATCAGTCATATTGGCCTGAAGTTTTCTTTCTATGTTGTGTCTCTGCCAGATTTTGTTATGAAGATGATGCTGGCCTCAAAGAATGGAAAGGGAAGACTGGTACCAGCCACTGCAAAAACGTGCTTAAGTACACAGACCAGTGACACTATAAAGCAACCGCACAAACAAGTCTGAATAATAACCAGCTACCATCATGACAACAGAATAAAACCCACACATATCAATACTAACCTTGAATATAAATGTGCCAAATGCCCCAATTAAAAGTCACAGAGTGACAAGGTGGATAAAGGGCCAAGACCCAGTGATATGCTGTTTTCAAGAGACCCACTTCACATGCAATGACACCCAAAATAAAGGGATAGAAAGAAATCTACCAAGCAAATAAAAAACAGAAGAAAACGGGGTTGCAATCCTAATTTCAGACAAAATAGACTTTAGATTAACAAAGATGAGAAAAAAACAAGGGCATTACATAATGGTAAAGGGTTCAATTCAACACGAAGATCTAACTATCCTAAATATATATGCACCCAACACAGGAACATCCAGATTCATAAAATAAGCTTTTAGAGACCTGCAAAAAGACTTAGACTCCCATGCAATAATAGTGGGAAACTTCAACACTCCACTGACAGTGTTAGACAGATTAGCAAGGTAGAAAATTAACAAAGATATTCAGGAACTGAACTCAGCACTGAATCACATGAACCCAATAGACATCTACAGAACTTTCCACCCAACACCAATGGAATATACATTTTTCTCATTGCCACAAGGCACATACTCTAAAATGGACCACACAATTGAACATAAAACAATCCTCAGCAAATGCAAAAGAACTGAAATAATACCAACCACTCTTTCAGACCACAGCACACAGCACAGTAAAATTAGAAATCAAGACTAAGAAAATCACTCCAACCATACAATTACATGGAAATTAAATAACCTGCTCCTGAGTGACTTTTGGATAAATAATGAAATTAAGGCAGAAATCAAGAAGTTCTTTGAAATTAATGAGAACAAGGATATAACATACCAGAATCTCTGGAACACAGCTTAGGCAGTGTTAAGAGGGAAATATATAGCACTAAACACCCACATCAAAAGGTTAGAAAGACCTCAATTTAACCACCTAACATCACAACTAAAAGAACTAGAGAAACCAAGAGCGAACCAACCCCAAAGCTAGCAGAAGACAAGGAATAACCCAAATCATAGCTGAACTGAAGGAGACTGAGAAATGAAAAACCATTCAAAAGATAGATGCATTCAGTTGTTTTTTTTTTCAAAAAATTAAAATAGATAGAACTCTAACTAGAGTAATAAAGAAGAAAAGAGAGAAAATCCAAATAAACACAACTAGAAATGACAAACGAGATATAATCATTGACCCTACAGAAATATAAATAACTGTCAGAGAATATTATGAACACTTCCATGCACACAAACTAGGAAATCTAGAAGAAATGGATAAATTCCTGGGTATATACACCATCCCAAGACTGAACCAGAGAGAAACTGAATCCCTGAATAGACCAATAACAAGCTCTGAAATTGAATCAGTAATAAATAGCCAACCAACCAATAAAAGCCCAGGACCAGATGGATTCACAGCCAAATTCTACCAGATGTACAAATAAGGCCATTTCATAAAATTAAATTAAATTCTTCTGTTCAAGAGCTGCAAAACTTTGTCTGTAGGACACTCTAGTTCCCCCCAAACTATAGATGTGATAACTCATGCGCAGAGTTGATTGTTAATGATGATAGGGGTCTTTAATAAGGAAAGGGGAAGCCCTGCAACTATTGACAAATGCAGAAAACTTATGACAATATCTAACTCTTGGAGACGTAGATTCCAACATGCATCCCTTAAAGAAACACATGGTAAGGGAACACAAGAGAGGAGCAGATCTTTGACAAAAAGCTCAGAGGACTCCACCTTCTCTCTACCCCTACCATACTTGAAGAATTTTCCCACAGTATGTGTCATCTAAGAATGGTCCTTACCAAAGAAAATTAGAAGAGAAATGGAATATATGTATGTGTGTATCTGTATTACATGTGTATACACATATATATGTATATTTGTGGTGTGTGTGTGTGTATATGTGTGTGTGTGTGTGTGTGTGTGTGTGTATCAAGCCTGGGATGGAGGTTGAATTAACACTGATAATATAAGCCATTTCAAAAACTGTGAAGATGTGTATCCAGTTTTCCTAAGAAAGCAGGACCAGTCTACCTGTTTAGCCTCATTATGTTGTACAATGAATAGACATTTATCAAATACCTCCAAGGTGCTGGTCACTGTTCTAAACACTGCAGACTCAAAAAAGAAGACAGACTAAATCCTTGTCCTCATTGAACTTATATTCTAGCAACAAAAACAGATAAGCTACAAATGAACAGATAAATATCATTTCGTATCGTACCAAGTGGCAGTAAGACAAAAAGGCAGGGTAAGGACATCAGAATCAAAGGGAAAGGCAATTGGCATAGGGTGGCCAAGGAAGACCTCACTGGGGCAAACCCTGATGATTTGAGTCAGTCTTGTGAATATCTGAAGTGAGAGTATTTCACAGAGAGAAGACAGCAAATGTCAAGGGGAGAGTTTGGAACAAACATACTATGTTTGAGGGAGAATGAGAAACCCAGTGACACTGGCTTACTGGCTAGGGCATAGTGGTGGGAGATGAATTAAAAAGGTAGGGAAAGGCTATGTTATGGTTGGTCTTACAGGCCATGATAAGGAGTTTAGATTTTATTCTGAGTGTGATACAAATTTTTGAATGGTTCAAAACAGAGACATGACATGAACTTAGGCCTTCTTCCTCACATTTCACAGGCAACTTCCAAACTAAAATAACAATAGAAAGAATGGCTTTCCAAAAACGTGAGTATAATTGGGCATGAGAAAGGGATTATAATCCAGGATACACATGCTATAACAGATCATAGGCATATCTGGAGAGATTGAGGCAAAGGGAACATTTTAAAGGCAAAATGTGAAAGGTTACACCAGTTGTTTTAAAACAGTTGTCTTTGGCTGCAAGGATTAATAACGAGGGTGGTGCCAGTACAAGGTTCAACAGGCAGTTGCCAGGCAGATGTCCTCACAGAAGTGTTCTTTGTGCAAGGTTGTAGTTTTCAAAAAGTTCTTGTGATAGTTCTTGTAATCAGGCAAATATGTGTGAAGACTCTCTTTTCATCACTTCCTGGCCCCATTTAGTTTGGTTTTAACATAAATGGCTTCATTTTGGTACTGACAACTCTCACATTTTCCCCTTTTGATCAAGATCTTTCTCTGAACGCACTGCTGGTCAATCAACCTGCAGTTAGGTTTTGATTGTCCCTTGGTGCTGGGATGGACCTGTCCCAGTTGGTTTGGTCCTATGTTGGAGGAACGTGATTGGTGACTAGAAACCAGTGTCAAAACCTTTTTAGCCAAGACAAGAAGGAGGATTACAGAGTGTCTCACAGGCTAATTCTGCCTGGAGTATATTGTTCAATTTTTTCAGCTTCATGGGTGTTGGTTATCATTTTGAAATGTTGCACCAGCATTATCCTATTAAATGTTGTACTTCTGCAGAACTTAGACAGGCAAAGGGTGCAAAGTTTAAAAAGGATCATGCAGAGTAAAAATAACAGCAGTAGGATGACACAAAACCCCAGTTTGGATAATGATGCTGAGCCATAATCTGGCCTGAAGGTAACACTTAAACAAATCAAAAGATCACAGTGGGGTAATTGAATCAGAAGAACCTGGAGGAATTCAGAATTCAGTCCAGATTCTAAGTTAATAATAAAAACCCCAAAACAATGAAGGATTACAGTCTAATAACAGGTATACTATAGTTTATTTGAGACATAAATTATCTCTACAGTTATCCAAATTTTACCAAAGATAATCAAAATAAGACCATTTGTTTGTACAATAAGTTTAGTTTCATTGAAGTTGGGCCTGATTATTTACATAAATGGAGCAAGAATAGCAATTGGCCACATGGGAATCTCAGATTTTAAAACCTCTCAAAGTTAAGGGATTATAGAGAGACTGAGGGAAACTGGCTGCAATTGGGTTTGGTTTGGGGGAGGTGAAAACATTTGTCCCCGTGCCATTTTTCAACAGGAAGAAAGGAAGAAGGAAACTAAGGAAGGAAGGAAAGGAGAAAGAGAAAATAGGCCCCTTATATAATCAGCAGGTCATATAAGGACCTGTCTCTATGGCATGCCTTGGTTTTGTTGAATGTAGTATTTCTTAAGAATAATGACATGGAATTTTCCTTGTCATTTAAAGATACAAGGCAGAGTATTTTTCAAAGTCACCACCACTTACATTTGAGAGTGCAGCACTTGGCCCAGTGGCTGGTCAGTCTACTGAATTTAAGAGAATGCTTTTCCTTTGTCCTCGTGAAAGTAACTACTCAAACAGCAAAGAATTAATATTAAATTACATAAAAATTTTATTAAACTAAGGATAAAAATTGGACATATCAGTTAAAGTCTGCAGGGATAAAGTAATGTTATAATCAGAACTTCTTCCTTTTTTTTTTTTTTTTTTTGCTGTCACCTTTGATTTTCAAAAAGCAAGAAGCATCCCAGTGGCAACGAGCATAGCCAGCAGCCAGAACTTGGTTTCTAATAACATTCTCAAACGAAAGGAACCAAGGCTTTGGAGAACTGGCTGATTCTAGGACTGGGGCAAGAAATATACGAGATGAAGCTAGAGCATCTGGCAGCGTTAGAAATCAAGGAACTTTCCTCCCTTCCCCACCAAAACCCCACAATAATAGGATATGTCAAAGATGCACAGGAACCAACTGAAAGAGTTCCTAGTGGCCAAAACTGGGACATTTTGAGCAATAAAATAAATAAAACAATATTTGATTGTAATTCAAAGTATAAAATAAGTATCTGTGAGTCCATACGGGTAAAAATAAAGTGATGAAGTAAATTAACAAATGGGGGAGAAGAGACAAATCTGTGCAGAAGAATTCCAAATAATTTACACGGATACTTCACCTTCAAGGAGGGATAGCATAGCTTCCCATTCCTCAGGTGTAGGCTACAAATAGTGACTTCCTTCCAGTATGGAAAGTTCAGTATGGAGAGGAATGGGGTAAAAGAGCAAATTTACTATGGACAGATCTGGTAATCAAGGTCAATATCAATAGTAGAAAATCATGCTGATGGTATGTGATGTGATAAAAATGGCACTTTACCTCTGTGGTCTTCCTCTCCCAAAACAAGAATCCCAGTCTTATTATGAGAAAAATATCAGACAAATCCCAATAATGGAGAGGTCTACAAAATATCTGTTAAGTTCTCAAAACTGTCAAGGTCATCAAAAATAAGGAAAGTCTGACAAATAGCCACAGCCAAGGGGCGTTTAAGAAGATGTGATTGCTACAGGCGATGATGTATTCTTGAACAGGAGAGGAACAAGAGGTTAAAACTGGGGAAATCTGAATAAAGTATGAACTTCAGTTAATAATAATGTATCAATATTGGACCATTAATTGTAACAAACCTACCATACTAATGTAAGATGTTAATAATAAAAAGAAACTGAGTGTGGTGCATGCAAAAGTCCTCTACTCTTTTTCATTTTTGCATACATCTAAAACAGTTCTAAAAATAAAGTCCATTTTTATAAAAGGCAGGAAAGGTGTTTGTTAAATTGCAAAATGACAGAAAGGCTGGAACTAGGGTGAGACAAGGGAAACACTAGCTTCAAGTGTAAAATTAAAGTCAGCACCAAATCCCCATGAATCAGCATAAATATTTCACTGTGATATTTTTAAAAACAAAATTAATGCAAAAAAATTATGATGAACCAAGTGTCAAAAATGTAAATAAAGACAGATCAGAATCAGTGGCAGGGACCCACAGTGGATCCTGAAGCAAAAGGAAAAAATTAGTAATGTAGGTCAGATACTAAATGTGTTTTCATTTGAAATTTTGGTATTTTGTCTATCCTGGCTGTTTTACAATTGTTTGAATTGTAAACATATTGCCATAGGGTATTACTTATGTTTTTTCCTGAGTTTTTCTTTTTTTTTCCATTATACTTTAAGTTTTAGGGTACATGTGCACAACGTGCAGGTTAGTTACATATGTATACATGTGCCATGTTGGTGTGCTGCACCCATTAACTCGTCACTTAACATTAGGTATATCTCCTAATGCTATCCCTCCCCACTACCCCCACCCCACAACAGGCCCTGGTGTGTGATGTTCCCCTTCCTGTGTCCATGTGTTCTCATTGTTCAATTCCCACCTATGAGTGAGAACATGCGGTGTTTGGTTTTCTGTCCTTGCAATAGTTTGCTGAGAATGAGGGTTTCCAGCTTCATTCATGTCCCTACGAAGGACATGAACTCATTATTTTTTATGGCTGCATAGTATTCCATGGTGTATATGTGCCACATTTTCTTAATCCAGTCTATCATTGTTGGACACTTGGGCTGGTTCCAACTGTTTGCTATTGTGAATAGTGCCGCAATAAACATAACGTGTGCATGTGTCTTTATAGCAACATGACTTATAATCCTTTGGATATATACTCAGTAATGGGATTGCTGGGTCAAATGGTATTTCTAGTTCTAGATCCCTGAGGAATCGCCACACTGACTTCCACAATGGTTGAACTAGTTTACAGTCCCACCAACAGTGTAAAAGTCTTCCTATTTCTCCACATCCTCTCCAGCACCTGTTGTTTCCTGACTTCTTAATGATCGCCATTCTAACTGGTGTGAGATGCTGTCTCATTGTGGTTTTGATTTGCATTTCTCTGATGGCCAGTGATGATGAGCATTTTTTCATGTGTCTTTTGGCTGCATAAATGTCTTCTTTTGAGAAGTGTCTGTTCATATCCTTCGCCCACTTTTTGATGGGGTTGTTTGTTTTTTTCTTGTAAATTTGTTTGAGTTTATTGTAGATTCTGAATATTAGCCCTTTTTGCTTAGAGTTTGTGCTCAGATGAGTGCCTCACTCAGCCCTAAGTGTCTGTCATGCTTAGACTTCATCCCCCTCTGCTCCTGCCACAATGGTTCCTTTGCTCTCCGTGGAACATCCTAGGCGTGCTCCTTCATTAGGGGGTTTGCACTGGAATCCTCTCTGTCTGAAATGCATTTCTTCCGGAAAAACACATAGCTTGGTTCCTCAGCTCTTCTCAGTTTATTGCTCAAATAGCACTTTATCTGAAATGTCTCCTGTGGCCACTCTACTCAAATATAGTGTCCCTCGTAGATCCCAGTTTTTCTTTTTTTGCTGTCTTTCTCTTTTAATCTCCATGGACTAATCACAATGTAAACTACTTTATATCTTACTTACTTTTAAAAATTTATTGTCTGACATCTACTAGATTGTAATCTTAGTGAAGGCAGAAGATTTGTTTGTTTACTATTTTTGTCTATTCTGTTTCCTGCCTGATGCATAGTAGTTTCTCAGCAAATATTTGTTGACTATTAAATGAATAAGTAAGTAGTTTAACCACCAGCAGTTCCACTGAAAGCCTTGATGGGGTCACATTTGACTCAGATAGACATGAAATGTAAAACATTTAAGAATCTAGTAGAATAGACTCAGTTTGAAAGACTAATTGAAGTTAAGGAAAGTTTCTGCAAAATGATGTTGGTTGTCATCGTTAATTTTTTTTAATATTGAATGTCTTTATTTGTAATGACCTTCTGCAAGAAAACAGTATCTGACCAGGATGCTCCCAAAATAACTTGAAGAAAAAGATGTCAAAATCGATACTATAGAATTCCAATATATCTGAAATCCGAAAATACACTTAACTAATAGCAAGTGAGGAAAATATTGACTTATTTTATTGCTATTGGTGTTATTGATTTTACAGAATTTATCCAGCAAGGACAAAAAGTTGCTAGAAATGTGAAAGTATCTGATTCTGTTGACTCAAAAAAGTCTCACTGATTATCTTCTTCCCCCCCAACAATAACATATTTCAAACAATTAAAAAGTATAAGTTGTAATATAACAAGCATTTAGATTCTTCCCAATCAGTATGTCAAATCATACTATTTTTCCATGTTTGCTGACGTTTTCCTTTGTGTTTGTTTTCCCCTAAGAAATAGACCCTAATTGATATGGTAGATCCTGTACTTCTCCTCATTTTCCTGATCCTTACTCACTGTCCAGTTTTCTTTCCTAAATTTGCTTTTAATCATACCCCTGTATATTATTATACTTTTATTACTATGTATGTATCCATAAACAATTTATAGTTGCTTTGCAATTTTAAAACTTTATATTAATTACATCATTCTGTATATGTTCATCAGAAACTTTTTTTGTTGTTAAATATGAGTATTTACCTGTTTCTCTGCAGCTACTATGATACACTTTAAATTTTTGTAGCAAGTCTTTGAAACTGAATGTGTATCTTACATTTGCAGTGTATCTCAGTTTGAACTAGCCATATTTCAGTTCTCAAGAGCCACATGAAGCTGGTAGTCACAATATTGCGTAGCTCAGCTCTGGAGAATGGTCATACACTACGTCTTGTTATAACTGTTAAGTGAACACCATCATCATCCTGACTTGAAGGGGCTGTACCTGGACTTACCTCCTAATTTCCTCACTTGTTAACCCTCGAACTCCCAGCCCAAGAATTTTTATACTCAATGAAGACCTCCTTTATCTTTCTAATGTCCATACTTTTTCTATTCTTTCCACTCTATCTACTCAATCTATAGAGCATTCTATAGATATATACAGCTATATATACCATTTTAGCTATTCCTTTTTTATCTATATTCTGTCTATTCTAATAACTCTTTTACAAATACCCTGTCCCTTGCCCCTCTCCTTTGCACTTGACCAGTAAAACGCTATCTCTAGTTAGACCCAACTCTTGACCTATTTGCTGTACGCCTGCACCAGAGCAGCTGACTGTGGCTAGAGAAAACATATGACCACAAGAATCTCAAGTGGGAATTCAGAATTGCCTTGAAATATACTGCATTTACCCATTCAATGGCTTCTCCCATTCTCTGAGACAGCTGTTGACATGTTCTCCTCTCTTCTCAAACTGATTATCTAACTCTTCATTTTAGTTAGAAAATAGAAGCAATCAGAGGAGAACAGCCTCATTTTGCTACAGCAAATCTATCAGTATAATGGCATCTAAATCCTGCTACTCTGCTGGTTCTCCTGTTGACAGGATGGAGACAGCTTGCTTTTATCTCAGGCCAGCCTCTCTTCCTGTGCTTGGATCCTATTCTGTCTCACTGACTCAAGGACCTTGCTCCTGCAGCTATTGCCCCTCTCTTTCCTGCATTATAACAGTTGCTACCTCTCCACTGGATCAATCTCAGCCGCATACAGAAAGGCTACAATGAATCACAAGTTAAAGCAAAAATGCTTCATAGACCTCAGAATCTCCTCCAGCAACTGTTTCACTTCTCTGCTTACCTTTTAAGCAAAATTCCTTTAGGGAGTTGTCTGCATTTGCCACCACTAATTCTTTGCCTCCACTTTCCTTTTTAGTCTCCTCTATTTAGGCTTTTGTCCCATATTCACTCACCATTCCCACTGGAAATTCACTTGTTAAAGTCACCAAATGATTTTCATCTTGCCAGAGCCAATGCAAAATTCTAGATCCTCATTTTACTCAAACATTTGGCACCTTTGACACTGCCACTGTACCCCTTCTTGAGACACTTTCTTTATTCACCTTCTATGATTCAACTTTCTCCTTATCTCCGCATTGACTGCTTCCTTTTCACTTTCTTAATGGATCCATTATTTCTTTTTTTCCTCTTAATTTTGGAGTTCCCCATGGCGTAGTTCTCAAAACTCTTCTCTCTAGCTGATCCCATTAAATCTCTTGAATACCTATACGTGGTGATGTTCCTAATATTTTTTCCTCTTTCTGAGCTCTCTCCAAAGCTCCAGACTCTTAAGTCCAACCCCCCATCAACATCTTCTCCTTGAGGTCTGAAACCTATCTCAAACATAACCTTTTCAGTTCAAACTTTTGATTCCATCTTCCCCAAACCACTCTTCCTTCAATGATTCATGTAAAAAAAGAGAAACCCCTGCAATTTGACTGATTCCTTATTTTCCCTCAGATTTAATTTCTAATCCTTCAGCAAAGCATGTGTGTCTACCTCTAAAATATATATGAATCCAGCCCAATTCCTATCATTTCCCCCTTTAGCTCTCTAGTCAGATTTCTTCCAACCCAATCCATGTCTTTCTATCACACATAAAATAAAATCCCAGTACTATAATATGGGCTGTAAACCCCACCCATGTCACTGACCCCATCACTTACTATTTTTCTCCTTTGCTTGTTCCAGTCCATCCACACTGATTTTCTTGCTGGTATTTGCATGTACCAAGGTTACTTCTGGATCAGGGATTTATACTTTCTAGTCCTTCTCACTTGTTCTCAAAGATTTTTTTTAGGTCTCCTCTCCAATGTTACCTTCCTGACCACCTTAGTTAACAAATAAACAAATGGCCACCCCAGCATTGGTCTTTTTATTTTAGTCTTGATTTATTTTGACTTGTAGCACCTATTGGCACCCAAGGTTACATTCTATATTTATTTGTTTACTTGTTTATGTTCAGTATCCTCTTCCAAAATTTTAGTTAGATACATGTATGGACTTAATCTATTTTGTTTATTGATAGGACATGACCCCTACTCTATGTTAGGACATAGAATGAGACCTCAATGCTTGGAACATAATGGATGCTCAGTAAGTAATTACGAATAAATGAATGACTCTAAGACATATTTTTCTCATAATGGTCCTTAATACCATAAATTATCACTGTAAAGTTTCACATAATTCAAATGTCAAATCATATTTGACAGAATTACAATTCTATAAGTCAGAAGCTTGTAATCATAAGGTTAGCAAGTAAGATAGGCATAGGCATCACTCTTTGCTTCAATTCATTCTAAAATTCTGTATTCTACTCGTTAATGCTTTTAATGTGACAGTGCCCATGCTTTAGTTTCTGACCTGAAAGAACAATGGACCAGTGATATTCCCTATTTCTTAGACAATAAAGTTACATTTTTGGTTGGGCTATTTCACCTCATCCAAAAGGAAAAATTACACCAACAGGGGAAAATTTAGTTGCAGGAAAAATTGTTCAATGGCAAAGGAATGGCAAACTGTCGCTATTTCTAGTTTTTTTTTTTTTTTTTTTTGGTGGAGTTTCACTCTTGTTGCCCAGGCTGGAGTGTAATGGCGCAATGTCAGCTCACAGCAACCTCCTCCTTCCAGGTTCAAGTGATTCTCTTACCTCAGCCTCCCGAGTAGCTGGGATTACAGGCATGCACCACCATACCTGGCTATTTTTTTTTTTTTTTGTATTTTTAGTAGAGATGGGGTTTCTCCATGTTGGTCAGTTTCTAGTTTTTATATTTGAGACAGACACACTGAAATATTTCAGTGTGATGTTACATGATTGCCTAAGACTTGCTTTAAAATAATCTGGAGCTCTGGGGTGATGGTAGTGATTATGGATGAAACAAAATTGCTGAAACAAAATTGCTGAAACAAAATATGCATCAAATTATTTTCCCTACTTTTGTGTATGTTTGGAAGTTTCCACACTAAAAATGTATAAATAGCAACAACAAAAATATCTAGGAGTTAAACCAAGTTTTCATGATACCCACAAATTAATACTTAAAAAAAAAAACTCCAAAATAACAAAAACAAACTCCTCTTACCTTGTATGCACTGTTTTCCAGAGAGGGCCTTAGACCCTGTTTGAAGTCTAACTGTCCCTCCTGCTCAGACATAATTTTGGCACCGTCATTGTGTGGCCTTAGAAATGGTCCTCCTGGATACTGAAAAGTCTGACCTGGCGGTGTTTGCAGCCAACTTTCTGAGTCTATCTCTGTGTTTGTTGTTGTTGGTAGTGATGGTTTGTTTGTTCATTTTTTGAGACAGGGTCTTGCTCTATTGCCCAGGCTGGAGAGCAGTGGTGCCATCGTAGCTCACTGCAGCCTTGAAAACTCCTGGGCTCAAGCCATCTTCCCACTTCAGCCTCCTGAGTAGCTGGGATTACATGTGCAAGCCACTGCCCTCGCATCTTTGTGTTCTGGCTTCTGATCAGCTGTCTCTCTTCCTCACCAAGTCGTTTTCTCTAGTGCAAACTTTTACCTTTCCATTCCAAGGTTATTTCTACCTCAGAAAGGCCACTTCCTTTCAATTGTGTCCCTGATAAACTTCTGGTTTGACAGACTATTTGCTATGGATGGCAGTGTCCCCACCCAAATCTCAGCTTGAATTGTATCTCCCAGAATTCCCATGTGTTGTGGGAGGGAGCCATGGGGAGGTAATTGAATCATGGAGGCCGGTCTTTCCCATGCTATTTTCATGATAGAGAATAAGTCTCATGAGATATGATGGGTTTATCAGGGGTTTCCACTTTTGCTTCTTTCTTATTTTTCTCTTGCCACCACCATGTAAGAAGTGCCTTTTGGGTCCAGGTGCAGTGGCTCACACCTGTAATCCCAGCACTTTGGGAGGCTGAGGCAGGCAGATCACAACGTCAGGAGTTCGAGACCAGCTTGACCAATATGGTCAGTCAATTAAACCTATTTTCTTTATAAATTACCCAGTCTCAGGTAGTATCTTTATAGCAGTGTGGAAATGGCCTAATGCAGACTAGTCCTAGCTAGCTCTATGGAAGGCAATGAAATTTATTCTTATTGTCTGTGGTCATGTACTATATACCAGCTAAATATCAGGAGGTTTATTATCACAGAAAAAAGGATGAACTACAATTGGATGATGACAATGAGCTTGCATCATTCTGTTGTGTATTATAAACTTGGATAATATACATTTGGTGAAAAATAATTATACAAAAATATCTAGAATAATCACATCATAATCAACTGGCTCTCATATACAGGTAGGGGTGTGTTTGTGTGTTTGTGTGTGTGAGAGAGAGAGAGAGAGAAACTCTTGAATGACTGAAAAACTCCCCCCAAAGAAGGGTTCAAAAAGGTTTGGAGAGCATCACTGAGGTAAGTCTGTAACCTCTCAGAGGAATGCCTTTAAGGAGGACATCAACAATCTGAGTTCTTAGCACCTGCTATGTTGCACTTCATACAAATGCACGATGATGAACATCACACTTTGTGTACTAGGAACACAACATGATTTCGTACCTGCATAATCAGATATGTGGTATAACAAATACCTTTTAAATTTTCTCATTGAAATAAGTGATCATGACTGTAAACAGATACTGGTATGATTGCAGGCTTTGGTAATACCAATGGATGATGCTGGGATGATTTGGGGTGTAATGATTTCTCCCTCCTTCTCCCCCATCAGCTTTGCCTCTGCTGCTGTTAAATGCTATCCTTTTAATCAGTCTTGATTGCTTTGCCTTGCACTGAGACTTGCTTAGGGACTCCTCAGAGGCACATTGTTTCATAGGAGACAGCTGTTCTTTACTAGCTGAGACTGACTGGAGTTATATATAGTGATGATAATAATAAATTTTCTACACGTACACACACACCACATGGGGACCCACTGATGAAAATTAGTGTTTTATGTGTATGTGATGCTTCCTTTGCATTTACAAATATTCAGCTTAACTCTCCCCCTCCAGCTGTTGCAATGAACCTGGTTAGCTCACAGAGCAGTCAAAAGTTGCACCCTCAACTTCCAAGATTCCCTTGCAATTTCCTAATGAAAATATTTACTGTTTAAGTTCCCCCTTCCAGTTCTATTTAATAGGAAATGATACAGATTTCTAGTCTTTTAGTTCTGCTTTTATTCTGTGAATATAAAGCAATTCCCACTTCCAAAAATGCATTATGTATGAAATTGCTATGTTTGTAAAGTTCAGCTACATTTTCTCTTCCTATGAGGCACTAGTGACTGTAAAAAAAAAAAGGAGCTCTTAGTTTAAAAACATTGATTCCCACTGGGAAGAAAAGTGGAATCAGTTCCTCACTAATGTGTTTGATAATAGTTCTTTGTTTAAAATTGCCAATCAAAGTTTCTTGACAGATTATATAGTAATTGAAATAAACGTATACTAGAAACAGATCACTTATTTGAAACAACATATAATAGAGTCTCATTATAATATAGTCTCATTTTAAAGCCCCCTCTCATGAGCCATGTGTGCCAGTCTCATCAGATCTCTTAGTTACAGTGACTAACATCCCCTCTCACTGCCGTATGGAACACGTAAAGCAGAAAATACAATTGTTCACACACTGGCATTTCAATAGCAATATATTTTGACGTTGACAGTAGCATTAAAGGGCATGATATTTACATGAAAGCAAGTATTCTTCAGGGCTCTGGCTTTTATTTATTTTTAGGTCTTTATATAAATGTTATTTTTTCTCTAGTTTTTCATATCCTTATGCTAACTTTTCATTGTCATTGAAAATCCCGTTGTTTTTCCTTTTGTTTTTTTCATTTTGGACATTAGCATACGATATCACAGCTTCATTGCAACCATAATTTACCCTACAGTATACCAGAGGAGTATAAATTGCAGCTATAATTTCTCTTTCTCCTGTTTGATTTCCATTGGGACCATTACAGCAGAGTGAACTAGATAGCCTTTCCCAAAAGAGGGAGCAACTGGTGTCTCAGTCTAGAGGTGATTGCACTGGCCCCATTGCATATGGTGCCCAAGGATGATGTGGCCAGTAACGAAGGGGAAAGTTGCTTCTCCTATTGAGAGCCTTCTCAGTATTCTTCCAGGCTGGCCTTCTTCTTCCTGTATCTCTAGCATGTACCTGTACCCCTGGCAGTTTTCTCTGGATGTGGTGTAGTAGAGACTGCACTGGTGAAGGCTTCTGCTCTGGTTTCCATCTCTTCTTATGCCAATTTTGATGTGATAGATGGCATCTCTGAGCTCATTGACTCATCTTTAAAATGGGTGTAGTGTAATGGAAAGAATCTTGGGATTAGGCAGACTTA
This sequence comes from Homo sapiens, assembly GCF_000001405.40. Taxonomy (NCBI): domain Eukaryota; kingdom Metazoa; phylum Chordata; class Mammalia; order Primates; family Hominidae; genus Homo; species Homo sapiens. Next base: position 16,282,473 of record NC_000005.10, on the reverse strand, counting down.
GGCTCTAATTTCGGTTTTGCCTGTGACTAGCTGTGTGACCTGGAGTAGTTTCCCTCCTCTGAGGGATGTGAACACAATGTAGGAAGAGGGGCCTTTGAAGGGCTGGCCTCCTTTCAGAGGTTTACATTTCTCTTGTGCTTTCTTGCCCTACTAACCTTCCACCACTTTTGTGAGTTTGGTGAAAATGTTAAGAAAATAAGAACTAAAATGGATAAATGGTTTTTAAAAATTGAGGGGAATAAATATCTATATTACATTAAATTCATCACAGAATGAAAAAGGGTTTCATAGTTAAAAAATAGGAGGAAGAAAGAAAAGGGTAATATAGATGCTCAGAGTTTTACAAGATCTCATAGTTTATGCTAAGTGGCCTCCCAACCTTTGAAAAACTGAATGAGAAAAAAAAAATTACCCAAGACTTCAAGGAGAAGTTAAAGATAGTTGAAAAAATTTCATTAAGTAAAAAAAAAAAAAAGGACAAATATTGGTGGTTTTCTTTTTTAAAAAAAGACTAGAAATTGGCCAAGAAATTAAAGTTTAGAGAGAAAAGGGTAAAATATATGTGGTTAAAAAAATTAGAACACTAACATAAAGCAAAGTGGTTTTGACAATTTGAAAGCACTTCCAATAATATAGAAGTTAAAAAAAGAAGAACTTTCAGAAAAAAGCAAATATGTTAATAAGTGAGACATAATTCCATAACGCTTTTTCAAATGGCTTGGTGAAATCGATATTCAAGGTTTTTATTGTTTGTTTGTTACAAAAATATCTGTTTGATATAAAAAAGTGAAAGGATACATGCTCCAGTAAATTGCCACTAAAAAGGAACTAATATCTCAAATGAATCATCTGTAAAGTCAACACAGAGCGACCCCAATGGATCCTGCCACTAAAAAAAAAAAAATGCAAAATATTTCACAGTTAATAAGCACTGAGAAATTGTCAGCTTCTGTAATGGGTTGAATTGTGTCTCCCCAAAAATAGGTTGAAGTCCTAACCCCGGTACCTGTGAATGTGACCTTATTTGGACCTAGAGATTTGCGGATATAATCAAGTTAAGATGAGGTCATTAGGGTGGGCCCTAATCCAATATTACTGGTGTCCTTATAAGAAGAGGAAAATTTGGACAGAGACAGGCACCCACATGGAGAACACCATGTGGTAACAGAGGCAGAGACTAGAGTGATGCACCTGCAAGCCCAGGAACCCCAGGGATTGACGGCCACTGTCACAAACTAGGAGAAGACAAGAAAGGATTCTACCCAGAGCCTCAGAACTTAAGCCGCCCAGTTTGTGGTTCTTTGTTACTGTAGCCCTAGCAAACTCATATAACTTCCTTTTCCTTTCTCTTGTCTTTCATGACAGTGGAGTCCTGAAGGCAGGGTGGAGAGTGGTAAGTGTGCTCTATTCTGGGAGCAGGCAATAAGGGGGTGCATTGTTTACAGAGAATTTGTAAACAGTAGTAAAATTGGACTAAGAGGTGGCCTGCCCTTCATTATCACTGTGTGTCAGTAATTACAAACCACGTCAGTGATTGTCAACTACTTCTCCCCTCAACGGTGTTGTTGGTGTCAGATCTAAACATTTGCTGCAATTGTTGAATTTTTAAAATACATATGTAAGCTTCAAATTGGCACATTTACATTCCATATTCTTTAATAAAAAATCCATTCTACTTGGAAGTTAATTTGAACTCCCAGATACTCAGTTGGCCTGCAACCCATACAGACTTGGCCACTCTCATTGCTTTTGGAGTAAATTTCTAAAGCTTCAGAATTGCTTGAGTGCTTGTCAGGGCCAGCTTGTGTCTTCCACTCCTCTGATGCTACACATTCCTGTATTAAAACACTAGATTTACCCTAACCAGGCATAGTCCTCTAATTGTCAGGATGAAACTTGAGCTGCTTCAATTCTACCTCCTACGTAAACTTGGAATTTTTATTGGTATTTAAAAGTTTTCAATGTTGGGGGAGGAGGAGAGGGAAAAATGTGAAAGCTGCTAGAAAGGTTAGAAAAGACATGGATACTGATTACATCAGGAGGCAGGGAAATATTGGATAGAAGAGGGCAGCCCCTGGTGAGGGCCCCACCCTCAAGCCTGGACCTGCAGCCCAAAGTGAGAACTTTACATCCCCGTTTTCCCTCTCAAATGTTGCTTTTTCCAAAACCACCCTGGCCTGCCCTGCCCCCTATCCTGTACCTATAAAAACCCCAGGCTCCACTGACAGTGGAGCGGCAGAGAAGGAGAGAAGAGAAGAAGCAGACATCGGAGAGAAGCAGCTTGATTTCAGAAGGACTGCTTGATGGTGGGACCTGAGGATGAGTTTTGCTGGGGATGGCCAAACTCCAGAAGAAGAATACCTTCCCACTCCATCTCCTTTCCAGCTCTCCATCCTGCTGAGAGCCACTTTCATTGGCAATAAAATCCCCACATTTACTATCTTCAATTGGTTCATGTGACCTGATTCTTCCTGGATGCTGAACAAGAGCTCGGGATACAGAGGGCTGTCGTACTGAGCTGTTAAAAACTTAAGCTGTCCGCGGATAGCAAAGCTAAAAGAGCACACAAGCCCTCTGGGTCTCCAGGGATCATGGGTACCCCCCAGATGCTGCTGTGGGACTGCACAGAGTTCTGCTTCTGCTGGCACTCAGAAGGCCTCATCGGGGCCCCTGTACCTGCTCACCCGTGTGCTCCTGCTCCTGTGAGGGGTTGAGAGCTGTGGGCTGAGTAAACGAGCTACACTGTTTGCAAGTCCTGCGAAGGGGTCAGGGAAAATTTCCTGTTTAAATACTATTGTGATTTCAGGAATTTATTGTGAAATAGGACTTTTATGTGTCTCCACCAAACTTATTCTTGCATTTAAGATTTTTTAAAAGCAACTATTTGTAGGTCTGTAGCTTAACGTGCAAGAAGCTTTTCTAAAATAAAATAAAGTGTGATTCCATCAACTATGATTGTGAATAGATGAACGAATTTGATTATATTGTGCATTGAACATGAATATGTGAAGATCAATGTTGACTAAGTAATTGACAGATTCACAAAGTTAGGGCTGGAAATGTAGAAACTGTTATGTTATTATTCATCACAGTGACAGACCACTACATAGGCATTTTTTTGCCCTTTTCAAAAAAAATACTTTCTTCATAATTTAAAAGTACCAGTCCATTACTGTATTAGTCTTCTAGGGCTGCCATAACAAACTATGACAAACTGAGTGGCTTAAAACAACAAAATTATTTTCTCTTACATTTCTGGAAACCGACAGCTCAAAATCAAGGTGTTGGCAGGGTTAGGTCCTTTTGAAGGTGCTAACAGAGGATTCCTCTCATGCCCCTCTCAGACTCTGTTGGCAGCCTGCAGTCCTTGGCATTCTTTGTCTTGTAGACACATCAATCTGAAACAGGAAAGTTCCCTGATGCCCTAGTGGGACTTGAGACAGGGATGTGGCTTGTTTGCTTGGCCACTGTGTGCTCAAACCCCTTATGGGAGGGGGAGCACACAGACAGGCAGGTGCAGATTTTTGGGCTCCAGCCCCACAGTAGCATCTAGGAGTGTGTTACAATTAATGCTCTTTTAGCAGTTGCCATCTGTGAATAGTTAAGTGTTAAACCACCTCAACGGAGAGTCAGGGTGACAGCTGTTAACACCCGCCCTCTTGGTACCTGGGTCTTTGGCATCCAGGAAGAATCAGGCCACATGGACTTGAAGGATGGTGAATGCAGGGATTTTAATGAGTGGTGGAGGTGGCTGTCAGTGGGATGGATGGGGAATGGGAAAGGGGATGGAGTGGGAAGATGATCTTCCCTGGAGTCCGGCTGTCCCACAGCTGATCTCCTCTCCAAATGTCCCCAGCTGAACTTCTCTCAATGTTCAGACACTTCTTCTCTTCTCTCCTTCTCTGCTGCACCAGTCTGCCACTCTGCCACTCTGCTGCTCTTCTGCTCACAGAGCCTGGGGTTTGGGATTTATATGGGTACAGGATAGTTGGGCACGGTGGGCCAAGAGGCAACATTTGGGCACGAAAACAGGAATGCCTGTTCCCATTTAGGGCCATGGGTTTCCAGGTTGAGGGTGGGGCCTTTGCCAGGGACCGGCCCTCTTCTACCCAGTATTTCCCTGTCTCCTGTTTGTATCAAATCTATGCTTCCATCCTCACATGCGTTCTCCTCTGTGAGTCTTTCTCCTCTTCTTATAAGGACAAATCATTAGCTTTAGGGTTCACCCAGTTAATCCAGGATGATCTTATCTCATGATCCTTCACTTAATCACATCTAGAAAGACTGTGTTATTAGGGTGAGAGATGGGACATATCTTTTCAAAGGCCACCATTCAACCCAATACAATGACTGTTTTTCTATTTTTAACTCTAATACTTATTTTATATTTTATTATTTTAATTTTTATTAGCATGATTTTTTAAACAAATTCCATAAAAGAAAAATTTCACTGTGTTTTTCATTTTGAGCCATTTTTATAATTTTAGTTTGTAATTATTACTAAAAATACTAAAGCTAATTATGATATATAGAGGGAGAGGGGCGTTATAAAAGTGTCTGGTCTGGCTCCCTCGCCCTCTCCCTCTCCCTCCTCTCCCTCTCCCTCTCCCCACGGTCTCCCTCTCCCTCTCTTTCCATGGTCTCCCTCTCATGCTGAGCCAAAGCTGGACTGTACTGCTGCCATCTCGGCTCACTGCAACTTCCCTGCCTGATTCTCCTGACTCAGCCTGCCGAGTGCCTGCGATTGCAGGCTCGCGCCGCCACGCCTGACTGGTTTTGGTGGAGACAGGGTTTTGCTGTGTTGGCCAGGCCGGTCTCCAGCCCCTAACCGCAAGTGATCCGCCAGCCTTGGCCTCCCGAGGTGCCGGGATTGCAGACGGAGTCTCGTTCACTCAGTGCTCAATGGTGCCCAGGCTGGAGTGCAGTGGCGTGATCTCGGCTTGCTACAACCTCCACCTCCCAGCCGCCTGCCTTGGCCTCCCAAAGTGCTGAGATTGCAGCCTCTGCCCGGCCGCCACCCCGTCTGGGAAGTGAGGAGCGTCTCTGCCTGGCCGCCCATCATCTGGGATGTGAGGAGCCCCTCTGCCTGGCTGCCCAGTCTGGAAAGTGAGGCACGTCTCCGCCCGGCCGCCATCCCACCTAGGAAGTGAGGAGCACCTCTTCCCGGCCGCCATCACATCTAGGAAGTGAGGAGCGTCTCTGCCCAGCCGCCCATCGTCTGAGATGTGGGGAGCGCCTCTGCCCCGCCGCCCCGTCTGGGATGTGAGGAGCACCTCTGCCCGGCAACCGCCCCGTCTGAGAAGTGAGGAGCCCCTCTGCCCGGCAGCCGCCCCGTCTGAGAAGTGAGGAG